>NC_000005.10:77609807-78859807 GCF_000001405.40 Homo sapiens
AATGACTTTGACGAGTTGAGAGAAGAAGGCTTCAGACAATCAAACTACTCTGAGCTACAGGAGGAAATTCAAACCAAAGGCAAAGAAGTTAAAAACTTTGAAAAAAATTTAGACGAATGTATAACTAGAATAACCAATACAGAGAAGTGCTTAAAGGAGCTGATGGAGCTGAAAGCCAAGGCTCGAGAACTACGTGAAGAATGCAGAAGCCTCAGGAGCCGATGCGATCAACTGGAAGAAAGGGTATCAGTGATGGAAGATGAAATGAATGAAATGAAGTGAGAAGGGAAGTTTAGAGAAAAAAGAATAAAAAGAAATGAACAAAGCCTCCAAGAAATATGGGACTATGTGAAAAGACCAAATCTATGTCTGATTGCTGTACCTGAAAGTTATGGGGAGAATGGAACCAAGTTGGAAAACACTGCAGGATATTATACAGGAGAACTTCCCCAATCTAGCAAGGCAGGCCAATGTTCAGATTCAGGAAATACAGAGAACACCACAAAGATATTCCTCAAGAAGAGCAACTCCAAGACACATAATTGTCAGATTCACCAAACTTGAAATGAAGGAAAAAATGTTAAGGGCAGCCAGAGAGAAAGGTCGGGTTACCCACAAAGGGAAGCCCGTCAGACTAACAGCTGATCTCTCAGCAGAAACTCTACAAGCCAGAAGAGAGTGGGGGCCAATATTCAACATTCTTAAAGAAAAGAATTTTCAACCCAGAATTTCATATCCAGCCAAACTAAGCTTCATAAGTGAAGGAGAAATAAAATACTTTACAGACAAGCAAATGCTGAGAGATTTTGTCACCACCAGGCCTGCCCTAAAAGAGCTCCTGAAGGAAGCACTAAACATGGAAAGGAACAACCAGTACAAGCTGCTGCAAAATCATGCCAAAATGTAAAGACCATCAAGACTAGGAAGAAACTGCATCAACTAACGAGCAAAATCACCAGCTAACATCATAATGACAGGATCAAATTCACACATAACAATATTAACTTTAAATGTAAATGGACTAAATGCTCCAATTAAAAGACACAGACTGGCAAATTGGATAAAGAGTCAAGACCCATCAGTGTGCTGTATTCAGGAAACCCATCTCACGTGCAAAGACACACATAGGCTCAAAATAAAAGGATGGAGGAAGATCTACCAAGCAACTGGAAAGCAAAAAAAGGCAGGGGTTGCAATCCTAGTCTCTGATAAAACAGACTTTAAACCAACAAAGATCAAAAGAGACAAACAAGGCCATTATATAATGGTAAAGAGATCAATTCAACAAGAAGAGCTAACTATCGTAAATATACATGCACCCAATACAGGAGCACCCAGATTCATAAAGCAAGTCCTGAGTGACCTACAAAGAGACTTAGACTCCCACACATTAATAATGGGAGACTTTAACACCCCACTGTCAACATTAGACAGATCAACAAGACAGAAAGTTAACAAGGATACACAGGAATTGAACTCAGCTCTGCACCAAGCAGATCTAATAGACATCTACAGAACTCTCCACCCCAAATCAACAGAATATACATTGTTTTCAGCACCACACCACACCTATTCCAAAATTGACCACATAGTTGGAAGTAAAGCACTCCTCAGCAAATGTAAAAGAACAGAAACTACAACAAACTGTCTCTCAGACCACAGTGCAATCAAACTAGAACTCAGGATTAAGAAACTCACTCAAAACCGCTCAACTACATGGAAACTGAACAACCTGCTCCTGAATGACTACTGGGTACATAACGAAATGAAGGCAGAAATAAAGATGTTCTTTGAAACCAACGAGAACAAGAATCTCTGGGACACATTCAAAGCAGTGTGTAGAGGGAAATTTATAGCACTAAATGCCCAGAAGAGAAAGCAGGAAAGATCCAAAATTGACACCCTAACATCACAATTAAAAGAACTAGAAAAGCAAGAGCAAACACATTCAAAAGCTAGCAGAAGGCAAGAAATAACTAAAATCAGAGCAGAACTGAAGGAAATAGAGACACAAAAAACCCTTCAAAAAATCAATGAATCCAGGAGCTGGTTTTTTGAAAGGATCAATAAAATTGATAGACTGCTAGCAAGACTAATAAAGAAAAAAAGAGAGAAGAATCAAATAGACACAATAAAAAATGAAAAAGGGGATATCACCACTGATCCCACAGAAATACAAACTACCATCAGAGAATACTACAAACACCTCTATGCAAATAAACTAGAAAATCTAGAAGAAATGGATAAATTCCTCGACATATACACCCTCCCAAGACTAAACCAGGAAGAAGTTGAATCTCTGAATAGACCAATAACAGGCTCTGAAATTGTGACGATAATCAATAGTTTACCAACCAAAAAGAGTCCAGGACCAGATGGATTGACAGCCAAATTCTACCAGAGGTACAAGGAGGAACTGGTACCATTCCTTCTGAAACTATTCCAATCAATAGAAAAAGAGGGAATCCTTCCTAACTAATTTTATGAGGCCAGCGTCATCCTGACACCCAAAACCAGGCAGAGACACAACCAAAAAAGAGAATTTTAGACCAATATCCTTGATGAACATTGATGCAAAAATACTCAATAAAATACTGGGAAACCAAATCCAGCAATACATCAAAAAGCTTATCCACCATGATCAAGTGGGCTTCATTCCTGGGATGCAAGGCTGGTTCAATATATGCAAATCAATAAATGTAATCCAGCATATAAACAGAACCAAAGACAAAAACCACATGATTATCTCAACAGATGCAGAAAAGGCCTTTGACAAAATTCAACAACCCTTCATACTAAAAACTCTCAATAAATTAGGTATTGATGGGACATATCTCAAAATAAAAAGAGCTATCTATGACAAACCCACAGCCAATATCAAACTGAATGGGCAAAAACTGGAAGCATTCCCTTTGAAAACTGGCACAAGACAGGGATGCCCTCTCTCACCACTCCTATTCAACATAGTGTTGGAAGTTCTGGCCAGGGCAATTAGGCAGGAGAAGGAAATAAAGGGTATTCAATTAGGAAAAGAGGAAGTCAAATTGTCCCTGTTTGCAGATGACATGATTGTATATCTAGAAAACCCCATCGTCTCAGCCCAAAATCTCCTTTAGCTGATAAGCAACTTCAGCAAAGTCTCAGGATACAAAATCAATGTACAAAAATCACAAGCATTCTTATACACCAATAACAGACAAACAGAGAGCCAAATCATGAGTGAACTCCCATTCACAATTGCTTCAAAGAGAATAAAATACCTAGGAATCCAACTTACAAGGGACGTGAAGGACCTCTTCAAGGAGAACTACAAACCACTGCTCAATGAAATAAAAGAGGATACAAAGAAATGGAAGAAAATTCCATGCTCATGGGTAGGAAGAATCAATATCATGAAAATGGCCATACTGCCCAAGGTAATTTATAGATTCAATGCCATTCCCATCAAGCTACCAATGACTTTCTTCACAGAATTGGAAAAAACTACTTTAAAGTTCATATGGAACCAAAAAAGAGCCCGCATCGCCAAGCCAATCCTAAGCCAAAAGAACAAAGCTGGAGGCATCATGCTACCTGACTTCAAACTATACTACAAGGCTACAGTAACCAAAACAGCATGGTACTGGTACCAAAACAGAGATATAGATCAATGGAACAGAACAGAGCCCTCAGAAATAACGCCGCATATCTACAACTATCTGATCTTTGACAAACCTGAGAAAAACAAGAAATGGGGAAAGGATTCCCTATTTAATAAATGGTGCTGGGAAAACTGGCTAGCCATATGGAGAAAGCTGAAACTGGATCCCTTCCTTACACCTTATACAAAAATTAATTCAAGATGGATTAAAGATTTATATGTTAGACCTAAAACCATAAAAACCCTAGAAGAAAACCTAGGCATTACCATTCAGGACATAGGCATGGGCAAGGACTTCATGTCCAAAACACCAAAAGCAATGGCAACAAAAACCAAAATTGACAAATGGGATCTAATTAAACTAAAGAGCTTCTGCAAAGCAAAAGAAACTACCATTAGAGTGAACAGGCAACCTACAGAATGGGAGAAAATTTTTGCAATCTACTCATCTGACAAAGGGCTAATATCCAGAATCTGCAATGAACTCAAACAAATTTACAAGAAAAAAACAAACAACCCTATCAACAAGTGGGTGAAGGATATGAACAGACACTTCTCAAAAGAAGACATTTATGCAGCCAAAAGACACATGAAAAAATGCTCATCATCACTGGCCATCAGAGAAATGCAAATCAAAACCACAACGAGATACCATCTCACACCAGTTAGAATGGCAATCATTAAAAAGTCAGGAAACAACAGGTGCTGGAGAGGATGTGGAGAAATAGGAACACTTTTACACTGTTGGTGGGACTGTAAACTAGTTCAACCATTGTGGAAGTCAGTGTGGCGATTCCTCAGGGATCTAGAACTAGAAATACCATTTGACCCAGCCATCCCATTACTGGGTATATACCCAAAGGACTATAAATCATGCCGCTATAAAGACACATGCACATGTATGTTTATTGTGGCACTATTCACAATAGCAAAGACTTGGAACCAACCCAAATGTCCAACAATGATAGACTGGATTAAGAAAATGTGGCACATATACACCATGGAGTACTATGCAGCCATAAAAAATGATGAGTTCATGTCCTTTGTAGGGACATGGATGAAATTGGAAATCATCATTCTCAGTAAACTATCGCAAGGACGAAAAACCAAACACCGCATGTTCTCACTCATAGGTGGGAATTGAACAATGAGAACACATGGACACAGGAAGGGGAACATCACACTCTGGGGACTGTTGTGGGGTGGGGGGGGAGGGGGGAGGGATAGCATTAGGAGATATACCTAATGCTTAATGACGCGTTAATGGGTGCAGCACACCAGCATGGCACATGTATACATATGTAACTAACCTGCACATTGTGCACATGTACCCTAAAACTTAAAGTATAATAATAATAAAATAAAAAAAAAGAAATGTGGAGGAGAAGGGGATAAAGGAACAAGTTAAATGACACCAGAAAGAAGTGAACAGAAAAGTTCAGAAAACAGGGCATTCTACAGAAAAATAAGTACATGGCAGGAGGAAGAGGGAAGAGAGAAGGAAACTATGCTAGATTTTAAAAGACATAATCTATGAAATGTCCAGAAAGTAAAATTTATACAAATAGAAAGAAGATCAGTGGCTGCCTGAGGCTGAAAGTGGGAGCAGGGATTGACTGCAAATGGGTTGGAGGAAATTTTGAAGGGTGAAGGTAATGTTCTAAAACTGGATTATGATGATAGTTGCCCAACTCTACAAGTTTATTAATGTCACTGAATTGTCTAAAAAAGAAAAAAAGTCTTAAGACCACTCTGTTGTATGGACCTTGTTTGGACCTGACTCAAACTAACTCTAAAGACATTTTTGAAATAGTCAAATAAATTTGGTTATGGATTAAATACTAAAAATATATCATTTATTTTATTGGGTGCAAATGGCATATATGTCCATATTTTTAAAGATGTTTATTAAAATATTTATAATGTCTGAGATATGCTTTAATATACTACAACAGATTTTTTAAAATGGGAAAAAGAATGAATTAAGTAAATAGGATAAAATCTTGACAATTATTGAATCTAGGTGATGGATAAATGGTAGTTCATTGTACTATTTTTTCTACATTTGAATATGTTTGAAGTATTTTATAATTTAAAAAATTGATGGTTACTATAATAGCCTC
Organism: Homo sapiens; assembly: GCF_000001405.40. Lineage (NCBI taxonomy): Eukaryota > Metazoa > Chordata > Mammalia > Primates > Hominidae > Homo > Homo sapiens. Next base: position 77,615,571 of record NC_000005.10, read on the forward strand.
TCATGGTCAATACCATAAACCAAGGCAATAATGAGTTTGTGTGATTTTCCAATATTGCCAGCAACTAAGACACCAGGTTATCATTCTAAATCTCAGTTTTTAAAATTACTGCAAGTCAAAAAAAAAAAAAAAAAAAAGGCCAGGTGTGATGGCTCACGCCTCCTGTAATCCCAGCACTTTGGGAGGCTGAAGCAGGTGGATCACTTGAGGTCAGAGGTTCGAGACCACCCTGGCCAACATAGTGAAACCCTGGCTCTATTAAAATTCCAAAAATTAGCCAGGTATGGTGGCATATGCCTGTAATCCCAGATACTCGGGAGGCTGAGGCAGGAGAATCACTTGAACCCAGGAGGCAGAGGTTGCAGTGAGGCGAGATCACACCACTGCACTCCAGCCTGGGAGACAGAGTGAGACCCTGTCTCAAAGAAAAATAAATAAATAAATAAATTAATTAATTAATAAAATTACTGCAAGTCTCCAAAGTAAAATTAAATTGCTTACCTTTAAGTCATCATTTGAAACTTCAAAACTTTATATAAACCCACTCTGTCTTTTTTTTTTTTAGGTGGGGGAAATTGGGGTGGGATAGAAGGTATATGTATATATTTTTTTCTACCAACTCAATTTAGTCTCTCCTCATTGCATACTTTATACCACACAGGTCACGAAATAAATCCATCAGCATTCTCAGTAACTAGCCTGTGATAAATATGCCTGGCACCAATGCAATGTATTTAAGCCCTTTCAACAGCTTTTTCTTTGTGCACATGGAAAGCCTGCAGATTTCCATGCACATCTGCATACAGAATCCACAACCATGATCTGCATTATAATTAATGTAGCAGCACATCTGACCAGGTCCACAGAGTCTTGATGTATAACCAGTTTTGAGATCTGCAGGGAACTAAGGATGCCCTGGGGAGAAAGTGAGGCTAATTTCAGATCAGGCACTGGACAAGCTGTAAGTGGTAAGACACTTGCTCTCCTGAAACAGCTATGACATCGCTGGAGAAAATCTTAGTGTGCATGTATGTGTGTGTGTTGCATACACATACATTTACTTCAAGTCGTAGTTTCTCTCCTCTTGCACTCCTTACCACATCCCTCATATACCTACTCTAAATGACCAAGCCACAGCCCAAACATTTACATACAGATACATTAAAACCTTAGATAAAAAGCCTTCTTTGGTTACCACTGATGGAAAATCACCGAAGCATGGATTCTAGTAGTGGTGTATAGCAAGCACAGAAATATCAGACCTAAACTACACACCCCTCTCATTCTATTCCCTTGGTAGTTAAGACTTTCTTCTTCTTCCCCATCCTATCCCATTAAAAATGTTTTTACATTAAAATCTAGATAGAAATCTCAGGACTAGGCCAAGTTCCTACTTACATGCATTTCTTCAACGGCCTTCAGGGACACTCACTGTCCATGTCCATTGCTCCATTCCACAGCTAAAGCACAGAATGGGGGCCCATGAAACTCAGCACGAAGCAGGGCAACTTTATTCTGTATCTTTTTAGCCTAGAATGCTGAGTCAGCACTGTCCAATAAAGCTTTTTGTGATGATATCCAATATAATAGCCACAAGCCACATGTGGGTTTTGAGCACTGAAAATGTGGCTATTGTGACTGAGGAAGAGAACTATTGATTTTATCTAACTTAAATTTAAATAGCCACATGGTGCTGGTGGCTACCATATTGGACAATGTTGCAGTAAGTGAAAGACTTCCATTTGTTGTGTTTTCACTTAGGAGACTTGTTATATACAAAACATTCTTTAAAATAATTTTCTGTCTCTCTCATCTACACACATACACACACACACACAGATGCATTAAATCTTAATAGTGCTTAACTCTGGGCAAGCATCTATAGAATCAGACATTCAAATATATTTTGAGTGAATAAATATGTTTATATTCAACAATTTTTAAAATAAACAGGTAATATTTAAAAATCAGAGAAAGCTATAAACAAATATCATAGTCATTAAAACTAGGCATATGAAGATATATACCGATATGGGAAATAAACAGAAGCAAAATGCAAAACAAAACACAAAATACCATCTACGTTTTTGGTCATAAGTACTAAAATATTAGGTAGGTACGTGTCAAAGGATTGAAAGGGAACATAACCCATGAAAATAACCAGATGGAGCAACAGGTTATAAATGGATTTTGAACATTTGTATATAAGTAAAGTTTTAGAAAAAATAAACAAAGGTTGAAAGGCAATGCAATTTAAAGGACTGAGTGTAGGAATAGTCTCATAAAACTTGAATGTTGCAAGCAAATAACTACCCATATGAGTGGCAACTTGAGGGCTGAGGATATGGAGGCTGAAAGAATTCCAGTCATGGGCTGCAGAGGGAGATGTAACTAGAACTGAGAAATCGATGACTTAAGAAAAAGAAGGGAAAAGAAAGCTTGTAAATGAGAATAAGAGAGCTAATGAGGAATAATGTTAATTTTCAGTCAGTAAAAGACTTAACATTGTTCCAAGGCCATTGGCTGAGAGGCCAGAAAGGCTCAACATTGCTTTCCAGATGTGACCCGTTCCTGAGGTTAGCATCAATCACACTTAATTCCCCTGGACATGTGAAGCAATGGAAACAATGGTTCTCAAACTATAAAATGAGATTCCTACGCCCCATTCCCAGGGCCTGAGAAATACTGATTTAAAAGAATAACTTGCTCTAAATGTCTGGCATAGGAAAAACTGTATGAACACTCTGATGCTCTTTATGGATAAAATCTGTCTTCTATTTAATAAAGATGACTAAACAAGTTTTTTTTTTTTCTGTTTTTGAGATGGAGTCTCACTTTGTCACCCAGGCTAGAGTGCAGTGGCACGATCTCAGCTCACTGCAACCTACGCCTCCTGAGTTCAAGTGATTCTCCTGCCTCAGCCTCCCAAGCAGCTGTGATTACAGGCGCACACCACCATGCCTGGCTAATTTTTGTATTTTTAGTAGAGATGGGGTTTCACCATGTTGGCCAGGCTGGTCTTGAGCTCCTGATCTCAAGTGATCCACCTGCCTCGGCCTCCTGAAGTGCTAGGATTACAGGCGTGAGCCACCACACTCAGCCTAAACACGTTTTTTGATGACTTGGGGAACTTTAGTGCCTGTGACCATAGCCCCTTATTGTTTCACAGAATTTAACAAAGAAGGGGGACCAGAAAAGCTATCTTTGAACATGTGAGGACCTGTCAAGCAATAAAGGTTGAAGACTTGCTTTGTGGGACATCAAGGATAAGCCAGAAGGGGGATGGTTTCAGTGTGATATAACGACGTTTTAGAAGAAATGGGATCCCATAGAAGGTGGTGGGCATCCTGTCCATAAGCTATGCTAAATGACAATTTGGTCTATAATTTGTGTGAAGAATTTAACCAGCAACACTAAGATTAGATGACCAGTAACCTCCCTTTCTACACCTTGATACAGCCTACCTGACACTAGTAGAATTTACTACTGCTACAAAATAGAACTCAAAGTTCATTTGAAAGTATTTTATTTTACATATAACTGCTTCATGGTCATTGTTTCACGGTGATTACATAAGCAGCTCACATCAATATGATTTTTACTTTTACATGGAAAATCATTTGTTTCCTCTCTCACTTTTCTGGTACCTAAAGTCAAAGTCGATATTGCATTTCCCTCACAGCATTCCAGGATCATTTATTCAACAAATAATTTTTTGCCATCTAATAAGTGTCAGGTACCACGCATTCAGGCCAGAAAATAGCTAAACTAATCATCAATACACACAAATTAAGAAACAAAAGTCCTGAATCTGATTCTCCCCACACTCAGGTTTCATTGTCTCAACCTATCCCTGTGTTCCAGGGCAGACTTTCCTGTATTACACCCCTAGAGACCCCCCAATTTTCCCTCTTACCCTCACCCCCATTATCTGAAAGGTGCTTGAGCAACGTGTCCAGCTGCTGCTTCTCCCCAGACCTGACCCCAAGTCCAGGTGTCTCTGATGCAGTGGAGATTGGGGGCCAGGAGGATGAGGACTACCTGTCTAGAGGGAACAACAGGATTACCATAGGGAAGGAAGAAGAAAACTCAGGGCAGGATATTACACAGTAAGAATGAACCCTGGGAATTTTAAAGCAGAGGACTAGAGCTAGGAAAGGAAAAGGGGTGTTTTTTGTTTTTTTGTTTTTTTAACAAGGGTTAGATAGTCTTACTGGAAAGCCAGGAAACAGAGGTGACTTCGGAGCCCAGGGCTTCGCATAGGAGAAGTCAGCAATGCCAAAAGGTGCCTCTGTATACTTAGCAGCTGTGAGGCAATCAATCCCTCGGGGAACCTGTAGGCCATCACTCTAGTAAAGATGATGTTTAAAGAGGGGACACTAAGGGAAGAGGAAATTACTACTGGTACTTTTTTTCCTATCTTATTGTGAAATATGTCCAAGAAATAAGCATATATATATGCTATATATATAATATACAGTGTAAATAATAAGAAACAAATACCCGTGTTCCCACCTACCAAAGAAAGAATATTTTCTTCACCCCTTTTGCTCCAGCTCCTTGAGCATTCCCAAACAATTAAAGTAGATTCTTCTCAGGTGTGGTATAATTTCCTGAAACTGCAGAATGCCTCTGTGCAAACTCTACCCACAACATCACCCTTACTTGCCTCCTACTGCTTAAAAGTTCTTTTAATGAATTAAGATAAAAATATTCTTTCTATACTAAAATTAAAGAGTTTAAAATAGAAAGTTAGCATATTGCTGTAAGTCTCTTTAGTCAAAATGTAAATGATCCCAGCTAATTTCCTGTTTTAATAGGGGAAAAGAATTTGAAAGATAAGGTCCTATGACCCTGAAAATATTGGGGGATGAAGAAAGCTGAAGTCCCAACAAAAACTTCACATACCTCACCAGTTTCCCCTGGACTTGAACAATTAGCTTCATGCATACATAAAGAGAGGTTAGGAGCAGAGATACTTCCTGGTCTGTGTACCTGCGCTCACCTGAGCAACCACTAGGCTGCCCATTCTTTTCATTCTCCCTTGTGGTCACAAACACCTGGTGTTGCCTTGGCAACGAAATAAATATGCTGGAACTGCCCCCTCAGGCTTCTAAGTCGTTGGCCATTTGTTCCACTAAGTTTACACAAGAAACTGGTACTATTTGAATCTAATTAATCCAACCAAAATTTACCGAGTGCTTCCTATATGAGTATATGTCTAGGTTGTCTATTTTCTAATTTCTCCTTTTCAGTTAGATGATATGCAAACCCCATGGCACTAATTGTTTAAGGATAGGAATGAGGATTCTTTTGCACAGCCATGTTTGTCTATGAGAAGTTATATCCTTGCATGTTCCACTCTTTCTTTCCTACTCTGGAAAACAATTCCTACACAGTCCCAATCCCTTCCCTGGGTCCTATTACAAGGAGGCTAATGATGTTGTCAGTGGCAGCAACTCTTCAGCAGAGCATTGATATTATGAGCTTACCTTTTCACCACCGTAACACAATGCTGACTTGACTCAGAATCAGATCCCCTATCTCCAGGTCAAGAAAAAAAAAAAAAAAAGAAACAGATTAGACAAAGACCAGTCCAGGCATTTGATTATGTTTAAACTGAGTTGCGCCGGGTGCAGTGGCTCAAGCCTGTAATCCCAGCACTTTGGGAGGCCGAGGCTGGCGGATCAAAAGGTCAGGAGTTTGAGACCATCCTGGCTAATAAGGTGAAACCCCATCTCTACTAAAAATACAAAAAAAAAAAAAAAAAAATTAGCCGGGCATAGGTGGTGCATGCCTGTAGTCCCAGCTACTAGGGAGGCTGAGGCAGGAGAATGGCGTAAAACCCGGGAGGCGGAGCTTGCAGTGAGCCGAGATCGCGCCACTGCACTCCAGCCTGGGAGACAAGAGTGAGACTCCGTCTCAAATAAAATTAAAATAAAATAAAATAAAATAAAATAAAATAAAATAAACTGAGTTGCCCCACACTAGTCAGCAATGTAGAGTTAATCATTACTAGAATGGTCAGCATTGGGAAATAACTTCAGATATTAGATGAGGAAATGGAAGTGCACAACTGCTAAGTGACTGAACTAAGAACACAGTCAGGTAATGGCTGATCAAGGACTATAACTATGTTTTCCAAACCATGCATTTCTTCTGGGTCCCCAAATATAGCAGAGTCATGACTGGACAAGGATTGTTCTTCTGTAACTAAAAAACAAACAACCTCCCTCCCTGAGAAGCAACGCTCTCCTAACCTGAACCCAAAACAACCCCTATCAGAAGCTCAAGGTCTTCCTCCGGAGTTCTTCTGCCTAAGGAGAAAATTCTCATCATCACTCTTCAAATCTAAAATGGCTTATGGCATACAACCAGTTCTCAAAGAAACCACTAGGTTTAAAATGAAAATGAAGCTCTTAAGTCTTCCAACAGGGAAATCTAAGATAGCTGGCTTCCTGGCAAGTGTGTGCTCCTCCCTCCATTGTGGGAGACAATCCAGTCACTGGAGTTTCTAAAAGTGGCATATTAACTCTTCCAAGATAACAGGGCATCATTCACTAAATTACCTTTTCGAAGACATTACATGGTACCCCAGTTCTTTGGAAAAGGTAATTAGCTTCCCATGGGTGACTAGTTTACTCCAAGTGAGCACTGTGCTCATCAGAGGACAAGGATGATCTCTTTTTGTGGGAATAAAAACATTATCTTGCTTGTCAGGAGTGATTTATTTTTTACCTTAATAATGATGTAAGCCCTTTACGATACATATTTTTAATTGGTAACTACCCCACCATGATAATAGATCATAGCACGTGCAATAAGCTGGGAACTTTAACATCAACACATCTGACCTAAATTAATCTTAATAAGCATCTATTGCACACCTAATATGTGTCAGAGTCTATGCTATATATTGGGGAATTACATTGCTCAAATGTATCCATTTGGGGAATATCAGTGATACTAAAACACTCTATCAGATTATGAATGGCTATTAAAGTGAGTCTGGCAAGTGGCCCACCATGTCTTGCCTTGGTCATTAGAGATTTGAATCCGGTTAATGGCTCCACATTTAAGAGGTTAGTGGAGAATTTAGTAAGGATATATATAAACACAAGAAACATACTTTATAGATCTGAAAATAAGAGCCACAAGGAAAGGTCAAAATAATTCCAACAGAATAAAACAAAAGTGGAGAATAAAATCCTAAAGGATGACCTTGTTATCCTATAAGACCCAGCTCCTCCAGGAAGCCTGGCCAGGAATTCTACCCACAATGATCTCCTGCTTCTCTGAGTTTCCATTGCATCTGAGATATAGATCAGAGTACTTAGCACTTGATCAATCCATTATAAATTGACTTGTACGATTTTCTTTTTAAAGTATATTTGTCTTGTCTCTCCAATTATATGATAAGCTCCTTGAAGAGCTTGGATGTTATATATTTCTCTGGTACCCCCACCTACAGGCTTTGCCAACAAGCACAAAAAAACTGTTGACATATATAAGTAGGAAAAACATGTTAAATGAGAAAACTAAGAGTGTTTATCACTGAGAAAATAAGATTATGGCAGAGATATGTTCTATTCACTGGCTATTCATGTGTTCCACATTTGCCAGTCCTCTTGCAATTAGGGGAAGCCTTATAATAATTTCTTAGGTACTGGACCATGAGTAGAAGTTTCTGGACCAAAGCATAAAGAACCAGTTTAAACTTCTAGTTTTTTCTTCCTCCCACAAAGACCGTGGAAACCCCATAATGGGGTGATTAAGTAACAACATGAAACCTGCTTGGATCACTGGGTCACCACATGAAGAAGAGCTCTCCTAGAGATTTACTTTACTCACAGTCACATTTGTGTGAGCAAGAAAAAAAAAATCCCTGGTTGTGTTAAGCCAGAGATGAATTTTATCTGGTACCATAGCATAGCCTAGGGGTATTACACTGACTGATATTAACAAAAGAAGACTAAAAAGAAAAATCATTTCAGTAGTAAGAGCTGTGACAGAAAGTCCTTCCTGAGGTAAGACTACGGAAGAAAGAACTAGGAGACAAAAGACAGACTAGGCTCAATGAAAGGAAGAACTCTGGCAGGCCAGTAAAAGACATCTACCTTTCATTCAAACAGAGCCCACAAGTCCACTTGGTGAGAAATAAAAAAGGGACAACTGTGGTCAAGAAATTTGAATGAGACGATTTCAAGGTCCCTTCAAATGCTAAGATTTTATGATCTATGTTTGGCAATGGATTCCTAATATATGGAGGCCAGAAAAAGGACATGCAGTTTATGCTGAGTTGTAATTCTTTTAATAACATACAGAAGCAACATCAAAGTATCTCCCTGTAAAATCTTGCAGGGACAGACAAGAAAAGCACCAAAAGACCCAAGGATCCTCTCCCTTCCCCTGTCCATCTACAATGCCACACCTTTCAAAGTACTCCTAGGGCTATTTGACAAGTTTATTGCCACCTCAGCTCAGAGCTTGTGTCACAAGAAGATGACTTCATTGATAAAGATTTCTCACCGGATTAAGAGCCTTCTCGGTGGCTGAAATATCTTGAATTAACCTCTGGAAAGAGGGTGAGGTTCCGTAGGACAGGAGTGTTTCTAGACTCTTGAAACCATGTGTTATTTTGATGCAGTTATCATGTCCTATCAAAGTATCTCTTGTTTAAATTACAAGGGTGGACTGTTAAATTTCTAAGTAAAGATATTTCGTTTTATTCCCCGAAAATATTTTAACAGTAGGGGAAATGTCTATATGTTACATACACAAGGGTAATGCTTAATGACCTGAAAATGTAACTTAAAGAATGATCTCTGCCACTTACTAGGGATATGACCTTTGGCAAGTTACTTAGCCTTCATGACTCTCAATTTCTTCCTCTATACAACAAGGGTTAAAATATCTACTTCATAATGGTGCCATGAGTTAAATGAGATAATGAGCTGTGTCAACTAAAAAATGGAGTTCAAATGTAAGGTACTGGAGGGAAAGTAATGAAATAACACTCTCTAAAAATGTTATTTTTGAAATCAATGTTGGAGTACCTAAGCATTAAGATAATAGACTAAGATAATTAATAAAGCAAGGGTAGCAAAAAGACCAGTTCAGCTTCACTTAACTCATTCAGAATTGTGCAATTAGCAAATCTAAAAAGAACTTATTTTAATTTCAGTATATCTATGTTTTGTTTTATAATTTAATATTTTTATTTTTAATTTCATAAAAATCACATATAATCTTTTCCATGTTAAAAAGCATCTACAGTTCTTAATCTGACCTTGAGTTTATCTTTAATAGATTCAATAAAGACTAGGAACAAAAGTATATAAAGTCTTATGACAGTTCAGTGAAAGATGCAAAGAACATATACTATATATGTCATGTGGGTTAATTATATATTTCCTGGTACTTGTGAATTACTTCAACACAGAACTGAGAGGGATTGTGGCAGCGTGAGCAACTGCAACAAGTGTAACTCAAATAAAATGGGTCTGAAGATGGAAACTGAGATATATGGGATATTTCATCACGTGGATGGAAGATGCAGCTTAACGGTAATAACAACTAATTATGCCTGCTTAAAGACAAACAACTTATGAGCGCAGGGCTTGGAAGGCCGAGGGTGTGAACTGCGGTCCCCATGCCATCACTTGTATGGCATGTATGCCATCATCAAAATCAAAAGATGGCTCTTTTTTGTCAGGTCAAGTGAAAAACTCTGTACACAGCTCATACCCAAAACTCCTTAATGGCACGTTTTAGTAAGTCTTCTAAATCCATGCCTTGTTTTGATAGTGTACACATTAAAAAAAGCCAAAGGCATTGTTCTGTGTCTCTCTGTAATGACCACATGCTAAATCGGCCATGGTTCCTATACCAAAAGCTCTGCACTGAGGAGACTTAGCAGAAAGCCGGGCAGGAGGTGCCCCTCTTTGTTGCAGCTTTCATTTTTAAAATAAGTCATAATTTCTGCATTGGATACAAAGATGGGTTTACAGCTATTAGCCATCATATTAATAATTTAGAAAATACATGCCCAATCACTGACGTTCTTTCAATTCCCTATGAACACAGCTGCAACCCACATTAGAAGTGAGGGTGAATGGATATTTTTCAGATGAGATATTTGGGCTGAATTATTAGGGTAGCCTGTACTACAAAATTACTAATAAACATTGCTTCTGGCTCAATTCAGCCTGAACTCAGTGAACCTAGCCAATGGTGACAAATCAAAAACTCTGAAATGCCCAGTGAATGAATCTAACTAATCACGGAACCCTGTAGGAAGTAGATGCCAGGATTAATGAGCCAGTGGTTTCACCATGCCATGCTGTTATTTCTTCACATAAATGCCCTCAGATGAGATTATCTTTATGTCATGAAAAGGAGAAAAGGAAGGTTACATTATTTCAACTGACAGGTTAACTACTGCCATTACTAGAATACACATATTTGTGGGCTAAGTTTTTTCTTTATCCTAAAAATTTAAATGTAAGTTCCACAATATAAATTAAAAACACATTTTCATTTTTGGGAAAAGCTGTCATTGGGGGCACCAAACATAAATTGTCCCAAAGTTAGAATTTTCCTCTTTATTTCCTCTGCATGTCTATATGCACATCTACCGTGATTTACCCAAACTGCTCTGCATGCTGTTTTGTATTGAGTATCTAACATCATCTTCAGCAGGTTGCATTCCCATATCATATTTCCTCCACCATCAACAAAAGGTAATCTAAGTGCAAAATCATTACTATACCATCACTTGTATGGCATGTATGATATTTAGTACCAATACTGAGGAAAAAATAAAGATACAAGGATGAACTTGTATATTAAAATAAATCAATCATATGGTTACATCATAATGGATTGTTTCCAGCTAGCATGTGGTGACAGTATTCAATATCAAACAGGCTACTCAGCAAAAAGTACAATTATTAGAGGCAGGACATCTAGCATGTTGTACTTAAACTACTTTGTGTTCTGATATTATTCAACTTTATTGTCTTTATTCCCTTATTAAATTTACTTAATTATTATTAGATCTTTAACAATTTTGAGTCAGAATTGCTGTTAATGATGAGTAAAAAAATTGTATGAAGCATTATTCTGTTGTTAGATTTTTCTCCTTCAAAAAGCAGAAATCTTTCAGGCTTGTGATTGAGGTTCTTATTCTTCTCTTTTTATCTTTGCTAAACCGTCAACCTTAACAATTCAGGCCTGCTTGCCTTCCCTTAACCTAATGGCGTATATGACTTTAAAATGTTCAGGATTCTGAATACAAAAATCTATTATTGCTATAGAAACAAATATTAGCCCAGAGTCAAGCCAAGTGAAAAACTCTGTACACTTTACTATAATATTGATAAATAACCACTACATTATGAAATATAAGTATCTTTGAAAGCATCTATCACTTGAGTTGATTTGCAACTTCTCATCAGTGTTCTGAGTTGGCCCATTTTTTTCCAATGAAAGATCCCATTTCCCTTGCCTTTGAGAAATACAATTTTTAAAGATTCCATTTAGCATCCTTTATTGCATTCCTACATCATAAAGTTATGCTTTATAGCAGCATAAAAAGCTGTAAAATTGGCATCCTTGTAAACAACATTCCATGAGCACTGGTGAAGCAATCCGTAATTTGTACTGATCTCTTAAATGTGACTTGAGATTACAGTATCCACGATTTCAATTTTTTTTAAAAAAAAGCACTAACATAAAACAAGCGAGAATATGATGAAATGCAAAAACAAGGAAAAGTATTTTTCATTAACTCATATTTTAGAAATTTGGTGGTTGTGTGCTGCTGAATTCTTGGATGAGTTCTCAAATACAGAAATGTTCCGTTCTTGTATGAAATTCAAAATGAGCATGTTTTCTCTTCTTTAATATTTTAATGTACTAAAAATAGTCTTTAGGAAAGTGTATAACTGAAATATTCTGTGAACCCACCCACCAGTTTACCTCTAATTAAAATTCCTAAGGTAACATGAACAGATTTACTTTATCATTAAAAATCATAGCTTTTTGTTCTCATCTCTGAGGAGATTCCATTGTGTTCTCTTAGTTGAGTAACGATTACAACAGCTCCTCAAATTCACATGTAGCCCAGCTGTATTGTATTTTAGCAGGAGGGTATTTTTTAGGGTTTACACTCTGAGGCAACCAAATGAGAAGTCTTCCCGTGGGAAAAGGGGTGCCCTCTCAATGCCTATAATGACCATTAAATTTCAAACCACAAGATTGATTTCGGTTAGCCTTCCCAAGGAAGCCTGTGATATCGATTTGCCTCCAAGTTTAAAACACACCGCAAACCTTCCCCTCGGCCGACCGAAGAAACGGCATTTTTTTCCTACTCCTTTGGGGCAGTCCCCTGAGCACGTGCCTGAAGTCGAGGTTAGTACGCAGCCAGCAGGGACCCTGACAGGAAACCAGAGCAGCCCCGGGGTTGGGGGAGCCCTGGTAGGTGCTGGTCGTCCCGGACACGCCTCTTCTGGAGAAGCGCGTTTGTCCCTTACTTGGGAGGTCCCGGGTATCTGAAGCGGATCCCGGGTCTGGGGACATGAAGGGGCGCCGTGGCCTTAGGGAAGGCCCCAAAGAGGCCTAGGCCCCGGAGGAGGCAAGAGCCGCGGCCTAGCTTCCACCGCGTACCTGGGGCCAGACACGGCTGGGGCGGCGCCGGAGAGCAGAACTCCAGGCTCTGAAGGCCGAGGGTGCGAATTGTGGTCCCCTCCCACCCACGGCCTCCCCATCACGCGCACGCAGCCCGCGAGGGGCGCCCTCCGCGCCACTGCCCCAGGGACACCGTTCATCTGAGGAACTCTCGCGCCCTGCGTTTCGTGCCGACAGCGACGCTCGGAGTCCCACCTGGGAAACCTGGGTTGGCCCGGAAACCTCGGGAGGCTCAGAGCTTGCGTGAGGCGCTCGCGGCGCCCCAGCATGCCGCCCCGTCGCGGAGACCTCACCTTGCAGCCCAGAAACCGAACCCAAGCCCACTGCAGGGCGAAGGGCCCACGCGTTCCAACTGGCGCGAATATAACCATTCCCAAGACCGGCCCCTCCCCTCCCCCCACGAGACCCCTCCCGCCGTTCAAGGTCACACCAAAACCCATCATTCTCTATATCACATACTGAAAATGATTTTATTTTATCCATTTACATTTAACTTGATATAAACTTGTCCGGAAAAGTCAAATAATATGCTTTATATTAGCTCAAACATTTATTAAGAAAACCGAATTCCATAAATAAACACAGACATTAAGTTAAAACATATCACAAATTGACCAGTATGTAACAAGAATGCTTTATCTACACAAAACATCCTATTTCACATATTTGTTCATTCTTAGAAAGCGCTTCTGTTCTCTGGGTTTGGATTTGACCAGCACATGCAGAAAGAGCTGATTGTGTTTCTCTGTACAAAGTTGCAGGGTTGTAGATGTCCGAGTGCCCCCATCGGCTGCCAGCAGGTGGCCGAGGGGCACGAGGGACGACAGGACCACCACAAAACAACCAAGGGCACAGAGCAGCGAGAAGACAGAAACAGAAAAGGAAGCAAACAAACCCCAGTCCTGAAGGATCCAGAAAAGAGATGTGGCTTTTGCTTTTACAAAAGAAAATTTTGCTTACACGTTTATTTTATTCTTCCTTATAAAGACTTATCAAAATGGGTCAGATCACCTCTTCCTCGTCACATGACTGCTTTAGTCTACTCCAGCCACCCAATCCACTGTCACGTTCCTCCTGAGAAGCCTTCCCTTCTACACTCTCACACAGTTGTGCTTAAGAAAATGAAAATAAGATAAAATAAAAATAAAAGCGTTATCTTGCAAGCCAAGAGAGGGCTGCACGGATGTGACTGGGTGGACTGGGCAAGGGTAGCGTGGTGGGAGAGGAAAGAAAGACAGGAGCTTGGAGAGTACAAGGATAAATCAAATCATATCAGTTGGGCCCTCAGATGAGGCGGTTGGTAGCAATGCTTGTCCTCCTTTAAGACAAAAATCCCTAACATTGTGCTGTCCCTTGAACACGTCCGTGTGTGACCTAGGTGCACCGTGTCTGTGCGCGCGCGTGTGTAGCGTCTGAGCGTGAGCGAGAGTGCGAGTGTGTGTGTTTCTGCCCACAAACCAGTCCATTGGTGTCTGATTTCAGATCCTGAGTCGACTCCCTGGTACGTAAAATGGCGGGAAGGATACTTTTTGCCGGGCGCGGGAGGAGGGTCGCGAAGTGTGGGGAAAGAGGGGACCGGAGGGGAGGCGGCGGGCGAGGGGGGTCGTAGGCGTCGCGTCGAAGGTGTGGGTGGGAACGCCGCCCGTCAGAAGGCCAGGAGGAGGGCGCGAGCACGGCCAGCGCAAGCAGGGAGGCCAGGGTGGCGGGAAGGGTGGGCTGAGGCGCTGGAGACCGAGCCGAGGGCGCAGCTGGGTGGGAAGGGAAGAGGGGCGGCCGGGAGACGGGGGACCGCGGGCGATCGAAATCAGGCGGAGGGGAGGCCTCGCGGGCTGGGGCTTGGGGTGAGCCCGAGCGAGTGGAGGAGAGAGGCGAGGACGAAACGAGACGGGGCGAAGGCCGGGGCGGGACGGGGCAGGGCGCCGGGGTCCGGGTGCGCGCCGGAAGGGCCTCGGGGCGGCCCCCGGGGCGGTGCTGGGGGCGGAGCGGGCCGGGGCGCGGCTGCATTAAGTGAAGCTCATAGAGACTGTGTGCTCTAGCGCCTTGCGGCGGAGGGAGGCGATGCTGGTGCCCCGCCACACGTCGCTGCTGTCCGGGGAGCTGCAGAGCTGGGGCGAACCGGAGACGTTGCTGGGGCCGGGGAGGGAGGCGGGCACCATGCCGGGGAAGGCGGGCTGGTAGAGGTGCGACTGCAGCCCCGCGCCGTTGGAACCCGCCAGGCTGTTGGACAGGCCCATGGAGTTGGGCGGCGGACCGGCCGCCAGGCTGCACTGGGACAGCGACTGCGCCATGGCCTGCTGCCTGCCCAGCGCCGGCGGCAGAGGCAGCTGTGACACGCCAGGCATGGCGGCCGCCGCCCAGCGGGTGTCGTTGGCGTGGAAAGAGCACAGGCTGTCGCCCATGGCGGCGGCAGCGGCGGCGGCAGCCGACGGGAACTGAGGCAGGCCTGGCGTGGGCAGCAGTGTGCCGGGCGCACGGAACACGTTGGTCGTCTTTTTGCGCTTCTTCCACTTGGCGCGTCGGTTCTGGAACCAGACCTGGAGCGGGCGGGGCGGGAGACAGACAGGGAGCTATTAGCCGGCCCGGCGGCTGGGGAGTTGGGGCTTGAGCCCCAGAAACCCGCCTCGGATACAGCCGCTCTGCCCTGGGAGGAACAAGTGCCGTAGGCCCGACAAGCCCCCATACCCAGCCGGAGACTGTGGCTCCCCACCAACTCCTGGCAACTGGCGCCCCCTGCACCCACCAAGCGCGGAGTCCTGCGCTCCTAAGAGCTCGTGCCCCGAAGAGTTTACGCACTGTGCAAACACACCAAATGTGTGCAGTCTTCACCACGCCCCTGCACATTCTGTGCACTGCACAGATTCACAGGTCTGCAGTCAGGCATGTGTCAAAGTTCGACCCACAGGTGTACAAATGAAGATAAACGTGTACCCATGTAGCTTAATAGCATGCCTTATAACACTGATGTGCTATAGAATTTTCAGAAACGCTGGAAATTTGGAAATTGATGACAGGCTGTGGATGACATAGTTTCAAAATCGAAAGACAAAGGAAAACCCCTAACGCTACGGTTGACAGAGCGGAGAGGTTAATACAGTGATCTGCGTGGGAAAGTGAACGCCACTGAGCTACAGTGTTGTTTGGGTCACCACCATGACTTCCGATTCCTCCCATATTGCTTCGTGCTACTGCCACAACTCTCCGTGCCTCATTCCCAAACCACTCTATGGACACCTTTGTCTGGGCTGTACGAGTGGCTGGAACCTGCTGCCCCAAGAGCCTTCAACCCTATTCTTTTTTTTTTTTTTTTTTTTTTTTTGAGACGGAGTCTTGCTCTGTAGCCCAGGTTGGAGTGCAGTGGCACGATCTCGGCTCACTGCAACCTCCGCTTCCCGGGTCCCGGCTGAAGCAATTCTCCTGCCTCAGCCTCCCGAGTAGCTAGGATTACAGAAACGCGCCACCATGCCCAGATAATTTTTGTACTTTTAGTGGAGACGGGGTTTCACCATGTTGGCCAGGCTGGTCTTGAACTCCTGACCTCGTGATCCACCCGCCTCGGCCTCCCAAAGTGCTAGGATTACAGACGTGAGCCACCGCGCCAAGCCAAAGTCTATTCCTTTCAGGAACTTACCAAGGGTCCCAAGTAACAAGGCCTCCAGTTCCCTCAAGTCGCCCCCATTTCATTTATAAACTAAAAGCAAATTTTCGGACCAATATGAATTAAAGGAGGTCACATTTCACTACGAGATATATGAATCAAATTTAATTTTGCTCAGACAAACCCAAACGTCCTTTTTCAGGGAAATGAGTTTGATAAAATACACTCCAAATGAAAACAGCCTTCCTATTTTTTTTTTTTTTAACAGTGGCCCGGGAGTTACAGACCCTGTCAGGCAAATTTGCCTAGGCATGTCAAACCCTCTATCACAGAAGAAGAGTTCTGCCTGAAAGATATCACATAAGCTGCCAATCCAAGATAACTCCCATCTCCCCCTATTTGAATGTGATCTTTTTAAATGACAATAATAATAATAATAATTTGCCAGCAAGCCTGCCTGGAAGACTTGCAGTTTAAAATCTGGTCATCTGGCGTTTACTGTGCCTAAATATAAATGATGTAGGACAAGCCCAGGTACTGAGTTTCCTCTTAGAATTTGGCCAACGCAATTTGACCACGATATCCGTGGAAAAAAACGTTGTGCATCCGTTAATCTAACCTATTTAGTGTTTACTCTGCAAGCTAAAGTATCAGGGGTATGGACATACCTGCCCTCGGTCTCGGTGAGCCAGCAATGTTCAGCGGTGTGTTCATGCCCAGGCAAGCGTAGACGCACTCTACGCTTACCAGTGTGAACGGTGTTGCAGTCTAGAATACTCCCCCAGCTTGGGGCCGGCCCTCGCCTTTCTACCGTGCCTGCGCCGTCGCCTACCACTTTCTTCCTGTGGTTTCTACCCCATTTTGCAGATTGCTGCGTATCCCAGTGTCGGCGATGGATAAACAGGTCTCGTCTCTTCCCAGTTGCAGCCCGTGAGCTGGTGGCACAACGGATTAATGAGGCAACAGGGCTCTAGATGGTGAGTGGGATCAATGAGACCCAATTGAGCTGTTAGCGGTCTTAGGCGGAGAGCATCTCTCAGGAGGAAAGGAAGGCACAGCGAGAAGACCTAAGGCCGAAAGTCGCTGTGCAGCACCCACCCAAGGCTGGACTCGGGGGAGGTAGACGGGACGGTGTCTGTGACTAAACGGTTCCCACACCTTACACGCCGCACCGGGATTATGTTTTGAAAGGTGTCTTATAAAATCAAGACCGGTTCCTAACAACCTGCAAGTGCCAGTGAATCCCGAAATGTTTGTTTGAGGAGAGGGAGTGTGAGGGAAGGAGCAGAAAAAAGAAAGAGGGGGAGGATTGCCCAGTAGAATTTCAATAGAAAATGTGACTACCAGAATGGTTTCTGAATCTAGGATCTGCTCAGGCACAGGCGGAAAAGAACAGCTGTTAAAGAACTAAATATTATAGAAATAATCGGAAAATCGTGCTCAATTATGTTTGAGGGTTAGTAGTCAAATGATGGCTACAAATTTTTTTATGTTTCATGGCTTACTGGGATTGGGAAAAAAAATCTGCGTGGGGTCTGAGCACCTCCGTTCCAAGCTACGATGCATATGTTTTTTAAATGTGAATGTTTCCACTTGAAAACTAGAGCATGACGGATTAAAATGCAGGCAAAACCTAAGGGAGATTTTTAGAATGCACAGATGACAACTCCAGGAAATATATTAACCCCAGCCACGGGCCAACTTTGTACTCAGTTTGAAATGCAGCTCTTCTTGGAAAATGCTTAATACAACAGTGAGAATCTAATGGAGGTTGGAATCTAAAAATCCACTTTCATGATATCTGCTGTTACAGTAATATAGACATACTGTAAATGTATTTTAAAATATATAGCCCGTTTAATTCCCCAGCTATAAATGACTGAGAAATAGAAAAAAGAGGGAGAGAAAGAGAGAATATTACTTTTTCCCCCCTTGAAGCAAATGCTTTATGAAGATCTCATTGGAATCCAGCAAATGATTAATGTGAAGATTTTGGAGGAAATCTGGGGAGCTGTATTAAAGCCTAGATCTCAGGTTCATTTCGATCAGCCAGCCGTGAACTCTGGGCCGAATTCATTACAGTTTAATAGTGCTGGGAGAGGAAGAAAATGCAATTTCTCATTCCATTAGAAAACTAGAAAATACTCTCAGTTTGTCCCCCTATTAAGATGTGGCAGGTGACAGGGCCATTCTGGGGGACACGGTCAATGGAATTACAGCACACTATTTTTGTTCATATAAAATATTGAAAGGCAAGCCTGACTGTGCAGAAGTTATTTTACTGATTTGGTTTTTATGTAAATAAAATATTGAAAGTTAATTAATCCATGCTAGAGACTAATGATTATGCTTATTATATTGCATTTGATCACATAATTTGCATGATTCTCACATTGCTGCTTAATAAGCCATTCCAGGTTATAAATAATTCTGAAATTGGTTTCTAATAATGGCATGCTATAAAAGGAATGGTTTTATTACACTGGCCAGAAAAGAGGAGCTATATCAGACATGGAATTGGCCTCCATGTGAGTAGAGATGCTTTAATAAATACTTAAAAGTGTGATATATACCAAATAAAGATAAAAAATAAGTATATTGGATAATTTAGTCTAGAATCAAAAAGCATCTTTAAAAATATACAATTGCAATGAATTAAATGTTTAGATAATTTTTAATCAGCGCAGTGGCCCACATACTGAAAAGAATGTGTGGCAGTCTGTTAACTATAAAGAAAACTATGAAGTATTGATCATATAAGAACATAAGCCAATTACTATTTAATTTGAATTTGGTCAAGGAGCAATGGTACAGTGAATTGTGAAGTAAATACATTTTCCATAAATTATTTTTGCATTACATTACATAATGTTAATCATTTTGAAAAGTTAATTAAGAAGGTTATGTTGATCTGATTACTTTTTAAACTATGGAACATTATTTTTAAAAATATTGAAATTGCCATTCTATTAAATTGTGTCTATCAGCAGGCTCAAGCTATTATCTTTGCTTGAACATTATGCTGGAACAATTAGAGTACTTTGTCTCTTTCTTCTTGTGCATTCTTTTGTGTACTTTTTGAAAATAACTATTTCTGTTACATAGCTTATATTTTATTTCATTTACAACTTTTTCTGTTAAAAGAATAACTGTCATTAACCTTTGGAAGACCTAATAAAGTTTAATAGACCTCGTTTTCTTTTTTCATAAAATCAGTTGTTCAATTATATTTTATTTGTGATTCTAAGTTCTATTTTAATTTAAACTAATTGCCAGTATATCTAGGTTAAGACACAGCATTTTACCCTTTAAATACAGAATTAATAGATAATCTTTCTCTTAAAGGACAAAACCCCAAAATTTATGAATTTCTAACCTGCAAAATTGAACCTACAAGCAAGCACTGTCATCAGTGTTGATGGAAGTATTGAAATTGTATATTTATGTAAAGGTTTAAACTCAACTTCAGATATTTTTTAAAAGGTGAAAAATAAAAATTTTGAAGAGCATTACTAACACATGTTTACAGTTACACAATTAGTACTCTTTTGGTGTGTCGTTTTAAAAGACCATGGTCTAGGCCTTTCACTAGGAAAACCACCCAGACTTATATTGTATAAAAATGCTAATCATTATGTTAATCAACATTACTTTATTAATTTGACCATTTTAAATCCCCAATAATATTCATTTGCTATTAGAGCAGAAGCATGCGCTATCTTTTCAGTTTAGACTATCTTTAAAATGCCGAATGGAGACAGAAACATTCAACGCTGTGATTACGGACGTTCTCATTGCTTACTTCTTAGATCAAATGTAAAGTAACTAAGATCTTAAAGTTAATTTTATAAAAGTAGGTAGCACTGGTTTAACAAATTGACCAGGTTGATGACACCCAGGATATCGTACAGAAAATACCACCGTCCAAGACGGCAAAGGAAGATTTTTCAGCACCCTGGATAGCTCAAGAGTGAGTACCGGCGCTTGGAATTTCACCTCCAGGCACCTGTCCATAAAATATTTGATATGTCTTCATTCTTTCTTTTAAAAAACAAAAAAAAAAAACAAACAAAAATCTGGGATTCACTAGGCTTATACTTTTATTCACCAATTTTCAGAATAATTATAGGTGTGATTTTCTAGGTTATATATAATTTACAGCTTGGAGAGTGGTTGGAGGAGAATAAGGGGTCAGCAATGATTTCCTCTACTGCCTGTCAACCTTTCCCGTTCTGAATGCCCCTTCTTCAGACATGATATCCACAACAGAAAGCCTTCATTTCCCCTCCCCCACCGTAGCTTCCTTAGAGGACTCCAAAACAAAACGGGGCTCACCGGCTTTGGGAATCTCGTCAGCTGCCCCCAGCGCACTGGTAGACTACGAAAGTTCAAACCCCTTGCAAACATCAAAGCTAGGAATATTTCGCCTGAGTGCAGAGGGAGGGTGATACTTAAGGTAATAAAGCCACGCCGTGAAACCTGGGTGTAGCACTTTTTTAAAAGGCGCTCATTCGCCTTATTTGCTCTTTTCTCTTGTTTTCTGTATAATTGTTGCATTCCTCCTTTTATCCAAACGCTTAACACAAACTCATTAGGGGGTAATATTTGTCAATAATGCGAGCAGGAGTTGAGGTGTGCGCTCGGCTGGGCCGCCCGGGGGGGCGCTGAGGTTGCCTTCTCAGGCGGAGGAGGCGAACCCTGTAGCCCGACAACGCCGGGCTTCGATTTTGAGGAGCTTCTTCCGGGATGTCGCTATACTGGCCGGAGACGGGCCTTGCGTGTCCATTGGGGGATGGCGATGGGGACCAGTTTCCGGGTAGAGAAGGAGATAACTCGATACAGGAACGCACAGGCAGCCTGAAAGCAGCCCAGGATCTCGACAGGGGAAGGGAAGACCCTGCTCCCTTTGCCCAAATCCTCCCGCCCTGTCCTTGCCTTCTGTCCCAGATCCCAAGCCCCTCGTACCTGCACTCGGGACTCGGTCAGCCCGATACGCAGTGCCAGCTCCTCACGCATAAAGATGTCGGGGTAGTGAGTCTTGGCGAAGCTCCTCTCCAACTCGTTGAGCTGTGCGGGGGTGAAGCGCGTCCGGTGGCGCTTCTGCTTCTGTTGGCCCTGCTGCTGGCCGGCTTGGCTGGGGTTCGGGCCGCCCTGGGGCCCGGGCTGCTTGTCCGGGTCTTTGGCGCTCACCGCCAGCGAGGCCGGAGTAGAGCCCACTGTGGTGATGTCCTCCCCGGGCAGCAGAGTGGCTCCCTCCACTGGGTCAGAGTTGGGCGCCAGGTCCCCCGGATGGCCCCCGGGGTCGGAGCCCCCCACGCCCAGCCTACACTTCACCGCCTCCCGGTGGCCCAGAAGCTCGGCGGCATCTTTCATACCTGAGGAGGCAAGGGGATCGCGGTCACTACTTTCTTGGCGATGCCAGGAGGGGCTGTCTTCCCCGCGCAGCCTTCCTTCAACCCGTCCTCGGCCCCCTCCGCACCCGCGCTTGTCCTAAGGAAGAAACTCCCAGGGTATTCAGCTGGGTTCCCCAGAATTTGGACAGCCGGGTTGGAATAATATCTCCCGGCCCCTTGCCCTCGCCGCAGCCGGCTCCCGTAGTAAACAGCACAAGCTTTCGTCTCTCCCACAATAAAACACTCCCAGTCCCGGCAATAAAACATGCCTCTGAATCCCTTCCATAAACCGTACCCCAGGCGCCCCAGGAAATCGAGAGCAAATCTTTGGACACAGGGGTGCGGGGGGCAGAAAGAAAATTAAACAATTCCTCGGTTGCTGCGGCACCTGCGCTTCGGCAGCCTGACGAACTGTACCTCCGGCCCTCAGCCGATTCCCTCTTACTTTCGGAAGATGAATAAGCCTCCAAGCTTTCACCCCCCGAAATCAACCCAAATCAGCTCCGCCTCCCCCTCAAATCAGAGAAAGTGTTTGGAAAATGGAGTCACATCCATCACCGAAGATTCCCAATCCGGAAACCCAGAGCTCAGCAACCCAGATAGCATTAAGGAAACTCGAGTGAACTCTATGGACAACCGTGAATCAAACTTTAGAGATTTCAACTTTTCTTTCCAGAGAAATAAAAGGCGCATTCCTCACAGCCATTGGCAACGCTGAGTCCCTTGCAGAAGAGGGGGGGATGACTGTGAGGTTGAATTTGGCTTCTCTCCTTCTCAACCAGCACACTTAGCAAATCCGCCTTGATGGCAGCAGCTTCTCCTTTATGCCAGATTTTTTACAAATTACACCACACTTAGAAAAGGAGGAGAGAAGAAGATGGTGGGGAGAGAGAAACGGGGGGAGGGAAGGAGAAAGAAATCCCAAATCAAAACAAACAGGAGAGGGAAAAAAGAGAGAGAAACACCTCCTAACAAATTATCACGGGGTATATCGCCTTTCGAAAAAAAAAAAAAGGCGGGGGAGGGGGGAAGAGAAAAATAAGAAAAACAAAAAGTAACAACATTCCCCAACTCCTTTCTTGGATCTACATATTCCATAGATTTTTTTTTAAAGGCGATGTTAAATCAAATTAAACTTTAATGCAGCACAATTACTTTTAAAGAAATTAGTCCATTTAGGTCGCATTAAGGTAAAATAAGGAACAAATTGACAATTTCCTGCCCCGGCTTCTCCTGGCTGCCCGGGCGAGAGGCGCGCACTCACCTAGCCTGGCGTCCAGGAGGTCGGCATGAGACAGCATCGCGCACCGCTCCAGGGCGAAAGCTGTTCCCCCCCAAATTTTAGCGGCTTTAAGTTATTTAAAATAGATATAAGCTATAAGCTATACGATATAGATATATATAGATCACCTAAATGAAAGAAAATTCGGTTTGTGGTTAAAAAGGGGGCTTCTTGCATTATAATGTCCTTTAGAGAGACGGGGAGGTGCTTAACAGTTGAATGAACCCGTGAGCAGCTCGGCGAGGGGACCAATCAGGAGGGCAGCCTGCAAATGTCAGCGCCCGGAGAGTCCCCCACTCCGCCCGCCCGCTCGCCTGCGCCCGCCTGAAGGAGGCGGCGGCGGCAGCCCTGGCAGCTCCAGCCCGGAGCAGGAGCTAAAGCAGCCTCAGCCGCCTCGGCCTCGCCCTGAGCTTCTGGGCCCGGCTCCCTCTAGTTCTTCCCTGCGATTTTCTCCAGGCTCCCCTTTCCTTCCCCTTGGCCGGCGCTGCGCGCTTCGAAGGCGTAGCTCTGTGCCTCTGAGCTAACATCTTCCTAGGGCAGGGGCAGAGCAGGGGTCAGAGCGGGCCATGACCCTGGCGTGACCTGAGGGTCGCCCCCACCTGCGCTCTCTGGGCCTGCCGCTCATATTGGCCCGCCAGCCCAGGGCGCGACGAGGGCACACCGCGGCCTTCAGACAACGCCTGGACTTCGCCGCGGCTCAGTAGGCCTGCGCCTAGGGTCCAGGCGCCCTGGCTGTGCCCTGGGGTCTATACGAGCCCCAACCCCACAGTGGGCCTAGAGCGCAAAGAGGAGTCGGCTTCCCTGGCACCGCCAGCGCCCGCTGTCTGCTTTGGGGACCCTCGCGGAGTGTGGGTTCGAGCGCTCTGCACTCTTCTCACCGGGCTTCTTCCCGGCTCCTGCTCTTCCGCTTGGCCCACGCCCGCATCCTCGCCCCTAACTCGCTCTTTTGGTCAAAGTTTCTAAGTTCAGCTCGGCTCCCAACTCCACTTAAGGCTGTAAATAAAGTTAAATGCTCTTTATTTTCCTCTTGAATATGTTAAACTACTTGAACAATTTAAAGTGCTTTGCACAAGTGAAGCGAACCATTTCTAATGTTCTGATTTTTCAGAGCCAGCCAACAACAAAGTTTAGATTAGTAATATATTTCTAACCAGAGTAATTTTCAAGATCATTAGGCATTTATGTAATTAGTGCCAAATCTATAAGCTTTTATTACGATTATTAGAGTAAAATCAGTATAAATTTGTACTAATTTACTACTGTTTAGACTTGGCTGTCAAGCCTAGAGGTTCTTATTGTAAATGATAACTGAGGAAATTAAGTGCAAAATTCTGTACCATTTCTGATCTGCTCCTAAACAATCCGTTTCAATTGTATTTGTAGCAGAACATAATGCCCTTTTAAAGTTATTTGACTTGTATTTTTATTTGCAACACAAGAAAAATGCCCTCTACCCAGTCACAATGAAAACTGATATTTACTACTCCCAACTTGATTAACATTGATTTTTAATTCGAGAGTGATGCAATTAAGATTATTCATTTAGTGCAAATAAACCTTCCACAAAAGGGTGGCCCAATGAAGTCTGTTTTAAATAATACTGAGCAAATGGCTTTTTTTGTTCGCCGTCCAATTGACTTAGACAAAACATTGAAAATGCTGGCTGAGAGCAGATGCGAGAGGAATTGTGTGTGTGTGTGTGTGTGTGTGTGTGTGTGTGTGTGTCCTCAGCTGTATGTGTGACAGGGACCGAGCAAGGAGACAAAGGAGGCGGCAAAGCGAACTCTCGGGCAGTTTTGTTTCCTCCTTCCCTCCTGCAGCCCGTTCGCCTCCTCTCCTGCACACACACGTGCGCGCGCACACATATGCACACACGTGTGAATGCAGGGTATTGGCCACACCAGTTTCTTCTGAGCTGCGGAGACCGCTTCCCGGGAAGCTCCGGGCCGGACTGGGTTTCAGCGGCTGCTGCAGCTGCTACCAACGCGGCCTATGTGGGACTGGGCGCCGGGGTCGTGGACTCAGGCTCGCGGCGTGTCTGGGAGCCGCTAGGGTTTTTGGCAAGCGGCCGCAGCCCTTCTGAGAAACGCTTTGCCTGGGAGGAGAATTCCGAGACCTAAAGCAAACAAAGTCTCCCCAATAAAAGCTTTCTTTGCCCCCAAACAAAACCTCAAATCTAGAAGCTAGAGCGCTGGGAGCGCACAGCAAAAGGAGGCCAGACAGCAGCCCAGGGAGGGGCGGCGTGAGCTCAGGACGGTGACTCGGGAGTACGCACCGGCCCGCGCACGTCCAGGGACTCGCAGGAGGTTTCTGCCCACCTGGGTGGGGCTTGCAGGGTGTCCACACCGGAACGCAGGGTCAGAAGTGGGGGGAAAGTGGCTAAGGAAGAGACAGGGAGACCTGGCTCCAGAACCCTGCTCCCAGAAATAGGCAGGTCCGCCAGGCCGCACAGCCTGGCTCCACACGCTGTCTGGAGGGAGGGAGAAGGGGCCGCGACCTGGGGAGACAAGGATAAGGGCGCGGGGCCGCGCGTCTCCACGTGCGTGCACACAAGCGCTAGTGTCCCCATCCCACAGTCGCCCCCGGAACGGCGCCGGCTGTGCAGCGATCTCCCACACGCACTCGCTCGTATATTCTGTTTTGTTGTATCTTTCAGGTCGATAAATGAATGTGTAATAGTTAATGTGAAGACACATCAGAGTAATAACAATGGGACGAAATCAAAGGATTATCCATCTCTGTTAGTAACCGCTGAATAACAATGTTGCGGCATGATTGATAGCCCGCTTCATTTTATGACTTTTCTATTGGTCTTGATTTTTATAGCAGTATAAACAAACTAAATCATTTCTTGCAAGACTTCAGAGCATAAGCATCTCGGGGGGGGGAAGGGAGAAAGGAAAGAAAAAAAAAGGGAAATCTGAGAGTGGGAAGGGGGCGGTGTGGGGCGTCGAGGCGGGGAGGGCGCAGGCTGGAGTTGGAGCCAGGTGCCCGCCGCCAGCAGGCAGAGCGAGAAAAACGACAATAGCCTGGATGTAAAAAGCTCCCCCCTGCTCCCGGTTCCCTCTCGGTAGCTCGTTTTGGCCAATGTCTGAATCCACCTGGGTAGCGCCTGATATGTATTTACCAGAGTTTTATTCCCCGTCATCTTCCCACGTTCCTGGGGCAGCCGGGAAAGTGCCGGTCAGGCCCATTGCTGTTGATAATTTAAGGCATTTCCCACATGATCATGGGAACTGAAGTCCCTAACAAGGCGAAGCTTTAGCGCAATGGCCCCCAAATCTTCGGAATGACAAGAATGTCTTCAGAAATCACTTCAAAGCAAAGTAAAAGGATTTTCTATGACGGATCCAGTGATTTTTCCTCAATAAATAGGTTTTAGATTGTTACACACACGTAGAAGTGGAACAAAGGGAACTACCAGAAAATATATTGGTTGCCCCTAATAAAATTTATTTAGACAGTTTACTTCTCATAAAAAATAGAGATTGAATTTTGTACAAGATCCTGCCAAGGGACGATGCACAGGGAAATCATTTTTTTCTTTCTCCTTTTCCCTCCTTCTCTTTTCTAACGAAGCACAAAGAGCGTTCACAGGCCAGGGAATCGGCTCCTGACTCCAGCCGCCCTGCGCGCCCAGACAGAGCCAGAGAACTCTGTAGCTGCGAGGAAAGTCGGCTTGCTGGGAGAATTAAAAAAAAAAAAAACAAAACAAAAAACAAAACAAAAAAAACTTGATGACTGATAATGTAAATTACAAGCACAGCAACTATCAAATCAGTGTCTTTACTCCTGCTTTGCCGTCCAGTTCCAGATCAAGACTTAGAAATGTGTGTCTAGACCGGGAGGTGGGGTGGGATGGGGCCCCCGGGCAGCTGGTGCCTTCCAGAGGAATTTGTGCTGATTGTATTTGTAATTCTGATTGTCTCTCTAATCGTATTTCTGCGTGCATTGTGAATCCTTTGTAGACACAGAAACAGACAGAATAAAAATATATACCGGGTGTTGTGGGAAGAATTGGGTAGTATGCCCAGAGCCCTAATTGCTTTTCCACTTACAAAAACCTCGGAGGTTTATTAAATGTAACTTTCGGCTGCTTGAGTTGTTTGTAAACTGCTCTCTTTTCTTTGCAGACAGTGGGCTGAAATATGGCGCGTTATTATTCACATTCCTGCTATTAAATGCTGAATTGTAACATTGTTCCCTTTAATGAGGAGCTCCTCCCTCAATAATTAACGATCTCACATTTTCCTATTTTCTTGCCTGATGAAAAGAATCAATTTTAATTCGTGGTAAATTACAGCCATGCTTTTGGGTATTATTTGCTTACAGAAAACAAATCAAGTGACTTGCACACTCCTGTTTACTTTTCCAGATAGGCAATAATCCAAACGCAATGGCAAATCAGATCGTGTTCCTCAGGCCTACCTAAGAAATGGAAAAGAATTAAAGGGTGGGGACACATACTAGAAGAAAATAAGGACGCTCTCAAGTCCACTGTGCTCGGAACAATGATGACCACTTTTCCCGCACATCCTGCCCTGGGTACCAGAACCTACACTCCCCCTCAGCCTCCACTCTCCCCACCTGACCCTGTCCCAGACTGGGGTTGGTGGTCTGCATCTGGCCACTCTGGAGTTTGAGACTGCTTAGTGTATGGCTTATTTTCGGGGAGTCATTTTGAGGGTGGGATGACTAGTAGGAAGGAGACCTGGGAGGGCGGCCAAGTGTCTGTAAAGGGGTAAAAGGCATTTCCATGCTTCTCTGCATAAAATAACTCTCTTGAGGTTTCCAGCAATAGAGACCACAGCCAAAGAGGCTTCTCTTCTGAGTGCCCCTGCCCGGCCACTGTGAAAGGGTCCTCCGCTCGCCTTCGGGAGAGGGCTCTGGAGGGCAAAGTGAAGCGTTTTTAACCCTTCTCAAACAGGCCTGGGCCCAGCCCAAATGTGCATCTTCCTGGCCTCCCAGGGCTGGGAGCGCAGGGACTCCGGGAGGCTCTCAGCCAGCTGTTCGATTGATGTCGCTGAGGGGGCCCTCTGGCCGCAACAATTCTGCCTACAGGACCCAGGATCCCCAGCCTCGGAGCCAAATGCCAAGCAACGTTCAGGATCCACACTTGGGGCTTTCTTTCTGTTTTTTAAACGCCGGTAGCAGGCTGCGTGTGCATGACACGTGTACTTGTGTGTGCTTGTGCGAGCAGTGCGTGTTCCTTGCCTGTTCACTCACACGGAGGGGGCATGCCAGGCGCTGCGGAGGGGCAGAAACCTGCCCCAAAGAGTCTCATTTCCTATCCCACCCAGAAGCCTTTCGCAATACACGAGCTCGACATATACACTTTTTTCTTTTCTGCAGTAAACAGTTTCCCACACATTCGAGTTTGCAAACTTCAACCAGACAGTCCACCCGCCTGACTTTTCGTGGGTGCAAGGGCCGGTCCCTTGCTCGTTTTTTCTCCCATCTTTCCCTTCTAACTACTGGCGCTCACGGCCCTCCACACAGAAAGCTCGACACAAAACAATGACGGATTAGTATCCGCCCCCTGACTGCGTATCTTGCTTCTCTTTTTTTTTTTTTTTTTTTTTTTTGCCTTTCGCCCCGTAATTTTAATGGCCCCAATTAGCCACACGGAATATAATAAGTGACATGGAGATTTTGTTTGCATGTGTTAAGTTCGTTGCTTTTCTGATTTCTATTTACTCAGGATAAATAATCATATATCAGTTATTCAGTTAGGTGACAAGGCTAGTAATTGGAATAAAAAGAAAAACATCTCATCCTTATCTCTTTCTATAACTAGATATAGCGCTAATAAGACTGCATCAATCTTATCTAGCAAATAAATAAAATAGACAAACAAACAAATTCGCCTCCAACAAGTTAATGCGGTGTATCTGAGTGGAAAGTAGATATTTTCACGCATTCTGGAGATGAGGAGTGACTTTTAATAAAATCACAAGAAAAACAAATGTAATTCTGTAAGCCATTTCTTCGAGCCGCCTGCGCTCGCCCACTCCCCGCTCGCTCCCCGCCCGGCTCCTACGTCCCAATCCTTTTCTTTTCGGGCGCAATTAGTGCCAGGTTTGCAACAGACGCCGGGACTCGGCCGCTCCAGCGACTCTACGCTTCGGGGGGTGGGGTGGAGGAGGGAGTTGCATCTATGGGTGAAGAGCCTTTCTCAAATAGGATTTCATCTCCCTATCTTTTCCTCCTTGCATCTCCTACCCTTTCTCTTCCCTTTCCCTCTTCCCTTTCTCTCTCTTTCCCCCTTCTCTTTATGCTCTCTTCCTTTTCTCTGTTTGCTCCTTTTCCTCCTTCCTCCTTTCTCTTTTTCTCCCTTTCCGTCCTCCACTCCTTCCTCTCATTCTCTTTTCCATCGGTCCTCCCATCCGTCTCTCTTTCCCCTTTTCGCTCCTTTCCCTTTCTCTCTCCCCTTTTTCTCCTTCCCTCCCTCTCTTCTGTCTTCTCCCTTCCTCCCCCTTTTTTTTCTCCCCCGCTTCCCAGACCCTCGTCCCCTCCCCGCAACCCGAGTGCGGCTAATTCCGGGCGTCTATATTCACTCAATTAGAGAAATCTACAGAGAAGATCGATCTTCCATCTGCAGACATGCCAGCTTAACAAATTAGATTCTTGTTTCGTGCAGGTGATTTGGTGACAGTTGGGGAATTAGAAGTAATAAGTTGTTGTGTTTGAGCCCGGGCCCCCGCCCCCCGCCCGCGCCCCTCCCCGCCCGGGGGCCCCTCGGCCGCGCCCGCCGCCCGGGCACCCCCTACCGCACCCCCCAGCCGGCCCGCGCCGCCGCCGCCGTCGCCGCATCCCCCGCCGTAATTAGTGCTGCTGCCCTCCATGTGGGCTCGATTAAACCGTGATTTAGCCGAAAGAAATATAATTATGGCTGCAAATAAAATAATCAGCATTGAAGAGCGATTTCCTTAATGAGATGGAGCGGTTGCACGTCACGGAGTAAAGGGGTCTCATTAAGAGGTGGTAATGAGGCTTGGGTGGATGGTGCAGTTACAAAATAGCCCAACTCCTCTGCAGGCCGGGCCCGTCCGCCCGAAGTGGCCGCCGCGTCGCCTTCCAGCGGTCCGGAGGTGCCGCGGTCCCAGAGGGGACTCGGGCCCGCCCCGCCCGGCCCCCAGGGGGCGCAGCGCCCGCAGCGCGGCCTCCTCCCGGCGTCTCCCGCGCCGTCGGGCCGGGCGGGGGACACAAGCCGCCGCAGCGGCTAGGGGGCCCCGCCAGCCCGGCCCGCTCCGCCTCGGCTGGGCGGCCGGGTTGGCACAAGCAACTGCCAGGCCCCCGAACACTGGAGAAGCCGGCCCGAGGGAGGGGCCCTTGCCTGGGGCGGGTGCCGAGGGTCAGTCCAGGAAACTTCTGGAACAGGTGGAAGTCCTCCCGGGTAGATGTGAGCTCCATCGGGAAAAGGGTGTCACAAAAACAGGTGCTCAGAGGCAGGGGTGCCACCGCGGCACCCCAGAACCCCGGGTCAGCTCGCGCGGACACCGCGTCTGGGAGTCCTGGCGTGGAAGGGCCTCGGGGGTTCTCATTCTCTCCAAGTCTCTTTCCACATTTTATTAAAGTACTGAAAAGGCAACAACTCTGTTTTTACCATGTCTTTTTTTTAAGTCTAAAATAAATTATTCCAAAGGGTCTTAAACGGGTACCTCTGATCTTTCTGGTTTATTAGGCCAAGGACGACCTATGAATTTCTTCTCTGCATCACAGTGTATACATGTGCATGCTCCCAATGTCCAGAGGTGGTGATGCCTCAGTATTTATTTCTAATTAGGTTGTTAGCCCTCTCCTTGGCTCAGTTTCATCATTTAGACCCATTCTTAATGGGACAAGGAAATTTACGTTATTTACACAAGGTGACCAATGAGGCAGCTGACACACTTTCCTTTATTCATCCAACCAACATTTGCTGAGCATCTACTATATGTTGGGCACTGAGGGGGTGAGAGATGAACAGAGAGACAGATGCTTGGCTTAGTAGAGCTCACAATGGCCTGCATTGAATTTTTCCACTACAGTAGACTGTGGCCATCAGGATTTGTACCTGTAGGAGGCAAAGATAACCCAGGAAGAAGCTCAGTTTGTTTTGGTGGGCTCTCACCCTCTCTTACCTTCTCAGTCTGTATTTTCTTCTCACCCAGAAACCTGAGATCTCAAGGAAGAAAGTAATTTGAATTAACTTTCTTAGGTGTTAAGAGTTAATGTAATATCCTTCACGGAATGTTCCCATTTTTGTAAAAGGACTGCAAGGAGAGGCACATTGCCTAGATAAGTGACTTTTCCATATCTGCCTAGTGGTGGTGGGAGACTTGAGACAGAAGGATTTGGGGGTTACTGTGATCCAAATACTGGTTCCCTAATCAGCCTCACCAGTGCTGATGGAAACTCTTGCATATTTTTAAGAAATGTTTTTGGGGGGTGTGAAAGCTATGGACCACCTCCCATTAAAATGCATTTATTTACCAAAAACTTTAGGGGGTTCAAAACCCCTCTTGAGCTGCCTATGGGCCCCAGGTTATAAAAGAGTGATATTTGGGTGAAAATTTATGATTATCATCTTCAGAGAAAAAATGCAAATCTCTAGAGGAGTTCTACCAATAAGTCTGAATGTAGGGAACAGCTGGGTGAAGAATCAAAAAGAAATTGTCAAACCAGTAAGTTCCAAGAAAACAACTGGCTAGAAGATGCATGCAGTCTAACAAATTTATAACAATTTCATATCTTCCATCTGACCAAAATATAGGTTGATATTAATCCAAACCTATATTACATGTTTTCATGTTGCAGAGAATTGTCAGGAAACCTGGTTTGTTGGTGGGCAGCTCTTTCTCCTAGAGGCAGGCCCTGGGCAGTCGGCACTCTGGCTGGAGAGATCAGCCTCATACAATGGTGGGTCATAAATAAACAGACCTAACCCTGGGTGGAGGTGCAAGTGAATGTGATTAAAATTTACACGCTGGGACCACAGAGAGTGAAGGGTGATTAAAGTCTGTCTTAAGCCTACTAAAGCCCCCAAATCCAGACCTTAAGCTAATTCTTTCATTCACTCCCCAAAGGCATTTCACACATTAGGGCCTGAAAGCCAGTAACAGGGCTGCCTTCTCCACCCTCCTGCACTTTCCTAAGTTGCTGACATATGGAACCAAAGAGCCTTTTCTGTGTAGGAGATAGCTCTTTCCCAACTGCTTTAGAACAAGGATTTACTCTACCCCCCCTTAATTTTTGAGAGGTCTCCAAGTCACCCATTAAAAAGGAGATGGACTTTTACATATATTTTCCCAGCAGAATTTTTTTTCACACTCTAGGAAGCAGCTGTGGTAGGGAAGGGAATATGTATTAGTTAGGATACACAGGCTGCTGTAACAGAGACCCCAAATTAGAGTGGCTTAGAACATATAGGATTTTATTTATCTCTCACATAACAGCCCATGAAAAACATGCCAAGACCAATATGGCAGGAAGCTCTAAAAGACTGGGAACCTAGCCTTCTTCTTCCGTGTGTGTGTGTGTGTGTGTGTGTGTGTGTGAGAGAGAGAGAGAGAGAGAGAGACAGTGGCTATTCATAGGCATGATCATAGTGTACTGCAGCCTTGGGCTGAAATGATCCTCCTGCCTCAGTCTCTCCAGTAGCTTGGAAAACAGGCTTGGCCACCATGCCCAGCCCAGCCTTCTTTATTGTTCTCTGTCTTCCTTAACATATTCTTCCATCTTGCAGCCTAAGATGGCTGCTCCAGCTCCTGCCATCACCTCTGCATGTTGGGTAGCTGGAAACGGAGATGAAGAGGAAGGCTCATTCCTTTCTTTTAAGGGCATGGCTCAAAAATGCTTCTATTACTTCCTCTCACAATGCATGGAACAGAGTTTAGTCACATGGCCATACCTACCTAAATAGAAATTGAGTGCTATAGTCTTTACCTGAGCTGGTTAAAACATGAGAGAGAAGGCTCCATGGTTTTCCTGCTCTGGGAGGGGACAAAAATGCTATCTTCAATATGGCCCTAATTTATGACTTGACCCCATCTTCAGTCTTCTCTAATACTTGTACTGAAAAAAAAAATGGTGTGTGTTTGCCAGAGGAGGGATGGAAGGTGGAAAGTGGAGGCAGAGGGGCCAGGTAGTAGCCTAATGTAATAATCCAAGGGGAAAATGATGGCTGCTTGGACCAGAATGAGAGCAGTGGAGGAGGTGATAAGTGGTTGGAATCTAGAAGTATTTCCTAGGAAGCCTAGGATGTGCTTCTAGATGTGGGGTATGAGAAAGAAGAGCCGAGGATAATGCCACTCATTGATTATCTATTCATCCATTGACTGTTTTTTTTTTTAGAGACAGGGGTCTCGCTATGTTGCCCAGGCTAGCCTTGAGCTCCTGAGTACGTGGGATCCTTCCACCTCAGTGTCCTGAGTAGCCAGGATTGCAGTTGCTCACCACCACACCTGGCTCTAAATTGTTATTGAGCACTGGCTGTGAGCAAGGCACTGAGCTAGGGCCTGTGGATACAATGGGTATAGTCTTGCTTTTATAATTGACAAAAATAGCCAGCAGAGAAGTAAACACAAGTATGATGTATGTAATAAAAAGCAAATCCCAGAGGCTTTGAGATAATAACTCAGAGGAAATGAACCTAGTCTAGGGGTCTGGGAGGTGACGTCTAAGCTGAGACATGAAGTGTGCATAGGGAGTGGTCAGGAAATTGAGGTGAGCTGGGGCCATAAGGGGAAACATGTTCCTGTAGAGGAATTCGCTTTAAGCCCTACTTCCCTCCATGCCTTCATGTTGTCTACTTGGGATAGAATGAAACCCTGGACTTAGTTTATGCTTAGTTCATGCTATCTCTCTGAAGAGAAAATGCTTTTTGAAGTTCAATTCAAGTTAATTAAATTCAATCAACATTTGTAGGTTCTGGGCCAGGTTCCCAGCCCAAAGACTAAATAGCCCATGGTACCATTTAACTGAGAGAAGATAATAAAATTGAAATCATTGAATTTTAGGAAAGGCAGAGTTGTTCTCTATGAGGTCAAGCTAAAACTCAAAGGATTTCAACATAGGAAGATGTGCTGTGGTGTGACATGATCAAAATCTATACAATTCAGGATGGCAACAAAAATCTATACAATTCAGTATGGTGACGAGAGTGTAAATATAGATTAGGAGACAACCTACAACCTTCGTTTAAAGCATTTAAAAAGTCCTTTATACATGGGAAATTAAACGTGAGGAATGCATTCCCTCCAAGGGGTGGTAAAATTACTATATTTGTTGGGATGAGAGTTCAGTGGCTATAAAAGAAACAACAGCAGCAGTAACAAAAACCAACAGTGGCTTAAACAAGATAGAAGTTTCTCTCTCACTTAATAGTCTAAAGGCAAGAACTCCAGGACTGTCATGGTTGGTCTATGGTGTCAGCGACCCCGCCTCTTCTATCTTGTTCCTATCTGCTAGGATGTCCCCCTTGTCCATGTTATCCAGGATGGCTCACCACCATGTCATATTCTAGCCAGCAGGAAGAGAAAGGAGAAAGACAAGAGTATCCTTCTTCCTTTGAAAGCACAACCCTAAAGATGCACACATCACTTCTCAATCCCATTGTCAAGAACTTGGTCAAATGACCACACCCAGCTACAGGGAAGGTTGGGAAATCGTATTTTTACACTAGATATTCGTATTCCATGTGAGAACAGAGAGTTATATTAGTGAGAGACAGAAAGAGAGAACAGACACTAGAGTCTCTAGCAGTCTTTGTGGACTAAGGGGTTCTTTTTCTCACTCAGAACTTCCAAAGTTAGTGCTTGAAAGAAAGTTTTCAGGAGTGTGTGTGTGGAGGTACAAGGGTTGGCAGACACCCCTGAATCAGAGGCCTCACCTCCTTCTTTGGATTCTTTCACGTGACTTCCTGCTGGCACCCAGGTGCTGCTGCCCCCTTAAATATTTTGGCTGAAGTAAAGATCAAAACCTTTCCCTGGGCTTCCCTTAGCCAAGACTGCATGGAGTTTTCAAAGAGTTTAATATAGATAGATGTAGAGAAGACAAAGAAGAGCATAAACATAGAAAATACAAGAAACGTGTAACCTTCCCAGCTTACAAAGTCCAAGATCTCTATCAGCTCTTCCTTTGTCTAGCCTGGAAGGTTAAGCTCAACTTCTCCAGCACCTTGACCTCAGCCTTCATTCCCTGGGTCTTAGCTTGTCTCTGCATGGAGGATGATTGCTTTAATATTCACCTTCCAGGAACAACCTGCAGTAGTAGTTCAGGTGAGGTATTGTCCTTATACAGGATGAGAAGGAGCTGCCTGCCCTGGACCTTGGCTTTAAACAGCCCCATTTGGACCATCTCCAGCTGCAGCCCGTCAAGAGCCTGCTCTTCCCCCTGTAGACTACCTGGGGCCCCAGAATTCCTTGCCCAACAGTCCTGCTCCTGCTTCCAGAACTTCTGTGGGTCTCTCCCACATCTGCCCATCTGTCATGTGCACACTCCCAGGCCCAAGAGGCAGCTGCTTGTGATGAGATGTGGGGGGAGCTTGGACAACTGGGCTGGGCTGACCACTTGTGCATGTGAGAGGCCTCTTGCTGCCCTGGATGCAGCTGGTGGGCAGGAAGAGAAGGTGCAAACCTGGAGCTAGGGGCTGGGACTCCAAACATTATAAATTTGAACTTGAACTTCTAGGTTGTTATGAAAATATAGTTGTTAAGGTAAGAAGACAGGACATATTTCACTGAACAGTTTGTTAGCTTAATTTATAGTTTTTAAATATTTGGACATATAGTATGTGGGCCTCTGTTTGTACTCTTGCTCCAGGTCCTGCATATGTTAGGGTAGGCTTGGGCTGTCTTGCCACATATGTTGTTATCTTTAAAAGTTACAGCATGTGAGATTCCTCTTCTGCATCCTACTCTTCTAATTGCCAACGTGCAG
This sequence comes from Homo sapiens, assembly GCF_000001405.40. NCBI lineage: Eukaryota > Metazoa > Chordata > Mammalia > Primates > Hominidae > Homo > Homo sapiens. The sequence goes on from NC_000005.10 coordinate 77,651,452, forward strand.
CCAAGTCAGATTATGAAGGAAGGCCCTCCCTGCTCAGATGGAAGGCTGCTACCAGTATGCACACACACTAGCCTTTTGTTTTTTCTCGGACTTGCCATTCTCATTCCAACCTCTGGCCATGGTACCTTCTGCTTTGTTCCTTCTTCCTGAAGGATACATCTCTGGACTTTCACATGATTACAGCTCTCTCTTTATTCAGGTCTCTGTAAAATTTTATCTCTGTAGAGATGCCCTTCCTGACATCTCCTCTCCAAACTTAAAAGAGTCCCCCAAAAGAGTCAAGTAGATCCATAATTCGTCATCCTTTATCTTGCTTTATTTTTTCAGCACAGCACTCATCACTATCTGAAAAAGTGTGCTATGTGCTTATTTGTTTATTACCTCTTTCCCTGAGCAGAATGCAAGCCCTGTAATGGCTGAACCTTGGTCTTCATATCTTAGTACCCCTAGAGCCTTGTACAGTTTCTGATGCATAATAATGTGCAAAAAAATTTTGTTGAATGAATAAAAGGAAGAATGAATGAATGATCCAGTTGTTCAGTAGCAGTTGGGAATCAGATTTCCCAATTCAAACTAATCTTAGTGAGCAATCAGAATTATGAAGAAGAGTTTATTATTATTATTGAAATTTATGCTACCCATTCAGGATGGGGTCAACCTAGCCAATTCCATGTGTGTAGAGCAGTCCAGAATGAGAGTGGACAACTGCCTGACGATGCAATGTTAAAACGGCCCTGTTGGTAAAGAGCCCAGTGTGACTTTTGCAAATGAATGTAGGCTCTCCCTCTCCAGCTCTGTGCTCAAGGCTAAGCCCTGGAAAGTGAGCCCAATGCAGAGACTGCCTTGTTAGTCATTGGTGGTGAGGGACTCCATTTTTGGACAGGAGACTGGGCTGAAATTTGATGCACATAAAATAGAGGATGCTGAAGTGAAGGGTCATATACCATCCATGCCAGAAGAGTCCTTGGGAATTATTGCCTAAAATTTGCATCTTTAAAGATGAGACACAGAGGTCCCAGGGGACCAAGGTGGCACGACAACTAATAGAAATCGAAAGTGGGGCTTGGGTCTCCCAACCCCCAGAACTGTTTTCACCCTCCTGGATTAACCGGATTAGTGTCATAGAAACTGCCAGGATTAGTATGAAATTTCTATCAAACACTAAGCGCAGTGACACTTATTAGAAGAATCCCTACTAGCAGAGCTTCCCTAAATGATCTGTAAAATGGGGATAATCATAGTACCTGCCTCCTGAGGTTGAGGTGAATCTTCCTGTGGAGCACTTACAGTGCTGTGTCAATGATAGCTGCTGCTATGTTTCTTATTAACCCTTCCCATTCCCACCCATTCATGGACACATTTCCCATACCCTTGCTGAGAAGTTGTATTTGGCTACAGTTATTATGGAAACAAAAGGATTGGCCCCTGGAGCCCTGTTCTAACCCAGAATAGACGTATGGGGCGGTCCACAGAGCATAAAGTTACAACCAGTCCTGATGCCAATGGTCCTACAAGCAGCTCCCACAAGTCTGTAAGTGGCCAAGCAGCATGAGCACCCTACTATCCTGGGCAGGTGCCCGGAAACCTCGGAGGTGCTACTTGGCATGAAGCAACTGCTCCTTGCAGGGCAGGGATGTGCCACAGCTGCAGCCCTTTGAGATTCTCACAGTCCCGTTTTCAATTTGGAGCCTAGAGCTGAAGAGATAAATTGAGAATATTGATCAGCTCATCAGCTCACAATTAAGATGTTCTTTTTCCCCCTTCCGAAACTTGGTGTATGGCTGTGGTAAAGGGAGGAATGGCTGTCCCTCATAGCGACTGCACACAGGCTCTCAAGCCACTTCCAGGTTACCACACCATAATATTTTTGTTGTCATTCATTCTTATCTATCCACAGCCATCAAATATCACCTCCTTTCATGAGGGGATGGTGCAAAGTGGGCAGACCTTCAAGTGAGAAAGAAACAGGGATAAGCGGCTAGGAAAGGGCGTCCCACCAACACTTGTAGATCGGAACTGTCAAAGAAGTCCAAGTCCTCTGTCTTTCTGTGGAGCCACAAGATCTGGAGAAAGGGAAGTGTGTTCATCTCAGGAAAAGATTGAGGACTCAACTTGAGAAAAAGAAAAAGGGGGTAGTGGTGGAATAAAGAAGTAGGCAGCATCAAATCTGTTCAGGCCACATCTTGGCAGAATACTATGCCTGCCCTCTTTGCTTCCAGAATTTCAAGGCCAGGTGACATAGCATCATAAAACTTTAAACCTTATTGCTGTTAGAAAATAAACATGTGTGTGCACATGCACACACACATACACACACACAGACACACAAATACTACTGTCTAAGCTCACAAGCACTGGCATTACCTGACCCCTGTTTATCTCTCTACCTCCACTTCTGATTGGTAGGACACACACCAGCCACCTTAGCCTCCTGAAAATTCATAAAATAATTTTTCCTATGATTCAAGGCCCTTACACATGATTTTCCCTTTCCACTCAGTGCTCTTCCCCTATTCTTCACATAGCAGGCTTCTTCTTGGCTTTCAGACCTCAGTTGAAATCTCGCCTTCCAGGCAAGGCCTTTCTCATCTTTCTCCCACCAGGCCCTTTCCTCTCTGGGGTTCCCTTCTATCCCAGGACCCCACTATCACCCCCATAGCCCTCTCCCAAGGTTATTATTGAGTTAAGTGTCTGCTTGCTTATTGTCTCTCCCATTTCAAAATGATTTCTCTGAGGGAAGGACCATATCTGTTTTCTGCCCAGAATACAATAGGTACTCAAGTGTCCACCCAGCTGCTCCAATCAAAAGGATTAAAGTCACCCTCAAATCATCACTTGTTACCACCCAGACATACAATTCAATGGCAAACCTTCTTGGCTTTATTTTCAAAATATATCCCAAGATCTCCCCACCTTCACGGTCACAGGTTCAAGCCACTATATAGGGTACCTGGATTACTGCAACAGCTGAATAGCCTCCTCCTCTTGTCCCCACCTCTGTCCTTGCACCTCTCCATGCTACCCCCAGCACAGCAGTTGGAATGGAAGTCCAATTATGTCACTCCCCTGGGCAAACCCTCCACCAAAAATGGACAAATGAGATCACTTCAAGTTAAAAAGTTTCTGCACAGCAAAGGATACAATCAACAAAGGCAGGGGACAACCCACAGAATGGGAGAAAACATTTGGAAACTATCCATCTGACAAGGAATTAATAAGCAGAATATATGGAGCTCAAACAACTCTATAGGGAAAAGTCTAATCTGATCAAAAAATGGGCAAAATATTCGAATAGACATTTCTCAAAAGAAGACATACAAATGGCAAACAGGCATATGAAAAGCTGCTTGACATTACTGATCATCATAGAGATGCAAATCAAAACTATAATGAGGTATCATCTCACTCTAGTTAAAATGGCTTTTATCCAAAAGACAGGCAATAACAAATGCTGGCTAGGATATGGAGAAATGGGAATCCTTGTATGTTGGTGGGAATGTAAATTAGTGTGGGGAACAGTTTGGAGGTTCTTCATAATGTTGACATGATATACCCCACTGATTGATTTGCATATGTTGAACCATCCTTGCATCCCTAGGATAAATCCCACTTGGTCATGATGAATGATCTTTTCTATTTATTTACTAATTTATTTAATGTATTTATTTTGAGACAGAGTCTCACTCTGTAATCCAGGCTGGAGTGCAGTGGTGCAATCTCAGCTCACTGCAACCTCTGCCTCCTGGGTTTAAGCAATTCTCCTGCCTCAGCCTCCTGAGTAGCTGGGAATCCAGGTGCACACCACCACGCCCAGCCAATTTTTTATTTTTATTTTTAGTAGAAACAGGGTTTCACCATGTTGGCCAGGCTGGTTTCAAACTCCTGGCCTCAAGTGATCTGCCTGCCTTGGCCTCTCAGAGTGCTGGGATTACAGGCATGAGCCACCACTCCTGGTGAGTGATCTTTTTAATGTGTTGTTGAATTTGGTTTGCTAGTATTTTACTGAGGATTTTTGCATCAATGTTCATCAGGGATATTAGCCTAGAGTTTTCTTTTTTGGATGTATCTTTGTCTGGTTTTGGTATCAAGGCAATACCGACCTCGTAGTATATGTTTGTAAGTATTCCCTCATCTATTTTTCACATTAGTTTGAGTAGGATTGGTATTTACCACTTCTTTCAATGTTTGGTAAAATTCAGCAGTGAAGCCATCAGATCCCAGACTTTCCTTTGCTAGGAGACTTTTTATCATGGCTTTGATCTGGATACTTGTTTTTGGTCTGTACAGATTTTGGATTTCTTCATGCTTCAATCTTGGTAGGTTGTAGGTGACTAAGAATTTATTCAGTTCTTCTACATTTTTCAATGTATTAGCAGATAGTTGCTCATAGTAGCCTCTAGTGATCCTTTGAATTTCTGCAGTATCAGTTGTAATGTCTCCTTTTTCATCTCTGATTTTATTTATTTAGGTCTTCTCTCTTTTTTCCTTAATTAGTCTGACTAAAAGTTTGTTGATTTTGTTTAACTTTTTAAAAAACCAACACTTTGTTTCATTTGATCTTTTGTGTTGTTTTCTTCATTTCAATTTCATTTATTTCTGCTCCGATTTTTATTATTTCTTTTCTTCTACTAATTTTTGGTTTGCTTTGCTCTTGCTTTTCTAGTTCTTTAAATGCATTGTTACATTGTTTATTTGGAGACTTTCTACTTTTTTGATGAAGGTGCTTATAGCTATAAACTTTCCTCTTAGTACTGCTTTCACTTTATCCCATAGGTTTTAAGAAATTTTAAAATTTTCCTCTTAATTTCTTTATTGATCTACTGGTCATTAAGGAGTATATTATTTAATTTCTATGTGTTTGTATAATCTCCAAAATTCCTCTTGTTAAGGATTTTTAGTTTTTTCCATTGTGGTCAGAGAAGATATTTGATATAACTTCAATTTTTTTGAATGTTTTAAGACTTGTTTTGTGGCCTAACGTATGGTCTATCCTTGAGAATGATTCATGTGCTGAGGAGAGAAGAATGTGTATTCTGCAGCCATTGGGTTAAATTTTCTGTAAATAGATTTAGGTCCATTTGGTCTATAGTGTAAGTTAAGTCTGATGTTTCTTTGCTGATTTTCTGTCTGGACAATCTGTTCAATGCTGAAAGTGGGGTGTTGAAATCTTCAGCTATTACTGTATTGGGGTCTATCTCTTTCTTTAGCTCTAATATTTACTTTGTTTATCTGGGTTCTCCTGTGTTGAATGCATATATATTTACAATTGTTATATCCTCCTGCTGAATTGACCTCTTTGTCATATAATTACCTTCATTGTCTCTTTTTATAGTTTTTATCTTGAAATCCATTTGATCTGATATATGTATAGCTACTTCTGTTCTTTTGTGGCTTCCATTTGCATGGAATATCTTTTTGCATCCCTTTATTTTCAGTCTATGTGTGTCTTTATAGGTGAAGTGTGTTTCTTGTAGGCAACTGACTATTGGGTCTTGTTTTCTCAACCATTCAGTCACTCTATGCCTTTTGATTGGAGAAGTTAGTTCATTTACATTCAATATTATTTTTGATAAGTAAGGTCTTATACTTGCCATTTTGTTATTTGTTTTCTAGTTGTTTTGTGATCTTTTCTTCCTTCTTTCCTTCCTTCCTGTCTTTCTTTTAGTGAAGATGACTTTTTCTGGTGGTATGTTTTAAAATCTTGTGTGTGTGTGTGTGTGTGCGTATGTTTTGTGTGTATTTGTTGTATGTTTTTTGATTTGAGATTACCATGCAACTTGCATATAATATCTTGTAACCCATTATTTTAAACTGATGACAACTTAGCACTGATTACACACACAAGTAAAGAGGAAACTAAAAAAACTCTACACTTTAACTTAATTTCTTGCTTTTTAACTTGTTGTTTCTATTTATATCTTATTGTACTGTCTATGTCTTGAAAAGTTGTTGTAGCTATTATTTTTGATTGGTTCATCTTTTAGTCTTTCTACTCAAGATATGAGTAGTTTACACACCACAATTACAGTGTTATTATATTCTTTGTTTTTTTATGTACCTACTGTCACCAGTGAGTTTTGTACCTTCAGATGATTTCTTACTGCTTATTAACATCTTTTTCTTTCAGATTGAAGAACTCCCTATAGCATTTCTTGTAGGGCAGGTCTGTTGTTAATGAAATCCCTCAGCTTTTGTTTGTCTGGGAAGGTCTTCATTTCTCCTTCACGTTTGAAGGATATTTTCAATGGATATATTATTGTAGAATAAAAGTTTTTCCTTCAGCACTTTAAATACATCATACCACTCTCTCTTGGCTTACAAGTTTCCCACTGAGAAGTCTGCTGCCAAGCATATTGGTACCCCATTGTATGTTATTTGTTTCTTTTATCTTGCTGCTTTTAGGGTCCTTTCTTCATCCTTGACCTTTGGGAGTAGGGTCCTTTCTTTATCCTTGACCTTTGAGGTAGTATTATTTGGGTTAAATCTATTTGGTGTTCTATATCTTTCTTGTACTTGAATATTGATATCTTTTTTTAGGTTTGGGGATCTCTCTGTTTATTATTCCTTTGAATAAATTTTCTATCCTCCATCCCATCTCCTCTTTAAGGCCAGTAACTTAGATTAGCCCTTTGGAGGCTATTTTATAGTTCTCGTAGGCATACATCATTCTTTTTATGCTTTTTTCTTTTGTCTCCTCTGACTGTGTATTTTCAAATAGCTTGTCTTCAAGGTCACTAATTCTCTTCTGCTTGTCCAATTTTGCTGCTAAGGGACTCATGCATTCTTCAGGATGTCAGTTGTGTTTTTCAACTCCAGAATTTCTGCTTGATTTTTAAAAATTATTTAATTCTGTTTGTTACATTTATCTAATGGGATTCTGAATTCTTTCTCTGTGTTATCTTGAATTTCATTGAGTTTCTCAAAACGGTGATTTTTGAATTCTCTGTCTGAAAGGTCAGATATCTCTGTCTCTCTGGGATTAGTCCCTGATGCCTTATTTAGTTTGTTTGGTGAGATCATGTTTTCCTGAAGGGACTTGATGCTTGTGGATGTTTGTTGGTGTCTGGGCATTGAAGAGTTATGTATTTATTGCTGTGGTTCTTACAGATTCATAGAGGTACTGCCCTGGAGATCTTGGATAAGATCCAGAAGAATTCTCTGGATTACCAGGCAGAGACTCCTGTTCTCTTCTCTTACATTCTCCTAAACAAATGGAGTCTCTCTCTGTTCTGAGCTGCCTGGAGCTGGGGGAGGGGTAACAAAAGCACCCTTGTGGCCACCACCACAGGACAGTGCTGGGTCAGACCTGAAGCCAACACAGCACTGGGTCTTGCCCAAGGCCCATGGTAATCACTGTCTGGCTACCACCTATGTTCACTTAAGGCCTAGGGCTGTACAATCAACAGGTGGCAAATCCATCCAAGCTTGTGTTCTTTTTTTCAGGGCAGTGAGTTTCCCCTGGTCCTGTGTGAGTCCAGAGATGCCATCCAGGAGCCAGGGCCTCAAGTCAGAAATCTTAGGAATCTACCTGGTGCTCTACTCTACTGTGCCTGAGCTGGCACCCAAACCACAAGACAAAGTCCTTCATACTATTCTCTCCTCTTTCCACAAGCAGGGGAGTCTCTCCTTATGGCCACTACTGCCCCAAGCCCACGGTGAGTACTGTCTGGCTACCACTGATAATCATTCAAGGCTCAAGGGCTTGTCAGTCAGCTTGTGGTGAGTGATGCCAGGCCTGGGGCTCACCCTTCCAGGCAGTGGGTCCCCCTCTGGCCAAAGGCAGGTCCAAAAATGCCATCCAAGAGCCTCGGCCTGGAAAAAGGAGCCTCAAGGGCTTCCTTGGTCCTCTACTCCACTGCGGCCAAGCTGGTAATTGAGGTGCAAGACAAAGTCCTTTTTACTCTTCCCTCTCATTTTCTCAAGCAGGAGTCCCTCCTCATAGCCACCCCAGCTAGGAATATGCTGGGTTACATCTGAAGCCAACACATATTTGAGCTAACTTAGGGTCCACAGTGAGTACTGCCTGGGTATCACTGCTGATTATTCAGAGCCCAAGGGCTCTTTATTCAGCAGGTGGTGAGTGCTTCCAGGACTGGATCTTTCCCCTCAAAGCAGGGGGTTCCCTTCTGGCCCAGGATGTATATAGAAATGTGGTCTGGGAACGAGGGCCTGGAATGGGGGCCTCAGGACTCTGCCAGGTACCGTATCCTACTGTGGCAGAGCTGGCATCCAAGTTGCAAGACAAAGTCCTCTTTACTCTTCCCTCTCCTTTTCTCAAGCGGATGGAAGGATTCACTCCTGGAGCCATGAGCTGTACTGCTTGGGGTTGGGGGAGGGAAGATGTAAGCACTCCTTGGCTGTCCCGTTTGTTATCTCAGTAGGTCATGTGTCCCCCAAGTCCACTGGCTCCAAGCTCTACATAGTATCAAGACTTGCTCAGGAATTGCAGTCCTTATGGCCTAGACTGCTTTTCAAGTTTAGGTAGGAACCAGAGCCCTTTAGCCTGTTCTGCTGAGGCTTGCCAGAACTCAGGTTCCAACAACTGGAATGGGCAATTCACCTCTGGCTAGGGCCAGTTTAAATGCTCCTCCATGGGTGTTGGCTGAGTTCTGCCCAGGGTTGCTTTCTGCTATGGCAGAGCAGCACTGAGTTCCAATGCACAGGCCCACAATCACTGCACTTTCCCTCCTCAACGCACACAAATTCTTGCTCAGTGTCATGCAGCCACTGCTGTGGGATGGGGCAGGGGTGGTGCTGGCCATTCAAGACTGTCTTTCCTACCGTCTTCAATGCTGTTTTCAGTGATATGAAGTTAAAACCAAGTACTGATTGCTCACCTGATTTTTGGTTCTGATGAAAGTGCTTTTTTTGTGTGCATAGTTGTTCAATTTGGTGTTCCTGTGGGGAGGATAATCAGTGGAGGCTTCCATTTGGTCATCTTGCTCTGCCTTTTTCTGTTTTCACAATTCTTAATGGTAGTTGAAATGTACTTGAAATGATATTATATAGCTATCTGTTTACTTATTTTTTGTCCATCACTACCACAAATAATTAAGCTGCATTAGGGCAAGGGCCTTGGCCATCTTTGTTTTCCACTGTCTATCCAAAGTCTAGAAAGTCTCTGGGACACAGTAGATGGTCAACCAGTGATATGGTTAGATATTTGTCCCCTCCAAATCTCATGTTGAAATGTAATCTCCAATGTTGGAGGTGGGGCCTGGTGGAAGGTGAGTGGATCATGGTGATGGATCCCTCATGAATGGCTTAGTGCCATCTCCTTGGTGATGAGTGAGTTCTCAGTTAGTTCACATGAGATCTAGTTTAAACATCTGGGCGTCCCCTTTCTCCCTCTTGCTCTTTCTCTTACCATGTGACATGCTGGCTCTCCCTTCACCTTCTGCCATGAGGCCCTCACCAGAAGCAGATGCTGGTGACATGCTTCTTGTACAGCCTGCAGAACCATGAGCCAATTAAACCTCTTTCCTTATAAACTACCCAGCTGTAGGTATTTCTTTATGGCAACACAGAGAAGATAAAAGAATGAATGAGTGAGTGTATCAGAGAGCTACAATCACAATGAAGCTGCATAACAAACTAGTCCAAAACTCAGAGGCATATAACAATAAACTTTTATTGCTCAGTCACATAGGAAATAATACTGATATTTGAGTTCCTTCTCCCAGAAATTCTGATTTAGTTGGACTGGGATGCAGCCTAGGCATCTGGATTTTTATTTTTGAACTCTCTAAGAGAGCTAACATGTAACGATGTCTGAGAACTGCTATTATAGATAATATTTGCTATTATTCTGATTATATCAAAAGTTTGAGTTGATTAATTACAACACTATTATCTGAAGCATATTGATGAGAAAACTGGGGCATATGGAAAGTGAAGTGGAACCTGGACTATGTTTACACAGAACAAAAAGGTGAAATTTTAAGAGCTAATAAGGGATTTAAATGTAAGCAGTCAAGCTATATAATTCAGCTTCCCAAGTGTAGGGTTCACTCCATGAGTAATAATATGATAGTTTATCTCGTGGGGAGGGAAGTATTTCTTGTCAAATGATTCAAAGTCTCCAAATATTAAGGACGTATATAGAAGATTCATGTCTCAATAATATATAATCAAATATGTTGAGGAGAAAATAGGCATTTGCTCTTGTTATTTTTTTGTTGTTGTTGTTATTGTTAGGACAATCCTATCGAGTTAGCCCAAGATCATCTGATGCTGTGACAATTTTTCCTTCTCAGGAGAACCAGATGAAATTAAGAGAGGGTGATAATTTATCTCTTGTTCTTTGGCAAGGTACAGTGAAGGTCCTTGGACTTCTCCCCCAAAGACAGGCAGTATTCACAAATTCCTTATCTGAAGCTTCTTCATTTAGAAGTCCTGCTTGATTGATCTTCTGATATATTGGCTCCATAAGTAAATTGGGAAGAAACGTCTCTTTTTGGTACCCAGGTAAGGGGAAAGAAAATTATGATTGGATGTCACCACAGGATCACAATTTCTGTACCAAGAAAGGTAAGAAATTAGACCTCTTCTCCCTCACCATTGGAAAGTTCACTTGGTTGTCACATAGGGGATTGGCCGAACTCCAGAGTCAAATCCTGTTTATGCCGAAGGCAGAGTAGATAATATAGGACATTTCTTGGCAGTGTGAATTATGAATAAAGGGGGAAAAAAAAAACTTTGGTCACTATCTTTCTTGGGCTCTGCAGCCATCTCATGGTGATCAGAAGAATCAAATTGCTGTCTAGCCCAGAGGAGTGATTTCTAACCAGCAAACTAAAAAATAACTGTGTGTTTTGAGTGGCATCTTGCACTCAACAGGCACTTAATAAATATTCGCTAATAACATTAGGCCACTCAGCACCAAGCAGGAAGATAAGGCCATTTTTTTTGTTGTTTTATACTTGGGTAATTGATAAAAATAATTGCAAAGCTTTAAATGTTTAACAGTGATTAGCTAAAACCATCACCTCCAAGCCCTTCCCACTTTGATAAACTCATTCCCATGAAAATATTCAGAACCTGAGGAACAGCAGGGAAAGAAGCCAATAAAAGCAGCTCAAAGAGTTTTACATTATCTCCATAAGCTATCTAATCTAGCCATTTTGAATGATCTATGTAAATTAATTACGCTTTTTAATTAGGTGGTCTTTTAGCTTGCATATTGAAGTTTGCCACCAATTATGGTGAGGCAGGAGGTCACTTGATTGGTATGGGAAACAAGAGGCCTTTATTTCACTGAACTGAAACACTGAACAGTTAATGCTTAGGGGGAAAACTGTAAAATTTATGCTGGTTCTCAAAATTCAAACTGTGCAGCTCTTGTTCATTTTTTTTTCTCTGACTCAAATCCCCTTCTATGACTCACTGGGGGTTTTTCTTTATAAATATCAGAATGACTTCTAAACACCCACTGACTCAAAAAATAATAGAGTAGCTTGGAAGCTGAAATTTTGCATCCTTAATGCTAGGGGGAAAATAACCCACCCTTTTGATATTAGTCACATTAAATGCTATTTAATTGCTAGTGCAGCTGTTTCCAGATGTGACTTTATTTTTTTCTGCCAGCCAGTCTGATTTTCATTAACTTCATCATTTTTTTAAAAAGCTCATGCTATGCTTGATGCCAAGCAGAATACAGTGTTCTTTAATTTAAAAAATATAGTGGTCATTGTAGTGAACAGACTACATTTAATATCTCTAAAATATTTCTGAACGACATTTTATAGCTCTTTACCTCCTCTGATCTTGCGTCATGCAGCAGGATTCCAAATTTTCATTCTTTTTCCACATTTTAGTGACCCGTGTCATCCAATAGTGAATCAGTGGGTGGGGAGTTAAGCAAGAAGCATTTGCTGATTTAATGCAATCCTTGGAAAAATCAAAATTGCTAATTAAAAATCACAGAGTGAATAAAAGTCTTGACCCAGAGGAATTCTCCTGTCTGTCGCTCAGACAGACTCTCATTTTTATGCTGGCACACACACATCACCACAATCCCGGGAGTTCAGGGAATCTACCGTGGGTGGCATTTCCTCTGGGGCCAAGGGCTATGCTTCTGCGAGATGACCTGCCCAAAGAGTAGGGGTGTATTATTCCAGTCTCTTCCTCTAGCTTCATATTTTCAAGTTGTATCAAACAGGACAGTGTAGTCAGAAAGGCACCCACTTGGGCATCAAGAGGTTTTGGCTTGAGGCCTGGTTCTCTCTGCAGAGAGCTGGGTAACTCTGCCAGCCCTTTCTCTTCCCTGGTGGCTCCTTCTTTCCTCATCTGTGAAATGAGGGATTCATTTCTCATGCTCTCTCAAGTTCCTTCCACTTCTAATAATGTACAAGGCTGCTCTGCTGAAGCTTTTACCACATTCAATTCATTGAGTATTTGTCTACATAGATGGTAAACTCTTAGAAGGCAAGGATCAGGCAAGGATTTCATTGATCTGGCAAGGATTTCATTGATCCCCAACACCTAAATACTGAATATTGTAAAAGTGCATAATATTGGTTGAATTAATGGGACTGTGAAAAATCAATAATACATTTTATTTATTTATTTATTTATTTATTTATTTATTTATTTATTTATTTATTTTGAGATGGAGTTTCATTCTTGTTGCCCAGGCTGGAGTGTAATGGCACGATCTCGGCTCACTGCAACTTCTGCCTCCCCATTTCAAGCAATTCTCCTGCTTCAGCCTCCCAAGTAGCTGGGATTACAGGCATGTGCCACCAACAAGGCTAATTTTTTGTATTAAATATAGAGGTGGGGTTTCACCATGTTGGTCAGGCTGGTCTTGAACTCCTGAACTCAGGTGATCCACCTCACCCTCCCAAAGTGCTGGGATTACAGGCATGAGCCACCGCATCTGGCCCATTTTATTTATTTTTAAATTTTTATTTATTTATTTATTTATTTATTTATTTATTTATTTATTTATTTATTTATTTTGAGACAGTCTCACTGTTGTCCAGGCTACAGTGCACTGGCACAATCTCAGCTCACTGCAACCTCTGCCTCCTGGGTTCAAGCAATTCTCGTGCCTCAGCCTACTGAGTAGCTGGGACTATAGGCGTGCACAACCATACCCAGATCATTTTTGTATTTTTAGTAGAGATGGGGTTTCACCATGTGGGCCAGGCTGGTCTCAAACTCCGGACCTCAAGTAATCAGCCCTCCTTGGCCTCCCAAAGTGTTGGGATTACAGGTGTGAGCAACTGCACATAGTCAATAATATATTTTATTTTATTTATTTTTGAGATGGAGTTTCACTCTTGTTGCCCAGGCTGGAGTGCAATGGCATGACCTTGGCTCACCGCAACCTCCACCTCCCAGGTTCAAGCGATTCTCCTGCCTCAGCCTCCCGAGTAGCTGGGACTACAGGTGCCCGCCACCATGCTTGGCTAATTTTTGTATTTTTAGTAGAGGTGGGGTTTCACTATATTGGCCAGGCTGGTTTCGAACTCCTGACCTCGTGATCCACCCGCCTTGGCCTCCCAAAGTGCTGGGATTTCAGGCATCAGCCACCACGCCCGGCTGCCAATAATATATTTTATTAACAGTACTAGTAGTTGTGATAGCAGCAGCAGCAGTAAACTTTTTTTTTTTGAGCACACACTATAAGCTAGACATTGTGCTAAATGCTTCATATGGTTTGTCTCATTTAATTGAAGGAGACAAGCTCATATTTCCTTTTTCCCCTCTGTGGCAAACAATACTAAGTATAATCCATTCGCACCTTCATCCTTATTAATAGAACCTCAATTTTTTTGAGGGTAGCAATGTAAATGTTAGGGACAATTACCTCCCCCAGATACCCTTGCTTCTTGGGGTAAACCACTGGGCTTAGTTCTGGCTAATGAGATGTAAGCAGAAGTCTGCTGGGTGGGATGTGTAAGAAAGCTATTGTTTCCTGGATTTAAAAAAGGGGAAATCTCAGCTAGAAATTGACTTTTCACCTTCTCTTAATTCCTGCCTGGTATTAGGATGCACTGCCTGCTGGCAGGTGAATTGGCCTTCTTGCTACAACGTGGACTAAAACGCGGTGAGTAGGAAGTGATATGGAGCCTGCATCCTGGTTGACTTCCTTGAGTGGAGGCGTCAGCCCTACACTGCACCTCCAGACTTCTGGTTATATGAGAAAGGCAAACCTCCTACTAAGATATTCTACCTTGACTACCTGCCATTCATGATGACACAATGATGGGTGTTTCCCCAAACATGGGCATTCCTGGCCTTTGCTTTTATAAGCTCTGACTTCACTCTTTCTTCCAAGGGCCACCTCACTCTTGCCTTATTGCCTGCTTCTTCATGACTCTCTACCTCTCTATCTTAGGCTTCGACCACTTTGATATTAACTATATTTTCTCCTTTTCTGAATTCTTGATGCTCTGGCATTTGCGGGCTAACTGACTGGGGAAAGACTGCCTCTCCTAGGGCTAGCCATTTCTTAGAGACAGCAAACAATCCTCTGGGAAGTGTGCCTTTCATATGTGAACTAACCAGTCCAGAGCCTTTAGTCTAAACCACCTTCTCTACATAGCTTTTATATTCCAGGAGGCAATATTTTTCGAATCATCCCAGGCTCAGATACTGGACAACTTAGCGACCACCCCTCTGTCCCAGAGCCTGCCAAAATCCTTCAAAGTATCCAATCCTAACCCTGCTCAAGTGCTCACCCTGCCTCGTCGTGGAACCACAGTAAAGGCTTTTGCCTACTCTGTCCTCTTCATCCTTCTTCCTCTTGACCAACCCTGGTGCTTTTCCACACGGCCCCGCCTGGTTTGGCATGACCCTCTTGGGAACTGTAAGTAACAAACCATCTTTTCAATGCCAATAGCCTCCTGATCTGTAGGTATCCCCAAACCTAAATGAAATAAAAATTTTAAGACAACTTCCAACGGCTTTACCCAACCCACCTCTCTCATCCTCTCATTCCACATGTTAAGACCCACGCAGCTAGGCCAGGAAGAGCTACTGCTTTTTTGCACTTGCTATTCTTGTTCTATCTTCAGTACTGCACTTGGTCACCGCTGTTGAGCAAGGATTGTATGCCCCTTAACTGGGAATAATTATTGCCTCTCTTGATGGATTAAAATTTTTTCTTTTGCAAAAAATCTCAAGTCTCTACAACGTAGGATGCCTAGTGATGATATAATTTACGCTAGCAAACAGGCAAAAGTAATAAAGAAACTGGGCACATGGATTCTTAGAATGTTAAAGCTGAATGGGGCCTTAGGAATCATCTGGAGAACAGCCTCTGGTCTCCTCCTGTGACCCAGAGAGAAGTGACTTATCCCAAGGTACACAGGGAACTAATAAGATTCAAACATACAGACAATTTGCATGAATGACTTCCTTCAATGTTGAGCAGTTAGTATGTACAAACTCAAAGGTAGATGCTAGGTAGGAAGTGGTGGGTGGACTCAAAGATAAAGCAGTCCTTGATCCTGCCCCCAAGGAAACTGCTATATCTTAGAGGAGAAAATAAAAATTGGTGAGTAACTAGAGCTCAGGATAGGAACAGGGCTTCTAGGTACAGATAAGGAAATGGACCACATGCGTTGATCTCCTCTCTTTACTAAATCCCTACGAAGAAAATACTAAATCATTTTAAATCACTCACAAGGACAACAACAGGACAGGAGGCAACAGTAGATGAAAGACTTAAACAGCTTTTTAACAATGAAAAAACAGAAAGAGCAGTGGTAACTGACTTAGCAGAATAGAGAAAGTTACAACCCAAGTACTTACAGGGGTAAGTAATTTTTCTTGCCAAAAAGAAGTGAAACCCTTCACCCTACAGCACGATAGAGGAGCTCACAGTTGGAATAAGACACATCCCCTTTTCAACCCTGGCACCCACTCAGGTGACTACCTCAACCTTGCCAAGAAGTAGAAAGTTTATTCTCCAGATAAATTGAATGAGAGGCAATCTGAATTTGGAAACTATCAGAGAGGCCAGGGATGAACAGGCACTGAAAATAGTGGAATTAAGTGAAAAATGGACACTTAGCTCCCAATCTGTCTTTCCCATTCCTAAAATGCCAGTCTCCTTCCCCAACTACTTACCAAGACAGCAGCCTGGAGGATTCTTCTCTAGAGAAACAAAAAAGTACAGAGCCAGAGAAAAAGACTCCATAACTGACACTTGGGGAGTAGTCGTGGTGTCTCTCAAAGAAAGTTTAGTTTTCCACCTCGTCAACTCATAATAAAGACCACCAGTGCACACAGCATTCCTGGAAGCTTTTTGGTGCCTCTTGAATATGAACAGGAAGCTTTAAATGGTTGAGGAAAGCCTCCGAGGTGAAAGATAGAGACCAAATCAAGAGAATGAGGCAGGCTGTAACATACTAGAATAGTGCAGATTGCAGAATAAAATGTCAGGAGAACTAGAATTACAAAATCAGAGAGATGAGAAAACACTGCATTCATAAACTAAGTGTAAAATGGTATGTAAAAGGAAGGATGAGAGATCAACAAAAATACTCTTGGAAATTAAAAAGATGAACACTGAAATGAAACGGAAAGTTTAGTAGAAGGCTTGGAAGGTGAAATTAATGAAATTTCCCAGAAAACAGAATAAAGAGATGGAAAAATAGAAAAGATAATATATATTCGAGCGTGCTACGCAATAGGAATACATTACAAGCTGCATTTGTAATTTAATTTTTCTATTAGCCACATTAAAAAGGTAGGAATAAACAGGATTAATTTTTATAATATATTCTATTTAACCCAGTAAATCTGAGACCATATCATTTCAACATGTAATCAACATACAATTATTAACAAAATATTTACAATCTTTTTGTCCTACCCAGTCTTACAACATTCCTCAATTTTGATAATATATGTTTCAAATGTTCAATGACCAAAGTGGCAAGGGGCTATCATATTGGACAGCACATATATAGAAGATCAGTCCAGAAGGTCTAATATCTGTATAACAGAATTCCAGAAAGAGCAAAAAGCACATAGACATGGGATTCTGGAAAAAGAGGGCTCACTACAAGGCAAAAAAAGGACACCATCAGGAGGACAAGCGTGTGGCAGAGCGCTGCTCCCAATTCCAGGTGGGGCCAGAAGAGAATGGAGGCTCCAGGAGGGAGGGCTCTGTATCAAAACACTAATGTAATGCTTAAAAATTTGGAAAAATTAATTCACCCATTGTTTGACAAATTTATTGAAGCATTTGGAAAAAGTTAATGATGGATTTATTTATTATTTATTATTATTTTTTGAGACAGAGTCTCACTCTGTTGCCCAGGCTAGAGTGCAATGGCACGATCTTGGCTCACTGCAACCTCAGTCCCGAGTTCAAGAAATTCTCCTGCCTCAGCCTCCCAAGTAGCTGGGATTACAGGCACCTGCCACCATGCCCAGCTAATTTTTGTATTTTTAGTAGAGAAGGGGTTTCACCATGTTGTTCAGGCTGGTCTCGAACTTCTGACCTCAGGTGATCCACCCACCTCAGCCTCCCAAAATGCTGGGATTATAGGTGTGAGCCACCGTGCCCAGCCTAGTGACGGATTTGCAGAAAATTAAAATGAAAAATATTGAGGCTATTATTAAATATGAGGAAAATAATCATGTGAGAAATCAAACATATAATCATAGTACACTAATAGGTTTAAGAGAATGAGATCCTCAGTTATCATGGGAAGTTGATAAATGTTGCTAAGCATGGAGAAACCAAGAATCAAGCAGCATAAGCCTTGATTCCTATAAGTGATTTTTATAAGAAATATGGAAGTAAATACCAGAAGCAGCAGACAGAAGAGCTAAATGTGGCTCTGGGAAGCGAGATTGAGAGGATGGTGGGAGTCTGCTGTGTTTTGCAACCTTTTAATATTTGATTTTTAAAAAAACTCTATCCATGTAATATATTGATTAAAAAACAAGTAATACATACATAAGAAACTAATAATGTTAATATAGATACATGCTAAAAGAATTAAGACTGGAGAGATTATATGCTTCCAGAAAGAGGGGAGGAGAAAACGCTTTTTGGAGTTGTGATTTTTTAGTCCTCCTTGAAAGATTATTACAGTGTCTAGTATAGTAATTTCCAGCTTCTTCCCCCCAGCATGGGGAGATGTTTAAATGAATAACAAACATCGATCCACAGATGTCTACAAAATTGGGAAGGATGGTGAAAATACTACATCCTTTGTGGTTATGTTTCCTTTTTGACTGCTCAGTTTGCTGTAACTGGTGAGCTTGCTTTTAGAAGTTGGAGCTAGAAGCATCTTAAAGATGATCTAATTTTGTAACCCCCAGACTTGGTAAATCATGATACTCACCCGGGGGGTATTTAATACAAGTCCTATTCCTGGGCCCAGGCCCAGATCCACTGTATCAGAATCTCCAGGGATGCAGCCCCACAATCTGCATTTTTACAAACCTCATGGAAGGATTTTGGCAATTAGCCAGGAGTGATAAGCTCTCTCCTGAATAGCTACATCTTCATTTTACAGTTTGGGGAAACTAACACATTAGAGGTGACACCAGTGCTTCTCAAAGTGTGACCCTTGCACTGGCATCTTTAGCAACATCTGGGAACTTGTTAGAAGTTAGAATTTGTTAGAGCTTGTGAATTCTCAGGCCCCACTCCAGACTTACTGAATCAGAAATTCTGTGTTTTAATTAAACCTCCAGGTGAGTATGATGAACACTCAAGCGTGAGGACTGTTGTGTTAAATTATCACCCCAGGGTAGCAGTTGGTATAATAGACAGCTAGGTCCAAAAGGGGTCTTACTCACGATTTCTTTTTTTGAAAAGAACGCAGTGGCATGGTCTCGGCTCACTGCAACCTCTGCCTCCCAGGTTCAAGTGATTCTCCTGCCTCGGCCTCGGCCTCGGCCTCCTGAGTAGATGGGATTACAGGTGCACGCCACCACGCCCTGCTAATTTTTGTATTTTTAGCAGAGATGGGGTTTCACCATGTTGGCCAGGCTGATCTCAAACCCCTGGCCTTGGCCTCCCAAAATGCTGGGATTACAGGCATGAGCCACCGCACCCAGCCCTTCCTCATGATTTAATCACATCCCTCATTTTATGGAAGAGAGATGGAGATCCAAAAAAATGTAGATGACTTGCCCACCAGAGTAGCAGCAGCTGTCTTGGTGCCAGAAGGAAGACAGTCCCTACAGTCTGAAAATGTGAATGCCAAAAAGGTCCAGACAGCCTGAGCCCTCAATCACATCAATAAACTGCTGGACTGAGCTCAGGACCACCCATTGCCAGACCTCCCTAGTGGTGAGGAGCACCGCCGTTCAAACCGGTGTCAGTCAGGTGTTCTGTTACTGCAGCTAAACACATTCTATGGGATCCAGGAGTCTTCTTACAACTCTCTGAGATTTTTTCATATGACCTCCTACTTGAGATGACTTGGACAGCTGTGGCATAGTATATGGAATCCAAACTGAAAGGTTCCTGTTGGCCCCTTCCTCTGGGCTCCCATAGGACCTTATCAAATCTTTCTCACACCACTTGGTCCACTACTGCTATAACGGTTAGTTACGGGGTCACGAGCTTCTCCATTTTGTATCCCCAGAGCCTAGCATGGTGCCTGGCACACAGCAGGTGTTGAATGAACGGTTGTGTCATGAATGGATGAACAGGTTCTAACTCTGTGTTCATGTTAGAAATCAGTATGTGACTACTGCTCCTCTTTTATTTTGTCTATGGGACAAGCTATTGCCTCACTCAAGTGTTTGCTAACTTCCCTGCCTATTTATAAACAATTTAACTATTTCATTTTCAATGTAGCCTTTCCCCTAACAGAAACATGCGGCTTTTATTCTTAGTCATAATTTTCCCACTGCTTCTGGGATGTCTATCTCTGTCTTTGGTGGAAGTGGATGTGAAGGCTGGATATTCAGAGGAGAACTACCCTTAACTGGCTTTACCTGTAAACGAAATTGTGCTCTGCCCAGAATCTGGAGGGGGTGGAGGGAGTGGAGGGTCTGCATTGAGTTGCGGGGAGTGGAGAGTGGAGGAATCAGGGCAGTGGTGTTAGCTGCCCTGCCTGGCTGAGCAGTCACTGGTAAGGAGGCTGCCAGACCCCCCCAGGGCCAAACCACGGCCAAGGCCAAGTTACAGTGTCTAGGATCCTTATACCATAGATCTTTAAAAGGAGGCCACAGTGCCCAGGGACTCAGAGTAGGCTCCCCTTTCCATTTCCTCATGGCTTTCTGGTCAGAGAAAGAGGCTGTGAGCTGACAGTCGCTTTTGTCAGGGAAGAGGGGAGGAAGACACCAGCATGAACCAGATGAACCGGGCACTCCTCCCTGGGAAGCCTGCCCAGCTGTGGCATTGTCAGCAGCCTGCTGGAGGCCCCGCACACCTAAGAAGTCAGGGGAGTAGACGCTGGTTTTGGGGAGGGAGGTGGTCTCTGCTCTGCAGGAGGAAAGTCTCTCCAAAATGAGAGTTTGGAGCAGGCAAAGACTGACAGATTATTTTCCTCAATTTCGTCTTGTGTCCACTTTACCTCCAGGACTCTGGATAACTCGTCAGAAAATTGTTTGCTTTTAAAAGGAGCAGGGGAGATGTCAAGTGCTGTCTTTCTCCATGAGATAACCTAACAAATGTCAATTTTCTGCAATGTCAAGTTGTCCAGCTCAGCCGGATCACATTGACAATAGACTCCCATCCCTTTTCCCAGGGCTGGTGGAAACACGCCCTCGGAGCAGAAGATTGGCTCCAGTTCTTCCAGGCAATCCTGCCCTAATTCTAGCTGCAGCAGGCAGTCCTGGACCCTGGGCTCCAGAAAACCTTTTTTTCCCTTTGTTCCTCCAGGGTGGGGTGGCAGCAGCTCTCTGCTATTGCTAATCTCTGATTGCTTCACCATCTCCTGTTTGGCTCTCAGCTCTTCTATCATGTAGGTAACCACGTGCCTGCATTAAATTCCATGGCTTTGTAATTTTTGGTTTCTGTTTTCCTGGTGGGGCCCCGGCTGATGAAAGCACTTACTGTGTGTGAGGCTTGATATAAAGTGCCATAGATACTACATCCTATGAGGACGGGCCTGTTATCATTCTGCTTCTGCATCTGTGGAAATTACGGCTCAAATGAAGTCAATTGTCCAAGTTCACATAGCTCATGAATGACAGAGTAGGGCTTGGGGCCCAACGGTGCCACTCCAAGGTCCATGCTCTGAAACACAAAACTAATAATCTATATCCCATTTATGAAACCTTGGGGTGAGCTTTGAGGGTGGGAATCCAAGCGGTTTGTTTCCTTTCACTGGAATGTTTCGGTCTCAACTGAAATCTCACTTCCCTGAGGAAGCCTTCCCTATCACCCATAGTTGACATTGAATGTCCCCATCCCTGCATCTCCTAAAGCCCCTAGGGCTTTCTTCTTCTGTCTCCACAATGTATTGTATTTGCTTGTCTGCTGTTTGTTTTTCCACTAAACTGGAATTGCTTGAGGACAGAGACTGTACTTCCTTTATTCATTATTCTATTCCCACTACCTTGCACACTCAAGATTTGATGAATAAATGACTGAATCACTCAAACACTAGAGAGACATTGCTGCTTAAGAAGGTCTGACTGAGTCTCCACATTGCCTGTGCCACCTAAGTTTCAAGCTCCTGTTTGGCTTTCAAGATCCTTCATATCTGGCCGGACTATTGGTCCAACTTAGCTTCCCACCATGACTCCTGAGTCCAGCCAGACCTCCACTCACACAGGCCAGAAAGTTTGTTACCTTTCTCAACCCCCTTCTTAGACGCACAGCTCTTCCCCAGCACCATTGGAACTTCTTGCCTTCCATAATTACACCCCGCCATCCTTCAAGGCTCCTCCTCCCTGTCTTCTCCATAGGCACCCCAGGCAACTTTATTCCTATCTGAAAACTCTTATCATGCATGCCTTTCAGTTGTCCTTTTCAGCATCTGAATACCCATTTCCCACCATCTACCCACAAGTGCTCTAGAGGCAGAGCCTACATCACATGATAGAAGCAGAAAAATGTCGAAAAGTTGCTTTCCCAAGCCTCACTTGCCAAAGCGAGGGCGTGAACCCATGTCCTAAGCTCCACCTATCAGACACACTCACCCTGGACTGAAATGGGAGCCGGTGTTGCAGAGCAAGGAGGGTAATGCAGTGCTTTCTCTGTTTATGATGGCGGCAGCGGCCAGACTGAGTCCCCGGAACAGCCATGGCAGAGAGGCACTGCTTGTGTCCAGTGCCCAGAGGTAGCCATGTAGGCAGTACTAACGGGCATAGTGCCCTATCAGGACCTGTTCTGAGTCTTCATTCGGGGATTGCTCTTAACTGCGTAAGCTTGAGCCTAGTCTTTCAGGCCTCCCAGTGGTGAAAACTGCCTAACATCCGTTCTTTAAAAAGCAGCTATTTTGAAGTATAATTAACATACAATAAACTTGAATTGTACATGCTTGAAATGTACAATTTGATAAATTTTACCATGTGGAGAAACCTGTGAAACCATGACCACAATCAAGAAAGTGAACTTCCACATCATGCTCAAAAGTTCCCTCATGCCCGCCTGGTCACCACAAATGCCAGTGGCTGCTTTAGCACTGGGGGAGTTCTGAATTAGGAAAGATGAAGGCAAGCCCTTTGGCTGTTCTTCCAGGAGCTACCAGAGAGCTCGAAACAAATCATGAACATTCAGTGTGAATGGGGTCTACTCTGCTCCCTCTGGTGCTGGTACCAGGCATGTGGGCTGCCTGGTACAACTGAGCATAAAACACTAAGATTTATACGGACCTCACCCAGCCCTAGATTAAGGGGTGGCCCTTTGGTCGATTTAAGCTCTCAGTGTATCTCATTCCTTTATCCACAGAAATTGACTCAAGAATCAGTCATAACCCAGGCTCAGGCTAACAAGGATGTTACATTACTCCAGCCATAGGAACTAGTTTAAGTATGGCCATGTGTTTTCTAAATAGGTTCAATCATGGTGAACTTCAGGAATTTTTCTAGAGCTACAGAAAACAGATTTGTCTTTCTTTTATGGGCTTGATAGGGGTGTCCAGTAGTAAATATAGTGGCAGTTGACACCTTTAATGACAATGTATAGTCCAAAGGGAAATGTTTATAACAAAACAGGGTTAAATGAGAGTCGATCTTGTTTTTTAGAATTGAGTGAAGAAAGGCGTATCAGTCAAGACAGGCTAGGTTATGCTGCAGTAACAAACAACTTAAAATCTCAGAAGCTTAGAGCAACAAGGGTTTATTTCTTGCTCAAATTACATGTCCATTATTGTGTTACATGCTCTCTTCCCTAGGGCCTAGGCTAATGGAGCAGCCTCTTCGTAGCACATTGCCAGGTATCAGGCAGAGGGATGAGAAAACATGGAGGACTATGTGTTAAATCTTAAAGGTTCTGCTCAGAGGTGACTGTTGTTACCTACACCCATTTCATTGGCCAAAGTAAGTCACATGGCCACACCTGACTTCAAAAATGGATGTGTACAATTCTCCGGTGGGAAGCAGCACTAAATATGCATAAATAAGTGACGTTTATCAGAGCACGTGTTGCCTCAAAAATTATAACCTAAGGAAAGAGATATTTGTAAATTAAAAAAGGGTTGGCTCATATAAGAAAAAACAGAAAATATGAATAGGTCAATATCTATTAAAGAAATTGAATCAGTAATTAATAACCTTCAAAAACAGAAAGCACCAGGCCCAGATGAGTTCAGTGGACAATTAAGCCAAACATTTAAGGAAGAAGTTATACCAATTCTTTATAATCTCTTTCAGAGGATAAAAGCCGAGGGAATACTTCCCAACTCATTCTATGAAGGCAGCGTTACCCTAATAACAAACCAGACAAAGGCATTATGAGAAAAGAAAACTACAGGTCAATATCACTCATGAACATATTAGTAGATGCAAAAATCCTCAACAACATATTAGCAAATAGAATTCAATAATGTGTAAAAAGACTTATATGCCACAGCCAAACAGGATTTATCCCAGGTATGCAAGATTGGCTCAACATTCAAAAATCAATTAATGTAATCCATCACATCAACAGGCTAAAAATGAAAATTCACATGATCATATCAATGGATGCAGAAAAATCATTTGACAAAATCGAACATTCATTCATGATAAAAACTCTCAATAAGAGAGTTACTATTAAGAGAGGAATAGAGGAAGACTTCCTAACTTGATAAAAGAATATCCATGACAAACCTATAGCTAACATTATGCTTAATGGTGAGAAACTGGAAGCTTTCCCATGAAGATCAAGAACAAGGCAAGAATGTCACCTCTCACCACTACTCTTCAACATCACAAAGGAAGTTCTAGCTTATGCAATAGGACAAGAAAATAAAATAAAAGGTATACAGATTGGGAAGGAGGAAATAAAACTGTCTATGCACAGATCAGGTGATTGTCTATGTAGAAAACCCAAAAGAATTGACAAAGAAAAACTTCCTGAAAGTAAAAAGTGATTATAGAAAAACTTCAGAATACAAGGTTAATATAAAAAAGTCTACTGCTTTCCTATATACCAGCAATGAAAAAGTGAAATTTGAAATTTTAAACACATTATCATTTATATTAGCACTCCTTAAAAATGAAATGCTTAGGAATAAATCTAACAATATATGTATAGGATCTATATGAGGAAAACTATATAATTTTTGTGAATGAAATATAAGATCTAAATAAATAGAGGGACATTTGAGATTCATGGATAGGAAGACAATATTCTCAAGATGTTAGTTCTTCCCAACTTGATCTGTAGAGTCAGTGCAATCACAGACAAATCTCAGCACATTATTCAAGTCACATGGCCACACCTGACTTCAAAAACGAAGTGTGTACAATTCTCCTGTGGGAAGGAACACTAAATATGCAGAAATAAGTGATGTTTATCAGAGAACATGTCACCTCAAAAATTATAACCTAAGGTTGTAAGAATCAGCAAACTGATTCTAAATGTTTTTTTTTTGTTTGTTTTTTTGAGATGAAGTTTCACTCTTGTTGTCCAGGCTGGAGTGCAATGTCATGATCTCGGCTCACTGCAACCTCTACCTCCTGGGTTCAAGTGATTCTCCTGCTTCAGCCTCCCGAGTAGTTGGGATTACAGGCACCTGCCGCCATGCCCAGCTAATTTTTGTATTTTTAGTAGAGATAGGGTTTCACCACGTTGGCCAGGTCTGGAACTCCTGACTTCAGGTGATCCACTGGCCTCGGCCTCTCAAAGTGCTGGGATTACAGGCGTGAGCCACTGTACCTGGCCTGATGCTAAAGTTTATATAGAGGACCGAAAGACCCAGAATAACTAACACCATGTTGAAGGGGAAGGACAAAGGTAGAAGACTGATACTACCCAATTCAAGAGTTACTACAAAGCTGCAGTAATCAAGACTGTGGTACTGGCAAAAGAACAGACAAGTGGACCAATAGAACAAAACAGAAGCCCAGAAATAGATACACATAAATATAGTCAAATGATCTTGACAAAGAAGTAAAGGTAAGAACATGGAGCAAACATGGTCTTTTCCACAGATGGTGCTGGAACAACTAAATGTCCAAATGCAAAAAAAAAAAAAAAAAAATCTAGAGTTATACCCTTCACAAAAGACTTTACACCCTTCACAAGAATGAACTCAAAATGTATCATAGACCTAAGTGTAAATACAAAACTTTAAAACTTCTAGAAGTTAACAAAGGAGAAAACCTAGATGACCTTGGGTTTGGTGTTGATTTTTTAGATACAAGAACAAAGTCATGATCCATGAAATAAATAATTGATAAACTATACTTCATTGAAATTAAAAACTTCTGCTCTGCAAACACAATGTCAAGATAATGAGAAGAGAGGCCACAGACTGGGAAAAAATATTTGCAAAAGACATATTTGATAAAGGACTGTTATCCAAAATATACAATGAACTCTTAAAACTCAACAATAAGAAAATAAATGACCCAATTTTAAGGACAAGCCACAGACTGGGAAAAAAATATTTGCAAAAGGCACATCTCACAAAGGGCTGTTAGCCAAAATATATGATGAACTATTAAAACTCAAAAATAAGAAAACAAATAACCCAATTTTAAGATGGGCTAAAAGACTTTAACAACCACTTCACCGAAGAAGATATACAGATGGGAAATAATCATATGAAACGATGCTCCACATCATTTGTCATCAGGGAAATGCAAACTAGAACAACTATGAGCTACAACTACACATCTATTAGAATGGTCAAAATCTAGAACACTGACAATACCAAATGCTGGCATAGATGTGGAACAAAAATTCTCATTTGTTGCTGGTGGAATGCAAAATGTGACAGTCTCTTTCGAAGACAGTTTGGAGGTTCTTACAAAACTAAACATACTCTTAACCATATGATCCAGCAATTACACCCCTTGGTATTTACCTAAAGGAGTTGAAAACTTATGTCCAAACAAAAACCTGCACATAAATGTTTTTAGTTGCTTTATTCATAATTGCCAAAACTTGGAAGCAACCAATATGTCTTTCAGTAGGTGAATGGATAAATAAACTATAATACAACCAGACAGTAAATCTTCTTTTCATTCTTTTTTCTTTCTCTTTTTTTTTTTTTTTTTTTGAGACAGAGTCTTGCTCTGTCACCCAGACTAGAGTGCAGTGGCACAGTCTCAGCTCAAGACAGCCTCAGTCTCCTGGGTTCAAGTGATCCTTCTAACTCAGCCTCCCAAGTAGCTAGGACTACAGGTGTGCACCACCACGCCCGGCTAATCTTTGTATTTTTTTGTAGAGATGGGTTTTCATATTGCCCAGGCTGGTCTTGAAATCTTGGGCTCCAGCAATCTGCCCACCTCAGCCTCCCAAAGTGCTGGGACTACAGGCATGAGCCACCATGCCTGGCCAGACAGTGAATTTCCTTCAGTGCTATGAAAAGACATGGAGGAAACTTAAAAGTATATTACTAAGTGAAAGAAGTGAATCTGAAAAGGCTACATACTATATGATTCCAATTATATGGCATTCTGAAAAATGCAAAATACAAAGACAATAAAAAGATCAGTGATTGCCAGGGGTTGCAGAGGGGATGGAGGAAGGATGAATAGCTGAAGCACAGAGGATTTTTAGGGCAGTGAAAATGCTCTGTACAATACTATAGTGAAGGATATATAACATTGTCCAAACACATAGAATGTACAACACCAAAAGTGAACCTTAATGTAAACTATGAAATTTTTTTTTTTTGAGATGGAGTCTCATTCTGTAAACCAGGCTGGAGTGCAGTGGCACGATCTTGGCTCACCGCAACCTCCGCCTCACGGGTTCAAGCTATTCTCCTACCTCAGCCCCTTGAGTAGTTCAGATTACAGGTGCGCACACCATGCCTGGCTGAGTTTTGTACTTTTAGTAGAGACAGGGTTTCACCATGTTGTCCAGGCTGGTCTCAAACTCCTGACCTCAAGTGATCTGCCCACCTCAGCCTCCCAAAGTGCTGGGATTACAGGCATAAGCCACTGCGCCCAGCTTAAACTATGAATTTTTGATGATCATGATGTGCCAAGGTAGGTTCATCAGTTGTAACAAATGTACCACTCTGGTGGAATGCTGATGATGGGGAGGTTGTGCATGTGTGGGGTCAGAAAGTGTATGGGAAATCTCTGTACCTTCCACTCAATTTTGCTGTGAACCTAAAACTCCTCTAAAAAAAAATCTTTAAAAAAGGGTGGGGGAGTCTTGGCAGTTCAAAAGAGGGTAACACCTTACTATTATTGGAACATGAAATATGCATTTATAACTGTGTAGTAACTTTTACGTCTCATTTCTACATAAGTATTGCACAAAGCACCTATCTTGTAACTTTCTTTGATTACAAATGAAGTAAGTGTTCCTTTGAAGTATTTATTGATCATTTTCTGGCTCTTTTGTGAAATGCCACCTTGTGTTCTTTGCCTATTTTTCTATTAAGCTATTTCCTTTTGGTTTTTAGTGATTTATGCATATATTCTAGATACCAATCTTTTGTTAGATGTATTATAAATATATTTTTCCAGTTTGTGACTAGTCTTTCCCTTCTGTAGTTTTTTTCATGTCAAATTGATCAATTTTTTCTTTGAGTATTTCACTTTTTTGTGTCTTAAGAAATTCTTACTTGAAAAACTTGAAAAAATATTTTCTTTATTTTATTTAAACACTTTACTTTTTTTTTTTTTTTTTTTTAGACAGAGTCTCTCTCTGTCACCCAGGCTGGAGTGCAGTGGCGCGATCTCAGGTCACTGTAACCTCTGCCTCCCAGGTTCAAGTGATTCTCCTGCCTCAGCCTCCTGAGTAGGATTACAGGCACCCACAACCACACCCGGCTAATTTTTGTATTTTTAGTAGAGACAGGGTTTCACTATGTTGGCCAGGCTGGTCTCGAACTTCTGACCTCTGGTGATCTGCCTGCCTTGGCCTCCCAAAATGCTGGGATTACAGGCATGAGCCACTGCACCCAGCCCTAAACACTTTACTCTTCATCCTACTTTGAAACAACTCATGGTAGAGTTAGGCAATCATGGACGTTAGCTTGCTCAATGGCAATGTCATAAAACAGGAATTTCTCTCATATTACACAGACACAGCTGACTTATTAGACATTTCATTGTGCCATCTCTGTGACCTTTGGCAAGCCTCAGTTTCCATAATAACACCACCTGCTTTTTTCAAAGTATCACAGGCTGATTTGAAGAAGTGGAAAATACCATTTGTGTTCCAAACTGCACAATGAATGTGAAAGAGGTTTGCAAACTATAAAGCACTATACAAAATAAGGTTTCCATTTTATAATGTTACTTTATTCTTTTCTGCTATAATTAAAAGTATAACTTTCTTTTCCATAGGTCATATGATAAGAAAAGATTGAGCAATGAATATTCAGTAATGTTTATTTTTTATTTATTTTTTATTTTTTTAGACAGAGTCTAGCTCTGTTGCCCAGGCTGGAGTGCAGTGGCTCACTCGGCTCACTGCAAGCTCTGCCTCCCGGGTTCAAGTCCTGCCTCAGTCTCCCAAGTAGCTAGAACTACAGGCGCCCGCCACCATGC
Source organism: Homo sapiens (assembly GCF_000001405.40). NCBI lineage: Eukaryota > Metazoa > Chordata > Mammalia > Primates > Hominidae > Homo > Homo sapiens. Next base: position 77,680,498 of record NC_000005.10, read on the forward strand.
CCGGCTAATTTTTTTTTTTTCGTATTTTTTGTATTTTTAGTAGAGAGGGTTTCACCGTGTTAGCAAGGATGGTCTCGATCTCCTGACCTCATGATCCGCCTGCCTCGGCCTCCCCAAAGTGCTGGGATTACAGGTGTAAGCCACTGCGCCCTGCCAGGAATGGTTTTAAAAATGAATGAATTTAACAGTGCAGATAAAGTTTAAATTCCTTCTGTTCCCTTCTACAGTACTGGTTCCTTTCTCTGTTCTCCTGAGGCAGCCAGTGTCACAAATATTTGTTTACACTCTCCTTACAGTTTTCTTAAAAAAGTATGCATCAACAATGTTTAGAGTGTTACAAACCTATAGAAAAGTAGAGAGAAGAGTATGATGAACTCATATCTACCCATGAATGAGCTTCAGTGGTCAACACATTGTCAAGTTTGTTTCATCTATGCCTCCCCACTCCATATCCCACACCCTGTTGGGTTATTTGAAAGAAAAACTCAGCCATGTTGTAATGTAGTTAATACACACTTCGACAGAATCTCTAAAAAATATGGCACACTTACCCTGTTTATTAGTCAGTTTTCACGCTGCTGATAAAGACATACCCGAGACTGGGAAGAAAAAGAGGTTTAATTGGACTTACAGTTTCACATGGCTGAGGAGGCCTCAGAATCATGGTGGGAGGCGAAAGCCACTTCTTATCTGGCAGCGGCAAGAGAAAATGAGGAAGACGCAAAAGCGGAAACCCCTGATAAACCCATCAGATCTCGTGAGACTTATTCACTACCACGAGAACAATATGGGGGAAACTGCCCCCATGATTCAAATTATCTCCCACCTGGTCCCTCCCACAACAACACGTGGGAATTATGGGAGCTACAATTCAAATTGAGATTTGGGTGGGGACACAGCCAAACCATATCACCCCTTGACCTTTCTTTTCCCCCCACAAACATAATCACAATAATATTACCACACCTAATAAATTAACATTAATTCTTTAACATCATCGATTAATTAGTAACTGTTCAAATTTCTCCAATTGTTTCACACATTTTTTTTAAAAAGTATTTGAACAAGTTGAGAGTCCAAACAAGGTCCACATATTTATTTACTTGAATTTATTGAAAAAACTATGTCTTTTTTTCTGGAGAATTTCCACATCCTGGTGGTGTCATTTAATATATTCCTCTGCCCTCAGCATTTCCTATACACTGGTAGTTAGAGCCAGAGGTTTGACCAGTTTCAGGTTTGACACTTAGGCAAAAGTACTTCAGAGACAGTACTGTGTTCTTTGTATTGCAGCTCATTAGGAGTCCTGTAGTGTCTGGCTGTCACTGTTTTAGTGACGTTAAATCAATCAGAGGGTTTAGCTCTTATCAGCCTAAACCGTTCATATCGTTTGTCATTAGTATTTCACCTAATGGTTTTAGGGAATGCACATGTTTAAGGCATTATTTTTATTTTTTTGAAACAAAGTCTCACTCTGTTACCCAGGCTGGAGTGCAGTGGCGCCATCTCAGCTCACAGCAACCTCTTCCTCTCGGGTCCTGGTTCAATCAATTCTCCTGCCTCAGCCTCCCAAGTAGCTGGGAGTACAGATGCCTGCCACCACACCTGGCTAATTTTTGTATTTTTAGCAGAGACGAGGTTTCACCATGTTAGTCAGGCTGGTCTTGAACTCCTGGCCTCAAGTGATCTGCCTGCTTTGGCCTCCCAAAATGTTGGGATTACAGGCGTGAGCCACTGCGCCCAGCAAGGCATTATATTCTTATTGCTTATTTCTACTTCTACCACGGTGTGCTGAAGTGTCTGTTACCCCAAATTTCCCATGTTTATATAAGAATTTTTAAAATTCCTTGTCAAATTGACTGGAAGGTAGGGTAATCTCATTGTTCAAATATGCATTTCTTTACTTATTTATGAGGTTGACCATAAACATTCATATATTTGTTGGCAATTTGTACTCCTTTTACATATTGACTATTCATGTTATTTGCTGTTTTTTTTTCCTAATGGGATGTTTGCCTTTTCTTACACACCTGTAACATTATTTTTGTTTGTTTTTTAAAGAGATTTTTAAATAAGTAGACTTATTTCTTTCTTTCTTTTTTCTTTTTTTTTAAGATGAGATCTTGCTCTGTCGCCCAGGCTGGAGTGCAGTGACGTGATCTCGGCTCACTGCAACCTCCGCCTCCTGGGTTCAAGTGATTCTCCTGCCTCAGCCTCCTGAGTAGCTGGGACTACAGGCACGTGCCACCACGTCCAGCTAATTTTTTGTATTCTTAGTAGAGACGGGGGTTTCACCATCTTGGCCAGGCTGGTCTCAAACTCCTGACTTCGTGATCCACACCCCCTTGGCCTCCCAAAGTGCTGGGATTACAGGCATGAGCCACCGCGCCTGGCCAAGTAGACTAATTTCTAAAACTGCCCTTAATTTTTCTCTCCGTTTCTTCACTGAGTCCATCCTCTGGCAGATACCAGATGCTTTCAGAATGTTCAGCTTGCTCCCATGATAATTAGTTCAAAATTCCATTTCAAGCGCTCCCCTCGCTTCCTCTGGGTAGATACCCATGTCCTGGGATACTTATCTCACCAGAGCTGGTTGCCAGTGGTGGAAGCAGGAGCAGTTGTGCCTGCTTTCTTGATCTAGGTTGGGTGGTTAGAGCTTTTTAAATTTATTAAAAACATTCATCCTCTGATGGCTTTTCTTTTTTTCTTTTTTTCTTTTTCTTTTGGCTTTGCTTTACCAGCAGGTTTTATTTTGGAAATTAAGTAACTTGCTGAATCATGAAGTCATACAGCTAAGCAGATTTGAATTCAAGTTGTTTGGCTCCAGAATCAGGGCTCTTAATCACTGTATACTCAACTGTTCTCCATGATGGCTCAGGCACATGCAGACATGTAAAGCACTATGTAATACCAGCCGATGTGCTTTTACTTGTATCCAATTGGCCTTACTGTGCTACTCCCTTCAGACTACAAAACAGAAACCATAAGGTTCCCTAAGATTTGTGTGTGCTGGCAGACGAAAGGGAATGAGGACAGGTGCGGACAGTGTGCGTGGGTGATGTTTAGTGAGGCGCTGGAGGACAAAAATGGAAGACTCATGTCTTTTGAGCTTATTAAAAAAGGAAAAAGATTTGAGAAGAATTCAATAAGTGAGTTTTTCCTAAGAATTCCCAATAAAAAGAACTAGATATAACTTTGGCTACAGAGAAGGGGATGGCCGAATTAAAAGTAACTGATCTATCTTCATATATATAGTATGTATATACACATATATATATTTTAATAGAGATGGGATCTCACTATGTTGCCCAGGCTGGCCTCAAACTCCTAGGCTGAAGCAATCTTCCTGCCTTGGCCTCCCAAAGTGCTGGGTTTATGGGTGTGAGGCACCATGCCTGTTTCTAATATATTAAAAATATTAATTACCTATTAAAATCCTTAATCTTTTATCCTAGTCTGATGTTTGTTATGTAATTTAGTTAGTTCTATTTTGAAAAAGACATTCACAATTTTTTGTTCAACAAAATGTAGTCTTTATATTTTTAGAAATTGATTTTCCATTTGCAGATTAAATCTTAAGTAAAATATTCTTGGTTTTTTACGTTTTATTTCTTACATTTAACTCTGTACTATTACAGAAGCCTTTCTCTGCTCTCATTTTTGCCCCCTATGACTCAGTTTCTAAGAGCCACAGGATCTTTAAACAATGCTGTAATTAAACCATTTCACTCTCTTGCTTAAAATCTGTGGCTTCTCATTAGAATAGAACCTTAATTTCTTTCCTTGGTTTACAAAGTCCTAAAAATTCATGTACTACTTTCCCCATCATTCACTTAACTCTAGCCTCACTGGTCTCCTTTCTTTGAACTCACCCAGCCTTTTCTTGTCTTAGGCGTCAGAGTAGCTTTTCTTTTGCTTGCAGTCCACTTCTCTTTGTTGAGGTTCTGAATCAGAGCCTAGCTTAAACATCTCTTCAGAAAGGCCTTCCCTCATCATCTGGTTGTTCTCTATCACACCAGCTTGTTTTCATTTTATGCACAGAACATGCCTCCGATATCTTCTTGCTTATTTATTATCAACCTCTGTGAGTTGTATGCTCCTTAAAAGCAAAGATCTGTGTCTGTCTTGCTCACTACTGCATCCCAGGACCAGAATAATGCCTAGCTAATAAAAGGTTTGAGAAATATTTGTTGCATAAATTCTTTAATCTATTTAAGCTTTATTTTATTGTGTGAGGTGAGACAAATCTATTTTTATTTTTCTCAAGAACTGACTTTTCTATTTATTGGAATGGGAATTATCCATCCTTTTACCACGAACTTAAGATGCCACCTCTATCAGATATTTATGTATTGATATATATTCGGGTATGGTGTGGGTTTTCTACTTTATTCTGACAGTTCAATCTCATGCCAGTTTCACTGTTTTACATGCAGGAGTTTTAAATTTCAAATACCCAACTGCAATGCCTCCTACATTTATCCTCTTTCTCCCTCACCAATTCTCCATTTTTAAGATTTTCTTGGCCGGGCACAGTGGCTCACACCTGTAATCCCAGCACTTTGGGAGGCCGAGGAGGGCGGATCACGAGGTCAGGAGTTCAAGACCAGTCTGGCCAACATGGCGAAACCCCGTCTCTACTAAAAATACAAAAATTAGCTGGGCGTGGTGGTGCATGCCGGTAATCCTAGCTACTCGGGGAGGCTGAGGCAGGAGAACTGCTTGAACCAGGACCCGGGAGGCGGAGGTTGCAGTGAGCCGAGATCGCACCATTGCACTCCAGCCTGGGCTACAGAGGGAGACTCTGTCTCAATTCTTGAACAGTCTCACCACTTATTTTTCTCTTTATAAGTTTAATACTTCTTGTATTACAGATATATGTTACTTTGTGGAGAATTGCCATCTTTAAAATATTCTCACCAACAGTGTGTTTCATTTTCCATTTCCCTATACCCTCATTGTATATCAACTTAAAAATTGTTAGTCTATTAGATTCACCAGTGTTTTCTTCTACATTTTCTTTTCCATTTTATACTGAAATTTTTGATTCATTTGAGATGCATTTTGGTGTGAGAGGTGAAATAGAGATCCAGCTCCATATTTTTCCCCCAAGGATCTGAAATAGCCTTTATCATATACTAAATTTATATTCATATAAATTTGGGTTTGCTTCTGGACTCTTATTGTTTGATCTTCTCTTCTTTTACCATACATTGAATTATTGTAACTTAACAAAGTTTTACTAGTGAGCAGAGGTAGTTCCCTCTTACCACTATTCTTTTTCAGATCCCATCCCCGGCAGTCATTCTTGCCTGTTAAAAAAATTTTAATTGGATTTTAGAACCATTTCCTCAAATTCTCCCCTCTGCTAAAGCCCTTCTGTGCTTTATTTCATTGAATTTACAGATTAACATAGAGAGAATTCACATTTTCACAATATTAACTCTCCATATACAGTACAAGTCATTCTTTTTAAATGTCTTTTTGACTCTCACTGGAAATCCTTTTTTCAATTATATTTGGCTACTGCTGGCATACAGAAAAGCTTTTGGGTTCTATGTATTTGTTTTCTAGGACTGCTGTAACAAGGTACCACGAACTATTGTCTCACATTTCTGGAGGCTAGAAGCCAAAATCAAGGTGTCTGCAAGGACATGCCCTCGAAGGCTCTTGGGGGAGAATCTGTTCCCTGCCTTTCTCTTAGCTTCTGGTGTCATGTTGGTGGTACTTGGCTTGAGGCTGCATAACTCTGTTGTCATATAGCCTTCTCACTATGTCTTCACAGTGTCTTCTTACTCATAACATCAGTCATACTGGGTTAAAGGCCCACCCTATTCTAGTAAGTTAAGACCTTATCTTAACTATTTCTGCAAGGACCTGTTTCCAAATAGGGTTCCATCCTGAGGCATTGGGGGTTACGGCTTCAACATATCTTTTTGGGTAACATAATTCAACCCATAACAGTTCTACATATCATGTAAATACTCATTTTAATTTCCTCATTGCTTCTGATTATTTCACAGATGACTCTCTGTTTTCCTGGGGCACAGCTTATCTGCATATAATGAAAATGATGTCTCTTTTCCAATATTTATTTCTCATTTCATCTTCTTATCTAAGCTCATTGACTGGTACTTTTATCACACCTAGACAAGAGGTATTCATTATCTTTAAAAAGTTTGCTTGTTTTTAAAATCTGAGTATGATTACTACTGGAGTGGAACATTTTAAAAACCCATCCATTTGTATTTCTTCTTCTGTGAACTATGTGTTTCTATCCTTTACTTTTTATATTGAAGGTTTTTAATTAATTTGAAAGAGCTCTTGTGCATTGAAAATCTTAACTTCTTGTGACTATTAAAAATATTTTCCTCCAAGATTTTGAAAGCACCTTGTCAGCTATCCAGCAGCCAACAGAAAGCACAAAACGAAATATAAGAAAGGTACAGATCTACTGTAACACAGATTAATTATACCTTTCTGTGCAACAGTCCAATACATGAGCAAATCCCTCTCATATTGTAATAGTAAGATGAATAGTGGAGAGCAATGTAGATTTTTATGAAGCAGTCTTGCAAATTTCCAGTACAATAATACTTATAACTTGTCTCATAGTATAGCATTTCTAAACCATTCATTTTCTTTCCAGCTAAAGCACTCAAAGGAGCTTCATGGACTAAATGATCTGATTAACCCTTTAATACCACATGCCTCACAGCTCTGCATCCCATGTACTTAAGTTTACACTGACATTTAAAGGCCTTAACGCCATCAAAGAAAGGATTAATCTGTCCTCGGTTTGTCTAAATGACCAAATAATAAGATTTAAGTGATAACTAGCTGTAGGATATGTCCTTATTAAATTTGATAGGATTTAAAAAAAACCCAAGTAATGAAGTTTGCAAAGTGATTTAGATTAAACAGGTTTGACTGCTCAATTTTGAAGTGATTCAGTGTACAGGTACAGGTATAAAGGCAATCTTAAAATATTAGGCTTTGAATGTTGCTGACCAGAAAGTTGAGAAATGTTAAACAAACATTACAATATATTGTTTTAGCTACTTTTCATTACTCATAAAATAAACATGTTTTTATTTTAGCGGTGTGCCTTCTCTCCCCTCCTCACAAGTTTCATTCCCCCCAAAGATTTACATAACATGGTACAAAACATGAGAAAGGAAAGACAACCTACTTCTTGAGATGTTGATGCTCAACCAGAAATATAAATGTCCTAAAAGCCCAGACAGAAAGTCCCTGTCCAGGACCACTGAGGAGGTTATTTTGATTTACTAGGACTGATCTGCCCATTAGCCAAGAATGATAAAGTAAAGATGCTAGGACTTGGGAATGTTCTTACTGGCATTAAAACCGGCCTGGATTTGGTCATCTTACTGATTCCATACCTTGTATCTTTCTTTCTTTGTCCTATGCATATTCTTACTTAAAAATGATGTGACCTTTGCTGTACAGAAAAATACAGATGTTAGGTTTACTACTTGTATCTATCACTTGTATGCCTTTGTTTTGCCTGTGTTCCCTGTGGAAGCCTTTATATTTGTCTGTGCAAGGACTTGGGGCATATTACAAATAAGTGGTTACACTTTACCATGACACTTTATACCTGCAATGTGTATGACTTTGCACATGTTCACTGAGACAACTGATCTAAGAAGTTTATATGTCCATGTGTGTGTGTAAAATTTTCATGAACAGAATAATTTTATATGATTGTATTTAGGTAGTGTTTTTCACCACCCAATAGCAGGTAGGAATTGTACATAGTAAGAACACATATTGTATATACACACACACCTTCATATATATGCCCTGGGTCACAATGGAAAATGTGTTTTGTATTGTGGTTTGCAGTCAAAACAGTGGGAAAGGCACTGTATTAAACGTGTTTGCAATGTGATGGAATCCTTCTTGGCATTCTTTCATTTCCAGAGGTCAAAGATGTTCTTGCTTTTCATTCAATCTACAAATGTTTACTGGACAACTACTATATGTTGGTTGAGGGCTCAGGTGTTGGGGCAGGAAGAAAAAGAGGCAAAATTACTTGGCAATTTCTACCTGTTATTACACAGATATAAGGGTTTAAATAAAAACTTAAAAACAAGATGCTGAATTGATTACAGCTGCTCATATTTTAATATGCTTATTGATGGCCATGAAAACCTAAGTGGAATGTATGAAAAATTCCCAGAAATATAGTCTTCACAGGATGTTAAGCCTCTTGTGCTTCTCATTAATACTTGGAGAGTGATCCAGTATAAAATCTATAGTTGAGACAGGAATTCTCTAAAGATATATTTCTTTTTCTTTTTTTTTTGAGACAAAATCTTGCTCTGTCACCCAGGTGGCAGTGCAGTGGTGCAATCTCGGCTCACTGCAGCCTCTGCTCCCAGATTCCAGCGATTCTCCTGCCTCAGCCTCCGGGTAGCTGGGATTACACGCATGTGCCTCCATGCCCAGCTAATTTTTGTATTTTTAGGAGACACAGGGTTTCACCATGTTGGCCAGCTGGTGATCCTCCTGACCTCAGGTGATCCACCCGCCTTGGCCTCCCAAAGTGCTAGGATTACAGGTGTGAGCCACCACGCCTGGCCAACAAAGATATGCATTCTTTCATTTACCTTATTATTGATTTCTTCTTTTCTAGGCTTTTTGGCAACAAAGTAATTTTTTTAGTAATCATGATTTGAGTCCTTGCTGCAAGACTTATACATATGAATCTGTATCTATATATATTTGTGTTCTGTTCTCTTTAAGCTTTAATTGGTCAAGAAACCATTTGCTATATATATATATTTATATATAGAGACACAGAGAGAGAGGTTATACATTAAAAAAAATACCAAAATAGTTTCTGTAAATGAAATACTACTTGGAAAACTAATTGGCACTTCCCCCGCACCCGCCCCCACCCACCCACCCCTTCCCAAGCCAATCTATTGCTCTGGTACTTGATAGCAACCACAAAATAATCTAATTCTCTTGGTGTTCAAACCTCTAACACTAAACCTTAATATCAAGTTTTACACTATAATTACTTTTTATTTTCTCAACTTTTCCTTTTCCCACCTCAAATACTTTTAAAATGGCATGTAATATGTTTTGGGATGACATTCCAATTTAGAAATGCTTCTGATATATGTTATTCTCTGAAGAAGTAATTTTTGGCATGTGTAATAAGGTTATTTTTATTTTATTTTATTTTATTTTGAGATAGAGTCTTGCTCTGTCACCCAAGCTGGAGTGCAATGGCATGATCTTGGCTCACTGCAACCTCTGCCTCCTGGGTTCAAGCAATTCTCCTGCCTCAGCCTCCCAAGTAGCTGGGATTACAGGTGCCTGCCACCAAGCCGGCAAATTTTTGTATTTTTTAGTAGAGACAGGGTTTCACCATGTTGGTCAGGCTGGTCTCAAACTCCTGACCTCAGGTGATCCACTTGCCTCGGCCTCCCAAAGTGCTGAGATTACAGGCGTGAGCACTGCGCCTGGCTTAAGTTTATTTTATAAGTGATATAATCTGTGCTTTATAACAACAGAACCTTTAAGAATAACTTAGGAAAAAATAATTATTTTTCTCTTTTCTGATCTTTGGACAGATTCAATAAATGTTATGATTTCTAGTGATTATCTACAACTTCCAAAATCATACCAACCATAATAACACTGTAAGTATTTAATGCAGCAAAAATTCAAGTTTTTTTTTTCCAATTTTGACTTTTCAAATTTAAATGCTATATATAGATATTTGGTTCCTTACACCAATGCCCATTAGGCTGGTGATATAAGGCTCACACACATTTTCTGGAAATATAAAAAATCTAAATGAGTTGTCTTGTATTTTTGGAAAATAAACTCAAGTGATTGGGTAACAGGGTCACAATTGTACTGGAAAAATGCTTTCTGACAAAATGATACTTTTCCCCCCCGAGTCAATCTAGATAATCAAGATTGGCTACAGCCAAATTATGGTGGAGCTGGCCCAAATTTTCATAACTCTGTGTTCAGTGATGTCATATTAGTAGTTTGAAATTGGTCAAAGGTAGGAGTATTTATACCACAGAAATCAGCAAAAGCTACCAATCAGAGGTTCCCCTCCTATTCTGAAGAGTCTTTAAATATTTGCCAGCACTTCACTGGCAATGGCCATTATTGTTTCAAAATACCATTCAACTCTTCATTGTTCATAAGAATCTTATTTGAAGATCTAAATGGTTGGGGGTGTTTTCTGTGTGAATCTGTCCTCGAAAAAGATTTAAATGTTTCTCATTCATTTATAGTCATGGAAATGTTAGAGTTTCACTGTGAAGGCCTTATTATGTGAGACCTTCCCCAAAGAGAGTTCTTCCTTTTATATCAGTTGTATTCTATTCCAAATAAACTGCTTACAATTCAATCTTTTAGAGATAGGGTCTTGCTATGTTCCGTAGGCTGGAGTACATTGGCATAATCATACCTTACTGCATCCTCATACTACTGGGCTCAAGCAATCCTCCCACCTCAGCCTCCCCAGTAGTTGGGAATACAGATATGTACCACTACACCCAACTAAAATTTGGATTGTTATTTGAAAAAATGGTATTCTATTTTTTAAAACTCAATCCATGCTTGTGAAGCAAAATATGTAGACTTCGAATAGAACCTAACAGATTATAGTTCTCTGTCATAAAGTCTATGTGGTTTAATGATAAAAGGTTAATTTAAAAATTTTGTAAAGTATAAAATAAACAATTTTATTAGATGAACTCATTTATTTGACATATTAAATTAGACAAAGAAATATATATGTAACCAGATAAAAACAATCACATTCTCATACTACTTGAACACATAGCAGTGGTCAAAAATAATGGATTGTAAAATGGACCCCAGGATTTAATGCAAAAACCACCCCATACGAGAAAAGTTTCAGGCTTCTAACTTCACTGAATCCAGTACTAAACGTGCTTCTTTATATTCCTCAGCTTCTTCCAAGTCTTTTTCATTTTCCTAAAATGAAATACAATAAAAATTAAGTTTATCCTTTTCAAGTTTCAGTACTTTGTTATTTACTCAAATATTACAAACCATTAATGTTAATAACTAAAAAATTAAAAGTAAAAAATCCCAAGCCTCATCTAAATATATTGTAATTCCACAGGTTTCCCACATTCTGTTCCTTCTTTACAAGGAAAGGAAGAAATAACTGGTGGTTTTGTTTCACTGTATATATTCTCATAAAATAAGTGAATAACAGTCTTCTAAAGCTACCAGCATTAATTAAATAAAAACCTCAGAAAAAGTTTATTCTCATTTTGTTGACCCATCATCATCATACAAAAGAGAAAAGTAAAAAGGAAGATTTACTAACATGTTACATATATGACAGCATTCAGGCCAAAATAATCCACTGACTATTCACAATGACAAAGAAGGCTTCTGATGTCACAACAGAGTTAAATATAATCTTTGAATTAAACAAATGAATTGCCTGCTTGCTAATGGGTATTACATACCCTACACTAAAGGAAACAAAATACATCTTTCATTTTCTGATATTTAAAGATTGAGTTTTTCCATAATACTGATATACAGGCAACTTTTACTAATATATTGTAATGATAACAGACAAATGAAATAATATTATCTAAAGTACACAGGAAATTTTGTTTGATTTTTAAATGAAGCTATGGTTAGCAATTTATGTCAGGTCAATAAAAGATGGAGATATACAAACAGTAGAGGAAATAAAGTATGTGTGTATTTAATATGAAAACTGAAAGCAAAACGACTGAGAATTTGCTTAGCTCAAACTATACGTAAGAATTTCTTAAACCTCCATGTTATACCTTAAACACATCTTTGTTCTCTGTTAGTAAATACAAGCTCTTCAAGGGCAGAGATATTGTTGAATACATCTTCACATACAAATATATCATCCAAATACATTATTATTATTATTATTATTTTGGTATTTTTAGTAGAGACAGGATTTCACCATGTTGGTCAGGCTGGTCTTGAACTCCTGACTCGTGATCCACCCACCTCAGCCTCCCAAAGTGCTGGGATTACAGGCATGAGCCACTGCACCTGGCGGCCAACATTATTTTTTTCCAAGCAATTTCTATTACTTTCTCAGCTACTAGATTCATGAGAGAAAAAAGCATTTAAACTGTCAAGAAATACAAATGATGCTTCCTGTCTTAGATAGTATTTTAACAGTTATTATTTCCTGCTTTATCTACCTTCTGTATCACAAGGCATTTATACCAGCAAGTATAAGTGTTATTCAGCTCCAAGTTAGTATGAGGGGACTACATAGATTACCAGGTTTTTTCCCCCTCTCAAACTGATCTAGGTTTGAATGTGAAAGAATTCAAGATCCTTTTAATAAGATCCCAAATTCTTTTGAAACATTAGATCTTTTAAAATTTTAATCAGTCAACTCATCCTCAATGTCTCAAAAGATCTTTATGTATGAAAACCAAATAATCAAGACATTGCTGGACAATACTGGTACTATCATAACTTAAATAAATTTAACTAGCTAAATTTTAATAAACTGAACAAACATGCTAGAAAACAGTACTTTTACTGGAGGCATAATTCAAAACACAATTTAAACTCCATTAATTATTTTAAAATATAGCGGTATAAAGGGCAAGTGAATAAGAAATACTGCCAACTAGTTCTCAGTGTTAAATATTTAAACTTTTGGCTTTCCATGTATTGGATTGAAAAAAAAAATTTAAACATGACACAGAAGTCTTTGCTTACTAGTATCCGTTGAAGATCCAAATATGCGGCTTCCAACCTGCGCTGGCAATCTGGGATCATCATCCTGGATTCTTGTAGGATCTCTGCCTAGAATGAGAATCTCTGTGAGACGTTCAAAGATGGCAGAACTTGTAGGTGTTTAGCTCATATCTTGGTAAGTATATCCTTATTAAGAGGAATCAGAAAAAAGTTATGGTTATGTTAAATGGTTCAATATTTTAACTTAAATTGTATTTATTAGAAGTTAGAAAGGCCAGGCACAGTGGCTCACGCCTGTAATCCCAGCATTTTGGGAGACCGAGGCAGGCAGATCACCTGAGGTCAGGAGGTTCAAGACCAGCCTGACCAACATGGAGAAACCCTGTCTCTACTAAAAATACAAAATTAGCAGGGCGTGGTGGAGCATGCCTGTAATCCCAGCTACTCAGGAGGCTGAGGCAGGAGAATCGCTTGAACCCAGGAGGCGGAGGCTGTGATGAGCTGAGATTGCACCATTGCACTCTGGCCTGGGCAACAAGAGTGAAACTCCATCTCAAAAAAAAAAAAAAAAAAAAAAAAGTTAGAAAAGAAAGACTATCATACTGTAAAATCTACAAAGTGCAAGTTTTAGAACTAAATCTTTTTGGTAATCACCTTCTCATGCTAAGTGAAAGTTAACTGGAAAAGCTTTTCATAGAGCATTTATTTTAAAAGGCTATTTAAAATAAACTATTTCCCCTGCTGTTGCAAAGCACCTTTATCTAAAATGGGATCAGCTGGTTATATAAATATCTCCTGCATCTTTTGAGTAATAAAGAAAAACAGTGTTCAGATAATATCACATGGAGATAATTACTGCATGAAAAAAGTTATTGAGTTATTGATCACATCGTGTGCACACTGCAGGAGGTTCACACTGAAAGAGAGAGGTAAAGAAAAACGAAAAGCAAAGACCAGCAGGTTCATATTTTTGATGCTTATCATGCATAAAAAGTTATTACTTATCCTCATGCTTCATTTTAGGAGAGCGATTATTCTCCCCATGCAATGTGAGCCAAATTACCAATGTGGCACCCCTCTGAATCTAAACTTCTTGCCTATTCCTCCTGATGACAGACACTACAGAATTAAACACAGAAATATGTATTCTAGAGGATATTTCTGGACGTAAAGTCCATCATTCAAAACTGGACTATAACACATCAAATCATGAAAGAAAAAAAATCAAATCAATGACAGGGAAACCCAATTGATAAGAGTAAATAAGTTAATGCCACATATTGGACTTCAAATAGGGCTTTTTCTTAGAGTAGCAGGAAGCTTTATTTCCTTAAACTATTCTCAGAAAGAAACATAGAGCTCATCTAAACATTTATTTCCAAAAAAACAATGTTTGGTCAAATACCTTTAAAGAAATAGGTAGACAATCTGAGCTTTTTACTAAGGAGATTAACGGTAATAATACTATATTTTAATAGAAACTTTAAGTCCCAGTACCTTCTTCCTTTCCCAAATAGCTTTGTCAGAGCTCATATTGAAAACAAAAATCTCAATTATAACATACAAAGAAGTTCTTTATTCACATCTATTTTCTCAGGTGGAAATCTATTGTTGAACTTAAACCTCTTTTACTAATAAGGCACAGGTTGAAAATTTCAAACATAACATCATTATTTTACTTCAGAGCTAATCATACTATACCTACACATTTAACCACTGCCATTAAATTATTTTTGTGTATCTGGTTAATCTGAATATATGTGAAAAATCAGTGACAGGAATATTTCTTAGTGGCTTTTTCCTATTTCCTTTCCTATGGAATTCCCTTCAGAATCGTTACAGGAATTAAACAAGATGAAATGACTAGGTCAAATCCATGACAAGTCACAATATGTGTTTGTAAAAAGAAATATTTTCTAAGTTTTAGCCACCAAAAAAAACTTTAGACAATGCCATCCAAAAATAACTTCTATTCATTAAAATTCTATCTATTATTACAGATCAAGAATCCTCAGTCTATCAAAACAGGACTCCAACTTACACAGGGCCAAAGCTCAGGCTCTCCCATACACTACCCCAATTCATTCAATAAGTTTACTATACGTCTTCAGGATGCCAGGTACTGAGGATACAAAGATGAAAAAGAAAAGGTCTCTGTCCTCCAAATCCGTAAGTCTAGGTGTATTAACATGAAAAGAAACATTTGAGATTGCTTCAAGAAGATCATGCCACAGAGAGGCAAAGGAACACAGTGATGGCTATGATTTGGAATCCACAAACCACATCTTCATCAAAGCCATAAATCATATATTTTACCTTGGGACAATGAATTCCAACTGTCTGGAATAATTTTAAAACACAGTATATGAGGTGTGATTATATATGTAAAGATACCCCCCAAAACACCTAAACTTAATTAAATGAATATTATCTTTCAAAGTGTTTCCCTTGGGAGGTAGTAGTCAAATGAATTGTGCCTCTGTTTACAATATCTGAGTCAATTGTCAGTTTATTCTAATGTTGACTATGATAAATCTGAGCTTAATTCAGGATCTTGGCACAGACTGGGAGATGCAAAGAACCTTAGAGGAACAAACACAACAGGATGTGGTACTCACTGATGTCTAATTGTTTTTAAAACAAGTTATGGTTTTATAGGGGGTACTTATTTGGTAAAATGGAAGTTGGGAGTTAGTTTAGCAAGGTTCAGGTTATAACAATGAATAAATGGCTGAACCTAAAATCTAATCAATTTCCTTTAGAGTCAAACATATGTAAATTGGAAAGGATATACCCCAATTGGCAGATCTTCATTTTTGTCAGAAAGAAGAGTTCTGTGAAATAATCTGGCCAATGTCAATCAAGCTCTTAGGTTATTGCTTGATTGTGATGAGGTTTCCAGCTTCTTTAAGGATCCAGATCATCCATCAGAAGCTGGCTATACCTTTAGCTATAACAATCAATAGATACTCTAATATTGGCTACTGGCTACCCTCTGAAACCAATGGCATTAGTTTGCCAGGTTGAGCTCTAGAGTAATCCAGAGATTACTGGAATAATGGTTAAGTGTTTCCTTTAGATGGTAGTAAAATGTTAATGTACTCACTTCTCAGGAAATCTATCTGACTTGTATTTTGTGGTTATTGCTAAATGAGTAAGATTGTAAGAAGAATCTTAAGTCAAAGAAAAAAAATGATCTTTGGGCCCTTACGCTCTAATGTATCAATAATTACTTTAAATGTAAATGATGTAAATACACTAGTTAAGAGGCAGAGATTCATGGATTGGACCCAATAACATGCTGTCTACAAGAAACTCATTTCAAACATAATGAAATAAAAAATAAAAGGATGGGAAAATATATATAATGTAAACATTAATTTAAAAAATCAGGGCTAGGCATGGTGGCCCATTCCTATATAATCCCAGCACTTTAGGAGGCCAAGGCAGGAAGATAGCTTGAGGCCAGTAGTTTGCGACCAGCCTGGGCAACACAGTGAAACTCTGTTTACAAAAAATAAAAATTAGGTGAGTGTGGTGGCACATGCCTCTAGTTCTAGCTACTCAAGAGGCTGAGGCAGGAGGATTACTTGAGCCCAGGAGCTGGGAGGTTACAATGAGCTATGATCGTGACAATGTACTCCAGCCTAGGCAAAAGAGTGAGACCTTGCCTCTAAAAAGCCAATAAATCAGGAGTGGCTAAACTAATACCAGATAAAGTAAACTTCAAAGCAAAATAATTATTACAGACAAAGAGGGATGTTACATTATCATAAAATTATCAATCTACCAAGAAAATACAGTGATCTTAGATGTGCATGCATTAAACAACAGAGTTTAAAAATATGTAAAACAAAAACTGATAGCACTGAAAGGAAAAACAGACAAATCCATATACATAAGCTGGGGATTTCAATACCCCACTCTCAGCAACTGATAGAAATATTAGATGAAAATCAGTAAAGGTATAAAAGAACTGAACAACACCAACGCACAAGGTGTAACTGACTTTTGTAGAACACTCTACCTCAGAAATGAGAATACAATGTTCTAATAAGTAAGGAGAATACAAATACTTTTCAAGTGCCCATGAAATATTTACTGAAGTAAGCCACATTCTGGATCAAAAAACCCCAACAATAACAAAAACCCCAACAAATTTAAAAGAACTGAAATCCTACATAATACATTATCTGACTATAATGAAGTAAAATTAGAAATCATAACAGAAAGAAGGAAAATCCCTACTTAGAAATTAAACAACATACTTTAAGTAGCCCATGGGCCAAAAAAAAGTCTCAAATAAAGACACAGATAAATGGAAATGAAAATATAACATGTCAAATTTTGTGGGATGCAGCTAAAGCAGTGTCTGTTGGGAAATTTACAGCACTAAATGCTTACATTAATCAAAAGGAAAGGTCTGAAATTAATAATCTTGTTTTAATTTAATTTAAATAAGTTCTTGTTTCGAGAACCTAGAAAAAGAAGAGCAAAATAAACCTAAAACAAGCAGAAGGAAATAATATATAAGAGCAGAAATCAACAAAATTAAAAACAGAAAAGCAATAGACAAAACTGTATGAAACAAAAAGCTGGTTTTGGCTGGGTGCCATGGCTCATGCCTGTAATCCTAACACTTTGGGAGGTTGGGGCAGGCAGATCGCTTGAGCCCAGGAATTCGAGACCAGCCTGGGCAACAGGCAAGACCCCATCTCTCAAAAAATTAGCCAGGTGTGGTGACACACATCTGTAGTCTCAGCTACTTGGGAGGCCAAAATGGGAGGGTTGCTTGAACCTGGGAGGTTAAGGCTGCAGTGAGCCATGATCACACCACTGCACTCCAGCCTGGGCGACAGAGTGAAACCCTGTCTCAAAAAAATAGTAATAAAATTAAAAAACCAAAAAGCTGGTTTCTTGAAAAGAAAAAAAAAAAAACACACTGATAAACCTTTATTAAGACAGACAAAGATAAAGTGAAAGGGCACAAGTCACCAAAAGCAGTCCGAAATAGAGGATATCATTACGGATCCTGCAATTATTAAAAGGAGAAGAAAGAAATAATATAAATGATGTTATAATATTGTTCATAATGCTCATAAACAACTTAGAAGAAATTGACCAATTCCTCAAAAACTACCAACTACCCAAACTTAATTACTTAAATAGTCCTATTAATCAATCACTACAGAAACTGAAGTTGTAATTTATTTGTTGTTGTTAATTTAAAAAATACTTTTTCTCCAATGTTCTGCTGAATGAAGTTGCAATTTAAAAGTTCCTACAAAAGAGCTCTCCAGGCCCAGATAATTTCAATAGACAATTCTACCAAACATTTAAATAACAATTAACACCAATTTTACACAAATCTTTCAAGAAAACAGAAAAGGAAGGAACAAATGATTTTTGAAATCAGTATTCCCAAATGATTTTATGAAATCTGTATTAACCTTACAGCAACACCACACAAAGACAGCACAAAAAACGAAAACTGCTTCAACAAATTAGCAAACTGAATTCAGCAATGTATACAAATAATTATTTATAGACCAGTATCAAGTGGGATTCATTGTACGTATGCAAGGACAGTTAAATATTTGAAAATCAATCCATGTAATTCAGGTCTGAGAAAGAAAATGAATATAATCCTAGAACTAATAAGTTCAGCAAGGTGAGTTTGCAGGTTACAAGATCAACATAAAAACAAAAATCAACTGCACTTTTATATCTAACAACAAATATGGTATGTGGAAACCAAAACTAAAAACAATACCATTTGCAAGAGCATCAAAAAAAAAAAAAAAAAAAAAAAAAGAAATACTTAGCTATACATTTATAATGTGCAGGATCTGTATGCTGAAAATTATAAAATGCTGATGAAGGAAATCAGACCTAAATAAATTAGAAAGACTTACCATATCCATTAACTGGGACATCAATTTGCCCCAAACTGATTTATAGGTTTAATGCAATTCCTATCAAAAAGTGTTTTATAGATACAGACAAGCTTATTTAAAAATTTACATGGAAAGCCAAAACAAACTAGAAAAGCTAAAATAATTTTGAAAAAAATAAAATAAAATAAACACTCATTCTTCCCAATGTTAAGATTTACTACATCAGTACAGAATCAAAACAGTGCAGTATTGTTAATGAACCAGAAGAGAGAACACAAAAGTAAACCCACACAAATATGTCCAACTATTTTTGACAAAGATACAAAAGCAATTCAATGAAAGGAAGACAGCCTTTTCAACAAATGCTGCTGGAGCAACTGGACATTGACTGGCAAAAAGATGAATCTCAAACCAAACCTAACACTTTATATAAAAATTACCTCAAAACGGATTGAAGACTTAAATACAAACACAAAATCATACAACTTTTAGGGAAAAAAATAGAAAATCTTTAGGACCTAAGACAAGCAAAGAGGCCTTAGCCCTGAAACCAAAAGTATGATTCATAAAAGGAAGTACTGATAAATTGGACATTCTTGAATTTAAAAACTGTTGGCTGGGCGCGATGGCTCATGTCTATAATCCCAGCACTTTGGGAGGCCAAGGCGGGCAGATCACTTGAGGTCAGGAGTTCGAGACCAGCCTGACCAACACGGTGAAACCTTTTCTATACTAAAAATACAAAAATTAGCTGGGCATGGTGGCAGGCGCATATAATCCCAGCTACTAGGGAGGCTGAGGCAGGAGAATTGCTTGAACCTGGGAGGCAGAGGTTGCAGTGAGCTGAGATCGCACCACTGCATTCCAGCAAAGAGTATGGCTCTGACTCAAAAAAAAAAAAAAAAAAAAGAAAATTAGCCAGACATGGTGGTGCATGCCTGCAGTCCCAGCTACTTGGGAGGCTGAGGTGGAAGGATCGTTTCAACCCAGGAGGCAGAGGTTGCAGTGAGCCGCGATCTCCTCACTGCACTCCAGCCTGGGCGACCAAGCAAGATTCTGTCTCAAAACAAAAACAAAAACAAAAATCCCTGTTTCCCTGTCAAAGACACTGTTAAGAGGATAAGAAGACAAACTACAGACAGAAATATCTGCAAACCACGTATCTGACAAAGGGCATGTGTCTAGTATATACAATGAACTCTCAAAACTCAAATGTTAAAAAAAAAACAAAGCATCCAATTAGTGGGCAAAAGGCCTGATCACTCATTTTCACTGAAGAGGATATACAGACAGCAAATAAGCACATGAAAAAACATTCAACATTATTAGCCATTATGGAAATGCAAATTAAAAGCACAATGAGTTATCACTATACAGCTATCATATAGCTGATGGCTAAATGCTAAAATTAAAAAATAGAGATCACACTGAATGCTGGTGAAGATGTAGAGAAATTGAATCATTGCTGGTGGGAACATAAAATAGTATAACCACTCTGGAAAAGAGTTTGGTAGTTTCTTTTAAAACAAAAACCACACGAATACAACCTAGTAATTGCACTCTCAGGCTTTTATCCTATGGAAATGAAAACTTATGTTCAAGAGTAGAGAACCCAGAAATAAACCCAAATACTTACAGCCAACTATCTTTGACAAAGCAAACAAAAACATAAAGTGGGGAAAGGACACCCTTTTCAACAAATGGGGCTGGGACAATTGGCATGCCACATGTAGGAAAATGAAACTGGATCCTTACCTCTCATCTTATACAAAAATCAACTTAAGATGGATTAAAGACAAATCTAAGACCTGAAACCATGAAAATGGAAGATAACATTGTAAAAACCCTTCTAGACATTGGCTTAGGCAACGATTTCATAACTAAGAACCCAAAAGGAAATGTAATAAAAACAAAGATAAATAGCTGGGACTTAATTAAAGAGCTTTTGCATGGCAAAAGGAACAGTCAGCAGAGTAAACAGACAACCATAGAGTGGGAGAAAATCTTCACAATCTATACATCTGACAAAGGACAAATATCCAAAATCTATAACAAATTCAAACAAATTAGCAAGAAAAAAACAAACAATCCCATCAAAAAGTGGGCTAACGATATGAATAGACAATTCTCAAAAGAAGACATACAAATGGCCAACAAATATATGAAAAAATGCTCAACACTAATGATCAGGGAAATGCAAATCAAAACCACAATGCAATAACCACCTTATTCCTGCAAGAACGATCAAAATCTAAAAATAAAAAAATAATAGATGTTGGTGTGCATGTGGTGAACAGGGAACAACTTCTACACTGCTGCTGGGAATGTAAACTAGCACATTCGTGTGGAGATTCCTTAAAGAACTAAAAGTAGGACTACCATTTGATCCAGCAATTCCTATTGGGTATCTACCCAGAGGAAAAGACGTCATTATATGAAAAAGATACTTGCACACATTTATAGCAGCACAATTCACAACTGCAAAAATGTGGAACCAACCCGAATGTCCATCAATCAACAAGTGGATAAACTGTGGCATGCATATATATATATATATATATATATATATATATATATATATATATGATGGAATACTACTCAGCCACAAATAGCAATGAGTTAATGGCATTTGCAGCAACTTGGACGGGACTGGAGACTTACTCTAAGTGAGGTAACTCAGTATATATAGATATATGATGGAATACTACCTCAGCCATAAAAAGGAATGAGTTAATGGCATTTGCAGCAAGTTGGATGGGACTGGAGACTATTAGTCTAAGTGATGTAACTCAGGAATGGAAAAGGAAACATCATATGTTCTCACTTATAAGTGGGAGCTAAGCTATGAGGATGCAAAGGCGTAAGAATGACACAATAGACCTTGGGGACTCAGAGGGAAAGGGTGGGAATGGGGTGAGGGATAAAAGACTACAAATCAGGTACAGTGTACACTGCTTGGGTGATGGGTGCACCAAAATCTCAAAAATCACCACTAAAGAACTTACTCTTGTAACCAAATACCACCTGTGCCCCCAAAACCTACAGAAATAATAAAATAAAATAAAACCTATGTTCACATCAAAACTGTACATGAACATTCACAGCAGCTTTTCTCACAACAGCAAAAACCTGGAAACAATCCAAATGTTCATCAAAGGTTAAATGTTAGTACATCCAAACCATGGAATACTACTTAGCAGTAATAAAGAACAAACTATTGATACACTCAGTAACTTCAATGGACCTAAAGGGAATTATATAAAATAGAAAAAGCCAATTTTAAAAGGTTACATACTGTAGATTCCATTCTACGTTATGTGACATTCTTGAGGCAGTGTAATTATTTAGGGTTTTGGGAGCAGAGAGGATTGGGTGGCTAAAAAGAAGTGGCAAGAGGGAGCTTTGCGATGGAACAGTTCTCCATCTTGATTGGTTGCTGCACATGCTACTGCAGAGAACTATACATGCAAACACACAAATGAGTGCAGGTATAACTAGTGAAATATGAGTAAGCTCTGTGGTGTGCTAAGGCAAACTTCATGGTTTGAATACTGTATTATATTTATACAAGATACTAACATTGGGGAAGGAAGGATGAAGGATGTAACGACACCTCTTTGAATATCTTTTGGAATTTCCTGTGAAATCTATAACAAGAAATTTAAAAAGCAAGTGTATTACCTTCTATAAGCCTGCATATAGGTACCAAGAGACAAACACATTTTCTTGGATGATTGTAAGTTATTTTCCATATTTTTACTACTGATTAAAAGAAAATCTGGGTTTTTCTTTGAGGATCAGCCTTGTGAGACACTCCTGGTCAAAGGGGGATCTTCTTTGTTGACTGAAGCCTCCTAATATTTTCCATATATTTAATGAAAAACATTTCCCCTTTATTTTTAGGAAAAACATAGAAACATGTCATTGTAAATGTTCACTCTTGTTTCAAAGAGTAAAAAAAAGCATATACATCTTTTTCAAAAAGATGAATTTTACATTACTGTAACTATATGCAATAATTGCAAAGCTTTTGTGAAAACTCTTTTGTGAGAAAACTGAGAACTCTTTGTCCAAAAATTATACCAGTTTGTCTTATTACTTCTGGAACCTAAGAGATAAGTTGTGCCTCAGGAGAAATGACAGAGATATGTCTGACTGAGTGTCATTACTGCCAATCATTATGCCCCAGGATAGGTTGAAAAACAAACCAGAAAGCTTTACCAAGTGAGGGCAAAACCCTCTGTACCCAACCCTAATTGGTGGAGAAGAAGAGAGATATCAGAAGCAGAAGGCTAAAATCAATTTGGGCAATATTTGAATGACGTGTTATATTGTTTAGCCAGAAAATAAAAAAAGACAGAATAAATCTTTAATTGACTGATATTCTAGCCTCCTGAAAACTTTTACCTAGTTGCTTATTTTTAAATTTTCTATTTTATTTTATGTATTTTTTGAGACAAGGCCTCACTCTGTCACCCAGGCTGGAGTACAGTGGCATGATCACGGCTCACTGCAGCCTTGACCTCCTGAGCTCAGGTGATCCTCTTACCTCAGCCTCCCAGGTGGCTGGGACTTTTGGGTGCACACCACCACACCCAGCTAATTTTTTGTATCCTAATAAAATTTTTTTATTTTTTGTAGAGACAGAGTTTCACCTTTGATATGGTTTTACTCTGTGTCCCCACACAATCTCATCTTGAATTGTAATCCATACATGTTAGGGAGGGACCTGGTGGGAGGTGATTGGATTATAGGGGCGGTTTCCTATATGCTCTGATAGTGAGTGAGTTCTCATGAGATCAGAGGGTTTCAAAGTGCGGCACTTCCCACTTGTTCTCCTTCTCTCTCTCTCTCCTGCCGCCTTGTGAAGAAGGTGCTTGCTTCCCCTTCACATTCTGCCATGATTATAAGTTCCCTGAGGTCTCCCCAGCCATGTGGAACTGTGAGTCAAGTAAACCTTTTTTCTTTATAAGTTACCCAGTCTCAGGTAGTTCTATATAGCAGTATGAAAATGGACTAATGCAAACAAGCTAGCCCCAGGCTAGTCTCAAATTCTGGGCTCAAGTGATCTACCCAGCTTGGCCTCCCAAAGGGCTAGGATTACAGACGTGAGCCACTGCACCTGGCCTAATTACTTATTTTAAAAGAACCAAAATTATAACTAGTCCAACAGAGGGACTGTCCCCTGATTTTTGGCAACCATCTTCAGGTAAGAGTTTGGTAGAGAATAAGAGATAGCACCTTAACTGTGTGCTTAAAATACAGCCAATTTAGAAGAAGTAGGAAAGCCAGAGCAAAACGGATCCAAGTGAGAGAAGAGCCAAAGTAGTGAGAAGTGACTGAGGATAGTGTTTAGCTCAGAAGAGGAAGAAATCTAGGGAGAAGTGTAGAAAACCCACAAAATGCAGCACTTGGCTGTCTTGATATTTTCTATGAAAGGCACAATAAATGTTAAGAAAACCATTGCTGAACTTAAAGTCCCAGGCAATCACAAACAGAGCAGTCCTTTTGGTTATGCAACACCCATTGTATATGATAAAAAAAAAGAATGGCCACAATATAGCTAAGCCAGGGAAAAGAAATTAAGAAATGTATGTAGGTTGGCTAAAGACAAGTTTTTAGGAAACTCTAAAACAAAACTGCAATTGACAACTATATACATGGTAGGTTGACAACAGAAGCAAACAGAAACAACTATTGTTCTGTAATCAGATATGAAATGTTATTTCTGAATAAGTACTAAGTTGGCTATGAATCTAACAAATCCTGTTAAAAAATATGATACCTATGACCAAAAAGAGAATTTTAACATGTCTGAGGGTAGAAACAACTTTTGAACAATTTTTTTTCCCCTTTTACATCTGTGTATGTAGTCAGTAATGTAACTAGTGTGTGGCTGGTATTTTCAAATGACAATTACAACACAGAATTCAGTAGTTAATCTTTACCTATAAAGTAGTGATTTCATTGAAAGATGATACATACATAACTATAAATGAAATAAAACAGGTTCTGTGATAACCCATAACTTTATTTGTAAAATTTTATTTAGAAAGGGAACACATTTATTCCTCTACTCCATGTAACTGATAACTCCTATTTTAGCTATAGGACTATTTTAAAATACATTATTGATGGTGAAAAAAAGCAGGGCAAAGAAAAAGACTAAATGAGGTCACTAGCTACATGACTGGGAAAACAAGCTGATGAAGTCCAAGAAGGACCTGGATGAAATAAAGTTATATACTGTGTCATAATATTTTCCCACTAGATGTAGGAAAACAATAGAAGACTTAAGAGTGAAAGAGGTACAAAAGCAGTATATATCATAATTTTAAGAATAAAAAGTTACATTCCATATGTAAATCCTTATGAAGGGTCGTTAGTTCATAAAGGCGGACAAGGCCAGGTAGGGGGGACTCACGCTTATCATCCCAGGACTCTGAGAGGCTGGGGTGGGAGGATCACTGGAGGCCAGGAGTTGAAGACCAGCCTAAACAAGAAAGTAAGACCCTGTCTCTATAAAAAATTTAAAAATTGGCCAGGCATGGTGGCACACATCTGTAGTCCCAGCTACTCTGGAGGCTGAGGTGGGAGGATCACTTGAACCCAGGAGTTTGAGGCAGTAACAGTGAGCTAGGATCACACCACCGTACTCCAGCTTGGGCATCACAGAGAGATCCCACTGCCCAATATAATTTATTAATATTAAAAAATAAAGGGGACATACTATATCTACACATCTGTTTGCTAATCCTCCCTCAATTTATGAGTATCTGACACACAAATGTCTTTTATACACACAGTGCTGTATCACAAATAAAGGAAGATGGCCTCTCCTAAAAGCTTAATAAAATAAGAAAGCTATCTTCCTAGATAGCCAAGGGAAGACACAGCCAACAGGTTGTTTCAGCTGCTGCTGCATTTCTTTTGCACGGTAGAAAGCAACTCCCTACAAAAAATTCTATTTTAAATGATTGATTAATTTTGCTGAATAAAGCCTGAGTTAAGTGTGATTACCAATTATGCCACGATTTACATGGCAAAAATGACTGTGAGTTCATAAAGCTGATTTTAAAAATAAATTTTAAGATATAGTCTGTACAAGCTGGTTCACATTCTCCTTTTTTTAAACTGTCATCTGGAAATTATTTTAAATGCATCTAACACTAGATTTTAAGTAGAAGACCAAGTGATCTGAGGTACATTTTATAGAGATTTATTTAGTTGTTGTGGTGGGGAAGGAATGGAGGATGTCCCATTCCTGGTGAAAGAAGTATGCCAACAGGGAGGCTTTTGCAATAAATAGTACTAGCAAGAGATGATAGTGGACTAGACTAGAACAATGGCAATAGAGAGAAAAATAGAGAGAGTAAGAAATAGGAGGTGCTGGCTGGGTGCGGTGGCTCACCCCTGTAATCCCAGCACTTTGGGAGGCTAAGGTAGGCAGATCGCCTGAGGTCAGGAGTTCAACAGCCTGGCCAACATGACAAAACCCCGTCTCTACTAAAAATACAAAATTAGCTGCGCGTGGTGGTGCATGCCTGTTAATCCCAGCTTCTTGGGAGGCTGAGGCAGGAAAATCAGCTGAGCCAGGAGGCAAAGGTTGCAGTGAGCCAAGATTGCACCACTGCACTCCAGCCTGGGTGACACAGCAAGACTCCATCTTAAAAAAAAAAAAAAAAAAGAAAGAAAGAAAAGAAAAAAAGAAATAGGAGATGATGCTGATATTAGATGTGGTTATGAGAAAGAGATAAAAATATCAAGAAGGGACCAACTAAATTTTTGACCTGAGTATCTGGATGAGTGGAGGTACCATTCACTGAGATGAGGAAAAAGAAAGAAGAAATTGTTTTTTGTTTGGGAGAGTAGGTTGGAGTAGTGTGAAATCAAGATTTTAATTTTGAACACCTCAGAGGATATGTCAAGTTTCAAGGTGAAAGTGGTAACTTGTGTCAGATGCTATTGAGGTATTTAAGATGAGGGAAAAAAGAGTAATAACAATGTCACTGATAGTTATAACAAGGGCTAGGGCACATAGTCCACTCTTACAGGAAGGAAAGTGGTACAGGTACAGATGCAGATAGGTTGACAGATTTTGTCGTAAGAATATGAGAAAGTTCCCTAACGGCCTCTATTTTCTCAAGGAATTATGAAGCAAGTGTCAGCTGAGAATGAATGTTCAATATATGCTATCATGGGAATAAAGAAAGTGTTATGGGAGCAAAAAGGAGGGGCACCTAACTCAGTTTGAGGTGAGAGTAGAAGAGACCTCAAGGAAGAACAGAAATTAATAAGGAGAGGGTAGGTAAGGCCAGGAGTAAGAGCATCCCAGACATGCAAAATTTCAGAGGCAAAGAAGAAAGGGCATGTTCAGGGAGCTATAAGGCACCTAAGAGGTTGAGACAGGGATTGGTAAGAAATGAGGTTAGATAAGCAGATGTAACCTCATTTCTTGATTCAAAATCAAGAAGAGCCTTGTATGCAATGTTAAGGCCACTGAAATTTGTCATGAAGACAATCACAAGTAGCCATTGAAAAGTGCAATGCGTATTTTATTTTTGTAGTCTTCACATCAGTGTGGAGACAATATTTGTGAATCTAAATATATAATTAATATAAGATTAGTCCATTTTTATATCTGATACTTAAAATTGGAAAAGACAGTAGAATTTAGCGGTTAAGAGTACAGATACTAGAGCCAGAATGCCTGTGTTCAAATCTTAGCTATGCCAGGTGTGGTGGCTCATGCCTGTAATCCCAGCACTTTAGAGAGTTGAGGTGGGAGAATTGCTTGAGCCAAGAGGTCAAGGCTGCAATGAGCCATGATCACACCACTGCACTCCAGCCTGGATGACAGAGTGAGGCCCTGTTTCAAACAAAACAAAACAAAACAAAACCTCAGCTGTGTCACTTAACAACTATGTGATTTGCGCAGTTATTTAACCTGTGTTTGAGTTTCCTTATCTTTAAATGGAAGTTTTAATAGTAAAGAAGTAAATAATAATATAATCTCAGTCAGAGGACTACTGTAAAAACTACATTAGTTAATATGGCATTCTGTAAATGTTAGCTATTGTTATTTATGATATAATTTTACCTGCTTTTTAATGTCATAATTTTCACCGTCTTCAGCTCTCATTTTTTCAATCTTTTCTTCTTGTTGTTTTGCCTCTTTTTCATACATCACTTTTTCTTTGACCAACCTATAAAAAAGCCAAAAATGTTTTAGAAAATTAGCTTTCTCTCCAGACCATAAGAAAGAAACTGTGTAAATATAAAACATATTATATTTAAAATACCAAAGTAGATATACTAGATGGGGGGAGGAAGGAACAGAAGAAAAATAGTTTAGTCATAAATATAAGCATGATCCTCATGCTCTTAAGTCCTATACCTGCCTAACGTAAGTGCAATCTATCAAAGCATGAAATTCTTTTTTTTCTTTGAGACAGTCTCGCTCTGTCTCCCAGGCTGGAGTGCAGTGGCGAGATCTTGGCTCACTGCAAGCTCTGCCTCCCGGGTTCATGCCATTCTCCTGCCTCAGCCTCCCGAGTAGCTGAGACTACAGGCACCCGTCACCACGCCCGGCTAATATTTTGTATTTTTAGTAGAGATGGGGTTTCACCATGTTAGCCAGGATGGTCTCAATCTCCCGACCTTGTGATCCACCAGCCTCGGCCTCCCAAAGTGCTGGGATTACAGGCATGAGCCACCGTGCCTGGCCCAAAGCATGAAATTCTTAATTTTTAAATTAAAAACCCACTTCAGTATATTATAATTACAATGTGAAAGCGATACTCAAAATTAGTATATACCAATATATATTAATACAACTGTCTTTTTTTTTTTTTTTTTAAATATGTCTTCCAAACCTTTATACATGTATCTGAAACAGCACAATGATAAAAGCTCAGTTTACTGGCAGGGGAAAATTCAGTAGATTGCATGTCAAATCCAAAACAAAGAAAGACTGGATTATTTTTTAACAACAAAATCGTTTAACAAGTATTTATTGTGCGTTTAATTTTATGCCAGACTTTCCTTGTGCAAGGAGCTGGGATAGATGCAGTTCTGTCACAGACAAGTGGTGGAAACAAACTAGTATTTACTTACTAAAGTAAGAAAAAGTATTTTAAAAGAAGTACATCAGGAAAAGTTTCAACAATAAGAAATACTGCAATACAAAGTTCTACTGATTATCCCACAGATAATCCAAATTATATTAATCATAATAGCTCAATCTTCCCTAATTCTGGTTGTTTAAAGTTGTAATATAAAAGTATAGTCTAAGAAAATATTAACATTCCTATATACACAGTATCTAAAGAGCAGAAGAAAAAGCTTTCATAGCACATATGTAATAAAAATAGCTTTCTCCATCTGGCTGTTGGCAAGATGGCAAGGATGCAGAGAAATTGGAGCCATCAAACATTGCTGGATGGCAATCAAAATTGGTATAGTAGCTTTAGGAAAGTTTAACTATTCCTCAAAAAGTTAAACAGAGTAACCATATGTCCTGACAATTCCATTTCTAGGTACATACCCTAGAAAAATAAAAATATATGCCCACAGAAAACATGTCTATGGATGTTTACAGCAACATTATGCAAGACAGGCAAAATGTGGAAGTCCAATAATCAATGGAAAATGTGGTATATCCAGAAAACAGAATATTGGGCAATAAAAAACATAAAGTGCTGATTCAAGCCACAACATGGATGAACCCTGAAAACATGCTAAGTAAAAAAGAAGTCTGACATAAAAGGCTACATATTGTATGATTTTATTACAGGACATATCCAGAACGGGCAAATCTATAGAAACGTAAAGTAGATTAGTGGTTGCTTAGGACTGGGGACAACAGGGGAATTGGAAAGGTGATAGCTAAAGGGTATAAGGTTTCTTTTGGGGGTAAGAAACATGTTCTAAAAATGATTGTGGTGATAGTTGCACAACTCTGTGAATCTACTAAAAGCCAGTAAACTGTAGACTTAAAATGGGTTAATTGTATGGTATGTGAATTATATCTCAATAAAGCTGTTGGCAAAAAGGAAAAAAAAGCTGTGACCACAAAGTCAGCTTCAGGGGAAAGCTGCAAGTACTGATACATTCAAGCATGACAACAGAAACATGTGAATGTCAGATACAGAAATCTGCATTTGATTTATAATTTAAAATTGTTTTAGCAATAATTTTCAATATTAAAATATACTTTGAGATATAATATTTTAAAATAAAATCATTAATGCATATCACAAAAGATATTTATCTAAAAAAGTTCCCTTTAAATAGTAAAAGAAACTTGTTAGGACAGAGATGGCAAATTGCCAGCCTGCTTAAATGAAACCTAAAGATGATTTTATTTGACTCACA
This sequence comes from Homo sapiens, assembly GCF_000001405.40. Taxonomy (NCBI): domain Eukaryota; kingdom Metazoa; phylum Chordata; class Mammalia; order Primates; family Hominidae; genus Homo; species Homo sapiens. Next base: position 77,710,518 of record NC_000005.10, read on the forward strand.
ATGTTAAAAACAAAGAATATTTGTTTAAAAAAAATGTTGTCACATTAAAAAGCTGGGAGATTTGACATATACATCTGAATTTCTGGCTTCTCTTGGATGTTTTCATCAGGAAACATGAGGGCTGCATTCCCACTACTGGCTGGAGCTAAGTAGTGGCTGTTGTCTCCTATAGATGGGTCACATGCTATTCCCTTGCCTCAATTCACATAACTCCCTGTTTCCTTAACAGTCAGGCATTACACTTGGCCTTTGCACGCCTTTGAGTTTGGGACCTGTGTGCATATTATCAACGCAACAGTATTATTATTGTTGTTTTATTATCACTATCATTATATAATCATGATCATTATTCAGAATATCAAGGATATTCAGAAACTACTGGATTAGCAATGAGACTTTCAATACTTCTAAACCTGGTATGTGACTAAATTCCCCTAGTAATGAAAGTAGCTGGAATTGGATAGGCTATTAAAGAGAGGCCCATTCCATATCATCTTATAATTCAAAGACTTAAACAGGGGTAGGCAAACTATGGCCAGGGAGCCAAATCTGGTTGGTCATCTGTTTTTGTATAGTCTCAGAGCTATGAACAGTTTTTACATTTTTGAATGGCTAAAAATTTTTTAAAAGATTTGTCATACGAAAATACAGAATTCAAATTTAATATCCATAAATAAAGTTTTATTGGAACACAGCTATACTCATTCATTTATGTATCATGTATGGCTGTTTTCATGCTATAAGAGCAGAGAAGAGTAGTTGTGATAGAAGAACCATATGGCCTGCAAAACCTAAAATATAATATCTGGTCCTTTACAAAAAAGGGTTGCTGACCCCTGACTTGAAAGACTTCCACTTAATTCTGTCCATCACCTACTTAATTATATCAGCATTAACACACTACACCGAAGCCATTTACTTGCTAGGTCTTAAGTTCCTTGAAGAGAGGATAAGGTTGTATTCATATTGTTTAATTGATCTTCCTACATAGTAGGCACTCAATGTTGGTTGAATGAATAAAAAATTGAGTCTAGAAATCTCACTACTGTCTTTTAACATTTTCAATTTAAAGATAGAAATATATATTTATAAAACAATTCTGAAGCAGAAAAAAAGTGATTCACAAAAATTGAGCAATAAGAACAACATGGTAACTTTTGAAGAAGTATACAACAGAAGAGGAGGATTCTATGCCTAAGCCCACAGATAATTCTGACTGGTAATCCAAGTCATCCTACTTCATTGTGCTTGTCTATGGAAAACAGCAGCAATGGCTCCAGCAACATTAAAGAGTTACTTAACTACCTATCACATGGGATAAGTAAAGGTGCTGCGTATTTGCATGGTTATTGGAATATCAAAATAAATACAAGTTACGTTTTTGCTTAAAAAGTCATATTTTGTGAAAAGGCCCAGGAAACAAGTTATTGAATAGCATGTGTTGCCCTGAAAAAGAAAAAAAAAAAATCAGTCAGTTAGTGAGAACCCAATAATGCAAGCATGTAAAATTATAGTGAATAAAGGCTAGGGTAAGATGCGGTATGAGAAATAATAAAGGTTCCACTCTTAAACAGTACAAATCAATGTACTGATGACAAGTCAGATGATGCTAAAGAGGTTTTATAGAGTATATATACAACTTCTACTTCACTAAATATCATCAAATTGCTTTCCAAAGTAGTTTTATCAGTTGACATACAACCTGTAGTGTATGAAATTTCCTACTTCTTGGCATCCTGGTGAATTGGGATTGTCAGAATTATTAAATTTCTGACAATCAGAAGAGTGTGATATAGTATTTCTATTATGGTTTGAAATATTTCTGTAATAAGGCTGAGCATCTTTATGCTTATTAAAATAGTATTAGTTTTCTCTCTAGTATTTACTGGATAAATATTTGTTGAATCAACAAATTAGTATCTTCTGGTGAATTTGGCTCCTCTCGTTTGCAGGAAAGGCTAAGATTTAATAAGAATACTGAAGACAAGTATGTATTTTAAAATTTGTATTAAGATATTTTTCTGTAATGTACATATGTACATATTTATAAAAAATTATAAAAAAACAAAATTTTAAAAATCACTCATAATCACTACAGATTCAAAATACACATAATTTTGAAACCCAAAGAAGTTTTAAAAAAAGAACATTGTTTATTGTTTGAAACAAACTCATTTAGCAGCAAAGTGTAACCTCAAATGAGATAAAATGATTTATAGAATTTATGTGTACCATCTAATGTGAATAGTTACGTTTCACTGCAGAAATATTAATGTGTATGATTGTAGAGCATTTCTCTAGATGCTATTATGGAAATATACATTACTTTTATAAAATTTGAAAGATTTGGAATTCACAAACACATATGGGCCCAAGGGTTTTCAAAGTAAGGGATTATGGACCTGTATTAACATTTTGAGTACTGTCCAGTAGTCTTTTTCTCTCAACATGTGTGTGTGAAAATTTATATTTAGATATATAAAAAAATAATTTGGGCCAGGTACAGCGGCTCACACCTGTAATCCCAACACTTTGGGAGGCTGAGGCAGGAGGACCACTTGAGGCCAGGAGTCTGAGACCAACCTGGGCAACACGGCGAGATTTTGTCTCTACAAAAAATTTTTAAAAATTAGCCAGGCGTGGTGGCATGCCTTTGTAGTTCCAGCTACTCAGAAGTCTGAGGTGGAAGGATCCCTGGAGCCTAGGGAGTCAAGGATGCAGTAAGCTATAATTGTGCCACTGCATTCCAGCCTGAATAACAGAGCAAGACTGTCTCAAAAAATATATAATAATACTAATAAATAACAATAATTTGGATAATAATCACTTCCAATGTCATTAAATGTTCTTTGAAAATACAGCTGTTAGTGATTGTGAAGTATTTCATAATACTGAGATGACAGCATATTGAAGTATTATCCTATTGGATATTTAAGCCATTCCCTTATTATAAATAATACTGTGATGAGCATCCCTACCTACAAATTTTATAGACATGAAATATTTTCTTCCTAAAAAAATATTTTAAATACATAGTGCATAATGTGAAATTAACTCCTTTTCCAGTCAACCAGTGATCATTTCTTAACAATTACTTTTTCTAATAATGTGGTAAGTCAAACTTTGTCATTAGTTATTAGTGAATGACAAAATGCAAATATTAAATCAATCTACTATTTCAGCCTACTATGATTTTTTATTTTAGTCAAAGAAAATATGCCAAATTTAACTATTTAAACATTAATAAGCATATTAAAGTTTACACCACAGCAAAGTAAAATTAAAATGAGAGAAATGAAACACCACAGGAAAATAAGATAAATCTGATAGGTTCATTATATAACCCACAGGAGTTATAGACAGAACAGAAACAAAGCAAGTAAAGATTTTTTTTTTAAAAGAATAAAATTTCCCAAAGCTGGAAAAGAAAAGCAATCTTAACTGAAAGGGCTTCATAAGTGCCTTTTAGACGCACACAGAATCCATTGAAAAAAAAAAAAAACCCCATCTATGTACATTAAGAATTTCCAGTGGCTCAACGCCTGTAATCCCAGCACTTCTGGGAGGTCAAGGTGGGAGGATCACTCGAGGTCAGGAGTTCGAGATCAGCCTGCCCAACATGGTGAAACCCATCTCTACTAAAAATACAAAAATTAGTCAGGTGTGGTGGCAGGTGCCTGTAATCCCAGCTACTTGGGAGGCTGAGCCAGGAGAATCGCTTGAACCCGGGAGGCGGAGGCTGCAGTGAGCCAAGATCGTACCACTGCATTCCAGCCTGGGCAACAGAGTGAGACTCCATCTCAAAAAAACAAACAAAAAAAGAATTTCCAGAGCTCCATAAAAATTAAAGCTTTCAAAAAGAGAATAGGTCATCTGTAAAAGGAAGAATCAGATTGACTTACACTTCTCATTAATAACAGTAGATATCAGAAGAAGATGGTGCAATCCCTTCAAAGTTTTGAGAGAAAATGATTTATAACCTGGATTTATAACTATAATAAAAGGTGGAGAAGAAAATTCATTAACTGACTTAACAATTATTACTATTATTATTATTATTTTTTTTTGAGATGGAGTCTGTCTCTGTCGCCCAAGCTGGAGTGCAGTGGCGCAATCTCAGCCTACTGCAAGCTCCGCCTCCCAGGTTCATGCCATTCTCCTGCCTCAGCCTCCCAGGTAGCTGGGACTACAGGCACCTGCCACCACGGCCAGCTAATTTTTTGTATTTCTAGTAGAGACGGAGTTTCACCGTGTTAGCCAGGATGGTCTCAATCTCCTGACCTTGTGATCCGCCCACCTCGACCTCCCAAAGTGCTGGGATTACAGACGTGAGCCACTGCACCCGGCCAACAATTATTTATTAAAGGGCTACTATGTGCCAGGTATGATTTTATATATCAAGGATACAGCAATGAACTACAAAAATCCCTGCCCTATGGCACTTTTTAGTGGGGAAATAAAATTAAATAAGCAAAATATGTAACATGTTAGATTGTGAAAAGTGCTATGGAGAAAAAGCCGTGAAGGAGGACTGGTAATACAGAGGGTTTGCAATTTAAAATAGGATTGTCTCTTTGAGAAGAGGACACATGAGTTAAGATTTCAAAGAGGCAATAAGCTATGTAAATAACTGATGAAAGAAGTTATAGGCCAAGGGATCTATTTTTAGTTACATAAAAATGTAAAAAGTTGATCTACTATGTCACCTGAGAAATTTACTTAATGTACTCCAGCAAATTGAAGACGAAAACCAAGAAAAGAAGCCATGAAACCAGGAAGTCCTTGTCAACATAATCCCTAACAAAGGAAAAATACATCCCAAGGTTAACACTGTGCTATAGGCCTGAAAAACAATCAGTCTAAATGAGGATCTTAGTGTGAGCTCTTATGAAAACATCTTTAAGAAGGATAGAATAGATTCTAAGGAACAGAGACAATGAGTAATAAGGTAGAAGATATTAATGATATAATAAAGAAGTCATGTTTTTTCTCTCAATTATAAAAATGAAAATAATTAGAAACTCCAGGAACCTCATCCCCCTGACACACACACATGCACACCCACAAAAGCACACATGCAACAAATGGTTATGGTTGTAATATGAAGCAATTGGTGAAAAAGAGAATCCATTTAACCTGGATTTATAAAAAGTCTTCTTTGGGCAGGCTAGTTCCCACAGTGCCTAGAACACAATAAGCAGTTAATAACATTTAGTTTAAGAAAAAACATGCTGTAAAAAGTGGGTAAGATGACTCCTGATCAACTAATGAAAGTTTGGCATTTTATAAAAATTATACCAACACCTGTGTCATTAATTCCTTCAAACAGGTATTAAATCCCCCTGTTTGGAGCCTCTAGTATAATTTCCTTTTCCCTGTTATATACAGTTCTCCTCTACTGATATAGCTGATAACAAACTCTCCTGTCTCTGAATAAACGAACAGTATATTTAAGATTTGTGTTGTGTGAGGGATTATGGAAAAGAACAAACTTAAATTGAGGGCCTTATATGAACAGACCTTTAGGTACTGTATTGCATTTAATACTTTTGATCCTATTTAAGTAGTATTATCTCTATTTTACAATCTCTTTTTAATTATGCCTCTCCACAATGTTTTTAAAAGAGTCAATGAAAATAGAAGTTAATGAAGACATCAATATTTCAGAAATGAATAAAATCTAAGTTAGTGTATTTCAGGAAGCTGATCAAAAAATGATACTACTAATGAAATTAAGCTAAAGATTGATAACACTGATGAAAGAAGTTAGGTTGGATGAATGACATCTGAGGTTTTAGCATTTCCAATGGGCATCAACAAATCTGCTCTCCTAAAACTTTTTTGCCATTTGGTGAAGTTCGACAGACAGTTATGATATTGGTATATCATGAAATATCATATGTAATGAATTTAGGCAAAAGCTTGAATCACTTGACATAAATAAAAATTAAATATGATGATAAAAGCAGCTAACAACAAACTGACCACTTACTATGAACCAAGCAGTGTGCCAAGGCATGCTAAATGCCATATATATCATTTAAGTCCTCAAAACAAACCAAACAGGTACTAGTATTATTCCCATTTTAGTAACTACTAATTCAAAATTAATGGAGCTTCAGTACCTTGTCCAAGTTCTCACATTTGTTAAGTGCCAAAGAACTGTTAAACTCCATATCCTTAGCTACTAATTTAAGTAATTCTCAAACATTTGAACATAAAAGTCTAAATGTGTTCAATTACAGCAGGCATTGTTAGGTGCCTACCCAGCAACCATTCCTCCACTTCTTACTTGACAACAGAATCCAGTTTTGCTTATGATCAGCCAAGAAGTCATGCCCTTCAAAGGAAGAAACCAATCACAATGATTTTACCCCCTTTTCCAAGTGATAGTTTAGGCACGTGCAAATGACCCAACTCTGGCCAAAGCTACATAAGAGACATCTGCTGGGGGTTCTGAGAAGGTTGCCATTGCTCATAAATGGGATATAATCCATTTTCTCACCTGGACATTGTCACCTGTGTGTGACACCTGCCACTTGTGTCAGACACCTTGGGATCATGAGGAAATCCTGCCTAAAAAGACAGGTCAATCTAGTCAGAGAACTGCAGTCTTTGATGATGGTACTGAATTACTAAATCAACCAACCGTAAAAGCGTACTGCTTCTAGTTTTCTTATTGCAGGCGATAATAAATATCCTTATAGTTAAGCCACATACAGTTTTGTTTTCTGTTACTTGAAGCTAAAACATCTAAAATGATAGTCACTAACAGCAGAAGATTGTTCTGTAAGTACAGAAATAATGCTTTCCTACTTGAGACTAATTCATTCTAAACAAATCATTTAGAAATTGAAGTATCTCTTATTTTTTCCCTATCTACAAATAAACATGAAGAAAGTAAGATTAAATTACCTATACAATCCCCAGTTTTATGGGGATTTCCACTATATTAAAAATTTTTCCATATAAATTTTGTGTAAAAGTCTGTATTTCACACTTAAAACAGTGTAAACTTGTTTTTGCTTTTAGTCGGGCGCAGTGGCTCACGCCTGTAATCCCAGCACTTTGGGAGGCCAAGGTGGGCGTATCACCTGAGGTCAGGAGTTCGAGGCTACCGTGACCAACATGGTAAAACCCCGTCTCTAGTAAAAATATAAAAAAATTAGCCAGGCATAGTGGTGCACGCCTGTAATCCCAACTACTCGGGAGGCTGAGGCAGGAGAATCGCTTGAAACCAAGAGGCAGAGGTTGCAGTGAGCTGAGATCGTGCCATTACACTCCAGCCTGGCAAACAACAGCGAAACTCTGTCTCAAAAGAAAAAAAAAAGGCCGGGGGCAGTGGCTTACGCCTGTAATCCCAGCACTTTGGGAGGCTGAGGCCGGCAGATCACCTGAGGTCGGGAGTTCCAGACCAACCTGAACAACATGGAGAAACTCTGTCTCTACTAAAAAATACAAAATTAGCCAGGCGAGGTGGCGCAGGCCTGTAATCCCAGCTACTCGGGAGGCTGAGGCAGGAGAAGCCCTCAAACCCAGGAGGCAGAGGTTGTGGTGAGCTGAGATCGCACAACTGCACTCCAGCCTGGGCAACAAGAGTGAAATTCTGTCTCAAAAAAACAAAAAACAAACCAAGACCACTTTGTTTTTAATAATCATGGTGGCTACTAAAGGATAATACTCAGAATAAATAATATTACCTTCTATCTACATCACATTTTCAAAGTATTTCTGTAACTTACAGGATATTAGGTGTTGAATAGTAAAATATCAAGGCCTATAAACTGCAACTTAATGGAGAGTGGGAATTAAGTAGCTAGATACTAAATCTATAGACCATTATGGGGTAAGAAGTTTCACTGTGCTTCAAAGGAAACAATATGGCACCAGGAAGTGTATCCACTTACTACTTGGATGCAGGAAGAAAAAAGTCAATTGGAAAAATGCAAGTCAACTGCATTAATTAAGAATTCTCACTAGTTCCTTAGTACGGAAGAACTAAGGTTGACATCAGAAGCTGATGATTTAGTGCTAATGGTCTATACAGTACAATGTATGTAGTTAAAATTCAGTGAGTTTTAGTCATTTTCCACCAATCCTTGTGGTCATTATAAAGTCCTAAGTGAGATTTTTCACTGTTCCCAAACTTGAGAATTATAGTTAAGATGTCAACAGTCAGCAAAACTAAGGAAGAACCTGCTACAGTATCCTCTCCTAACAAAACTTAAAATAAAACAAAAGTGTGCTACCCAGAAACACATAAAATGAGATGGGGCTGGAGATGCTGCTTGTTCTGAATGGAATGTCTCCTCTCCTCATCCTCTCCCAACCAACTCATTCTTCAAAACTTAACTCAAATAAATGTCCTGTCTTCCAGGAGGACCACTCTAACATCAATCCTTCCACTCTCCCAAGCTGACACTGTGGATCCTTTGTCTATGTATCTTCATAGCATATTTATCTGCATCATCACAATAGGTTGAAATTTTGTCTACTTCGACAATTAAAAATAAATCCCCCAAGGTGTGAAAATATGTCTCATATCACACCTAGCAGAATATATGCCTCACAGATATATTTGCTGAATGAAATAACTCATAATTACCCTGCGTGGTAAGCAGGGCAACTATCGTCAGCCTCATTTTCAAATGAGAACCTGCAATTCAAAGAAGTGAAAAGCCAGCTGTCCAAGAAACGATGAAAACAGGATGTGAAATCATGACTTCTAACTTCAAGTGTCAATATTTTCTACAGAAAATACAATCGTATGTTTAAAGTAAATGAAGCAATTTTCAAAATTTAAATTTCTTTGATCTGTTCCCAAGGTAAAATCATTCCATGGTTCAATATCTGAATAGCACAAAAGAATATACTGTGAAAAGGCAACCCACCACCTACACACCCTGACCCCAGCCACTCAGTTCCCACCACCGGAAGCAACATGTTCTCAATTTCTTGTATCCTAAATGAAAGAAAATGAATGTTTAATTTCATGGTATTTGTTACCTTATAGTTTCTCAGTAACCATTAATTAATCCATTAAACTGGAGACAGTTCAAGTTTTATTAATTGCTGAAGTAGAATATGTGCTTTAATTAATTTTAAAAAATAAGTTAGACATTTTATAAACAGCTAAAATGATGCATGTCAAACATAAAATCAGTATCACTTTTTTCAATACTATGAATCTCAAGGATTAATAAATGAATAAATCTTAGAATGAAAATTCAAAAAACACAAATATAAAACTCATTATTTCACGAATCCTCTAACCTGTCCCTTAAAAGGTCCCTCAAAGGTCCTGAGATGTCAGTGAGATTAAAAAGTGCATACTACTGAAAGGGCTAAAGACACTGTGAATAGCTTCTGCTTGAGTTTATATGAGAAAGCAATAGCACCTCCCACAGCTGCTTCATCTCCATACAAAACACTCTGACAGTTTTAATTACCACCTAAAATCACAAATCTGTCTGTACATTTGACTTTTTATCCTCTGTCCAGACCCATATCTCTAACTGCCTTTGTAACATCTCTATTTAGACATCCCCACTAGCAACTGAAGCAGGCTGAAAACTGAGATCATCATCATCTCTCTCTAAAATGATACCCTTCCCAACTTGAGCTGTCAACATAGTAATCATGCTCTCATCTCACAACCTTTGCGGTATCGTTCACTAGAAACCTCTCATTGCAACTGGTTTGGCTAAGTCTGAGAAAAACAGAAGGAAACACAGATGGATAGGGTAAAGTTCTGCATGTGAGGGGTTTTGTTTTGTTTTTAAGTGAGACTATACAATTACTAGATAAAGTAGGACTGCCTTGTGAACATCATGGGGAAAATAGCTAAGTTGTCTGCAAGCTCAATTTGAGTCAAGAGTATAATGCAGTTATTACACTTCTAAAAAAGCCAAGTCGGCCAGGCGCGGTGGCTCTCGCCTGTAATCCCAGCACTTTGGGAGGCCGAGGTGGGTGGATCACCTGAGGTCAGGAGTTCAAGACCAGCTTGGCCAACATGGTGAAACCTTGTCTCTACTAAAAATATAAAAATTAGCCAGGCGTGGTGGCGGGCCCCTGTAATCCCAGCTACTTGGGAGGCTGAGGTAGGAGAATCACTTGAACCCCAGAGGCTGAGGTTGCAGTGAGCTGAGATCACATCGCTGCACTCCAGCCTGGGTCAGAGAGTGAGACTCCATCTCAAAAAAATAAAAAAATTAAAAAGCGAAGTCTATCTTAGATGCGTTAAAAGAAGTGGAGAACCTAAAACATGGTACATAAGTGGTTCTCCTTGGATGAACTGCATCTGTACTTTTATTATTCATAATTTCCTTCCAAAATTGTTATATATAACTTAGATCCAAAAGAGATTTAAAGGTAGCATCTGAAAGAGGATGCTGGCAAACTAGAGTATTAGGAGAGGAATATCCAACATCATCACTCTATTCTGTTCTATTGTGTGAAATAAATAGTTGTTTGTCTAAAACAGACAGATGATGGGCTATTTGGTTATTTCAAACTAATATTGATTATCATACTATTTTAAATGGGTGAAGAAAATTTGGATGGAAATGACTTTAGCTTCTCACAGATAATAAAAGTTAGCATTAGTCAGGATATCTGAATTTTATCAAACTACAAAATAAGCCCAATTTAATGATATTTCCTACAGCAATTATTCTTGGTGACCTATCAACTCAGGTTATTCTTGAAATTACTGATCAGAAAATTTGGGAACAGAATCTGGGATTTCTTAGTTGGGTTCAGAGAACTCATGGCTTTCGGATTATTAGCATTATACAGAGGCACTTTGATATGTAATGTGTTTATGCAGCGTATTGAACTAAGATTTTGTTCATTAAGTCAAAATGGTCCAAGAAGCATGTATGAAGATTCCTATTTTCATATTACTGATATTGATGTCTTAAGTCCTTTTGTACAAAAGAATGACAAAATAATCATTATTAATAATTTTCATTCAGAAAAACTTAAGAGTTACAAATAATTTTCACACAATAATCCTATCTGATGGTATACGTATACACTGATTTGGTATATGTTAAAGGGTCCATTTTCAATGTATATTTAATTTGTACTTTACCACATCAAAATTTGGAGTTTAAAAAACTACGTTATAAGTCCTTAACTGCTTAATTACTTTTAAATAAAATTTGGTAATAGTACTTGGCATAGAGCTGTACTTGACACAATTTTAACAGCTAGGAAAGACTCTGAAGCCCTCCAAATCTTTCTTGTCTAAGTCACCTTATTTATAGCCTGTAGTTTAAAAAAAGTCTATTCTGTATCAAATATTTTACCCTTTCATTCTTCACCTGTTTACTCAAAGTAAAATGGTCATTTTACAGCCTGACTTCCTGAATTTGCCAGTAAACATTATTTTAAAATGTTGCATTTTCACAACTGGAGGCTTAAACAGGAGAATAGTATTGTTTTAGCATGTAAAAACACGAAAAATCTCTAACTTTATCTCACAAAAACAGAAAAAAATATATAAATTATGTCTTTTATGGCATTTGAAGAGCATCACAACTTTTTGCAAGCTGTTGTTCTGCAGTCTTCCTGAACTATTTCTGATGAATTACTTGGTAGAATCTTTCAGGACCCTGACTGTGGATAGACTATCATGATTATACATAAACATACATCTGTGACAAACATTCCTTTTTCTGGTCAACCTAAAAACCCCAAGTAATAACTGTAACATTTGGGATTAAACAAAGACACAGGAGCTGTAATTACAGCCAGCTGACTCTAACTTGTATTATGTATGAGGGGAAAATCTGTCCTTTAATTGATCATGTAAATATAACCAAACTGCCATTCAAATGTGGTAACAACTGCTTTCTTTTATAGAGGAAAAAGGAATGCTCTTCAAAGAAATGTTAATAGATATGGCAAAAGTAAACGAAAGTAACAACGTTTTTATGAACAAATAAAGTTTTGGAAATACCAAATTCCAAAAATAAACTTTTGGAAATTCCAAAGTGTATTTGGAAGTACACTCTTCCCCTCTTAAAGGTTTCACATAATCACAGCTTTTGAGTTATCTTACAGTAAAGAAACATATTAAACTTTGTTTAACTCAACCCTTCCCAAACTAATTCGAGCACAGAACACTTTTTCAACATGCTTATTAAGAGCTAGTGAACCAGATTCCATCAACTTGGAATCCAAAATGATGAAAAAGTAATATGCAAAATTCTGACTTTAGTGACTGATAAATTTGTTCCTAAATTTCTAAGGTGTAGTTCTACACAACATTAAATATAAACTATTCTGTTCAAAATTTCCAATTTATATAAAATAAAATATATTATCAATTTAAATAAAATTGGTGTTTACATCTTAATGTGGCATTAACAATAGCAAAACTAATACTAGCATATATCTCTCTATGATAGTATAATATTAAATAAAACAACAAGGAACATTATAACTGTTCTATAAAATTCTACTTTAAATTTTTTTAAATTCCAATTTAAAAGAATTCTAATTTGCTTACAACTGAATTCACATTTTAGTAGAAAGTAGCTATACCATCTTGTGTATTATCAAGAAAAATATTTAGTTTGAAAAATTATATAGTAACATTATAATGGCTGATGAAATGGGTTTTTTTAAAAAAATCCAATTCAACTTTTCCTACTGGAAGTTTATTTTTTACCTTAGATATACTAACTGAATGGTAATAAATGTCCAATGGTCCTTAAGCTACAAATCTTATAAAGTATTACAATTTTTTTTTAAAAAAAGTAATTTTAAAGTAAGATGGCTTCATTAGAAAACGTTAACTAACCACTTATAATAAAAACTGGGGCCTTGTAGAAACTTGAGTTTATGAACAAATTAGTACATAAAATTTGCCATTTATAGATCTCTAAACATTCATTAACAAATATCCACTAATTTAAACATCTGAAATAGACCAGATCATGTGGGGGATGGGTAGCATTTTTATTATGGTAGAACAGACTAAATGTCTAGCTTTAATGCTGTGAGAAACTGAACTTTGAAATTCCCAACCATCTGATTTAACCTACTGGACTACTTGTTCTTCCAAACTATAATTCCTGGAAAATTGAGAATGGCCTTAAAAAAAAATACCTGTAGTCCATTGTATGAAATTTTATTTTCCAGGCACTGCAAGGTCCTTTAGTCACTGTCGCCTGTCAACTTAAATCACTCATTTATGTTATATGCTGTGGTAATAAGGAAATACTAAGACAATGTAGTAATAGATACTGCGTATCTTAAATACTTTGAAAAGACACGTGACATTCAGAAACTAGAGAATATGATTTATGATTAGAAAAAGTAACTTCTTATGATGTGTGTGGGAGAATGTAAGTGCCCATGTTATTCCAAGAGTTCATAAATATTTTGAAATAGTTTTTAATGTTTTCAAAACTTTAAGCTGCAGTTCAAATTTTCCATTATTAAAATAGTTACCCATATGATTTGAAAGACCAATAATTTCATTTTTAGATCAGGTAATAAATTTACAAAGGTACAACTTGTTTTCTCAATTCACACAAATCTAGGGCTTCTTTGTGTACACGAATCTTCAACAACAATCATGTAAACAATGTATGAGGCAAATTTACTTTTTATAGATACGTGTAAAGGGACAATCATTACTAGAGTTAGTCAAGCAACTGGTTTTTGACTTACCACTTTTAAAGTAAGATATATATCTGTCATATGTGCTTTTTTAAAAACTAAATTAGAAAGGATGATCTACTCTCTCCAAAGAGATATAATAATAAAATAACTGACATCAAGGACTTTAGTAATATCTTCCAATTGTTTAAATTAGTCATAACTAAGCATCTGTAACTAAAATTATTCACATTACATCAACACACACCTATATTTTACACAACATAAGATGAGTCCAGTTTTAGTACCAGTACATATAAAGCAAATATTTAAATTTTATCTAAGCCATACTTAAAAAACAACATGTCAGAGGACAATACTATGAAACTACAGGGAATCAAGTACTTTATATAGTTATGGTATAAGGGCATCATATTTATCAATAAAATGAACTGACCTTGAAAATCACTTCAGCATTGGTTTCACACTTCAACAAAGTCATACCAGTTCCCTTAACTCCCTTACCACATGAAATGGCAAAAGCTACTAGAAGTTTATTATAGTATATTATTTCAGTAAATCCTGGATATTCAGACACACTTTATAAAAATTAAAACTAAAATGGCACTTCCTGTAACAACATTACTGTTTGCCTTTTGCCCTGATACACTTCAGGAAACGTGTACACTAGAGTGTACATTTCTAGGATTTTTGTGTTAAGATTTAAGTCCTAATTATACCATGAATTAGGAAATACACTATTCTGATTTACTCTAAGAAATGTTTATATAAATTCGTAACATCATCACAGTAATAAATCAACTATTAAAAGACTGTCCTGCTCTTTCAAAAATACCTCTCAGCTCACAACCTTTTCTTTCTTCCATAAGCTACCTGCCAATATTATACAGTTAGCCCAATGAGAGGTATTACCTGAGACGGCTTTTTTATTTGTAGACGGATGATGTAGAATATACTCCAATTTCTGTCTATGCATGTGACAGCTCTAAACTACAGCCAGTTTTATTTTTATACCAACACTATAAATCCAGCCATTTGCAATCCAGCTGCATGCTCATTAGCTGCGAACCGTAGCGGTTCAGCTCATTTCTGCTCATTCTACTAATCTCCTGTCTTTACTCCATTTATTTGCCACTTTTGCTGCTGCTCCTCCACAAAATACAACACTGCCCCTTCTAAGATTAATTGATCATCAATTTAATCCTAATTTGGACCAAGTCAGGTGGTAAATGGACCACTTTTGCTTGATTGTTAGTGAAATGTGTGCAAGCACATTGATAAATTTTGATTATTTATCAATTACCACCAAATGAAGTAAATCTATTGAATAAATTCTAGCCTGATTGCTATAATAGAGTTTGAAAATATCGCTATTGATAATGATTCTCGCTAATAGTCTTTTCCGACTGCAGTTGCTGGGTTGTCGGCACGACAACAAAGAATTCATTTTTCATAACATCAGCCGCGT
The DNA here is from genome assembly GCF_000001405.40 of Homo sapiens. Taxonomy (NCBI): domain Eukaryota; kingdom Metazoa; phylum Chordata; class Mammalia; order Primates; family Hominidae; genus Homo; species Homo sapiens. Next base: position 77,725,621 of record NC_000005.10, read on the forward strand.
ATGCCTCAGCAATCCTTCATTAATCAGTTACATTATGGGGCCGTTCCTCCGTAATGTGTGTTGCTTTGCTCAGAAAGCCTAAAACACTTTGTCATATTTTATGTCAATTACCAGTAATTTTAATATCCTTCCATCAGGCATCTTGTAATAGTTAGCATATGCTACCATAAGTGTCTTAAGGCTCCTTGAGATGAGTTATATTGCAGATACAGTTGTGTTTCGTAATGCCGTCTTTGGAATGCAAATAACAAAACGACAGGCTAATGAAAAAATGTCCCTTGATCTTAATTTCTTATTGCACAGGCTAAGTCACTTATATGAAGGGTGGAGCTGAGATTATTTTAAATGAATCTGCCACTGTGTTTTCCCAAAGTTAATGGAAAAGCAGCTCTCTGGAAAATGGAAAAAAGAATTAGACTCGACACACATTCAACTACTCTAATACTGTATTTTTGAGCCATGTAGCCAGTGCCAGTTCAAGTGACAAAACTAAATTACTGTTGTCATTTTATTAAGGGTATCCGCTGTGTAAGGAGCTAACTCAAATGTGCAAAACTGTAGAAAAGCCATGCACAGTATTTTTAACTTCCAAAGAAGAGAAAGGAAGCAGTGGCAATGCTTCATTTTACTTTACACTGTGACTGCAGGTCTTGCCCAAGGTCACACTTTAGTAAATGTGCACCCAGCACTGTTGCAGAATTATAAATGGTCTGGAATGGAGGCCACTGTTCGTTGAATTCTATTTCAGTATCAGAACATGCCATCACTGTGTAAAACAGATTTCTTCATTACATGCAGGAAAATCATATTCTTTTGAGCTTTAAGGAGAAAAATAGTTGAACAATAAAACAATTACTTAACACATGCTTCAGAGAGTAATGAAAACCTTAAACACCCCAAACTGAAAACCTCTATTAAAAAAATACTATTGGATGTATTTATGAGGTTATTATTTGTAGTATCCATTCCAGTGTCAAATAAAATGAAAACTCATTTAATATTCTCTGAATTCATTTTCATCTGTAGGGAAAGAATTCTTCTTCACTTCCCCAGCTTCCAGTTTGAAGAGAGTAAAATATTCACTCATTCACTAAAGGAGAAGCTGAATGATAACATTTTTCAGTTTAAGTGCAAGGATTAAAATTATGTTCATTAGTATTTCATCCTGGGCTGCAAACTCAGTGTTTCATAAGCAAAATATAGTCTATATAGTGTTATTTAATAGTTAAATACCAAGCAATATTTCTATAACTAAGTTCTAAAGATTCAAGATGTAAGAAGAGATTCTTGTTGGACCATCTTATATGCCCAGGTTATGGTATTTCAAGAATTGTTAGCCCAGATGTTGAATATTTTTAAGGTTTTAAATTCAAATGATCTGCTGTCATTTGAACTTTGAGTTACTAATTTCTAACAATGTATCCCTCTTGAAGTTATTAAGTCTCATGATTTTTTAAAAATTAAAGCAAACTTTGTATCAAAATGGATAGTGCTGAGTCCCAGATACTTGGGAGGCTGAGGCACAAGAATCGCTTGAACCCAGGAGGCGGAGGTTGCAGTCAGCCAAGATCACGCCACAGCACTCCAACCTGGGAGACACAGTGAGACTCTGTCTCAGGAAAAAAAAAAAAAAAAAAAAAAGAATAGTGCTGGAGGAGCCACTTTAAGTTTTAGAGATTTAGTATCAGAGCTACAACTGAAATCCAGATTGCCTAATTTACAAGACAGAGTTCTTGCTTCTTGAAACAACATTGTAGAGTGGAAACTGATCTTACCATCACATGCATGTATATCTAGATAGTAACGTTCCATGTTCTGATGGAGCTGTGTTGTTATTTCTTTTTAAAGAGTTATAGGAAATGAGTACGAGAACAATACTATAAGAAGTATAAACAGAAAAGCAATTATATTTTCTCAGGTAAATGTATTATCAGCCTAAATCTATTGCAGGGAACAAAATCATTCCTTTTACATTTATAGATAAGCTACACAAATCGAAGAACTCTGGCTCTCTTTCCCCAGATTAAGAAACATAAAAAGGCAAGAACATGAAAAAGATATTAAGCTTTTCAAAAAGCAAATAGAGTCAATATAGCCCAAATACATACAAGTCTAACTCAGCCCAACAGGGAATACCTTAAATGTGAGAATGTAATTTCATTATAATAAAATAGTAAAAGAAAAGACAATAGTTGGCCTAATAAGACAAAGTCCAAAATACATAAAAATGCAACAATTTTTAAAAACCTAAGTAGAAAAGACAGTACTATATTCATGCTGATAGTATGAGTAAAGCTAAGAGTGAAGGCAGGTATAGTTAATCAGGTCAAGCTTCTAGTTTTAAGATTTTGGAGAAAAATGTGAAAGAAAAATTACTAAGCAAGGAATTTTCAGGCTTACAATTTTTTAAGAGTTCATTCCCTCCTCAGAAGCAAAGATAAATATTTAGTAAAAGTTATTTTTCTACCAAGACCGTATTTCTAGTGCAAATGCTAAAGAAACATGGAATAAAGAGATTATAAATATTTTTATTAGAATAATACATTTCAAAACTGCAAGCATAATATCTACTATCTGAAATAAAGGTAGCAGGCACCTCTACCTAAATGAAACAGAATTCTTAAGAAAAAGAGGCCCCCAGAAAGGGCCTCAGAAGAGCTAAAATAGAGGTCAAAATTTACACTAAAGCTTATACATATGATTTACAGGAGAGATCTTCATGTCCTTATTCAGAACAGTTATTCTTTCTTTAGGTATGATTCTATAAATTTGGTTTCTTGTATTTTAAGCCAGTAGCTGAGGAAAGGAGAAACCAGTATTATAAACAGCAAGCTGATAAAAGGAACAATCATAAAAAATCTGACTAGGGAAAGGAAAGAACCATGTAAACCATGGCAGTCAAGGATCATTTCATGTAGAGTACATAAACCTCAACAACTTGATAATCCCTAAGCAGGAGGTGGGGAGAGGGTTAATATAGGACAGCAATAAACTTGTGTGTTAAAAAAAAGTCAAATGATGTTCAAATTCTCTGCTTAAAAACAAAGCAAATTTTATTTTTTATTTATTTATTTTTACAAAGCAAATTTTAATAGGGATTCAAATAAGAAAAAATTAACACTCATGGAACTAAAGACTACGTCAGGTTGGAACATAACCTGACATAGTAGGTCTCTATGTCTCATAAAAGAGAGATGAGGAGGTAGTCTACTGAAGGGCCTCATTGAAAAGCCTTCCCTTCCTTGGTCAGTTAATTGTAGCCAAGTTTCTAGTTCTCAGGCTCACAATCTGTGGGCCCGCCATAAGTGGACTCATGACTTAAGGGCAGAATAACATTGATTAATGAGGCTGATATATTATAGTCGAATGCCAATTTTTAAAAATGCAATGAGAATTGTATTTTTAAATACAATTTAAAAATTATGGCTCATGACTGTAATCCCAGCACTTTGGGAGGCCGAGGCGAGTGGATCACCTGAGGTCCGGAGTTCAAGACCAGCCTGGTCAACATGGTGAAACCTCATCTCTACTAAAAACATAAAAATTAGCTGGGCATGGTGGTGCACGCCTGTAAGCCTAGCTATTCGGGAGGCTAAGGCAGGAGAATCGCTTGAACCTGGGAGGAAGAGGTTGCAGTGAGCCAAGATCATGCCACTGCACTCTAGCCTAGGTGGCAGAGTGAGATTCCATCTAAAAAAAAAGGAGAGAGAGAAGCATAATACCATCACTGGAAAAGTGTTCTCCATTAGGCTAGCCCATTCTCCTGTGATAGGCAGACCTATATAAAATACCACAGCCTCACTAGAAAGTTGACTTGTGAGCATGGAACCAGAAAAAAAGAGAATTAGATAAATGGAATGCTTCATAACTAAAGTAGATTTTGGTCTTTCCTAGAGCATAAGCATTTCAAGAAGGTGTCTCAGAGGCACTTTGTTTTTGTTAACTGTTTTATAAGCTTGCAATCTGCGTAAGATTGCTTTTGGAAGAAAAAAAGTTCCTTTGCTAAAAAGTAACATTCAGTAACTACAAATTTACATGAAGGAGACAGGATGATCTCACAAATAACAAAAAGTACACTCAGAATTCCTGTCCCCTGGACAGCACTTAGATGGGCAAAGCAAACATTTACGCTGTGATTTTCCTTATTCTGTCATTCCACTATTGACCAATCTTCCTTCATGTTAGTTAATACATTCTCTTTGTGAAAATGGTAATACAACATATCAGTTAATAGTGTAGTAATATAAGACTAGGACCCATTCTCTCTTTAAGATATTTTGTGTTTATTATGAGTTATCAAGTGTTGAGTTTACTTTATCCTGAGATTAAATATTATTTTCAGTTGCTTGGATGATACTTTAATATATTCCTAAGTTTTATAAATGTTTCCAGTCAGAATGATTAAACTGAAATAATTTTTGATTTTTTAAAAAAGGAAAGCTCTGAAGCTTGGATATTCTGAAAGACTCTATTCTTAAGACTATATTCAGCTGAGACGTTGTATTGGATTGAATGTTACCCAAAATTCATGTCAACCCAGAATCTCAGAATGTGATCTTCTTTGGAAATATCGATTTTGTAGATATAGTTATGATGGGGTCATAATGAATTGGGGTAGGCCATAAATCCAAGGACTGGTGTCTTTATTAGGGAAGACACATAAGGTAGAAGGTCACATGAAGACAGAGATAGAGATTGGAGTTATGCTGCCACAAACCAAGGAATACCAAACATCACTGCCAACTGTTAAGCCAAAGAGGCAAAGAAGGATTCTTCCCTAAGCCTCTTGGAGGGAGAATGGCCCTGCTGACACCTTGACTTTGAACTTCTAGCCTCTAGAAATGTGAAAATAAATTTTAGTTGTTTTTATGCCACCCAGTTTGTGGTAATTTGGTTATGGCAGTCCTAAGTAATTGAAACAGATGCTAATGCAAGCTCAAATTTTTTTTTTTTTTAGAAATACATGGGAACATCAGCATTTTAAAGGACTTCAATTCAAGTGATCTGTTGTTACTAGGATGGCACAAGAACATAAATCTTCCAGTTTCAACTCTTGGAACCTTTCCACTATATCATAATCTCACATCCATCCATCCACCCACCTACCCATCCATCCATCCAATATTTACCAAATGCTATGATATGCCAAGCAGTGGGCAACTAACAAAATAACAACTATCCTCTCCCTCATGATAATTTTGGTCTAGTCTCACTAAATAGGTTATAGAATAGGTTATAGAAGTTTTTCTATGTTAATACATACAACCCTCCATCTGAGATTTTTAATAACAATATAGTGTTTCATTGATTGCATGTGACATACTTTAAGCAATATCCTCCTGATGAACATTTATTTCCATTTTGTCAATATTATAATAATAACTGAGATGAACATCATTGTACATACATGTATGCCCTTGCCTGCAGATTTCCTTTAGATGAAAATCTTAGCATGGTATTTTGAGGTCACATTTTACTTAGTGATATATACTGACAAGTGGCCTTCTACGAATGTCCTATCAATTGACATATTCACCAACAGTGAGAAGCGAGCCCATTTCTCTCACCAACATTTAATACTGGTGTTTTCATCTATGCCCATTGTATAGGTGACTAATAATATTACCATGTGCTTATTTGCATTTCTTTGATTACTGATGAGGTACAATATAGTTATTATCTAGAGCTAAATTGCCTAAATTTGAATCCTAGTTCCACTGGTTCAAAGTTACTTAACCTCATGGTGCCTCAGTTTCCTCAACTGCAAAGCAAGGATAATAATAGTATCTACCATATGAGTTACTGGGAAAATTAAATTGTCTAATACCTATGAAGTGCTCACAACCATGCCAATAAACAGTGCTACCATTAATATTTTAAGTGTCATCCAATCCTATTTTTTCTTTGCAAGTAAATTTCCTGATTATATTCTTTCCCATTTTTATGTTGCAGTGTTCATCTCTTTCTTACTAATGTGTAAGAGCTCTCTCTATATTCCGTATCTCTATCTTTTATCTGTTGTATAGATAGTAAATACTTTCCCCAGTGTGTCATTTATATTTCCACATTGATTTTTCTTCCTTTTTCCCCATTTTTGCTATTTCCCTAGAAAAATTTTATTTTATAATATCTATATAATCGCCTATCAATCTTTTCTTTATGGCATCCAGGTTTTACATAGATAAGGACTTTCCAAAAAATAAAATACTTTAATTTAATGGTAAAATGAAAGAGTTAATAGTTAAAGAGGAGAAAATTCCAAAAGATATGAGAGGCAATTTCTAGCAGAGTTTCACTGATTTAATATTCAGGGTGAGCATTACTGACTGTTAAGGAAGTAAGTTTGGGCGCAAGTTACACTATCCCGGTCTCCACAGCCTGGGTGTTTGGAGAAACTAACATCTCTCTGGGACGTTGCTTTGCGGGATTATCTGCTTAATGGACGGAGTGAACCAAAAAATGTATTAAGGGTATGTTTGATGTCATTATCTGGTGTCAAAAAATGAAAATGTCTTCCCAATAAGTAATCTGAAACACTCCTGAAAACATTTCTAGAGCTATAGCTTCTCCACAGAGTGACTACAGGTTTCCAGTTTTAGAATTTCTCTCAATCTTAAAACGTTTTCTCTATAAACAAATGGGTATCTGGGTCCTATGAAATCATACACAGGCATTACCTTATCTTACTGCACTTTGCTGATGTTGGATTTTTGTTTTTTTATTTCATTCTTTCTTTTTAAGAAACTGAAGGTTTGACCATCTCTACTAAAAATACAAAAAATTAGCCGGGCGTGGTGACGGGCGCCTGTAGGCCCAGCTACTCGGGAGGCTGAGGCAGGAGAAAGGCATGGACCCGGGAGGCAGAGCTTGCAGTGAGCAGAGATCGTGCCACTGCACTCCAGTCTGGGCGACAGAGTGAGACTCTGTCTCAAAAAAAAAAAAAAAAAAAAAAAAAAATTGAAGGTTTGTGGTAATCGTGTGTCAAACAAGTCTGTCAGTGCCTTTTTTCCAAAAGCATGTGCTCACTCTGTGTCTCTTACATTTTGATAATTCTTGCAATACTTCAACCTTGTTCACTATTATTATATATTTTACGGTGATTTGTGATCACTGACCTTTTATGTTACTATTGTTAATTGTTTTACGGTCCCACAAACTGTGCCTATATAAGATGGCAAACTCAATCGATGAATGTGTATATTCTGACTGCTCCAATGACTGGCTGTTCTCTCATTTCTCTTGCTCTCTTCAGGCCTCTCTACTCCCTGAGACACAATATTAAAATCAGGTCAGTCAATAACTCTATAATGGCCTCTAAGTGTTCAAGTGAAAGGAAGAATCACATGTCTCTAACTTTACATCAAAAGTTAGAAACGATTGGCCAAGCACAGTGGTTCATGCCTATGATCCCAGCACTTTGGGAGGCTGAGGCGGGTGGATTGCTGAGGTCAGGAGTTTGAGACCAGCCTGGCCAACATGGCGAAACCCCGTCTCTACTAAAAATACAAAAATTATCCAGACATCGTGGCACATGCCTGTAATCCCAGCTACTCAGGAGGCTGAGGCAAGAGAATCACTTGAACCCTGGAGGCAGAGGTTGCAGTGAGCCAAGATCGGGCTATTGCACTCCAGCCTGGGCAACAGAACAAGACTCTATCTCAAGGGAGAAAAAAAAGTTAGAAATGATTAAGCTCAGTGGGAAAGGCATGTGGAAAGCCAAGATAGGCCTAAAGCTGGGCCTCTTGTGCCAAACAGTTAACCAAGTTGTAAATGCAAAGGAAAACTTCTTGAAGGAAATTAAGAGTGCTACTCCAGTGAACACACGAATGATAATAAAGCAAAACAGCCTTCTTGCTGACATGGAGAAAGTTTTAGTGATCTGGATAGATCAAACCAGCCACAACATTGCCTTAACCAAAGCTGAATCCAGAGCGAGGCCTTAACTCACATCAATTCTATGAAGGCTAAAAGAGGTAAGGGAGCTGCATAAGAAAAGCAGTAAGCTAGCAGAGATTGGTTCATGAGGTTTAAGAAAAGAAGACATCTCCATAACATCAAAGTGCAAGGGGAAGCAGCAAGTGCTGATGTAGAAGCTACAGCAAGTTATCCAGATGATCTAGCTAAGATCACTGATGAAGGTGGCTATGCTGAACAACAGATTTTTCAACATGAACGAAACAGCTTTCTGTTGGAAGAAAATGTCATCTAGGTCAACTTCCATAGGTAGAAATTAGAAATCACTGCTTAGGCTTAAAAGCTTCAAAAAAGAGGCTGACTCTCTTGCTAGGTGCTAATGCAGCTAGTACTTTAAGTTGAAGCCAATGCTCATTTACCATTCCAAAAATTCTAGGGCCCATAAGAATTATGCTAAATCTCCTCTGCCTGTGCTCTATAAATGAAATGACAAAGCATGGATGACAGCACAACTGTTTATAGCATGAATATTTTAAGCTCACTGTTGAGACCTACTGCTCAGAAAAAAAGACTCCTTTCAAAATATTACTGCTTACTGACAGTGCACCTAGTCAGCCAAAAGCTCTGATGGAGAGGTACAAGGAGATTAATATTGTTTTCATGTCTGCTAATACAACACCCATTCTGCAGCCCATGCAGCAAAGAATAATTTCAACTTTTAAGTCTTATTATTTAAGAAATACATTTTGTAGAGCTATTGCTGCCATAGACAGTTATTCCTCTGATGGATCTGGGTAAAGAAAATTTGAAAACCTTCTGGAAAGGATTCACGATTCTAGATGCCATTAAGAACATTCATGATTCACGGGAGGAGGTCAAAATATCAATATTAGCAAGAGTTTGGGGGAAGTTGATTCTAACCTGCACAGATAACTTTGAGGGATTCAGGACTTCAGTGGAAGAAGTCACTGTAGATGTGGTAGAAATAGCAAGAGAAACAGAAGCAGAGATGTGACCAAACGGCTACAGTCTCATGATAAAATTTAATGGCAAGAGTTACTCCTTATGGATAAGCAAAGAAAATGGTTTCTTGAGATGAAGTCTACTTCTAAAATGACAAAAAAATCATAATACTATACGTAAACTTAGTTGATGAAGCGGTAGAAGGGTTTGAGAGGATTCCAATTTTAAAAGAAGTTCTACGTGAGTAAAAGGTTATCAAACAGCACTGCATGCTACAGACAAATCGTTCATGAAAGGAGTCCATCAATGCAGCAATCTTCATTGTCTTATTTTAAGAAATTGCCACAGCCACCCCATCCTTCAGCAACCACCATCCTAATCAATCAGCAGCCATCAACGTTGAGGCAAGATATGTAACAGCAAAAAGATTACAATTCACTGAAGGCTCAGATGATTGTTAGGTATTTTTCTAACAATAAAGTGTTTTTAAATTATGGTATGTACATTTTTTAGATGCAATGCTATTGCACACATAATATACTACAATACAGAGCAAACATAACTTTTATATGCACTTGAGAAACCAAAAAATTTGTGTGACTCATTTTATTGTGATGGTCTGGAACTGAACCAGCGATATCTCCAAGGTACCTGTATCTAGATTTTACATATTATGAAGATTTTGGTTATTAACATCCTGAATAAATACAAAGGATCACAACATAAAAAGAAAGTCTCTTAAATAAGGTACTCAAATTTTACTCAGATTGGCAAATGCCAAATCAGAAACAAAATATTTAATGCGAAAATCTACTCTACTTTCCCTCAAGGGGATTAATTTTTCAAAGGGAATTTCATTGTTTATCTACCGAGACATGCCTCGTCACTCTAGCTCTTTTCAGTTCTCTGTTCTAATTACAATCCAAATTTAGCATCCTTTGAGGCTTTCTTGCATGCTTTCTTCCAAGTAATTAATATGATTTAAATAAAACTGTATTTAACATAACACCTATGGCACCATGTCAAACATGACCCCCAATTCAATATAATCCTGTCATTATCTTTGCTGTGATTCAACTGCTAATTTTAGTCCATATTTATAATTAACTTGACTTTAATTTTCCTAAAATAGGATTAATCATTTTAGTGAAAATTAGATATTCGTTTCTATCAAATATTAATTTTATAATTCTACTCTATTAAAAATTCAATACAACTAAGAGCATTCAAGTTTATTTGGCTTAATTTGTCCTTCATTCACTCATATGCTTACTGTTTATTCTTTCATACATGCTTTACCTACATGCGAAATGGTGTTGGCAAATATGACAAGGCCAGCTTTATGTGCTCTATTCATAAATTTGCATTAAAAACAAAACAAAATAAAACAAATTTTGCAATAAAACAAAACTGCCTCTATTTAAAAGAAATCCCCTATGCAGAAATTCATTCACCTTAAGTAAACAATGACTGGGTAACCCCTTACTATGTAGCACTTAACTAGACATAGTCTATCAGAGATCAAGTTGGTTCTAAGTTAAAAAATCTAGCTGGAGGCCGGGTGCGGTGGCTCACGCCTGTAATCCCAGCACTTTGGGAGGCTGAGGTGGGCAGATCACGAGGTTAGGAGATCGAGACCATCCTGGCTAACACAGTGAAACCCCGTCTCTAATAAAAATATAAAAAACATTAGCTGGGCGTGGTGGTGGTTGCCTGCAGTCCCAGCTACTCAGGAGGCTGAGGCAGAAGAATGGCGTGAACCCAGGAGGCAGAGGTTGCAGTGAGCCGAGATCGCACCATTGCACTCCAGCCTGAGTGACAGAGCGAGACTCCGTCTCAAAAAAAAAAAAAAAAAAAATCTAGCTGGAAAAAAATCATGAAACGACTAGGAAACAACTGCTCTCTTTTCTTCTACAATGCAACCTTCAAATTGTCCCTGGAATTCCCTTGCTTTCCAAAAATAATCAAACAGAAACAATGCTTATGGAATTCCAAACTTCTAATAAGGACATTAAAAAACCTCTGCGTGTATTTCTCAGTATACATTCCACACTTTCTATATTCCTGTCACAATGTCCATGCGATGCCCCCCAAATATATCCTAGTCATTTCCTAAATGAGCTCTGGAGACTTTTACCTTATTTCTTTTTCTAAGAGGAAATGACTGCCCTTCCCTATCTCTACCTCCTCATATTTACTACTTGCTCTAGACCTAGCTCAAATACCATCTCTTCCTGGAAGTCTTCCTCAACTCACCAATCAGTGGAATTTTAATTGTCTTATTCTCCAAATAACTCAGACCTAAATAATTGTATCTTGATAACACAGAGCTATATAATGCTTTGCAATTAAATTGCTTGCACAAATAGTAACTCAACAGTCATTCTGCCCAATTGCATCACAAATCATATAGATGATGGGTATTAGAGATTTAACATTCAGTAACTGAAACAATAGGACTTAGTTGTGCCTGCTTAAACTAAAGGCATATATGTATACATTGTTTCTGGAATCTAGAAAAGACTTTTGGGAATATAGGAGAATAACATCCCAAAAAGTTTTCTAAAGGACGATAGAGCTTACAATTGAATAGTTTTCCTGTTTGTGTAAACCAAGAATTACAGTGACACCTGAAAAGTTTAGGACATAATAAATATTAAGTCTCATGGTACTCAAGAGTATTCCAGAAGTCTGTTTTCTAAGTGTGGATGATAATGTGATAATGTTTGTGGATCTTAGACTGAAATTATGAACCAAAGCTTTTGTTTAAAAAAACAAAACAAAAAAACAGGCAGCGCACTCCTTACTGAAACGAAAGGCTTGCCTCTCTCTAGTGATTGTTTTCCAGCTAACTTTGGCAAACAGTGCATTATTTAAGTGTTAGCAGTGTGATTATTTTATGTGGTGGGAATTCTAAAGAAAGTACAGTATTCCATAAATTAACTTATATAAGAAGTTACTTATCGACACTCTAAGGTCAAATAAAGTTAAGCCAATGACATGTCACGTAATCTGGGTTCTAGTTCCAACTCAACTACTTTGTAATGTAATACTGAATAAGCTGCTTAATTTCCCTGTCTCAGGTTCATCGTTTTATAAAATGAGGAGGTTTGACTAGATGATCCCTCGGGTATGCTGCAGCTCAAAAAATGGAAAGGAAGAAATACATTTTAAATTCATCTTATTAATAGAGGAAATTAAACTATCAGCAGAAACTGATAATTTTTTCCACTTATTTACAAAGCTGATATATTCTGAAACTGTCCCTAAAATGTTTAAAAGTTGGCTTTTTCAGGTCAATAAATCCAGCACTTTAACTATCAATTTCTCTTCACTTTACTGATACATCTTTCCTCTTTGGTCTCAAAAGTTGCTGTAAAATCTCTTATTTCTTTGTAATTCATAATATAATTCATCCCACTCTGGTGTTTCATCAATTTAACAGTTCTAATTGCCTTATTATCTGCTCTGGTGCAGTAGTAAAGCCTTTGAACATTTCATTTACCTTACCAACAAGAAAACCCCATATATCTCAGCCTTAAGGATATTACCTCTACCTCTTGGATGAGCAGAGGCATGAAGGCTTAAGCTCTCTGGAAAGCCAATATAATCTATCACTATTTAACTGTTTGTCAATGTTTATGCCTGTCTCAACTCACATTTAATGGGGCTTTTTATTGTTATTTTCCACTATAAAATTTTCAAGACACCTAAATGTCACTAATTCCCTTCTAAATTTAGCATGTATATTGCAGTGCTGCTTACTTGGCAGACTCACTGATATGGTGCAAATGCATGGGTTTTGGCATTGAGAAGATTAACTTGCCTATGTTCAAGTCTTAGTTCTGACCTTTGCTATATATATGGCCCTAAGTAAGTTACTTGCCCCCTGACCCTCAGTTTCCCCATGTAAAATAGGAAGACTAATATTCAACATCATGGTTAATATAAAGTAAGTATAGTTCCTGTTCCAGCGCTGCAAACAAAACAAGCAGTCAGTAACATTTAGTCATGCACATGGCCTGCCCACTAGGCTATGATTCTGCTTGTTGAACTAGTCAGTTTGAAAATAGATTCAAGTCATCAGCTACTTCTTTTTTTTGGAGACGGAGTCTCGCTCTGTCACCCAGGCTGGAGTGTGGTGGTGCGATCTTGGCTCACTGCAACCTCCGCCTCTGGAGTTCAAGAAATTCTCATGCCTTAGCCTTCCGAGTAGCTGGGATTACAGGCATCTGCCACCACGCCTGGCTAATTTTTGTATTTTTAGTAGAGACAGGGTTTCACCATGTTGGCCAGGCTGGTCTCAAACTCCTGACCTCAGGTGATCCGCCTGCCTCAGTCTCTCAAAGTGCTGGGATTACAGGCGTGAGCCACTGCACCTGGCCTCAAGTCACCAGCTACTTCTACAGGACTGTTTCCAAACTGCTGGTTGTAACCCAGTAGGCAGGGTCATAATCCATGACTCATGAAATCAACCCAGTGGACTGTGATCAGCTTTGGTTTAATGGAAGAGAATAGAAATCGAATTAGAAATATCACAGTGCATCATAAGTAGTAAATATAAGAAAAGTTCATTAAACTGTTTCAGTTTTATATATGTATATGTATTAGTGTAGTGTGTCATGATGCAAAATAAAATAATACTTCTTACTCTGGGTTGGATCAAGAAAGTTTGAAACATGGCTGGGCACAGTGGCTCATGCCTGTAATCCCAGCACTTTGGGAGGCTGAGGCAGGCGGATCACCTGAGGTCAGGAGTTTAAGACCAGACTGGCCAACATGGTGAACCCTTGTCTCCACTAAAAATACAAAAATTAGCCGGGTGTGGTGGTGCACACCTGTAATCCCAGCTACTCAGGAGGCTGAGGCACGAGCGTCGCTTGAACCTAGGAAGCAGAGGTTGTGGTGAGCCAAGATCGCACCACTGCACTCTAAACAGAGTGAGTGAGGCGCTGTCTCAACAACAACAAAAGTTTGAAATATCTTGCTCTATAGAGAAGGCCAATCATCTTTGGCTGGATCCTTCCTCTTCCCTGCCCACTTTCACCAGGCAAATATACTACTGAGTCCTTAAAAATCAGTTTTTAAACATCAAGAGACCCACTAGCACTGTTCCTCCATATAACAGCTAAATAAAAACTTGACGTTTCCTGCGCTGTTAACAAGAATAAGAAGTGGACACAATAATTTGTCCCGTCTTAACTATTCATCAAATCCTCATCTTATATCTTCTTCTTTTGAACTACAGTGGCAAGTAAAAGGCACCCTGGGGGCCTTACCAAAAACAAACAAACAAAAAAGACACTAAGGAATTCCACAACTAGAAACTCAGTTATCCAAATAAGAATACAACATCAACATTTAAAATGTATTTCATAACCACAACTCTTCAGTAAAATAAATATATTTTGGGGATGATATTCTGTTTGCTAAAAGACAGCCAAATTAAATGTGGGGCTAGGGGAGGGCTATTAAGAATACTTCCCCTAGAAAATGATGTCAAAGTTAGGATATGATGGATGAGTAGGAATTAGCAGGACAGAGACTGGAAAAAGGATATCTGGCAGGAGTACTAAGCAGGGAGGCAGCATTCTAGGTGCTAAGAACATAGAAGACTCTAAAGCAAAAAAGAACATTAAAATTTGCTTTGAAAATTAAGTAAGGCTGGTTTGTTGAGTGCACAGGAGAAGAGCAGCAAAGCTGAACAGGATAGCAGGGTACTAGGTTATAACCTTATAAAGTTATACTGAAACAACCGAATTTTTCCTAAATGTATTTGACAGGTATGTGACATCATATTTACCTTTTATAAAGATCACTACAGCTGCAACATGGATAATGTAATAGAGACAGGCAAGTCTAGGCCAGGAAGACAAGGGGAGAGTGGTAGTAATCCAGGAGAGAGATGGTGGTGACCCAGACAAGAGCAGTAGCTATAGGAATTGAGATGTAGGTATTTTAACCCAGGTGATGGAGCAGGAAGACAAGGAAGCAGGAGAAGCCAAAGATAACTGGGTAGGTGGTAGTATGGTAGTACCATTGTCAGAGATAAGAAGCCCAGGAGAAGATTGAGGGAGAGGTAAAATATAAAACCATTACCTTTTTTATCATGTTGTGTTTAAAGGATATTATGTGATATTAAGGTGGAAATGGCCAAAGGTAGCCAGTCCCACAGTTCAAGAGAGAGGTCTGGGCCAAAAACATAAATGTGGCAGTCATGAGCATATTGATAACTGAGGTCATGAGTGGGCAATATTGCTCATTGGAGTGCTGATGGAGTAAAAAAGGGAAAAAAGCCCCAGGTAGAACCTCAGAAAACATTTAAGTAAGGGTAAGCTACACTTGATCAAAAACTACATCTGTCTTATTCACTATTGTATCTCTGTCATTCAAACAGTACATGACATATATTGATGGCTCAATAAATTTTTGTTGCATAAATAACAGAGAAAAGAGTCAAAAATAATAATAAGGGGGAAGAATATAGCAGGAAACCAAAGCACTGAAGTATCACTGTAACAAGAAAACAGGATGAAAGCTTTTTATGAAAGTGGGAAAGGACAACTGTGTCAACTGTTACTAAGAAGGCAAGATAAAGGCTTTAAAAATTATGGGTGATCTTTTTTACTGCTACTACTAAGAAAAGAAATCAGACTACAATGGGTTAAGAAGTGACTAGGAGGTAGGGTTGTGGAGAAGATAATTCCTTTGCCAAGTGTGGTTCCGAGAGAGAGAAATAGGATAGAGGTTTTTGGTGTTGTTTCTGTAAGATAAAAGTGACTTCACCATACCTGAATGCTATTGAGAAGAAACTGGTAGAGGTTAGAGACACAGGATTAAGAAAAGACAAACACACAGGGCAAAAGGATAGGATTGAGATCACAGAATGTTGGCTTTCAATAAGAGGTTCAGATCTTTTATTCCAAGAGGAGGTAATAAGGATAGTAGGGGTGCGATGCAAGTAAGTCTGTAGGTTTGATGGTGCGTGGGGCACATACAAAGAGCACCTGATCCTACCATTAACCATGGAAGACTTCAAGAAAGAAGTAACAGCAAAAGAAAAAAAATAGATTTTTTTAAAAAAGTAATGATTAAAAAGAGACCTAAAAGTTAAGGACTAGTTAAGTATTATCCAGAGCAGATGGCTAGGGAGTATTCTAGTCAGAGGAAACCGAATATTTAATGAAAACCTGAAGGGAGATTTTATATTCAGAAGTTGATATATTTACCAAGTCCAACAATAAAGAGTAGGAAAGTTGGCTTGAGTTTAGAGTTGGCCCTTGGCTCAATTTCATTTGGGCTGCTGATATAGCTCAGGGAGAACTACCCTGAGCTACTCTGAATATCCCAATCAGAGTACTCTCTCTAATATTTGAGAAGAAGAATATTTGACGAACTGTGATCACTGATTCAACAGCCAGTCATCTATTCAGGAGTCAAATGCTTCATGAATAACTAAGTTCAAAGCATGATCCTTGATTCTGGAGACTGCAGAGAGAATACGGTATGTTTTATCACTCTTAAGGAACTCAGTCCTCTAATGGGTAGAATCAGTGAAATATTACCTGAGGCCCACAGGCCAAAGCAAATAAAGGTTGAGTATCCTTTATCCACAATGCTTGCGACAATCCACAATGCTTCTGATTTTGGATTTTTTTGGATTTTGGAATACTGGCATTATATAATACTTAGCAGTTAAGCATCCCTAATCCAAACATCCTAATTCCTCCCATGAGCATTTCCTTTGAGTGTCACGTGGACGCTCAAAAAGGTTTCAGATTTGGGGGCACTTCAGATTTTCAGATAAGGAATATTCAACCTGTAACAAGTACTCCCCCTTTTTGCACCTGACTCCCTCATTATTTTATGTCTCTTCCTCATCCCTCCCCTTCTTCTCCCAACATTTAGTGGCCATAAAATAAAAACATAGAAAATTTTAAACTTTTATTCTACTAACTGAATGCTGTTTCATATTTCTAACATCTCTAATTAAAAATTACATAAAGTCAACATTTTTTATTGTAAAGAAAAGAAAAAACAAAGTTATATTTGTAGAAGGCCCTTAATGGCGTTTTCCTGTATGTCAATGGCCTGAAAGGGTAATGACATTTGAGAACTTAACTTTCAGTAAATATACCAAAATGTTCAGGTAATATGATTTTAATTTTGCTGAAATACAATTCCGAAGGCTATATGAGCTGTGAAGATGGTATTCAAGAACAAGTCATCAATATGGTGAATGAGTCTGATAACTATCCAACACTCGATCTCAATGTAGCTCTTCTGTTCTTTGTTTTGTCCTTATGTTTGGTATTACTCTAGTTAATGAATTAAAACACAAACAAAAAACAATATTGTTTCTTTGAGAAAAAAGACCCAGAAATGGAGATCAATTGCTACTGTTAGTAATAACAGTAAGTAAAGGGATCTAAGAAAATCATTGTTTGCAAGTCTGGGGATTAGAAAAGATCTCTGAACACATCCCTCAACAAGATAGAAATTATCTACTGTATTTTACCCAGTCCCATGCCATCTTCTATCAATATGCTAAGCAAGAGCCAGAAAATTCTTAATATGACTAAAATCTGGAATCAGAAATTCTTAAAGATTTGATAATCAGCTACAAAAGCTAAGGCATTTTATCATACCATTAGACTCAAAATACCGGTTAGGAGAAATAAATGCCAGTGTCATAAATTACTACCTTACTAATGGATAGCATATAGCGGTTAGAGGTATGGACTAAGATACCTAAATTCTAGATTGTAGGACATATTTTGCTACTTAATAAATGTGTGCCCTTTGAAAGTCACTTAATCTGTATGTTAGCCAGTCCCTGGAGAAATGGACATTAAGATGAGACTAAACTTGGCAAGGATTTTATCTGGGCAAATATCCATGAGAACAGAAAATGGAGAGGAAGTTAGAGAAAGCTGGAAGAGTCATCAGACTACAATGCAGTTCTGACCCTGAGTGCAGATACGAGTGGGGAAAGGTTAGCAAGAAGCAACCTAGACTTCCCTGCAGTTTAAGGAAGGCTCAGCAAGAGCACTGGGAATCCTAAGGCTAAAGTCTGCCGTCAGGGGAATCCCATGTCTCCCAGGAGAAGGCCTCAGTATCCCTGCCGCACCCAGTCTCTGGCTGGCAGCAGCTCATGGGGTGCAAGACCTTGGGACAAATGTAGCAATGGGTTTCACAATCTAGTAGCTGGGGCCCTTAGTTAATTATGTTCCCTTTATACGGAGGTCTTCAAATTTCATTCTCATGACCACCACAACCTCTTCTGGGAGTTTTCACATCTATAAATACCCTATTTTTGTCCTTCCCATTTCACAAAGTTGTGCCAGGTACCATCGTAGGCACTAGGCATATAATGGTAAATAAGACAGATGTGGTCTCTGCCCTCAAAGAACTTACACTCTAGTGGAAGATCCAAAGAGGCAATTAAATACTGTGTGGACCATCCAGATTGTTACTCACTTGCAAACTTATTAATAGTATGACATATACAACTGAGTCCCAATTTATCAGCTTTATGTCTTACTAACTTCCCAACTCCACGGACCCTAAATGCTCCAGCCATCACATACATTTTATTGCCTCCCAAATGTAACATACTGATTCACACCTCCA
Source organism: Homo sapiens (assembly GCF_000001405.40). Taxonomy (NCBI): domain Eukaryota; kingdom Metazoa; phylum Chordata; class Mammalia; order Primates; family Hominidae; genus Homo; species Homo sapiens. The sequence goes on from NC_000005.10 coordinate 77,744,131, forward strand.
TGCCCTCATACCTATGGTTCTATCTAAAACATGACCTCTATTCAATCTCAAGATCCCACTCAAATGTCACCTGTGATAAGCCTTCCCTAATCCTAGAATAGTAGTTCTCAACATGGGCAATTGTGACAATTTCTGGAGACAATCTTGCTTGTCACAACTGTGTGTAGTGAGGGTTCTACTACCATCTAGTGGGTAGACGTCAGGGATGCTGCTAAATACCCCAATGTAAAGGACAGCCCTCCCTGCCCCCAGCAAAGTATTAGCCCAAAATATCGAAAGTGCCAAGTCTGAAAAACTGCCATAGAGGAAGTTTGTCATAACCTCCTCTGACCTCATGAAGCATTCTGTCCTTAACTACAGGACTTCTCTGAGCTTCCAGAAAACAGAATGTCTTATTCACCTTTTTTTTTTTTTTTTTTTTTTTGAGACAGAGTCTTGCTCTGTCACCACACTGGAGGACAGTGGCGCGATCTCGGCTCACTGCAACCTCCGCCTCCCAGGTTCAAGTGATTCTCCTGCCTCAGCCCCCCAAGCAGCTGGGATTACAGGCATCCACCACTATGCACGGCTAATTTTTGTATTTTTAGTAGAGACGGGGTTTCACCATGTTGGCCAGGCTGGTCTCGAACTCCTGACCTCAAGTGATCCACCCGCTTCGGCCTCCAAAAGTGCTGAGATTACAGGCGTGAGCCACTGCACCCAGCCTCTTATTCACCTTTCTTCATCCACAGTTTCCTCTCATATAAATTTGTCAAAGTATAAAAAGGTATAGCCAGTACACTGGTGTTACTCAACAGGTGTTCTCATCCTGGCTCTACCACTTCCCAGCTGTGTATCTTTGGGTACATTACTTAAACTAAATTTCTTCATCTGTAAAATGTGGGTCATTGCAACTACTTCACATTACATATTGTGAAAGTTAAATGACATACACATGAAGCGCTTAGCTAATGTAGATAACGGCACACAGTGAATGTTCAATAAATATCAACTAATGGTGTTGTTCCCATGCCTTTTTATGTTGCCAAAACAAGAAAAAGAAAGAAAAAGCTGGGGGCACAAGGCAGAGAAGGGAGATTTTAGAAGCAGAAAACATTAGTATTCAATAAAACAAGTATAAAAGTGATATTACCTTACTTTTATAATTATAAAAGAACTGCCTTTCCTATTTCAGTATTTTTCTCATCACTCATTGGTTTCAAAGCAGTACTTTGTAAATGTATTATTTGCAATTCAAAGAAATGCTGTAATATTTATTTGTAATTCAAAGTACTGTCTTTGCCACTAAAATTAGTCACAACTTTAGTTTTTCTTAGTAACAATTACAAGTATCACAAATTTCACAACTTTATCATAATATGAGGAAGACACTAGTCTGAATTTTCACAATGAGTTTAAACCTGAATATCTGATATTAAGGAATGTTAAGCTAGGGTGTATCATGAATTACGTGTTAAACAGCACTTACACTCTTTCAGCTAAGAACTGGTGATGGTATAGGGGGCCAATTTTGGCAAAAACTGAATAACAAAGTTCTGGTGAACAGTGGTCAATATTTAATATAGTGCCTTATACGTAGTAGATATTCTATAAATACCTGTTGAAATAAATCCAGTGAAGAAATTCTCAGGCTTAGGAAAATTTATCATAGTCTAGATTGGCAGTAACATTAGCAGCTGACAAGGGAGGTACTAGCTATCATTTCACATGTTCACTCACCAAAATTGTTGAACTCTGTTTATTGGAAAAGATTTATCCCTTGTGAAGAAAGTCAGGGACTTTTAATTACTATGGTAACCAATTAAAAGTGTAAGAAAGATGAGCTTCTGTATGCTTGCTGTTGGGTAAAGGATTAGTTGTTGATATCTTCAAGTTTACTGGTCATTTCTGTTTCAATAGTAGTAAAACTTGCATAAGAAGAGTAAACAGTTTTTCATCCCTTTGGTTCCCAACGGGGCATTTCGGCCTTTAGAGATATCTGAAAGTTGCCATTCAAAACCTGTTGCACTGTTTCAGGCCCGGCCGTGGTAGCTCAGACCTGTAATCCCAGCACTTAGGGAGGCCAAGGAAGAAGCATCACTTACGCTCAGGAGTTCCAGACTAGACTGGGCAACATATTGAGGCCCCGTCTCTATGAAAAAAATAAATAAAAATAAATAATTTTTTTAATAATGAAGACTTGTTTTACTTTTTCAATTATTTCTGATTTATAAGACCCTAGACAAGTGGGACATTAAATTGTAAATTTTGATACTAAAATAACATAAAAAGGGTTTATTTTAACTATATAGAAAGTATTCTGGGATAAGGGAAGATTGTCATACTATGCACTTGATCTTAATCAAAAGACTAATCCTAGCAAAACTGCAATGCCCCAATACTACCTTGAATCACTAACTTTTAGCAATAAACTCAATTCCTATGTCTAAACCTCCTTTTTCGATATTAACTTGGTAGACTTAATAACACAAACTGTACAAAACAGTCTCATGAATATTTTGTTTCTTTTTTTCCTTAATTTTTGAATAGGGATGAGAAACAATAGAAAACCACTTTGTGCACGTATCATTCATTTCTTGTAGCATTACAAATGTACCATCTGGACCACAGATTAAGTACTATGCTTATTTTTAAAGAAATACCAAAGCCCCAAATTTCTGGTAAAGTCTAAATTTATCCAAATCGTATACATCATAACATTAATCAATCCAACCAACATTTTCTTCAACATTTACTTATATCATGCAGTTTCTTCGAAATAAAATTGTTTTAAAAATCAAGCCAAATTTCTAATAGCTTTATATTTGAAATTACTATAAAAACATAAAACAGCAAAAACTAAAGGACCAAAGTCTTCTACAGCACTTCTCTAAAGTGCTATAAAAGTAATGCACCTAAACAAAAATTTAAGCTATTATACTCTAATGTGGAGGGAGTCAGCATTAAAAGTTTACTTACATTTTTAAGAAAATTACACTTTAAAAATCCTCCTTCCTCATACATACATACACTTACCAGCCAAATCTCTAAAAATTAAATTTATTTCAGGAAAATAACAAATACTTAAAATTTCATAGATGACAGTACTAAAAAATCTGGGAAAATTCTGGTCTTACTATGTGATTGAAAAAAATCAAATCGAAGAACTACTACTTTCACTACATATAACATTGTCAGTGAAAAATACTAGCATTTATTCATTTCAAATAACTTCTACAAAAAAATTTAATTACAATAATCAAAACGTAATATAAAATATTTACTACATTAAGAACTCTTAAAGACTACATAGAATCTAAACTTTTAGAGCAGTTAGCGTTCCTAAAAAGTATTCTGGAAAATGCACTGTGCTATAAGAATCAGATATGGCAAGCGTCTATAACTGCTCACTAATGTATCAAAAGCTTAGAAAACAAATATAGAAGTGTTAGTCTTTCTTTAAAAGACTAATGTCTATTAACAGCTTAAAACAGGGCACAGTAGGGGGTTAATATGTTGTTGTCCGAATCACTTTCATCAGTTTAAGTACCTATTAGTTCTTATTAGCAATGAGCTAGCAAGGTGCTATTGGTCTTTTAAAGTTTTTTCTGCTTCTTCTTATTCTATTTGGCTAGATAGATACTTTGGCAATAGTGTTTGAAACATGAAGTACAGATTCGTGTTTTTGTTTAGATTTTAGATTTTTGAATTTTAGATTTGTATTGAAAAATGTTTTCTCCTTTTAAGACTACATTCAGAAGGAAACTTGTTCAGCATATCTGTATGGTTAATTTGTTTTTATCTTATAATTTTCAAAAATATTCAACATAGTCTCCAAAATTTCTCCAAAGGGGAGAAATCAAGATGATCTTCTCAGAAACTAAAGCAATTCATATGCAAAGCCTCTTGAGATCACTAATACAGAACTGTTTACCAAGCTAACTTAGTTTCTAGCATAAGCAATGGTTATTCTTCAGCTATCACAAAATTATTTAAAAACTGAAATTCAAATGATAAAACTGAAAAAAATGGTTGAAGTTCACTGAACCTAGTTTCAAGGACTAAATGTTAAATAAAATCTAAGACTTAAAAAAATTTCAACAAAAAAGCCATTCTGAGGAATCCACATCTGTGAAATAACTGTAATGTAGTAATATGGAATGTTTCCCACAGTTCTGGCTCTACCAGTAATTAGCTGGGTAATCCTGAGCAAACTAATTACCACCTACTTCTCTTGTCTATTTCTGCGTGTGTGTGGAGAGAGAGATATGGAGGGGGAGAGAGGAATATGGGGGAGGGAGAGACTCAGAGACAGAAAATGAGAATATCTAAGAATCTCTAAGGGATACTTCATCAGCTCTACGATTTAGTTTTGCTTTTTTTTTTTAAGATTTTCTCCTTTTAGAACTATATTCAAAGTGAAATTAATTTAAATGGGTTAGCATCTCTGCCGGCCTAATTTGTTCTTATCTTAAAATTTACAATGATGTAGAAAGTACTTTCCTAAAAAAGCTAAACATACTTGGGCATTGCCACTTCTTGTACAGTTGACCCTTAAACAATGGAGACAGAATAGAAGTGCTGACCCTCCTAATGTTTGAAAATCTGCATAAAATTTTTGACTCCCCAAAAACTTTACTGATAACCTACTGTGGACCAGAAGCCTTACCAATAACATAAAGTCAATTAACACATATTTTGTACGTTATATGTATTACATGCTGTATTCTTACAATAAAATAATCTGGAGAAAAAATATTAAGACAATCATAAGGAAGAGAAAATACATTTACAGTATTGTACTGTGTTTACCAACACCTTAAGTTTATGTTGCCTGTTTACAAGAGGAACCATCTGCCTGAAATGGTGGCAAATGCAGCCACAGACCTCAATCTACAGGTACGTATCAAGCAATTCAACTTTTTCTTGTAATGTCATGACTTTTCTCTGCTTCTTTGGGGCACTTTCAGCACCACTAGTGGGTCCCATGGTGTTATTCAAGATTTACATTCAAGGTTTACATTATTGCACTAAACACAAAAAATACATGAGAACCGCGAGAGATCACTTTTTAATGTTAAAACACAATTTACTGAAGAGATGAACTGTTCACAAGAAGGTGATGAGTGTCAACACTGAGTGAGTCACAACAGCAACAAGAGGTGGCTACAAAATTATTACAGTAGTACAGCATGGACTACAGTTATTATATGCGTAATAATACTGCATCTTTACACTTGTTTACATTTCTCAACCACAAATTATGCTATGCATGTTCTGTGTTTATATGTTTTGATAAATTTTAACTTTGTATAACAGATGTGTGCATATTTTATGGTAGCAAATGATAAAATGGACTAGTGTCTACACATATTTCATATATTTATGACATACCTAACTTTGTTTTAATTTCTTTGATATTTCAACTGTACTGTCTTACAGTGTAATTATTTCCAGACCAAAAGGCCGTGTTAACAAAATACTGTATAAATCATTAGTAGAACTATAAATAGTCAATAGAACTCTTTAAGGCCAATTTGCCAATATCTCTCAATACGTAAAACACACATAGTACCCTTTAAGCCGGCAATTGCACTTGTAGGAATTTATTCTACAGATAAATCTGCCAATTTGTAAAGCAACAAACAAGGAAATTCACAGTAGCATTTTCCAAAACAGCAAAACTTTGGAAACAATATAAAGGTCCATCAATAGAAGACTAGTTTTTTTTAAATGTGGTATGTCCATTCCGAATACTTTGCAGTCTTTAAAAGGAACGAGGCTGCTCTACATGTTCTAATGTTAAATGCAATGTAAAAAAGTATCTAGAAAGTATACTACCATTTGCATTTGAAGATATGTATGTAAATACTTGTGCATGCACAGAACATTTCTGGAAAGAGACACCAAAAAATGAATAATGATGTTCGCTCCAGGAGGGTTTCTCAGCTGGGTGGCTGGTGGACAGGGATTCCTGTTTCCTGTTTCACCGTATACCTCTTTGTACCTTTGCAAATTTGTGCTCTCTCTCTATATATATAGAGAGAGAGCACAAATATATATATATAGCACAAATACATATACACACACACATATTTGTGCCATGTATGATATACATATGATATATATATCCTATTCAAAAAATTACTCAAATATTTTAAAATATATTAAATTTTAAAGGGACATAAGGAGTAAGACACTGTTTCTGTCCTCAAGAAACTTGAAATGTCACAAAGTAAATTCATTCATTTTACAATATTTATCAAGATTTCTTTTTGTGCCAGGGCTCTGGGGATGTGTTCCTGACTCACGAAGTTTATACTAGTGGAGATTAATGTACAATACTATGGTGTCTAAAAAAGGTCTAGTCCAAGTAAAGCAAGAATCAGAGAGCAGACTTCTGATAATCTCAGTTTTCACATCACTATCCAGAAGTAAAACTAGTCTGAGTTCACCTAAAATAATTAGTAGTAGCAAAAGAAGCAGTGACAGACATAAGCAGAAGCTATTGAAAAGAAAAAAATAGTAAGAGGCACATTTGGCCAACAATATCACCTTTGTGAACTCAAAATATCAGAGACAAGTCTCTGTCAATTTAGAAATTTTATTTTGCCAAGATTAAAGACGCACCAGTGAAACAGACTTCAGGAGGTCCTGAGGCCAGGTGGTCCGGGTACAGCTTGCTTTTGTACGTTTTAGGGAGACATAATACATTAGTCAACACATGTAAAATTTACATTGGTTTGATCTGGAAGGGTGGGACAACTCAAAGGCAAGGTGCTTCCAGGTCATCGGTAGATTTAAACATATTCTGATTAGCAATTGGTTGAAAGAGTTATTATCAGTAGAAAGGAGTGTCTGGGTTAAGATAAGGGTTATGAAGACCAAGGTTTTGTCATGCAGATGAAGCCTCCAGGTAGCAAGCTTCAGAGAAAATAGACTGTAATTGTTATCACACTTAAGGTCTGTTGATGTTAATGCTGGAGGGGTATAATGAAGCCTGTCTGACTCCCAGTTCCCATTACGGCCTGACCAGTCTTTCTTTCTTTCTTTTTTTTTTTTTTTTTTTTTTTGAGACACAGTTTCGCTCTTGTTGCCCTGGAGTACAATGGCGCAATCTCAGCTCACTGCAACCTCCGCCTCCCAGGTTCAAGTGATTCTCCTGCCTCAGCTTCCTGGGTAGCTGGGATTATAGGCGCCCACCACCACGCCCAGCTAATTTTTTGTATTTTTTAGTAAAGACAATTTTTTGTATTTTTTAGTTTCACTATGTTGGCCAGGCTGGTCTCGAAATCCTGACCTCAGGCGATCCACCTGCCTCGGGCTCCTAAAGTGCTGGGATTACACGCATGAGCCACCGCGCCGGCCAGCCTGACCAGTCTTTCAGGTTAAATTTTAGTGCCCTGGCCAAGAAGGGAGTCCATTAAGATGGTTGGGGGTGGGGGAGGGTTCCAATTTTATTTTTGATTTACATTCTCCCCAGAGGAGATGTGGCCAGAGGCAACATCAATGGCCACCAAATCTTAATTTTGTCCCATAGCACTGTAACCGCCCAAGGGGTTCACCCTGCCCACTGCCTAGACAGAGCCAATTCATCAAGACAGGGGAACTGCAAGAGAAAGAGTAATTCACATGGAGCCAGCTGTGTGGGAGACCAGAGTTTTATTATTACTCAAATCAGTCTCCCTGAGCATTCAGGGATCAGAGTTTCTATGAATAATTTGGTGGGTGGGAGGAAGCCAGTGAGCCAGGAGTGCTGATTGGTTAGAGATTAAATCATAGGGAGTCAAAGCTGTCTTCTTGCGCTCAGTCAGTTCCTGGGTAGGGGGTGCCACAAGATCAGATGAGCCAGTTTATTGATCTGGGTGGTACCAAGATCATCTGGTCCAATAGGCTGGTTGCAAGAATAACCTCCTGTGCATCTGGATCACATATACTCGTCAGCAATTGTTTAATTGCTGTGGGTCCTGCATCAACCCAAACAAGCTCCTTCATTTTGCAGCATTTACAATTAAGAAATTTGTCCTTAAAGTAGTTATTTTTACAATCCATTATAGTAAAGGTTTCTCAGGAAGCTGATGATACCAGCCTACGAAATGGAACAATTTGTTTACATTATACCATATGGTTTAATAGTTACTTGGTTTTACCCTTCCCCCACATTAACTATCTTCTCTGTAACCACAGGTCTCAGAGGTAACTTTTGTTTAGTTTTTTCTTTTTATCCATTTAGGTTTATCTGTATAATTTTTTCCTTCCTTCCTTCCGATTTTCCTTTCTGGCTTAGTTTTTTCTTTTTATCCATTTAGTTTTATCTGATCTCCGCTCACTGCAACCTCCGCCTCCCAGGTTCAAATGATCCTACTGCCTCAGCCTCCAAAGTAGCTGGGATTACAGGCACATGCCACCATGTCCGGCTTATTTTTGTTTTGTTTTGTTTTGTTTTGTTTTTCTTTTTTTGAGACGGAGTCTCGCTCTGTCGCCCAGGCCGGACTGCGGACTGCAGTGGCGCAATCTCGGCTCACTGCAAGCTCCGCTTCCCGGGTTCACGCCATTCTCCTGCCTCAGCCTCCCGAGTAGCTGGGACTACAGGCGCCCGCCACCGCGCCCGGCTAATTTTTTGTATTTTTAGTAGAGACGGGGTTTCACCTTGTTAGCCAGGATGGTCTCGATCTCCTGACCTCATGATCCACCCGCCTCGGCCTCCCAAAGTGCTGGGATTACAGGCGTGAGCCACCGCGCCCGGCCTCCGGCTTATTTTTAATAGAGACGGAGTTTCACCATGCTGGCCAGGCTAGTCTCAAACTACTGACTTCAAGTTAATCTGTCCACCTCAGCCTCTCAAAGTGCGGGGATTACAGGTATGAGCCACCGCACCCGGCCTAATTTTTTCTTTATTTTAAAGCAACTCTTAAAAAAAAATTACATTTTCTTTAGCAAAATCCACATCCTTGTGTTTTATAAACTTCACTGAAAACATGTTCTACACTCCTGCTACCTAACTCCTAAGAACCCAAATTCCCAGTGGGGGAGAAAAAAAAATGAGGTTTTAATTTAACAAAACATGACCTTAAGATTTTAAACTACTGAAGAGAATTTTGAGATCAAATTTACCAAATTAACCTTACCAAAGATTACCAAAGTCATGTGAATTAAAAGGCATGTGAGCTAGCTTCTATCAGAATGGCAAGCCCTTACTTTTCTTTAAGTCAATTGATTAGAGCTCTTTCACACAGTTTAATAGTGAAGTATCACTTTCTCCTGACACATATACAGATATAAGAGACATGCAGACAAAAGCAGATCCAACATTTTTCACCTGCTTTTTTAAAAACATTCCCTCCCTTACTTTAAACCATTAATTTAAAAAATGTTACAACAAAAGCTGAAGCAGAAAGTTACCATCCCAGGCCTTCATAAAAGAGAGAAGGAGGTAAGGCAGCAGGGTATAGCTTCTGAGATATCGTGAATAACTTCAAAATGAGACAGATTACAGAATTTAAAAATTAAAAACATCTTGCTTTGAGTAACTATTTTTAATGACATCTTGTTTTAACCAATTATTTAATTCTGTATTAGGGTATTTTTAATATCAAAGTTCAATTTTAACAAAAACTATTATAGTTTCCTTTAATTATAGCCAATTAATCACATAATATTTTTTGTTTGTTTTCATTCTCGCTCTGTTGCCCAGGCTGGAGTGCAGTGGTGCCATCTTGGTTTACTGCAACCTCTGCCTCCTGGGTTCAAGTGATTCTCCTGCTTCAGCCTCATGAGTAGCTGGGATTACAGGCATGCACCACCACACCCGACTAATTGCATTTTTAGTAGAGACAGGGTTTCACCATGTTGGCCACGCTGGTCTCGAACTCCTGACTTCAAGTGATCTACCTACCTTGACCTCCCAAAATGCTGGGATTACAGGTGTGAGCCACTGCCCCCAGCCAGTCACATAATATTTGTATAAATTCCTTTTTTATTAACCTTATTAAAACTTAGACCATTCACAGCATGTCTGGACTCTATGGCTTGTCCTGAATATTTCTCTTTCTTGAAGAACCCAGTCATTTTATTTTAGGATAAAAATTCACCATACAAGACTCTTTCTCACATAAAATTACTTTTCTTTAACCTTTCTTACCAAAAATACCTATTTATTTCTATAACTTTCTTTACATCTCTCTTACTTCCTGGTCCCTTTTACCTTGTTTTATACATAACCTTTAAATAAGCTTTGAATTAGACAAATTATTTACCTTTTAATAAGAATATATTTTTTAGAATGTTTTCCTACAATGCGTTTTTTAAATTGAAAAATATCCAGACATTTAATGAAATATTCAGTATAACTTTAGATTCTAATTTATGACAAGTTTATTTACAAGTATTTATTCCACTACATTTACTTAACAGTTTACCTAGATTATTTATGAAAACTGTGACAGTCATCATGTAAAGTTATTTCCCTGTCAACCATTTTTATATCCTGTGAATTTTGGGTGATTACCTAAGTAAGAACCTTAAGATTATATACAGGGTTATTTTACCAGTAATTCAAGATATAGCTGTTTTCATTAAACCAATATTAATGTCTTATTAAAAATTACACAACCAAAGATCATTCTGGTTTTGGCTGGGTTTATTTTTTAAACCTTAGAGTATTTGGCAGAGATAAAAATGAAATTGTTTCATCAATAAATGCAAACAAAAATGCTGACAATTCTTAAGACATTTCTAATATTATTTTACCAATAATTTAAAAGTTACATTATTAAATATTTTACTTCAGTCATGTGAACTTGAAAAGTATTTGGGATTATTATTTAATTTATGAGTACTCTTTTAGCTAAATTTGGTACCTTGCGGCCAAAAACACACAACAAAATACATGTAGCTATACATAAACACACACATACTCATAAAAACAAAGTTCTACAGCTTTTACTTCAGAACTCTAGCCATGAGATAGTAATACAAACTCACTGGTTTGCAAAAACAATAACAAAAAGAAATGGTTGGATTCATACAGTGGATTTTATCTCAGTAGAAAAGTAGCAGCAGACTTAAAGCAGGCAGAAAAGAAAGCAGAGAGACAGAGAACTTAGGAATTTTATAGTTACAGGTTAACCTTTGGGATCTGACTCTTCCTCAATGTAATTTGCCCATCAGTTTAAAATGTGCACAAGAGGCCAGGCACGGTGGCTCACACCTGTAATCCCGGCACTTTGGGAGGCCAAGGTGAGCAGATCATGAGGTCAGGAGCTCAAGACCAGCCTGACCAACAAGGTGAAACCCTGTCTCTAATAAAAATATAAAAATTAGCCGTGTGTGGTGGTGCACGCCTGTAATCCCAGCTACTCAGGAGGGCTGAGGCAGAATTGCTTGAACCTGGGAGGTGGAGGTTGCAGTGAGCCAAGATCATGACACTGCACTCCAGCCTGGGCACAGAGCGAGACTCCATCTCAAAAAATAAATAAAAATTTAAAATAATAAATAAATAAAATGTGCACAAGAACAGACCTAATATGTAACTAGCTGGAGTATTAGAAAACCTGGCATGCTCTTCCATTTATATAACCATTTGCAACTAGAGGCACCATAAAACCAAATAGGGGCCGGGTGCAGGGGCTCACACCTGTAATCCCAGCACTTTGGGAGGCCAAGGAGGGCAGATCACCTGAAGTTCGGAATTTGAGACTAGCATAACCAACATGGAAAAACCCTGTCTCTACTAAGAATACAAAATTAGCTAGGAGTGGTGGCGCATGCCTGTAATCCCAGCTACTCAGGAGGCTGAGGCGGGAGGATAGCTCGAACCCGGGAGGCGGAGGTTGCGGTGAGCAGTGATGGCACCATTTGCATTCCAGCTGGGTCAACAAGAGCGAAACTTTATCTCAAAAAACAACAACAACAAAAAAAAAAACACAAATGGGTTGCCCAAGGGGGGTCGTTCTCCTTGTTTTTCCTCATTATTAGATGATTTGTTTGTCACATTTTTTTAAAAGGAGGAACCAGACCGCAGCCTAGGATTTCGTGTAGTGGGTCCAAGTGTGCTGATTGTGGGGAGGACTCAACAGTGTGTCACCATGGAGTCATTTCCACCCTCCTACGTCTCAATTTTTCTCTCCAGAGGTCTAGCACCTTCCAGAGGGCTCAAAGTGCAGAGTGACCAGCTCCTATATGCATTTCCTAGACAAGCCTTTTTAAACTAATTGTGTTGGGAGTTCCCTGTAGGGCTGCTGCACAAGTCACAAGGGGTAAACCCCCCAGACACTCCCATTGGGCTCCCGGTCACTCAGAGGCACCTTCTGGTTGGGAGGAGCACAATGACCTTTATCTTCAGAGCTGAGGAAACACAATCTCTCATTTATCTATGAAAATGACTTTTCAGTTTCTCAGGTGAATGTGCAGACAAGCCAATGGAGATTAATTTTGGAAGGAAAGGCAATGAAGACTTTAGAATCTTCTAAAGAATCTTGCCCGCTAGAATTAGCATCCTAAAGAACAACTTCCTAAGAGGAAAAAAAAAAAAAAACAGCTAGGACTGCTTCCTATAAATTGTCCTCAGCCACCTTTAACTTTGTAGTTCTCATCCACCATTACACACACCAAGGTCAAATCCTTTCACTGTACAGGGTAGTCTCTGGAACCCCCGAAAGCCAAAGAGATCAGGTAATGCAATATGGGAAAGCAGAGCGTTAGACCTAAGAAGAATCTGCCCATGACCCTTGAAACTCCACAAACAGAACACCCCAAAAACAGGTGAATGCACCTTTGTTGTGAGTTCTTTAAGAGTTCGAGTCATTAAAAGCCTTCTCTAGACCTTTTCTTGGTACCAAAGATGGCAAAAGGGGTAAGGAGCAATAGAGTGTAAGAAAAGTAATGAAAGAACAATTTTTTTTTAAGACAGGAAACAAATACAGAAACCAAGTGCTTGGTTTTATTCTGGTTTTCTTTTTGCAAGTGTAAGGAATTTTAGCCAATTCAGAGGCTTTGTTCCCCATAATTTGGAATTCTCATTCAGATCTGACCACGTCAGGTAGAGTTGGTCAAATCTGATGGGACAAAGACCAGAACAACAACAACAACAAAAAATCCAACAATATGATTACAGAGTGCTCTAATGGTAAGCAGAAATTAAGGCCAGCTGGTTGTTCATCTTAACTTTAGCCCAGAAAAAAACCCCAATTCAGCTACTTGCCTAGGAACGGGACCCCAGCTAAAGACTGCTCTCTAGCATCCTAGAGGCAGGAAAAAAACTCAAGCTCGCCTTTCCTGTTGGAAGTGAGCTGAAACTTCAGAAAGGAGTTAGTTACCTGCCTTCCACCATCATGGAAGCAGGAAAACTTGCCTTCCTTGTTGGAAGCAAGTAAAATTCCAGAAAAGGAGTTGTACAGCAACAACAACAACAAAAAACAACTTTAGATCTCAACCAAATTTTGGGACATCAGGGATTCTCTGGAGGCAGGGGTTCCTAGGCCTCAGCCAATTGTCCTGTTGGTTTGAGCCATAAAGATAGCCCAAGCTGGTACCAAGCACCAATAGATTTGTCAAAGGTCAGAGCCACCTCCACTCAGAATCCCTCCCGTGGTTACCAAACATGAATTCAAAATATCTGAGACCAGTCTCAGTCAATTTGGAAAGTTTATTTTGCCTAGGTTAAGGATGTGCCCGTGACATAGCCTCAGGAGGTCCTGATGACATGTGCCCAAGGTGGCTGGAGTACAGTTTGCTTTTATATATTTTAGAGAGATACAAGGTCAAGGGTAGAAGGTATCTGAGTCTCATGGCACCAAATATGTTAGGGGTGGCAAATCTGTACGGGTCTGCAGCAATCTCAATTCTTGCCTCCTCAGAAGAAAGAATTCGACTGAGGGGTATAAGGTAGAAAAAGAGAATGAGGCAAGTTTCAGATCAGGAGCAGAAGTTTATTAAAAAGCTTTAGAACAGGAAAGGAAAGTACACTTGGAAGAGACCTGAGAGGGTAACCTAAAGTACAAGTGTGGCGTTTGACCTTTTGATTTGGGGTTTTATATGTTGGCATGAGGGAAGAGAGAGACCCTCTCATATTGTTTTATATTGTTTTATACTCAGTACCTGTTTTAAGAAAAAAACAAGAAAGTGAAATCAAAGACAGGCGGCCTGGCACCAGGCCCAAAACCAGGCCTGGGCCTGCCTGGCCTAAACCTAGTAGTTAAAAATCAACTCACGACTTAGAACCTGATGTTATCCATGGATTCCAGGCATTGTAAAGAAGAACATTTTGAAACTCCCTGTTCTGTTCTGTTTCACTCTGACCCCTGTCACATATCCCCTAGATTGCTTAATCAATCACGACCCTTTCATGTGAAATCTTTAGTGTTGTGAGCCCTTAAAAGGGACAGGAATTGCTCACTCGGAGAGCTCGGATTTTAAGACAGTAGCTTGCCGATGCTCCCAGCTGAATAAAGCCCTTCCTTCTACAACACGGTGTCTGAGAGGTTTTGTCCACGGCTCGTCCTGCTACAGGCATACTTCCAGGGTCTTGTGTCCCTTTCCCCATGACTCTTCACTTAGTGTGGGCTGCCTTCATGTGTAGTGCTCTCCTTACACTTGGGAGGTGAGCATGCACAGTGTGTTTAGGAAGTTGTATGTATGCCTGCCTGAGGCATTCTTCCTTCTTCCAGTGGAATGCCCCCAGGTCATTCTCTGCCATTTTCTCTTAATGCACATGCCCGGGTTCACTTGCTCAATTCCTAACATTTTATTGGAGACTGACTGCCAATTTTAAGTATTATCTGTTTGGGAAATTGCTGCTCCCTGCTGTCTGTGATCAATTATCACTTTAGTGTGACAACCGGGGACCATCAGGAAACTGCTTCTCCCTGGCACCAACTGCCGATTATCATTTTTAGAGAGGCAGTGGGATAACTGCCAAACCATCACCTGACGGTCACCTGACACTCCTGGTGGGGGGGTAGGTGGGAAACCCTTTCCTGCCCACCTCATGCCTGGCTATAGCTACCTACTGTAACAATAATATATCAGTCAATACATGTAAGATTTGCATTGGTTTGATCTGGAAGGGCAGGACAAATCAAAGAGCGGGGACGCTTCCAGGTCATAGGTAGATTTAAACATATTCTGATTGGTAATTGGTTGAGTTATTATCCGTAGAAAGGAACATCTGGGTTAAGATAAGGAGTTGTGGAGATCAAGGTTTTATCATGCAGATGAAGCCTCCAGGTAGCAGACTTCAGAGAAAATAGATTGTAATTGTTTCTTATCAGATTTAAGGTCTCTGTTGATGTTAATGCTGGAGGGGTATAATGAGGTATGTGCGACTCCTACTTCCCATAATGGTCTGAACCAATGTTTCAGGTTAAATTTTACAGTGCCCTGGCTGAGGAGGGAGTCCATTCAGATGGTTATGGGGGGCCTTTGAATTTTATTTTTGGTTTACGCATCAAAGCAAGAGATAAAAAATTTAAAGTAAGCATAAAACCAGGTTATTACACAATATAATCCAAGCATTTTCCAATTAAAGACTCAGTTATGCTGCAAAGATGCCTATTAATGTGAGGTGTTTAGGCATCTCAGTAGGCATTTTCCATAGGAAAAATGTTACACTTGGTGTTAAACTTCAGAAGCATCCCACAAAAGCCTATTTAATGTATTTCAATGGGCATGAAACATGATTCACAGAATACTATGTATACTTTGTATAAGTATGTATACTTATACAATATACTTATAAGTATGCATAATTAGTAAAAATTCAGAATTCCAACTTAGATGCCAAGAAGGCCTGCTAATTCATTACAGTCCTTGCCATTGAAGTGGTGACTATTCTACCTCCTAAGAGCTAAGATGAGAAACTAGAACAGAAGCAATGTCAGAGTTTGAGAATAAATGACTGGGATTCCAAGGCAAAATAGGTTTATCTGCCCTTTTTCTTCTTCTCCCTTTTATCCTCCTTAATCAGAGAACAGCACTGAACTGGACAAGAGTTGAGAGAAGAGGGGAGGGTTGAAGAAAAGACAGCATTTGATTCTCTTTCCTACTTCTAACACAGAGGATCAGTCCTCAATAGGACACTGAAATGGAGGGAAACTGAAAGGCTAAAGCTGAACCTAAAGCAACAGCAGAATTTAGAAGACATAGGAGGGAAGGAAGTAAATCCCTAGCCAGTTTATGTAAGGAAAAAAATCACTCTTTATGTTATACATAGGTATACATAAATTAGGAATTTGAGTAATTATTTCAATTAATACTCTACGGCCCTCCCTTCCTTCCTCCTTTTTCCTTTCCTTTCCTTTCCTCCTTTCCTCTCCTTTCCTCTCCTTTCTTTCTTTCGACAGTCTCCCTCTGTTGCCAAGGCTGGACTGTACTGCCGTGATCTCGGCTCACTGCAACCTCCCGGCCTCGGGCTCCCATGATTCTCCTGCCTCGGCCTGCCGAGTGCCTAGGATTACAGGCACGCGCCACCACGCCTGACTGGTTTTTGTATTTTTGGTGGAAACGGGGTTTCGCCGTGTTGGCCGGGCTGGTCTCCAGCTCCTGACCTCTAGTGATCCGCCTGCCTCGGGCTCCCGAGGTGCTGGGATTGCAGACGGAGTCTCGCTCACTCAGTGCTCAATGTTGCCCAGGCTGGAGTGCAGTGGCATGATCTCAGCTCGCTACAACCTCCACCTCCCAGCCGCCTGCCTTGGCCTCCCAAAGTGCTAAGATTACAGCCTCTGCCCGGCTGCCACCCCGTCTAGGAAGTAAGGAGCGTCTCTGCCTGGCCACCCATCGTCTGGGATGTGAGGAGCCCCTCTGCCTGGCCACCCATCGTCTGGGAAGGGAGGAGCACCTCTGCCCGGCCACCCATCGTCTGGGAAGTGAGGAGCGCCTCTGCCCGGCCGCCACCCCGTCTGGGAAGTGAGGAGCACCTCTGCCCGGCTGCCGCCCCGTCTGGGAAGTGAGGAGCGCCTCTGCCTGGCCACTGTGCAATCCTCCAAGTGTGAAGTGACAGCCTTTCTGCAGGTGTACCCAACAGCTCCGAAGAGACAGCGACCATCGAGAACGGGCCATGATGATGATGGTGGTTTTGTCGAAAAGAAAAGGGGGAAATGTGGGGAAAAGAAAGAGAGATCAGATTGTTACCGTGTCTGTGTAGAAAGAAGTAGACATAGGAGACTCCATTTTGTTCTGTACTAAGAAAAATTCTTCTGCCTTGGGATGCTGTTAATCTATAACCTTACCCCCAACCCCGTGCTCTCTGAAACATGTGCTGTTGTCAACTCAGGGTTAAATGGATTAAGGGCGGTGCAAGATGTGCTTTGTTAAACAGATGCTTGAAGGCAGCATGCTCCTTAAGAGTCATCACCACTCCCTAATCTCAAGTACCCAGGGACACAAACACTGTGGAAGGCCACAGGGACGTCTGCCTAGGAAAACCAGAGACCTTTGTTCACGTGTTTATCTGCTGACCTTCTCTCCACTATTATCCTATGACCCTGCCACATCCCCCTCTCCGAGAAACACCCAAGAATGATCAATAAATACTTAAAAAAAAAAATACTCTAATGCAAGTAACACGTTTTCAATTCAGGGAATTTAATCACTTTTTTTTTTTTTTGGCTAGTGTAACTAAAATGCAGGGAAGACCTGCTTGAAGGCTGGCTGATCCAGCCGTCCAACAGATGTTTCCATCAAGGACTTTGTTTTTGTCTCTTCACTCTGCTATTTATAATACAAGCTACCTCCCAAGGCCAGATGCTCTAGTGCTAAAAGAAGACTGCAGCCACAATCAGAGTTACATGGGAAAGTTTAATACTTCTGTCTCAGAATTCTAAGCAAGAGTTCTGAAATTTACCCTGTTTAGATTAGTCTAAATCACATGACCATGCAGAATCAGTTTCTGTGGCCAGGAAAACGGAATGCCTTTAATAAGTCTAATAGGCCCCCACCAAAGCTGCTGTAGGTGAGGCACTCTCCTTCAAAGAACACAGGCTATGTGCATGTGGGGAAGGACAGTAGATACTGGAATGAAAATACAGGTAGTTATCATGAAAAGCAAAATTACTGTGGAAGTAGCCAGAGTGTTCACTAGATGTTTGCAATGAAGACAGTCATCACCAAATACTATATACCATATTGCCCATTTAAAAGAAATGTATTAGAATTATTCTATTTATAAACAAAAGACAAAGTTGTCTCCCAAGACTAATTCTACTTAATGTAATACTAAAAATGCTAGCATAGTTTAAAAAGATTAATACGTAGAAAATGAAAATATCAATTTTAAGGTCTATTTATTTTCTTTTTTAAGAAAATAGTACTTTTTAATTGTGGTAGTAGTGCTGAGGACAAGCAGAGAAGATGAGGGGTATAATCTGCCAGGTTTTTAAATCTATGGCATTGGCAATTATAAACCACACGGTATTGGGTTAAAAACATTATCAACAAATAATTCAATCTTTCTTTAGAAATGCTATGCCAAACTTAAGAATTCAAGGTACCATAAGTCTAATTAACAATAATGAAAAGAACCACTCAAAAAGTATTATTATTGGCATTCTTTGGCTTCAGCTCCTGAAAAACAGAGCACCAAGAGGGTTTTCAGGACCCAGTATACAAACCACTATCTATAGGCCTCCCCTCACTCTCCACACACCCTTAACTAAGTGCACAGTCCTGGAAACAGGTAGGGCTGAAAGTCTCCCCTCTCCACCAGGGAAAAACTCTGGGTTGTCTAAGGTATATATGTACATCATTCTATACAAGGCAGAAGAAGATGATTAAGTGAGTGAGTGTGGGTCTGGAGCCTCACACCCTCTTTTTTTCTTTTGCTATTTATCTTGGAGACGCTTGTTTAAAAAGACAAGCGGCCGGGCGCGGTGGCTCACGCCTGTAATCCCAGCACTTTGGGAGGCCGAGGCAGGCGGATCACGAGGTCAGGAGATAGAGACCATCCTGGATAACATGGTGAAACCCCGTCTCTACTAAAAATACAAAAAAATTAGCCGGGCGTGATGGCGGGCGCCTGTAGTCCCAGCTACGCGGGAGGCTGAGGCAGGAGAATGGCGTGAACCCGGGAGGCGGAGCTTGCAGTGAGTCGAGATTGCGCCACTGCACTCCTGCCTGGGCGACAGAGCAAGACTCCGTCTCAAAAAAAATAAATAAATAAAATAAATAAATAAATAAAAAGACAAGCAAAACAATTTTTTTCCAAAATGAAAACTAAACAAAGACAGTATAATGGAGTAAAATTAAGAAGTCTATCAAGTATTGGAGAGGATGTGGGTCAATGAAAGGAATTCCCACATAATGCAGCTGGGAACATAAAAGGGTACAATCCCTTTGGAAGTCTGGCATTGCAAGCGACTAAATGTTTGTGTGCCCATCCCTTCCTCCCAACCCCAATGCCCCAATTCATATATCTTAACGTTCAATGTAACGCTATTAGGAGATGGGGTCTTTGGAAGGTAATGAAATCAAGAGGGTGGAGCCCTCATGAATGAGATTAGTGCCCTTGTAAAAGAGACCTCAGAGAGCTCTCCAGATCTCTTCCCACCACTCGAGGATACAATGAGAAGACAGCAGTCCTCAACCCAAAGAGAGCCCTCACCAGAATGTGACCATGCTAGCACCCTAAATCTCAGACTTCCAGCCTCCAGAACTTTGAGAAATAAATTCTATCATTTATAAGCCACCCAGTCTATGGTATGTTGTTAGGGCAGCTTGAACTAAGATACGCATCTTACAAGATGAATACTCACATACTTATGACCAAACGATTTCATTCCTGGGTATATACCCAAGAAAAACCCTCAGACATAATTAACAGAGACATGAACAAGAATGTACATAGAAACACAGTTAATAAGTGAAACAATCCAAATGCTCATCAATAAGAGGAATGGATAAATTGCGGTATTATCAAACAATGGAGTATTACACAACCATCAAAAAAATGTACTGCACCTAAGAGTAAAAATTTAGGGCTGAATCCTATCAACATAGGTGAAAAATGGTAAGTCCCAGAAAATGCCCTTCTTATAAAGTAAAAAATAACCAAAAGTAAATGACACGTTTTAGCAATACACAAATAAAATTATATTTTAAAAGGTAATAATAAACACAAGATTAAAAATAGTAGTTACATCAGGTGGGGGTAATAGCACAAAATTAGATGTTATTACCACTGTTTTACTTCTTGTGCTAGGTGATGGACTCATGTTATTAATACACTATTTGAAAGTAATAAATACAGGCATACAGCAAACAAATGAGGGCTGTGCATGGACCAATAATGAGTATGTGGCATAAATCAAGGATTAAGATTAATTCAGTTCTACACAACCAGTAACCAAAGAAAGAAAATACTACTGGGGTAACTAATTTGGATTCATTCCTTACAGCACACTTAAGTCTCCCATCTTTATTTTTAACTCTGTTCACCTCTTTAAAAAGTTTATAGCAATATTCAGAAAAAAAACTAATTTATAGAAAATTTCAGTGTGATTCGATGAAGCAAGTATATATTTGGGGAAATGTTTTCCTAAAGGTATCTTTAAAAATACTTTTAGCACTTGAAGGATTAAATCTCAACCAATGGTAAAATATGTATGTGAAACACTTTATTCACCAATAATATAGAGTATTACAGTGCTTTCTTATCTTCTGTTAGAATTAACCAAAAACAACTCAAAACTGTCTCCTTTTTCCACACAACCCAAAAGTCATTGCTAGCCATCCCAATATAAATTCTCCATCCCAAACAAGAAAACATCTTGCTTGATGTGATCTGAATCTGGACTCTACCCAAGGAGCTTTGTTTATGTGAATTATCTCTATTAATATTTACTGTATTAGAAATTAAAATAAATTTTTTAAATATTTAGTTAGAAAAATTTTAAATATATTTGTTAATTTACTTAAAAATAACAAAATCAATGTACAATGTTAGCAAAAATAACCTATTTTGCGAAAAATAATCTTACTTTCCAAAACAAAACAAAAAATAGAAAAACGGCACTATTTTACATTTTTGCAAATCTTTATGTCTGGAAGAGAAGCAGCTGGATTCTCGTATCTGCTTCTACATTCAATCTGTTGCAGTATCAAACATCACATAGCCCCTGAAAAACTCCACTGTACAATTGTGAGCAAGTGAAAGTGAAAAAGGCAAATGTCTTAGTTACTATAAAACTAATTTCTACTTTGCAGAACCCCTGAATGGGTGTTAGGGACCCCAAGGGGTTCCTAGACCATACTTTGGAAGCTATCAGCCTAGTAAACAGAACAAATAGCTTAATGCATTTTTAGTACTATCATAGTGAAAACTACAAAGTTCTCTGGGAACACAGAAAAGGGGGCACTAACATTGGACATAGCCAGGAAACTCTCATAGAGATGGTGACACCTGAAGCCCAAGTCCTTACATGAAGTCCTTCTAAGATCTGTACCCTCTCCCTCCTACTTTTCTGAATCTCCTACCCCCTTTTCCTCTCTTTCACTTGGTTGCTGCTCCTCAAACACGCCAATCTTACTCCCTTTTTCAAGTCTTTGAATTTGCTGTTTCTTCTGTCTGAATGACTCTTCCCCCATGTATCTCATGGCTGCTCTTGGCCACACCTGGCCATCCTTATAGCTGAGAAGAGATATACTTCCACACACCTGAAATCCATTCTGGGTCTACTCTTTGAGAAGTTCTGCCTTACGCTAACCATTACATATGTGTTCTAGGGGCCATATATAACAATGTACATTGTGGCACCATTTGTACAAGTGAAAAACTAGGGCCAAAAAAAAAAAAAAAAAAAGAAAACTAAACTACATATCCATTAAAATGAGAATAAAAACATACATTCGTACATTCATACTTGAAGTTCTAGGAATAAATCCTCATATACATGTATACTGCATAACTTAACAATGTACAAATTCCTTAAGCACTGGGACCAAACCTTTGCTCTTTTGTTTCCCTGAAATACCACCTACTCCCCATGAGATTTCGACATACCTATGTCCCTACTATTTTTCTTAAGTTGCAAAATAATAATAATAATAATAACCTGGAGTGGATTAGTCTATGTAACTTAGCAGGCAGTTAAACACACAAACACAGACCCCTCTATTAAACTAGAATTTAAGAATCTATTCTAGTTAATTCTAGGTAAACTACAAAAACTTTTTGACAGAACTGTAATAATTTTTAAATTTTCCACAATAGACTAGTCTCTTCCTAGTTTAAAAAATGTAAAATTGTTGCTTTTAAACAAATCCTTGATATATTTTCATATCTTTTATATCTCTAATAAAATAAAAATACTATCCTGAAAAATGTCTATTTGAGGGTGGTTATTACTTAACAGCGGTTGTTTCTCTTTTTTCTCCATTTCTAAGTCTCTCACTTTTATTTATTTATTTATTTATTTTTTTTTTTTTTTGAGACGGAGTCTCGTTCTGTCGCCCAGGCGGGAGTGCTGTGGCGCGATCTCCGCTCACTGCAAGCTCCGCCTTCCGGGTTCACGCCATTCTCCTGCCTCAGCCTCCCGAGTAGCTGGGACCACAGGCGCCCGCCACTGCGCCCGGCTAATTTTTTGTATTTTTAGTAGAGACGGGGTTTCACCG
Organism: Homo sapiens; assembly: GCF_000001405.40. Taxonomy (NCBI): domain Eukaryota; kingdom Metazoa; phylum Chordata; class Mammalia; order Primates; family Hominidae; genus Homo; species Homo sapiens. Next base: position 77,766,712 of record NC_000005.10, read on the forward strand.
TGGTCTCGATCTCCTGACCTCGTGATCCGCCCGCCTCGGCCTCCCAAAGTGCTGGGATTACAGGCGTGAGCCACCGCGCCCGGCTCTCACTTTTATTTATAAAGCAAACTTTTATTTCCAGTCTCTTGATGTGTTCCCCCTCATAAACCCTTTTCTGGTTTCCTCCAGTCCTTAGCTCAATTGACAAATATCTATTAAGTGTCTATTTGTTGAAAAACAATTCTGTGAAAAGCAATGATATATCAGACACCATCCCTTTGGTCCTGAAAAGACGTGAAGAACTGTTTGGCCTTAAGAAAATCTTTGTATACTTTGATATAGTGCAGCGTCTTCAGAACTTAACATTCTAGATTTGGAAATCAAAATTATAATACTATACTAGTAATGTAAGTTCAAATACACTTCAGTAGACTTGGAGGTCTTCAAAAATTTCATAGAGTACAAATGTATTTCAGGCAACAAATGATTTATTAAAATCATGACATTAGTATTATTCAGAAGCTGAGGAACATTTAATGAAAAAGCTGATGCCTACTTGCTCCAACATACTATATAGACAAACAAACCGAGTTAGAATACACACAAGCACACACACACACAGAACTCCGTAACTTACTTGTGGAAGTGAAAGGATCTCAACAACAACAGAGAACTCAGTTAAAAAACAGTAAGAAGGATTTGGATATAACTATAATCTAGCACTAGAATTGTAAGAATGTCTTGTAATCATTGTGTGAATCATTTATAGATTTTGAAATTAGGGTTCTCCAAAACTCACTTGTCTACTCTTCCCCACAATAAACTTAATGATAGTCCAATAAAAAAGCAAAACTGGCCTTGCCACATTTTTTGCTGGGGCTTGGGGGTAGGGAATCACTGCTTCAGCAATGGTCACAAAAAGATGATCATTACAAAGTCTTAGAAATTACTCAAGAACACAAGGTTCATACTCTTCCTTTCTCCCTCCACAGACAATCAGTGAACAGAACAAGCAACTAAAACACAAGCTTTTATCACAATTTAAATCAAAGCCAAGTTCCAGGGTCTCTCCTGGGGATCAGTAACCATTCATCCTTAAGTCCTCATCCACACTGTTGATAATCTACAGAAAAGTAATAAAGATGCTGCTGCTATGGTTTGAATGTTCGTATCCCTCCAAAATTCACACTGAAACTTTATTTCCAATGCTACAGTATTAAGAGATGGGGCCTTTAGGTGATTAGGTAATGAGGTCTCCTCCCTTGTGAATGGGATTAAGGCCCTTATAAAAGAGGCTTCACACAGCCTTGGGCCCTTTAATGCTCTTCTGCCATGTGAAGACACAGTGTTCAGCGCACCATCCTGGAAGCAAGAGACCAGGCCCTCACCAGATACTTGCTGGCCTCTTCATCTTGGACTTCCCAGCCTCTGGAACTATAAGAAATAAATTTCTCTTATTTATAAATTGCCCAGTCTCAGGTATTTTTTTATAGCAGCACAAATGAACGAAGATAGGTGTTAATGATAATAATGAGAGCAGTTAGCATTTATTGAACATTTACTACATATCAGGCATTTGGGCTAAGTGCTTTACATGATTACCTTATTTAATTATCCTAACAATACAAAAAAAACAGGTACTTTCATTAACCCCATGTTCCGGCTAAGAAAACTGGGGCTTTTAAAGGCTAAGTAACTTTCCCAGGGTCACATATGTAATAACGTGTAGTAAGTGGAGCCTGGGAGCCCATCTATTTAACTCTCACTGCAAGAATAAATAACTATTCTGCAATTACTATATTGCAAGAATATAGTAACTATTATGCTGTAATATAGTAATTGATTCAGTGGCTCTCTACTGCTTATCCGATCAGGTTCAAAATCCTTATAAAGGAAGATTTCATTCCTTCATCTGTGTATTGCAAAGACTTTTACTGAGTATAATGTGCCAACACCATACCAGATGATTCAAAGACAGTAAGATGTAGGTTCTGAGTGAGGCTGCTAAATGAGTGATCTTTAGTTAGACCTATGACAAGTTATTAAGAAAAAAATCAGTTCTATTTGGACACAACAGCATCACAATAGAACATTATTATATTCTTTTATAAAGGTATTACTGGAAGTAGAATACTGGAATAGACATCACACATCTAAGCATTTACTGTCTTAAGAGTTTTAGACTGCCATTATTAATAAAATTTTCCAACCTTGCTTACTACAGATTTTCAAAATTTCCAACCAAACAAAAAAATGCAATGAAAAAACAAAACACCCATACACATACAGGGCCAAAGATCTTTCATCTCCACATTCAACCTGGAGAATAAAATACCTTGTGTTGGGAAAACTGTGATGATGAGTGGCCTTAGCCTTCTCCCTCTCCAGCTTGAAGAGACATCTGGTTGCCTGCTATATTGCTCCTAAGAGTAACTACTTGCCAAGTAGTTAACAGAATGTGGTGAAGAGCTGACCACCTGCAATCCATTTTGACATGGCCTCTGACCACCACTTTGGAGAACTGAATACATTACACAAATTCCTAAAGGAACTAGCTAAATTTCAAAGTAGGAAGGTAGCCATCTGGCTGAACTTAGCAATGGGGTACAGTGCAAAAGAGGATAAAAGAAAACAAAGCTAGCAAATCTTACAGGAATAATTTACAGGACTATGTTCTTAACCTATCCCAGATACAGTCCACCATACTTCTATGCACCATTGCTTTAAATATAAGTATATAAACAGCTAAAGCTAATGGGGGGAGACTTTACGTCTACTTAAGTATACGTGTCATTTGCATTCTTCACTTTTTATATCAGTATAATATATATTGAACTAATAGTGGAGATTTTACATACCTTTTATGTTGTCTTCATGCCTGCTATACATAGCATATACACCATACACAGTTGTATATAGGATGTAGATATAAACAAACTTCGGAAGATGCCACAGTTTGGGAACAATGCTTGCTTTATTAAAAAAAAAAAAATCAATACAATTTCCCCACAGGCTCATGATGTAAAATTCTATAATCAAGGCTTGTAGATTTGTAATTATGGTATGTCAGCTACATTTAAACAAGAGTGTTAAAAGACTGTTAAAGTTAAACTAACAAAATTGCAGTGTGAATTGTCCTAGTCTCATTCTAATCTACTGGTGTCACTTTCATTTAATCAGAGGAAAACTATGGGCCAATGTCAGTGCTATTTCCAATGCCCTAACATTCTTTGTTCACATTGGATTTTAAGCCATTACCAATCCAAAATGGTTATAAAAAGATATATTTAAGAAAGTATTTTTAATCAATTCATTCACTCACCAGTGAACTAGTTTAACAGGCTTTATTGAAAGCTGGCTTTAAAGTTAAATAACCTTTTATGTTAAATGATTGTGAGTGTTTTTTACTTGCAGAAGAATTTCTTGAATTTATCACAAGTCTAATAAAAAACAAACTTTTTTATGAACACAAATCCCACTTGGAAACTTTTTTGGTGCAGATAAGTCACTTAGCTGAAATACCACATTTAGAAAATATCAATTCTGCATTTTCTCCTACTTTAGTGAAAATTATTTTCTAAATCATTAATAATTTAAATACAGAACAAAAGCTACTCTGTCAAGGATTCATATTTACACCATGCACTTAAGTTTTAAATTAAGGTACAACATACAACTCACAGTTGTACTATCTGTAAATAGCCTCCAAATAAATCACAGAACACATAAAACAGAGCTATGTTAGCTAGTTACAGAAGAGGTGACCAATCATTCCAGTTTGCCTGGGACTTTCCCAGTTTTAGCAGTGAAGTGTTCCACATCCTGGGAAACCCCTCAGTCTCAGGCAAACTGTGATAATTGATGCCACCTAGATATCCTCCCCCGCTCCAAAAAAAAAACAGAGTGTTCAACAGTTCTGTGCTGGGGGAAAAAACTGAGTATTATTTGGTAACTCTGCTAGAGCTGCCAGATTAGTTGTGACCCTGTCACAGATATCAATAGGTCTAGCAATCTGCTGGAAACATAGATCCAAATCTTAAAAAAAAAAGAAAAAAAACAAAGAGCCAGCTACACCCAAACCTGCCAACTAATACCCACTACCAGTGAGTCACATGTGAACAAAGGCTGCTGCTCAAAGAAACTTAGTATAATAACCCACCTAGGGCCAGGCATAGTGGCTCACGCCTATAATTCCAGCACTTTGGGAGGCCACGGCAGGTGGATCACCTGAGGTCAGGAGTTCAAGATCAGCCAGGCAAAACCCTGTCTCTACTAAAAAATACAAAAATTAGCCAGCCATGGTGGCGGACACCTGTAATCCCAGCTACTCAGGAGGCTGAGGCAGGGATGAACCCAGGAGGCAGCAGCTGCAGTGAGCCGAGATCACACCAGTCCACTCCAGCCTGGGTGACACAGCGAGACTCTGACTCTGAAAAAATAAAAATAAAAATAATATAATAACCCATCTAGCCTCTGTTACATACATTTCTCTAGTTTCACAGCAAGAATTAGTCCTCAGGAAAAAAAAAAAAGTATACATGTAACAAAATATCACAGGGTACCCTGTAAATATGTATGTGTCAACTAAAAATAACAACAATACTATTAAAATCTTGTTGCTGGAAGATATTTAAGGAGCCCTCAGAGTCAGAGGCTTAGCACCAATTCAGCCTCATTCTGTCCAACTCTCACCTTCTAAGCCATTCCTAGTATCTAGACTCTTTCTTTATTCCTAGTAATCTAACCTCTCTCTCTTGAAACTCACTTCCCAGAAATCAGATGCTTTGCCATTTACTGTACAAGGTAACAAAGTTTCTCTAGGAACAAGACACTCACCGTAAACCTCCGGCCTATTTTCCCAGGGCCTAAAAATACTGGCCCTGAAACTTGTTTCTACTTTATAATGTGGGCTGCTATCCATTAGGTCAACTCTGCCATTTTGCCAACATGCTGAAATGGCCGTCTTGCACGCATGGCTGGATCTCCTACACGCCAAATACCATCATCTACTTATTGCCTGTTTCCATATTCCCCTAACATTCAACCTGCCTGTCCACATTTCTTCCTCAGACCCACTATCAGGAACTTCTGAGTCACCTGAAGTGTTCCACCAGGTCTAATCAGAAACTAAATTAATCCACCCTTTCTAGTATAGCCTACCCAAACTGAACTCTAGGACAAATACCTAGAATATAATTTCTAGTTGCTCTCAATTTCTAGAGAGAAAATTGAAGGATTTGGGGCATGAATAATGACTTTAAACCTCTTCTTCCAAATAAAGGTTGTGACTTCCGAAGATAAATGAGGCTATGGAAAATGAACGTCTAACCAGAAAAAGAGTGTCAAGAACAGATTTAAAATAGTGTCGAGGATAGGTTTTTAAACCATTGATTAAAAAAAAAAAAAGAAAAGAATAGAATCCCTTTCACAAAAGCAAGAACATGTCTGAATCATGAATTAAGGTATCTTTGAAACTAAATTTGGAGAGAGGAGGAAAAAAGCATATCTTTTAGACCCTTTTTATCATGAAAAATGTTCAACTTATGTACAGAAAAATATAATGAAGCCCCATGATCATTCAGCCCCAACAATTAGTAATATGTTACCATTGCTGCCTCATCTATTTTTTACTTTGCTGAGGTAAAATATAGATTTTTAAAAATAGGTTGCAGGGTTTAAAACCTAGATGACGGGTCGACAGGTGCAGCATATCACCATGGCACATGTGTACCTATATAACAAAACTGCACGTTCAGCACATGTATCCCAGAACTTAAAGTAAAATAAAAATAAATAATAATAAAATAAAAATAGGATACTAAGGTAGAAGATGGAAAGAGTCATAGCAAAATAATTTTCAGGTGAAAAATAACAAGAGACAATAGGGGACAATATTTATGGAGTTAGATGGTGATATACCAAGGCAAAATGTGAGTAACAAGCAGCTAAAACAGAAAGTTTAGGGGTTTTTCTTTAATTGCATTTTAATACATAAGTGGGAAGCTATACCCCAAAATGTCAACAGAAAAGTCATTTTAAAATGTATGGGAGACACTTCCATTAATTTATAAGCAATTTGAGATAATAGTAAACTATCACCAAGTTTCATAAAATGATAAATTTATTTCTAAGCAGTTTACATAAGCATTGAAAACTTCTGAAAAGTCAAAAACTTAGTTTATAATAATCTCAATGAGTATTTTCTCTAGAATATGTATTGTCAGCATATAACTACTTGAACTAAGTAATTTTATAAACTAGTAGAGATCACTGGAATGAGAAATGTCAAGGTCATATAAGTAAATGAATGGGAAACTACCATTAGAAGTCATTTCTCATGACTTTCATTCTACAGCACTCTGCAACACACCCTGATAGTTCTGCCAAATATACTGACTAAAATGACATAACCCAAGCAAGTCTGGTAAAAGTGAACCAGTCTGGTAAAAGTCTGGTAAAAAGAACTCTGAGCTGAGGGACAGGATGGATTATTTATATTTTCAAATATACATCTCAATTCCCTTCCTATTACCAATTTTAAAAATACTCTTTACGGGAGCACTGTAGCTTAAAGGAGAAAGTTGTAGATTTGAAACCTTGGTCCTTTTCCTTGCATTGCCACTAACTAGTAGTGTGACTTTAGACAAGTTTTTTTTTTCTTTTTTTAACTTCATTAAACCTCAGTTTCTCATATGTAAAATGAGAATCCAAACAGTATTATTAACATTTACTACCCACTTGCTATTTGCCACATACTGTATTAAACAGCATAGCAGGCAGTTCTTGCAACAACTGCTTGAGTTGGGTGCTTGCTCTATTTTACAAATAAGGTAAAAGAGGCACAGCACAATGTAATATATTCCACAACATAGAATAAAGGGCAGAATCAAGATCTGAACCCAAGCAGTCTCACTTCACAAATGGCTGTGCATTTAACTCCTACTCACATGGTCTCCTTATTGCCTTGGCAATAAAGCTTCCCGGGAAGTGGGATGCTGTGCTAAAACTCAGAAGCATTATCTTAAAAAGTGAATTTATTCTCCCTTTTGCCTGGTCCTTCCTCTGGTGGAAATATCAATAAACAAAGGAAAGGTGGGCGAACAGGAAGAAGCCAGTTGGTTTCTTTAGTAGACATTGCTACAACAAAATAACTTGCTTCTTCAGAAGGCTGTTTATCTTTTCTCTTGTAATACTTCATCAAAAAGTTTGCTCTTCTTGGGTCTGAACAATAAAGTTCTAATGAACACTGAAGGGTCTACCAGCACTCAGGAATGCAAACTAAAAACAAAATTCTAAGCTCCAAAACCGTCTGAATGGACCCCTCCTCTCAACTAAGGGCATTCTAAAGTAATTCAGGCCATGATGGGAAGAGGGGGTCAGACATGTCTCATTACACATTCCTCCCTTTGGAACTCAGGAACAATTGAGCAGCATTAACATTAAAACAGATCTTAAGGCTTTTTGTAACAATAAGACACCAAATTCCAGCTTTACTCTAGTATGGCATCACAGGACAGATAGCGGGATCTGAAAGAAATAAAAGCATTTTACTCTAAAATATATTTCTTTACATATTTTGAATTGGCCCTGCAAAGATGTCTCTTAAGGGGAAAATCTATATTCTGTAGAGAACCCTCTTCCCTGTCCAGGTCTTTTTCCTGATCCACTAGAAAATTAACTAGGAGTCTGGGACCTTTTTAAGTCTGATAAGAAACATTTACAATCTATTCTCTCTGAAGCCTGCTACCTGGAGGCTTCATCTGCCTAATAAGAACCTTGATCTCCACAACCCCTTTATTTTAACCCAGACACACTCCCTTGTATTGATTCCAGGTCTTAAGATAAACTCTTTCAACGAACTGCCAATTGGAAAACCTCCTATAACTTGGAACTGTCCCCAGCCCGCTTTGGGTTGTCCTGCCTTTCCAGATCAAACCAATGTACATCGTACATGTATTGATTGATGTCTTCTGTCTCCCTAAAATGTATAAAACCAAGCTGTAGCCTGACCACCTCGGGCACATGTCATCAGGACTTCCTGAGGCTGTCACAGGCATATCCTTAACCTTGGCAAAATAAACTTCTAAACTGATTGAGACCTGTCTCAGGTACTTTCTTGGTTTACAGGAATTTAAGCAAATTACAGGACTGCACTACCCATGAGTTTGTGAAAGGAAAAATAAATCTCAGGACCCCAAAATCACTAAGCCAAAAAGAAAAGTCAAGCTGGGAATTGCATCGAGCAAACCTGCCTCTCATTTTATTCCTGAATAAGATAGCTACAAAGATTAAAAAAAAAAAAAAAAAAGCTACATACCTCCCTGACAATTTGCCCCCAAGGAAATTCCTTGTGGGCCTCAAGACCTTCACTCTAAAACAGTTCTGTTGTATTTCACCCTGGCAATGTAAATTGATAGCTTATCTTCACAGGTATGGGACAAAGAACAGAACTCAAAGTCACCCCTCTACCCACCTGAGACAAATGCGTAACTGACTGCTTCCTCTGCCCTACTGTGTATGTAAAATCGCAGATTCATTTAGCCGACTAAGGCATAAGTGACTATTCTTCTATCCCTCTCTCACATGTAAATTGTGTATTAAGTGAAAAGCTGATCAAAGACTCAAAAGAATGCAACCATTTGTCTCTTATCTATGACCTGGATGCCCCCCAACCTTCTAGTTGTCCTGCCTTTCTGGAGGGAACCAAGGTACACCTTACCCATTGACTAATATCTGAGGTCTCCCTAAAACGTATTACACCAAGCTGTGCCCCAACCGCCTTGGGCACATGTCATCAGGACCTCCTGAGGCTGTGTCATGGGCACGTCCTTGGCAAAATAAACATTCCAAATTAAGACCTGTCTCAGATACTTCTGGTTCACAAGTTATTTAAACAGCATCTCACAGCCTCTGGGGCGAGCTTCGGGGAATCTGACTGGAGAAAGTGAGGCCACATAAGTTTGCTGAGTGTGCTAGAAGTTCAGGCCCAGTTCTCAAAGCCTGCCAGTCACGCCAGCCATGTTAGGTCACACGGCTCCACTACGGTCTTTTTTGACGAGGCCCAGATCCTCCGCATCCCCCTAAACTTCAGAGCCTGCTTTCAAGCCCATTTGAGAGCACAGCTGGGATCCCGCTTCCCCGGGCCAAGTTCAGCAAGGAGAGGCCGGCGCGCGCACACAGGAGGCACGGGATCAGGGCCCGGCCCGCCCTCGCAGGCCGCGGCCCACCACCTTCCCACCGCGGGCGCCGAGAAACCGGGCCACCGCCGACTCTTCCGGCAAATCAGAGCGGCCAGTGAGCGGAGAGGGACGGGAAGCGGCGTGCGAGGCTGGCGGGCTCGGGCGTCAGCGCGCCCCGCTGGGTCCCTGCCAGTCCCAGCCAACTGCGGAGCCCCGGGTGCGGCCTGGAGTTCGGAGCCCGCCTCGGGCCTCCTCGGGCCTGCGCTCCGCTCAGCCTCGCGGGCCGCCATGAGGTGACGAAGAGGAGGTGCAGGGCGCCGCTCCCGGCTCCTTACCGCTTCACCACGCCGGTCTTGATCTTGATCTGTCTCACGCGAGGATCGGCCATGGTCCCTCGAGCGCCGCGAGAAGGAGGGGCGGAGAGCCGGGGTAACCGTGGAGGGCGACGCGCAGAGGCTGCGGCTATTTAGGCGTGGTCGCCGGCGCGCATGCGCAGGCTGCGCGGCCCGTCGTCCCCGCCACGCCCCGCGGGGCGGGTTTACTAGAGGGCGGTACCCTGCTCCCGCCAGTCCCTTTACCCCTCGTGCGCCCCTTTACCCGTAGTGAAACGTGCCCTCCTCCTCTCTCTCGGACTGCCCCTCTTTTTACTTCAGGCGCAAGTTACACTATCCCGGTCTCCACAGCCTGGGCCTTTGGGGAAACTAACGTCTCTCTGGGACGTTGCTTTGCGGGATTATCTGCTTAATGGACGGAGTGACCTAAAAAATGTATTAAGGGTATTTTCGATGTCGTTATCTGGTGTCAGATGAGGCAGAGTGATGCATGTGTAGTGAAACAAACTGCCATCATGCACGCAGTCAAGAAAATCCTTGCCCTTTACCTCAAATCCCTGCAAGAAGGTTTGTAGATAACGTGCCTTTCAAAGGAAATGACTAACAGAACTTCTTCAGATGATCACTTATAGTGTATCCTAAATATTTAACTTACAAGAATGTGTGTCGCACACAAAACCTTGGGCTTCCTAATCAGACAAACCGGCTTACAATCGAGGTTCCACCCTTTAATAGCTAGACTATTAGCTAGACAACACTGATACGTATGCTGTTTAGCCTTGCAGCTGATCAGTCTGCAAAATGGAAATAATAATGTCCATTTTACAGATTAGGTATAAGGGTTAAAACACCTAGCTCATTGTCTGACGCATGGTAGATGCTGAACAACATTTGACTATTTTATATGTTCAAAAATATATTTGTTGCATAAAATGAGGCACATCTACAGTGAGCTCTAGCAGTCCCTTCCTAAGAGAATCTCCTGAGGAATACAGGGCAGAATCGCCCTTTTTAAAATTGCTTTTCTTTTTCTTTTTCTTTTTTTTTTTTTTGAGACAGATTCTCACTCTGTCGTGCAGTGGCTTGATCTCGGCTCACTGCAACCTCCGCCTCCTGGGTTCAAGTGATTCTCCTGCCTCAGCCCCTAGAGTAGCTGGAATTATAGGCGCGTTCCACTATGCCTGGCTAATTTTTTTTTTTTTTTTTTTTTGTATTTTTAGTAGAAACGGGGTTTCACCACGTTGGCCAGGCTGGCTAGAACTCCTGACCTCAGGTGAGGCCCACCTCACCCTCCAAAAGTGCTGGGATTACAGTCATGAGCCACCGAGCCCACCCCCTTTTTAAAATTTCTTGGTACCATCCTTCAAAGACACCCATATGACTGTCTTTTTCCTTCCCTAGCCTGACTTACTCATTCTCACTTTCATGACTGGTCCTGGAATCCCCTTCTATCCCGCCAGCCCAAGGCCGTTACTTTAAATCCAGGATCAAAACTGAGCAAAGTCTACTATGACTCACCCCACCTGTTCAATCTTCCCTGGATGCTTTGGAGTCACCCAGTAGTCATCATTATTTTTAGTATATTTCTTTTTCAAATTATTGTTTGGTCCTTCGTAAGGGTTTTGTTCAGCTTCGTAGTTATAAATCCTGGTTCATAAACATGTTTAGAGGCAAGATTCTTGTCTTCCATAAATCTTCCTTCCCCAACCTCCTCCACCTGTGTTTTGTGCACAATGGGCACAGAATTCAATAAATATTTTTATTCTGCTGGCTGGTATACTGATGTGCAATTCCAAGTCACACAGCAGCGCTGTGAAATACTGGAGGGAGGGGTAGATAAAACACAACAGCAAACTTACCAAAGCAAAATGACATGCACACACACACACAAACACACACACACACACACACAAACAGCAGCTACAAGCCACAAACCAAAAGATGGTGCAGCTAGGGCTTTTGCTACCGTTAAGGTCTTTCCTTTGATTAGGTAGCAAAAACCATGTAACTCGTCATATTTTCCTTTTTTGCTTTGGTTTCAAGAAGCTCAGAGCTCAGTTTTGTGCTAATTTGCAGGAGTTTCTCTCAAACTAGGCTTCCCAATACAAATACCTGCTATTTCCCCCCAATCCCCAATTCTGCCTCCCTCCTTTTGCCCCCTTTCTCTTTGTTTTAATTGATTTGTATCTGTGCCTTTACTATAAATCAATAATCAGTAAATGTCAGCAGCCAAAAGACCTCTGCTGCTACTGCCATTGTGTGTTTCCAGGCCCATTCCCAGGCTCTGGAGGACACTTTGTGAGTTTATCTGTGTCTGTGTATACAGTTGACCCTTGAACAACAGTTTCGAATTGTGCAGGTGTGTCAGAGGTGTTTGAACCAAAGCAACTCCATCTTGAATAGGGTCTGGGTAATATGAGGCTGAGATCTGCTGGGCTCTCTTCCCAGGAGGTTAGGCATTCTTAATCACAGGATAAGATGGGAGGTTGGCAGGACTGGTTTCACTAGACACAGACCACAAAGACCCTGCTGATAAAACAGGATGCTGTAAAGAAGCTGGCCAAACCCCACCGAAACCAAGATGGTGACAAAAGTGTTTTCTGGTTGTCCTCAATGTTCATTATATGCTAATTATAATGTATTAGCATAATAAAATAAACTCCCACCAGCACCCTGACTATTTACAAATACCATGGCAATACCTGGAAGTTACCCTATATGGTCTAAAAAGGAAAGGAACCCTCAGTCCCAGGAACTCCCCACCCTTTCCTGGAAAGCTCATGAATAATCCACCCCTTGTTTAGCATATAATCAAGAAACAACCATAAGTATACTCAGTCAAGCAGCCCATGCCACTGCTGTATTCAGTAGCCGTTCTTTCATTTTTTTACTTTCTTAATAAACTTCATTTCACTTTATAGACTTGCCCCAAATTCTTTCTTGCACGAGATACAAGAACTTGCTCCTGGGGTCTGGATGGGGACTGCTTTCTGGCAACAGGCCCACTTAGAAGAAGAGTTTTTTCAATAAATACAGTCAGCCCTCCATATTGGCAGGTTTTGCATCCACAACCAGACAAGGATGGAAAATACAGTATTCCCAGGATGCAGAAACCCACATATAGGCAAGGCCCACTTTTCTGTGGGTTTCTTAGGGCCAACTAGGGAACTTCTGTGTGCACTCAAGCATGAGTTTTGATATCCTTAGCAGTTCTGTAACCAATACCCCACAGATATCAGGGGACAACCATTCTATATTGTATTCTTGAGTCTATGGGTTAAGATTAAGGAGTTTGGCGCCGCCTTTAAGGATAAGAATCAGAAAGACTTGTTTCAGGTTTCAGGAGTTTACAATAGTGGTTAAGAATGTGAACCCTGGGACTAGACTGCCTGGGGTCAATCCTAGCTCTGCATCTTACTAACTGTGTAATATTGGACAAGTTACTTAACCTCTCTATGCCCCAGTTTCTTTCTTCTGTAAAAGGTAGATGATGAAAAACTTAAATGAGCTAATAATTGTAAAGTGCTTAGGATAGTGCTGGTACTTATTAAGCCCCACATGAATGTAAACCAAAATAAAATTGTGAACCCCCACCCCACCCCGGGCTATCTGAATGGACCCCTCCTCTCAGCCAAGGGCATTCCAAAGTTAACCTGAAAAACTAGGTCAGCCCACGAAGGGAAGGGGGAATCAGACATGCCTCTTTATACCCTCCTCTCTTTTGTAATTCAAGCACAGCTGACCATTAACAAGTGACCTTAAGACCAATAGAACAGACTCTGTAAGTCTGATAAGAAATATTTGCAATCAGGCTGGGTGCAGTGGATCACACCTGTAATCCCAGCACTTTGGGAGGCTGAGGCAGGAGGATCACGAGGTCAGGAGATCGAGACCAGCCTGACCAACATGGTGAAACCCTGTCTCTGCTAAAAATACAAAATTAGCCAGGCATGGTGGCGCATGCCTGTAATCCCAGCTACTCGGGAGGCTGAGGCAGGAGAATCACTTGAACCCAGGAGGCAGAGGTTGTGGTGGGCTGAGATTGTGCCATTGCACTCCAGCCTGGGAAACAGGAGCAAAACTCAGTCTCAAAAAAAAAAAAGAAAAAAAGAAATATTTGCAATCTGTTCTCTCTGAAGCCTGCTACATGGAGGCCTCATCTGAAAGATAAAACCTTGGTGTCCACAACCCCTTATCATAACCCAGACCTTCCTTTCTATTGATTCCAGGTCTCTAGATAATAACTCTTTCAACCAATTGCCAATCAGAAAATCTTTGAATCTGCCTATGTCCTGGATGACCCCCCTTTTCCAGTTGTCCCACCTTTCTAGACTGAACCAATGTACATCTTACATGTATTGATTGATGTCTTATGTCTCCCTAGAATGGGTAAAACCAAGCAGTACCTTGGGCCACCGAGGTACCTTGGGCCAGTACCTGGCCACCTTGGGCACATGTTCTCAGGATCTCCTGGGCCTATGTCACAGCCCATTGGTCACTCATATTTGGGTCAGAATAAATCTCTTGAAGTATTTCACAGAGTTTAACTCTTTTTGTCAACATAATATTTAACAAACATAAAGTTTGTTAAATAAATAAGTCATTTTGGAAAGAGGTCCCAAATAAGAAACTAACAGCATGGTAGAATTCACATTCATATGAATATAAAAATGTACATATTATCGTTAATGATATCATGCTGAATTCATGTCTGATTCATAATTTTGTATGAAAAGGACTCATGTTTGACTTATTCACCACTGTATCCCAACATGTAGCAAAGCCTTACGCACAGCAGTTAATAAATATTTCTTGAATGTAAATAAGTGCTGTTTGAACAATCCTTTTGTTTTCCATTTAATAATATGTCACAGAGACTTCCCATTGCAGCAAGATGACTACTAAGACAACCTGAATCCCCACCTCCCCACACACACCATCTTCCTCTGGGCTTTGCTCTTTCGGGTCTGGACTCTGAGGAGGCAGGCTGATGGAAGGCCATTTCAGGTCAGTTCAGGAGAGTACTAACTGTAGGGAGGCCTGCAGAATCTAGGCAGGGAGATGCCCTCCAGCATTTGAAATGGAAACTAACTAAGCTGCATTTCTCACTGTCTAGCACCCTTTTGTTCTGTTATCCTTAAACCTAATTGAATACTGTTTAAATATTCCAGCCTGGCCTCAGGTGAACTACAGGAATGAGTTTATAAAGGTCTTTACAAGGGATAAGTCCATCCACCTTTGAGATTTAGGGTTGAAGAGATCTGAGAGATTAACAGCACTGAGTGAATCTGGCAGAACAAGAGAAAAGTCTAGCCATCTCCTCCCTGAGTGATAATTCTTGCATTGCCAATCTTGGAAGGTTGAGGTCCTACAGTTGACCCTTGAACAACACAGTGGTTAGAGGTGCCAACCCCTGTGCGGTCAAAAATCACATATAACTTTTGACTCACCAAAATCCTAGCTACTAATAGCCTACTGTTGACTGGAAGCCTTACCAATAACATAAACAGTCAATTAACACATATTTATATGTTATATATAGGATATATTGTATTCTTACAATAAAGCAAGCTAGAGAAAAAAAGTGTTATTAAGAAAATCATAAGGGGCCGGGCATGGTGGCTCAGACCTGTAACCCCAGCACTTTGGGAGGCTGGGGTGGGCAGATCACTTGGGGTCAGGAGTTCGAGACCAGCCTGGCCAACATGATAAAACCCCATCTCTACTAAAAATACAAAAATCAGCCAGATATGGTGGCGGGCACCTATAATCCCAGCTATTCAGGAAGCTGAGGCAGGAGAATTGCTTGAACCTGGAAGGCGGAGGTTGCAGTGAGCTAGGATCGCGCCACTGCACTCCAGCCGGGGTGACAGACCAAGACTCTGTCTCAAAAAAAAAAAAAAAAAAAAAGAGAGAGAGAGAGGGAAATATATTTACTATTCATTAAGTGGAAATGCATCATCACACAGGTCTTCATCCTTGTGTCTTCACATTGAGTAAGCTGAGGAGGAGGAAAAAGAGGGATTGATAGAGGTGAAAGAAGTTGGAGTGGGTGGAAAAGGAAGCAGGAGAGGCAGCTCTACTCAGTGTTACTGTTATTGAAAAAAATCTACATATGAGTGGACCTGCACAGTTCAAACCTATGTTGTACAAGGGTCAACTGTATTTTATTAAAGAACACTACAGACTCCCTTACAATTGAGAGGTGTTTTCCCCGTACACTTACTGGGCTGTGAACTCACAGTTCTTGCCATCCCCTCACACCATTCTTTCCCACTAGACTCCAAGCTCCTCGAGATTAGAGACCAAATTACATTCATTTTGGTACCCCTAGCATCAAGCTTAATGCCCAGTGCCTAGTAGATGCACAGTATATATTATAAAAATCAAGGGTGGGACTGAGATAGATTTCTAATTTTGACAAAAACAATAGACTGGTCATGTTTTTATCCTCCTGGAACTATGAAGCAACCTGTATGCAAGGAGCCTTCTGCAGTGCTCCAGAACTCAATGTACAGTTACCATGATATTTTATTTCTATTCAATAAAACCAAGTAGCCAACCGCAGAACACACCCCTGGAGAGATTACTTAAATAAGGAAGTATTAATATCATTGATAAAAGTATATTTTTGTGAAATATCTCTGATAATTAACTCTAGATGCCTGAGAGACCTAGAAAGATCCCCTTCCTTCCCTTCCACTTGTGCATCTTTTCAAACTCTTTCAGTCTTGCCTCTTACTGGAGCCCCTGCAGTGGTACCCAATCTCTTTCAGGCTTTGCATGAGTACAACATGATAGCGCCTTACTTCAGGCCCAAGCCATGTGCACCCACGAGACAGGAAACAGGAGAATAGGGGAACAGGAGGCTATGGATCAGTGACTCCCCTTTCATTCTGCAGACAGCAGATGGCTCTAAGATGCATTCCATAAGGCCCTCAGATGATCTCGTGGAATCAAGCACCAGTCATGTGTAGCAAGGGCAAACTCAATAATCCACCTTTGCATTGGCTTTTCCTCTTTCTCTGTTTGACTTACCCATTTCTCAATCCTGGCCCCATAATCACTTTCTGAACAAGTAGGGTAGTAACTACACTTGGAAAAATATTGTTCCAACTCATTCACTGAGTAATTCAGAATGCTGCCAGCTTTGAATGGGACACAGATCAAGAGTGGACTCTGCTTCAAGTCTAGGCTACAGTGCAAGCTCACTTGCCACGACCCAGCAGATCCAATGATGCTGATGTATCTGTTGGGTAAGGATACTGCCTATGAAGATTCTGGTAAACCCTAAGAGGGGAGTATCATATAGACCATGCCCACTGTGGTAGAGAAGTGCTAACTTTTTGAGGAACAACTCCAGAAATGCTCCTGGGCCCCAGGAGAGACTTAGAAATCAAAGACCTAAAAGAAACAAAACTTGCAATCACAGAAAGGGAAATCTAGGGAAGAGGCCAGGAGTGCACATAAAGCATGTGATTTTTGTGTCCCCTGTTAATACTCACTGAAGAATATCTACCTCTGTGGAGACACTTAATAACCAAGTGGACAGGATGACTTGTCCTATGGATGTCAAGCAGCCTGTCTTCCCAGCTACCTCAGTGTTGGTCTATGAACAGAGTAGTCATAGCTGCAGGGGTGCAGGCTGTGGTAGGCAGCCTGTATGATGTCCATCAAGGATTCCTGTCTCCTGGCATTCCTGCCCTTGTGTAATCTCCTCTCCATATTAACTTAATTTTGATAAATAGAATATGGCTGAAGTGACAATTATCACTTCTGATATCAGGTTAGTAAAAGGGCTTCCATCATGGGTGCTATTTCTCATTTTTTCCTGGGTTGCTCATGCTGGGGGTAGCCAGTTGCTATGTCATGAAGCAGCCCTGTAAAGAGGCCCACATGATGAGGAACTAAGGCCTACCAACAACAACATGATTGAGCTTAGAAGAGAATCCCTCTGAGTTGAGTCTTCAGATGAGACCACAGCCCCACACTGCGTCTTGACTGCAGTCTCTTGAGATAACTTGAAGCAGAGGGACCCAGCTTAACGGTACCCAAACTCCTGACCCACAGAAACTATGAGATAATAAATATTTCTTGTTTTTAGCCAGTAACTTTTGAGGTAATTTGTTATGTGGCAATAGATAACTAATACAGGGATTATGAATGGGCTGTCTTCTATGAAGGCTGATCTAGCTACTGCTACTGCTGACCAGTGGTAGAGTCTACTGAAGCTGAGCATATGCATACTCTATGACCCAAAAATTCTCCAAGTATCCAGCACAAATGCTTACACATGTTTCCAAAAGACATATACAAGTATATTCATGGGAGCACTATTTATAACGGCCAGAAACTGGAACTAATACAACTCTGTGGCTTCCCCTTTCACTCTCTGATTAGTGTGTTTGATGAACAAAAGTTTTCTGTTTTAGATTTAGATTTTAGTAGTCTAGCTACTACATTTTTGTCTTTATAGTTAGTGCTTTTTGTATCCTATTTAAGAAATATTCATCTACAAGCAAAGATTATGAAGATATTATCCTATGTTTTATTTTAAAGAGATTTTTATTATTTTAACTTTCACATTTAGATCTACATTCCACCGCCGAGACTGCATCCGCCTTGCGAGCACAGAGCCTCGCCTTCGCTGCTCCACTGCCAGTCCACACCTGCCACCAGCTCACCATGGATGATGATATCACCGCGCTCGTCATTGACAACGGCTCCGGCATGTGCAAGGCCAGCTTCACGGGCGACAATGCCGCCCGGGCAGTCTTCCCCTCCATCGTTGGGCACCCCAGGCACCAGGGCGTGATGGTGGGCATGGGTCAGAAGGATTCCTATGTGGGCGACGAGGCCCAGAGCAAGAGAGGCATCCTCACCCTGAAGTACCCCATTGAGCACGGCATTGTCACCAACTGGGACGACATGGAGAAGATCTGGCACCACACCTTCTACAATGAGCTGCGCGTGGCTCCCGAGGAGCAACCCATGCTGCTGTTTGAGGCCCCCCTGAACCCCAGGGCCAACTGCAAGAAGATGACCCAGATCATATTTGAGACCTTCAACACCCCAGCCATGTACTTGGCCATCCAGACTATGCTGTCCCTGTACGCCTCTGGCCGTACCACTGGCATCGTGTTGGACTCCAGTGATGGGGTCACCCACACTGTGCCCATCTACGAGGGGTATGCCCTCCCCAACGCCATCCTGCTTCTGGACCTGGCTGGCCGGGACCTGACTACCTCATGAAGATCCTCACCGAGCGCCGCTACAGCTTCATCACCACGCGGAGCGGGAAATCATGCGTAACATCAAGGAGAAGCTGTGCTACCTCGTCCTGGACTTCGAGCAGGAGATGGCTACCGCGGCTTCCAGCTCCTCCCTGGAGAAGAGCTACCAGCTGCCCAACAGCCAGGTCATCACCATTGGCAACGAGTGGTTCTGCTGCCCCGAGGCGCTCTTCCAGCCTTCCTTCCTGGGCATGGAGTCCTGTGGCATCCACGAAACTACCTTCAACTCCATCATGAAGTGTGACTTGGACATCCGCAAAGACCTGTACACCAGCACAGTGCTGTCTGGTGGCACCACTATGTACCCTGGCATTGCTGACAGGATGCAGAAGGAGATTACCGCCCTGGCGCCCAGCAGGACGAAGATCAAGATCATTGCTCCTCCTGAGCGCAAGTACTCTGTGTGGATTGGAGGCTCCATCCTGGCCTCGCTGTCCACCTTCCAGCAGATGTGGATCAGCAAGCAGGAGTATGAGGAGTCTGGCCCTCCATCGTTCACCGCAAATGCTTCTAGGCGGACTGTGACTTAGTTGTGTTACACCTTTTCTTGACAAAACCTAACTTGTGCAGGAAACAAGATAAGATTGGCATGGCTTTATTTGTTTTTTTGTTTTGTTTTGTTTTTTTGGTTTTTTTTGGCTTGACTCAGGATTTAAAAACTGGAACAGTGAAGGTGACAGCAGTCGGTTGGAGCGAGCATCCCCCAAAGTTCTACAGTGTGGCCGAGGACTTTGATTGTACATTGTTCTTTTTTTTAATAGTCATTCCAAATATCATGGGATGCATTGTTACAGGAAGTCCCTTGCCATCCTAAAAGCCACCCCACTTCTGTCTAAGGAGAATGGCCCAGTCGTCTACCGAGTCCACACAGGGGAGGTGATAGCATTGCTTTCGTGTAAATTATGGAATGCAAAATTTTTTTAATCTTCGCCTTAATACTTTCTTATTTTTTTTATTTTGAATGATGAGCCTTCGTGCCCCCCCCCCCTTTTTTGTCCCCCAGCTTGAGATGTATGAAGGCTTTTGGTGTCCCTGGGAGTGGGTGAAGGCAGCCAGGGCTTACCTGTGCACTGACTTGAGACCAGTTGAATAAAAGTGCACACACACACACATAAAAAGATCTACATTCCATCCAGAATTCATGTTTGTGTATGGTATGGGGTAGAAGTTAATATTAAATATTTTTCTGGCCCAGTGCAGTGGCTCATGCCTGTAATCTCAGCAGTCAGATGGCTTGAGTCCAGGAGTTTGAGACCAGCCTGGGCAACATGGCAAAACCCCTTCTCTATAAAAAAGTACAAAAATTAGCTGGGCATGGTGGTACACGCGTATAGTCACAGCTACTCAGGAGGCTGAGGTGGGAGGATCACTTGAGCCCAGGAGGTGGAGGCCGCAGTGAGCTGAGATTACCCCACTGCACTGTAGCTTGGGCAACAGAGTGAGACCCTGTCTCAAAAAATAAATAATATTTTTTCCCATATGGGCTTACCATTTTTAAAGCCTTCCTTATTCTGTGCTTTCTACCCTAGTTATTTATTTATTTATTTATTATTTTTGAGATGGAGTTTCACTCTTGTTGCCCAGGCTGGAGTGCAATGATGCAATCTTGGCTCACTGCAACCTCCGTCTCCCCACTTCAGGAGATTCTCCTGCCTCAGCCTCCCAAGTAGCTGGGATTACAGGCATGTGTCACCACACCTGGCTAATTTTGTATTTTTAGTAGAGATGAGGTTTCTCCATGTTGGTCAGGCTGGTCTCAAACTCCCAAACTCAGGTGATCTGCCTGCCTCTGCCTCCCAAAGTACTGGGATTACAGGTGTGAGCCACCACACCCGGCCTCTACCCTATTTATAAGTTGTTATTGGCACCTATGGCAGAGTGTATTAACTGGCTCATCCAATAGCCATTCCCAATACTCTTCTTCCTTGCTTCCATTGCAGGGCCAACTTCCTCAACTTTCCGTAGCTAGAGGTATCCAGGTGCATAATTCTGGGCAATTGGGCATAAGTGGAAATAAGTGGGTGGCTGCTGGAAATGCGTTGAATTTGTTGATGAAAGGGACGAATACCAGGAGGAGCTGCCTCTGTCCCACTTCTTCCATGAAAATAGATGGAAAAACTGGAGCTTAAAAATCCATCTTTCATTTATGACAGGAAGACCAAAATTTTAGAGATGCCCGTCCTCACATCATTGAGCTGTTGAACCAAAACTTGCAACTGCCTATCTCTAATCACCTTATGGGAGAAAAACAAATCTTATTTATTTAAGCTACTGATTGTGAGATTTCCGTTACTTGCAACCAAAGGGATTTTCTACGTAATACAGAATCCATTAGAGCTCCATGTGTATGTCTCTTCTTTGGAGGAAAAATACCTTTGAAAACAAAAATACCTCCAATTGTGACTTTTTGTAATGTGCCATGTCCTTATTGTACGTGTGTATGTATTAAATACACAACTTAAATGGCTACAGGTCACAAAGTATGGATGTTGGAGAGCTGCACATTTTAAACAATAGGAATTATACATCGGCAACAAGAGAATATAATCTTTTTGTCAGTGACTTACAGAGGGCCTTATTTACAGCTGAACAGGTATTTGATATAACAATTCATTGTTCTGACACATGTAGCAATCATTATGTGCAGTTTTTAATGCATCATGTTATATTAGCTCAGCCCATGCTCTAACACCGTGTAACATAAATTTTGCCAAAAGAAATGACATTACATGACACTGACTTTTAAAAGACACACACTATTTTTTCAGATCACATATCCTTTATCCATGAGTGCCCAATTCAAAAATCAAGCTGGCAGACAAAACTGGAGTGAATGTATAGCCTCAAAGCAGCATATTTATCTTGAGTAGTTTTGCACATGTCTACCTGTAGTCAATGATTCCATTCCATTTTTATGTTGAAATACATGAGCAACATTAATGACCCTTTTTTTGTCACCTAAAATGAGATTTTCATTCAGGGTCAATCAGGAGAGACTTGAAAGGTGTTTTTGGATGGCACGTTATGGATAAAATCTTTTTACATGTTTATCATGTACTATTTACGGCTGTTCTATTTGAAACTCTCACCAAAATTTTTATGATTATTTTATTTTTATTCTATCTATGACTTTTTACTGCTTCCAAGACGATATATGTCTCTTAGGTGTGAAATAATTTCAATTTTTAATTACATATTCTTTTTTGTATTAATAGGAAATGCAACAAAAAAGATGAGGATTTTTGGACAACATATTTCTAGATTACCCAAAAAAAACTTTAAGTGCTGGTTCACAAAAATCCATTGATATAAATTTTAAATGTTAATTATTCACTTTTTTAAAAAAAATAATTATCTCCCAACACTTTTCTGTTATGGAAAACTACTTAAGACCCACATAATTTTTCTTGGCTTAGAAACGTAAAGTAAATAAAATAAGAATAATAAGCAATCTTCTGTGAAAGCTTATTAGGATTCTGCAGAATAGTTTGCCAAAGGGAAGGAAGTCTTTGTAAAATGGCTTTTCTTCTAATATTTTAAGGTAATATAAAGTTATTACTTCTTAATTGAGGACAGAAATTTCATTTCAACTTGCACAACTTCCAATTCCAATATTACTATCCTAATATTTAATTATTGTATTGTTATTATCATTATTACTGTAATTATTTCTCGTTCTTTATTACCATATTCTTTGTACATGTATGTGTGCGTGTGATCACCACTTAATCATATAAGTGAGATTTTAAGAATTCTTGTAATGTACAGGTTATACACTTCCAAATGATTTAGAAACTTTAGAACTGATTAAAGTAGACAAAACTAGATAAAAATTCTCATTGGATTTTTAGCTACATTAAGAAATCAGAGTGGCCAGGCGCAGTGGCTCACACCTGTAATCTCAGTACTTTGGGAAGTCAAGGCAGGTGGATCACCTAAGCTCAGAAGTTCAAGACCACCCTGGCAAGATGGAGAAACCCCGTCTCTACAAAAAATACAAAAATTAGCCAGGCGTGAAGGTGTGCACCTGTAGTTCCAGCTACTTGAAGGGCTGAGGTAGGAGGATGGCTTGGGCCCAGGAGGTCAAGGCTGCAGTGAGCCATGTTTGCACTAGTGCACTCCATTCTGGGTGACAAAGCAAGACTCTGTCTCAAAAAAAAGAGAAAAAAATCAGAGTAATAGAATTGAATAAAGATATTGATTGAGTTCAGTACAACAACTGGGAATCTATTTGACACCAAGTTACTAGGAATTAATGGCTTTTTTTTTTCTTTTAAGAGACAGAATCTCTGTCTGACACCCAGGCTGGAGTGCAGTGGCATGAGCATAGCTCACTGCAGCCTTGAATTCCTAGGCTCAATCACTCCTTCCACCTCAGCCTCCTGAGTAGCTAAGACTACAGGCTCATGCAACCACACCCAGCTAATTTAAAAAATAACATTTTATATGTAGAGATGGGATCTCACTATGTTGTCCAGGCTGGTTTCAAACTCCTGGCCTCAAGTGATCCTCCTGCTTCAGCCTCCCTAAGTGCTGGTACTACAGGCATGAGCCAGTGTATCTGACCTTTATTCCCATTTTCTTTATTCAATTGTTTTGGTGTTTGTGCTTTGGTATTCAGCCAGGCCATGACTCTCCTGAAATGATTAAAAGCAGGTATTTGGGACCCAGATAGAATATCTTCTACACAGAGTTGTGGTGGTTGTGTATATGCAATGTACATAAAGGATTTAGCACAATACCTGGCTCATTAAAAATACCCAATAAATTATAACTATTATTATTATTATCATCTTTACTCAAGTAGTCAAAGAAAAAAATTGTTTATCCAAAATTGATGCCCTTTAATAAAATTATATTGTGATGCAAATTTTTTTCCAGGGAATTACCAAATGATTCTAATACAAGCCACTGCTTATCCGTATATCAGGGTTATAGAGATATGAATATTACTAGGTTGATCTTCTATTACAAACAGTAAAGGAAAGGAATCCTCACATTTTTGATTTATTGGCAATTTCCCATAGTAATAGATTCTTCAAATGAATACATTTAAAATATTCTGTGTAAATCATGTGTTTGTGCCTATCAGGTTTAAATGCTAGCTGTGTAACTTTGGAAAAGGTATTAACTTTTCATTTTTCATCTGGAAGACTAGTGGTATGCTAATATGAATAATTTCTATCATGTAGTATTTTATAAATGATAGTCATCATTATTTTCAAATAAGGAAGAATCTATATAAGTAAGCCTTCACCACTCTGAAGGGCACATTGTATATTAAAAAATATTTATAACAATATTTAAAATAGTGCCTCAATGCAGCCTATATTTTTCTTTTAGCACAGGCAAAAATTCAGATAGGAAAATTCCTAAGAGGTAAAATGCTAAGAGTTTCTCATAAAGAAGGAAAACAAAGATGAAAATCAATAAAATTACAGAAAAGGGCTTATCAGCATGTGCAGTTTTTTATTTAGAAAATGGAAATTAGTCTTCACCAAATCACTGGAGAATAAACACTCAGAAAGCAATTTTACTTAACTTATATTAAATAATTTGTGGCTGCAAGTACAGGCTGATTCATAATTTAAGTCATACACACTGTTACACAAGGTGGAATTTTGTTTTCTTTGCTTTATAAAAGTTAACTTCCAGGCTGGACATGGTGGCTCCTGTAATCCCAGCACTTTGGGAGGCCAAAGCAGGAGGATTGCTTGAGCCCAGGAGTTTGAGACCAGCCTGGGCAAGATAGTTAGCCTTTGTTTCCACAAAAAAGAAAAAAGAAAAAAAAAAGTTAACTCCCACAACTAAAGATGAAAAAAATCAATGATTTACAAATGCCGCTTTGTAAATGGGTGGTGAGGTTTGGTTGACTATCACACAAATGAAGCAACTGTGTTTTAACTGTTCTAACAGGAAAAAAAATAGTGGAGAGAGCATTCAAGATAAATTGTCTCTCTAGAATATAATGTATTTCTCAGTTACAAAATGATAAGAGCCGGATGTCTGAATACTTTGTGAAACATTTAAAAGGAAGATTCAGAGTAACAAGACAAGGGGCAAGTTGCCAGTGGCAGTTGTAAATTGCTTAAGCTGGACACATTGTGTTCTTGAAACTTTCATTACCTCTGTTTTTCCTTTTGCAACCAGTTGGAAATGGATATAATGGCACAAAGACAGGAAAGGGTGAATAACAATGAAAATGAATTTAATACAGAGCTAGGAACTGACAGAGAATGAGAGAGCGGTAGTGAGTTGAGAAAGAAGAGAAATAAAGGTGAAAATAGATTTGGGGTTAAATAGGCCAAAAGGGTATGATCAAGGTGGGAAGACCTGAGGCAGTTAGGCAATGCCCTGAATTCTTTAAACTTTTCTGTACACTTGACCCTTGAACAGCTCATGGGTTAGGGGCACCACCTTCTCACAGTAAAAAATCCATGTATAAATTTGACTCGCTAAAAATAAGAGAGGGTCAATGGATATTTGGTAACAATTAGAAGTCTCTGCCACAGGTCTGCTTTGGGATGTAAGATATCACTGATTTCAATGCATTCAGTGTGGTGCACTGAAAGGGAGATATGTAGGTAGGTGGCAATTTGCATGTCTTGCATCAGCCTTTGCTAATCAACCCATTGCCTTGATTACTGTGGCTTTATAGTAAGCCTTGAAATGAGGTAGTCTGAACCCTTTGTTCTTTTTCAAAATAAATTCTTTTGGCTATTCTAATTTATTGGGCTTTACATGTAAATTTTAGAATCAGCCTGTTGATATCTACAAAAATTCCTGCTGGGATTTTGATTAGGATTGCATAAAATCTATAGATCGGTTTGGGGAGAATTGACATTATTAACAATGTTGAGTCTTACAATTCATGAACATAGTATATGTCTCCGTTTATTTGGGTCTGCTTTGACTTCTTTCATCCGTATTTTATATTTTTTAGCAACACATCCTGCACATATTTTGTTAGATTTATAGGTATTCCCTTTGTGTGTGTGTGCTATCATAAGCAACATTGTATTTAAATCTTTTATTTTGAGTTATTCATTGCCCATATATAAAAATTCAGTTGATTTTTATGTATTGGTCTGGTATTCTGTGATCTTGCCAAACTCATTTATTAGTTCTAGGAACTTTTTGGTAGATTCATTGAGATTTTCTACATAGATAATTGTGTCATCTGCAAATAGAGACAATTTATTTTCTCCTTTCTAATCTGTATGCCTTTTATTTCTTTTTCTTGCCTTATTATACTGGCTAGAACTCCCAATATAGTGTTGAATAAGAATAGTAATATTGGACATCTGTTTTTTATTTTAACATGCAGAAGTTATATTTTAACATTAAGATGCTAACCATAGATATTTTATAGGCACTTTCATCAGGCTAAGGAAATTCCTTTTTATTCCTAGACTTCTGAGAGTTTTTATCACAAATTTATGTTGAATTTTGTCAAATTCTTCTTCTGCATCTATTAAGATGATCAAGACATTTTCTACTTTGTTAATTTGGTGAATTACATTGATTCATTTTCAAATCATTGAATCTGCCTTACATTCCTGAAATAAACATTACTTGGCCATGATATAGTATCTTTTTTTATATTCCCAGATCTCATTACTATTACTATTATTTGACAGAGTCTCACTCCATCGCCCAGGCTGGAGTGCAGTGACACAATCTTGGCTCACTGCAACCTCCGTCTCCAGATTCAAGTGATTCTCATGCCTCAGTCTCCCAAGTAGTTAGGATTACAGGTGTATGCCACCCCACTGGGCTAATTTTTGTATTTTTAGTAGAGACCGGGTTTTACTATGTTGGTTAGGCTGGTCTTGAACTCCTGATCTCAGGTGATCTGCCTGCCTCGGCCTCCCAAAGTACTAGGATTACAGGTGTGAGCCACTGTACCCAGGCTTATTTTCTAATATGTTGTTGAGGGATATTGGTCTGTAGCTTTCTTTTCTTGTATTTTCTTTTCCTGCTTCTGGTATTGAGTTAATACTAGCTGAACAAAATAACTGTTCCCTCATCTTCTATTTTCTGAAAACAAACAAACAAACAAAGAAACAAAAAAGTTTAAATAGAATTACAAGTCAGGAGAAAATTTCCCACTTAAGTGTTTGGTAGACTTCACCAGTGTAACTATCTGGACCCAGAATTTTTTTGTTGGAAGATTTTAAACTGCAAATTCAATTTCTTTACTAGGTATAAGACAATTCAAGTTATCTGTTTCTTCTTGAGTGCATTTTGGTTGTTTGTGTCTTTCAAAGAATTTGCCCGTTTTATCTACTTCATTGAATTATGGTTAGTTTGTAGTATTCTCTTCTAATTTCTATAGGGTATTTAGTGCTAGCTCTTCTTCCTGATATTGGTAATTAGTGCCCTCTCTCTATTTCTCTCACCACCCTCACACTCCCGCCGTGTGTGTGTGTGTGTGTGTGTGTGTAAACTCTGTACCTTTTAAGCCTCTGGCAACCACTAGTGTACATTCTGCCTGTGTGGATTTACTTATTCTGGATGTTTCATATAAATGGAATCATACAGTATTTGATCTTTTGTGTCTGGCTTCTTTCACTATGCATAATGTTTACAAGGTTTATCCATGTTGTAACATGTGTCAGTACTTCTTTCTTGTGCCTGAATTGCATAGATACACACACACACACACACACACACACACACCCCCATGGATATATGTAGCCATTCAACTGCTTTACTAGGTATAAGACAATTCAAGTTATCTATTTCTTCTTGAAATTGAATGGATATACACATATCTATCCGTCACTGTCTCTGTCTCAATTTCTCTTTTTTTTTTTTTTAATTTATTTTTTTATTGATAATTCTTGGGTGTTTCTCACAGAGGGGGATTTGGCAGGGTCATGGGACAATAGTGGAGGGAAGGTCAGCAGATAAACAAGTGAACAAAGGTCTCTGGTTTTCCTAGGCAGAGGACCCTGCGGCCTTCCGCAGTGTTTGTGTCCCTGATTACTTGAGATTAGGGATTGGTGATGACTCTTAAGGAGCATGCTGCCTTCAAGCATCTGTTTAACAAAGCACATCTTGCACCGCCCTTAATCCATTTAACCCTGAGTGGACACAGCACATGTTTCAGAGAGCACAGGGTTGGGGGTAAGGTCACAGATCAACAGGATCCCAAGGCAGAAGAATTTTTCTTAGTGCAGAACAAAATGAAAAGTCTCCCATGTCTACTTCTTTCTACACAGACACGGCAACCATCCGATTTCTCAATCTTTTCCCCACCTTTCCCGCCTTTCTATTCCACAAAGCCGCCATTGTCATCCTGGCCCGTTCTCGATGAGCTGTTGGGCACACCTCCCAGACGGGGTGGTGGCCGGGCAGAGGGGCTCCTCACTTCCCAGTAGGGGCGGCCGGGCAGAGGCGCCCCTCACCTCCCGGACGGGGCGGCTGGCCGGGCAGGGGGGCTGACCCCCCCCCACCTCCCTCCCGGACGGGGCGGCTGGCCGGGCGGGGGGGCTGACCCCCCCCACCTCCCTCCCGGACGGGGCGGCTGGCCGGGCAGAGGGGCTCCTCACTTCCCAGTAGGGGCGGCCGGGCAGAGGCGCCCCTCACCTCCCAGACGGGGCGGCTGCTCAATTTCTCTTTTACTGATGTAAAATTCATGTAATATAAAATTAACCACTAATCACTTTAAAATATACAATTCAGTGGCATTTCATACATTCACAGTGTTGGGCAGTTGTTACCTCTATCTACTTCTGAAACATTTTCATCATACCAAAAGGAAACTCGGTACCTTTTAAATTTTGGCAACCAGTAGTCTACTTTCAGTCTGTATGGATTTAGTTTTTCTGGATATTTAATATAAATGGAATCATACAGTATTTGACTTTTTGTGTCTGTCTTCTTTCACTATGCATAATGTTTTCGAGGTTCATCCATGTTGTAACAGGTACCAGTACTTCATTCTTTTTTGTGCCTGAATAATATTCTATTGTATGGATATACCACATTTTGTTTATCCATTCATCAGTTAATGGACATTTAGGTCGTTGCCCCCTTTTGGTATTGTGAATAGTACATGTGAATAGCTATAAACATTCATGTACATGTGTTTGTTTGAATACCTGTTTTTGATGTCTTTTCTTTTTTTATTCTTGGTCAGTCTGGCTAAATGTTTATCAAGTTTATTGAACTTTCTAAACAGCCAGCTTTTGGTTTCACTGATTTTCCTCTATTTTTTTCTGTTTTCCATTTCATTGACTTCTGCTCTTATCTTTGTTTATTGACCTTGTATCCTGTGATGTTGCTAAACTCATTTATTACTTTAATAGCTTTTTTCCTTTTGCTTCTTTTGTATTTAATTTGTTTTCTTTTACGGGTTTCCTAAGATGGAAGCTTAGATTATTGATTTAGAACCTTTTTCTTTTCTAATATAAGCATTTAACACTACAAATTTCCTTCTAAGCACAGACTTAGCTGAACTCCACAAATTTTCGTATGTTATATTTTCATTTTCTTTCAGTCCAAAGTATTTTCTAATTTCCCTTGAGACTTCCTCTTTGACTCATGGGTTATTTAGAAATGTACTATTTTGGGATTTTCCAGAAAACTTTCTGTGATTGATTTTTAATTTAATTCTGATACAAGAGAACATACTTTCTATAATTTCGATTATTTTTAATGTGTTAAGGCCCAGAAGATAGCCTATCTTGGTGAAAGTTCCATGTGTACTTGCAAAAAATGTGTATTTTGCTGTTACTTGTTGCTATGTTCTATAAAATGTCACTTAGATACAATTAGTTATGGTATTGGTCAATTTTTTATATCTTTACTGAATTTCTGTCTATAATTTCTATCTATTACCAACAGAGGAGTATTGAAGTCTCCTACCATATCTGTAGTTATGGTATGTCTCCTTCTCTTTTCAGTTCTATCAGCTTTTGCTTTGTGTATTTTGAAGCTCTGTTGTTACGTGCATTTACATTTAGGATTGTAATGTCTTCTTGGTAAATTAACTCTTTTACCAACTTGTAATGTCTCCCATGGTAATTTTATTTGTTCTGAAGTCTACTTTGTTTTATGTCAGTGTAGTCACTCCATATGTCGTTTGATTAGTGTTTGAATGGTACATTTTTCTCCCTATTCTTTTACTTTAATCTATCTGAAGTGAGCTGCTTATAGATAGCATATATTGTGGTTTTCTTTATCTGTTTGCTTGTTTGTTTAACCAATCTGACAATCTCTGTTTTTATTTGGTATGTTTAGACATTTACATGTAATGTAACTTTTGATATAGTTGGATTTAGGTCAGTCATTTTATTATTTGTTTTCTGTATGTCCCCTTCATTTTTGGTTTCTCTGTTTCCCCGTTTCTTGCCTTTATTTGGATTATTTCAATATTCTTTGGTATTTTATTTCAATTTATCTATTGTCACTTCTATCTATTGTCTCTTTGTATGTGTGTGTGTTTGCTCTAGGGATTGTAATACACTTACCTAACCATTGACAGTCTACTCAGAGTTACTATTTACCACTTTAAATAAAATGCAAATTCGTTAAAACCACATAAGTCTTTTTATCCTCCCACATTAATGTTACAGTTGTCATTTGAAGTATACTGTCGTTTGTAGAAAATGATGTCTAGGCATCTGGTGACTTGGGAGTTAATTTACAGTACAAAAAATCTCAGGTAATTAAGAGGGCTGTGAGAATGAGGCAATACAAAGATTAGAACAGAGGTTTTATTAGTGGTAATGTTAAGACTGTAGCAAGGAACCAGGAATTAAATGTTTTGGATACACAATGTCATTTGCTTCAAATAGCTTCAGTGCACTGCTTGGGAAAGAGGAGTGTGTGGGTGGTGAGTGGATTGCATATCTTGTAATCATAGTACTCAGAAAGGCTTAAGATTATCTTGTTACTTCTCTGTATTATTAATGTTGAAACACCCTCTAGAAGAAGAAGGTGAAAGGAGCAATTTCCCTGAAATAAGTGATGCTTGGCTTAACTCGCAAGCACAAAAACAGACAATTATTTCCATAAACTCTGTCCTGAGCTACATCTACAAAACCTATACCTGTGATGATGGAGGGAGGTTCCAGATTTCAGAGAAAATGAAAGAAATTTGTGCCATAAGCAGATGATCAGGTAATAGGGTAAACTGGGACATCCTTTCTGAACTGGGACATCCTAAATAAACCCAAAGCATGTACAACACTTAGCAATATACAACAATCTAACCTTGAATAATTACACAATTTTTCAATTCAAATTTTGATTTAAACCCCAGGACTAGCTTATTTATTTGACATAGCAGCTAAATTGTTACTTCTCTTGGAGACACCTTTGGCTTCTAGCTGCTCAAAATATATCTCAAGTTGCCCCTCCTTTGTCCTGAAGGCAGCCCCAGAATCCTCCCAGAAGTAAGCAGCTGTCAGGCCATGCTCTTTTCCCCTAGAATATCCTTTCAAGACTCTCCTCAAGCCAAAATAATAACCTTTCGACATCTCAGGTCTAGGAAAGTTCTAAAGTAAGCAATCAATACCATGGAAACAATCCTTTGACATCATTCCAGTAAATCCATCTTTGGGCTATGCAGCTTGTTTTACTGTAATGGTGTTATTTTGGGATTTATTGGCTTCCAGAACTGAGAAAAAGATATAGGAGCACTTTGAGCAAACTGCTCAGTTATGGAGAATGGGAAAAAAACCTCAAATATCTACACTATGTGCTGCTCTGTTGTTATTTCTTTCAGTTTTCTTATATTTTGACAAATTGTTTGATGTGAATTCATATTGTTTCTGTTTTTGTGAATCATAAACAGATCCTTAGACATGAATAAATATCTTTTTGCCAATGTGAATGAAAGAAAGCAGAAAAATTGCAGCTCATATATGCATCTGTATCATTCAAGACGGAAACCACATCAGTTATTTGAACAGAGAGAATATAATCCTTATCTAGGTATAAAGTTGTTAACAAAGTAAATGAAAGGGAAAAAAAAAGATGTCACAAAGGTAGCAACTGCAAGAAGCATTTACTACTCCTAGAATTGGGGAACAAAGGAAAGAAGTTAAAATTATTTGCATTTAGGAACTCAGAGGAGGAAGCAGAATTCTGAAGTGAGGACATCGGGCAGCTTATGCTGGTTCCTCTGAGAGGGTACAATGAATTTGATCCTGCAATATAGAGGAAAAACCCCAAACAGAATTAAGCTGCTGCCACAGAAAGGAACTGAAGCTGTTGGAATAAAGAACTGATGCTAGTGTGATGCCCACAGGAACAGGAAACATTCAGGAAGCCCACAGGAAGGAGTCTGTTTTTGTTCCTCTAGCATTGCAGCCTCTTGACAAAGTAAAAATGTGTATTTTAGAATTCTAAACCTAGCATCACATTGCAGACTATTGAAGGATAAGTGTGGATGTGAGAGATGAAAACTTAATAACTGACAGAACATCCCAACAACTTATTATCATTGCATTTAAATTAAGCAAGATGAAGATAGCAGATAGGCGATTTGGCTGCCTCATGTAGGGCTGCTAGGGCATTACCTTGAAAGAGCCCCCTTAGTCCAGGATTTGGTCCTCAGCTCTCTAGGCGCAGAAACTCAAGTTTGTCAGAACATCAAGAACTGACAAAGCTCAGATGGATGGACTCACATGATCCAACTTACATGGGACCATTGAACAATCCCAAATGCCAAAGTGTTCATTTATAGTGAGAAATACTACTACATAAATGTTTAAACTGGTGTATGCATTCCTTCATTTGTAGGAAAATGTGATAGTCAGAAGGTGGCTGATGGTCATAAAGTGAGAGTGGGAGAGTTGGTTGTCTGAGCTTCATAGCACAATTGTCTGACATATCTGACTCCATTAGAGAGATGTACTAGGCAAACTGACCAGATGCTCACATCAGCTAGTAAGCCTCCTCACCATGTGTATAGAGCCAGCAGAGTCCCCCCAAGTCTCAATCTTTCTCTCCTCTTTTCTTGGCTCCTGGCTGAGACCAGCCTTCTGTCAGCATATCTTTTCATGTAGTTAATATGTGGTTAGTTACAGTTTTATGTGTCCAAGACATACAGTCTTGGACAAGTTATTGAATCTTTCTGTTTTCTCTTCTTTAGATTGGGGACAATAATCCCTATTTGATGGGGCTTTATATGGATTAAAAGCAGTAGTCCATATACGTACTGATAGGAACAGTGCCTAACACACAGAAAGCTCCCAAAACATTCAAGTTCGATTCTTATTTTTACTCCTACTTTGATTATATTATTAAAACATTCTGCACTTTTGATAGATTTTTTTTATTTAAAAAGATAGGTTAAGGGGGCATTACTACAGATCCCATGGGCATTAAAAGGATAATCATGAAATACTGTGAACAACTCCATACCCACAAATTTGATAACCTAGATGAAATGGACCAAATCCTTAAGAAACACAATCTGCCAAAACTCACTCAGAAAAAACAAACAATTAAAATAGGACTGTACTTATTTTCAAAATTGAATCTATAATGAACAACCTTTCAAAACAGAAAGCACAAGGCTCTGATGGGTTTATTGGTGAATTCTATCAAACATTTAAGAAAGATATTATACCAATTCTCTATAATATCTTTAAGAGACCAGAAGGTGAGGAACTACTTTCTAACTCATTCTGTGGATCCAGGACAATCCTAATACTAAAACCAGACAAAGACATTACAAGAAAAGAAAACTACAGACCAATATCCCTCATAAACATAGATGCAAAAACCCTCAACAAAATATTAGCAAATTGAATCCAACAATGTATAAAAAGAATTATGTCCCACAGCCAAGTGGGATTTATCCCAGTTACGCAAGGCTGCTTCAACATTCAAAAACCAACTAATGTAATCTATCACATCGACATGCTAAAAAAAATCATATCAATAGATGCAGAAAAAGCATTTGACAAAATTTGACACCCATTCCTGATAAAAACTCTCAGTAAACTAGGAATGGAGGTAGACTTCCTTGACTTGATGAAGAATAGACACAAAAAAAACCTACAGCTAACATCATACTTAATGGTGAGAAACTAGATGCTTTCCTACTAAGATCAGGAACAGCGCAAGGATGTGTCCTCTCACCACTGCTTTTCCACATCATACTAGAAGTCCTAGCTAATGCAATGAGACCAGACAAGAAAAGAAAATGTATACAGTTTGGAAAGGAAGAAATAAAACTATATTTGTTTAGATGACGTGATTGTCTATGTAGAAAATCCAAAAGAATTGACCAAAAAAAAAAAAAAAGCTCTTGGAAGTAATAAATGATTCTAGAGATTGCAGTATGCAAGGTTAATATGCAAAAGTCAATTGTTTTCCTACATACTAGTAAGGAATAAGTGGAATTTGAAATTGAAAACACAGTATCACTTACATTAACACCCCTTAAAAATGAAATACTTAGGTATAAACCTATCAAAATATGTACAAGAACTAATATGAGGAAAACCACATAACTCTGATGAAAGAAATCAAAGAACTACATAGAGATATATTCCATGTTCATGGATAGTAAGTCCAAATATTGTCAAGATATAAGTTCTCCCTAACTTGATCCATAGATTCAATGCCACTTCAATCAAAATCTCAGCAAATTATTTTATAGATATTGACAAACTGATTGTAAAGAGAATGTATATGGAGAAGCAAAAGAACCAGAATTGCCAATAAATATTGAAGAAGAACAAAGTTAGAAGACTAACACTACCCAACTTCGTGACTTACTATAAAGCTACAATAATCAAGACAGTGTAGTATTGGCAAAAGAATAGACAAAGAGACCAAAGGAACAGAAATAGACCTAGCTAATAGCCCATAAATAAATCTACCTAAATATAGTCAACAGATCTCTGACAAAGGAGAAAAGGCAGTACAATGCAACAAAAAGTCTTTTCAAAAAATGGTGCTGAAACAACTGGACATCCAAAAATAAAAAAAAATTAATCTAGACACAGAACTTGCACTCTTGTGTGTTCTGAGTTAACACAAAAATTAACTTAAAAATCATAGAACAAAGTGTGAAACTCCTAGAAGCTAGAAACAAGCAAAACTGGGCGGCACGGTGGCTCATGCCTGTAATTCCAGCATTTTGGGAGGCCAAGGCAGGTGGATCACCTGAGGTTGGGAGCTCGAGAACAGCTTGGCCAACATGGCGAAACCTTGACTCCACTAAAAATACAAAAATTAGCCAGGTATGGTGGCGCACACCTAAAATTCCAGCTACGTGGGAGCCTGAGGCAGGAGAATCACTTGAACCTGGGAGGCGGAGGTTGCAGTGACCCGAGATCTCACCACTGCACTCCAGCCTGGGCAACACAGTGAGACTCCATCTCAAAAACAAAAGAAAAATGCAAAACTATAAAACTCCTAGAAAATAGAAAACCCAGATGACCTTGGGCATAGTGTTGACTTTTTAGCTACAACATCAAAGGTATGATTTATTAAAGTAATACTTGATAAGCTGTACTTCATTAAAATTAAAAACTTTTACTCTGGAAAAACAATGTCAAGGGAATAATTAGATGAGCCATAGACTGGAAGAAAATATTTATAAAAGGCACATCTGATAAAGGACTCTTACCAAAAATATACAATGAACTCTTAAAAGTCAACAATGAGTTAAAAAATTTCAATGGGCAGAAATGGAAGAACCCAATTTAAAAATCACCAAAAAGATAAACAAATGGCAAATAATATGAAAATATATTCAACAGTCTATATCATTAGGGAATTGCAAATTAAAACAATGATGATATACCACTATGCACATGTTAGAATGGCTCAAGTCTGAAACATTGACAACATCAAATGCTGATGAGTATGTAGAGCAACAGGAACTCTCTTTTATTGCTGGTAGGAATGCAAAAATGGCAAAGCCATTTTGAAAGACACTGACAGTTTCTTACAAAACCAAACATACTCTTACCGTATAATTTAGCAATCACACTCCTTGATATTTATCCAAATGGCTTGAAAACCTATGTCCATACAAAAACCCTGTTACATAAATGTTTATACCAGCTTTATTCATAATTGCCCAAACTTGAAAGCTACCAAGATGTCTTCCAGTAAGTGAATGGATAAACAAACTGTGGTACATCTAGACAATGGAATATTATTCCATGCTAACATGAAATGAGCTATGAAACCATGAAAAGACATGAAGAAAACTCTAATGCATATTACTAAGTTAAAAAGCCAATCTGAAAAGGGTGCATAATGGCTATGACCATATGACATTCTGGAAAAGGCAAAACTATGGAGACACTAAAAAGATCAGTGGTTACCAAGAATTGGGTGATGGGGAGGGATAAATAAGTAGAGTGCAGAGGATATTTTAGGGCAGTGAAAATATTCTGCATGTTACTATAATGATGGATACATGTCATTATACATTTGTCCAAACTCATAGGAGGTACAACACCAAGAGTGAACCCTAATGTAAATTATGGACTTTTAGTGATTATAGTGTGTCAATGTAGGTTTATCAGCTGTAACAAATATACCATGGGGTGACAGAGTAGGGTCGAGGAAGAAGTTGATAATTGGGAAGGCTATGATGCCTGTGTTGTGACAGGGGTTATATGAAAAATCTCTGTACCTTCCTCTCAATTTTTCTGTGAATCTACAACTGCTCTAAAAATATAACATCTCTTAAAAAAATAAGTTAAATGGCTGTATATAATTCCATTGAAAGTAGTTATCATTTAATTTAACCAGTAGCATTGTTAGGTAGTAAGACAGTTTTTAATTGTAATGTTTTGTTTCTGGTATCATGGCAGGATAAGTTCCCATATGGATACTCACACTGAAACAAATTAACCTGCTGATGACATATTCAAAAGCATCAAAGAGCTGGCAAGGAAGTAAAGAATATCCAGGTCAAACACTGTGTGAATACAGAAACCCAGAAGATCAAATACAAAGAAACAAACAAAAATCTTAAAAGCAGCCATGGATAAAAGGTAGCTTACTTTGATAGGAACAACATATTAAGAGCTATGTTTCCTAATTCAACAGTGGAAGCAAGAAGTCTGTGGAATAATTTCTCAGTGTGTCAAACCGTATTCATAAGCATTTACTTTAGCAAGCATCTGATGCTGGCAAACTGTTTCAGTGTTTTTATCTGAAAATATCTTATCTTGCTGTTATTGTGGAAAGGTATTTTCACTGGGTATAGAATTGTATGTTGATAGTGGTTTATTTTCTGGCACATTGATATTTCAATACACACACACACACACCTTTACATGTATTTAGTTTTACCAGAAGGAACATAACCTCAGACAGAAGGTGTGAAATGAAAACAAGTGAGAAATTTCAAAATGGCAATTATGTGGGTAAATCAAAACGATAGACTATGAAACAACACATATGTCAGTCATTGGAGATAATGTATTCAGTTTCCTACTGAAAAATACAAAAACTTCTTATTTGTGCAAATTTATAAGGCACATGAGAAATTTTGTTACATGTATATAATGCGTAGTGATAAAGTCAGGATATTCAGGGTATCTATCACCTCAGTGCAATACATTTTTTTTTTTTTTTTTTTGAGATGGAGTCTCACTCTGTCACCCAGGCTGGAGTGCAGTGGCGCAATCTTGGCTCACTGCAACCTCCGCCTCCTGAGTTCACGCCATTCTCCTGCCTCGGCCTCCCCAGTAGCTAGGACTACAGGCGCCCACCACCACGCCTGGCTAACTTTTTTGTATTTTTAGTAGAGACGGGGTTTCACCATGTTAGCCAGGATGGTCTTGATCTCCTGACCTCGTGATCCTCCCGCCTCGGCCTCCTAAAGTGCTGGGATTACAGGCGTGAGCCACCGTGCCTGGCAATACATTTTTGTTAAGTATAGTCATCCTACTCTGCTATCAAACATTGAATTTATTCCTTTAGAGCACATTAATTCCATGTATCCTCCTCATGACTATATGCAATTGTTTTAAATGTTTAAATTTTAAAATGGTATACACAACAATACTTTGAAATTAAAATACAAAAAGGCCAGGCAAGGTGGCTCATGCCTGTAATCCCAGCACTTTGGGAGGCCAAGCAGGGAGGATTGCTTGGGCCAGAAGTTTACGACCAGCCTGGGCAACTTGGCAAGGCCCTTTTTCTATCAAATAAAAAAAATTTAAAAATTAGCCAAGTATAGTGGCACACGCCTGTAGTACTAGCTACTTGGGAAGCTGAAGTGGGAGGACTGCTTGAGCCAAGGAGTTCAAAGCTGCAATGAGCTATGATTGTGCCACTGTACTCCAGCCTGAGCAACAGAGCCAGACCCTGACTCTTAAAAAAAAAAAAAGTGACAACAATTGCATAGAAGTCATAAAGGAAATAAACGGAGTTAACCTGTTCTAAGAACTTGTATTTTTCAGTAAAAAAAAAAATATTAGTAATAAAGACTGTACATGCATGTCTCTTATATTATTTTCTATATTTGATACATTTAAAATATTTAATAATCAAAATAAGTTATAAAAATTAGTGTGAAGTATTCATTAACTTTAGACTCGTAGAAATTGAATGTGTTTAATTTTTTTCTTAGTATAAGTTGGAAAATTTTTCATATCAATACATAGAAATCATCCTCATTTTTCAAATTGATAAATCATATTTTACTTATTCATGGGTTATATGTGAGTATTATATGCACAGACTGTGTAATAATTAAGTCAGGGTATTTGGGATATCCATCACCTGGGGTATTAATTATTTTTGTGTTTTTGGAACATTTCAAGTCCTCTCTTACAGCGACTTTGTAATATACAATACATTGTTACTAACTACCGTGACCATACTCTGCTATTAAACATTAGAACTTATTTCTTCTAACTGTATATTTGTACCCATTAACCAACTTCTCTTCACCCTCTTCTCCCACCCACATACTCTTCCCAGACTCTCGTATTTATCATTCTACTCACTACCTCCATGAGATCAACTTTTTTAGCTCTCACATATTAGTGATAACATATGGCATTTGCCTTTTTGTGCCTGGCTTATTTTACTTGACATAATGACCTCCAGTTCCATTCATGTTGCTGAAAATGACAGGATTTCATTTTTTTATGACTAAATGATATTCCATTGTGTATCAATGACACATTTTCTTTATTCATTTGTCCACTGATGAATACTTAGATTGATTCCACATCTTTGCTATTGTGAATGGTGCTGCAATACACATGCAAGTGCAGACATCCCTTCGGTATACTGATATTTTTCCCTTTGGGTAAATAGCCAGTAGTGGGATTGCTAGATCATATGGCAGTTCTATTTTTAGTTATTTGAGAAATCTTCATACTGTTTTCCATGGTGGTTATACTAATTTACATTCCCACCAACAGTGTATAAGAGTTCCCTTTTCTCTGCATCCTTACCAGCATCTGTTATTTTTTGTCTGTCAATGTCCTTTGCCTATTTAAAAACAAAAAACAAAAAAACAGGATCTTGCTGTGTCACCCAGGCTGGAGTGCAGTGGCACAATCTCTCCTCATTCCAACTTCCACCTCCCAGGCTCAAACAATTCTCCTGCCTCAGCCCCCAAGTAGCTGGACTACAGGAGCACACCACCATGCCCGGCTAATTTTTGCATTTTTTAGTAGAGAAGGGTTTCACTGTGTCACCCAGGCTCATCTTGAATTCCTGGACTTAAGGGATCCTCCCACCTTGGCCTCCCAAAGTGCTGGAATTACAGGCATGAGCCACCACACCCAGACTGCCCACTTTTTAATGAGATTATTTATTCTGGGGGCTTTTTGCTTTGTTTTGTTTTTGTTGTTGAGTTGTTTGATTTCCATTATATGTTCTGGATATTAGTCCGTGGTTGGATGAATAGTTTGCAAATATTTTCTCCCATCCAACAGGTTGTCTCTTCACTCTGTTGATTGTTGCTGTTGCTGTGCAGAAGCTTTTTAGTTTAATATAGCCCCATTTGTCCATATTTGTTTCAGTTGTCTGTGCTTTTGAGGTCTTAGCCACAAAATATTTGCCTAGACCAATGTACTAAAATGTTTCCTTTATGTTTTCTTCTAGTAGTTTTACAGTTTTGAGTATATGTTTGAGTCTTTAATCCATCTTCAGTTGATCTTTTTATATGGTGAGAAACAGTTTCACTTTCACTCTTCTGCATATAGATATCCAATCTTCCCAGCACTATTTACTGAAGAGGGTGTCCTTTCCCCAATATATGTTCTCAGTACCATTATGAATATCAGTTGGCTGTAAATATGTGAATTTATTTCTGTGTTCTATATTCTGTTTCATTGGTCTGTGTGTCTGTTTTTATACCAATATCATGCTGTTTTGGTTCTTATAAGCTTGTAATATTTTCTGAAGTCAGGTAGTGTGATTCCTCCAGCTTAGTTCTTTCTTCCTTAGGATTGCTTTGGCTAGTTAGGCTTTTTTTTTTTTCTTTTTTTGGTTCCATATAAATTTTAGAATTTTTTAAAAATTTTGTGAAAAATGACATTGGTGTTTTGATATTGATTGTACTGAATCTGTAGATCACTTTGGGAAGCATGGTCATTTTACTGATATTAATTCCTCTGAGCCATGAGCGTGGGATGCCTTTCTATTTGTTTCTGTCATCTTCAATTTCTTTCACAAGTGTTTTGTACTTTTCCTAGTAGAGATTTGTTACTTCCTTTGTTAAGTGTATTTTTAGGTAATTTATTTTGGTAGCTGTTGTAAATGGGATTGCTGCCATTTTTTTTTTTTTTTTTTTTCTTTTGAGACAGATTCTTGCTCTGTTGCCCAGGCTGGAGTGCAGTGGCTCAGTCTTGGCTCACTACAACCTCCGCCTCCTGGGTTCAAGCAATTCTCCTGCCTCAGCCTCCTGAGTAGCTGGGATTACAGGCACGTGCCACCACGCCCAGCTAATTTTTGAATTTTTAGTAGAGATGGGGTTTCACTATGATGGCCAGGCTGGTCTTGAACTCCTTGACCTCAGGTGATCCTCCTGCCTCTGCTGTCCCAAAGTGCTGGTGTGAGCCACGGTGCCTGGTTGGGATTGCTTTCTTGATTTCTTTCTCAGCTAGTGCATTATTGGCATAGAAAAGATACTGATTTTTGTATGTTGATCTTGTATCCTGCAACTTCATGGAATTAATTATCATATCTATGAGTTTTTTGGTGATGTCTAAGTTTTTCTAGCTATAAAGTTATATCATCAGCAAGAAGGAATAATTTGACTTCCTCTTTTCCAATTGGTATGCCTTTTTATTTCTTTCTTTTGCCTGATTGCTCTGGCTAGGACTTTCAGTACTATTTTGAATAAGAGTGATGAAAGTGGGCATCCTTTTGTTTTCCAGTTCCTAGAGGAAAGGCTTTCTGCTTTTCTTCATTCAGTATCATGTTACTTGCAGATTTGTCATATATGGCCTTTATTATGTTGTGGTATGCTCCTTTTACACCTAGTTTGAGGTGGGTCATTAGATTGTTTATTTGAAATCTTTTTACTTTCTTTATGTGGGTGCTTATTGCTATAAACTTCCCTCTTAGCACTGCTTTTGCTATATCTCCTTTCAAGAAATTTTTTAATTTCTTACTTAATTTCTTCCTTAACCCAGTGGTCTTTCAGGAACATGATTAATTTCCATGTATTTGTAGTTTCCAAAGTTCCTCTTGTTACTGATTTCTATTTTTATTCCATTGATGTCTGAATAAATACTTAATATAATTTTGATATTTTTAACTTTGTAGAGATTTATTTTATGTCCTAACATACAGTCTGTCCTGGAAAATGTTCTACATGCCAATGAGAAGAATGTGTATTCCATAACTGTTGGGTGAAATGTTCTGCAAATGTCTGTTAGGTCTATTTAGTCTAAAGTACAGTTTAAATCTAATGTTTCTTTGTTAATTTTCTGTCTAGATTCTGTTTAATGCTGACAGCGGGTGTCAAAGTCCCCAACTATTAGTGTATTAGAGTCTATCTCTCCCTTTAAAACAAAAAATATTTGCTTTATGTATCTGGGTGCTCCAGGATTGGGTACATATATGTTTCGAATTGTTACATCCTCTTGCTAATTGATTCTTTCTCATTATATAGTGACCTTTTTTATTGTTATTTTTTGTTACTGTTTTTGACTTAAAGTCTGTTTAATCTGATTTAAGTATAGCTACTCCTGCTTGCTTTTGGTTTTCATTTGCATGGAATATCTGTTTCCATCCCTTTACTCTCAGTCTATGTGTGTCTTTACAAGTGAGATGAATTTCTTGTAGGCAGCATAAACTTGGGTCATATTTTTAAAAAATCCATTCAGCCAGTCTATATCTTTTAAGTGGAAAGCTTAATCCATTTACATTCAAAGTTATTATTGATATATGAGGATTTATCCCTGAAATTTTATTCAATGAAATGTGAATTGTATCTCAATAAAACTGTTATTAGAAGCACAATAAGATACCATTCTGTACCCTAGATTAGCAAAAATGAAAATGTTTGACAATTTCACTTACTGATGAGGATATGGTACAAATGAAACTCTCATAGACTGAAATGTAAATTAGCAAAATCACTTTGGAAAACAGTTTATGTTTGTATTGTCTAGAAAAGTTGAACATATGCTAAGCTAGTAGTTCTACTTCTATAGTTCTACTTCTATGATTATACCCAAGAGATATTCTTGCATATGTGTAGCAGTAAATGTGAATAAGTATGCTTTAGAAGCATTGCTCATAATAGCAAAAAAAGATAACCAAATATTCATCAAAGTAGAATGCATGAGTATCATACAGCAGTAGAAATGAATGAACTGAAACTACACACATTGACATGAAGAATCTCAAAGACAATGTAGAGCAAAAGA
Organism: Homo sapiens; assembly: GCF_000001405.40. NCBI lineage: Eukaryota > Metazoa > Chordata > Mammalia > Primates > Hominidae > Homo > Homo sapiens. Next base: position 77,809,335 of record NC_000005.10, read on the forward strand.
AGCAAATTACACACAATCACAGACAGCATGTTTGCATTTATATTAACTTCAAAAGCAGACAAAACTAAACATTAGGGCCGGGCGCGGTGGCTCACGCCTGTAATCCCAGCACTTTGGGAGGCCGAGGCGGGCGGATCACGAGGTCAGGAGATCGAGACCATCCTGGCTAACACGGTGAAACCCCGTCTCTACTAAAAATACAAAAAATTAGCCGGGCGAGGTGGCGGGCGCCTGTAGTCCCAGCTACTCGGGAGGCTGAGGCAGGAGAATGGCGTGAACCCCAGGGGGCGGAGCCTGCAGTGAGCCGAGATTGCGCCACTGCACTCCAGCCTGGGCGACAGCCAGACTCCGTCTCAAAAAAAAAAAAAAAAAAAAAAAAAAAAAAAAAAAAAAACTAAACATTATATCTTGGAGAGATATATTCAAACATGGTAAAACTTCAAAAGAATGGCAAAGAAAAGATTGCTCAAACATTAGCCCAATTGTTAGTCCTGGCAGGGAAGAGAGGCACAATATTGGGAAAGAACATATGGAGAGCAATGTTTTACTTGTTATCTTGGATGGTGGCTACATAATCACTTACTTTGTTACTGAGAGGTGAAGCCAGCTGGACTTCCTGGGTCAAGTGGGGACTTGGAGAACTTTTGCGTCTAGCTGAAGGGTTGTAAATGCACCAATCAGCACTCTGCAGAAACGCACCAATCAGTGCTCTGTGTCTAGCTAAAGAATTGTAAATGCACCAATCAGTGCTCTGTAAAAATGCACCAATCAACACTCTGTGTCTGACTAAAGGATTGTAAATGCACCAATCAGTGCTCTGTAAAAATGCACCAATCAGTGCTCTGTGTCTAGCTAAAGGATTATAAACGCACCAATCAGCACTCTGCCAAATGGACCAATCAGCAGGAAGTGGGCGGGGACAAATAAGGGAATAAAAGCTGGCCACCCCAGCCAGCAGCAGCAACCCACTCGGGTCCCCTTCCACGCTGTGGGAGCTTTGTTTTTTCACTCTTCACAACAAATCTTGCTGCTGCTCACTCTTTGGGTCCGTGCCACCATTAAGAGCTGTAACACTCACCGTGAAGGTCCGCGGCTTCATTTTTGAATTCAGTGAGACCAAGATCCCGCCAGAAGGAACAAACTCTGGACACATCTTGGCGACCACGAAGGGACTATTGCCAAGCAGTGAGTACCATTGGACCTCTTTCACTTGCTATTCTGTCCTATTTTTCCTTAGAATTCGGGGGCTCAACACCGGGCACCTATCAACCAGTTAAAAGCCACTAGCATGGCCGCCGGACTAAAGAAATGGGTGTCAGCCTTTCTGGGAAGGGCTCTCTAACAACCCCGGACTCTTCAGAGTTGGGAGTGTTGATTTTCCTGGAACCAGATTCCGCTTTTCCTGTACTTCTGGGCTGAACCAAGGGTCGACAGAGAAGAAAGCCATTCAGCTCCGGGGTCCCGACAAAAAGTTGGTTGTTGCTTGACCCTGTAGTCATGAGCAGAACTCTCAAAGTCACGTCACCCAACCGAGACTCATCCATCTATCCTATCTATCCTGACCCTTGCCTCCTGGGTCTTAATGCCTGTCAGACAAACTTCCTCCCAACTCTCTTCTCTGAGGCTAGTCCCACTTCTAAAAACAACTCCCAGTTTCTGGTGCTTTACTAGTTTCTCCTATAAGAATGATTTCTAGTATAAACTTCAGCACTCTGTTCCCTTCTTTAGGAACCTGGGCTCACCAATCAGAAAGACATAATTTTTGCCCAAAGCCCCATCAGGAGCCAGTGGGGGACTATCTGGAACTTTAGGATCCCTCCTCAGACTAACAGGCCTAACAAAAGCTATTCCTGAAGCTAGGATATGGAGAGCCTCAGAAATGATATCCTTCCTATTCATATGATGAGAAATGAGGACAAAAGACACTCTTCCAACCCTGGAGATCCCTTCCCTCCCTCAGGGTATGGCCCTCCACTTCATTTTTGGGGCATAACATCTTTATAGGACAGGGGTAAGGTCCCAGTACTAACAGGAGAACACTAAGGACTCTAACAGGTTTTTGAGAGTGCGTCAGTAAGGGCCACTAAATCCGATCTTCCTCACTCCTTTTTGTGGTCTAAAGGAAAATTAGGGTTTCTGCTGCTGTGTTGGTGAGCGCAACTATTCTGATGAGTGGGTTCAGAGACCGTTGTGGATTCTTGGGCAAGAGGGGTTTCTGCTGCTGCGTTGGTGAGTGCAACTATTCCGATGAGCAGGGTCCAGGGACTGCTGCAGGTTCTTGGGCAAAAGGGGTTTCTGCTGCTGCATCGGTGAGTGCAACTTTTCCAATCAGCAGGATCCAGGGACCGTTGTGGGTTCTTGGGCAAGAGGGGTAAACAAACCAAAACCATGGGCGGGTTTTCTTTCAGATGGGAAACATTCTGGCATCAACAGGCTTACCCTCGAAATGCATCCTAAGCCATTGGGACCAATTTGACCCACAAACCCTGAAAAAGCAGTGGCTCATTTGTTTCCACACTGCGGCCTGGCCCCAGTATTCTCTCTCTGATGGGGAGAAATGGCCACCTGAGGGAAGTATAAATTACAATACTATCCTGTAGCTTGACCTTTTCTGTAAAATGGAAGGCAAATGGAGTGAAATACCTTATGTCCAAGCTTTCTTTTCATTGAAGGAGAATCCACAACTATGCAAAGCTTGCAATTTACATCCCACAGGAGGACCTTTCAGCTTACCCCCATATCCTATCCTCCTATAGCTCCCCTTCCTATTAATGATAAGCCTCCTCTAACCTCCCCTGCCCGGAAGGAAACAAGCAAAGAAATCTCCTAGGGACCACAAAACACCCTTGGCTATCAGTTATGTCCCCTTCAAGCTGTAGGTGGAGGGGAATTTGGCCCAACCCGGGTACATGTCCCCTTCTCCCTCTCTGATTTAAAGCATATCAAGGTATATCTGGGGAAGTTTCCAGATGATCCTGATAGGTATATAGATGTCCTACAGGGTCTAGGGCAAACCTTCGACCCTCACTTGGAGAGATGTCATGCTATTGTTAGATCAAACCCTGGCCTTTAATGAAAAGAATGTGGTTTTAGCTGCAGCCCTAGAGTTTGGAGATACCTGGTATCTTAATCAAGTAAATGATAGAATGATAACCAAAGAAAGGGACAAATTCCCTACTGGTCAGCAAGTCATTCCCAGTATGGATCCCCACTGGGACCTCGACTCAGATCATGGGGACTGGAGTCACAAACATCTGTTGACCTGTGTTCTAGAAGGACTAAGGAGAATTAGGAAAAGCTCATGAATTATTCAGTGATGTCCACTATAACTCAGGGAAAGGAAGAAAATCCTTCTGCCTTCCTTGAGCGGCTACAGGAGGTCTTTAGAAAATATACTCCCCTGTCACCTGACTCACTCAAGGGTCAATTAATCCTAAGAGAGAAGTTTATTACCTAATCAGCTGCAGATATCAGGAGAAAGCTCCAAAAGCGAGCCCTGGGCCCTGAACAAAATGTGGAGGCATTATTAAACCTCACAAACTTGGTGTTCTATAATATGGACCAAGAGGAACAGGCTGAAAAGAAAAAGTGAGATCAGAGAAAGGCTGCAGCCTTAGTTATGGCCCTCAGACAAACAAACCTTGTTGGTTCAGAGAGGACAGAATATGGAGCAGACCAATCACCTGGGAGGGCTTGTTATCAGTGTGGTTTGCAAGGACACCTTAAAAAAAGATTGTCCAACAGAAACAAGCTGCCCCCTCACCCATGTCCACTATGCTGATGCAATCACTGGAAGTCACACTGCCCCAGAGGACAAAGGTTCTCTGGGCCAGAAGCCGCCAACCAGATGATCCAACAACAAGACTGAGGGTGTCTGGGGCAAGCACCAGCTCATGTCATCACCCTCACTGAGCCCTGGATAAGTTTAACCATTGAGGGCCAGGAAATTGACTTCCTCCTGGACACTGGTGCGGCTCTCTCAGTGTTAATCTCCTGTCCTGGACAGCTGTCCTCAAGGTCCATTAGCATCCAAGGAATCCTGGGACGGCCTATAACCAGGTGTTTCTCTCACTTCCTCAGTTGTAACTGGGAGACTTTGCTCTTTTCACATGTCTTTCTTGTTATGCCTGGAAGTCCCACACCCTTATTAAGGAGGGACATATTAGCCAAAGCTGGAGCTATTATGTACATGACTATGGTGGACAAGTTACCCATTTGTTCTCCCATGCTTGAGGAAGGAATCAACCCTGAAGTCTGGGCATTGGAAGGAACAAACTCAAGCTCCAGCCTTAAGCCTTCCCACAGGACAAAACTTCTCTTTATAAGTCACAGACAGAGCAGGAATAGCTCTTGGAGTCCTTAATCAGACTGTGCCATCTTTAAGAGCTGTAACACTCACCACGAAGGTCCATGGCTTCATTCTTGAAGTCAGTGAGACCAAGAACCCACCGGAAGGACCGAACTCGGGACACATTACTACTCTTTAAAATGAACTCAAATGTGGTGTGCATGCTTCTGTATATGAGGTATATTTCACAATGAAATGCAACATTCGTTAAGTGAGTCTCCTGGTATGTAAATCTTGGCATATATCTGATTATTTCATTAGGCTAATTTCTTAGATGTTGAATAACTGGGTCAAAAGATGTTAACATTTTCAAGGCTCTTACTTGCCAAATTACCATTTAGAAAGATTGTACCCATTTCCCTTCCCAGTAACAATGCATCAGAGCTCCTGGCCATGTTGCTTGGGAAAGTCATCTACCCTTGCTTTTCCCATGTGCAGCTACCTCCCCCTTACTCCTTAACCCACTGTATTCTGATTCTGGCTTCCAACCAAAATCTCTCTCTCTCTCTCTCTCTCTCTCTCTCTGTGTGTGTGTGTGTGTGTGTGTGTGTGTGTGTGTGTGTGTGTCTTTTAGGCTATCAATATCCTCCTATTTATGAAATTTGATGATCACGTTTTTTCTCCAATGATTTAGGAGATATGTTAGCCCTAAAGAGGTTTCCAGATGGCTAATATCATCTATCATGTATGGCTTTTAACTTTTTTTGTTCTTAGATCATAATTGGCTCTCAGTTCTTGGAGAATCTTCCTATGGCTTCCTAAAAATTACATCAATTCCCAAGGGAAAAAATAGTAGCTAGTAGACAGGTTTAAATAGTAGATAGAATTCTTCTCCTCTTTCATCATCATCATCATGGATAATCATCACTTACTCATTAGTCAGCTTCATGAATCTTGGCTATATTCATTGACAGGCAATTTTTAAGTACGGTGGTAGCTAGTCTGCAAAAATGGGCCCCAGTGCACCAGGTTTCCTGATAGTCACACTGTTGTATATTTCCCTTCCACGTGGAATCTGGCCTTGCTCTATAACTTGCTTTCATCAAAGGTATGTGGCAGAAGTGATGTGCCAGTTCCAGCAATATTCCTTGATAGGACCTGGCACCTTCAGCTTTTGTGCTGTTGGTAATTGTTTGTCACAATGGAAGAAGTTTAGCTACCCTTTTGGATAAACCACATGGAGATACCATGTGGAGAAGCCATGTGGAGAGGGAGAGGTCTTGAGATTACATGGAGAAAGAGAATCCCAGCCACCTCGCATCCAACTAGATCTAGATCTAGCCTTCTAGCCATCCCTACCAAAGCACCAGACATGTGAGTGAAGCCATTTTGAATGCTCTAGCCTAGCCACCACCTGACTGCAACTGCATGAGAAACTGAAAGACAGACCAGCAGAAGAATCATCCAGCTGAAGCCAGCCAACTTAGAGAATTGTGTGAGTTGACAATAAATTGTTTTCGGCCACCGAGTTTTGACATGTTTTGTTACACAGGAATGGAGAATGGAAAAAATTCCCTTCAATGTTGTTCCTCATATTTAACTGTTGGGATATGGCAAAGATTTTGTTTGATCAGAACTAAAGCTTGAGATTCTCATAGACTGGATTAAGTACATCTCTCTGCAGAAAAGGAAGGTGTTCTAGAAAACAACCATGAGGGGTTACATTATATAAAGGGGTAACATCTGTACAAAAACCTGTAGGATGCAAGAGACCCAGATATGTGAGCTGGAGAAAGGGCATCTCAGATACAGTGCAAAGACTCTGAGATGAGAAAAAGCTTAGTGCACTCTGAGAATGGAGACAACTACCTATAGGAGCAAAGCCATGGAGGCAGGGGGAGCCCGGCTTTATTGGTTCCCACATGGTAAAGCCTGAGACTTAGATTCTGAATTCTTTTTCTGAGATTAGTTAGTGACAGTAATCTCTTCACTTCTACTGGGAATGGAAAAAGATTGGAGTGTCTGAAGAGTTTAAGTAACATGATGAAGGATATAGATTACAAAAGCAATGGTCAAGTAAACCTACTTCTGAACTGGCTTCTACCCCATACCAATAGTATGTCCTCAATAGACACCTTCTCCCTTACATCAGTTGGGGTAAAGTACAATAAATAAAAACTTCTATAGGTATTTCAAGCATTCAGGTATTTGATGCAGGGAGTTGGGTGCTTAAAGAATCAATAGAAGCAACCACAATGTTCCTCAGAAGGTGAATGGATAAATAAACTACAGTACATGCAGACAATGGAATATTATTCAATCCTAAAAAGAAATGAACTATTGGCTGAGTGCAGTGGCTTAGGCCTGTAATCCCAGCACTTTGGGAGGCCGAGCTGGGCAGATCACTCTCACTCAGGAGTTCGAGACCAGCCTGAGCAACATGGTGAAACCCCATCTCTACCAAAAATACAAAAAATTAGTCAGGTGTGGGGGCATGCACCTGTGGTCCCGGCTGCTTGGGAGGCTGAGGTGGGAGGATTTCTTGAACTTGGGAGGCAGAGGCTACAGTGAGCCGAGATCACACCACTGCACTTCAGCTTAGGTGACAGAGTAAGACCCCATCTCAGAAAAAAAAAAAAAAAAAAAAGGAAATGAACTATCAAGTCATGAAAAGACATGGAGTAAGCTTAAATACTTAAATGTATATTATTAAGGAAAAAGCCAGTCTGGAAGGACTATATATTATAGATTCCAACTATATGACATTTTTGAAAAGGCAGAGCTATGGTGACAGTAAAAAGATCAGTGGTTGGCAGGAGTCGGGGTTAAGGGGAGATGAGGAATGAAGGCACAGAGGATCTTTAGGGCAATGACACCATTCTATATGATACTATAATGGTGAATATGTGTCATTATACATTTATCCAAACCTACCAAATGTAAAACACTGAGTGAACTCTCATGTAAACTAGGAACTTTGGGTGATAATGAGGTATCGGTGTAGGTTCAGTTATAAAAAAATATACCATTCTGGTGGGGGATATTGGTTGTGGAAGAGGCTGTGCCTGTGTTGCGGGGAGGGAGTATATGATAAATCTTTGCACTTTACAATCAGTTTTGCTTTGAACCTAAAACTACTCTAGAAAAATAAAGTCTATTAAAAAATGAAACAAAGCAAAAATCAGGCATCAGCTGGGCCTTCAGAAATGACTCCCAAAACAACCTGCTGAGCTGGCTCATCAGGGTGTGTCCCCTCTGCCACTGCCAGGAAGGTGAGGAATCAGGAAACCACTGCTGGAAAGATCAAGCCCCAGAACACATCACTGTAGCTATGAGATTCAGAGATCAGGAAGCTGTCACCCCCAAAACTCAAAATTTGTACAACTCTTGAAGTTGGAGACAACACTCTGGAATGCTGCTGCACAAAAACTCAAAGTCTCCACGGCCTATGTTGCCAGAAGAAAACATCTAAAATCAGCAAGAGGGTGGCCTCTGCCTTATTTCTGCTTTTCACATCTCCCAACAATGCATGTAAGGGGCAGAACTTAATTTGCATGCAGAATTACGACAGCAAAGGACCTTAGAAAATGTAGCATTAGCTTTCCAGCCTCTGCAGTGCGGGAAAGCACAACAGAAGGAGGAATTGATGCCTAGTGCCCTTCGGCTACACCCTTCGTTGACCTGACTATCCACACTCCAGCCCCTGGAGTGCATGGGGGTGAAGCTGCACTACCGAGGCTTCTATCACTACCATGTTTTCTGTCCACAAAAATCAAGAGACTTCTCAAAAGGTGAAGGCAGAAACCTCCCATCTCTGGTTAAATGTACCTTGTCAGGCCAGTCCTCTCACTCTCTCCCAGTCATGTTGTGATGCCATGAGAATGGACTTCACAGACCTCTAACTACAGGTTGTTAATTGACCAAAGGCCCCAACTGCTGTGCTATGAAGGCCTTCCCGGCTTCTCATAGGCTGCTCACAGCCAATGACTGGGAGCGCAGAGACACAAATGCAGCCTGTTCCTGGGAGGCGTGGGACTCCTCTGATGTCCAGCTTTGGCTCAAGAACTCCCTGACAGCCTTTCCCTAATCTATACAGGGTAGTCTAGGATACTTCAATCAAACTTCCTTCCCTTTCTCCTTCCCTCAGGGTCAGACCTGCATCACAGTCCAGTGGTTTTCCAAGCCTTCTCCAGGCCCTTCTTATTTTCTCTCACAGGCATTTCTCCTAATAAAAATCCTTGCACACTGAACTCTATTTTGGTGTCTGCTCCTTGGGAAACCTGAACTAATACATGTACCTTGTTCATTTCAGACTTAAATCTTTGCTCTCTGCTCCTGCCTTTGTGCCCTCCTGCAATATCCTGCAACATTGTCTCCACCTATTCAATCCTATCCATATTTTGGGCCCTGTACTAATCCTACCTCTTCCATGAAGTCTTCCTTGAGTACCACTGTTTACATAGGCCGTGGACCAAACTTCCTCTTCCTCCCAGCCTCAGCTATTTTCAAAGGTCTTCTCTTGTCTTCTCTTTCAAGGATTTTGAGCATATATTTAGCTCCCCTTACATGTGAGTGCAAGGAGTAGGTCATACATTTCCTTAGTAACTCCCAAAGTGCTTTTTAATGGAAGAGAGGAGAGAATATGGTAGTTCTATTTAAATCTTTATTAAAATGATTAAATAGATTGTAATTTCAGAAATGAAAATTCTAGCAACAAATAGAAGCTCTTTTCTACCCAGTAAACTAGCTAAGATCTTTAAAGGCACTGGACAATAAGTCCCCCTCATTAACCTTCAGTGAGTACGTAAGATGATATAAACTGACCTGAAGCCAATTCTAAAATATATAGCAGAAGCCTAAAAGTGTACATTTTCTTAACTCAACTATTTTATTTCTAGGACTATATCCCAAGGGAACATATAAGTTACAAAGACTGTCATATCAGGATAGCAGAGGTAGAGCAAGAAGCAGGTACTCTTTATGGATGGGCATCTGTGTCGAGGAAACAGACCCATAGGAGATGGGTCACACACAGATAAGCTGCTGCTGCTGCTACTGCTCTTCCTCCCTTCCCTCCTCCTCATTCTCCTCTCCTCCATAGTTAAGCTGTAATTTGTCTTCCATTCATTCCTAGACCCACTGAGGAGAAACAGAGACAACCCCTAGCCAAAGAGGAGAGCTAAGGGTTATAGTATTTTCCCACTCCAGGCAAGACTCTGGGTGTGCAGATGGTAGAGAATGGTGGGATGGGATAGTTAGGATAGCCTGTAGGCCTTTAAAGAAGTGGAATTCTTCCTCATCAAGTCAGGGGAGGAACCAGACCTTATTGGTGTCAGCAGCACAGACTGAGTGCCTGTCCTCAGTGCTGCCCTAGAGCATAGCCACTGGGCTCCCTCTTTTATGGAGTCAGGCATTCAGAGGCCAGGCCGCCCAGGCACAAGCATCCACTAAAGCTTCAAAAGTTATATGGCTAAATGCCAACCACACTCTTATGTTTCAAACCCAGCATGGGTATCTTAAATCAAAGTGCTGTATTATCATTAATCTCTATCAGAAAATTTTATATTTAAAGTCTACTGTCTCCAGTACTTTAGAAGACAATATGGTGACCAAAGAAAAAAGTCTTATTAACAAATGGCATGTATGCGGGGCTTCAGGCCCCTAAAAGGGGATTATCCTGGCAATCCCTTACTAAGACATTGAGCATATTTGCTCAAACATGGGTCTTTTAAGATGTAATAAGAATTCATTTGTTATTTATTTATTTATTCACCCATTTGACAAGTACTTGCAAAGTGCCCTCTGTGCACCAGGCACTATTCTAAGCACTAGTGAATAAGACAGCTTCCTACTCTCAGCAGGTGCAGAGACAGACGATAAGCTAAATAATAAATAATCTCATCTTGGTGAATAGTAAGTACTAGAAAGTAAGACTAGAATAATCTAATAGAAAGTGACTGTGGAGTAACATGACTTATATGAATCAGGGCCTCAGAGCCCCTCTACAGAGGAAATGTTTGGTGAGAAGGAGCCAGGCATGGACAGGGCTGGGGAAGAATGGTCAAGCAAAGGCTTGAGATGTTTTTTTCCTTCTTCCTTATACTTGTTGGTATTTTACGACTTCTAATTATTAAGCATACATTACTTTCTTAAGAAGGAAAAAAATTATAATAAAAAATAAACAGAAGAAAAAAAACATTGCTGAATTAAATCCCTGGGATAATTTTTTTAAGAGATCAATTCTGGCCCAGCGTGGTGGCTCACACCTGTAATCCCAGCACTCTGGGAGGCTGAGGCAGGTGGATCACCTGATGTCAGGAGTTTGAGACCAGCCTGGCCAACATGGCAAAACACTGTCTCTATTAAAAATACAAAAATTGGCAGGGTGTGGTGGCAGGTACCTGTAATCCCAGCTACTTGGGAGGCTGAGGCAGGAGAATCACTTCAGCCCGAGAGGGGGAGGTTGTAGTGAGCTGAGACTACCCCACTGCGCTCCAGCCTGGGCGACAGAGCAAGACTTCATCTCAAAAAAAAGAGATAAATTCTCATTTCTTGTGAGGCAGGGTTCTGTCTGAGATTAGGTGGGTTCTAAACATCCTTGATATCAAATGAGATGGCGAGTGCTTGTCCTCAAACTTTGGCTTGGCCATGCCTTTTTTCACCCCAAAGAACAACGTGCTCTTCCTTCTCACATGACATAGCACCACAATGTTCTATTTCAGTTAATATATAGCACGAGTCTATCAATTTTCTCCCAATTCATCAGGGTTCTCTCTAAATAGCATTTTACTTGTCAGAAAGCCCGTCTGATCCCTGAAAAGAAAGCACTTTCTCACACATTCAGAAGGTAACAGCTCATAGCTTCACTACTCCCTTTGCATAGCTTCATAGCTTCATAGCTTCATAGCTTCATAGCTCATAGCTTCATTACTCCCTTTGCAAGGCCCATGGCACAGGTTGCTGAGCCTTGGGATGTGGGGCACTCATGGTGGGGATTAGGGCACTTGTGCCCAGCTGGTGGATGGCATGGTCTTCGTAGGCTGGGATGGGCTACAAAGAGACCACGAGCATCCTGGGTGTCTTGGGGATGTTCTGCCAGAGCAAGTCAGGAGGGAGACCAAAGGTGGGCTGGCAGTTTATTCACCGCAGAGTTTCTCACAAGACATTGACTAGGATGCACCCATCTGTGAGATTCTAAACTTACCCCGCATTGAAAACCAGAGGCCAATTTGGTTACGTAACTGTGAATGCAGCAGGGAAAAAATTGTTGGCTTATCCCTACTGAAAACGCACAACAGAATTGTTCTGTGCAAACCCAGCCTAGCTATGATATAACCCAAAAGTCTCTCCACCCAGTTTGAGGGTTTTAGGAAAGGGTGCTCTAGTTGCTTGGACCCAGATTTACTAAAGTGGATGCTCTCATCTGCCAGATTGAACTTTGGCCCTTTCCATTCCTTATCCATCTCTGCAGGAGCTTCCAGAGGGAGAGCTGACAGCTGATGTGTCATCAGAGCTGCTGGTCTCCTCTCAGTGGTCTCTGGCTTCTGCTCCTGCTCACTCCCTCTCTGGCTCTGGATTCACCTAGGGTTAGTGTCAGGGCAGAAGCTCTGTAGGCCCCCTTCCACACTGCTTCTACGAGGCATTTTCTCATAGTCCCTGACAGCACATCTCCACTGCTTACCTTCCTGACTGGTTCTGGCTCTTTCACAGGAAGTCCTTTCGGAGTAAGAGCTGGAGCTCCCAGATACATTCCCCTCTGTCCTGCTCTCCTTCTGGACCCCTGAACCATGCAAGGGGAAGCTCGAATGGGGAGTGTCCAGCTGCAGCCTCACTACACTTGCTGCCTAATGGTGCTCTTCCAGACTCCCATTCATTCGTGGTGGCTTTTCTCTTAGCAGCCTCTTTCCCCTCTGCTAATTGGCTTCCCCTAGACAATCGCTCAGGCCGTCAGACATGTAGGTACAGGTCTGAACCTCAATTCTGGACATGGCTAAAGTCCTTTCCCATAAAATGATACCCAGCCTATCTGGGGATGTTGCAGGGTTTCTGTTTGAAAGAGGCCATGTCTAGGCCTGCTCTTAGAAAGCCTGTGAATGGCCATAAATGATAAACTCCTTGGCTCCAACAGTTCAAGCACAGCTAAAGGCAATGTTGCTTCAGTGCTGGCACAGCAAGAATTTCAAGACCCAGACCCCAGATATTGGGCTTGAGTGATGTACCAAGCCCGATATCTGGTACTTGGGTACCAGGTGGTACATGGTCCTGCAGGGATGAGCAGGCACCATTCTAGGTTTTTCTGGCCTGTATGACAAGGTCCTGCCACGTGAGCTGTCAAGAACACTCATTTGTGCCCCATAAATATATATACCTACAATGTACCCACAGAAAATAAACACTAAAAGAAACTTTTAAAATAAAAAAATTATAATAATTTTAAAAGAACATTTCATTTATGGCATGCTTCTAAAAATCACATTCACCTCCTTCCACCCTTGTCTTGTTTATAGCTTCTGATTGCTTATTTACTGCTTTAAGAGGTAACCAAATTATAAGCAACCTTGAAGTGAAACCAGATGACCCTTCTCACCCATACTTAAGTCAGACAACACTCCGCAGGCTGACCTAGCACAAGGCTCAGTGTCCCCAACTTTGTCAGATCAGAGCATCAGTTCTGCTCCAACTAATGTACTCAGTCCCATTGATGCTTCCGTAATCTGAAACTCCTATACTGGAGGCCCCGGAAGGGTTCTTGGGACCCAAATGGCAAAAAGGGAGCAACTTCACTTATTTAAAATGGTGCATGAAATTTTTGGTTCTATTTTATATCTACGCATATGTGTACCGAGTTATGATACAAAATGTTTCTCCGGAGGCAAGGTCAAAAACTTTTGAAAGCCACTGATTTACAGGCTGAGCACAAAAAATAATCTTCATCTTCTGTATGTCAACCTTTCCTATTCTTAATGAGAACAGGTAGTGGGTGTAGTAGTCCGTTCTCACACTGCTATGAAGAAATACCTGAGACTGGGTATTTATAAAGAAAAGAGGTTTAATTGGCTCACGGCTCTGCAGGCTGTACAGGAAGCATAGTGGCCTCTGCTTTGGGGGAGGCCTCAGGAAGCTTCCAATCATGGCAGAAGGCAAAGGGGGAGCAAGACGTCTCACGAAGAGGGAGCAGGAACGAGAGAGAGTGAGGGGAGGTGCTGCACACTTTCCAACAACCAGATCTCATGAGAACTCACTCACTAGCATGAGAACAGCATCAATGCTAAACCATTCAGGAGACATTCACCCCCATGATCCAATCACCTCCCATCAGGCCCCACCTCCAACACTGGGAACGACAATTTGACATGAGATTGGGTGGGTGGGGACACAGATCCAAACCTTATCGTTGGGTATGCAGGTTTAGAGACCAAAGCTCAGAGAAGCTAGCAGAGGCCAGGTCAAAGGGGCATCGGCAGTTAAAAAAAATAATTTTGAGGATTTTGAGGAGAAATGTGTCTTATGGGAGTGTTTTGAGTAAAAATATCACACTCTTCATCTGCCCTCTTAAAAGCCTTTTCCGGCTGGGCCCGGTGGCTCAACCTGTAATCCTAGCACTTTGGGAGACCAAGATGGGAGGATCACCTGAGGTCAGGAGTTCGAGACCAGCCTGGCCAACATGATGAAACCCCCACCTCTACTAAAAACACAAAAAATTAGCCGGGCATGGTGGCGGGCACCTGTGATCCCAGCTACTTGGGAGGCTGAGGCAGGAAAATCGCTTGAACCCGCAAGGCAGAGGTTGCAGTGAGCCGAGGTCGCGCTACTGCACTCTAACGTGGGCGACAGAGCAAGACTCTATCTCAAACAAAAAGCCTTTTCCAATTAAATCTGCACTGCTCACCCGTGCCTCATATGAGTAGATCCTTTACAGTCCATGCAATGCGGTGCTTACACCAGACCATTTTGATCTTCAAAATAAGCCAGTGAGGTTATCTGGATGGCTATTATTTCCCCAACTTCCCAGGTAAGGAAGTGCAAGCCAAGGCACGTATGGCTTGCTGAGGGTCACACCACTCACAATAAGTGGCAGAGCTGTCCTCAAGCCCAGATATCCTGACCCCAAGACTGAAGTTACCATGACTCAGGTCAAGCAAGAAATCTCATTATCGAGATTGGGCTTTTGCTTATTTGTTGAAAACTCAACAGTTTTCTTAGGCCTACACCTCAAATCAATGCTTATATATAGATCTTCTGCATTTTTTTCCTGACAGCCTGAATAACAAGTTTCCCTCCCTCCTATAATATCTACTAGAACAATAAAAATGATGCCTCATATGTTCTTATGTATTTCTAGTTCAGGTTATTTTGCTTTATTTTGTATAATCTTTTAAGCCACTTTATATATACACGGATAGATCCATTTTTAAACCTTTTTTTCTGCTTGAAAACAATTTGTAGAGAATTTTCATGTATGTAATCTCAACTGATTATCAAAGCAAACTGAGTTAAAGCAGATTTCTTTACCCATGTTTGAAACTGAATCTTAGAGAAGAAACTGAGCCACAAGGAAGTTAAAGTGACATGTTCAGGGTCACAACTACCTAATTTGTTGCAAAGGTAGAACTAGAATCTTACTTCTGATTCTCCCTTCAACCTTCTTCCGCTGGACCAAACTAGAGCGTAATACATGAGTTTAAATATCCGGGTTTGATTCTCAGTCCTGTTTTCATTTTCCACACTGGCTAAAATGGAACTAATGAAGAAGGCAGAATGTTAGGTTGAAAAAAAAAAAAAAAAAGATCTTGTAGGAGAGCAAAGAAAACCTAGGTTCTCCCAAGGAGCCAGGACCACTGTCACTCAGGTGAATTCCATAAATGCATGTAAAAGCAGGGAGGAGTAAAGAGATGGCTATCTAAGCCTCTGTTTGCTCTCCTATCTCTGGAGGTATTCCCTCTCACCACTTCATTCCACAGAGCTTCGAGAGGCTGGAGACTGCACACTGCCAGGACAGAAATTTAACAGAAGCTGGTGGACGCCTCCCTGTACCTGAGGGTGCTCTCTAGGTCACATGGCCTTTCTTCCGTATTGATAAGATTTGTACCCCATCCAGGTCAGTAGCAGCTCTCTGGGGTGGAAACAATGAGGAAAGTTATGCTGAAAGGAGAGCTGGCTTTTAGGATATGCAGCCATATCAACTGGAATGCTACTGGGTACAATGATTCCTAAAGGAATTACTTTCAACTCTGCAATACTTAATCTGAAATAAATGGCAGGGAGTTGACTTTATTTTTTAATTAAAATTGCAGCTTTTAATTCAACTGAAATTGTGCTGGAAGCCTTAAATAAGCACCAGATATTATTATAATTGACTGACGTACAACCCCAGGTTCTGAAAAATACAAATTTGGATAATTCAGAATAAAATATTATAGGTTTACTTTTAAAGAAGGCATGTCTTGATGAAATATTCAGTCCTTCACAGATGAAAAGGAAACTCACAGCCTCTCAGCAGCAGGACATGCAGGGCAAGCTTTTATTCTAGTCCTGAGAGTTATTCATGCAAGGAGCCACACAGAGAATTTCCCTTTGATCAATAGGATGGATTTGTAAGATGTCTGACTGAGGTTGGGTTGTGGCCAAGAGACAGAACTCTTCTGTGCAAAACACTTGTAAATGCAGGGACTGAATATATGGCTTGACTTGGAAATA
Organism: Homo sapiens; assembly: GCF_000001405.40. Lineage (NCBI taxonomy): Eukaryota > Metazoa > Chordata > Mammalia > Primates > Hominidae > Homo > Homo sapiens. The sequence continues at coordinate 77,825,320 of NC_000005.10, forward strand.
TAAAATGAGGATAAATGTTTTCTAAGGTATGAATTTACATTTTATTTACGACTCTGCTTTCATGCTAAATTAAATCAGTAATTAGAGCTTCACATCCTCACACAGCTACATATACAGAAAAAAATTCCTGGCCCACCTTCCATGGAATCTCAGGACAAAAGTCTGGAAGATTTGGGTTTTTTTTTAATGGAGAAGGGAATGCCATAAGGCATGTGTACGGCAAAAGCAAACCATTTAAACATGTCTCGGGTTGTGCAATGGGATTTAGCATCATTGCAATTAAATAATATATTCTGTGAATTTGCCCAAAACCATCCTCCACACTGTCTTGCATACTCGCCAGCACACAAAGTGAAGGGACTCTCCACTGCGACAATGATGTCGTCTCTATCTTTAGCCATTACTTTATTCAGTAGTCCAACAAATACATTTTAAACACAACTGTGGGCCAGGTATCAGGATAGATAGGTAGGTAGGGGTAGAGAAGAGAGAAATAGAAGGCACAATCCTTGCTTTTTGGATTTTAGAGTCATGTCTTGTTTTTTATAAGGGTTTTGCTTTTTTTCTGAATATGAAAATAAAAAATGATCCTTGTAGGAAAATTGAATATTATTTTCTAATATTAATCCTGCACTAAATGTGCTAAGTACTCTGTACACACGATCTTATTTAATCCTTATAATAACCCTATAAAGAAGATAATAGTACTATCCACACTTTACAGATGAATGCTACTATCCCCATTTTACAGATGAAAAAACTGAGACTCAGTAAAAATATGAGACTCAGGATGTAGAACATGATCTGATTTCAGAATCTAAGTTCTTAAACATTTAGCTTTATGACAGTTATCTCCAAAATGGGGCATTCTTTCTAGGAGGGGTATAAAATAATCCCTAGGATACAGGGGGAAATGTTAGAAAATCTCTGTAGATTTATACTTATATTTAATATATGGATTGACAGTGACAATCACACTAGGTGCATATTTCAGCTGATGATAGCTAAGAAAAAAAATGTGGGATGGGGTCCTCAGGAAAGAATGTAAGTTGGAAGTTGTACAAAGCAGAGCTGTTAGTCAACTTCCCAGTTAGATGATTTTCAGTGCATTGACACTTTTGTATGCTCCTGTTGAGTTATGAATGAATGATTTCGTTGTAACCAAATTAACCCCTCAAAATAGACAAATAGTTAAAAATATTTGTGAATACACCTTAGATTAAAGATAACATTCATCACTCAAGCACATGTGAATAACCAAAAATGGCAGAGCTGACACTTCTACAACTAAAAAAAGCTCTTTATCAAGAGAAAATACAACTACCGTATTGAATTTGACATTCAGTTGCACTGTTCTCACCAAAATGGTTTTAATAATAATTTTATTGAAAGCAAAAATGTTTTCTGTATTATTAATAAATAAAATTTTTATTTATTTTAAATTATTACTTCATCTTTACCTTATCTTTTAATTTATTATGCATGTGCTTTATAGTATGCATATTATATTACTGCATGTAATTTATGAGTGAATAAATACATATAGAGGGTGTATACTCAAAATTTTATGTAAAGTAGAAAATTTCAAAGGAGGAAAATAAGTCAATTCTTAAAATACTGGGATAAATATGTTTGTAGATATATCCATCTGAGCAAATTGTTTATTTCTGTAGATACTACTACTAAGCAGAGAGGTAATTGCATTAAAGGGCATGAACATTTTGAAACTTAAGGAATGCAACCAAGTTGCTCTGCAGAAAGCATTGTACTGATTTGCACTTCCCAGGTGAAATAGGAAAAACCCTTTTTTTATTGTCACCTTGTTCAATTTGAGTATTATCAATTTTTATAATCATGAATTTTATAGGATAAAATGACCATTTTCTTTCAAGATTCATTTTCTTGGGTATGATTTAATAATCCCCATCAATTCCAATTACTGTTGAACATTTTCACCTCTCATAGCTTGATACAGGGTGTTTTAACCAGTGCATTTGGGCATTGGCTGGGAGGGTATTTATTTTTTCAAACTAGACGTGAGTGTGATCCAAGAAAAAATTATGAGAGAGAAACCAAAAACTATCTTTTTCCTTTTTGTGATTGAGCATATAAATTTCTCAAAACACAGGGGGGAAATGAGTATTAAACCGTGTTAAAATATAATTATAGTAGATACGCATGCAAAAGAATGAAGTTGGTTGGGCCCCTTCCTTCCACCACACACAAAAATTAACTCAAAATGGATCATAGATCTAAACGTAAGAGCTAAAACTATAAAACTCTTAGAAGACAACCTAGAAGTAAACCTTTGTGACCTTGCATTAGGCAAAGCCTTTTCAGATGGGACATCAAAAGTACGAGTGACAAAAGAAAGCCTAGGTAATTGGACTTCATTGAAACTAAAAACTTTTGTGCTTCAAAGAACACCACTAAGAAAGTGCAAAATGCACAGCGGCACCTTCCTGTACTGTAGTCCCAGCTACTTGGAGGCTGAAGTGGGAGGATTTCTTGAGCCCAGGAGTTCAAATCTAGCTTGGGCAACATAGTGAGACCTTGTCTTTTTTTTGTTTTATTTTGAGACGGAATTTCGCTCTTGTTGCCCAGGCTGGAGTGCAATGGTGTGATCTTGGGTCACTGCAACCTCTGCCTCCTGGGTTCAAGCGATTCTCATGCCTCAGCCCCCCGAGTAGCTGGCATTAAAGGCATGTGCCACCACGCCCAGCTAATTTTGTATTTTTAGCAGAGATGGGGTTTCACCATGTTGGTCAGGCTGGTCTCAAACTCCTGACCTCAGGTGATCCGCCCGCCTCTGCCTCCCCAAAGTGCTGGGATTACAGGCATGAGCCACCGCGCCCAGCAGAGACCTTGTCTTTAAAAAAAAAAAAAATTAAAAAAAGAAAGTGAAAACCAACCCACAAAAGGGGAGAAAATATTTGCAAGTCATATAGCTTTTTTTTCCTTTAGATATTACAGAGATGGGGTCTTGCTATGTTGCCTAGGGTGGTCTCAAACTCCTGGCCTCAAGTAATCCTCCCAACTTGGCCTCTCAAAGCAATAGTATTAGAGGTGGGAGTCACTGTGCCCAACCTGCAAATCATGTATCTGATAACAGAAACTTGTGTCTGGGATGTATGATCCATCCCTATAACTCAATAATAAAAAGACAAATAAATCAATTCAAAAATGGGCAAATAATCTGAATTAAACATTTCTCCAAGGAAGATAAACAAATAACAAATAAGCATATGAAAAAATGCTCAACATCATTAGTCATTAGGGGAACGCAAATCAAAACCACATTGCAATACCACTTCATACCCACTAGGATGGCTATAATAAAAAAAATCAGATAAAAACAAGGATTGGCGAGGAGGTAGAGAAATTGAAATGCTTATATGTAATATAAATATGAATGTAAAATCATACAGTCACTTTGTAAAGAATCTGGCAGCTTCACAAAATGTTAAATATAAAGTTGTCATATAACCTGGCAATCCACTTCTAGGTATATACCCAAGCGAACAGAAAACTTATAACCACACAAAAATTTGTACATGAATATTCGTATCATCATTATTCATAATAGCCAAAAAGTGGAAACAATCCAAATCTCCCTCAACAGATGAATGGATAAATGAACCATAGTATATCCATATAATAAAATATTGTTTGTTAATAAAAATGAATGAGGTATTGACACATGCTACAACATGGATGAAACTTTAAAACTTTACATTAAGTGAAAGAAGCTGGTCACAAAAGACCACATATTGTATGATTCCATTCATACGAAATGTCCTGAATAAGCAAATCCACAGACACAGAAAATAAATTAGTGTTTGCCTAAGATTGGGGTATAGCGGTGGGGGAGGGTGGGATAGGAAGAGTGACTGCTAGTGGAGATGGGGTTTCTTTTTTGGTAAAGAAAATGTTCTAAAATTGATCATGGTGATGGATGTAAAACTCTGAATATACTGAAAACTCTGGAATTATACACTTTAAATTGGTGAATTGTAGAGTATGTGAATTATATTTCAATAAAGCTATTAAAATATATTGCAATAAGATTAAGAATGTCTGTGTTGTAGACATTGTCTGCTTTGTATTCTACTGTTGTTAATACTTGATTTTTTGTTTGAGAAAAGTATGTGCTATACTTAGAAGCATCTTTTTGATTTATGATGTTCTGCCCCTGCCAATTATAAAGTGCTGTTATTAATAAAAATTAATTACATTGCCTACTTTGAGTAGCTGCCATTAGACAGTGCTTGAGATTGAATGGGACTTAATCCTTTCGCTGTGTGAAACATAACTTTCTGAGCAGAGGTAAGCTTTTTCTTACTCAGAGTAGGGAGGCATAGACATATTCAATTTTAGTAAAATAATCTTACAGACTATCTGCGGGGACCTTTTTGATGTGAAATTAAATTGTGGCACAGACAGAGATTTTATTACATTTACATGGACCCATAAAATAACTTTTATGGTTCCCAGTGGTGCAAATCCTCCTTAATTTTGTTAATTATTTTCCCCCAGTTATCCTTAGCCATGTCTGCTAATTCAGTATTGATCTTGATACTAAGATATGTTATGGTCTTAGAAATTCACTTGAGTCCCTGCTGAATGAAAAGAACTAGGGAAGCAGATCTTACCCAAGGTAATGTTTTGGATAGATTCCAATTAATATTATAGCTGAGGATAACAATGTCCTTCCACCCAATGTTCAGACTTGCTGTTCAGAGCTAGGCTCATAACCCTGAACAGGGTGTTAGAGTGTGTCACAGAGAAATCTGAGAAGGAGGTGACTTTTGGTTTAAGTTCTATATTTTGTTATGCCCATTGCTCTCGTGTTACAGACACCCTATCACCACCACTGCAAGGTCTTCAGCCTGCACCTGGAAAATGATCTGCTATTCTGACTGTTTCTACTCTTTTCTCTATTACTCCTTCCCAGTTAACCTATTCACACTTTAATTGCAATTTTCTGAAGAAAATTTCTTAAGTCAGTTGTTCTTAACTGCAATATTCGGCAAGTAATTTTTTACTATTGATAGTTCTATTACTGATGTTTTTAAATGATTTGCTTTTCAAAAAAATAAACGAGAACACGCTCAAGGTTATCCTTTCATTCTCAGTTACCTTTGGATATGCTTTTGAGTGAAGGTGCAGTTACCAGTACACACTGGGAATTGGATATAATCCTCAGTCCAGAGCGAGTGACTATTGCTAATGGACTTTGCTAATTGGTTCATTTTACTTCACCAAGCATCTGTTGAATGCCTACTATGTACAAAGCATTAATCTGAAATTAGTTGCTTTTTCAAACTAAAACTTCTATGTACCTTCAATTTCTGGGTCATCCAATTAATTTCAGCATGTTAAAGGACTTTCTGTTTTATGATACATAATTATATAACGTAGGCCTCTTGTGAATCTTAATTCTTTCATTAACTTACCTCATTTAACTTATTAGGTACCCATTTATAGCTTTGTAAAATGCACTGTACTTAAAAGTAATAACTGCAGCACTTTGAAATCTTTTAGAATTCATTCTTTTCATTAAAATCAAACTAATTGCCTCTTCCTCTTGTCTATTATTTTGAAATATTGAGGTTGTGCTACTTAGGTTCTTTTGTCTTATTTCTTTTTATGTTGTATTACCAGTTCCCAAAGGGCATCCAGTGGTGTAACTTGGAACACACGCTCAATTCACAGTCGCAGACACTGGTTGATGGTGGTAGCAATTAACCTGCTTTACATTCCCTCCTGTCCCTCCAATTATGAGAATAATTAAGTGGTGTATGTGTGACAAAGAGAGACAGATAGAAGGATGGGATGGAGATGTGGTACTCTGACAGAAGCAAGACGTAGGGTAATTTTTGGAGTCAGCAAAATTGCCTATACTCCCCACTAGGTTCACTCTTTTCCCCCAAGTGATACCCTCTGGTGCCTCACTGCAGTCACCTGTAGCTCCCTTCCTTTATCCTCCTATTAAATTGCTCTCTAATCCTACATTTATACAAAATTATATGAATTAACACTTTTTAAGTTAATTTACATATTTATGTTGAATAGGTAATTATTTTTTATCTCTTGCTGCTTAGTAAACCACTCCAAAACTTACTGATTTAAAACAACAATGTATTTTTTTTTACAGTTCTGCAATCTGAGACAGGCTCACCGGGATGATTCTTCTGCTCCATGTGTTGGCTGCTGGGGCTGAAATGTCTGAGATGGCTTCTTTACTTGCCTATTGGGTGCCTCAACAGGGATGGCTAGAACAGCTTGGGGCTGGCTGGGCATCTCTCCCTCCATGCGGCTTTTCTACGTGGCTAGATTGGCTTCTTCATAGCATAGTGCTCTTAGGGCAATTGAACTTCTTACCTGAAGGTTGAGGTTAGCTGGCTTCTAATGGAAGCGGCGGCAGAAGCAGAAGCTGCCATTTCTCCCAAAGGCTAGGGGTGGACCTACCTCATGGACACTTCCCCACCAATGTGTGTCACAAAATCAGCCCAGATTCAAAAGCAGGAGAAAGAGACTCCATCTGTTGATATGAAGATTGGCATACATTTATGGGGGGAAAAGGAACTGGGAACAGCTACCTTGCATATGGAAAAAAATTCAAACAGTGCAAAAGGGTACACAGTATAAAATAAGTCTCTTTGGCAACTCTGTCCCCAAGACACTCCAGTATAACAACTGTTACGCTTTCTGCGTATTTTCCCAGAGATATTCAATATATAAACAAACATATGCTTTATATATATGCTTTTAAATATATTTCTTACATTGATAGTGTGTATAATATAGTTTTATTCCAAGGTTGCCTGCTCTATAGTGTCCATGCTTTGCTTTTCTCATTTAATCATACAGAGGGAGGTAGTTCTATTCTTTGTAATGGCTACATATTTTCCTTTGGTAGATATTTAGCCATTTCTGATCTCTTGTTAATATAATACCAATACTGCTTCGATGAATATCACTATGTGTATTTTAAAAATGTAACTTTGCCAGTAAGAAAAATTCCTGTAAGAAGAATTGCTGAGTCAAATAATATATGCATGTACGATGTTATTAGGTCAATAAAGGTACCATGGGGAGGGACATCTAAATCAGTCATTCTTCACTGGGGAGGGAGAAAGCTTTGCCTACCACGCATGCTCCCTCCTCGCCTCTAGTCCCACTGCCAGCAGGTGTGATAAAACTGCTTCACTAATTGAGAACCACTCCTCTAGACCAACTACCTCATTCAGCAGAGAAGGCTCCTGCAGGTCTGAGAGCCTGACTCACCCTTCAGTGCCTCATCACACTGTGAATTGGTCTTCTCTCGACCAATAAGCACATAAGCAGTCACTGCAGGATCACCTTGATGTAGACAAAGTTTGTCCAAAGGGTGCCTTGTGATCACTAAACCTGAAAGAGCCTCCATGATCCAAAAAACAGAAAAAGATTCTGTCATCAAGCACGCCTGGGAACACTGCACCCTATATCAGTAAGTCACAATCAACAACGGCAAATGAGGACTCTGAGGAGCCCTGCCCCTAAGAAAACTGCTTAACATTGTTTAAATAAAAGAATGGATTTAAACGTCTGCTTCCTAACCTTATTGGACCATATCACCCCTTTTTGTAACACTTGTTTTGCTAACTACCTGTGGAAATAAGCTTTCTGGGAAACATTCTTTGTGGTGTAGAAGAAAAGTTACTGAACTGGGAAACTGGCTCCACTCCCAACCAGCTATGCAGTCACAAACAGTCAAAAATCACTCTGAGCCCCGGGCAGTGTAATTGTCTGGTGGTGGTGGTGGTTTGGTCCTTTTAACCTAGAGGAGCTTCCCCTTCCATTTCCCTTACTGAAGACAACACAGGATGTTATGCCTGACAGGGAACATTGAAGTTCGATCTGCGTATTTGTTCCTTTGAATTCCTTCTAGTCTGTTCTTTAGCTATGTGTATGCTAGTGCAAGTGGATATGACAAGTCCAGTAGGGCTTTTAGCTCAAGTCTTCTTGTTCCTGCTGCTCACCACCCTGACCACTCCCTCCCAAAGCTTCCCCACCTTCAGAAAAGAAAAAAAACCTGGAGTTCAGCAGAAATCAGGCTGACCTCAGGCATGCACACAGCAGACGATGAATATATCTAACTCTCTGTCTTTGCCACTTCTTTTCTGGACAGGCCATAAACAAATTTTGTGCTCAGGGAAAAATGATCTGGTATTCTTATATCAAATTCATATAACCTTTGCAAATGAGAACAGATCTTCAAACCAGGTGTAGTGTGATTTGTTTTGACTCTTTACTGCCTCCAACTGAGATGTTTTACATATACTAATCTAAAGACAATGAATCCTGAGCTGATTTCATGAGTGTAAGTTATTCCAGCCCTGAAATGAAGGGGCCTGCTGTGTGTCAGAACACACAGATGCATAGGCAACCAAGAGCTATTGAGCTAAATATCTTTTTTTATTAATCAGGGCTTCAGAGGTAAAATCTCCTTCTCAGGGACATCAAGGTGATTTGTGACACTCTCCGTACACCTTTATATTCACAAACCAATGAGTACATCACACCAATCTCTCGTTTTCTCATCAGTGGCAGACATAAAACACAGGTAATCTTCATGCTACTCAGATGTTTCAATTAACTGTGAAAACCCTTTGGCTTATATTATATAACATTTGTGAGTACTTCATTTCCTTTCAGCTTAAGCATCAACTAGAACACACACTTAAAATCTTGTTACATTTCTTTTAGAAATTGATGCAATTAAATGGTAGAGCTGCCTATACTAAAGACAAAAAGAATGAACTCTGAGGACACCTGAGATCTTTCTTTTTGTGGTCCTCTTAGGTGTCCGATTCATGGTTTAGAAAGGCGGGGTCTGTTTTTATATTCACCAAGAACACAGGGGCCTGAAAGTGGGAAATCCAAACACATGTGTTTACCAAGAATTCACCTCTTTGCACACATTGTATGCAGCAAGTACCTATGTTAGTGAATTTTTCTAAGTCAACCCTGGAGATATTTACAATCTTTTAAGTAAGAATCCTGGCCAGGCGTGGTGGCTCACGCCTGTAATCCCAACACTTTGGGAGGCCGAGGCAGGTGGATCACAAGGTCAGGGGCTCGAGACTCAGCCTGACCAATATGGTGAAACCCCGTTTCGACTAAAAATACAAAAATTAGCTGAGCTTGGTGGCAGGTGCCTGTAATCCCAGCTACTCAGGAGGCTGAGGCAGGAGAATTGCTTGAACCCGGGAGGCGGAGGTTGCAGTGAGCCAAGATCGTGCCACTGCACTCCAGCCTGGGCAACAGAGTGACACTCCATCTCAAAAAAAAAAAACAAAAAAAAAAACCCTATTTTTACAACAACACATCAAATTTAACTGCTCTAGTGGACAATTTGAGAACTCATGAGCTGCAGGTTGTTTGGTTTCTTGAGCTTTGCAAATGTGATGAATCTTGACAGCTTTAAAGTATTTTCTTCAGTTTCACATTGCCTCTGGAACTCATGGAATCTCATAGAAATATAGAACTCATAGTAACATAGACATTCAGTTAAATATTTTAATTTTGTCATGTTGACAGCAGACTTGAAATGGGTGTTATTGGCTGGGTGTGGTGGCTCATGCCTGTAATCCCAGCACTTTGGGAGGCCAAGGTGGGCAGATCACTTGAGGTCAGGAGTTGAAGATCAGCCTGGCTAACATGGTGAAACCTCGTCTTTACAAAAATACAAAAATACAAAAATTAGCTGGGTGTGGTGGTGGCGCCTGTAATCCCAGCTACTCGGGAGGCTGAGGCAGGAGAACTGCTTGAACCCAGGAGGCAGAGGTTGCAGTGATCCAAGATCGTGCCACTGCACTCCAGCCTGGGCAACAGAGCGACACTCCGTCTCAAAAAAAAAAAAAAAAAGAAAAGAAATGACTGTTATTTGGCTTTTAAACTGAATTGATGGAAACAACTGGTTATTTCACCTAGTTAAATTGGTTAAACAATTTCCAGCATCACACAGATATAAATTTAAGAGAATTGTATTATGGTATAAAACATTACATCAATTTAAAAATATCTCTTAGAAATTTGCATATGACCAGAGTTTAATAATTACAATTTTATGGATGGTTTACAAATATAGCATCCCAAATAGTAGGTGGTAAATAATGGTTCAGAGTCTTTCCAACTCCTGTAGCTCTTCTAAAATCAACTGTGATGGAGCAGTGAGAGGTGCCGCCTCCCTTTGCTGTCATTATGAAGATGTAATTCTGTTACAGTTATTTAATCCCAAAGGCATTATTACACCTGTTCAGCAGTTTTCAACCACTCACTAAAATGATGTACAACTCCACTGTGATAAATCTCAGAGTGATTTTTTATTAAAGTTTCTTTAAAAGTATTATGGCTGGAGGCTGACAAATTTAAATAAATGTTTGGAGAAACTACATAATTATATAAGAAATGTGTTGTTTCCAGATTTGCTCTTTCATTTGCCCGAACTGTGCATAACCTTAAGACATGATTAAAGAATTTTTTTTTGAATCACTTTAATCATACAGATCAAAGGATAATGGATTCATAGAATGTAGCACTGGAAGGGACCTTAGAGAACATCTAGTTCAGTGGCTCTTAACATTTGGCATGAATTTTGAGAATCACCTGCAAGGCTTGTTAAAATGGATTGCTGGATTTCACTCCCAAAGGTTCTGATTCTGCGGTCTGGGTAGGGGCCTAAGGATTTGCATTTCTCACAAATTCCCAGGTGATGTCGATGCTGCTGATCCAGTGACCCCACTGAGAGAACCACTGAGCCAATGCATTTTACAAACAAGGAGGCCAGAGCCTACCAGAGAGGTGAAGCAACTTGTCCAGGGCAAGAAAGGAAGATGGGGCCTGGAACCTGCACTCAAACTCTCCCGAGATTGGGCTTGTTTTGGAGAAACACACCTAACCACATGTGCGTGGTTGGGGCATGGAGAAGACAGTGTCCAACAGACATGGCAACAAGCAAAGCATGACAGTGTGGTAACCGCAGACATCTTGGGGGGTCCCCCATGAAGGAATGGGGTATCAGAACACAGTGCACCGCAAAGGAGCTAGAAACTTGATGTCAGATACTGTTTGAAGTTGCAAGAAAGTAGATGATGACCATCAAGAATGTTTGTTAGAAGTAACTACTTGGATGTTCGAGAGCATCTCAAAGAGAAAGCTTACTCTCTTTACCCCAACAAACCTGCCCTTCTTCATTCCAGGAAATGACACTGCATCTACCTAGGGGCTCAAGACCAACACCTAGAAGTCATCTTGTTTCCTCTTTTCTCCTCATCTCCCACATTTACTCCAACTGCAATCCTGTCATTTATCTCCAAAATATATCCTAAATCCATCACAATTACCTCCCATATCAAGCCACCAAAGTATCCGTAATAGTTTACTAACTTCCTGATTCCACTCTTGTCCCTCTATAATTCATTCTCCCCCAAAAGGGATCCTTTAAAACAAATTCAATCACATAATTCCCATGTTAAAATCCTCCAATTGCTTTCTATTGCATTTAGAATAATACCCAGATCCCTCACCATGGTCTACATGACCCTATAGGATCTGGCCTCTGCCTTACCTCTCTGACCTCAACCCCTGTTGCTTCCTGTCCTGATCATTAACTCCAGTCATAATGTTCTTTCTGTTCTGAGAACTTACCAAGAACATTCCTATATGAGGGCCTTTGCACCAACTATTCCTGCTGCTTGGAATTCTTCCTCATCTTCACTTGGCTGACATGTTAGCTATGTCACCCAGTCAAAGATCCCTTCTTGACAACCCAATCTGATGTAGCCCATTTCTATCTCTTTCTGTTAAAATCTATTCGTTTGATTTTCTTTTGGGCCCTAATCAATATTTGAAATTATTCTTTTTGTTAGTTTACTTTGTTATTGCGTATTCTCTTCTACCAAATATAAGCATCATGAGGTCAATACAAGCTTTATTTGCCTGGTCCATTGTCATAATTCTAATGCTAGAACAGTGTCTGGCAGACAGTAGGTACTCAATACAATTTCTTGAATGAGCAACAGGTCTTTAGCCACAGGGGCAGGACTTCCTCCCTGGAAATTACACTGGCAAAAAGAAGGCAAAACCTAGACTCAATGAACAAGAGGGAAATCTATTCACTAGACCTGAAGGATTGAGGGAGGTGTGGAACCTAGGACTAAGAAACTCTGTTAGCAAACTTGGGACTTGGATTCAAAAGTGGACTAGCAGCAAGGAGAACTTGGTACTGAGGCAAGAAGGCCAATTTGCCCAAAGCCAATTCACTGAAAGCCAGATTTACTTACTTGTATCTTTCAACTATTTTAGATTGGCATGAGTATAACTTTTTTTTTTTTTTTTAAATAGAGTCTTGTTCTGTCGCCCAAGCTGGAATACAGTGGTGCGTTCTCTGCTCACTGCAAACTCCACCTCCTGGGCTCAAGCGATTCTCCTGCGTCAGCCTCCTGAGTAGCTGGGATTACAGGCACCAGGCTAATTTTTGTATTTTTTTAGTAGAGACACGGTTTCACCATTTTGGCCAGGCTGGTCTTGAACTCCTGACCTCAGGTGATCCGCCCAAAGTGCTTGGATTATAGGCATAAGCCACTGCACCTGGCCTTATAACTTCTTATTGACATTTGAAGGAGTTAAATTGTCTCTGTCTACTTGTTGCTACTGAAGATGGAGATGGAGAGAAAATGGAAGGAAAAATACAGGAGTATAAAGAGAATTTATTTAAAAACACGTTTATTAAACATAAAGATTCTTATGAATATATTATTCATTTATTATTAATCTATTCATAAGAAAATTTCAAACTCAGAATATATTCAAAAACATATTTTTCATAAATGTATTTCTCAGAAAAACACATTATAAGAAAAATAGATTTATGAGAAAAATATGTTCATTGTTGGCGATGCCATCCTGATTTTCTTCTTTCCTTTGTCAGTTGTTTTGCCTCAGCCAGATAGTTGTTTCCTGTTTTCGGTAGGGGCTCTCTGTTCCTAAGTCTTCCAATATTCCTCTAGAATATATTGCTATATTAATATCTTACAATTCTTTCAATTCTTAAACTGCTTAATCAAGATTCTCATGGTCCTTGTAAATAAAAGCACTATTTTGTTCATAGGTCATTCAAGACCCAGCAAAGTCAGGAACTTGATGCAAACCACTGAGCCAAATATTCTGGCTTGAGATTTGGGTTCTTGGAGAAGCAAATACAGAACATGGGGTTCTCACTTTATTGCCATTTTTAGGATGCTATTGAAGAGTGTTTCTGGGATAGAGGTGCAGTTGGCAGCATAACTCCTCAAACAGTCTGACTGGATGCACTGATGCCATGTTTAGAGCCAACTGCCATTCAAGCTGCTATTGCCCACAGAGTGGGACAAAGTTCCTCTGCACTGAGAACTGTGGAAAGGCATTTGGCATGGAGGTGAGGACTGAGCCCGAAAGAAGTGAGCATCAAAAGTCAGAACTAATCCCATACAGTACAAACGTGTTCTCAGTACTAATGACAGTTTATATGCTCTCTACTCTGCGGCTATAATGAGATATTAATTCATAGTTAATGTCCCATAATTAAAAGTCCACTTTGGTTACACACACAACAGACTGTCTGCAAATACATCTGCTCAGGCATTTTAAAAAGGACTATTTAGAGTTCTGCTCAGTTCTCACAAAGGAAATTAAAGCATTTCCTTCAGTAATCCTAAATGTTTGTATGTTCCTCGATGTAGATTTGTGTGATTTGGGGTCTCCATCTGAAATAGATAGCTTGACTTGATTGATTGGGTTAGTTTCGGTTTTATAGGGCTTTTCAGCTTCTCTTGTTGGGCATTTCAATATCTGTGACCAATTTGCCAGAGGTGGGAAAGGAGAAAAAAAATGAAACCTAACATTTCCTCTTGGCCTGCCATTAAAAATGTTGATAAAAATTTACCAATTCTCATGCCATCCATTGTGCAAAACATGGTGCAAATGTGTGCACTGGTGATTATCAGATAAAGAGAGAAATTTGATTTCACAGACATAAATTGTGCCTTCACCGGACTTTTTGTAGGGATTTGAGAAGTGACTTGATCTGCCCTCAGCTGCTTTTTTAATTGGTGATGGGGGAAGAAAAACTCTTGATGGTGTGTCTCAGAGTGAACAAGGACTAAAGGGGCCTGTCTCTAATGAAGGGATTTTTTAACCTGGGTTCCACAGGTCTCTTGGGTGGTGTCTGTGAACTCTTCAAAATTGCAACATTTCCCATCAATGTGAATATATGCATTTTTTGGAGGACCAGTTCTGTAACTTTCATCGGATCCTCAAAGAAATCCATGACCACTGAAGGCTAAGCCCCACACACCACTCATGGAAATCCCAGGTTATTGTATCCACTGCATGTCACAATAATGAGGACTGGGACACCTAGAGCCACACACAGTCGCTGACAGGGAGTCTGGATGGGTGTGTGACTTTCTCCAAGTGGACAAACTAAAAGCAGCAATTCTGACATAAGCAAAGGTCTGGGATACTGTGTCACAGGCTGCATTCCCTCCCCTATGACGTAGATTTATGAGGGTACCCACAGAACTAGGCTGCTGCTTCTAGAACTGAGGCAGGAAGAAGACCAGTTCATTGACAATACAAACACTAGAAAGACTAAGGCAGAGGCTCCAATTTGACCTCAGTGAACAAGGAGATGTATCACGGCAGCACAGTATGCAGCATTGCTTTTAAAAAAAATTTTTGTTTTTTATAAAGACAGAAGTATCTCTGTGTTGCCCAGGTTGGTCTCGAACTCCTGAGCTCAAGCCCAGCCCTCCTGCCTCAGCCTCCCAAAGTGCTTGGATTACAAGCATGAGCCACCATACCCAGCCACATGCGGCAGTTTGAATCTAAGCCTTATCTTGCTCTCAAGAGACATAATAGCAAATAGAAACAAACCCCACAAAAATGCAAATGCCTCCTTCCATCAGGACAGTCCTTCATGTGTGGGCCCAGAAAAGGAAGAACTAGGGGACCCAGAGCTACCTGCGCAATAACATGGCCTTTTCGCTTTTAATTTCAGCAGATACCTATGAAACGGTTATTATTAAAGGTACTCTTCACAATTCTTAGGATAGGAAGATGAATAAAACATTCTTATTCTTAAATAAGGGTTCAAGCAGCAGAATTCCAAGAAAACAGCAAATATAGGTACACCTTGCTCTATGTAACAGATGAGTCCCCAGATATCTGTGTTCAAACAGAATGGTTACAGATCAAAGTATATATCAAATGCAATAGGAAGATGAGGATTTTAAGAAAACTTGAGGCTAATCCTCTTATGAGAAATTAAGTATTCTTTTCTGTAATGCTAATAAGGACATCCTTTTGTCTTTATTGTAAATATAGACTGCCCTAGCTGTGATTTTCTTATGTCAAATCTGGGTAGACCCATACCCATAATATGTGCATATATATGCATAGATATTCATCACTATATCTTTAACATTAATTTTCATGTAATTTAAGGACCTGCACTTTCTACTTTGTGAATCTTTCTGTCCTGTAAAGGAAACGAGTTCACTCAACTACACACTATCAAGCAGACAGGTAATCAATCAGTGATCACACATATCAGTTCCAGCTGAGCTCCCGTCTATTGCTAAGATGGTTACAATAACCTCTAACTGTACCATGTAAGTAGAAATGGCCTCTTAGGCGTCAGTACACCAAAGGTTCAGACAAGGAGGATCGACTCCGCCAGTGGCAGTAGCATTCCTTTTTTTCAAATGTGTCTTTGTCAGCAGTATTTTTAAACATGGGTCCTATCCTGTACTATATTTTATTGCTAAAAGCATCTTTATTCTCCAGTTTCAGGGATAAAAGGCGATTTTTAAAATGTCATGACGGGAAGTAATTTTTCAAGGTTTTCATGACTGGACATAAAATTAGATTTAAAAATATCCAAAATAAGGCCTTACTCATCAAGATTAGGCCTTTAATCTGTGTTCTAGGACATTTGGGCAAAACTGTCCTCTACCAATGTTGCTAAATTGACTGGGGAAATATTTTCAGCTTTTATAGAAAACATATAAACTCATGTATACATGCCTTTATTTAAAAGCTGTCATTGGCTGGTGTCCCTAATCTTGTCTTTCCGGCAGGTCTCATATGAGAAGTATATTTGGTTGGGAATGCTGAATTCCGAAATGCTGCAGAAGTAGGGTTCAAATGGTTTTACCCATGTCAGCTGGACAGAGATGCCTTGTCATATGGTCACTGGGGTATTATCTCATAGAAGGAGACCCCCAAAGACTATGTTTCCTTCTTAGACACGTGCCCACAGCTGCTAGTGGCAATCAGATCAGGGTGGATTTAAAAGTAAAAGAAAGAAATATGTTTCCCCTTTTCAGTGGGAAGATGAGTAATCCAGGGATTACATTCACTGGGATTTGGGAGTAGGAAACCTCATTATCAAAGTCATGCTCTCCAAGAGCATGCGTGTGTGGGTGTTTGGAGGAGGGAGCATAGATTGTTTAAATCAGACACCCCACATAGTTTGTACTGAATTCCTACTATGTGAAATAGAAGAGAAAATAGAACAGAAAGCATAGTCCCTTCCTCAAAGAGAGAGAAGATCAAATACTCAAGAAAGGCTGAATCTTGTGCTTGGTCTCTGATTCACATGGCTACTAACTGCAGAACCTTGAGCTGTAACTTTGTAAGCTTTATTTGTGAATGGCAGTAATAATAATAGTACCTACATCATAGGGTTGTTTAGTGATCCAATGAAATAACGAGAGTTTAGCAAGAGTCTGGCACGTAGCAAATCTTTAACAATACATTTTTAAATAGGGAAAGCTTAAGACCATGTAAAAGCATTTAGCAGCCAACAAAAATTAGCTTCGGAATATAAATTCAAAGGTTTCAAGAGATGGGAACAAAACATGTAGAGTGATTCAGAGGATAAAACACTATTTGAACCATAGTAGAAGACAGAATAGTTTCAGCAGATTGCACCAGGAGCTGTTTGGGGTAAATTAATGTGTCATTATTTGGAAGACTCGCTTAGGATTATGCTTCACAAATTTGGGCATAAGATGATGAAATCTTAGCCTAAGGCAGTGGTTGTGAACACATAGAGGAAAGAGATGGCATCACCAACACTGATAAGAAAGAGCGGAAACATACTTTAAATCAAAGGAATGTCTCCCATAATTTAAGACAACAAATAAGTTGCCAGAAATAGAAAGAGGCAAATGTAGTAAATTTTATAAAAGTTGTTTTCCCTAGGAGCCCAAAGTATTTTCAACTGCAAAAGTGCTATGTTTCTCAAAGTAGCATTTTTGTAAAGGCTTGGAGATGTAAAGATAGAGTAATAAATACCTAGAAGACAGTTTTCTTTTTTGTGGTTTGTTTGTTTGTTTGTTTGTTTTTTGAGATGGAGTCTCACTCTTGTTGCCCAGGCTGGAGTGCAGTGGCCCGATCTCCGCTCACTGCAAGCTCTGCCTCCTGGGTTCACGCCATTCTCCTGCCTCAGCCTCCCGAGTAGCTGGGACTACAGGTGCCCGCCACCATGCCCAGCTAATTTTTTGTAGTTTTAGTAGAGACAGGGTTTCACTGTGTTAGCCAGGATGGTCTCGATCTCCTGACCTCGTGATCCACCCACCTCGGCCTCCCAAAGTGCTGGGATTACAGGCGTGAGCCACCATGCCCAGCCGACATTTCTTTATATCCTGCTTATTTCCAACAAAAAGCAGAACTACAGGGTTAAGGAATGAGAGACAGTAATTTTTTCACAAAGATAGATATCATGCTAAGCATGGGATTTAGATCTGAGTTTGTTGTCAGTTAACACAAAAAAGGAAAACAAATCAGTAGTGGGAAGAAAGAAGCAAACCAGATCTTCAGAAGCAGTAAACCTTTTCCTGCCTTTAAGTTCTAACATGTAATTATAACTAGCTTGATCCAATTTTAGGAAAGGGACCAAAAATTAAACATAGACTTCTTGTTGAACACACTGTCTAGTGGGCTTAGCCATGTTGAGCAGTCTTTGATAATGGACTCCTTACTTGAATTCTCAAAGGGAGTCAGGCCTGTCAGTGAATAGACAGTTTTTGGTAAAACAAATATATGCAGATTATTAATGACGTATAAATCCTCAAATACATGCCCTAATCCTAGATAGAAATGAACCATCTATTAACTCCCTTCTCCAGGTTTAGTGAGTTATAGTCCTCCTCGTTTTAAAAATTTTGGAGGTGGGCTGCAGTTCCATCAAATGGGACAAAACAGAGTGCCTGTCCCTGCCTAAGGAGTAGTGGGTAGACGGAAGGGTTAGTGGCCCGGCCTGTAGGAATCCCAGCCACCTAAAAATCCACGAGGGCCTTTCTGCAGCTGCTGCCTTCACCCAGTTGAATCCCTCAGCAAATACAAGCCACTTTGTAGGGGTAGGGCTAGTTTCTCCCCGCTGCCACTGCCTTCCTAGAAGGTCCCAGTGGAGAGGGGAGAGAGACAGACAGACAAAGACAACTATTGTCTTCACACCTCAGCCCCACGTGGGGCGGGGCTGCATATTTGCAGCCCGTAAGAGTAGTGCTCTGCCGTGGAAATCTAATTTGACAGAATAGGTAAATAAAATCAACTGTCATCAGCTCCCATTTTATTTAACAGTTTATTGGAAACAGATTTCAGGACGACTCAATGAAGGAGGTTCTGGAAGTTGGTTTAATCTCAAACGCCCAAATACTATGCATTATTTGCAAAAGTGTCTTCAGCGAGCCCGAGACAGTATGTTAGTGAATGCATTTGGCCGTCCCGCACAACCTAGCTCACTGATCTGGGAACTGGGGCCCTCCCAGAGAAGCGGGCCCTTCCCCCCTCCCCAGTGAGAGGCTGGCGCCGCACTTGGGGCCGGAGGAGTGGGGGCCGGGCAGGCGGCGCGCTCGCTCCTCTCTCCGGCTGCTTTTCTGCCTTCCTTTTGTTTGGTTGCCTCCTCTTCCCCCTTGGTTGTTGATTATTAGTATTTTCCTAGTTTTCCAAACTAATAAGTGCCACTATCAGGCAGTTGGAAGCTCTGGGAGGCTGCAGGCTTTGCCGCTCGGCCTTAATTGATATTGAACGAGCTGCTGGTAGACGGGAACAGGGCCGCTGCTGGATAATTTGCAGTTTAATCAGCGTTTGTAATGAGAGCGGCTGATTAGGGCTGTTGGAAATAAAAGAGAGTTACAAGGAACGTCTGTCAGAGTCCGGTGATAATTCAGGACTAATTGTGGTGATTAGCGCAAACTGGATGACTTTGGGCTTTGCTAATGCAAAGAGAAACGTGCAGGCTCCAGCCAGGGACCCCTCGGAGAACAGTGCATGGGCTGTGCGCAACTTTGCTGAGCCATTTTCCCGCGAGGCCCCCAGCGGCGCGGGGGCTGTGGGGAGGTGGTGTGGGAGTACGGTCGCTGCTGCGCGGCGTGGGGAGAACTGGAGCGGCTGCCCGGACGCCCCCGCCCTGGTCCCGGGTACTTTCTCGGCCTGGCTGCAGCCGCGTGGATGTCTCTCGAAGCCTCCACCCTATTCTCCTTATTGTTATTTCCACTCACCCCCCAACCCCCTCCCGCCGTCCTGGTTCCAGACCGCCTCTCTCAGGCTGCCGGGGAGGGGGCACATCGCGCCCTCCCCGAGACCCTCGGCTCCCCGCTTTACCCACGCGCGCGCCTCCTCGTGGGGAGCGTCCGAGCAGGCAGGGCTTTCCGGACATCCCTCCACTACCCCGTCGTCTCCTCCTTCCACTCTCTCAGTCCTCTAGGCCCTCACCTCTCTCCCCCAAAGAAATACTCTATCCACCCCGCTCCCCCAAACCGCTGCTCCAGGTGGGTGTCCCGCAGCCTGCACCAGCCTAGACAGGCAGAACCTGCCGCCTGAGCAGGGGAAAAGAGTGCTACCGCTTATAAACGGCCGGAGTTCTCATTATTGAGGAGTTTCATAACTCTTTAATTCATTTTTAATGATGGCAATAAACATGGTAGTCATTTTGGAACAATAGCTAAAAATCATAGGGCCATTACTGTCCATTAAAACAGTGTTTACAGTTCAATGGAGGTTCACGTGCCCCGTAGTCATTCATATTAGCCAAAGGAGAGATTTATAGGTCAGAAGAACGGTTCTCTTTTTATTCTTTATACAGCATAAAGCCTATTGAGCAAATTGTTAAAAAAAAAAAAAGTTCACTTGGCTTTTAATCGTGTGAATGGGGATTAAGTAAGGAGCTGTTGTCTGGCGCCTGATTTCTATTTGATCAATAAATCATCAAGTGCTTTAAGTGCTTTATTCTCTATCAAATTAAATGAAAAATACTTTAACCTGCGTCCCTGGTGTCGGCAGATAAAGCTAATAATATTTTCTGTTATGTTTCCATTTAGGCATTTAACACTCAGAAGAATCTACTAGGTCTTGCTTGCACCGTCTTTATCTATCTCTCTCTATTAGAGATACTACATATTTATCCCACATACCTACAGACACAGGGAATTCTCAACATCAAGAGGAGAGCTTACTTGTTTCCAGGAAGAAAATCTAAGTAGGATCTCCTAATGTACACCAAGTATTTCAGTCACCAGCTCCAACTAATATGGCTACACCTTAAAGAGCAAGGTGGAGGTGCAGGGGTTCAGGTCCCACAGGCACCTGGGGAGCTGGCTCTTGTTGGCTGTTACAGGCTTGGAATAACATTTTACCTGAGTGTTTGCCCTTTTCTCTTTGATTCCAATTCTTACTAAAATAATAAATCAAAACAATAGGCCCAAAGGAAGAAATCTGTATTATTTCCCAGATTCTTCTGTCCTATATTAGATATTACCTAATATAATATGTTTTATATATCCTGCCCTGCCTTTGGAGAACTGGCTGGCAGAACAGGCCCTTCCAGACCTAGAACCATAACTACGAGGTCTGTATTTTATAGGATAATATAATTCAAATATGGTGTTTAGGTACCAAACCATGTTTTTTCATTTCATGTGTTTCACAAAAGATTTTCCCTTAGTGTGTACATTTTGGAAAGTTGTTTGTTTTTTTTTTCTTCTTTTATGCCTGGGGTGACGTGGCTTTGGCCTGTAAAAAAAAAATGCAATCCAATGATATTTGTGAAGTTTAATTGCTAACTTAGCAGCTCGGTCACACCTCCCAACCCATTAGATGATGAAATCTCACCTGGTTAACGGGTACAGCACTGTGGCCTCAATGGCGAACGCCTGATTATACAGCCAAGCTGCTAATTTACCAAACCTCCCAGCCAGGGAGGCCTGGACGGCCACCACTTACTGTATTCATGCGGTAGCTAAGAGAAGGAACCGTATTCCCTGAGCCGCTTTCCAGCTACCCGCAGAATGAGAAATGTAAAATTAGTGGAGATGTGTGCATGAAGGGAGCCGAGCAATTAGCAAGGCGCGGGCGCCCGCTTGCCCAGAGGGGGTCGGGGAGGGCGAGTGGGGAGACCAGGGCGCGAGGGCAAAGGGCTCCCTTCCTGGCAGGCTGCGGTCTGCAGGCCTTGGCTGCGGCGAGGTCAGCGCTTGTGCAGCAGCCCCCGCTGCAACGGCTCCCGGTTAAGAACAATGCTGCTTCCTACCATCCCTTTACAATGTACGCCTGTCCGTGACTTTATACCCACTTGAGGCCCACAAGGCACCATTGGGAGCACACACACTCTCTTTTTCTGTTTCTCCCCAGCTTGGCCCGGCAAAAATCATGTTAAACATCCAAACGCTGCAAACTTAACAACTGTCAGCATCTGTACAAACAGTTCTCAAATCCTAGAACATCGATCTTAGGAAGAGGGGCCTGAGGCCTCCAAGCAAGACCTTGGAGTCCCTCCGGCTAGTACCCCATCCTCATTCTCTTTTCTCCCACACCTCCCCAGTTTGTAGCTCCCAGATAGCCACTCTCCTTGGTGGCTGCAGGGCTTGGCTGCTAAGTGCAGTGCAAGGCTTGTGATCTGGGTTTCCCTCCGCCCAGTGTACGGATGCGCATAAGCTGGATATTAACAATGGCAGTGTGCGCTCGCACCTCTGCCTGCGAGGGCAGGTGTCTGTGTACAAGTTCTGTTAGATGCAATGTGGAATTACGTGCATTTGTGCAGGTTTCTAAGCCATTTTGCAGCCGAGTTGTTGCTCTGAGATTGGATGAGGGGGCCAAAGAGAATGCCCCTTTTCAGGGGCTTCAAGGCTACCTTTACTTCCTCTCCTTGCAGTTCCAGGTGGCAAACCCAACCCTGTCCTCTCCCCACCCTCCCTTAAAACCAACCAAACAGTTCACAAACCCTTATTTATTTGTTTGTCTGTGGTTATTGCCCATGTTATTAATTGCACCCAGGACTTCCTTGCTCTTTGAGAGAGCAGCGGTATAAATTGGCTCTAATAAATATTAGCTGCTAGATTAGGCGAGGTGAAGCTGGCACCGTGCTCTATTTTCGACCTGTAGCCTCTGCGAAGCCGCCAGTTCTGCGCCAGATTAGCCCCATCCATCCAGTGTCAATGGTTGTCTTGTTGAGAAAATCAGTGAGTAAACAGGGCTGACAGAGAGGGGGCCCAGCTGATTACTCATACAAATAGACTGCAAACTCCTCCAGGAGAAGCTGTTTCCAGAGATGGGTTTCTCGCATTGACAAGGCTGCTTCTCCCAGGATCCTGTGTCCTGCTGTTCCCACTTTGTCCTCCATCAATCACACAATTGTGTCCGGGATGTTTTATAGAGTCACTTAATATCCCTGCCTTCATCTCTATTCACTTAGAGAATCATCTGCCATCAGGGCTAAAGGCTTTCTGCAGGATAGGACTGGCGACACACCCGGGCAACAATAGCTCTGGTGGAAACAGGGCCTGGCGCCCTTTCTGATGCTAATAGAACAGCCCCGGGATGTTCCAGTGTGAGGCAGCTCCTATTGAAATCGGCCATTAGCCCTTTGTCCACTGCATTAAATTATCCCCTGGGCTAGTCCATGATAGGGGTATGGAGGCCACCATAAGTTTTCTTTAAAAATTATTTCTTTTCCCCTAAAATGGTTTTTGGATTTGAGAATTGGTCATGATGAAAGTCATAAGTGCTTTCTCTCTTCTTTTCTTTACAAAGTAGGGGGAATTATGTTTAGGCTAAATGTATAGAGTACTTTCGGCCTTTATCCACTTCTTCATATTATTAGCAGAACTCTGCCCGCCTGTGCCCCTACCCACCTCACTCCTCCTATTCCTCACCCTCTGCCTCTAGCCAGACTGTCCTGTCCAGATAGGAAAGGATTAAGTGACATTTAGTTTTAGACCAAAAGCAGAGCATCTTTTAAGCAGAGAATTTCCACAACTAAGAGGCCAGCTGGATACAAAATTACATTTTACGGGGGAATTTTAAAGACAGAAAAAAGAATTACAAGGTATCACTCTTTGAGTGGCTCATCTACAAATTAGATTGCTACACAATTAATCAAAAAGTTAATTAATGAGCAAGTTACTAATTAGGACATCTAAAACCAGTGTGTTTATAGTACCTTCATTTAAAAAAAGCCCCTTTAGTTAATTGGCCCACACACTGATCTCATAACTGCTAGTGGAGGCTAAAATACTATAGATGTATTATTTATTATGTATAAGTCCTAATTATGTCACCACTGCATTCTACACTCCATAACTGACAGAATGTTACAGTTAATTGGAAAGGTTGGCATTTAGGAAAATATAACCAGACTAGTCTATGAAACCCACTAAATATATCTACATTTACACTTTTTCCTGGGCAGGGACTCCAGGAGGGATACTTATGTTTTCTGACTGGTCTCTGGGAGTTCAAGCTCACAGAGCCTCCTGTTTATGAAACCTCATAAGCCCTAAAAGTTTATGATTTGCTTTGGAGAATTGCTTATGACTGAAAATTCAGAGGCAAAATTAGGTTTGGGAGTTTGAACTCCTGGGGCTCCCACTCACTGAAATGGAGCACTATGTCCCAAAGTGGGGTCTTTTTAAAAAAAAGTTTACATTAAAACAGGGGTTTCCACTGATAATTTTCATAATATTTGCAAAGGACAAATGTCAAGTTAATTTCATTAAAAACAAGAGTACATTCAGGTGAACTGAACATTCCCTCTCTTTATTGTGTTTTCCACCTGGCTAGTACCCTAGCATTCGCGCTTCTGAATGGCTAATGGTCTCTAAGCGTAGGCCCTAGGCTACCTGGAGCGCTTCCCTTTACTTTGGAAGAGAAAACAAAGTTTAAAGCTGGAGTCTCAAGGGTTGAATCCTTATCCCCCTCCTCTTTTCATTGTATCAATCAAAGCCCCAAACCAACCCGGCCCCTTTTCTGAGACTGTGACCTGGAAGATCTACCATAGCCAATGCCATCCTCCACTCCCCCACAGTGACCTTCTCTGGAGAGGGTGCAGGGGTGAGGAGTTGGGTAGATTGGAGGAGGAGGCCTGCCCCACAAAATGCTTTCTCTCCAGGCCCTAGGCCTCCCGCATCCACTCCACCCCTCTAAGAGTCTCTGAACTAGATTCTTCTGAGGGGAGAAGGGAGGACCCTGTGTCCAGACAGAGACTCAGATAAAGGCTTTCCAGAGAGAGGTCAATACGCTGCAAACAACCAGCTTTGATCTTTAGCCACAGAGGAAGGTGGCAACACCCCACACAGACACACACAGACACACACACACACACATGCAGGTTACCCCAGCGAGGAGAACACACATAGGTAATTTTAATGAAAGAGGTTCCTGTACCACATTATTAGCAATAAATCTACACCATTCTTTGTTGGTTAAAATCATTATGATCATCATCGCTATCATTACTGAACTCATTATTCTTGTGTTACTATCAGAGTAGATTTATGATAATACCCACCATTACGCCTGAGTTAAAGAAGGTGTAAAGGTTTGATTAATAGCTGCTTTCATGTTTTAATATTCAACATTTTCTCACATTTTTTCTAAATAAGGACGATGATAATTACAGGCGGTAATTACTGCTTTTGTTAGGAGTGTGTAATTAGCCACATATGCATTGTTCTTTAAAAAAAAAAGCGCAGGTTTGGGAGCTGGATCATAAGTCTAGGGGTGGGCAAACAGAGCTTGGACAGGTCACCCACGGACGTTTTGACAAATCGAGAGATGGGTCCGCAGCTCTGCTCCATGTCTACCTGCCCGGGACACCAGGAATTTGCTTTGAATGAAACCAGGTGAGGTTGGAAATAAAATATTTGGACGGGTTTACTAGGAGGGGTGGTGCGCCTGCAGACCTGCGGGTGTCTGAGATTCGCTTCTCAAGAAGCAACTCTGGCCCAGCCGTAAGGCCTCATAAGGCCTCGGGCTCGCGGGCCCGGCCTGAGGCAATGTGGCCCTTATCTGTGTGCTCCCTGGTATAAAAACGCCCGGGCCTTGTCTCCTCCCGCCCAGCCGACGCCAGGCGCGCAGTCAGCCCCGCATCCGTCATTTTCCCTCATTGACTTAGCCCAAGAGCTTCCTCCGAGCTCCCAGACTATCTGTCCCTTAAAGGTTACACGCTGCCGTGCCTCGCTTTGTCTTCCTCGTGCCCTTTCCTGGCAAAAATGGAGACATCACATCCTTGCCCAGCCCCAGCTCAGTATTTATGAAGGTTTTCTGACAAATAGGCAGGCTGGCCACGCATGGGTGACTGCCTTCATTCCGCACTTGGCTTGTTTACATAGGACCAGCACCATTTCCACGGATTAAACAAATCACAGGGAGAAGGAGACATTTATAACCCGCCAACGAGGCCACAGGCAGTTGGAAAAAAATGTGCTAGTGAGTGTGTTGCGCGACTGTGCAAAGTGAAAATGAATGCCCTCTCTGCAAGGCTGACCTTCGGGAGAGGGTGATCCCGGCAGCCCGTGTGTTTGCCGCACGCGAGGGACATGCGTGCAGAGGGGCCGCGTGGATTCGCGTGTCAGGGAGGGTTTAGACTACTGGTTAGAGTGCCATTCAATTACTCGGAGTTGGACCTCTCCCGAGGACACACACAAAGGCCAGGGAGCGCGAGTGCGCGTTCCCTCTCCCAGAGTGTGTGTATGTGTGTGTCTATGTGTGACTGTGCCCGTGGGACACTGTGCGCGCGACCATCGCAGGACCCTCCATCCAGCAGTTAACCCTTGGCAGGCCGGCTCAGGAGAGAGGAACTCCGAGGGGGCGCGCTTCTGCTCTACTCCAGCAAGGCTTTTACAGGCCGGCGCGAGGTGCGGGCGGTCCCGTGCGCGCGCGCGCGTGTATGTGGGTGTGTGTCTGTGTGGTGGGTGTGTAAGAGGGACAATGTGTGTGCCTGCACGTGGCGTGTGCGCGTGTGATCAAGTGTCTATGTGGCGTGTGCGTGTGTGGTGTGGGTGTGCGCGGCGTGCATGTGTGCGTGTGTGCACGCGCGAGAAGTGCGTGTGTAGGCGCGTGTGCAAGTGCGCGCGCGTGTGTTTACACTTCCAGAAGTCAAATCCTTTCTAGGACTCCCCCTTGCTTCACCCGGAAGTGTTCGGTGACCCCTCCACCCAATTAATGAAAACAAAGCAAAGGGCCCGAGCGGGCCTCCGACAGCCCGGGGCTTGCGGAGCTGGACGCCGACAGGGCGTCAGCCCGGTCGCTCGCGGCGCGGAGGCTGCTGCGGTTCGGAGCTGGGGTTCTGCACTCTCGCTCCCGGCTCCCGGCTCCCGGCTCCCCGCCACCCGCAGCCTCCTCGCGCCGCCGCCGCGGGCACCGCCGGGGCTTCAGTGACACCAGGCACCCGCCCCGGGCCGCGGGAGGAGGAAATTCCCTGCAAAATAGCAATGGTTCCGAGAAAAGGATCACAACAAAATATTGAATAAATTCCCTTTTAATTTATTTGATCATTCCACATTACGGGGCTATGAATTGCTCAAATTTGATAACAAGTACTCAATTCAACTCATTATGTAAGTTAAATTAGACTTCGATAAAATTTCAGTGGCGCGCAGTGGTTCCTCGAATGAAATGTAATTTGTGCAAGAATTTGTTGTATCTGTCACAAATATTTCCAATTAGCGACCGTAATTATTTGATAGTTTCTGCAATTATGGCTTAAACGGGTGAATTTGGGACTGTGGAGGACCCTAATTGGCCTAAATTTGATATTTTGCATATTTGCATAATGAGGAAATTGGTAGAAAATTGTGTTCATTCATTTGTGAAAAATCCTATGAATTTTATGAATTTGAAAGCTCTGTTTGTGCAGACTGTGACTTTGCCTGCTGATCCCTGAGGAGCTGACGCTGAACGCCTGAATGGGCAGCGCGCCAACTTCGCTGCTCCAGGAGGGGGGTGGGGAGGGAGAGGAGGAGGAGGAGGATGAGGAGAGAGGGGAGGTGGAAGGCTGTGGTAACGGTGGGCGGAGGCGGGACCATGGCGCATGCTCCGCGACGTCCCGGGCCGCGGGCGGAATCCCCCGGCTAACCTCCTTGGGGGTGAGACTGGGTGGGATGGGGGTCGGTGGGGGAAGTTGCATGGGGTGTTATACCCGCCCGGTTACAGGCCGCTGCCCTGTAGCATAACTGCGCGCGCGCGAGCGCACACACACACACACACACACACACACACACTTGCTCTCAATGAGAAATGTACCCAATCTGCTAGGTGGAAGGGGTAATTGTGGAGGGGTGAGGTCTTGAGATGATGGTAACTCTGCACTTGTTTAAGTTAAATTGCCAAAGCTTCTCCTCTCAGTAAAAATGTTTGATCTATGGCGCTGTCAATTTAAAGTGTTTAAAGAGAAGCAAAAGCATAGATTTTAAGCTGCTTTGCCCAGCACCCATTCATCATGCATCAGAGATTTTAAAGTTTCATGGTTGCTGTGGTTTAACATCTCAACTCTCTGACACAAGAATCTAGATGGAGGAAATAGCTCTGCAGTCAGAGGCTTATGACTAAAGGAGAAGGATCATGGCAAAAAATAAAATGCACAAAATACTCATTTCTGCCCATGCAAAGAAAGGGTGGTCTATTTTAAGGGGACAGGTTATGTTAATAATTATAAATAGAAGTGGAACCCACTTTTAACCAAAAATTACTGAAACAATGCCACCAATTTCTTTACAGGAGGGAGATGGGAGAAACTAGTTCAAAAGAAACCAAACAAAATCCCCAAACACTCCATCTCCTTTCTAATAAATAATGTTTTTCCCCAAGTATTTTGTTGCAGATATCCTGTATTTTCATCAAAACCCATCAAAAAAAGTCATCCTCTATGATTCTTGAATGTAACATTTTTAGATACTCCCTTAATTTCTATAGATCTTAGATGCATAAAACCAAGCAAAACAGACTCATAGTGAAGAACATGATAATATCTGGCTTTGCAGTTAAGTGCCCCGTAAAACTGCTCTGCTTGTGAACATTACTTTTGCTGGGAAAGACTTTCTTATCTACATGGAAGTGGGTAATGTGAGTGTCTAACAGGCTATAAATGCTTAAGTGCTTTGTTTCACAGTGCATTTTCAGTAAAGGTCAAAATAAATTCATCTTCCTTTAATGCAGTATTTATGTTTGTGCAAGGTTTGGAATAAAATCACCATTAAACTTCCATATGAAAAAACGAATAGGAAAATGGGAGCTGTGTCTTTGGTTCAGTCTTTTGTGGATGGAAAGGTATCATTTGAGGATGGAAACAAATAGAAGAAAACCAGTCAGTCACTTAAGACAGAATTTGAACAATGCAAAGATATTATTTTACTAATATTTAAAGTGAATTAAATAGGTGTTTTTCCATTTTAATTTAAATATTCTTGAGAACAGTAAAAGACAGATGACCACGGTGTCCAACGTTCGGAAAATAGGGGCAATAACATCCTTGCCCATATCACAGTATTTTGATAAAAGATCCAACAAGAATATTGGGTATTAAGTCTCCTACTATTATACTGTTGTTGGTGGCAGCATCATCATGATCACTATTGTTATAAGTAGCAGTAGTAGTATTATTGTGACATTAGTATTAAGATAACATGTAAAGAAGGATCTTGAGGGCAGAGTTGAAAATTAGCCCAGACCTCCTTCGATTACAGCATGAAAAGGAGCAGGTCATTCACATCTTTTTCTAGCTTGCACACATGATCAGTGATCACCATGAGTAGAATAATCTTCAAATACAAAGGATAATAGTTCATTCTCTTCTTCATTTAACAACACGTCATGTTAAATTTGGGGGATATAGATATTATTTATTTAACCTGTTCAAGAAGTCATGAAGCACCACTTAAGTGCTGAAATTTAAGGCCACCTCTAATCACTGGGGTGAATAAGGAACACAAAAGAAGATTAAATTGAAGATGCAGGATCTGCCTCAAGCTTAGGACCAGGACACAGTATTAATTTTTGCACCTTTTTTGTGAGTTCATTTTTAAAAAGAAACTTAAACAAAGAGGACTTTTGTGCAAGCATTAAGCTTTCAATGTTACCCTACACCTATTTTGGTTTTTCCTTTATATAAATATATCTGTAAGTTTTTTGTTGTGCTTATTATGAACAGGACAGTATTCCCACTGCAAAAGCTTTCTCAGAATGGTCTAAATCTGAGTTAATCACATGGTTAATCACATGACCTAAACCTCCACAGTAAAAACGTTGGTGAAAATCAAGATTGGGGGGAAAAAAAGAAAAAAACCTACCACTCCAGTTCCTTTAAATCAGAACATTGTTTTCTTGGCCAGGCATGATGGCTCACATCTGTAATCCCAGCACTTTGGGAGGCCGAGGTGGGCAGATCACTTGAGGTCAGGAGTTCAGGAGCAGCCTGGCCAACATGGCAAAAACCATCTCTACTAAAAATACAAAAATTAGCCGGGTGTGGTGGTGCACACCTGTAATTCCACCTACTCAGGAGGCTGAGGTGGGAAAATCGCTTGAGCCCAGGAGGCAGAGGTTGCAGTGAGATCGAGCCACTGCACTCCAACCTGGGCGACAGAGTGAGACTCTGTCTCAAAAAAAAAAAAAAGAAAAAAGAAAAAAAAAGAAAGAAAAAGAAAAAAATGTTGTTGTGGGGTTTTTGTGTGTGTGTGTTTCCTACCCCCACCTCCCACCCTCAACCCCCAGGAAACATTTGTCGCCATCATTGTATATAGCTCAAGACCAATTTGTAAGGTTTAGGGCTGGAAATATGATCGTTTACTAAGTATTGGATCTAATTAAATCCACAGAGAAGAAGATTCCGGTGGTTTGTGAGACTGCAGGAAATGGTTGTCCTCCCCAGGCCAGTCCCCACCCCAAGATCAAACATAGCCTTTCATTCCTGGAGAAAGTCAGATTCCCTGCAGTTTGTGGGCTTCCTCTCAGCAGAGGAGAAGCTTGTAGGAAACAAAGCCATAGCAATCCCTCTACAGGAACCCTTTCCTTGGTTCCTTACTCTGAACATTTTGGGCTGAAGCCTTCATGTGTGGGCTCCCCTTCTCATCTGTTTTTTTCAGAAAAATGTATGCTGAAAAAGTCTTCACACTACAAAAACTGCTGGAAAGTGATGAGATAACAAAACCTCCTAACTTGGGTTTATCCAGCAAAATTTTTTTAGGATTTTCATTTTAATAGGTTATTCTTATAGATTTTCTTGTATTGCCTCTCTTTCTGTCTCTCCTTTTCAATCACCAACTATTCCATCGAGGCCATCATCATTTTTCACTTGGATTATCACAGTAGTCTCCTAAACTATCTGCTCTGGCTCTAGTCTCTTGCCTAATCAGTTCATTCTGCCTGGGGCAGACGAGCTAATGTTAATATTACCCTGCTCTCATCAAATTCGTCTTGCATGCTAAATACACCAACATCTCACCCTTTCATAGAGAATAAAGTCCAAACTCTATGAACCTGTTTTCAAGTCTTTCAATAATCTGGCTCATCTTCATGTCCAAACTTATCTCCCACTGCTCACCCACTGAGCCCTGTATTCCAGCAAGATTTGTTTCAGAACACCCCCCTGCATACTTTAATCACAGTTTGCACCAGGAACACCCTCCTGTCTTGTTTGCCTGTTTCCTATAGGTTATTTAAGAGGTAGCCTATCCCCTTTATCATATAGGTGGGAATTGAACAATAAGAACACCTGGACACAGGAAGGGGAACATCACACACCGGGGCCTGTTGTGGGGTGGGGGGAGTGGTGCGGGATAGCATTAGGAGATATACCTAACGTAAATGACGAGTTAATGGGTGCAGCACACCAACATGGCACATGTATTCATATGTAACAAACCTTCACATTGTGCACATGTACCCAAGAACCTAAAGTATAATTAAAAAATATATATATATATAAAAGAAAAAAAAAAGAGGTAGCCAACCCCTGCCCCCAACACCACCACCCTCTGCCAATGAATTTGCTCATTCATTCTTTCTTTCATTCAATGAACATTTATCGAATGTGCCAGGCACTATCCATATGCAAATTGCGGGGGAGACAGAGATGAAGAGACCAAGTCCCATGTCCTCAATGGAGATAACATCATGTAGTAGGCAAATAACAACAATGCCATGTACTAAAAATCCTATGACTAGGACACAGACAATGTACAATGAGAATGTCCCAGTCCTTTCATTGCTTTCCATTCTAAGTTCCCCTCTTAAATTAAACCCATCATGCCCACGGAAGCTCACCCTACATTGCCTCGTACTATTGGTAAGTTCCTCAAGAATAAAGGACTCTCTCCTTTTGTGTCCCTCAAAACCCCCAGTACCAAGCTTTGGAACATAGATATTGATTGATTGATAAGTGGGCATGGTTGTAGTGATATAATTGTCACTTTCAGTTATATGAGTCAAACCTGGTTGTTCTGTAGGGTGGAGGGACCACCATGAAAAACAGTGGTGGCCTCTTTTAGTCACACTGTAATGGCCTGGTTTTCCTAGCATCTGACACTCTTTGGGTAAGGCTACAAATGGGCACCCAGAATTGTGAACATAACTTTATTCATGGTGGCTTATCCCAAATGTTTTAGATTGTATAATAAAGAGCTAAAGAGTAGTAAGTAAATAAAGATAATTTAATTAATTTACAAAGACCACTCAATTACTGTTTTTTTGTTTGTTTGTTTGTTTTGAGACAGGGTCTTGCTTATCACCCAGGCTGGAGTACAGTGGCGTGATCTCAGCTCACCACAGCCTTGACCTCTCAGGCTCGAGTGATTCTCCTACCTCAGCTTCCCCAAATAGCTGGGACCACAGGCGCAAGCCACCACGCTCAGCTAGTTAAAAAAAAATGCAGAAAGAAGGTCTCACTATTGCCCAGGCTATTACTGTCACCTTGATCATGTCCCTAATACCTCCACTACCACTCCAATATCCCTACTGCCACTGCCATAATTGTTAGTAACAGAAGTTCTTTATCATGGGCCAAATCTGGTGGCATATACCACACACCCCTTATTATTGATGGTAACAGACACTGACTTCATAAAGAATGTTACAGGACTCTCTTATAACTCAGTCCAAAGTAGCATTATACTTATGTAAATATAACTGCATATGTAAGTGAGGTGCAACTCAGCTATGAAAAGGCACAGAATTTTAAAAGTATTAGGCCAGGTTTAAAATCTTCAAACTGTTGACACATGAGCCTTTCGATAAAATCAGGAAATATAATGAGAAGTATTACAGCATCGCTTATTCAGAATTGGAGTAGTCACATCACAGATAGATCTGCTAGATCTCCATCAAATCATGTTATGCAAGAGGAATCAAAGAGCCGTTTGTGTCTGTAGCCTCATCAGAAAGACTCCTTGTTAAGAATATGGAATGGGCCAGGTTGTCACTGTCCACGTACCCACCTAGTCAAGGTGGATCTTAGATTAACAGGCCTTAAAAATCAAATCTAAATTTCCTAGGAAAACTTCCTATTACGCACAGTGGATTAAACAAATGTGTTTGTCTGTGCTCTCTATGGAAGATTCTCTGAAACGATGGTAAAGTAATAAAGAAGGTACCAATCAAAACAGGCAGACAGCAAGAGAGGAGGTGACAGCAGAGGAGAAGTGCAAGTAAAATTTTGGAAGCTAGAATGCATAAGTACCAAGAGTAACTGACTTAGCAGACCGCCCAAAACTGAAGCTTCAGCCTCAGTGGGGGAAATTAACAAGGAACAAAGCAACCCATCTCACAGAAACTCGGAGAGGTTCAAGAACTAGAAATACCGTAGGCGTCTCTAAAGGTGGTAGTGTCAGGAGGGATTGCAAACAAGAGGCTTGGTCAAAGTCTTTTAAAGACCAATTACGCAGGGTGCAGTGGCTCTTGCCCATAATCCCAGTACTTTGGGAGGCCCAGGTGGGTGGATCACCTGAAGTCAGGAGTTACAGAGCAGCCTGGCCAACATGGTGAAACCTCATCTCTACTAAAAATACAAAATTAGCTGGGTGCGGTGGCATATGCCTGTGATCCCAGGTACTTGGGAAGCTGAGGCAGGAGAATCGCTTGAACCTGGGAGGCGGAGGTTGCAGTGAGCCGAGATCGCGCCATTGCACTCCAGCCTGGGCAACAAGAGCAAAACTCCATCTCGAAAAATAAACGAATAAATAAATAAATAAATAAATAAATAAATAAATATCAATCTCTCTATCCCCACAACCACTCAAATTAGATTAGAGATTTTCCCTTTAGAGATGTTGAACCAGAAGGGATTTGGGGACACAAGTCAAGATAGGGATGAGGCAGAATGTTAGAAACATGGGGAGTGAAGTGAAAATCTACATACTGAATGGCGAGTTCTCCAACCCTCCTCCTCCTCTATTTGGCTCTCAGAACACTGGGAGCCAGTGTTTTTACCTCTCAGGAAGGCATCTAGAGGATTCTTCTTCCATAAAATTAGCCACAGACTTGACCATCGGAAATCCCCTGAGAAAAATAGCTGGATGCTGTACAGTAAAGCCCACCAGTCAAAAAGGCCACCTTGCACGCAGAACTTATTATCAGAATTGTAGTGCTTTGCTTATTTAATTATTCATGTATTTACTTCTTCTAGTGCCTCACTTTTAAATATGATTAGATAACCAAAGTCTATCAGACATTTGAGGAAAGCTTCTAATGGAAAAAGTAGAGACAGAAACAAACAGAATAAAAAGGAACTCAGAGAAAACAGACCAGAACATAAGCAACTTCAAACAAATCAACAGGCAAAGCACAATTATTAGGAGATAGGAGACACTGCTGAAGCCACAAAACAAAAACAGGAGGACATTCCAAAGAGAACATTCAGAGAGTGAGGAAGAAGAAAAACCTCTGGGAATTTAAAAGTGTAATAGTAGAAGTGAAAGATTCAATAGTAGGGCTGTAAGATAATGCTGAGGAAGTCTCTGAAGAAATAAATTAAAATGAAATGGAAGGAAAGAAAATTAGAAGACCCAACGGATAGGAATTCTAGTAGACAACAGAGAAAACGAGAAGAACAATTTCAAATAAATGATACAAGAAAATTTCCTAGAGAAGATGGGCATGTGTTTCCAGGTTAAAACTGGAGCACCATAATTTAAAAAGACTTTTCAGCAACTAAAAAATTTGAAGAAAGCAGGACTGAGGGCTGGTAAGGTATGGGGCAAGCAACTGTGAGTTGTCACTATAGGCCTTGTAGTATAATTTAACATTTTATACAGCTATGGGTATTACACTGATAGGAACAAAATTTAAACTAAAATGTATATAATTAAATTTTCTAGTGAGAAGGAAACAGACACAGCATTGGGAAAGAGAAGAAAATATTTAGGATTGTTTAAAAATATAACCTGACATAGGGAACCATTAGCAAAGTCTAGACGCTACCTCTTAGATTTTTGCGCATATTTTCTATCATCCTAAGTGCCTGCACTTTGCCTTCAATAAGAGTATGAGATCTGAGTGCCCTGCTCCCAGAATATGATCAGGAGATACTAATTGGAATTGGAATTCTTAAGACTCCTGGGTTGGAGTCTGTTTGCCACTGATAATAATTGGGTGACCTCAGGAATGCCCCTAACCTCTCTGGACCACAGTGTCTTTGCATACAAAATTAGAGGTTGGCCAAGATCAGAAGTCACAAATTGGCAGCCCAGAAATTAAACCTGGCCCACAGACATATTTTATTAGGCTCACCAAGTATTTTTAAACATTTTAAAGTTTGAGATATCTAGCTTTTCTTTAAAATTCAGAAGATCTGGCAACAGTGAACTCAAATTCTTGGGAAAAACTCACTGTCACTGATGGGGCATGGATTGCCATGTAGCCACAGGCCCCTCTCTAGCTATCACTGCTGGGCCCCACTAGGCATTTGCGTTTGAGAACTCTGGGATAGATGATTGTTTAGGTCCCTTCCAAGTCTAACATTTCACTTATTCATTTGATCATTTATTCATTTAGTGAACTTTCTGCATGCTATTACATTAGACACTGGAGACACAAAAATGAATATGACAGAGTCCTTGCCCTCAATGAGTTCAAATTCTTCTTATAGAAGAGTGCTTAAAAATATTTACAACACCGTGAAATATTTGCCAAACAAGGCTCATATCATGTGCAGTAGGGTCTCAGAGAATGGGTCATTTCAAGGAAGAGATATCAGGAATCTTCTTAGAAGCTGCTAATATTTGAGCTGGTTTTGTAATGCATCAGGTGGACAAGAGGACAGCCTAGGCCTGTGCTCAAAACAGTCCATGGACTAGCCCACCACTGCTAGTGATGTATAACATTTTACATAAAAACCTCAGAGACACTAGAACCCCTGAGAAGAAAGCTCGGGATAAAGTATAATGTAATGGTATGTCAATGTGTTCCTGCCACAGACCACCAGGAACAAATGGATTTGTTGACATATTGCAAGGAAAGAGAACATGCACCATGAGGAACCATGAGGCAGCTCAGTAATAGGGGTTAGAAAGGACTACTTATAGGACTTAGACTTCAGTTAGGTGATTTGGAGGAGCGTTCAAGGAAATAGAGGGTTCTGCTGTGCATTGGATTCCATCAGGAAACAAGATAAATCTTTGATTATCTTAACAAATCTTATCTAAAAGATGGGAAGAATGAAGTGAGGCTAAAGCTGTAATTGGCAAAGCAGCAGCAGTCGCTTCTATTAGCCTGATAAGGGAATGTCTGATCATTTTTGTGGTTTGGACAATGTTCTTGTTCTGGTTTGAGATCAGACACGACTATGAAGGGGTCTTGATTTGCCTTATCATGATATTCACAGAGTGGCCTTGTCTGGAGTTCTGTGAAAGTGTTCAACAGGAGACTACTAAGGCCTAGCTGTGAGGGCCAGGCAGGCTCCTAATGGCAGAGGCAGCTTTTCTGTTTCTCAGGTCTTAGAGTCCTTGAGAGCTTCAAAGGCTGGAAAGCCCTCTATCAATTTCTCTCCAATTCCCTGTTTAAGTTTATATTCAGTTCATGCAAGACTTATTTGTCCAATGCTGATGGGCTCATTTAGAAACTCTGTAAAGCTACTCTCCCTGGAAAACCTGCCTGGTCAGTCCTGACCATGTCCTGGACCGGGTCTTCATGACCTGGGATCACACAGCCAGGTCTGCCCAGACCTTTTCTGCTCATTTTCATAGACAAACAACTTGTTTCTGCACAGAGCTGCCCTCTTGTTGTTAGCCTCCTGTAAAAGCATTTTTCATCCAAAGATGTTCACATTTACTATCACCCTATGAAATCAAGTACCTCAGAACTGGAAATGACTAACCAGTCTTCCTGTCACCAATTTCTCCTGAGTTCAGTCCACCTTCTCTGTCACCAGAATCACTGTCCTACATCTCTATTTTAAGGAGTCCCTGCCAGTTCTCTCCTCCTCCTCCTGGAGAGAGAGCGAGCTCATTTATTGTACAACCCAACGTCCTTGACAACCCAGCCCCAGCCCACCTCTGTGGTCTCATCTCCCACCGGACTGTTTCCATCCCCACACACCCAGGAACTTCCCCAGCGGGATGCCACTACACTACTCTCTCCTTTGCTTTGCCCGGCCAAGAATTCATCTTCACCGCAGTGTTAGTAACTCCCTTTCCCTTGCTTATTGTACTTATTTTTCATATATCCAGGACCACATGTGTCTTGTTGGGCTATGATTGTGATCTGTCTCACTCATGGAAGGCACAATGTCCTGGCATCCCCAGTGCCCAGCATGATGCCTGACAGAGAATACTTCCCGCAAGAATCTATAAAGAAAACCTGTATACAGAGAGGGACCCTTCTACCTCATTCTACAGCAGTAGCCTTCGGCCTGTGTTAAAACACTTCTCCTGATAGGCACATCACTAGCTCCCAAGGTGGCCCATTTTAATTCTCAATAGCTTTGTTAGAAAGTTCTTCCTCATATCAGTCTCAGATTTGTCTCTCCCCAAAATCCAATTCCTTTTGAACACTTGAAGTCAGCACTTTTTTTCTTCTTATCTTCTCTTTTCCAGGAGAACACTTGGGTTTTTTCTCTCCTGGTTATTCCTCTGGACACATTCCACTTTGCTACCATCTTCTTAAAGCATGAGGCCCAGAGCTGGACACAATTTTCCGGACATGGTTTGAGGAGTTTAGAGTAAAAGAGAACCATCAGCTCCCTCATTTTAATCTAAAATCCCATTTGATTATTTGGCCCCATTGCCATTGAGCTATAGTCAATTCAAAGCCTTAGTCTTTCAGGATTTTTATGTTTTATAAATGTTGCAGCTAATTCATGTCTCTCTTAACTTGCAAGATTGATTTTTTGGACCCATAGATAGAAGCTTGCATTCATCCCAGTTACATTTCATCTTTTGTATTTAGCCCATTATCTTATCCTAAGGACTTTTTGCATCCCAGTTCTCTTCCTGATTGGCATACTCTACAATTTCGGTGATCATGCTCTTTACACCATCTTCCAAATTAATACAAATGCG
Organism: Homo sapiens; assembly: GCF_000001405.40. Lineage (NCBI taxonomy): Eukaryota > Metazoa > Chordata > Mammalia > Primates > Hominidae > Homo > Homo sapiens. The sequence continues at coordinate 77,863,173 of NC_000005.10, forward strand.
AGACAGAATCAAATTAAGCTCAGAGCCCTTATTCTCTTTCCTTCTGCCTTATTTTCTTTTTCTTCCTCTCTTACACTCTTTCCTCCCTGCCTTGTTCCAAAAAGTTGCAAGGCTGCTCTCTAGGGCATTATACTACAAAACTCCTAAGATGACACATATTCAAATCAGCTCATTTCCAGAGAGCCATGCAACTAGTTATGAATCCAACCAAGGTCCTGGCATCACACACATTGTTTCTGTCATGCCTACAGGATACTGTACGAGGCAATCCTCCCTAATTCCAGATTTATTAGGCCTATGATAATTCTGTCTTTTGTTTGTTGTGGCTTGTCCTGAAGACCTTGAGGCCAGTTTTCTCTTCTAGGAGCTCACAATCAATCTTTTTAGTGCTTTGTTCTAGAATCTTCTTTGGAACAAACAAGATCTTCTTTTCACAACCCCAGTGACATTTATATATCTCCTATTTTCTAAAACATGAAAAATAATGGTATCTGCAGAATATCTGTATGTAGTAGCTCTACAGTGATATTTTCCTAAGGTTTTTGTTTTGTTTCTAAAAAGAAAGTCTAATTTAATCTAGAAACTCGATAAATTTAAGCCACTTCAAGGGGAGCACACCAAGTGTAGACTTAAGACATTTAATATAATTCAGTGAAGATCTCAAGCTTTCTAACCTGCCTAGAGTTGTGTCGGCATTTCTCTTCTTCCTTCCATCCCTACCTGCTATAAGTGAGCTTTAAGGAAGTTACTGAGCACTTTGGTGAAAGGCTAGTCTAGTTCAGGGATGGAGAATCATAATTGATCCTAATCCGTGATCTTAAGTCAGCTTTTCTGTCGGTGGAATATACTTCAGGATACTTAAAATTTGAGCCTGAAGATGCTAATCTAACCCAAACCTATGCCAATGTGTAGAATAATTGGAAAGGAATTGGCTAAGAACGTTTGACTCTCCTCTCCTGCTCTCAGTAGTCCTCATGGGTTGCTGGCCAGTGGGGAAAGATAAAAGAGCCTCAACAATAACTTGACCTAACCTCAATAGTGCAGGTAGATATTGTGCTGAAGTAGGAAAGCTTTGTAGAGCTTTGGGTTCAGCAAAAAGGCCTGAAGTACGTCTTTCAAAGTCAGTTCAGACATTACTTTCTATAAGAACATTTTTAGAACTTTCCCCAGGCTGGGCTGAGCCCCAGAACATCCTGGGCACATCTCTGTCACCGTCTTTACTAAAGCATTTTGAAATGACATTTTTGACATGTTGGTCTGCCCACGCCATACCTTGATTTCTTTGCAGGGTAGGGGCTGTCTTATTCATCCTGGGCTCCTGGAGCCTAGCACTGTGCTTGGCATGAAGCAGGGGTTTGACACATATTTACTAAATGTAATGGAGTGATTTCTCAAGGCTTTTAAGTTCATAATGTCCACTGTACATTTTGTTCGGCTCTCCCTCTTAATTTTAAAAGGCCACATGAAATTTAATACATTATTTCGGATTCATGAATACTTTGCTGATTACATTAGTCTTGTTAAAGGAGTCCATTATTCCAGAAATCTTGTTAGAAGAGAGCTCTTTGTCGCTGCAGAGTTTTCCATGGATTGCTGGAGCTTGAGAGGACAGGGGGTGCCTCATACCTTCTGCTCTCTTAGGATTCCAGAATGTTAAGGAAGAGGAATGCCTTAGACATCATCTCATCAAGTCCCCCAATTTGAGAATGAGAAACTCCAGTTCGGAGATTTTTCCAAAGACACAAGAAGGTGACAGGGTCAGGATTAGAACCCCAGTCCTGTGAGCCTAAATGCCCATTCCGTGACCCTCCCTGGCCACCCCATGGGATCTGCTAACTGGACTTTTGGCTTCCCCACCCCGTTTAGGTTGCAAACTGTGTTCCCTGCTTAGTCTGTGGGGCTGGGCCAGCCTCCAGTGGAGGAGCAGCCTACACAGGTCATTGCAAGGGTGTGGGGCCTGAAGGACAAATAAGTGGGACTTCCTGCTTGATCAGCTGCCCCGGCAGTCGCTCGTTCCCTGTGTGTGGTTGCTGTGGCTCCTAAAGTGTCCTGTCATCCTCCTTCTGAAAGAACACTTGCTAGTGTCGACATCTGGATGAGGAAACAGAGGCTCCGATGTGGCAGTTGGGAGCGGTCCTTTGTCAGAAGCAGCAAAGGTACTGATTTGCTGTTGGAAGGGTGGAGGCAATTCGTGGACAGGGGCTCTGGTAGCTTAGAGGTGGCTGAGGTAAATGTTGCTCCAGGAAGCTCTCCCCCTGAGGGCAGGTGGGTTGGAAAGCCACAGCCACGTGGGCTCCAAGTGGGCTTTCAGGGGCCTTGGGCACATTATAAGGGCACGTGTCACAGGCGGAGTCCTTCCTCTAAAGAGCCTAAAGAGCTGGTCAGGCATGCGTTAACTTTAGGCTCCAGGCCATTCAACATCCCCCACCCGAAGGGAAGCAGCAGACCCCAGCCCTCCTGTCCCCATGGAATGTGTGGGTACCTTGCAGTACGCCAGGGCCCGGGATGGGGCAGGAGCCTCTGGGTTCTTCTGTGGTTCTTCTCTCCCTTTCTAGCACATGCAAACACAAACCTTCTAGGGCTTTTCCTTCGTCTCCTTCTAGGAACTCAACAGCCTGTGCGAGGAGGAAGGGGTACGATTCCCCACTTCAGACAAGCAGCAGCCACAGACCAGCCCCTGCGCTACTACAGGTGCCTTTCCAGCCTCCGTTTGTCCACTCTGCTCCCTTGTCCTCATTTTCCAGTGAAGAAGAGCGGGGGCATGTGGGGTGCTGGGGCAGTGCGAGGGGTGCTAGAAGTGTCCTGCTAGGTGTTTCCCACCCCCAACAAAGCTCTGTTGCAAATGATGTTTTCGTTGTATTGTTTAATGATAATCATAATAATAATAACAAAACTTTGACTTGAATAGTATCTAGAACTTCTAACTACTTTCTAGAGTTGTGAAATGGGAAATGAACAGCGAGAAGGGTGGTGGGCAGTCCTGGGGGTTGTGGGAATGTAAGTGTGTGCCCATCCTCATGCACCTGGTCTTGGACCCCTCGGAGGTGTCTTGCCTTTCCTGCTCCCCTTAGCTCCTACAGCAGGAGACGGAGCAGGAGTGGGGCGGGTGGGAGGGAGGCAGGGTGGATATGGGCGGGCCTGAGGACTAAGCAAGGGCATGGATGTGGATGCCAGCAGCTGGCAGAGTGCCCAGCATGTGGTAGCCACTGGGTGGGCATCAGCTCCCTGTCTTCCTCTTGCCTCCCACTCAGCCCCAAAGGAGTGGAGCCAGGGTGGCTGCATGTGGCCATGCAGGTTGGGCACTGTGAGCCTCAGGGGCACCATTCACGTGGACAGCAGTGGAACCCCCTGGAGTTCCAAAAAAGGTGGCCCTGCCCTGCACTCTCTTGCTTTGTTAGGACTTCTAGATACGAGGCATCCGACTGCTGCCCTGGAGGGAGGGCAAAGGTATCCTGTGCTCTGTGGATTACCCACTATGGTTCAGGCAAGCCCAGTCCTACTTTCATGAAATGTATGGTTCTGTTGGGGAGGTGGCCAAGGAGCCAGGTCATTACAATGCAGTATATGGCCGCAGGAGGACAAGGGCTATGAGAGCACATGGGAAGGCAATGACCCAGCCATGGAGGAGGTGAGGTGGGGGGTCTCCATAAGCTTCCCTAGGTGCAAAGATGTCCAAGGGAGCCATTATGTAAAAACACCTTACAATAGGCCCTTCTATGATATATTGCTTCCCAATCTGGGTGTCTTATAAGCAGACCAGATCTGGACAGGTAGTTTTTGAGGACAGAAAAGTCCAAGGTTTCTTTAGTCTCCAACTTCCATTATCCAAATGAACAGTGGCGGCCACAGCCCATCAGTAAGGACATTCCACATTTCACACTCTGAAGTGACAATGGAATACGTGCTTCAGAGTTCAAGGAGAAAGGACAACTTTGCAAAGTAACTGTCCTTAGTGGCAGAGGGGTTAGAAAGTCTACAATTTAAGAATTTGTCGCAAAAGCAATCACATCACTGAGATATTCAAACAATCCAGTCAGGCTTCTTCTCTTCCTATTATCTGAACTTTTTTTTTTTTTTTTTTTTTTTGGGTAGCCAAATAAGAATAAATATCACCAGTAGGGGGAATAGATGTCTAAAAAACAAACTCAAAAATGTTTTTCTTACATGAAAGTGGCTGTGCACAGTACTAAATGATTTCCATATCAATATTTCTTTGTTTATGGTTTGCTTTAAATGCCTTTCACAAAGATCATACAAGAAAACAAAAATGTTAAATACATAAAATGCACTTTTTAAGGGCATTTTGGCAATAGAGCCTATTCAACAATAAAATTTAACATTCCAGACCCATATTTCACTGCCTTAAATAATGCTGCAATTCTTATCACAGCCTCCAGGCACAACCCGTGGCTATAATACACAGAAAGGAATCCCCGAATGTCACCAAGGACTAGAGCTCCAACTCTTGGGGGAGAGCCCCCAAAATCTGTTTTGAAGCTAGAAAAATTAGTTCAATCTATATCAGTATGAGTATTCTGTTTAAATATATAAACAGGTATTCATATATTTACCACTTGTGCAGATAATTTAGACAGTGTTTGTTGTTATGAGGAATTGCTTGGATTATGTTCTCATTTTAAAGTTTTTAGTCTTTTTTTCCATGATCTAACATGCCATAAACACAGCCCAGGTCCTGCCCATGTCTTCTCTTGATATGCCGTCCAGGCCAGTGGTTTATGATATTAGAACATAACCCCACCCCTGGCACCTAATGGTGAATATGCCAGACAGGTATTCACACAGAGAGGGGCACTAAGAGGGGAGGTTGCTAGAGTTCACTGTGGGGGTGTGTGGCCGGCTACGCATGTGTTTGTGTGTGTGCATGTGTGTGTGTGATTACTGCCCAGTGTGGCTGACACATCCTGTGCCCACAGCCACCAGCAGATGCCACCAGATTGCTCCCGAAATAATCAGTTATACATGCCAAACTTAATGAGCAGAAGATAAATCAGAGGTGGGATTAGAATTCCAGGCCCTGAGAGAACGGCCCTCCTGTTTGGGTTAAGAGAACAATTCCACAGGGGCAGCAGCCTGGCACCTGGCTGAGTCCACTTCAGCTGGTCCCATCCCAAAGCCCTGGCTCACTTCCTGTGTGCTCTCTCAGGGCCTGCAGGCCGGAAGAGGCAGGAGTCCCAACACTCCTTCATTTATTTCTCTATTTAGGACGAGTTCTCCCATGCACAGGGAGGAATTCACAGAGATTGAGCAGGAAAATCAGTTTAATTACAAGAGAAACCAGGAAGAATGAGGCAAAAATAAGGTCAGCTTAAAGGTTTAGAGATGTTCAAGGGGCAGGCGGGATGGTGGTGATTTGCGGGGAGGCAGCACGGTTCTGCTCGGCTTAAAATTGGTGCCAGTGAAAAGACCAGGGAGAACTTTCCACAAACCTGGCTGCACTCACCTTTCTCTGGGCAGAGGCTTCTCCTTTCTAGGCCTGGAGAAAATCCTGCCTTGAAATCCCAAGCTCTTTTTGCCGCAACCGCCTGGTTCTCCGTCCCGCTGAGGGCCACAGAAGCACGTTTGCAGGCTGAAATAAACTTGCGCACCTCATAAAAAGAACCAGGAATGATGCTACCATTTCATGGGATATTACACCATAATGATGATAATCCTCCCATTTACATCTGATCTTCCACAGACTTAGTGAAATTAGCTTCCATGCCACCTAGCAGGGGTAATTTATGAGATAAAAAGGGAACCATTGAGAGATAATGTAATGAGTATTTACTGTATCCTTGATGGTGTTCTCATCACTGGGGAGAAGGGGAAGCTGGGTGGTGAGTTTAGACGACCGCATTTCCGAGAGCCGTGCTAAAACGTCGGGGGCCGGGATAGCTCTGCAAGACCGCGGCATCCCCCCAAATCCTTCCCAGAAATGCTGTGCAAACTCATGCCGACGTTTGTGCTCATAGGCTGTGAATTTCTTCTGCCAACCTGAGCTGAAAGAAGCTAGAAAACTCTGCGTATTTTACTTTCAGAGTTAATGGGAATAAAATACCTCAGTGGATGAGTGCAGATGTGTTTGATACAAATAGTCATTTTCCTATTTGCTGCCTCATTGAGCATGATGAATGATTGGAGTCAGAGAAGCGGCGTGATAAATGGCAGCACCTTGGCTCCATTGCATGCCCTATTGATTCTCCTTCTTTATTACTCCTACAACCCAGCTGGTTGCTTTGCCCTCCCCACAAGCCGTTTCTTGGGGGAGGGATTGCTTCCTAGAAACCCAATTTATGGAGAAGGGGAGTGTGGCATTTTCTTACCATAGCAAAACCCTGTGTTTAGCTTTCGTTAACATTTACAAATATAGCCCTTTTTTGGTGACAGACACCTTGACTGGGGGAAGAGCAGGCGGTCGGGGAGGGTTTCAGCCATATGCAGTTTCCTTTCTCTATTGCAAGGCAAAATATTTTAGCTGCCGTGTTTTTATCCAATTGAAACCTGCATCTCTAAGTTCCAGTCAATGCAAAACAGGATAAGCAAAGTAACTGTCTGCCACGTTTATCTGTGTATCTATAGAGATATTTTCAGGTTATTGTCAGGGTAAACCAAATGCCAGTTCAGATCTGTGATCAACCATTTTGCGTGATCCCAGCCTTAGTTATCCACAGACAACACACGTTCAGGCTCTGATGCATGTTAGATTGGGTGAACAAATAGTACATAAGAGACTGGTCTGGATTAGCAGGGAGCTTTGTTTAAAAAGACACTGTATGTCAGCCTAGCAGTTAATCCATTAAGTAAGAAATGGCAACGCTTCTCCAATGGCACCAAGAGAGACCTCTTTTAAATACATCAATATTTCAAACTGTTTTGCTCATCTGTTATAACTTTTCTGTTTCCCTTTCATGGGTTGCCATATATCTCGAACCTTTTTGAGGGGCCAAATGAGACTCTGAAAAGCAGAGGCATTAAAAAGAACTTTTAAAATGAAAGTAGCCCCTGAGGTGTAGAGGCCTCTCTCAGGCTGAGTCCCTTCATTCTGCAGCCTTCCTAGCAGGGTCAGGGGCTTCTCAGTGGAGGTGCTCACAAGAGGGAGGCCAAGATCCCAAAGCCAGAGGCCTAGATTCCAGATCGTACTCCGCCTCTTTGTAGCTAGGTCAAGTTCCACTAAGAAGCCATGATGAACTTTGCTTTTCAAATCTGTAAAATGGATGTGCTAATGCTTACTTCTCAAGTATGCTGTAAGGATCCAGTCTTTTAATGATGTGAAATGTGATACAAACCCCATAGCATTATAGAAGACATTATTAACAGAATGCAGTTGAAATCCTAACATCCAGGATCATAAACTTGCTCACCTATGTGGTTCAATGTCATATTTATGTACCTCCCACCTAATTCTTTTTTTTTTTTTTTTTTTTTGAGGCGGAATCTCGCTCTGTCACCCAGGCTGGAGTGCAGCGGCACGATCTCGGCTCACTGCAAGCTCTGCCTCCCGGGTTCACGCCATTCTCCTGCCTCAGCCTCCCAAGTAGCTGGGACTACAGGCGCCCGCCACCACGCCCGGCTAATTTTTTGTATTTTTAGTAGAGACCGGGTTTCACCGTGTTAGCCAGGATGGTCTCGATCTCCTGACCTCATGATCTGCCCGCCTCGGCCTCCCAAAGTGCTGGGACTACAGGCGTGAGCCACCGCGCCCGGCCTCCCACCTTTAAATTAACTACAGTGGTTCTCAAACCCTAGGGTGTGCAGTGACAACATGAGGAGCTTGTTAAAAATGCAGATTCTTTTTAATGACTAAGGGGTTTTACTCTAAAGCAGAGGTGTCCAGTTTTTTTAGTTCCCTGGGCCACACTGGAAGAAGAAGAATTGTCTTGGGCCACACATAAAATAGACTAACACTAATGATAGCTGATGAGCTAAAAAACAAGCAAACAAAAGTCATAAAAATTTACAATGTTGTAAGAAAGTTTAAAAATTTGTGTTGGGCCGCATTCAAAGCTGTCCTGGGTCATGTGCAGGCCACACACAGGCCGCTGGTTGGACAAGTTTGCCTCTCAAGTGATACAAATGTTTTGAAAGTAGATAGAAGTGGTGGTTGCCCAGCGTGGTAAATGTACTAAAGCGTTTAAAAATGCTTAGTTTTATATTATGTGAACCTCAACAAATGATTTTTAAAATGCAGAGTCCTTGACTTGTCCCTCTTGGATTCCGGTTCAGTTTGATGTGGTGCCGCAAAATTTTCATCTTAAAAAATCCCGCCTCACCTCAGAATTTCCCGAGGCATTTTAACATAAGGCAGAGGCAATGCTGATGTAGGTGGTCCAGTGACTATGTTACTTAGAAATATTAAGAAAATACCACCTGGGAAATAAGGAACTTAATACTTTTTTTCAGATGGGGAAAAACTAAGAAAGAGTTAGGCATCAATTAACTCTGTTAAGTTGTGTGAAGAGAACAGCCAGAATTGAGTTGGGAGAAACAGACTTTTGGTACACAAATGTTGCTAGCTTTCAAAGTGTTTTACAATCTTTCCTAAAAAGTTTCTTGCAAAAGTGAACACAGAGCAAGTCCATGGCCCACCTAAGGTCATGCCAAGTGCAGACACTACTTTGGAAAATAGCTTTTCTCAACAGGCAGATGCAGGCCTGACTCATTTCTGAAAATAAAATTAACGTTAACACGAGAAAAGGTGCTCTTACCTCTGTCTACTTGCACGATTGTATAGGGTTGAAAGCCCTCGGCCAAGGTTACAGAAACACCACGCGTTTAGAAAATAGCCATTTGGTAGCCACTTTGCACGGGCTGGAAGTAGCATGATCTAGTGGTCTTTGCCTTGGATCAATTTGTGCTCTGGAGCTTCGATACCCACTAACTCAGAGCATGCTTTTAACAGTTATCTAACTTCTCATTCCTGATCTGCCTTGCAGGAATGCAGGGAGCCCAAGCAATGAATTCCTTAAGAAGTCTTAGTTTAACATAAGGCAGGGCTATCAGTGGCTGGCCCAGGAGCCTCCTTAATGCCTCTTACGGTGTCAGAACTCTCTCCTAATCAAGAAGGATAAGGGTTGGCTCTCCCCACACTTAGCTGTGTTCTCCACAGAGCTGTAGTGGTTAGGTCCTAAACCCTATGTGAGCCTAGGACGATAGTAAACTTTTTTTAAAAAAAATTATTTTCAGAAAGTTCTTTCCTCAAAAAATTAAAAATACAATTACCATATGATCCAGCAATTCCACTCCTGGGTATGTGTCCAAAGAATTCAAAGCAGAATCTTGGAGAGACATTTGTACAGCTGTGTTGGTAGCAGCATTACTCACAATAGCCAAGAGGTGGAAGCAACTCAGGTATCCATCAATGGATAGAGAGATAAACAAAATGTGTGTTTATCTATTATTTAGCCTTAAAAACAATAAATATATATATATATAAACAAATGTGTGTTTATCTTTATATGAGGGATATATATATATTTTTAAGGCCAAATAATATTCCATCATAGTATAATTATATGCTATAATTAATGGAACATAATTATATCCAATAAATAATGGAATATTATTTGGAACCAATAATATGGAATAATAATTGGAATTATTAGTTCCTTAAATATTTGTCTAGTTAAAGGCCCTTAACTAGACAAATGGCATAATGGAGTATTCTATAATTAATGGACTATAATTATATTCCAAAATAATGGAATATTATTTAGCTTTAGAAGGGAATATATACATTCCTTATATAGAAATATAATATATAATAATATATAATATTCCTTATATATAATAATATAATGGAATATTATTTAGCCTTAAAAAGGAAGGAAATTCTGGCACATGCTACAACATGGCTGAACCTTGTGAGGACACTATGCTAAGTGAAACAAACCAGTCACAAAAAGACAAATCCTGCATGATTCTACTTACAAGAGGTATTTAGAGTAGTCAGACTCATTAATAGGGACAGAAAATAGAATGGTAGTTGCCAGCATCTGGACAGAGGAGGCAAGGAGGCAATGGGGAGTTGTTATTTAATGACAATAGAGTTTCAGTTTTGCAAGAGGAAAGTTCTGGAGATTAGTTGTACAACAATGTGAGTATACTTAACACTAATGAATTGTACACTTAAAAATGGTTACAATAGTAAATTTTGTGTTTCATAATTTTAAAAAATTTTAAAAAGAAGTCCCTTCCTCCTTCTTTCCTTCCTTCCTTTCTTCCCTTCTTTCTTTCTTTTCCTTCCTTCCTTTTCTTTCTCCTTCCTTCCTTCCTGCTCCTTCCTTCCTTCTTCTTTTCTTTCTCCTTCCTTCCTTCCTGCTCCTTCCTTCCTTCCTTCCTTCCATCTCTCTCTCTCATTACACAAGTCAAATATGAATGCAATCTTGTGGGTAAAAGATTTTTGCAAAATGTAAGTTATCCTCCTTCATTCCTTTCCCCAGGGATAACTACTTTGCCATTTGATGTGTATTTTCCAGCCTTTATTAGGAGATTTACATGATTTACATACATTTTCATTCATGTACACACAGACACATGTATGTATACCTACATTCTTACATATATATATAACAAATAAATAATATAAATATATATTGCTATATATATATATATAGCAATAAATAAACTTTATTTATTGCTCTGGGACTGGCTTCTTTGCTTGAAGAAGACATTTAAGATTTGTTCTATTCTACAGGATTTCTTCAAGATACAAGAGGTCCCCTTCGTCTCACTCTGGTGACTCCACTGTGGCTGCATATTCTGGGGCAGAGTACATCAATTGTTTCCGAAGGTGCATGCTGGCTCCACAGGTAGAAAGAACACAATGGCTGCTATCACCAAACCTCAGGGCTAAGCTGGAACTTCAGAGCCCTTGCGCTCAGCAGCGCGGCCCCGTCACCACTGGAGCCAGATCATTGGCAACAGAAGGGTTTTCTGTTGGAAGCTACCCATTTCCATCAGTGCAGTGGGCTTCAGCACAAAATGTTGTCTCCTAACACATGGGGTGGTGGGGACTTTGGGAAATGATAATCAGAGACAGGGAGCAACTGGGAGGCAAAGGGCAAATCATATCTGGGAAGAATTACCAGATAGGCTTTACCACATTTATAAAATATGAACAACTGTATTGATCTGAGAAAAAATCCTCACCCTTTTAGCCTTTTCTAAATTGAGATGATAGCACTGTTATGCATTAAAAGATGTTATCAGTCCAAAGAGCAAGTATGGTCTTATACCAACTAATATCTGCTAAAATGTACCTGACTGCATTGGAAATGTTGCAGCAGATTGGTATAGCTGGGAATAATGAACCGCTGCACCCCATTGAAATGTAATTACACAGCCCTCTTGTTCTTAAACCTATAAGGTGAAAGAAAGATGAATAGTGAAAGTAAAAACCGCTGACCCTTCAAACTTTAATTTACATTATGCATTCGCTCGCCCTTCTGATAGGTTTTAGAAAGGTCATAATTTAGGGTATTTTGCCATTGATAAATGATCTGTATGTTTGCGTTCACACGCACCGATTGATTTGTTATAGCCAAAATATTGTTTCTATAACAACCCAAGGGCCCTTAACTAGACAAACGGCAAACCAGAATCCAAGGGGAGGCAAAGGGAAATCTAGGCCTGCCCAGAAGGGGCTGGCCTTTGCCCAGGGACTCCAGGATGATGGAGTGGAGCGTGTGGGTGAGGATGCAGGGGCAAAACTGTGGGAGGGAGAGGTGGTGGTGGAGCAGGTGGAGCAGCGGCTTTGGTTCTTGGCAGGCCTGCAGTCGTGGTCTCTCCAGCCCAGCGTGGGTGGCTTCCACTGCAGCTGAAGCAAGTCTTGTCAAGACTTTCAAGTTGAGCTCCCTTTGGTGCAGAGTGGGCCAGTGGGGTTGTTAGGGCAATTTTCCCACCTTTCCAGACTTGGAAGAGGCTCCTGTTTCTGGGCCCAGTTGATGCATTATGCATCAGGGCTGCCTGCAACTGACAGCCCCTCAGCCAACGTCGACTTGAAAAGCAATGGTGCTAATCAAAGCCGACACATTTGAATGTCCAGACACACACACAGAGAAATTTACTAATCAAAAAGTGTATTTCCTAGGGCTGTCTCCAGAGAAATCCGCGAGAAGAAATTGGAATAATTTATTAGCTTACAAGTTTTCGTTGACAGTTAGCCCAAAGCTATTTATCTCTGTAATAGAGAACGTCTCCAATGTGGCAAAATTGACCAAATCAAACAGCTTTGATCAGAAAATGAATCTGGCAAGGCTGCCTGTCGGAGGGTCCCAGGAGAAAGAGGGGAAACAAACAAAAAGATTTAACAAGTGGTCAATAGGAAAAAGAGAGCAAGAGAAAGAGATTTAGGAGAAGAAAAGAACGAGAGAGGAGGAGGCAGAACAACAAATTTTGCAAAACCATGGCCCCAGCTCTGGACTGAATTCTTGAAGAAATAAATGATGTTTCACATCATAACATTTAACATGGTGCTTGTACATTTTCTGAGCCCTGCAGCCCAAACTGAGATGTGATTTTTATGGTAACAAGATGATGACAAACTGCAGAGGGATAGGGCTTGCTGCTGCTGGTGGTGGTGGTGGCAGTGAGGAAATAAGCACGGGAAAATCCAGAGAAATGGCTCTGCCTCTCCTGGACCCAGGATCAGCGTTAGCTCACTAGAAGCAACAATCATGCTAACTGTATCCAGTCTGCCTCAGTGGGTATGAGGTGCTTGCCCATCTAGTGCTAAGCTGGCTTCTGTGAGAGGCACTGTAACCACGTGTGAGTTTGAAGATAGGACCTGTTCAGAGGCTCCTCTCCTTCTGCGCTCATGGGCAGTGCCTGGGAGACTGTAGTGGGAAGATCTATTCAGTGGGAGAGTGGATCTGGGGTGCCCTGCTTTCTACCTTAACCTCTTCTTTCAAAATGTACAGGTATACAAGTATACACACTGCAGTCAAGGGAGGGCACCAAATACAGCTTTGAAGCCCACTGTTAGATGGATGGATAAGAATTATAAACTAGGAAAATACCTTAAATCATCATAACATTACTTTCCATACTAACAATGGTCTTTCCCTATCATCCTGGTCAACCAACTAACCAGTCTCAGACATCCTCTGCTGTGAGCAACAACTCCACAAGCTAATACCCCAGTGCATTCACTGGCAAGGGAGTTGCTGTATTCAACAGCCAAATAATTAGAAGGATGCTCCTGCAACCAATATATTTGTCCCCCAAATAAGTGCTGAAAAATCATCATCAACATCAGCACTTACTTTATTCTAGAGAAGAGTTTGTGTGAGCTTTTTATGTTGAAATACATTTAGAAAATCATGATGGAAAGCTGCCAAGACTGTCAATAAAGAGAACTAGTAAAATGTGGAGGAAGTCTTTCACCACAACACCCTCTGAGTTAGAATTATTTAGTGAGGACATTGTTGGATGAAGGCTTGAGAGGGTCAAGTTGACTTGAAAGGGAGCACCAGCTCTGAAGTTTGAGGACCCAGGTAATTCCCTGACTGTGTGTCTCGGGACCCACTTTCCTTCTCTCTGGAAACCCCAGGCTTTGGCCCTGATGATCATTCCCGGCATTACAGGGGTTGTGATAGGAATTAAGAGAGACAATTACCAGAAAGCACTTTGTCAAATAATTAAAGCGCTAAACAAATAGTAGAGATTATGACTACTGTTTTGTCCTGGTAGGAAGAGAATGATCAGCAACTTTGCTTGATCAACCAAATTCAACTTAATTGCAGAAGATCCGTGTCAGGAAACCAAGCTACGCACTCCGAGAGCTCACCTACCAGCCATGATTTCGGCATTTTCCTTAGTAACAGGCATTATGCCTCCTTTTTTTTTCTTCCCCCAGAGAACTGAGTCACAATCTCACAAAAAGAGGCTGGTCAAATATCCAGGGCTTCTAGGGACTGTCCCTTTTTGGCCACACGCCCTTCCTCAGACATTTGCAGGAGATAGAGTTGGCTTTAAATTCTTTCGGGCTCCCAAATCAGGTTTAAGTCCCCATGTCTGATCCATATGTCTGTGTATTCTTGGAGCTATAACCCCTGGCTAATTGAGTACTAAAGGTGGATCTGCAATTTCACTTGATCAACCAAGGCCAACTTAATGTGCTTTGTAAAGGACTTAGTGGACGGTATCCGAAAGTGAAAGTATATCTAAACCATCCAAACAAAGTCAACTTGGTTTTGTTGATATTTTATACAGGCACAGGGAGAATAACATTTTAGCCAGTCTTGTTTTTTTTTTTTTTTTTTTTTTTTTTGACAGCAAGTAAGGCAGCTTAGCTTTATTTGACTAAAATTTTCAGCCTGTATGTCTGCATCGTACAGGGTAATGGGTTAGCTTGAGTGTTTGGATCGGGTCCTCCTGTGAATGCATCAAAATTGGCTCTCATTTACAAGAATTACATTTTAATACCCATCCTGACACCGTGATGGCCACACACCACAGATTTGCACAGTGTCTTATAGCAGTTTCCCTTGGAGCCGCTCTCCTAAGCAATCATGCCTGTGATCCATGTTTTATGCTCTGCCTGGGAACGGGAGCAACACACTGCCCCTTCGCCCTGGTCTCTCAGCAGCCCCACATCTCGTCTAGTTGGGACCCTTGCAGTGTTGATGTGTACTTTTTTGTTGTTGTTTTGTTTGCTTTGCTTTTTGAGACAGGGTCTTGCTCTGTTGCCCAGGCTGGAGTGCAGTGGCATACTCACAGCTCACTGCGGCCTCAACCTCCTGGGCTCAAGTGATTCCCCCGCCTTAGCCTCCCAAGTAGCCGGGACTACAGGCATGCACCACCTGGCCCGCCTATTTTTTGTTTGTGTGTACTCTTCTCTTTGGCAAAACAAAGCAGTCAATTTCTGTTTAATGGCCTTGCTGTGTAGTGTGGCTGAGGACATGACAGGGAGCTTCTACAGCACATCAGGTCTAAAACGGGTTAAAAAGCTTCAAGATTTGTCATAGCCAGCTTTCTTCCTCCTCCACCTCAATGTATTCTGAATTGTGTAAAAGCCACTGACTTGCCAAATAAGGAAACAATTTAAATGATTCCTAGTATGAATTCATTTTTTTTCTCTTGTGTAATAGGTAAATTATCTAGTATTAGAGGCCCAGAATGAAGGCTTCAAGATTTTGTGGAGGAAAAAGCTACAGTTCTCTTATTCAAGGCATTTCTGAAATCTTGGCCATGTAATTCTGTTAAATCTTTACCTACGCAAGAAACAAAGCTTAGGGCACCTGAGCTTGGTCTTAGGAACTAAGCACTCGAACAAGTAATTCAGGAATTTCCATCTCGGATTCTGAAGTTCTAGAAATGCTAAGTTTTTCTGAAAACTACCCTAATGCTGCCTGTTATTGAATGCACAGTTAGAGGAAAGGAAGGGGATTAGAAGGTAAGGAAGGTTAAGTGGAAGAGAGCCAATGATTTGGGAAACCATTTTTCTTAGAAAACACAATTTGACTTTTTTTTCCCATAAATTCCATCTACCTATAGAATTAGGTTGAGATTGGAATTGTAGCATTTTCCTCTGCTTAAAATTAAACTGAAAGCTATAAATGACATTCTCAAAATCCTGATCTGCCTGACAAACTTCACCTGTTTTGTTAAAGCATAATCATTATATATATATATATGTATATGTATATATATATGTGTGTGTGTATATATATATATATATGTATATATATATGTATTCCACCAGGACTTTAACTAGATTCCAGGTGTTCACATTTCTTTTGACCTTAAGGATTCTATTTCAAGCTATTAAATTAACTAAAATGTGTAAATGGCCTACATTAGCTTTAATTATATAATTATATAGTCAGCAGGAAATGAATCTGTATGAATAAGAACCTAATTGAAAGAAAGTACCCATTCTAGAGCTTGGCATGGATGAACACTTCGAAAGATACCACAGGAAAACTTACCTCTGCCTCTTTAATAGGGTAAATCGACTCTTAAAAATGTCTGCAATGCTTTCCACAAATTTTGACTATATTGGGGATTACTGTAAATAAACAACTGAGCAGAGACTCTTCTCTGGATCAGGGCATTCTTGTTAGGGAGATCCTTACAGTTCATCAATAACTGTGTCCTGAGTAAAAGAAGTTCACCCCAAACCTTGCTTCTGACCCTTCAAATGAAGTAGCTTGGTTCACAAAGAATCTTCCAGTTTCTAACATTCTCCTAACCAGAAAAAAAAAAAATGTATAGTACTAATTCTGCTCAATCATCACCTGCCTTCTTCATCTTTTTACTCTCACAGTTAAGCATGTCCAGTGGGAACTGAGAAAGTGAAGAAGATCCACTCTAACACCTCACATCTATTATGAGAAACCTGAGTTTTACAGAATCCCAAATGTACAGGCTCTCAGGCCCCATGAGATTCTTTTTTTTTTTTTTTTTTTTTTTTGAGATGGAGTCTCGCTCTGTCACCCAGGCTGGAGTGCAGTGGTGTGATTTTGGCTCACTGCAAACTCGCAAACTCCACCTCCCAGACTCAAGTGATTCTCCTGCTTCAGCCTCCCAAGTGGCTGGGATTACAGGCATGCACCACCGTACCTGTAATTTTTGTATTTTCAGTAGAGACAGGTTTACACCATGTTGGCCAGATTGGTCTCAAACTCCTGACGTCGTAATCTGCCCGCCTTGGCCTCCCAAAGTGCTGGGATTACAGGCGTGAGTCACTGTGTCTGGCCTTGGCCCCCATGAGATTTTAACATAATTCCTTCAAAGGTGGCCTGAGGGGCTGAGTAAAGGCTAGACAGGAATTTTAGGGTTTTCTTTTTCTTTTTCTTTTTCTTTTTTTTTTATGTCTTTGGGCAGGACTCTGCGTGTGGGATTAACCAACCAACTTTCTTCCCCCAACAGACATTTTTGAGCTATACTGTGACCTGTGTCAGAAAACTGACGCTGACAACAGACCTGCAAGTACGAACTTGTTATCCCTGCTTCACAGATAAAGGGGCTGACTCACAGGAGGATTCACTGATGCAGCCAGGATTGCACCGCCAGCTCAGAGAGGTCAGTGAGGGAAACCCCACTCTCTCTGACTCAAAGTTCACTCTGACTTGAAGTTCACTCTGCCAGGGGCTGCCCTGGGGGACAGGAAAGAGGTCCTGCCTTTTTTTTTTTTCTTTTTCTTTCTTTTTTTTTTCTTTGAGACAGTCTTGCTCTGTTGCCCAAGCTGGAGTAAAGTGGCATGATCTCAGCTCACTGCAACCTCCACCTCCCGGGTTCAAGCAATCCTCCTGCCTCAGCCTCCCAAGTAGCTGGGATTACAAGAATGCACCACCATGCCTGGTTAATTTTTGTATTTGTAGTAAACACGGGGTTTCACCATGTTGGCCAGCCTGGAGTCAAACTCCTGACCTCAAGTGATCCGTCCACCTTGGCCTCCCAAAGTGCTGGGATTACAGGCGTGAGCCACTGCACTGGGCCAGCTTATTCTTAGTGAGTTGTTTAGTTCTCCTCTTTGTCATAGTCACAAACACTACTCTGCACCTTGGTCCATCCTGTCATGGTGGGCACTTGCAATAGTCAGGATGAACTAGTTAACTAGTTACACTATGAAACAAGTCTTATTCATACGACACACCCAAAGCAGATTGGTTAGGAGGCTCTAAGTATCCTAGTCACTCAGGGACTCAGGCAGACAGAGACTCCACCATCTCATTAGATCTTAAGTCAACATCACAATACAATGCTTCAGGATTCACCATCGCACAGAAAGAGGGCATGAAAAGTTACAACATGACTCCTAAATGTGCTTGCCCAGAAGTGACATAAATCCCCTTACTTTTTTTTTTTTTTTTTTTTTTTTTAGGAGACAGAGTCTTGTCTTGCTCTGTCACCCAGGCTGGAGTGCAGTGGCACGATCTTGACTCACTGCAACCTCCACTTCCTGGATTCAAGCGATTCTCATGCCTCAGCCTCCCAAGTAGCTGGGACTATAAGCACGCACCACCACCCTCGGCTAATTTTTGTATTTTTAGTAGAGGTGGAGTTTTGCCATGTTGGCCAGGCTGGTCTTGAACTCCTGGCCTCAAGTGATCTGCCCGCCTGGGCCTCCCAAAGTGCTGGATTACAGGCCCCCCTCACCTTTCACGGGCCAAGGTGAGTCATATGGCCACACCTGACTTAAAGCCAGTCCTCCTATATGCCTGGAGGAAGAAGAGAACCAGAAATCTTAGAGAGCTGCAGTCATGTCTACAACAGTACTCTTGGTCACAAGGAGGAAGGAGCACTGAGCTGAGAGTCACAGGGCCTTCATCCTAATACTGGCTTTGCCCCTGTATAAGCTCCATGTCCTTGTCCTCTCTCTTAACCTCATGGCTCCCACATCCTCCTCTGCAAATGAGGGCTTGAGATAGATGGTCACCTCTCCGATACTGCACCAGAACAAATTTATTACCTTTGCTAGATTTCAGGTCCCACATGCTTGGGAACAGGTCTGTGGGGTCATCTCCAGTGAAAGCCAACAGCGCAGAGAGGATGATGCGGGTCCTCGTGGAAACAGACTCATTTGTACGCATGATAAGGAAGCTGGCTAGAGTCCACCAGCTCTGAGTTTTGAGATAGTCCACACCAGCATGATGAATGTGTCAAAGATTCCATGTCACACAATAGACTTTGTTAACTCGCTTTGACAAAGGCCTTTTACTTTTAACTGCTTGTGACAGCAGCTCAGAGTTTACTCGTCAATGTGCCTCACATACAGGTGTTGCCCACTTCATATAATAGATATGTTCCTTTAAAAAAAAAAAAGAGGGTGGAAATTTCAAAACCAGAAAATCACCGTTTGAGTTTATGGAAAATCACATTAGTTACAGGAATCCAATGACACAAGTTTTTGAGAAACGGTGAAAAGATCATTGGTCGTTTTACTTTTTCTCTTAAGTCATTGCTTCTGATAATACTGAGAGTTATCTGGCACAGTACACAAAGCACAGTAAAGACATTCAATGATATTTGTGAACGAATGGATAAAACTCAGTTTTCTAACTGTGGTTGACCTGGCATTTTCATAAAATAATGATACTTATATCTGTATCACACTTTCTAGTTAGCAAGCCTTACGTTTACCTGGGACAGGAGTAGAAAGAGCATAAACTTTGGTGTCAGACTGGCGTTCTTATTGCGGGTCTCTTTCTTAGCAGCTGTGAGCTTAGACACAGTACTTCACCTCCTGGAGCATCCATCATCTTATTTGTAAAATATGAGTGATGCCAGCTTCTCAGGATTGTTGAAAGAGTGTGATGAGAGCCTTATGGGTTTTTTCTTTTTCTTTTTTTTTTCTTTTTAGAAATGGCATTCCGCTTTGTTGCCCAGGCTGGTCTCAAACTCCTGACTTCAGAGGATCCTCCTGTCTCAGCCTCCCAAAGTGCTAGGGTTCCAGGCATGAGCCACTGCGCCCTGCCCGGAGCCTTATGTTAACATGTCTATTACAGGACCTGACATGAAGAAGAGACTTAATAAAAGGTGATTGTCCTTCCCTTTTCTATGAAGCAGGAAGGGGAGCTATTATTATCTTCATTGTACAGAAGAGAAAGCTGAGGCCCAGAGAGATAAAGTGGCTTGCCCAGAGTTTCACAAATACAGGATTGGAGCCCCAACTTGTGCCTAGCTCTTTAACATACCACCTCACCAGCCCACACAGGAAGGCAATGACTGTGCACTGCAGATATTTGTGCAGGATGTGTATATTACATGATTTGGGGCTGACGCAACTTGTCTTGTACATATTGTTTTATGTGACTTTACTCTGCCTTTCTGCCTGTGCTGATCATGCCCCAAGAGCTGGGCCAGGCCTTGTGCCCTTGCAGAATCTGCCTCTGCAGCTCAGTGATAGTTGCTCAGCAAGTGCTGATCCACTAGCCCATTTCCTTCCTTCCTTCCTTCCTTCTTTCCTTCCTTCCTTCCTTTCTTTCTCTTTCTTTCTTTCTTCTTTTTTTTTTTTTGACAGAGTCTCGCTCCGTCACCCAGGCTGGAGTGCAACGGTGAGATCTCACCTCATTGCAAACTCTGTCTCCCGGGTTCAAGCGATTCTCCTGCCTCACCCTCCCAAGTAGCTGAGATTACAGGTGTGCGCCACCATGCTTGGCTAATTTTTGTATTTTCAGTAGAGGCGAGGTTTCATCATGTTGGCCAAGTTGGTCTCGAACTCCTGACCTCATGATCTACCCACCTCGGCCTCCCAAAGTGCTGGGATTACAGGCATGAGCCACCTTGCTCTGCTGACCATTTTCAAGTGCTTGCAAATCTGTCCACCCAGAGAGGACATAGTAGCACATTTAATAATTAAGAGAAAAGCTTGGTTTTCAGGAACTTTGTCATCTGAGTTTGATAATTATGAAGGGTATAAGAATTCATTTTATGGTATGGTAGGAAAAGAATAACACTACCTAAAATGCTCAGATGATTTATTAAGGGTTCTTATTTGTAGGGACAGCCTCCCATTTTTCTCTCATGTGATGTCCAGCAGGTGGTTCTGACCTGACTAGTACACATTCTTTAACTAAAGACAGAGCACTGCTAGGCGGCAGACACAGACCTGTGCCCCAGGCTGTAATGGTGAGACAGGCATAATCCCTGATCATGGAACCTATGGGCACAAGGCAGTCAACAGTTAAATACACACAATATTTATAAGTTACAATGAATTAAACGAAGGAAAAGACGAGGAACTAAGAGACAGCCTAATTGGAGGATCTCATTTAGATTGGGAGGCTGGGGAAAGTCTCCATGAAGAAGTGTTATCTACACTGAAACCTGAGAAAAGTTGGTAGAATTCAGGCCAAAAGTGGGAGAAGGAGCATTTCAGACAGAGGGATCAACCTTGTGGAAGCCCTGTGGTGGGAGAGAGCTTAGAATTGAAATGAGGTTAGGGGCCACCACAGGGAAACTGGAGACACATAAGTGATGGGAGCTTGGCCAGGACCAACTTCCTGTAGGCATTCCAATTGCAATTGCCATTTATAAGTTTTCAGCAGATAAATCATATGGTCGAACTTAGGTCCTAACACATCTGTCTACTGCTAAATAGAAGAATGGGTGCCACTTAAGAATGGGTTCAATGTAACGAGGGCAAAAGTAGAAGTGAGGAGACCAGCTGTGAGGCTATTGCAGTGGTCCTGGTGTAGGATGTGGGTGGCTTGGACTTGGGTAATGGCAGTGAATTGACAGACATGAGTGAAACTGTGAGATGTTTTAGGAGTAGAATTGTTAGGACATGCGGATCAACTGTATATACAGAGTGAGAAAGGGAAAGGGTACTCTCGTGTTTCAGGGTGTCTGAATTGGTTTACTGATATCTGGGGGGATCAGAAGAGTTCAGGTCCAGCCAGGTTGCAATTGAGATGCCTCTGAGACATCCAATAGGAGGATGTCATTGGATACAGGAGTTAGGAGCTTAGATACACACTTGGGAGAACTCGGCACAGGTGGTATGAAAGTGGTGGGCTGGTGAGATTGCCTAGGGAGAGAAAACACGGAGAGGAGTCCCAGGGCTGAGCCCAGACCTCTGAACAGAAGAAGGAGTCATGGAGAAACCCAGAAGAATGAGGTGTCACAGGCAAAGAAAAATTGGATGCTCCGGAAGGAGAGAGGTCTGTCTCACGAAGAGAGATAAAAGCAGCTGGGACCACATAGAGGTAATTGTTGATGCTGATGAGAGAAGAGGGCGGAGGGTGGAAAAGGAAGGGAGCCACTGAGCTGAGAATGGGAGACAGGAAAGAAACAGCATTCTGTGGTCAGCCTGGTGAGAAATGTGGCTCTCAGAAAGCAGAGAGAGAACAGTTGGAGGAGCTCATGGGCACACGGGGGATGTCTGACTGGTTGTGTTTTCTGTTGGAAAATATTAGAGCTCCTCTGTGTGTTAGGGAAGGGTCAAGTAGAGAGGGCAAGGGAGAAGATGCTGGAATGAGGAGAGCCAAGGTCCTGAGGACACCTGACCTTGGCACTACACAGGACCTGCAGCCCAGACGCTTCCTAAGCAAGCCTCTTGCCTGGGGAATAAAGAGCTGATTTTTCCAGTGACTTCATGGGCACTGGGGTCCTATGGAACCTCTAAGGGGAAGGAGCAAGAGAAACAGATGTTCTTTCTTCCCTGTAGAGGGAGGAAGAGGGAAGACAAAGATGAAAAAGGGAAGAAAGGAGGAAGGAAGGGAGAAAGGAGAAAACAAAGATGGCCAGTCTTCTCTTCTCCCCAGGTGGTTGGGATAACAGCGAGGCCAAATCCCAGATGATATGGGGGAGGGCTGCAACCTCTCAGGAGGGCTGTCTCCCCCAGAAAAAGCCTAGGACTTACCTAGACTTAGGAGGTTGTCATCAAGCCTTGTCTTTCCTGCAGACCTCAACGTCTTGTCAGTCCAGAAAAACTTCAAGGGCAGCAGCCAGAATCCCAGGGCTGAGAAACCTGACTTTCCTCTCTTTGTACCTCCCAATTCCCCTCCTAGGTCCTGAGCCACAGGGAATTGTGTGATTTCAATGAGCTATGGCAAGAGCATTTTCCCTTCCCATCAACTCAGTCACGTTTCCTGTAGTGGAGACGGGAGCATGGGGAGGGAGGAGCGGGAGAAAGAAGGCTTACCCTGGCAGTATTCATTCACTCTCTGAGGCATGAGATTTGATTACCAGTCTTTTAACATGCATGACAGCAAATGCTAATATTTGCCACAGAATTTTCTAGCCACCTTTTAAATCCATCTACAGTGTTAGGCTCTTTGACCCCTAGAGGTAGGGAATGCCACAGGCTGCCTTCATGCTACTGAACGTTGTTGCCTCCTCTATAGCAATAAAGCTTTTCTTGAAATATAAGGCATAAGAACAAAGAAAATTCCAGATTTCTGGGAGTAAATACTACAGTTCATTAAACCACCTGCTTACTTCATACAAGCTAGCAATGACTCTCCAGTCTCCCGCCTAAAACTCCAGTTAGTCTTCTGTGCATGAGATGTCTTTTCTATTGTGATTGCCATTCTTGGCTCATTGTTTGAAAAGGGATATTACAAATAAAAATAACAACCATCCCTGGTTAATATGCTTATTACTTTACACATCTTTCTCAACTTTTTCCAAACTTACTGGTAGACCAGAAAGAAATCTAACTTCTTTTAGGCTTGAGTTCCATTGTCTAAAAGTAGTAACCATTTTCTTTCTTTCTCCCTTTTTCTTTTCTTTTCTTTTTTTTCTTTTGAGAAGAAGTTTTGCTCTTGTTGCCCAGGCTAGAGTGCAGTGGTGCAATCTCGGCTCACTGCAACCTCTGCCTTCCAGTTTCAAGTGATTCTCCTGCCTCAGCCTCCCAAGTAGCTGGGATTCCAGGCGCCTGCCACCACACCCTGCTAATTTTTGTATGTTTAGTAGAGACGGGGTTTCACCATGTTGCCCAGGCTGGTCTCAAACTCCTGACCTCATGATCTGCCCACCTCGCCCTCCCAAGGTGCTGGGATTACAGATGTGAGCCACTGCGCCTGGCCAGGTATGACCATTTTCTAATGTTTAGGAGGAGGGGAGCTTGGGGGCAGTATCTAAAACTGTCAGCTAGAGGAGGGGCAATCTTGAAGTTCAAAAGCAGGAGACACCCCAGATCTCCTTCTGCAGAGCTTTAACATCCCACCTCTCACTGCTTCTTGTAATATTCATCAGAGTCGTAAAAACTATTATCCAGCATAATATCTTTTAAATTGTTGGCAAAGAGTCACTTTAGAAGAGTGGCCTCCCTCTGCTCCCTTCCCGCCCCCTCCCAGATGGACCAGTGCTGTTTGTTAGGACGGCTTTGTTCCTCGTTGTTCAACTACACCTGGCATAGTGCTTTGCTCTGTCATAAGGCCATTTCAAAACACTCCCTCTTTGTAACGTAAGCTTTGCTCGTGCTGAAACCTTGCCTTTCATTTGCTCTCCACAGCACTTGTCACACTGCATAATATAACCTAGACAATAGTGGCATACAAAGAAATAACAACTGAACATAACCATCCACTATGGAACCACTAATGAGTGCCCTACCTTTTGAAGGCTTCTTAAAAACTAAAATACAGACAAGGATAAAGGGCAAGCCTGCAGGAAAAGTCAATAGAACCTCACAATGCGAAGACTTAACCCCTGTCGCTATCAACTCAGATTTTCGAGTTGTATCACCAGCCAGAACCTTCTCCACTTGTCTAGAGCCAAGTGCCACATCAGAGCCTGGCAAAAAAAAAAAAAGAAAGAAAGAAAAAAGAAAAAGAAAAAAAGAAAAAAAAAGAAAATTGCTTTTTCTCCATGCTGAGTGAAGATATAAACTTAGAAGCTATAGCTCATGTTGAAGGTTGTTTCACATTTTCTAAATACTAAAAAGACATTAAAATCAGTATGGTCACATGAAATCAGCTCAGTTTCATAAATGTATAATGAAAAGAAGCAATTTTGTTGTAACCATTTTTAAAAATTACACAAAGATAATATCTATGATTTATGCTATTTCTGCCACTTTGATTCGTATTTTTATTTCTTGGTACATTAGGTTAATGTTTAAGGTCCATTCTGTGTTTCAGCTTATAAAATTAATGTCTAAGTGCCAGCATAAGGCAAAGCAAACCTTACATTGGAGGATCCCTCACTTCCAGTGACTGGAATCAACATATCCAGCCATTCACACAACACTTCTCAAATGTCAAAATAATGGCGTTTGTTCTCCTAACGTTTATTGAGGGCTTACTATACCAGGCACTGCCCTAAATGCTTTGATGCACTAGTTTTAGCCTCATGATAACTTTATGAAGTAGTAAATATTAGTAGCCCCTCATGGTTAGATGAGGAAACCGAGCCCAGAGACGGTAAGCAAGTTGTCCAAGGTCGTAGCGTGATATTGCCTTCGGAGCCCAGGCTCATCTTGACTGATCCCCAGCACTGCCTCCATGACAGATCTGTGCTAGAATGGAGGAATAACCTGAGAAATTATTGGTGACACATGGAGAAAATTGAAATTGCATGGCTAAAGAGGTGGATAGTTACAAATAATTGCAAAGCCAGATTTGTAGACAAATTTCCCAGTTCTGCCTACTGAATGTCTGTGTTCCTAGCAGGTTCTCCTTCTTCTGGAGACAAATTGCATTCCCCTCTCCACACATCCCTAATGTGGTTATTGAGGGCCTCAACATACTCATAGGACCCAACACCTCACCTCCTGCCCTGGCTACAGGATTTGGAGCCAGGGGTGAGCACCTTCACTATTTCATTTAGCAAAGATTTAGCTGTTGGTGTGAGGGACAGCCAAAGGAGCGGCAAGAGGTGCTGCTGAGGGGGCTTGGCTGGGGTTTCGAGGCCCTAAAGGGCCTGTGATTCAGTTTTGCTAATTTCACATCTTTAACCCAGGGCTAGGCATGAACGCAAAACTCGAAATTTATATTCAATTTTCTAGTATGATTTCATAAAGCAAAACAAAACAAAAGCAAAAAAATCTCATTTAAGAATATATAAGAAATGTTCTTATATGAAAAGTGTCTTGAAGTAGAATATTTATTAACTAGAACAGAAGTTTTTTGGGTTGTTTGTTTGTTCGTTTGTTTGTTTTGAGAGAGTCTCACTCTGTTGCCCAGGCTGGAGTGCATTGGCACCTCCTCAGCTCATTGCAACCTCCACCTCCCGGGTTCAATCAATTCTCCTGTCTCAGCTTCCTGAATAGCTAGGACTACAGGCTCACACCACCATCCCTGGCTAATTTTTAGTAGAGACGGGGTTTCGCCACTTTGGCCAGGCTGGTCTCGAACTCTAACCTCAGGTGATCCACCCGCCTTGGCCTCTCAAACTGCTGGGATTATAGGTGTGAGCCACTGCACCCAGCCAATTAACTAGAACAGAAGTTTTATTACTTTCTCTGAATATGCCTCTTTTTACTGTAAGGCAAATTCATAGCTTTGCTGCAAGTTCAGAATGAAATTTTGTAGAAAGGGCTCTTAATAGCTATCTATCAATCCCTCTTTTAAAAATACTTCATAGGGTCTTCTTCTACATCCCCTGGCTGCCAACAACTAGACAAGCAAGGGCTAATTGGGCAGTGAATGGCTATGCATTGGGGTACCTAGAACCATCCATGCACTATTCATTTAGTAACATTGGTTCTACTAGGAGAGATCCAAAGAAAGACAAGCACCTGGCTCCTGCCTACCGGCAGTAGATGGGAAAACAAGGCAGGCTTTTGTGGCCTAACTAGAGAACAATTCCAAAACAACATATATTATTTGGAGTGTTTGGTTCTGGCTTTCAGTGGATTCAGGGTTAGAGGAGTACTTTAGTCAGGGAAGCTGCTTAAAGACAGGGGTATAATTTTTGGGTGATGATTACACTAAATATCTATCTTTAGCAAGAAAGCTGCAGAATTTTACCTCCTACATTTGGGGAGAGTGTGGACAGGGTGAATGGGCTCTTTGTAAATCAGCTAAGGGCGCTGGGAATGATTTACCGTGTACTCGAGGCAAGCTCATTTCCCCTCTGGGCCTCAGTTTCCTCATCTGTAAAAGATGGGTTTCAACTGGAAAATTTTGTGGATTTCTGCCAACTCTGCCATCCTGAGGGCAGGGACTCTGGCTGTGTTTCCATGCACAGCAGTAGGCCAGGTCTGCAAACTGGTCCAGTGTTTGGAAGAATCTACTCAGCAGGAGAGGGTGTATGCTGACTCTGCCTTGACAGGCAAGTGATGAGGACATTTTCCAGCCAAACTTCCTGGTGGTATTTTCATATAATGCTTACAGCAGCCTTTCCTTACCTTGGTACATCTTCCCTGAGGGGCTTCATCAAACTTCAGGACAGATGGTATCCCTCACTTTTGCTAATTTGAATCTAGCAACATCTTTATGTTCTCTCTAACTTTTAAGTTGTTTGATGGAGTTGCCTAATTTTCTTTCTAAACTCATATGCTCTCATTTATCTATTTCCCTAGGATCTCTGTCTCTCTCTCATATTCAGATTGAGTTACACAATCAGTTTTATTATCCACCACTCTCCATTCAACTAAAACCTAGATTTTATAATCAAAGTATTTCTGGGAGATATTAATAATATGTTATAAAAGTTAAAGTCATTTGTTTTTTTCCAGACAGAGTCTTGCTCTGTCACCCAGGCTGGAGTGCAGTGGCATGATCTCGGCTTACTGCAACATCTGCCTCCTGGGTTCAATCGATTCTCCTGCCTCAGCCTTAAGAATAGCTGGAATTATAGGCACCCACCACCACTCCCGGCTAATTTTTGTATTTTTAGTAAAGACCAGGTTTCACCATGTTGGCCAGCCTGGTCTCGAACTCATGACGTCATAATCTACCCGCCTTGGCCTCCTAAAGTGCTGGGATTACAGGTGTGAGCCACCGTGCCTGGCCAAGTTAAAGTCATTTTTAATTAACACCATACTATGCTTATAATTGTATTTTCCATAAAGTTCTTTAAACTTATGGAATCCTAATCAAAAGCAGAATTTGGGCACTTTTCATCGTACTTTTTCCAGATACTAATATGATAGACCTCTCCCATGAATGAGGTATGTTCTGTAGCTGCTTTCTTCTATGAAGCTAGGAGAAATAATATTGATACATTTTAGCATTTCCCAAGTATATTCCAAATAACACTACACAAATATAGAACAAGGGGACTCATAATCTCTGTAGTAATTTGTATGCAATATTTGATATTGGAAAATAAGTTTCTAGGATTACACTAATTAAATTAATGAAATATCATATAGTTAAGGTACAGATCTCTGTCATGTTAGTTTAGTTCAAAACCATAACCTTTAGTTTTAACTAGCATGAAAGTCATAGGCAACAATTTCTCAAAACACGTCCCTTTTAGACAGAAAACTTTACTCCGTTTATGCAGTCTAAGAGCTTATTTGCCGATGAAGATGTGTATATGGCTGCTGGAAAAAAGATGAGAATCTTTACACTGCAGGGAAGATGTACCCAAATCAATTTGGCTCTTTTGACTGACCTCAAAGGTCAAGTCAATAAGGAAATATCAAGTCAGCCAAAAAACTGCTTAATATATTTGTTTGGTTTTTTTTGTTTTGTTTTTTTGTTTTGTTTTTTTTTTTTGAGACGGAGTCTCGCTCAGTGGCCCAGGCTGGAGTGCAGTGGCACGATCTCTGCTCACTGCAAGCTCCGCCTCCCAGGTTCACGCCATTCTCCTGCCTCAGCCTCCCAAGTAGCTGGGATTACGGGTGCCCGCCACCATGCCCGGCTAATTTTTTGTACTTTTAGTAGAGACAGGGTTTCACCATGTTAGCCAGGATGGTCTCGATCTCCTGACCTCGTGATCCGCCTGCCTCGGCCTCCCAAAGTGCTGGGATTACAGGCGTGAGCCACCACGCCCAGCAGTATTTGTAAATCAAGTTAACAATCAAATGGGCTAAAACCATCAAGCCAGTTTAGGTTTGTGGACAGTCTCTGTTTAAATCCCAATAGAAGAGAAGCTGCTCATCATTCCCCATCACTGCAAATAACAACAGAGCTTAGCCCAGGCTGTAGCAAACTTTAGAGACGAAGCTTCTGGTCTAACACAGGAGAGGATCCTAAGCGCCCTGGCAGGAACAGCACAGGGGAGCTGGAGGAGGGTCCCTGTCTCTATCAGTTCCAGGGCACTATCAGCCTCAGGCCTGCCAAGGGGCACCTTTTGATTCAGAGGAGTGGGTTGCTAAGAGGAGGGGAGGCATTTCTGAATCTTAACTTCTGTGCTTGATGAATGTTTTCCAAATAAATGCTCTATTCTCTTGTCCAGTAATAATTCCACAACCCTTCTATATATTTGTGAAGAATCACACCTGTTGACCCTTCGATAGTCACAAGAAAAGCCCTGAAAGATGGAAGGAGAAGCCGTTGAATTTGTTGGTGCTTTTAGTTATTTCTGAGAGAAAGGTGGCATTGCCGCAATCCACTAAAGCCACGTACCGCGTCAAAGCTAAAAAGCTGTCACATAAAAGCACCACCTGTAGCCACTCCTTTGAAAGGAAAGTCCTTGGCAAACAATGGCCTGAGTGAGCCAGTTTAATCAGACAGGAGTCAAGACCACTGAGACATAAATTAAGCATTCATCCTTGAGTAGCAGCCAAGCAGCCAAAGCCCCCATAATCCCAATTAATCCCATTTTGTGCGGTTGCCCTTGGGCCAAGGGCAGAGGGGAAGGGAATCTGCACACGCTGGTTCTGCATCAGCTCTTTATCTTTACAGGGGGTGGGGCTGTAATAAAGGAGAGCACCTATGCAATTGTTCCTATCCTGATGTTGGAGCAATCAGAGCCTTCCCCTGCCCGGCTTCTGTGATCTGTCAGCAAGAACTTACTTCAAGGGCATCCTACACTTTTGGAAAGTTAGGTGCTTGGGCTCCTTTGAAGACAGACATGACTCTGTTTCATTTTCCTTTGTTTGTACAACTAAACTGACTTCCCATCACCCACTCCTGCAGTCACACAGAATGAACAAATGCTCTACAATCTCCCTGGAACTCGTTTTTGCCATTGATCCTCTGTTCTCATAGAAAAATTACCTAGCTTCCCAGGGATAGGAAATTTCTTTCCAGAGAGCAGCGATTCTGTCTGCAGACAGAGTCAGCCTAGTGAGGCCGCTGCTTACCTCTCTCACACCTTATGTGAAGGACATGGCAGAGTCTGAGCTCTGAAAACACACCCTCCCCTTGGCTGCGGATTCACTGTGCTCAGGCCCTCGCATCCCCTTCCCACTTTATCAGAAGCCCTTACAGACACCAGCTGAGTGCTAAGGGCTCTGTGGTGGAGACTGCTGCATGACTGGTCACTTCTGGCCACCAGAAATCTTCCCTTCTTTGGCCACACTAGTAGGCCCTGTCTCCCAGATTTCCTTGTAGTTGGAGGGAAATAAGATGACATGAAACTAGATTTTCCCGGTAGAATGTGAGCACGAGTGATGTGTACCACATCTTGCTTGGGCTCATAAAGTCCTCCTGGACATACTCGTCCACACTCTTTCCCCCTTTCTGTCTAACTGAGATGGAAATGCCTCCCCTATTCTGCCCTCCTCCAAGTGTTCTCCTGGAAGACAGATTTTAAAGGTCACCGTCAGCCTGAGTGCCAGGGTGACTGTCTGGAGCAGAGCCCTGCCTCCCAGCCACGTTTCTGTTTGTCTACATGATTTTTCAATTCTGCTATAATGTGAGGTGAGCAAGAAATAAACTTCCATTGTGCTGAGCAACTATATGTTTGGGTCTATTTATTGCTTCAGGCTGACCTACCTAACCATACAGGCTCAAAACATGTCAGCCTCCTGACCCTCTGTAGGCTCTACCCCCAGACCACCAATCCCTGGCCACAGGTCAGGAGAAAAGGAAGAGAGGCCAAGGTGGCCAGGGCTTCTGAGCCCAACTGAAATTTTCCACTCTGGGCTTTAGAATCTCCCTGATGACAAGGGGCCTCTATTCTAGTAAGTCTCTGTCCACAGTGACCCTTCCTGGATATGAGTGCTTTGGTTCTTGGTGGGCTGGCCCTGAGGGTTCTTCTCCATTCAGAGGACAGGCCTTTTGGCAGTAGGCTCTGCTGAGTCATACGTGACTCAGGCTTATGAATAAGCCCACTAAGACTGTTGGAGAGCAGTAATGACTTTTTGCAGGAATTGGGGCTGAGAAGAAATCTGCATGCATCCTACTCACTTCTGGGAAGATGGAAAAGCACTGCAACTTTTCACTCCAATCAAATTTAGGAGAATGAGCGTCTGTGGGCTCTTGCTTTCACTGCAGTGAGTCCTTGTCACTTGAAGTTTGTTTCCTGAGGAGTGTCAAATTTAATTTCCAGACTTCAGTTGTTTAAATAAATTTGATTCAAAGGAATAAAAATGGGCTGGGCATGGTGGCTCATGCCTGTAATCCCAGCACTTTGGGAGACCAAGGCAGGCAGATCACCTGAGGTCAGGAGTTCAAGACCAGCCTGCCCAACATGGTGAAACCCTGTCTCTACTAAAAATACAAAAATTAGCCAGGCATGGTGGCACAGGCCTGTAGTCCCAGCTACTCAGGAGGCTGAGGCAGAGGAATCACTTGAGCCCGGGAGGCGGAGGTTGCAGTGAGCCAAGATCGCACGACTGCACTCCAGCCTGGAGAGAGGAATAGATAACATTCACAGTCTCATGACCAATATACTGGCATCATGAGATTAGATTTAGGGAATCTAATTAGCATTAAGAATAGGACAAATAGGACATTGTGCACTTCGATCAATGTTAAGTTCAAAGAAAAACCACCTGTATTTCAAGTAGATAGGGCTGTTTTCTTTGACAGAAAAAATATACACTATGATTTGAAAGAATCAGACTCATTAACAGGCAATGTGGAGAGGATACAGGTACGATAAAAATCATTATTTAAGAAGAAAGTGTCTTACTCAAACTCATTGTTGCTCATTTTAGAGTTTTTCCAAACTCCACAGTTGTTGATTAGAAGTTACAAAGCAAGGAGAGAGGCAGTCTGCTCCTACAGAAAAGTCAGCTCCCTCTAGATACGTAATCCAGTTAAAACTGAGTTTCTTCTGGGTATCTTGTAACATTGCTGGTGGAAATGTAAGTTTGGCAGTTTCTAAAAAAATTATGTACTTACCATATTACTCAATAATTGTACATTGAGCATTTATCCCAAATAAATAAAAACTGATGTCCACACAACAACCTGTATACAATTGTTCACAGCAGCTTTACTTGTAATAGCCAAAAGCAGGAAACAACTGAAATGTCCTATAATAGGTGAATGATTAAACAGACTGTGGTACACCCCTACCATGGAATACTACTCCGTAATAAAAAAAAGAACCAACTATTTATACATGACACAACTCAGATGAATCTCAAGGACATTATACTGAGTGAAAAAAGTCAATCTTGAAAGTCACTGTTATTGTATGAATTTGCTGTACGAATACCGTATGTATGATTCCCTGCATATAACATTCTCAAAATGACAAAATTATACAGATTAAGAATAAACTAGTCATTCTATGGGTTAGGGATGTTGGGGTAAACTTGCAGAAAAAAATGAGTTTCTAATTTCCACTTCACGTGGCACAGGTAATTTTTAAATTAAACCTTAATTATTTCTAACTCTGCATTTTCATGTGTGATAAATATCT
Organism: Homo sapiens; assembly: GCF_000001405.40. NCBI lineage: Eukaryota > Metazoa > Chordata > Mammalia > Primates > Hominidae > Homo > Homo sapiens. The sequence continues at coordinate 77,895,279 of NC_000005.10, forward strand.
TTGAAAAAGAGTAACCAGCTGGGCACAGTGGTTCACGCCTATAATCCCAGCACTTTGAGAGGCCGAGGTGGGTGGATCGCTTGAGCTCAGGAGTTTGAGACCAGCCTGGATGAAACCTCGCCTCTACAAAAAATACAAAAATTACCTGGGCATAGTGGCCCATGCCTGTGGTCCCAGCTACTCAGGAGGCTGAGGTAGAAGGACCACTTCAGCCCAGGAGGTGGAGGTTGCAGTGAGCCGAGATTGCACCACTGCACTCCAGCCTGGGCAACAGAGTGAGACTCTGTCTCAAAAAAATAAAAAAAAGGGTAACCAACATCATTTTCAGAATCATAGCAATGTAAAACATCTTTTCCCATGTGAAGGAGTAGTCAAATAATCTCTTTTATTTGGGGAATTCAAAAGTGAGGCAGACACTCCCAAGGATAAATAAGACAATCTGTTGGAGAGTGGGAGAGAAATAGTAGAATGCCTGTTTCTATTTATTGCATATCCTTTGTATTTAAAATATCTCAGATATTTTAGGCCGGGTGCAGTTGCTCAGGCCCATAATCCCAGCACCTTGGGAGGCCAAGGCAGGTAGATCACCTGAGGTCAGAAGTTCGAGACCAGCGTGGTCAACATGGTGAAACCCCATCTCTATTAAGAACAAAGTCGGGCATGGTGGTGGGGGCTTGTAGTCCCAGCTACTTGAAGGCTAAGGCAGGAGAATCGCTTGAATCCGGGAGGCAGAGGTTGCAGTGAGCCGAGATCATGCCACTGCACTCCGGCCAGGGTGTGGCAGAGTGAAACTCTGTCTCAAAAAAATAAATAAATAAAATAAATAAATTATACACACACACACACACACACACACACACACACACACATCTCAGAGTATGTTTTATAACGTATATGATTTATTAGCTTCATAGTACCAAGATATCACTGATACATGTGAATATGGGGATACAAGCTCAAAAATGTTTTCCTGATGGGAATGTGTGATCCAAGGAGTAGTGTGCCTAACGTCAGCCATCAGCCCATAGGATCTGGCTCAACCATCTGATTTTTTTATGTGTATGGTCAGCATTTGACAGCTGAAGCCTTTTCAAATATTCTCTGGTAGAATGTAGATTGTTCTTTTTTATCTGGGGGGAAACTGTACATGTAAGTTAAAATGGGCAGCAACGTGTTTGGAAAATGTAAGACAATTGGGTCTATATTCCATATCTCCAACTTGCCCCTGAGGCCCTCCAAGTGGAAGAGAAACAGATGCTGTTTCTGACATCTAAATAGTCAACTGTCTCTCACTAATTTATTTACCGATAAGCAAGCATCACTTCTTTCATTAGAAAATTCAAGATTTGGCCAGGCACAGTGACTCACGCCTGTAATCCCACTTTGGGAGGCCAAGGTGGGTGGATCACCAGAGATCAGAAGTTTGAGACCAGCCTGGCCAACATGGTGAAACCCCATCTCTACTAAAAATACAAAGTTAGCTGGGCATGGTGGTAGGTGCCTGTAATCCCAGCTACTTCGGAGGCTGAGGCAGGAGAATGGCTTGAACCTGGGAGGCAGAGGTGCAGTGAGCCAAGCTCGCCCCATTGCACTCCAGCCTGGGCAACAAGAGTGAAACTCCATCTCAAAAAAAAAAAAAAAAAAGAAAAAGAAAAAAGAAAAGAAAATTCAAGATTTTTTCCTTTAAATATCTGTGTTATTATTATTATTTAGAGCAAGGTGAGATTGCCTTTGAATATCTTATGGCCAATTGCTATGGCTGTTGTTTTAAATCTAAAGGAGAGAATATTCCCTGCGAAGATGTAAGGAAAGCCCTATCTGTTGGCCCTCTGTTTGCCCTCAACTGTTGGTATATGTGGCAGGGAGTCCTGCCTTTGGTCTTCTTTTCTTCTCACCCAGCTTGCATTTCCTAGGTTACTCTCATCAACTTTTATAGTTGTAACTGCTTCACTATGGTAAAAGGGTAAGGCTCTGTCTCCAGAGAGATCATGCTCCTGAGCACTCCTCAAATGCAATTGCCCACAAAGCATGTTCCATCAGTATGGCCCCAAGAAGCAAGCACACCTTCACACTCAGATTGAGCTCAATATCTTGCAGGCCTCCTCATTTCAAACCTACTCCTTCTATTATATGCCTCATCTTTGTCTGTAATTTACGTGTTCATCCTAGCCAGAAATATGGTGGTTATCTGAGATTTTTTCTTCTCTCTTGCATTTTACATTGTTGAGTTTTACTTTTTTATTATCTCTAAATTCCTCTATGCATTAGACCTACGTATATCAACATGGATAAATCTCAAAAACATAATACAAAGAAAGCAAGTTACAAAAGGATACATGGGATGATATGTAAAATTCTAAATATATGGAAGAGTATTGTATTTTGTTTATGGATACATACGTGTGTGTAAAAACTAAAAATCATGTATGGAGGCCAGGTGCAGTGGTTCATGCCTGTAATCACTTTGGGAGGCTGAGACGGGAGTATCACTTGAGGTCAGGAGTTCAAGACCAGCCTGGCCAACATGGTGAAATCCTGTCTCTACTAAAAATACAAAAATTAGCTGGGCGTGGTGGCGTGAGCCTATAATCCCAGCTACACGGGAGGCTGAGGCAGGAGAATCACTTGAACCCAGGAAGCGGAGGTTGCAGTGAGCCGAGATTGCACTACTGCACCCCAGCCTGAGTGACAGAGTGAGACTCCATCTCAAAGAAAATAATAATAAAATAAAAAATAAAAATAGAAATCATGCATGGAAATAATACACTCAACCTCAGGACAGTGATGGCCTTTAAGGAGGAAGGAGAGGAGTAAGAGTTGGGGATAAGGCTACATCTCTTTTTAAAAAGTGGAAACATTTTGACACGTTAATTCTTGGTTATAGTCACATGGGTGTTAGTTATGCTATTATGTGAATTTTCCTGTATGTTTGAAATATTTCAGAATTATAACTATTTTAAGGGGAAAAAATCTTAATTCCTCCCCTCACCTCTCTATCCATGGCCAAAGGGCCTAGTTTAAGTTCCTGATATTTCTCCTTGGATTATTACAATAGTGACACTGTTTTCCCAGCCTCCATTTTCGCTTCTTTTTAGCCTACCCATCACATTCAGATAAAATACACATTGTAAAACAAAAATTGGAGCATGTTATACCCATTTGTGGCCCTTTAATGGCCTATATTCATTAGCCAAATCCATAAAAATGCTGCAGAACAAAAGACCACACAAATCTCAAGTGCGTGCAACAATAAGCATTGATTTGGCCTATGAATCTGAGTGGTCAGCTGAGCTGACCTAGACTGGTCTTGGCGGGGGTGAGTTGGTTCTTGTCCACAGTGCTGTTATCCTGCTAGCCTGGGCATGCTCCTCTAGTGGTGATGGCACACATGTAACTAGGGAAATGGAAATATACAAGGCCTCTTAAGACCTAGGCTTGGAGCAGGTACACCAACACCTACACCTCATTGTATTGGCCAAAGCTAGTCACAGGCCTGTTGGCCACAGTCGCTCACACCTGTAATCCCAGCACTTTGGGATGCCGAGACAGGTGGATCACTTGAGGCCAAGAGTTCGAGACCAGCCTGGACAGCATGGCAAAACCCCATCTCTACAAAAAATACAATAATCAGCCAGGGAAGGTGGTGTGCACCTGTAGTCCCAGCTACTCCGGAGGCTGATGTGGGAGGATTGCTTGAACCCAGGAGGCGGAGGTTGCAGTGAACCATGATCACACCACTGCACTCCAGCCTGGGTGACAGAGCGAGACCCTGTCTCAAAAAAACAAACAAACAAACAAAAAACCCAAACCCCAAAGTCAAGAAATAGGGCAACATATTCCATTTATTTAGTGGTAAAAACTACAAAGTCACATAGCAAAGGGTATGGCTGCACAGAGGAGTGAAAAATTGGGGCCGATAACACAATCTTGCATAGACCTTAACATTTAAGGACAAATGTCCTTTCCTTAGCAAGGCTCACACGGTACTCTGTGCAGGCACCCCGAGCCAGCTGTCCAGCCTCATTTCTGTTGCTGTATCCTTTATTCCCTATGCTCCCGCCATTCTGAACTGTCTGCATGTGTTCTGCTGTTTCTTGTCCCTCTTGCCTTTGCATGTTATTCCCTCTGTCTTCACCAGGCAAACAGCCACTTATTCTTCACGGCCTCAACTCAGATCTTCTTGATCAACCCTTTCCCAATCAATTTTCAGCTTCCATCTTCATCCCATCAGAAACGACCACACCTCAACGGTCTTTGCCTTTATTTTTTCTTGAATACACAATATGGAAACTCAGCACCACTCTTTCTAGACTATGAATCCTTCCAGGGCGGAAAATGTATTTTATCATATTTGCATCTTTGGTGCTTAGTACTTTATTGAGTCTCAATAAATGTTTGTCAAATTAAATGCAACCTTTTGACTATTGATTAAACTTCCCTAGTTCTCAGAAACTAAGAAAGGTATGCTGTGAACAGAAGAGACTAAATAGTCTAGTTTCCAAGACAAGTGAAATGCTAGCTGTAAATTTTTGTTTGTTTGTTTTGAGACAGAGTCTCGCTCTGTCACCCAGGCTGGAGTGCAGTGGTGCAATCTTGGCTCACTGCAACCTCTGCCTCCTAGGTTCAAGCAATTCTTCTTCCTCAGCCTCCCAAGCAGCTGAGACTACAGGCGTGTGCCACCACGCCTGGCTGATTTTTGTACTTTTAGTAGAGACAGGGTTTCTCTATGTTGGCCAGGCTGGCCTCAAACTCCTGACCTCAAGTGATCCGCCCACCTCAGCCTCCCAAATTGCTGGGATTACAGGCATGAGCCACCACACCCAGCCCTCTAGTTGTGAGTTAATACATCAATATTCTGCTAAAATATTTATCTAGCTTAGAATCTGATCATTTTCATTTGAGCTAGGGTGGGGGTCCAAACATTGAATCATGGAGCCACCAATAAGATGCTGCATATCGGCTGGGTGCAGTGGCTCACGCCTGTCATCCTAGCACTTTGGGAGGCTGAGTTTGAGGCAGGCGAATCACCTGAGATCAGGAGTTCTAGACCAGCCTGGCCAACATGGTGAAACCCTGTCTCTACTAAAAATACAAAAGTTAGCCAGGCATGGTGGCAAGGCACCTATAATCCCAGCTACTCGGGAGGCTGAGGCATGAGACTCGCTTGAACTTGGGGGGCAGAGTTTGCAGTGAGCCAAGATTGTGCCACTTCACTCCAGCCTGGGCGAAAGAGAGAAACTTCATTTCAAAAAAGAAAAAAAAAGAAAAAAAAAAAGATGCCGCATATCCTTGGAAGGTGTGGTTTAGGAGCTGGCTGATCTTACTCATTATACTACTGGGCAGTGTTCTGTGAGGACAGCGGAGACTAAGGTGTATTTGCCTTATGAAACTTCACATCAGCAGGGCGTGCTAAGGAAATCAGAGGGCAAATCCCTGACCACTGTGCTAATAGCTAGAGTCACCCACCTCCAATTCTCGGAAGAGGCCCTGGAATCAGACTCTGATTGAGGCCTTTATTATCCACTGTTGCAGGAGAACAAAGGGAGGGACTGAATCCAGGATAGTCACACTGTGGGGTGATGTGCACCAAACCCTTCTTTAAGGCATCGTTGGGTTTTGTGTTCAAGGACAGCCCCCAGGCAGAGACACTCTATTGTTACACCACTCAGATTCATAAACAACCAGGAGATTGAGTCCGTTAGGGACAAAAGTGAGCATAGAACATACATCTAGAAACAATGGAAGCACTGTTGTTTGTCTGCTTGTTTATTTGGAGGAGAAAATGCAAATCAAAGAACAAGAAAATAACTCTTTGGTCAACCAAGAAGCATAAATGTCACCTCCAAGGCTTTATATATTCAAGTGAGAGCAAATTCCAGCATTAGCAAATGCTTTACTACTACCGAGAGAGAGGACTAGCGGCTTCCTCTGCTGCCTCCATTTCTAATTTTCTTAAATTCAGGAAAATGTGCAAAATGACTTTATGCCTCTATCACATGCTACAAAGCAGAGTTCATTTGGGTGGTTCTGGCAGAGAGGTTGTTCATGAATGTTGTTAATGTACACTAGAAGACATCTGATGTGAAGTTCATAATTGAAATGTTATGAGCAGTTTAGCATATGGATCCTTCACATCCACTTAATTGCCAGTTTAGTAATAATTTTATGTAATGAGGCATTATTAATAATACGTGAAATACGAAATTGACGTAATGCCCTAAAAACGTAATATGACATTTACCACTGAAAAAGCGTTATGATTCCAGGTGTCTTTACTGATTTCAAAAACATATGTGATATTACATAAAATATTAAAATCAGTCTTTAGAACAGCTTGGTTATGATGTATTTCAAATTCGTTCTCCAAATTATAGTCCATTTTTGACAAAAAGGGCAAAACTTTGCTTGCACTTGTGGACTTGCATTTCAACTGCTGCTGGAAGCTCTCGTGCCATTTGATGTTTGCCATCCTGTTCTTCCATGGCTGAGGGGGCATCTGATATGGCAGAGAGGGAAGCCAGACAGAGAAAAGTCAGATTTGTTCATGATCAAGCATGAAGAAAATATAGGGAAACAGAAGCCAAATGCTTGCTATTGACAACTCCTCAAAATTTCATCACACTTCAGGGACTGGTTTTTTGCATCTTTGTACAGTTCTTAAAACCTTATGACTGGAGCCGTGATTATCATTTGCAAGGCCTGCGGGAAGAGTGCAATTGGAGGCCCATACACCATAGGTTTACATATTTGAAAGTTATAAGTGAAACTAACAAACTAGTAAATAAAATAGGATCTTTTCTACCTTGACAAATATTCCGTAATGACAAAATGGAAAAATATGTAAAAAGCCTTGTTTTTTATATATATGACTTAAAGTTATATCAAATACAAAAGACAACCGAATGATTGTCTTTGATTTTTGTGCATGTGGGAGTGTTCCATTGTTGGGTTGGTAAAATTTGAATGGGTAACAAAATAAAAACATACGTAATTCATTAAAATGTAAAACTTAGCCAATAAAATTTCTTTTTTATTACAACAAAATTATTAAAGATGTTGTAATAAACATTTTAACATAATTTATATTCTATTAATGGCAGTGACCTAAATGAATAAAAAGTAGAAAGTATATAGTATGGAAAGTCTAATATATTTTTATAACAAATTAAATATTAAAATATTATTTTTATATATTTTTTCTAAAAATTATTTTTCTTCGAAAATACTCAGAATTATTTGTTAAACTTAAAAGGCAGACTGAAAATTATAATTAGTAAATATAAAAAATGTTAGCCTCTTTACTTAAGCAATGCTGAAAATTTGGTGGTTGTTCTTTTTCTTTTTGTTTGAGACAGGATCTCACTCTGTCACCCAAGCCGGAGTGCAGCAGCAAAATCATGGGTTACTGAAGCCTTGACTGCCCAGGCTCAAGCGATCTCCCACCTCAGCCTCTTGAGTAGCTGAGACTACAGGTGTGTGCCACCATGCCTAGCTAATTTTTAGTTTTTTTTGTAGAGATGGGATTCCACTATATGTCTGGCCTCAAACTCCTAGCTTCAAGTGTTCCTCCCACCTTGGCCTCCCAAAGTGCTAAGATTACAGACATGAGCCACCATTCCCAGTCAGAAAACTTTAATATTTTGAAATTTTAATTAAATGTTACTGAGTATTTTATAAAGATAAAACTATTTCCAGTTATAGAATTCAACCTCCATTTGGTTGCCAATTTAAAGAACAGATGTCACGCTTCTACATATATGTCTAGACAAATATCTGTATGTATGTATGTGCTTGTATCTATATGTATAAATTAAAGAGTAATATAAACTATTTAATATTGCAAAACGTTCTAAGCTACCATGTGCAGTACCTTGTGAACCAGGGCTCGGAACTCAACTGGAACATGAAGAGAAGTAAGAAAGTGGATGCTTAGCACTGCTGGAAACAAGACTTCATAATACAAGAGTCTATTGCATTCATGCTGACAGGAAGGATTTGACAAGTTAATTAATTTGTCTTTTCTCTTACCTAAGCGCTTCAGCCACTTAAATTCCTCTGCACTCAAAAGCAGAGTCCATCTCTGAATCTAGTAGCGGCACAACCCACAAGTTTTCTCAGCACTGGGGTGCAGTCACCTTTTGTTTTGAGGACATAGGGCAAACCATATAGAAAAATGTGTCTTGGGCTGGGCATGGTGGCTCATGCCTATAATCCTAGCAATTTGGGAGCCCGAGGTGGGTGGATCGCTTGAGACCTGGAGTTCAAGACCAGTCTGGGTAACATGGTCAAACTCCATCTCTACAAATTTACCAAAAAAAAAAAAATTGCCAGGCATGGTGTTGCATGCCTGTAATCCCAGCACTTTGGGAGGCTATGATGGGAGGATCACTTGAGCCCAGGAAGTTGAGGCTGCAGCCAGCCAAGATGGCTCCACTGCACTCCAGCCTGAGTGAAAGAGCAAGACCCTGCCAAAAAAAAAAAGAAAAGATAAGAAAAGTAAAGTATGTCCTGGGGCCAAAAAGGTGTAAGTCACATGAGCTGATATTTAGGGGTTCGGGTGCCCTATGTCAGCACTGAGCACCAGATCCCAAGTGTTCCTTAAATTAGTGTGTTTGTTCACACGCATGTGTGTGTGACTGTAGGGCCCTCTAAAGTACAGGCCCCAGAACAAGGCCACCTCTTGCCTGGCTCTGTGTGCAGCACAGCATGTGATGTTCACACACAGAAGGAGTTTAATAAATGTTGCTTTCACACCAACTAATGACACTGCCTCATAGACTCTGAAACTGTCCGCTACGTACTTTCCTGTTTGAGCCAGGCTATAGCTCAAGCTGCCCTCTATCTATGTCCAAGTCTGGTTCAGCAGGCTCACATAGATGCTGCCATACTGTTAAAGTATTGAAATACCTCCATATTTGTTAAACAGTAGTTGTCCTAAACTCCAAGAGTGTCTCCCACCTCCACGTATCCCCTCCTTCCTTCCCTAAAGCCCCTTCCCAAGAACTCCACACAGACTCTCTCCAGCACTCTGCTTCAGTGCCTGAGTTCAATATTTTTTATATCATCCTTGTACATGTCTTATAGCAAGGCAGACAAGTACAGGTGAAAGAGAAAATGCATTAACACTGTGCGCACTTGTATCAAATAAATATATTTTAGAAAGCATGATTACTTGATAGTATATTTCTGGATGCACCAACGTATCTGGATAATAGGAGAAGAGATGCCCTTTCATTGTAAGGTCGGCTGTTGAAATCTGATTCCAGGTCAGCTAGGAGAGCTATTTCCATACCAACAGATGTTCAGTGGCTTTTGACAAGTGAGTTGGTGGCCTTTATCCAGTTGCAAATACCCAGATGTCTAAATCACTATTCTAAGCTGATGTGTGATCTGATTAAGGTTCTTCTTGGGCTTTTTGGCTCAGAGTTCATAACCAAATGGGAGTGGAAACTGAGACAGTCTGTAACATATTCTGGTTCTAAGGTAACACTGAGTGCCTAAATGTGCTCAGCACTAACCCATTTTGCAGAAAAACCTAGAATTTAATCTTCGTAAATTTTATTTTGGCACCTTTTAAAAAGCCTGCAACAAAATAATTGGTTATTAAATATAGCTGAAATCACTTGTTCTGATTTCCAAACCCCAAGTCAGTCTGACTGCTCCTAACCCCAGGTTGAGGGCAGCCTAGGATTTCTTCTAGAGCTTGGCCCAGTGTCCATAGTTCAGTTATTATGAAATGGATTCAGGCTTTATGTATTTTGACAATGTCTATGTTCAAAGGAAGATCCAAGTTTGGTGGGTCCTTAAGCTCATACAATTTGGAAGTCTCTCCTTTAGAAAAAGAGTACGAAATTATAAATTTAAAATTGTTGGGGCTCCAACAGCTGCAGCTTAGTGCAGAGTAAGCCTTGGTAGCCTCATGGTAAGCCCACCTCTGTCTAGATGGCTTTTCCCTGTGTAGTAGACACCAGTGACCGTGGAGCTATCATCTTCTGTTCTTCTTCTTGTAGGTTGTTTTTCGCTGCTGCTGCCTACCTTAAAGGAAATGCAAGCTGGGCAAAAATCTAGGTTTATGTAGCAGGAGAAAATGGATTTTCTGTCATTTAAAAGAGATCTGACTAATGGGCCACTCCTGCATAAAGTCTTGATAAAATGTAAGCTGTGTGGCCATACGAAAAAAGGGTAGAATTTGGGCCGCTTTCTTCAAACTTAAAATGGGGATAGCTGGGACTCATATCTGAAAAGCTCTTTCAAATCAACGCTGCGGTGAAAACCCCTGTATATTTTAGGATGGTAAAGGATGGGGAACAGGCAGGTTATTGTACAGTGAATTCCTTCCCTCCCTTATTGCAGCAGGCAAAGCAGAAGCTGCGGGTGGGGACTGACATTATCACAGCCTCCCTCAGAAATTTTAGGTGAGATGTTGTTTCTGAAGGTTGATTTCTACTTGGTCTTAAAAAGAAATACTATCATTACAATCTTCCTCTTTCTAGGTTTATGGGAGATGATGGTTTTGAGAGTCAAGGGGAGACTCCACTGGGGCAGTGTGACATTATAAACAATATATGTTTGATCTCAGCCCCTGGTTCCCGGCAGAGAGCTCCCAAAGCCATGTTTTTTCCTAAGTAACATGGATATTAGGAGCATTTTTTATTCTAATATTTGGTCTTTGACATTTTGGTCTTTGAGCTCCTACATCCCTTGGAATTTCCTGGGTGATAGGAGTGCCTTTTGTCGAATGAAGTAACTCTTGGTGGGCTCCTGGAAAGCTTCGGGATGGAGACTGGTCACTAGAAAATCCAAACCATGATTAGAAGCTTGAAACTTACAGCTGCATTCCCCATCCTCAGGGAAGGGGAGAGAGGCTAGAGACTGAGTTGATAATCGATCATGCCTATGTGATGAAGCCGCCATTAAAATCCCTAAAAGGTGGCATTTGGGGAGCTTCCAGGTTGGTGAAGGCATTCACATGCCAGGAGGGTAGCATAACTCAACTCCACAGGAACAGACACTCCTGTGGTTGGGATCCTTCCAGACCTCATCCTATGTTCCTCTTCATCTGGCTGTTTGTTTGTATCCTTTCTTATATCTCTTAGAATAATAAACCAGTAAATATAAGTGTTTCTCTGAGTTCCCTGAGCTGTTATAGGAAATTATCAAACCTGAGGAGGGGATCATGGGAACCTCTAATTTGTAGCCAAGTTGGACAGAAGTATGAGCAACCGGGGGACCCACTGCTTGTGATTGACCCCTGAAGTGGTGGCAGTCTTGTGAGACAGAGCCCTCTACCTGTGGAGTCCCCACTAACTCCAGGTAGTGTCAGAAGTGAATTGTCAGACACCCAGTTAGTATCTGGAGAGTTGGATAATTGGTTGGTGTAGAAAATCCCAAGCTCTTGCTGTCTGATTGTATTGTGAAGTACATTTTTGACCAGAATTGCAGACTTCTGATTCCCTCAGAACTGTTGGCAGACTATATCCCAAAGTGGAAGCCTGGGGCTGGGTTGATGGTAAGCAGGTCCAATGCTTACTTTCACAGAGCAGCAGATACCTTCGCTCCTTTCAGGTTCAAGAGCAAGCTGGCTGTGAGGCTGTCATCTGTAGGGCGAACTCTTTCCCAGGCCTCCCCAGCCCCAGTCCAGTCCCTATCATGAGCAACTGTTGGCTCACTGATGAGGTCTGAGGCCTTACGAGAGGGATGTAATCAGACTTTAATGAGTCAGCAGGGAAGAGCTACGGAGGTAAATTGCTCAACTTCACTCTCCTTCCACCTTCACGTCTTCCCATCCTCTCATTGATCTCACAAAGCAAATGATGCTGCAGCTTCCTGTGGAAGTGGGATGGCAAAGGAATCCACTGGAGCAGCCACACAGGTCAGCCTCCACCGGCACAGAGCAGGATGCGGGAGAGTAGGAGTCGGCCTGGAGAGACAAGCAAAACATCTCCAACAAGGAGATAGGAACGAGGCTTCTGAGCGAGACTTCTGAGGACACTTTTGAGAGGGAGACTGGGCTGGAGGCGGTGGCTCATGCCTGTAATCCCAGCACTTTGGGAGGCCAAGGCAGGCAGATCACTTGAGGTCAGGAGTTCAAGACCAGCCTGGCCAACATGGTGAAACCCCATCTCTACTCAAAACTACAAAAATTAGCTGGGCATGGTGGCATGCGCCTGTAATCCCAGCTGCTCGGGAGGCTGAAGCAGGAGAATCACTTGAATCTGGGAGGTGGAAGTTGCAGTGAGCCGAGATTGCACCACTGCACTCCCACTCCAGCTTGGGCCACAGGATGAGACTCCATCTCAAAAAAGAAAGAAAGGGAGACTGGCTTTTCACCATCTTTTCTCTTCTTCGAAAATCAAACAAACCTTTACTTGTTTAATGTCAGGCTTCTGTGACCTGCAGCCAAGTGAAATTCAGACACACTGCCAGTCTCCAATCAGATATACTGAATTATTAAGTAATTTTCTGCTCCTTTCAATGTACTAAACAATATGCATCATTTTGGAATAATTTGAATTAATGTTAGATACATCATAAAAGAGATTCATTCAGATTCATTTTTAAAATTTAAAATTACCATAATTTAATTGACACAGTAGAAACAAGCTGAAAGTCAATATTTTTCTTTCCTTCCTTTTTTTTTTTTCAGATGGGGTCTTGCTGTGTTGCCCAGACTGGAGTACAATGGCATGATCACAGCTCACTGTAGCCTTGACTTCCTGAGCTCAAGCGATCCTTCCACCTCAGCCTCCTGACTAGCTGAGACCACAGGTGCATGCCACCATACCCAGCTTGTTTTTTTCTTTTCTTTTCTTTCTTTTTCTTTTTTTTTTTTTTTTGTAGAGAGGGGATCTCGCTATGTTGCCTAGGCTGGTCTCAAATTTCTGGGCAAAAGTGATCCTCCCATCTTGGCTCCCCAAAGTGCTAGAATTACAGGCATGAGCCACCATGCCCAGTCTAAAAGTCAATCATTTTTCTTTTATCTTCATATTACTTGACAGACAACCCAAAGTTTTTCTTCATTTTTCTGGCCCATTTACAATAGCTCAGTTTGGGAATAAATAAGGTCAAATTTGTAAAGGACTATCACTTAAAAGATACACTTTTCAAATAAAAAAATTTGATTTCTAATGTACCAACTTGTAAAAAGACTTGATACCTGAAAAATAATTACAAAAATATGGCAAGAAATAGAATGACACCACAATTACTCTTGTGATTAAGTCAAGTCTGTCTCAAAGACAAAAGGAAACAGCTTTATCATAGCTGCAAAAACAAGAAAAGATAGCATATCATAGGTTAAATTGGTATCTATTTATTTTTCTATTAGTATGACACATTAGATATTACTGAAAAGCCATACAACTTTTTGGTACCATCTAAAATGTTTAGATATTAATATTTTGACTATACTAGAGAAGTTTACCACTTAAAGGAATTCTACTGGTGAAATTTTGGGCAACAAAAATAATTAACTTTGAATGTAATTGCTTTATAAAATTGACTTCTTTTTATGAACTTCTTATGGAGCAACTGACAGGGATAAACCTGTGGTTTGTGACCAATCAGAGCCCTTAGTTAGAGGACTGTGAAAGACTGCATACCTCTTTATAGGCCAGTTAGCATCTGTCAGTCTCGTAGTCACCAGGGGCCTATTTAATTGCATCTTTAAACTCTAAACTGTGGCTGTCTACGCTCAGAAAAATGAGGTATGGATGGGGTGACAGCACTTCAAGTGGTGGGGCAGGGGCAGGATCTGCGTGTGTCAGGGGCATTCAAGGGAGGTGCAGACAGAAAGACTCCCCATGCCCATGGCCCTTGGGCTCAGAAACTGATGAAACTGGGTTGACCTAACACTACACTTTAACAACATGAAATTTCCCCTGGAATTCTTATTGTATTATTTTGTGCAAACCTTGTTAGGCAGATCAGATTTCACTTCATAAAATGTCTCTTAAGGGATATCTGGCAAACAATGTAGCTTTGGTTGCCCTCTCAATGTAGCCAAGTGTGGAAAAGATACTATCTTTGGTCACCAATTGTATTAGTCTATTCTCACACTGCTATAAAGAACTGCCTGAGACTGGGTAATTTAGAAAGGAAACAGGCTTAATTGACACATAGTTCCACATGTCTGGGGAGGCCTCAGGAAACTTACAATCATGTCGGATGGCAAAAGGGAAGCCAGGCACCTTCTTTACAAGGTGGTTGGAGGGCGAATGAATGCAGGAGGAACTATCAAACACTTATAAAACCATCAGATCTCATGAGAACTCACTATCATGAGAATTGCATGGGGGAAACCACCCCCATGATTCAATTACCTCCATCTGGTCTCTCTCTTATCACACAGGGAATATGGGGATAATGGGAATAACAATTCAAGATGAGATTTTGGCTGGGGTAACAGCCAAACCCTATCACCAATCTTTCTCTTAGAGATATTGTTTGGGCCAAGGTTATACAGGAAAGACTGACTAGCTGTTCATCAGACTATTTATTTTTCTTCCTCTGTGCCCAGCTAGACTATTATTCCCAGCTTCCCTTGGAGTTAGGTGCAGCCATGTGATAAATTTTGCCCAATGTAATGTGGGCAGAAGCCATGTATACGTTAGGCCTCCCTTCCCTCTGTTTTCTTTGTATGTCAGCCCAACATGAAGATCAAACAGAGGACTCTGAAATGGAGCCACTAGCTGCAAGGAGCCTGGGTCTCTGAAAAACCCTGTGGAGCAGAGTCTCCCTGTCTACCCTTATTGAGCTCTGATGTAAACTAGAAAGACAAACAAACAACAAAACCCATAGATGTGTTACACCACTAAGATTTTAGGACTATTTGTTACAGCAATTAACTCACCTTGATTAATACATCTTATGATCTTTATATGAAAAAAATGCTATTATAATTATCTTCTCAGTTTATACATACAAATGAAAATAAAGGCACAAGAGATGTGCTGATCATTACAGGAAAAGTCTAGAAAATGCCTGTTCCTTAATGACTTTAACAGATGTTAGCATTTAGTTCTATAGTCTTATAAATAGCAGACTTCATTTTTGGTGGATAAATGTCATAAAAACTTAGGGCTAAGTATTTATTTCGTTTGTTTCCTTCACCTTGAATCCATTTTTGAAAACCTTTCAGTTTTCAGAAAGTTATTCACTGACCAAATGATCACATCAATATGTCAGAATAAAAGGAGGGGTGCCCTGTCACTCCTCCTTAAGGAGGGAAAAAAAATGCATATGGAGTTTCTCATTATTTTAATTTTTTAAATCTAATCTTACCTTTTGTTACAATAAGAATAAATGCTTGTGCCATTGGCACATGCCCACAAGAAATGCTTTTCTGATTGTTAAACACTAATTATTGCATGTATGCAATACTACCATGAATATGCTATTTTTAAAATATATGTTCAGTATATTCAGATAAACTCTCACTTGCATAATTTCCTCTTGGAAATGGCTTATTCCATCTCAAAGTGTCTTTAGTCACCCCAATCCTGCATTATTCTATCTGACCAAATTAAGAATGTTTGGCTTGTAAGCATAGCCTCCAGTTATTTTTCTCTTAGATGCTTTCAATATACTATTCAGAGATTAGTTTTCCCCACACAGAGTCATTGAATTCAGTCATCTCAAAATAGGTAAAACAAAGCAGTATGGATCAGCTCCAGGTTCAATGGTCACACTATAGGAACACAATTCATTTGTTAATTAAATCCACACTAGCTACACCACTGCCTCCTGCTAGCTTCAAATTTCTGTTTGTGGGCACTCTCAGTTTGTCTAAGGAATGGAAATAAAACACACCTCCCTCTGCTGTTGCTAAATAGTCTTCCTTGGATCTTTTCTCCCATGCCTACTTTTTAAATGTTTGTTTGTAGATTAATCTAGTGGAATTTTTCTGAATGTCAACTCCTCCATTTGTTTCCCAAAAAATTTAAAAACATTAAATCAATAATTTCATTTGATAGTAACACCAGTCTAGTGATAATAACCACCAACTACCACTTTATGGTTCTACCCAGAACCTGCAGAGATCAACCTACTTTGAACACAAACTTGTAGACAGATTTTGTACTGGATATGGCTCAAGTCTGTGCAATAGTGAGCTCTTCGAAGCCAGGGACTGTATCTATTTAGTTTTTTGATGTATACCAGCACCTGGTACAGTCCCTAGAACACAAAAATTTCTCAAAAAATGTTTTGTTGAAAGAGGGAAGTATCAAGAGATAAGGCTGGAAAACTTTATAGGTCATGTAAAATACTTGGACTTCATCCTGGAGAAATTAGTAATTTTAAGTAAGGGAGGTACACAAACAAATGTTTATCCCTAGAGAGCTCCTTCTGGAAGCATCTGCTAGATGCACTGGACCCTAAACTATGTAGGGGAGGGGACACTGCCTGTCTTCTTCATTGTGGGATCCCCAGTACTGAACACAGTCCCTGGGACATCGAAACTACTCAAGATATATCCACTGAATGAATAAATAAAGAGTCCATGAAGCTAATCGCTAAACCTTCCAGAAGAATAGAAAATATTCCAGGACCTCATGGAGAATTGTGAGCTCCTCAAGTTTTGCCTTGTGATTTGATTTATGAGCTACTAGCATGTCCTTGACCCATCTGAACTTCCAAGAAATTCATCAGAGCAGAAGGAGACGTCACCCTGACCTGGAGAAACCTGACCTGATCTGTTTACTCCAACCTACACGTATCCTTTGGGGCTAAACTGGAATCAATTAACTCCCTAAGATATAGAGAAGAATAAGCCATCCTCCTTGAGAACATTTACCCAAGAGACATTTCCAGGATGCCCAGATGTCCTCTTCAGTTCATTCCCAAAGTAACTGCTCCCAAGGAAGGTTACCAACCATACCACCCGCAGCTAATTTTATGGTTGATAAACATGTTTCAACCTTGAGCTCCTAGATAATGTGTTTCTATGGGTCAACTGGGCAGCCTCGGGAGTGCTGACCTTTGAAATGTGGGCATCACAATCTGATACGTGAGATGGTTTAGTGCCTCTGGCGTCCACATAGCTCCATAAGTCCTGCTTCTCACAAAGCCGCCTCCCCTGCTAACCCTGACTGTTCCCAAATATAAATGAGAAAATTAAACATTTACCTCAATGAGAAAATAGCGCTCTCTCATTGACACTTCCTCACACCTCACCAATGTGATTTAGTTATAGTTTTTAGTAGCTGTTTTTACATTTTTAATTATTTTGTAGTGTTAAAATATGTAATAATGGATAACTGTGCAATACATTAAATACTTATGGGTATGTTGTGCCTTCTGTTATAATATAAAATCCATCTATTCTGGTTGATGGGTTTTAACCTCACACAGAATACTTTAAACTCCATTTGGACTTGTGCCTACAATCACCTTAGCAAAGTCTCTTAAGTAACTGCGCACAGCCTAATTAGTATGCATTATCAATTAACAAACTTAATAGCCGGCAGATTGATTAGATCCTCTGTTGCAGGGGCAGAGCTGAAGCGAAACAGAATGAAAAATCATTGCACGCATACACTGCAGCTTTGTTATTTTCTCAGATCCCCTCCTCCTCCTTCACATTCCTTTAATTAATGCATGCATATGGTTCTGCATATCTGGTGAACCCGAGTTTTCCTAACACTTTCAAAAAGCCCTTTCTTAAACAGAGGGAGTCCATGCCTCCCTTTTCTTTGGAGGCTTCTGTACAGATCATTTTCACCCCTTTTCTTGCCCTTTGCATAGCACTGAATTTTAAAGGGCTGCTTCTCCCAGCCTGATTATCCTCCCGGTGGTGGAAATGGGAGAGGAATACAAAGATGAGTGGGAAGCGTGTGCTTTTTAACACAGAGGACCGCTAGGGAGTCGCATCGGTGGGGCTTTGACAACCGTAAAGCGCTTCTGGCAATTATTTCCAAAAAGAATGGTACAAATGGACTGTCCTGTTACATCTTGTCTCTTTTTGATGGACTGGAAACAATATGAATAAATGAAGGAAAATCCACATTTCTCGAAAGCAGAGATCAAGCTAAAAGGAATTGCCACCTGCACTGTTCATAAAACACTGGCATTATAAGAATTTTACACCTTCTATAAACATTCAACACAGAACGCTAAAAAGACTTCCGAAGGCATTTCCAACACCATAAATTGCCGCCTTGCAGTGCTGGTTTGAGTTTTATTTTTCTATTTTAAACTAAATAATGGTTCGTGCCAGTTTTTTAATTTATCAGCTGTTCTCAGATACCATATCTTTTGGTTTCTATGCGGGAAGAGTTATAATTAGGTATGGAGGAAGCACGGAGAAGCTTTAATTTCCAGTTTTGAGGATGCCCGAATGCTTGTGTTTTATTGGCTGTTCTCTCCAAACTCATATCAGGGATAACCCCAGGAACCGCAGGTCTAGACTAGTCTCTCCTGATGGTTCTTGGAAAGAAAGGCCCTGCCTTCCTCTCTGACCTCAGCTCCTGCAAGCTCCCCTTTGACCCCATCGCTCCAGCCATGCTGGCCTTTCTCATTCCTCCTGGAACACGGAGTTCATTCCTCTCACTTGCTTCCTTCTCCATGGGAGGCTCATTCCTAGCCATCCTATGGCTTGCTTTTTCTTATCATGTCGGTCTCCGCTCAAATGTCACCTCGCAAGAGAAGTCTTCCTTGACCACCCACTCTGAAGTAATGCCGACCTGCTTGCCCAACCATCAGTACTTTCCTTCATCCTATCATATGGATGTCATGATTCTTGTGGGGGATGAAGACATTAAATAAAGAAGCAAATGGTTGTATTATCTTACCCGTTTGCCTCTTTATTTACTGTCTTCATACCCTGTAAGAATGCAAGCTTCCCAATAGCAAGGACCTCATCTGTTTACTTGTGGTGTTTGACTTCAACACTGAGCACAGCACCTGGGACATTTAGAAGCTTAATGAATATTTGTTGAATGAAAATATGATTGGATAAATGAGTGGGGAATGAGAAGGAAATGGACATTCGTGTGTATGAGTGAGGGAGAAGAGAAAGGGGGTCAAGACTGAACCCAGAATTATACCAAATTCACAAAATAAGCCGATAGGTAAATGATTTGAAGAGACATTTCTACAAAGCAGATGTACAAACGACCAATAAGCACGTAAAGAGATGCTCACCATTAGCCACTAGAGAAAGCAAACCAAAACCACAGTGAGATACCAGTTCACACCCACTAGGATGGCTAGAATTAGAAAAGCAGATCATCATAAGTGTTGCAGAGGATGTCAAGAAATTGGAATCTCCATATATGGCTAATGGGAATGGAAAATGGTGTATCCTCCATGGAAAATGCTCTGATAGTTCCTCAAAATGTTTAACAGAGTTACCACATGACCCAGTAATTCTACCCCAAGCTACATCCCCAAGAGAAATGAAAACATATGCCCACACAAAAACTTGTACATGAATGTTCATGGAGTTTTCATTCACAATAGCCAAAGAGTAGAAACAGCCCAAAAGTCTATAAACTGATAAATGGATACATAAAATGAATGTGGTATATCCAGAAAATGGATTATTATTTGGCTATGAAAAGGAATGAAGTACTGATGTAAGGTTCATGAATAAACCTTAAAAACATTATCCTAAGTGAAAGAAGCCAGTCACACACACACACAAAAAAACCACATTGTTAGACTTCACTCATATAAAATGTCCAGAATAGGCCAATATAAAGAAACAGAGAATAGACCAGTACTTGCTTAGGACTTGGAGGAGAAGGAAATAAGGAAGGGTCTCAGGTTTCTCTCTGGGGTGATGAGAGTGTCATAAAATTGACTGTGGTGATGGTTGTACAACCATGTGAATATACTAAAGAACATTGAATAGTCTGCTTTAAATGGGTGAACTGTATGGTATGTGAATTACATGTCAATAAACTGATCTTGGAAAAAAAGAAAAACCCCGTAAAGGTGATTGGAAAGGAATGGCCAGAGATATAAAGAGCACAGCATGTCACAGAATGTTTCATGAAGGAGGAGGTGGTCATCAGTGGCCAATTTGGTCAGAGAGCAAGTAAGACAGAACCAAAAAGTGCCCAGCAGAGCTACAAGCAGGAAGGTGCTCAGTGACTTTGCAAGACTAACATGGACTGCAGGGAGCCATCTTAGTTTGAGTTCTCCAGAAACAGATTCTGAGGTAAAGAGTGCATTTGTTTACCACTAGGCCAGCTGTCAACCAGAGCTGAATCCCTCAAGGGACTCTGGAATGTGGTGTGAGTGCTTGCCTCAAAATTGTCCTGCCCAGGCAAGAAAGCTGGCGTATTTATACACCAACTCTGGAGTCACTGGTCAAGGCCTGTCCCCACAGTGTGAACTCTCTCTTCAGCACTTCCACTGCTGGGGCGGAATGGCCTTCTGTGGGCCAGGGAGCAGGTGCAGCCGGCTGGAAGTCACCAGAAAGCGCTAAAATTCCAAGAGATGCAGAGAGGCGTGCATGTGTTGTACCAGGAGGGTTGGCTTGTTGTTTGAGGAGGAAGATTGGTCAAGGCTGGTAAGCAATGCAGAGCACAGATGCAAGGGCCAGAAGACTACTGTCCTCCGGTCTCACCAGGGAGGAGAGGCCAGAGGTTGGGGGAGGATGCAGGGGAGTGGGTGGGCTTGAGAAAAGAGGGAGACAGCTGCTGACATGAAGCTGGGGTGTCTTCTGCCTGCTGAGAGTTGGGGAGGTGGCAAGGTCAGAGGCTTGAGGGAAGTGAAGTGGGCCTCACTCAACTGGAGCCTGGCCTGCTCTGGGACAAATTGTTCAGGTTCCAAACTGACTCAGAGAACATTCCCCACCTCCTGCAGCCTGCCGTGATCCCATTATATCTCTGCTCACCTCCATTTGAGCCCTTTTGTTTCCCTTTCATGTATCCATCCACCAGCAATCTGTGGGCCCCAGAAAGGTGCCTGCCACAGCTCCATAATCCCAGTGTCAGCCTGCTCTCAGGAAACACTCTCATTGATATAGTTTGGATATTTGTCCCTGCCCAAATCTCATATTGAATTTTAATCCCCAGTGCTGAGGTGGGGTCTGCAGGGAGGTGTTTGGGTCACAGGGGCAGACCGATTATGGCTTAGTGCTGTCTTTAGGGCGCGGTGGCTCCTGCCTGTAATCCCAGTACTTTGGAAGGCCAAGGCAGATGGATCATGAGGTCAGGGGATCGAGACCATCCTGGCTAACATGGTGAAACCCTGTTTCTACTAAAATTACAAAAAATCAGTCAGACATGGTGGCACATGCCTGTAGTCCCAGCTACTTAGGAGGCTGAGGCAGGAGAATTGCTTGAACCTGGGAAGCGGAGGTTGCAGTGAGCCGAGATCACGCCACTGCACTCCAGCCTGGGTGACACAGCGAGACTCCGTCCAAAAAAAAAAAAAAGTATGTGGCACCTCCCCCACAACTCTCTCTCTTTTGCTCTTATTTTAATCTTGTGATATGCTTGTTCCCCCTTCACCTTCCACCATGATGGAAGCTTCCTGAGGTCACGTTATGCTTCCTGTACAGCCTGAAGAACCATGAGTCAATTAAGCCTGTTTTCTTATAAATTACCCAGTTTCAGGTATTTCTTTATAGCAAGCCAGGAATGGCCTAATACATCCATCTAAGAATATATTAGGTTGGTGCAAAAGTAATTGCAGGTTTGCCATTAAAAGTAATGGCAGGCCGGGCACAATGGCTCACACCTGTAATGCCAGCACCTTGGGAGGCCACGGCAGGCGGATCACTTGAGGTCAGGAATTCAAGACCAGCCTGGCCAACATGGTGAAACCCCATCTCTACTAAAAATACAAAAATTAGCCTGGCATCATGGCACATACCTGTAATCCCAGCTACTCAGGAGGCAGAGGCCAGGAGAATCGCTTGAACCTGGGAGGCAGAGGTTGCAGTGAGCCGAGATCATACACTGCACTCCAGCCTGGGTGACAGGGCGAGACTACATCTCAAAAAAAAGGAAAAGTAATGGCAAAAACCGCAATTACTTTTGCACCAATGTAGCTTCTAAGACAACAAGGAGGACTGTAAAGCTGTTTTAAATCATTTGTCGGTTTATCTATTTTATGCCCAAATTACTATAGCACCATTCTCTCTGGGGTGAGGCAGGGGAGGGTGGAATAAGGGAGCAGAGTGGAGAATGGGCACAGAAATGGCGGGTGAGGGAATGGAAGGGTCTGCCCTGTTCTAAGTACTGTGGTGTACCCATGCCATGCCTATCATGTAGGCTCTCATAGCAGCTCTCTATGTGACTTCCTGGAGAACAGAACTGTATCACACTCATTCTACAGCCCCAGCCTGTTAGGTTCCAGGTAAATGCTTTTCAGCTGGATTGAGCTGACTGGGGGCAGCCTGAGGTAGTCTGGTTGTTCCCAGGTTTCCCTCCCCGGCTAGCTTCCTCCTGGCCGTCTCCTGGGCCTGTG
Organism: Homo sapiens; assembly: GCF_000001405.40. Classification (NCBI taxonomy): domain Eukaryota; kingdom Metazoa; phylum Chordata; class Mammalia; order Primates; family Hominidae; genus Homo; species Homo sapiens. The sequence continues at coordinate 77,917,704 of NC_000005.10, forward strand.
TTTTGGTTTAGGGCCCTTTGCCAGCTCCAGTTCAGCCTAGGCTTAACCCCTTCCCATCTTCTTCTTACCTTCATCCTCCACATGCCATTGTATATTTTGTCTTCCCAAACCTGAGGAGAATCTCACCTTTATCCTCTCCAACCAGTGCACTCCCTTCTTTCCCAGGTGGCAGGAGCATTTCAGATAGTTTTGGATTTCCATCCACCATTTTGGATTTCCCAGACCATTTAAATTTCAAAAGACAGATTTGTGAAGCAATGATTTGGCAGCTTAATAAAAACACCAAAAATTGTCATCTCATACTTTGATATGAGAAAGAACATTTAACAACAACAACAAAATCCCCCCAAAATACGAAGCACAGGTTTTCAGAATGAAGTTGGAAGGATGCTTTCCATGAGAGCCCAGTTGGTAAATACATAATTTTTCTTATTTTTTTGTTCCATTGTGCTGCAGATTGGTCGAAATTTTGCCAAAGATCATCGTTGAGAACCATTGGTCTATGTGACTTTAAGAGTAGAAATTTGAGGCCAGACGAAGCCATGGTTGGAAGGGAGAAGTATTGGGGGCCATAGTGGGCCGCATGTAGACATCCGCCAGCATTATCTGAGCATCTGTTAACAATATCCACTGAATCTTCCACAGTGCCCAGCACACAGCTGGTGCTTCATAAATAAATGTGGCCTGAACTGCATCACATTTATTAAGATCAAGATGAAACAAACCACTGCTTACCATCAATATTTTTAATACACTATATAATTATCCCCCCTTCATTTTTATCCAAGTAAAATAGTATCTAGCACATTGGAAATCATTGTTTGGATATGTTACAGCCTGAAGACAAGTATAGTTTCATTAGGACTGGCTGTTGGTGCAAAACCGTGAATGATAATGTGGCATTTTGGCAAGTTCAGCTCAGAAACCTATAACATTTTGAGGCATAGAAAAAACAATAAGTTCTTAACCATGTGTTCTTTATTTGAATCTGGTAACTTCCCCTCTAGATTCTTTAAAATCATACATAGCCACTCTAGCACTTTGATATGGTTTGGCTCTGTGCCCCCACCCAAATCTCATCTCATATTGTAATCTCCACATATCAATGGAGGAACATATAATCCCCATGTGTCAAGGAAGGAAGATGATTAGATCATGGGGGTGGTTTCCCCCATGCTGTTCTCATGATAGTGAGTTCTCAGGAGATCCAATGGTTTTATAAGTGTTTGGAAGTTCTTCCTTCACTCTTCTCTTTCTTGCTGCCTTGTGAAGAAGATGCCTGTTTCCCCTTCTACCATGATTGTAAGTTTCCTGAGGCCTCCCCAGCCAGGCAGAACTATGAGTCAATTAGACCCCCTTTTCTTCATAAATTACCCAGTCTCGGGCAGTTATTTATAGCAGTGTGAAAATGGACTAACCCTTTTTAATTTAACCCCACTGATAAGACATAATTGTTCAAAGTGGAAAAGAAAAAAAATCACTCTCTGTTATTTAACGCAAATGAACAAATTGGAAAAATTACCTATTTCCTCCTCAGAAAATCTACATCTCTTATTTTTATCATCCTTGGTTCTTGTTTTATATCATTTACTTTTGATTCAGAAAATGCCGGTCTAAATTCACTTTCTTAGCTTAAGTTACTAAACCCTTGTTCTTGTATTTGACGCTAACTCAAATAGTCTTGAAACAATTATCCTCTCGACTCCCTTCAGAATTGTCTATACTTTGATGAGTTCCCACTTAATCTCTCCTTTGCCAAAGAATAACACGCTGAATAACTAAGATCCTTAAATCCCCGTGTGGTTCTTGTTGCCCTCTGCTGTGCCTTCTCCATTTCTAGAATATCCTTTTACAGTAAGGTGACTGGAACTGTGCATAGTATTCCAAATGTGGCCTCACCAACCCTTACAGATAACAGGGATAATTCTCTGGATTTATATTCAATCCTTCTTAAGCATTTCTAAATGGGAGTGTTTATACTGTCTTTATTGCTTTCAAACTCTGAAAGTTTAAAATGTTAGGTTTTCCTCTCCTTCCCTTTTATTCATCCAAATTTCTAGTTTCCAAACACACTGAGAAATCCTGGACCATTTTGGCAGCTAAACATACATTTTTTTTTTCAAGGATTCTGGAGTGTAAAGTGTATTTAGTCAGGTTCACTTTAAAGAGCAGGTGCAGGCAATTCTGGCTGTTTCTTCAGAAGCCCAATAACTAAAAGGAGATCTATCCTTCGGGAGATTAACAATGGATTTGTTTTACAGGGACCCTATCACTTACTCTTCCCTAGAACTTCCTTCAGAGCAGAAGGGGAGTTTTCAGCTGAGGAGGAGAAACAGCAGAAGCTACTCAAAGATGCATTCTTGAAAAGAAAGTTTGGTGAATTGGGTCTTTGGAAAAATCTCTAGGACCCAAAGAATGCAGATGTTTCAAATAGCTTTGCATCTAATCTGAAACATGCACACCTGGGCACATGTGTGCACACATGCTCACATGCGCGCGCGTGCACACACACACACACCTTTTATATCCCAGCTATTCGATGTAAAACATAATCCCAGCCTTCTTGGGGCTTCAGTGTAGTGGGGGAGACAAACTTTAATAAAATGAACATCTAAAGGAGTATATAATTACAAACTGAAATTAGCTTTTAGAGAAGGCTTATTCGATCTGGTGCCAGGGGGAGAGGGTGTCAGGAAAGCTGTTTTCTAATGGAAGGAAGCGTTGCTTGAACTGAAATGAAAGGAAGGAGTAGAAGTTATCTAGCTAGCTTGGAGATGAGTGAGGACTGGGCAGAGTGAACCACATGTCCGAAGGCCCTGTGGCTTTTAGGGGGAAATGAAACAATGCCGACATGGTTGGAGTGCAGAGTGAAGGAGATTGATATGAAAATAGTTGGGGGTAAGCAGGGCTAGACTATGCAGGCTCACAGTAAGGATTTTCATTGTTTCCCTATGAACAATGAGAAATCACTGAAGGATCAAAATCAGGGGAGTGTTCTGAAAGCATATTTGTGTTTTGAAAAGTTCTTCCTAACTGGTGTATGGAGAATGGATCAGAAGATGTGGCAGAAACCTGGGATTTAAAGCAACACATTTACTGAACCCACCTGACTTCGGCACAGCTACTGTGGACAGTTACATGCACCTTGGCTGGAGTCCCACATTGAGCATGTGCAGCAGGGTGCCTATGCTCTGTCTTCTCCTGAGCTGCAGAAGGATTCCCATCTGTAAGAAAGCATAGCCCAGCAATGCAGAGGAGTTAATGCCCCTACCACCAATCTCAATCAATGAGGATGAGGATGAGTGAGTGATAGGTGCTCCAATCTCCCTACCCTCCAGTGTGACAATTCTGAGGATCCCCAGTGGGACTGGGCCCCAGCTGCCCACTGTAGTAAGCAACATATCTGCAAACATTTGTTGGCTTTCTTCCTGCACTGTCTCACTTTCTCTTCTACTTTACTTTTGCTTCATGTGATCACCTCCTAAATCAACTGCATCCAAGCCCTTATCTTAGGTCTGCTTTTGGGGAAATCTAGACTAAGACAGAGAGTGCTAACTGGGTGGAACTGCGATTTTAAAGAGCCAGCTGTGAATCTATTCATAAAATGAAGACCCAAACAAAATTTACATCACTTTACATGATGTTCCAGTAATCTACTGCTGTGTAATAAATCACCCCAAAACAAAGTGGTTTTAAACAACAATTATTTTGCTATTATGTTCTCTCACAGATCTAGTGGCTGACTGGGCTCAGCTAGGCAGTTTGTGCTGGGACTCACTCACCTGATTGCAGATACAAGTAGCCATAGGACAGATCATGTCTAAGGCTTCCTGACTTACACGTCTGGAATTTGATGTTGGCTGACAGCTGAGACTTCTGCCTAGGCTGTCAGCTAAGATATCTATACATGGCTTCTCCATGTGGCCTGGGCCTTCTCACAGGATGATGACTGGGTTCCTAGAGCAAGCATCCCAAAAGAGAGTACCAAGAAGAAGGTGTGCTGTCTTTTCTAACCTAGCCGCGGAAGTCACACAGCACCATTTATGTTGCATCTGTTCATTTAAGTGAGTCACTGGGCCAATCATGGTGGCTCATGCCTGTAATCCCAGCACTTTGGGTCAAAACCAGCCTGGCCAATATGGTGAAACCCTGTCTCTACTAAAAAAATACAAAAATTAGCTGGGTGTGGTGGCACACACCTGTAGTCCCAGATACTTGAGAGGCTGAGGCAGGGAATTGCTTGAAACTGGGAGGCAGAGGTTGCACTGAGCCAAGATTGTGCCACTGCACTCCAGCCAGGGTGAGAGAGCAAGACTCCATCTCAATAAATAAATAAATAAAATGAGACACTAATATAGTTTGGATGTGTGTGTCTCCTCCAAATCTCATGTTGAAATATGGTCCCCAATGTAGGAGGTGGGGCCTGGTGGGAGGTGTTTGGGTCATGGGAACAGATCCCTCATGAATGGCTTGGTTCCCTCCCCATGGTAATGAGTTATCACAAGATCTGGTTTTTAAAAAGATTCTGAGACCTTCCCCCTCACCGTGCTCCCTGTCTTGTCATATGACCTGCCTGATCCCCCTTCACCTTATACCACGAGTAAGAGATTCTTGAGAAGCTGAGCAGATACTGGTGCCATGCTTGTATAGCCTGCAGAATTGTGAGCCAAATAAACTCTTTTCTTTATAAATTACCCAGCCTCGGGTACTTCTTTATAGCAACACAAAATGGACTAACACAGTCACTAAGGCCAACCCATATTTAAGAGGAGGAAAATGAGACTCTATCTGTTGATAGAAGTGTTGAAGAATTTGACATGGTAACATGCTTTTGGAGGACTCTGGAAATGAATTCCTAGCCTGATTTCATTTCCATTGTCAAGACACTGGAAAGAGAGAACATAGCTTTTTGCAGAATGCTTCTGTGAGGGTCTTACCTTTACCCACCACGTCAAGCTACCTGACTGAATCTGTCTCCCCAAATCACTCCTGCTCACTGTGGGGGAGATTCCTACCTTGGTACTAAAGCAGTAAGGAGGAAGAAAAAAACTGGGACTGTTAGAACATCCAAGAGTCAGGGGTACCAGGGAAAGCAGCCAACTCCTTCCCCCTATAGACGCGGCCTTAATCTAGAAAGAACAAGAAAAAATATATTAATGACATATTCAAGCTTTTTAAATCGAACTTAGAAATAGCGAGGTTAATGATTTATTTTCCAATAGGAAAATTCTCTTTATATTGACTATTTTGCCCTCACAAATGTCAAGCCATTTATTCTATTGTTGAGGTGCCCATATTTTCAATGGAAGTATTTCCTTTTAAATGTTAAGATATATCAACCCTGAAATCAATTCATTTTTCTCCGTGTGCTAAAAATTAGAATATCACAGCAGGGCACAGGCTAATTGATGTTAACAGGGATCAGTGAAAAAAAGGAGACCCAAAGTCTTCTATCTGATTTTCCTTTTAAGGCCCACAATTGGATAATAGTAGCTATTTTTGAACTCATCTGTGCTCATTGATCTAACTTGTCAGAAATCAATCAATAATCAATCAATTTGTTCTCTGAACTAAGCAGTGAATTTGGGAACATTCAATTGAAATCATAGCACCAGCATAGTGACCCCACTCCAGCCACTTATCCTTAGTTAAACCACTTCTCAGATTTTTCATCTATCAAAATGGCACTACTGATTTTGCCATCACAAAAATAAGTTGATTAACAAAGTGTAACCCCTAATGTCTAATTATTTTCTCCAGAGACTCTGTGCCTATAATTCCAGAAGCAGCTAAGAGAGAGAAAGGTAGTGTAGTTACAACATGTAGATTTACTGAGTGTGAACACTTGATGTCTCAGGTATAATATAGGCAGTTGTGTCATTTCCATTTTTAAAACTCTATTTGTTATTTAAAATGATATGACTTTGTTAATATTCTGGTTACCTATTACTGTGTAACAAACCACTCCAAAATTTAGTGGCTCAAAACAGTACTTTATTAGTAGTATTATATACACCATTATTCTGTGGATCAATAATGCAAACCGGACCAGTATGGGTAGCTCATCTCTGCCTTATGATGCCTCGGACCACAGCTGGAATAACTTGGAGCTGAAAAGCTGTAGCTCTCTGTGTCTCTGTCTCTCTCTTCTTCCCTCCCTCCTTCAAGATAAAAGCCCGAATCTATTTCTGCCCATAGCCTCTCCACATGACTGGTTTGGGTTTGCTCACAGCATGGAAGCCTCCAGGTAGATATATTTCTTACATGGCAACTGAGGACACCAAGAACTTGTTCCCATAAACAGAAACAAGAAGGTGTAAGACTTTTAAGACGTTGGGCCCAAGAGGCACAGTATTACTTCTACTGTATTCTACTGGTCAAAAAAGAGTCTACTTAGATTCAAGAGAAGGAATATAGATACCATGACTCAATAGGAGGAGTTTTGAAGACCCTGAGGCATCTTTAACTCACCACAGTTAATTATATCCTGGCATGCCTCTACGATGTAGCAGACACTCTGGTTTCTGATGATGGAAGAGAAGCCCTGCTATTGTTTGAATATTTGTCCCCCCCCACCCCCACAAACCTCATGTTGAAATTTGATCCTGATGCTGGAGGTGGGGCCTAATGAAAGGTGTTTGGGTCATGGGGGTGGATCCCTCATGAATGGCTTGGTGCCCTCCTGGTGATAGTGAGCGAGTTCTTCCTCATTTAGTTCCCACAAAAGCTGGTTGTTTAAAAGAGTCCCACACCTGCCCTTGATTCCTCTCCCACCGTGTGGTCTCTGCGCATATGCCAACTCCGCTTCACCTTCTGCCCTCACCAGATGCCCAGTCTTCCAGTCTGAAGAATCGTGAACCAAACCAACCTTTTTTTCCTTATGAATTACCCAGTTTCAGATTTTCCTTTATAGCAACATAAAATGGACTAAGACAAGCACTTATTGGACCAACTCTCCCAAAGGTAACGATATAAATACTGGACAAAACATAAATAAATACCTGAAAGTACTGAAGATCAGCCAAAAGCAGATACTAGAGGAGAGTCAATACTTGGACAGGGGAATGGCACTAGTTTAAAATTTTCACTTTTATGGCTTTTTACCTCAAGGCAGGCCCTAATCTATCCCAAGCAGGCTAGCTAACACTAGGATAGAAAGTCTTAAGTCTTACTGGCTTGAAGAATAAGAAAAAATAGTTCAGAGCAGCCACAGTAGCCTAAAAGTGAAGGTGGGATGCCCCAAAAGAGAGCAAGCAAGAGAAAGAGACAGTCTCAAATTCTGCATATGAACTCTGCCCAAATCTCTAGCTGACCACTGAACTATTCAAATATAGGACAGACTCCAAGCAGCCCAGGTAAGACAAAAGTGTTAAGTGAGATTTCACCTTCTTTTTAGTGAAATTAGCTGACTGCTTTTATTTTTTTAAAGCAACAACTTTCAGAAGGACAAAACAGAATCCAGAGTATTAGCAATGTATCATTCAATGTTCCGGATACGATCCAGATATATAAACGTGTTAGAAAATGTGACCTAGACTCAAGAGAAAGTGAAATCAATTGCAGTCGTGACCCACATATTGAAATTAGCATAGAAGGAGTTTAAAACAGCTGTTTTAACTATGCTTAAGGGCATAAAAGAAAATATGCTTTTAATGAATGAAAAAATAGGAAATCTCAGCAGAAAAATGAAAACTATAAAAATAAAATGGAAACTTAATGAAAAACAAAATATCTAAAACAAAAATTTGAGTGGGCTTAATATAAAAAGAATAGAAGTGACAAAGGAAAGTGCCAGTAAGCTTGAAGATTCATCAAAAGAAATTATTCATTCTGAAGAACAGAGAGAAAAAAACTGAAAAATTTGAACAAAACTTCAGAGATCTGTGGAATGATATCAGAAAGTGTAACGCATGTAAAATTTGAGTCTCAAGAATTAAAGAGAGCGGAAGTATGGGTGGGGGGAGTCTTTGAAGAAATAACGACAAAATTTTCCAAAATCTGGTTAAAGAAACAAATCTAAAGATTCAAGAAGCTAAGCAAACCACAAGAAGAGTACATGCAAAGAAAATCACATCTATGTACATACATCATACTCAAACTGCTGAGAACAAAGAAAAGGGGAAAATCTTGAAAGCAGCTAGAGAAAAACAACAGATTACCTACAAAAATCAAAACCAAAAAAACAAAAAACCCAGTAAGAATTAAAGCTGCCTTCTTGTCAGAAACAACAGAGACCAGTCAGGTGTGGTGTCTCATGCCTGTAATCCTAGCACTCTTGGAGGCCAAGGCAGGTGGATTACTTGAGGCCAGGAGTTCAAGACCAGCCTGGCCAACATAGTGAAACCCTGTCTCTACCAAAAATATAAAAATTAGCTTGGTATTGTGGCAAACACTTGTAGTTCCAGCTATTCAGGAGCCTGAGGCAGGAAAATTGCTCGAACCCAGGAGATGGAGGTTGCAGTGAGCTGAGACTGCATACACTGCACTCCAGCCTGGGCAACAGGGTGAGACTCCATCTCAAAAAAAGAAAAAAGAAAAGAAACAACAGAGACCAAAAGAAATCTTTAAAGTGGTGAAGCCACAGTGGCTCACCTCTGTAGTATCAGCAATTTGGGAGGCCAAGGCAGCCAGATTGCCTGAGCATAGGAGTTCAAGACCAGCCTGGGCAACATGGCAAAACCTCGTCTCCACAAAAAAAGTCCAAAAATTAGCTGGATGTGGTGGCAGAGGTTGCATTGAGCCAACACTGTACCACTGCACTCCAGCCTGGGCAATGAAGTGAGACTCTGTCTCAAAAATAAATAAATAAATAAATAAATAAATAAATAAATAAAGGTGGTTAAAGAAAAACACCACTGTTACTGCAGAATTTTATATCCAGCAAAAATACCCTTCAAGAATGAAGACAAAATAAAGGGGTTTTCAAATAAACACAATGGAACACTAAGAAATGCAATACCTTATAAAATATAATATCTTGTTAATTGCAACTGAACTGATTAACAGTGTTTATTTAAGATATAAACTTACTTTGCTCTTTTAATATTCCCAACTTTTCTGCTACTTCATTTCACTTCAGCTGCTTTAATCTGTGCACAATTTTGCCACTTGCCTAACCCCACTTCTGCCTCTCTTCTCCTCCTATGTACCAAAGAATATTGAAAGTTGACTGATGGAACAGTAATAAAAAACTGTTATTTTGAGCAAGTACTCTTCCAGAATGCTTTCATGGCTATTTCTTATCAATAATTGGGGATGGTATTATCAGGAAAAAAGTTACAGAAAATAAACCGAGAGAAACTAATTACCAATCATCTGTCCAGAGTCGTACAGCTAGAAGTGCTAGAATCAGGTCCAAGTAGTGGTTCTTGATCTGTTTGAATAATATTATACGGACGCTTACATATAGCTTGAAAATGGACTAAGACCTTACGGACCTCTTCTAAGATCTTACACTACACTTAGTGTGAGATCTTAGTATGTGCTTTATGAATGCCATTACCTATGATTGGAGACAGAGAACCTATAATGTAAAGACTTAGCTACACTATTTGAGTAGCTAAGTCACTTTTCATTGTAAAGGCAAACTTTCAGTTTAGCACCCTGGTAGCATCCGTTAATTGCTGTTCACTGCCCGCCCTCTCCCACACCCTACACCCTCTTTCCTTTAGCAATAAGGAGCACCCTCAACAGCCCCCAAACACAATATTGACTGCTGCTTTAGCTGGGCTCATAGCTGCTCAACTAGAGACTGTATTTCCCAGCCTCCCTTGAAGCTAGGTATGGCAACATGACCAAGTTTGGGCAAATCCAAACTATGAGTAGACATGGGTATGACCAGGTTCAACTTCTGGTCAAATTCATAAAGAAAAACACACTTGCCTTAGACTCTCTATCTTCCCTTTCCTGAGGGCTGGAAAATGGAAATATGAGCCTCTGCTTTGGACCTGGAGATGGGAGCCACATGTTAAAAGGCAGCAGAGCCCACTTGTCTACCAGTCCCCAAAGAGCACAGCCACCTTGCCAGCCCTGGATGGCTCACTTCAGCTCTGGGCATAGAATACTCTTATAACAACTGGGGAAAGAAAGAAAGAAGGAAGGGAAGGGAAGAGAAGAGAAGGGAAGGGAAGAGAAGGGAAGGGAAGGGAAAGAAAGCAAGCGAGAAAGAAAGAAGAAAGAAAGAAAGCGGGGGGAGGGAGGGAGGAAAGGAGGGAAGGAGAGAAGGAAGGCTAAAGACATGTATTGTACACCTGTATGTATGACCATCTATCCCTCTGTGACTTTGGGATTCCACTTAATTTCTCTATGCTTCTGCTTTTCCATCTGTAAGATGGCTGATCCTTTACTTCTTCATAGGGCTTGCCTGAGAATGGAGTAAGATGTTGTGTATAAACATTAGCATTGCACTTGGTTGGCAGAAAGCAAGAGCCCAATACACATTGCATTATTGTGTCACTGGGCTAGACGCTATGGAATATTTGAATACAGACAAAGTCTTTCCCTTTAAGTACTAAGTGCCCTCACATTGTGAAGACAGTATCTGCTTCATGAATGCCATCGACCTCTGAGTGGAGACGGAGAACCTATTGCTTCTAGGACAGAAGGTAATGATGGCGTAGGCTGTGTTTTAATCTTCACTTGACAACCCTTCTTTCTCAGCATTCTCAACTTACCTGTCTTAAAAGAGTGAAGGTAAACAACAAGAACACATGGACACAAAGAGGGGAAAAACAGACACCAGGGCCTACTTGAGGGTGGAGGTAGAGAGGGGGGAGAGGGAGGTAGAGAGGGGGGAGAGGACAAAAAAAATTACTATTGTGTACTATGCTTATTACCTGGGTGACTAAATAATTTGTACACTAAATCCCGCAAGACGCAGTTTACCTATGTGACAATCCTGCACATATACCCCTAAACCTGAAATAAAAGTTAAAAAGAAAAAGAATAAAGGATTTCTTTTTTTAAAAAAAAAAAAAAAGACACAAACTTTCTTTTGTTGTTGGGAGGATATACACACATATGTGTGTATGTGTGTATATGTTTGTGCATGTATGTATATGCATGTGTGTATATATATCAGGTTAATTCTTAGAAAATTATGAATACCTCATTTTGAGACTGGCTCATTACTGGGTTCCTAGGATGACAAATTCCTTTCAATAAAAGAAATTGTTATTTTCCTGCTATATTACTAGCGACTTCCCTCCCTATCCTCCACACACCCCCAAGTCTGAGCGTTTCTCAATTCTCTTTCGAAAGGGTATGTAATATATTTAGCAAGCGATAGCGTGGTAAGACTGTTCAACATTCAATTCATGTCTTCAGCACCAACAGAGGAAAGGTTAGAAATATAAGCGCAGCCCCTTGTTTATTGCAATTTCACAGCTGTGGCAAATGCCACAGAACTCGGGGCTGGCAGCATGAATTAGTAAAACCTGGCAGGAATGTTTCCTTTTCCCTCGCTGCCTCATCTCTTTTCAGGGTGGCTGCCAGTTAATGCTTATAATATGTTAATTTGTGAAAATAGAGAATACAAGGAAGGACAAGGAGAGGAGTGCTTGGGGAGAGCCGGGGAGGCAGGGTAGGGCCAGGCTGGCAAAGGAGGAAGAGATGCCAGAGAGAAGGGGGAGAAGATGAGAGAGAAGGGCAGGGGCAGAGGGAAGGGCAATGCAGTTTGGGGAGAAGGAGACTGTTCAAAGAAAGCCGTGGGGGAGGGTGGGAAGTCCTCAGACACACGAAGAAGAGGAGTCATTTCCATTCTATCTCTCTGGCAATGAGATAAGCATGATGGGAGAAGAAATATAGTGATAATTTCCAAACTAACGAAGGAGTCAAATCTCAGTCTAGACTCTTTTTAGCAACTTGAACATTGGAAAGAGTGCTATTTGTATCAATATTAAGGCACACATCTCCCCTTATGCCCTCATTCCTGCTTCTGGTGATAAGTTATCGCCAACATCTGCATCTATGGGTAACTCCAGAAAGGCTGGATTCCAACTCTTGAACCTTAAATTCCAACCCATCCCCCACAGGGTGTGCCACACTGGAATGGTCGGAACCTAAAGATGAGTTTAAGTAAGGGAGGTACTGGGGGTCTAGGTGGCGTGCTGACCCTCCAGAAGAGGTACTGCAGGTGGGGCCCTCATGCTGTTCCTGACATATTGAACAGTAGGGCTTCCTGCCTGTTGGCTTCCTCCCTTACCTGAGGTCTCTGCCTCTATACACAATAGCCTGCCAGCCTCCCCGCACCAGGCGGCTGCTCAACATCCATAGAAAACGCAGGAGCTGACTAGGAGAAGGGTAAAAAAGGAATGCAAAATTTGGGAAAGAAAATTGACTAGATAAATAATGGATGACAACAGGCTGTGAAATCTGAACTCTAATTTCTAGCTATTTCTCCAAACAATTCTGTCTCAGCAAGTATAACGTAACTGCTTTTGGAATAAACAATTTATTTTTCAACAAATCTTTTAGGTCCAACAAGACCTAGAACAGGGAAGTATTAACACTGAAGTAAGCACATTGAGCTCTTTTTTCCAATTTAACAGAATTATAACTTTTGTGAAAGGCTCTGGATGAATAGCTTTGGGTAATGTCTGGGTTCACCACGGAGCCCTGGTGTTCACACTTGGGCTGTGTGGCTTCACTCCTCCACCCTTCCAATACCTATTCTTTAAACTACCACAGGCCAAATGCCTATTTTCCAGACCCCTCTTCTACTTTCCTATTGTGATCCAAACTCCCTCCATCTTAGTAAAACCCTAAGAAAGCCAGGAGAAAACCTTGTCTTCAGCCCACACCCCAGCTTTGCTACCACAAAAAAGGCAAACTCAGTGCCAGCTTTCATTGGCCACCTTCCTCCTGCAGAAGGGCTGTCAGAGGGCAAAGTGCCTTTCCCCATCTCCAAACTAGCCAGACTCATTCCCAGGAACCAACCAAAGAAAAATGCTCAACTCTTCATCTTGAGCCTTTCAGTTCCATTTTCGACAGATCTGAGTTGACTTGTCAAAGGCTGAGTTACAGTTTATAGTTAAAGTTGAATTTGAAAGGAAAAAAGAAAAATAATAAAACAAGTTGTCAGATATTCTCTCCATGTGCACTGAGTTTTAAAAGCTTTCTCTGCCGATTTTTTACACCGGCCCCAAGTAGAAATAATAGATATCTCCTTTAGGAAAACCAGTCATCCAGTTGAAACTGAGCAGATTTGTGTGGAAAGAGCCCATCTGACATGAAGGATAAAGGCAGTATGGTATATTAGTATGAGCACAAGCTTTGGAGCCAGGGTCGTTGAGTTCAAATCTCAGGTCCACCATTTACTACTTCTGGGACCCTGGGAAAGTTATTTAATCTATGCCTCAGTTTCTTCAACCTCTCAAAATGCAAGTGTGAGCGAAGGTATGAATTTCACTGAGTTGGGAGGATGAAGTAAGTGGATAATTAGCTGGTACATAGTAGACTCCACTTGAATTAACCATCACTACTATTACTATGATTATTATTATTATACATTCTTTGAAACAAGAGTGTCCAGTATGAAACTAGTCTTCCTAGTTGCTAAGAGAACTGTGTCCAGGAGGAAGGGCCCTGGGTAAGTCACTTTTTTTCCAGTTGTATTTCAACTGTGATTACTCACTACAGTAAAGAGGACAGATTAGAAAAAAAGGTGAGCAAATAATTAAATAATTAAAGTGGTACTTTCCAGCCCTGTTGGTTAAGTTTTCCTACCCAAAAACTAGAAGTTGACAGCTGCAAATTTAGGAATTCCTAAGAGGGGCTTATGCTGGGCGAAAGGAGTGCACAAAATACAGTTTTATTGATTATGTAATTGTGAGTTTAGAGTTGTATATGACACCAGCTGTCCCAATATGAAACATTTGGAGCAATAGTTGCATTTATTAGCACAGAATTGATTTACAAAACTCAAGGAGGGCACAGAATTCCTATGAACTGTAAATTAGTAAATTGCTTTTTAATCTACCATAAAAGATCACTAAAAAGTCCTTTTGAAATCAGAGTTCTGCTAATTCAATCATGAACACATTTACCCAATGGTGCTCAAGGTAAGAGGAAATCTTAAAGGCTGCACAATTACCATTAAAAACATATAATTTCAAAAATGATTTAGTTTAATTACAATATCAGATACAGGTATATGTTATTCTGAGGACACATTGGCCTTGACACTAATATTTGTTTTAAAAAAATGAAATGGCACTTTTTGTGTTCTGTGTCTCTGATTGTATCCACTTCTTTGTGAGCCAACGAAGACAATAGGAAACACAATGATACTGTGGACAGCCTTAAGGCAGAGTGCATGGTGCTCCCCAGCCTTCAATGTACAGAGAGGACAAGAGGAAGAGAGGTCAAGTTGGCCTGGTGTAGGAATTGTAGGATACACCCTACATCAGAGACAGAAGGCATATAGCCCAGCAATCTCCCTCCCATGTGATAGATGAGGAAACTGAGACTCAGAAAGGTGAAGTGATTTGTTTGTCTTTAGTTAGGGGCGAACATAAAGACTAGAACTCAGTTCTTTTAATTCAATGCTCTTTCTTCTTTACCAGCTGTTCTTAAACTTTAAAATACTTAAGAATTACCTAGGGACCTCGTTCAATGTGGTGATTCCTAACCCCTTCCATTCTGATCTGATAGGACTGGGATGTAGTACATTTTTAACAAATTCAGGCAATGTGACTCAATTAGATCCAGAGAGCACACTTCGAGAAATCGTGCTTTATTCAAGTGTCTTCTGGCTTCTGATTTTCAGTTAATTAAGCTATTCAAGTAATTGATCCAGACGTGAAAGCGCTTTGAAAAGTTGTATAAATGTACCTCCAGTGTGTCCTAACTGGTACGCCTCACTCCTCAGTGTACTTCTCCATTCACAGTATGATCCATGGAGAAGCAGCATCATTATCACCTGGGAGCTTGTTAGAAATACAAGATCTTGGCTGGGCGCAGTGGCTCACACCTGTTATCCTAGCACTTTGGGAGGCTGAGGCGGGCTGATCATGAGGTCAGGAGATCAAGACCATCCTGGCTAACATGGTGAAACCCTGTCTCTACTACAAATACAAAAAATTAGCCAGGTGTGGTGGCACGCGCCTGTAGACCCAGCTCCTCTGGAGGCTGAGGCAGGAGAATTGCTTGAACCTGGGAGGCGGAGGTTGCAGTGAGCCGAGATCGTGCCACTGCACTCCAGCCTGAGCAACAGAGCGAAACTCTGTCTAAATACAGGATAGGATCTCAAGCCTCTCCCCACACCTACTAAATCAAAGCCTGTATTTTAACAAGACCCTTAGGTGATCTGAATGCACAGCAAAATTTGAGAAGCTCTGATAAAAGGTCCACCTCTCGCCCCAACTTGTTCTTGTTATCTATTGCTTTATTATAAACTACCACAAAAGCTTGTGCTATATAAAAACAATGACATTGTTCTATCTCATGATTTGATGGATTAAGAATTAGGTAGTACTCACCTGAGTGATTTCTTCTGTCCCGTGATGTCAGCTCCCCAGCTGAAACATCTGGAGATGAATGGGTCAGCTCAACTAGATCCATATGTCCGGGCCCCTGGTTCTTCTCAACATGGCATGTCCTGGAACTGAAATGTCCAATATGGTGCCTCCATTCACGTGACTGGCATCTGAGCTGGGATGAGTGGAACAGCTGGAGACTGGTCCATTTCCATGCAAAGTGGTACATGGTGGCTGACTTTCCCCCCATTGAGGGGTTCAAGAGACAGGAAGTGGAGGCTGCCAATCTCTTAAAACCTGGTCTCAGAAAGTGGCACAACATCACTTCCTCCATAGATCATTGTTCATGGAATCATGGAGCCTGCCCAAATTCATGGGGAGGGAACACGGACCCCAATTTTCAACGGAGGAGGAATTTGTGGCCATCTCTAATTAGCCACAGAGCTTATTAACTGTGCATGGCAAATGGGTAGGTTTCTGAAGCACTTCAAGCCAGTCCATGGTCAGAGAGCCAAACTCTGAGGGCTTCATCATAAATAATATCTGAGGTGAGACACACCACCACCGCCAACTGTAAATACACGCACACCCCCCACAACCACAATTACACACACACACACCCCACCACCACAATTACACACACACACACCCCACCACTACCACCACACACACACATACACGCACACACACACAAACACACCATACATACACACACCACCACCACACACACACACACACACAAACACACCACACATACACACACCACCACTACCACCACCACACACACACACAAACACACCACACACACACACCACCACCACCACCACACACACAAACACACCATACAAACACATACCACCACTACCACCACCACACACACACACATACACGAACACACCACTTGTACACACACCACCACCGCCGCCACCACCACTCATACACCACATATATTTTTCTCCCAGAATGGGACTGAATTAACTACAAATGGCTCAATCTGTAAGATACTTGAAGTTAGGAGCCTGCTGTTACGCCTCCTCCTACTCTATCTTTACGCCTCCTCCTACTCTGCTCTACCTCACTTGTGTTTAAAACAGTTCTTTATACACAGTAGGTACTCAATAAATATTTGTTAATTTTGATTTGTTAATTAAATGTTGATTAATTTAATTTTAATGTTTCAATATATGGACTCCAGAAAATATGATCAGGTATCATCGTGGCAGGATTAATACACTTGAACTGAAAAAGGAAATAATAATAATATCTGAGGTGAGAAAAGGGAGATTAACTGGAAAAGGCTTTATAGGAGATGGGACTCAAATTGAACCTGGAAGCCTGAATAGGGGCTGGATAAGCAGAAAGAAATGGAAAGGCATTCCAGAGCAATTTCTAGGCCTAACCGCAGTCTGGTTTTTTGTCCTATTTCTCTATCCCTCTCCACCCTGGACATTAGGTTTCCACCACACTATGAGGATACCCACATTTTAATCTTCCCATGGTAATCTCGAGGGTACATTTGCAAAGCAGAATCTGCCTTTCCGATGGAAGTTTCCGAAGAAGTTTCCCACAGGCTCACCACCATATTACGTATTCAAGGAAAATCAACAACTTTGAACTATACCAGAGAGAGTGGTTTTCTTGAATCTGTCATGTCCTATCTTTTTTGTTTTGTTTTGTTTTTGAGATGGAGTCTCGCTCTGCTGCCCAGGCTGGAGTGCAGTGGGGAGATCTCGGCTCACTGCGAAGTCCACCTCTCAGGTTCCAGTGATTCCCCTGTCTCAGCCTCCTGAGTAGCTGGGATTACAAGTGACCACCACTATGCCTAGCTGATTTGTGTATTTTTAGTAGAGACGGGGCCAGGCTGGTCTTGAACTCCCGATCTCAAGTGATCCACCCACCTCGGCCTCCCAAAGTGCTGGAATTACAGGCGTGAGCCGCTGCGCCGGGCCTCATGTCCTATCTTAATAGAATGGACAAGTCCAGGCTTCGAGTTTCCTCGGCTCTAACTGGAATATTACAGCCATTCTACAGGAAATCCAAAGCCCAGAATGACCCTTGGATCCAGAGAAGCAGCCAGAAATATACCATGTACAAACGTGAAATTTTTAAAAGCAGAAAACCAATTGAACATAAAGTAGGTTCCCAAATACATAGAAAATAAATGTAGACAGATAAAATATTGGAAAAAAATAAGGCATAACATTAATTATTTCTTAATTGTGAAAATAGCATGATTTGTTCCTCTTATCTTTCACATATTTCAGTACGTTTCAGCAATGAGTGGGTGTTATTTTCAAAATCATAAGAACATTTTGGTATAAAGATCTATTTTTATTTCAAAGAAGATTCTAAGAACTTTCACATGACGATGAATTCTTCAAAAACACAGTTTTCACAAGCCCTGTCACAGATCCTTCTGGAGACCCGCATACTTCTAGTGTTTGCCCTGACGAATGCCAGTTCTGTTCTTCAAGATTTGCTTGTCAGAAAATGAAGACACACAGAATGAGTTATTTCAGCAGGAAGTGTTCCAGGATTCTGGAAACAGATGATGCTTTCTTTCAGCCTGTTGTCATTCTTCTCCTTCACCAAGATATTGTCGTCATCACTCTGGGTTTAACTCAGCTTGACAGTAGCCACACTTCCATGTTGCTCTTCATCTCTTCCTTTGGTAAAAGTCTGCAAATTGAGGCTCAGCTAACAGCTATTTCATACTAATCAGACACTGGGTCTAAATTAGAACCAAGAAAAGGTCTATGGCAAGATAGGGTGAGGCCACAGCGACATTTTATGCTCTGGATCACCCCTCATGAATGCTTACTAGGCCATTTGCTCTCCTCTTTTACAGGCGAGAGGGTTGTGGCTCTCACTACCTATCATAAACTATGGCAGCGTAACCCTTCACTTGCTTTTCTTATTCACTTCCAGTTTGTGCTGCTGCTAAAATATTCTGCTTCTCAGCTGCCAGTATCGGCGTCTAAATCATCCCCAGTCCAAGGCGCCAGCTCTTCTGGTGCAGAAACCACAGACTCAGCAGCCAGGATGTCATCAGCATACTCGAGATTACATCATCTCCTTCTGCCAACCTTAATACCACTATGGTAACCATCAACAGCAATACCCATGATTATTTCAGTAGAAATATTGAACAGATGTGACAGCCTTGTCAAACTCCTTTGCTGGTGTCCAACCACTCTGTTATACCTTTTGCAATTCTAAAATCTCTCTTCTGGCCATAATAGAGACAGCACATGCTGACCTCCCGCTAGGGAAACTGCTCCCATAGCGTCAGTTGGCATATCAAAGACTAACTACGAACACCACCTTATATACACAGTGCTTTACAGCCTGCTAATCATTTTTGCAGACATTCTCCTTTTTGACTCTCAAGCCAGCTGAGACAGCTGTGGTATAAGTTGAAAGGGCACTGGAGTTTCTGTCAGGAGTTTTGACTTTCTTGGTTGCTTACTACCTTTGAAATCTTGAGCAAATCACTCTGAGCTTGTTTTTTGTCAGTAAAATACTTCTTGTTCTCAACCTAACTTGAAAAACAAATGAGGTGGTACATTTAAAAATAATAAATTATGAAGATAGTTACTCAAACTAATACTTGTACATGAATGTTTCTATCAGCACTATTCACAATAGCCAAAAGGTGAAAACACCAAAATCTCTAGCAACAGACGAATGGATAAACAAAATGTGGTATATCCAGACAATAGGATATTTGTCAACCATAAAGAGGAATGGGCCAGGCGCAGTGGCTCATGCCTGTAATTTCAGCATTTTGGGAGGCTGAGACTGGCAGATGATTTGCGGTTAGGAGTTCAAGACTAGCTTGGCCAACATGGTGAAACCCTGTCTCTGCTAAAAAATATAAACATTAGCTGGGTGAGGTGGTGGCGTGCACCTGCAATCCCAGCTACTTGGAGGCTGAGGCAGGAGAGTTGCTTGAACCTGAAAGGTGGAGGTTGCAGTGAGCCGAGATTGTGCCACTGCACTCCAGCCTGGGCAACAAAGTGAGACTCCGTCTCAGAAAAAAGAGGAACAAAGTATTGAAACATGCTACAGTGTGGCTGAACCCAGAAAACATTATGCTAAGTGAAAGAAGCAAGACACACAAGATCACATATTATATGATCCCATTTATATGAAATACTCAAAGTAGGTCAATCCATAGAGGCAGAAAGCAGATTGGTGGTAGCCAGAGGCTAGGAAGAAGCAGGAAGAGGGGGTGACTGCTTAGTACAGGGTTTTCTTTTGGGGTGATAAAAATGTTTTGGAACTAGATAGAGGTGGCTCTTGCCCAACATTGTAAGTGTACTAAATGCCACTGAATTGTACACTTCAAAGTGGTAAATTTTGTTATATGAATTTTACCTTAATGAAAAATAATAATAAATTATAAAGCACATGAAAATCTAATTAGCATTTCTCAGGGGAAAAACAGCCTCAGGAAGATTAAGTGACTTATGAAAGAACAGAAACTTTCAAAACGAAACAAAGAAGTTCATTCTGAGGGGAGAATGCCGGTCTTTTGACAGGCCAGGAAGGGCTTCTATCCTGCTCTGGGTAGGAATAGAAGTCTAAGCTCTTAAGATGTCACCATTCTCAGCTCTGAAATTTTGTTCTGACTCCCGTATCTCTTGCAAAACCCAATCCCCATAGCACTGTTTCCAGCCTCTTCTACTTATCAGTTCACAGCAAAAGGAAGACAAAATGATCATTTAGAATAAGGAGGTAAAGGGTCATTGGGAGACCAGAGAACTTCTCTCTTTATCTTGTCTAAAGAAAAAGAAGGTTCCTGAATACTGAGTGATAAATTGAGAAGATAGAAAGCTTTGTTAGAATAGAAGGGAATGAAATTAAAAAAAAAAAAAAAAAGAAATGAAAGCTTTGTTAGAGATGCATATCCCTCCCCAGTTCAACCGAAGCAGAATCTGCATTTTACCAAGATTCTCAGGTAATCCGTGTGCTCAGGAAAAGTTTGAGACACAGTGCTCCGGGCCACTAGACATGTAACAGAGTCTCTCCATAATGAAAATGAGGGTGTCGGAGATGTAAACAGTAAGTCATGTTGGACCTCTTAGGCCATTTGTTCTGAGTAGAATGTTAATTTCCATCATCTTTACCAACATCTCTGAAAAGCTTGTGAACGGTGGAGAAAGCACATGGGCTGTTCACCCAGTTACAACAAACTGCAGATATTCTTAGCCTCCATTATTCTGTACCCTGAAAACCATGATGTCACCTCTCCAGTTTCTAGTAATCTCTCTAGTTCACAGGTAAATGTCCAGCAAGGCATTATTAAATTACTAAACATCACAGCTACTGGAATCTTTAGGAGTCATCTGGCCAGCGTTCCCAAATGCTATTCCACGGATCAGTTCTGAGCTAGCTACATCAAAATCACCTGGGGTGCATTTCAAAAGCAGATCCCTAGGGTGTAGAATCTTCTCATTAAGTCTGGAAAGAAGCCATGAAATATGTTTTTAAAAAGCTCTCCAGGTGATTCTAATGCACAAATTTGGACACAATCTGTCTAGCTCTGCTCATGCATCCACAGCCACAGCCCAAATACCTTCAGAAACAGAACTTTCATTGCAGAGAGCTAATTGTCAGAAAGCTCTTTCCAACACATTGCGTCAATACCTGCCTCTATAATTTCTACCTTTTGTTCTGTCCTTTTGAGCCATACAAAATCATGTGAGTGTGTTTTTGATGTAGAATCTCTCTTTCACATGATACGACAGCTTTTCAAATGTCTGGTTCCACACACTGTGTCCATATGTCTTCTCTAATAATACTTTTTGCCTTGAAGTCTATTTTGTTTGGTAATAATGAAGCTACCAACTTTTTTCCCCTAGTCTTTTACTTTTAGTCTTACTGTTTCCTAATAATTTTGATTTGTCTGTTATAAGCAAAATACAGCTAGATTTTTAAAATTCAGTCTAATAATTTCTTTGAATTGGCAAGTTTAGGCAAATTACATACACATATTACTAATATGTTTGAAATTATTTCTACCATCTTATTCTACACTCTCTTTTATCCTATTTTTCTCTCTCTCTTCTTTTCTTTCCTGCATTCTGGCAGATGGGTTGAAGTTTCTTTGCCTTCCTTCCCTCTCCCTCCTTCTCTTCCCCAAGTGCCCTGGTTTTGGAAGTTGTATCAGCATCAGTAGGCATTTATAGAGGTTATTTTTTAAAAATTTTGAATAACATGAATATGTAACAAAATCTCAACAAGCTTTAAGAATAGTTATTATTCTTAAAAATTTGGCCCATGTGCTTACCAAAATCTAAAGTTAATCACTATCTATTCTGCCTCCTCAACAAGTCATGGAGCTTAGAACCCTTTACCTACAGGCCAGGCGCCGTGGCTCACGCCTGGAATGCCAGCACTTTGGGAGGCTGAGATGAGCGTATCACCGGAGGTCAGGAGTTTGAGACCAGCCTGGCCAACATGGTGAACCCTGTCTCTACTAAAAATACAAAAATTAGCTGGGTGAGCTGGGACCTGTAGTCCCAGCTACTCGGGAGGCTGAGGTAGGAGAATCACTTGAACCCAAAATACCCGAAAGGTGGAGGTTGCAGTGAGATGAGATGGCGCCATTGCACTCCAGGCTCCATCTCAAGAAAAAAAAAAAAAAAGGGACACTTTAACTTCAAGTAATCCCCTCCTGCTTTCCATATACCTGCTGTTCAATATTTTAAATTTAGTTTTTTTTTTTAATCCCCAGTAAATTACTATTGTTGCTGTTGCTTTATGTCAGTTATTCTTTGGACTCATTCACATATTTATTTGCTTCCTTTTTTTTTTTTTTCTTTTTGAGATGGAGTTTCGCTCTTGTTGCCCAGGCTGGAGTGCGATGGTGCAATCTCAGCTCACTGCAACCTCCGCCTCCCAGGTTCAAGCAATTCTCCTGCCTCAGCCTCCAGAATAGCTGGGATTACAGGCGAGCACCACCACGCCTGGCTAATTTTTTGTATTTTTAGTAGAAACGATATTTCACCATGTTAGGCAGGCTGGTCTCGAACTCCTGACCTCAGGCTCATCTCAGCCTCCCAAAGTGCTGAGATTACAGGTGTGAGCCACTGTGCCCAGCCCTGCTTCCTATTCTTTCATCTCAATTCTTCCTTCTGGATTCAATTTTCTTATTCACTGAGGATCTATTGGTAAAATATGCTCTCAGGGTTTGTCTAAAAACATTTTCATTTTTCTCTCACTATTGTATGATAACTTAGCTGAATGCAGAGTTCTTGGTTGACAGTTATTTTTCTGAGCACTTTGACTATATTATTAATTTTCTTATGATTTTTATTGTTGCTATAAAGAAGTCAGCAAGTCTAAATGTAGTTCCTTTATAAGTTACCTATCTTCTTTTCTCTGAACTCATTAAATATTTTCTTTTTGACTTTGGTGTTTCACAGTTTCATTACAATGAATCTAAAAGTCTTAAATGTCTAAAGGTCTTAAACGCCTCCTGTTTGAGAGGCTAATTTTATACTAGGCATCTCAATTCTTGAAAACAGTAATAGACTTCTTTCTGTCTCTATGGGTTGACCTGTTTATGAAAGTGGCACAGAACAAAGAATCAGAAAACCTAGGTCCTAACTAAACAAGCCCGGTAAAAATAAACAGCCTCCATTAAAAGGCTTGCACGAAAATGTGTTATAGGTGCACTCAGTAAATATCTTCAACGCTCCCATCCTATAGGAATTGTACAAGAGTCACCTCATTTTGTTCTGTGGCTGCTACATCTTTTAGTAAACTCAAGGTCTCCCTGCCTTCAAAGCACTCTAAACTGCACTCACTCTGCATCTATCACTTTTCTGACCGATATTGGTGACAAGACTTTAAAAGGATATGAGCTATAAAATAAATATCCATGAGTTCACACTGATGTAAATACATAATTGAATAAACAGGAGGATAGGAGGGTGGTGAGGGTTGAAAAATTACCTATTGGCTACAATGTTCACTATTCGGGTGGTGAATACACTAAAAGAGCAAGATTTCACCTCTACACAATATTTCCGTGTAACAAAACTACACTTGTACCCTCTGAATCTATTAAAGTAAAAATAAATTAATAAATGGGGGAAAGAGATGCACTTCCTTATAGAAGAATCCCAAATAACTTTTGTAGATATTCCTCCCTCCAGGAGGCGGAGATCAATTCTAGCACTCCCCACCCACCCCCATCTTGGCTGTGGCTGAACTTAGTGACTTGCTTCCAAAGAACAGAATAGACAAAGGGCAGTGGGAAGGACCTTTGCAGTAGAGAAATCTGACGGTCACCACCTCAGCCAGGTGATCAAGGTTAACATCTCCAGTGATGAATCATGGTGGTAGCAGCTACCCCTTGATGTAATGTAATGAAAAGGGCACATCTCCTCCATGGTATTCTTCCCCAGACTCCAGTTTAGTCATGAGAAAAACACTGGATGAACCCAAATTGAGGGACATCCTACAAAATACCTGATCAGTAGTTCTTAAAACTCTCAAGATCATGAAAAACAAGGAAAGATCAACAAACTGTCATAGACCAGAGGAGACTAAGGAGACTAAATGCAAAATGTGGACTCCTGGATGGGATCTTGGAATGAAAAAAGAAAAAAAAAAAGGATATTACTGGAAAAGCTATTGAAATCCAAATGAAGTCTGGTGTTTAGTAAATAATGTTGTTCTAATGTTGGTTTCTTAGTTTTGGCAAATGTTCCATGGGTATGTAAAATAAGAATAGGGGAAACTGGATGATGGGTGTATGGGAATTCTCTGTGTTATCTTTGCAGCTTTTCTTAAAATCTAACACTATTCCAAAATAAAAAGAGTATTTAAAAAAACACTATCCAAAGAATTGAAAACAGGTATTCAAATAAATGCTTACATATGAATGTTGGTAACAGCAGTATTCATGATAATCAAAGGTTACAACAACCCAAATGTCCATCAATGGATAAATGGATAAACAAAATGTGGTTTTTCTATACAATAGAATATTATTCAGTCATAAAAAGGAAAGAAGTATTGATACATGCTACGATGTGAATGAATCTAGAAAACATCATGCTAAATGAAAGGAGTCAGATACACAAAGTCACATATTATATAACTCCATTTATATGAAATATCCAGAATAGATCAATCCATACAGAAAGCAGATTGGTGGTTGTCAAGGGCTGGGAGGAGGGGAAAAAGGGGAAGTTACTGCTTACAATGTATGGGCTTTTTGAGGGGGTAATAAAAATGTTTTGGAACTAGACAGAGGTTGTAGTAGTACAACATTGTAAATGTATTAAACGCCACTGAATTGTTCAGTTTAAATAGTTAATTTTATGTTATGTGAATTTCACTTCAATTGAAAAAAAAAAAAGAATATGGCTGGGCATGGTGGCTCACACCTGAAATCCCAGCACTTTGGGAGGCTGAGGTGGGCAGATGACTTGAGCTTCAGGAGTTCGAGACTAGTCTGTGCAGCACGGCGAGACTCCGTCTCTACAAAAAATCAGCAGGCATGGTGGTGCGCGCCTGTAGTCCCAGCTACTCAGGAGGCTGAGGCGGGAGGATCATCTCAGCCTGGGAGGTCGAGGCTGCAATGAGCTGAGATTGTGCCACTGCACTCCAGCCTGGGCAATAGAGCAAGACCCTGTCTGGAAAAAAAAAAAAAAAAGGAATGTTACCTAAATGTTCTAAATGTTAGGTTTGACAAGAGTCTCAGCCAAGAAACAGAGAAGGAAGAAACAGATCTAGAGTAACCGACTGGCTAACTATCCTCCAGGCACATCCTTAACAAGAAACTATAATGAGCAGGAGCTCGGAGTCTGTAGACCTAGGAAATAAAAATGCTGACATTTAGAAAAGCAGATATAAAAGAATGTAAGACAATTTTTCTAGGAAATTTTATGTGGATTACAATGCCAAAATAAAGTTCTTATTTAAGTCAGGAACATTTCTTCATTCTTCATGCTCTCCAACTTTTCTCATAACATATTTTTGCAATTATGAAGAACAGAATTATATACACCTAGAAGATAAACTCCATAAGGGAAACCCCATCTATCTTTTTTTGTACTGATCCCTTAGGGCCTACCATAATGCATGGTACATGGTGGACCACCAATAAAAGTTGGTTAAATATATTAATTTTGAAAAACATGGAATATACTAAGAAAATATTCTATTTTAATTTAGTAGCTTTTAAAATAAACGTTGCAGCTGCAATAATTAATGTGCTTTTGTTCATCAATATACACATTTTAAAATCACAATGAACTCTTCTAATGCTATGGCAAGCTTTTGATAAATGTTTAAAAAACTTTTGTAAACCAAACTATATGATTTTATTTAATTTCAGCATGGGAAAAATCATTAGTTTTCAAACTCATTTACTCATACTGTTGAAATTCCATATCCCTTATTAGCATCCATAGGTTTTTGTCCATATTTACTGATATACTAGTTAGAATTTTTAAACAAAAAAAATGTTTAGCTTACAATGTGGATAGAGTACTACCTGAACCTTGAGGATGCAATTTTTACTATTATAATTCTACTTGCCATTATGTGGCAGTGACTATAAACAGTAGCCAGTGATCCCCTTTTAGTGATTTATAGAAAAACACTGCATTTAGAGGAGGTAAGTTAAGCTAGCCTGGAGAGTTTAAAAGTTAAAACATATAAAAATCAAACTTTCCTTTATGTCTATGCATATTTTCAGAGAGAGACTAAATATAGCATTAAGTTGTGGCTTTTAAATATTTTTAGAATAACAATGTACTTGAAAGGCAGACTCTGCAAACAGACTGCCAGAGTTTGCTTCTCTTCTCCACTTGTCACCGTATGACCTCTGGAAAGTGTCTGATCCTCTAGACTCATGTCCTCAGCCTTCGAGAAGGGTGACAACAGTACTGAACCCACAGGCTGTTCATGAGGACTACTAGAAGTAATTCACCTAAGGTTTCCAAAACAGGGCTGTCAACTAACATCAACCATTTCTATTACTACTACCAAGATTACTTTGTAGCTTTGTGATAATTAAATGGAAAAGAGGTATTTTAAAAACTGTTTTTTGGCTGGGCGCCGTGGCTCACGCCTGTAATCCTAGCACTGTGGGAGGCCGAGGCAGGTGGATCACCTGAGATCAGGAGTTCGAGGCCAGCCTGGCCAACATGGCAAAACCCCGTCTCAACTAAAAATACAAAAATTAGCTGGGCGTAGTGGAAGGCGCCTATTATCCCAGCTACTTGGGAGGCTAAGGCAGGAGAATTGCTTGAACCCAAGGGGCGTAGGTTGCCAAGAGCAAAGATTGTGCCACTTCACTTCAGTCTGGGTGAAAGAGCAAAACTCTGTCAAAACAAAAAAACAAAAAACCTGTTTCTTTAAAGCACAAAGTTTTCCTCAAAAACTGATAAGTTGATTAACACTAAGCTATATTTTTATACAAAGAATTTCCTGCCAGGTTTATGAATATTTCCCATAAGGAATCATTTCAAGGATTTGAACTAGAAAGAAAAGTCAGTCCCAGTTATTTGGGAAGTTGAGGAAGAAGGATTGCTTGAGCCCAGGAGTTTGACGCTATAGTGCACTATGATCATGCGTGTGAATAGATTCTGCACTCCAGCCTGAGCAACATAGCAAGACCCTGTCTTGAAAGAAAAAGAAAAAAAGAAAGAAAAGAAAGAAAGAAAAGGGAGAAAAAGAAAGAAGAAAGAGAGAGAGGAAGGAAAGAAGGAAGAGAGAGAGAGAGAGAAAGAAAGAGAAGAAGAAAAGAGAAAGAGAAAAAGAAAAAAATGAAAGAGAAGAAAGAAGAAAGAGAAAGAAAAAGAGAAGAAAGAAGAAAAGAAAGAAGAGAAAGAAAAAAAGAAGGAAGAAAGAAAGAGAAAAAAGAAAGAAGAGACAGAGAAAAAGAAAGCAAGAAAGAAAAATAAAGAAAGAAAGATGTTTTAATTCAAAAATGAAAACCACAATGGTGGAATGGTGGAGGGAATATATTCTTCATGTTTATGCTTCATAGCAGCCATGGATATCAGCCCCAATAATTACTGACGCCAAAGGATATCAATTTTAAAAATCAGTCATTCTTCCACTTAGAATTTTTTAATATAAGATCAGGAACCTTATATTCTTTCTGAGATACATGAAAAATTTCCCAAATGACATTGTTTCCTTTAATATTAATTTTAATAATTTTAAATGTTCTCAATAACATAAGTCTATGTAAATAATTATTCATAAATAGATACCAGATGTCAGTAAGCCAGTAACATATGAATCTACAGAAATAATTGTTCTATAGATGCAAATGCCTTAGGAAGAATAAGCTAAAGATACTTCTGTCAGCTGGGGGCGGGGTTGCTGTCTAGGTGAGACCTAGAACTGTAAGCCAGTCAGCAGGGAGCCTTTCATCAATTCCACCATTTTTCATGCAGCCCAAGACAAAGCTCTCAATTTTGCTATGGCTGTGTATTCCTGTCTCTAGCAATTAAATAAATATTTGCCACTTATTCCAATAACAGAGATGCTGTGAGGATTCAAGAGATAATATTTGTTAAGAGCCATGACATGCTCATAAACATAAAACATTATGCCTGATAAAGATGATGGTTCTTGCCTTGGCATGCTCTGTTGAAGACATATGGTGATTGGTAACATCAAGGGCAAGAAGGATAAGCCACCTCTGCAGCTCCAATGTGACCTCAGCCCAGGGTCTGGGGTGGACAGAGCCAGGTGGCCAGAGCAGGGTAGTGGCCCTACACATGAGGTTCCTGAGGGCCGTTGATGAGGGCAAAGCTCTCAGGTCACCTCTTGTCTCCAGGTTCCAGGATAGCTGGAGGTCAGTCCAAGGAAGATTCATTCATCACTGGACAGCTCCCAGCCCAGCCAGTCCAGCTGAATGGAAGGCTGCCCTCGCAGGAGAAGCTGACGACTGTCAACAATGGCCTTTGTTCATTCTTCCAGAAAAGGAACACTGAAACCATGCTAAGCCCTTCAAACTCTCTTAAATATTGAAAATAAGAAAAAGAGCAGAGGAGATTTTTTAATCACTCACATAACAGCATTTGGAAACAATCACTTTTTTAAAAATGTAAATGTGCTCCTCTGGTGCTGTGCATGAAAAAACAGAAAACTTTTCATTTTCCGTCTTTTGTTTTCATAAGGATAAAATGTGAAATAAACTTCCTTAATTTTCACTTCAGTGTTTGCAGCTTAGGATTCCATTAATATATCCTTTTCCCCTCGGTTGTGCAGGGTCCTCGTTTGCAGTCAGTTCATTCTGCACTGATGTATATTTCATTGCCCAAGGCTTAATTTTGATTTATTGTCCATCCATAAATTAGAAAAATATGCTCTGGAATTCCATCCCGCTGAAAAGCTGTGCCTGATGTCAGGGGACTGGGTGATATTTAAGATGTCAGAAATACATATTGGATTAGTGTGCTTTGTTTCCCCACAACAGCAGGTGTTTAATCATAGCTGATGGCTGAAGTTAAATGCATTAGGACAGCAGCAGCCAAGAAGATGGAGTTTTTCTAAACCATACAAACTCCAGGATAAATAACTCAAAACTAATTGTGTGTCCACATCTTAGATACATTTTTATTTACTTAATACATTAAACAATGAAAATAGCCTCTGGCACTTAACTTCATGTTTAAGAGCCTGTACAAATATTTTATGTTAGTGAAGTGTTGGCTGTTTAAACATAATTACTATTTTCCTTACTGGCCCTCTGGCGGCTTTATATAAAACATTTCTTAAAGCAGAAAAGAATAAAGGCTGAAATCTCTCAGTAATTCAGGGATAAGGAATTTTCAGAGGTTGCTTTTTTTTTCTTAATATGATATGAATGCTTATATCTGCCTAAATGCCCATTCGCCATCATCCAAATGATGCTTCACATACTTACTGACCAGGTATTTTCCTTTCCTCTCTTTGTAAAGTACAGGTTCTCGTTGCCATTATGTTTATATCAATTAGAGGTCCATGTGTATAGAAAAATGATCAGGCTTGGTGTGGAGCAATTTAGCTGGAGGCTGGAGAGAAGACGCTTAGGAGAGCAAACATTTTCAAGGTGCAACCGGTGACCTGTAACAAGCTGGGGAGATTCATGGCGAGAATCGTATATTTTGACACAACAGTGATTTGATTAAAAGAGAAAGTAATGGGTTTAAACAGTCGCTATGAGGGTGTAGCCAGACTTTGGTAGCTTTTTGCAATTTACTTTACAGACCAGTGATGGAGCAGGAGAGAGGACCTTTGCTACTGAAAAGCAAAGGCCACTTGGATTTGAAAACAAATATAAGCAAAAATTGGGTGGCTGAAACTAGTTTTTCCCTTCCAGCCTTTCCTTTAACACACATCTATGGAGGAGGCAGGGTAATACCAAGGCAAAAAGAAAATATTAAGGTCATTTTGAGAATAGGATTAGAACTGGATTTAATTTTGCTTGGATATTTAAAAAAATAATTATTTTTGGTGTCAGGCTCAAATGAATCAGTCTGAAAAGAAAAGGGAAAATGTAATTCTCTGCACTTTTGAGAAAAATTAGAATTTATATTAGAAAACTGAAATAGTTCATTTGTTTCACTTAGATAAGCAGTTTGATTCCTCAAAATAGTTAACATCCCTAGGGTCAATGTAGCATCAAATTTAATTTTAATATAGTAGTTGGGAATACCACAGTGTGACTTTGAATTTAATAGGTTAAAAAGAATTTTAATAAAACCTTAAGTTAACAAGTACAAGTTACAATACAATAGAATGATCCTACTAATGTAAGAATACAAGAGAAAACACAATGAAAGACATGCTGTGTATGTATATAGATCCCAGAATAACTATGACCCCCATACAAAGGATCTGAAAGTGAGCAGAACAGTGATTACCTCCGAGGAGGGAATTTTAACTGTTTACTCTGTATACTCTGGTGTTGTATGATTTTATTTATAATAATAATATAACATTATTATAATGTTTTGAGATATGACTTATATAAATGAATTTTCAAAGAGTTCCAGTAGCCGGGCACAGTGGCTCACCCCCGTAATCCCAGCACTTTGGGAGGCCAAGGCAGGCCGACCACGAGGTCAGGAGATTGAGACCATCCTGGCCAACATGGTGAAACCCTGTCTCTACTAAAAATACAAAAATTAGCCAGGCATAGTGGCATGTGCCTGTAATCCCAGCTACTCAGGGGGCTGAGACAGGAGAATCACTTGAACCTGGGAGGCAGAGGTTTCAGTGAGCTGAGATCACACCACTGCACTCCAGCCTGGCAACAGAGCGGGACTCCATCTCAAAAAAAAAAAAAAAAAAAAGAGTTCCAGTAAAGGTTTGTTTTTAAAGGAAAAAAGAGGCCTTTTCCCTATTTTGATACATACATTGTGCCTGAAAAGAAATCAGTCATGATTACTTTTGCTATAACTATGTGTTGAATGAGATAGTCATCATTGAATGTTGTTATAATAAACTACTTGAAAAAAAGTTTTAAAATTACAGTCCTGATAAGGTGTGCATGTGGAGCAAACTGTTAAAACAAAAGTCTCTTGGTGCCTTAGTTTTCTCATTGGAAGCTGATTTCTTCTTCCCTCATCCCCCACCCTTGCTGACCATGGCAGGTAGCTGCTTTAATCACTAAGCATTTATTATGATAGGCAATTCGCTCCTTTAAAACAACACTAAAAATATCAAGGTACTAAGACAGCTCTTTGTTTCAGAATTTCTTATAATAATATTCTAATTGATAAAATTTATGTTTTTCACAACTCTGATTTTTAAAGTGATAGTTGGGTGCTTTTGTTAAAAAAAAGAATGTTCTATAATGAATTTCTCATTTGGTGACATCATTTCATACACTTCAATATCTTTTTTCTATTTTGCAACTGATATCCCAAAGTTCTTTAACACTTCAAAGTTCTTCATTGTATTTTAGCCCAATGAGTATAATATTACTAGGAGAAAAAAAGTAAATATGGGGACTTAAGACTCACTTTAAGCTGGTTCATATGATTTCTAACATTTTTAGTCTGAGTGTTATAGGTCAGGCTCCCCAGGAAATAGACTCTGAGATAAAGATTTCTTGCAAGAGGTTTACTGGAGGGTGCTCTTGGAGTTACCCCTGAGCAGGGAGGGCAGGAAACAGGAATGGGTGGAAGGAGAAGTTGAGGCCATGCGGTCGCTTCAGCTGTTCTACAGAGAGCTCGGGGGCCCGGATGATCCTGCAGAATTGTTCCCCCTTTGACAGCCACTGGATGCAGGCTGACTCCTGGAAGGGAGTGTCACTTCTGGCAAGGCAGCTCTCTTTGGCATAGGACAATTCCTGGAGAGATATTTTGTTAAGAGCTTTCAGCAAACAACACTTCCAGCAATTCTAGGAATAAATGCCTTGGTCGTAAAGCGGGGCTCAGAGTGGGGCACCCCGTACCCACCACACCAAGTTTCCAGATCTCACTTTCTGCATTTCCAGCCACAAAGAACAATATTCATTCAGCTGTGGCTAGAATATCACTCCCAAAGAAAGGGCAGAAGGGAGCAACATTCATTGTGGAAAACCATGAAAGGACCATAATTCCAAGGCATTTTTCATAAAGGAAGCTAAAAGTAGAAGAGGAAAAACCCATTCCGTTGTTGTCAAGGAAGCAAGAAAGAGAATGACTTACTGGTTGGCTTACGCTAAAAATCTAATATTTTGTTCCAAATTTGCTTCATTCTGTCATACTGCATTGCTAGTGTTCTGGTTATTTCTTGCATTTGTATCGTAGAAATAATTAACAACATCCTAAGAAGGGGCCTAGAGACTATTAAGTGTAATTTTCTATGGTGCATGACATAGTAAGGCTAATAGATGAATCCCATGAAGTAGCTGATATTTTGGTCAGTAAGCAAGACTAGAGGACATCAGCCACTCATGATTGTTTTCCCAGTTTTCTGTTCCAAAGATACCTGGTTCCAAGAGGAGATAGTACAGATGAAATGAATTTACAGAGCAAATGGGGAAAGTGGGTTTTATCAAATGCTCAGGGACCAAGGAAGATGTCTTCTGGACAGGGAAGAGTGTTGTCGACCTGTTCCCATCAACATATGGCAACTTGAACTCTGACTCTGCCTTGGCAGCCTGGAAATGAACTGGGCATATTTTGAAGCAAATGACACTAATTAAGATTTGCTGAGGTATGTGGGAAGGAGAAAATATAAATGTTTTAAAGAGCTTCTTCACAGGAATGTTTATTTAACCTGTGGTAGACTAAGTAGAAAACACTTAAATCTTAAAAGGAAAATGCTTCATACGTTATGTATTCCTAATCCATCACAAAGAAAATAAGATTCCACAAACATTGCCAAAATAGTAGTCCTCCTCGGCTGGGCACAGTGGCTCACACCTGTCATCTCAGCACTTTGCGAGGCTGAAGTGGACGGATCACTAGGTCAGGAGATCGAGACCATCCTGGCTAACAAGGTCTCTACTAAAAATGCAAAAAATTAGCCAGGCATGGTGGCGGGCACCTGTAGTCCCAGCTACTTGGGAGGCTGAGGCAGGAGAATGGCGTGAACCTGGGAGGCAGAGCTTGCAGTGAGCGGAGATCACACCACTGCACTCCAGCCTGGGCAACAGAGCAAGACTCCATCTCAAACAAACAAACTAACTAACTAACTAACAGTAGTCCTCGTCCAGACAGAGTCTTTTAAGGAGAATCCAACCCTTCCTGTTCTAACACATAGAAAAACGAAGGTACACAAAAGAAATATCTGTTCCTAAACATCTCCACAACATTAACACCCCAACCTACATGTTTGTACCCATATAAATGATTTGACAGGGGCAGTAGATATGCAAATACTGTAAGGCAAAAAAAAGTGCAGGGAATTGTTTACAATTCTTGTGCTATGATTTTAATGTTTGTCCCCTCTAAAACTCATGCTGAAATGTAATTGTCATTGTGATGGTATTGGGATGTGGAACCTTAAAGAGGTGTTTAGGTCACAAGGACTCCACCTTCATGAATGAACTGAAACTATTATCATGAGAGGCAGCTTGTTATCATGGGAGTGGGTTTGGCCCCTCTTGCACTCTCTCTCTCTCTCTACCCCCCTTGCTTCTGTCATGTGATGTCTTCCACCATGTTATAGCACAGCAAGAAGGCCCATGCCAGATACTGGCACCTTGATATTGGATTTCCCAGCCTCCACAACTGTGAGTGGATAAATTCCTGTTTATTATAAATCACCCAGCCTTAGGTATTTGGTTATAGCAGCATAGAATGAACTAATACACCTTGAAAGATCTAGGATTGGGTCCTGAAATCAATCATCCTTGAACTTGATATTGGAACCCCTCATTTTTGGTTTCTTTAAAGTTTATCTCTTGAAGATGGTTTGTGTGGTAAAAGTAAATTTGAAAAGATAAGTGATGAAAAGTATGTGGAGGCAAAGAAGGAGAGATAGGGAGCAAGGAGGAAAATAGGCAAAGAAAAGTGATTACAATCAGATGGCCCCATAATCATTATAACAGCGCATATAAGTTGAGTGCCCTCTGAGATTTCCTTCTCTGATGTGCACATGCATTACCTTAATAATTCAAGCAATTAACTCTATGAAGTTGGTACTGTCCTTATCTCCATTTTTGCTGATGAGGAACCTGAGGCTTGATGAGGCTAAGCAGTTGTGTAGCACAGATAGGAGGTGGTACCAATGAAACTATAGCTCAAGAAGGCCACTTCCGTGTAAGAGCTTCATCTCCCTATGTATCTATAGACTCTCGCAGGTTAGGGCTAAAGAGCCCTTCAAGATCCAGAGACCATTCTGCCCAAGCCTCTCTTACTGCAGGCAAGGAAACGGAGGCCCAAAGCAAAAGACAAGTCATCTCTAAATTGCCTCTTTGGTTGTGTATGTTGTCTTCCAGAAAGATATGTAATTAAATGATAAATGATATTGTGGTCTGCAATATTTCTGTTTGCCCTGGTAATAAATCATCAGGACATGGAAATGTCCTAGGTTTTGTGACCAGACCCACAGTCTTTTCTGCTGCAGATGGCAGAACTAAGCACACTGGCTTAACTTGCTAAAGAAAACATTTTGGATGCCCAGGTTCCCTTGAATGAGGTTTCTGGGGATCGGCTGAATCAGGGCCTAATTTCTCCCGGAGCTCTGAAGTCATCGTAAGCTGGAACAATGACAGCAATCCCAGCCACCTACAGAGAAAACCTGATAATACTATAAAGTCCGGGATTGATTTTTAGGAAGACTCTTGGTGTTTCCAGGGGCCACAGCAAAAATATGACTGTGTTAGTCATGCATTCGTGGGATTAGAGCTGCCTCAGGCAGGGACTCAGATTATGGATGAGGCCAACCTCAAAAAGACCCTGGCCAATTATTTTTATTTCTGGAGCAAGGAACATTTGAAAACTTATAATTTATTCAATTATGGAACCGGGTTGCCCTATAACCTGCTTTACATCACCCAGAATGATTTCTGAGCTTGACAAGGGTAACTCTTTGTCAAAAACTTCAGTGGTGAGAGAAAACAGAATTACATTTTATGGTTTGAGTGTTTCCATTCAAAGGCTGAGAAGCACTGCATATGCTAAACAAGGTCAGCTTTTCCTATTCCTCTCTTATAAGGAATTCTTAGCAACTCTGAAAAATCATCATGTATTTATTCATCAAACATTGATGCAACCTAAGGCTGAAGGAATTTACTTCGGTAACTGATCTGTAGTCACCCAGTGGTTTGGTGAGACATTCTGTGCTACAACTTATATATTCCGAGTCCAATATTTTACATCCTGAAAATATGCCAGCTCTGTCTCTTAAGCTTCATTGTCTCAAGATCATTTCCTGTTGCTAAGTTTCCAAGAGTCTGCCCTTCGCTTACTCCAGAAACATCCTGTGCTTTATGCAGAAAGAAGTCAGTAAGAGCAGTCACACTATCCTTCCTGCTTTGGAAAAGCCCCAGGTCTCTCTGTTTACCTTCTCTTGTCTTCCTGAATGAGAGAAAAGCCTTGGGATATTGTGATGTCATTTTATTTTAATTTTTTTTTTTTTTTTTGAGACAGAGTCTCATCTGTCACCCAGGCTGGCGTACAGTGGTGCGATCTCAGCTCACTGCAGCCTCCGCCTCCTGGGTTCCAGCGATTCTCCTGCCTCAGCCTCCCGAGTAGCTGGGATTACAGGCTCCCACCACCATGCCCAGCTAATTTCTTTGTATTTTTAGTAGAAACGGGGTTTCATCATGTTGGCCAGGCTGGTCTTGAATTCCTGACCTCAGGTGATCCATCTGCCTCAGCCTTCCAAAGTGCTAGGATTACAGGCATGACTGCGCCCAGCATGTGGTGTCATTTTATATTGCTCAAATTTATATAGTCTTAAACAGACACAGAATGTTATATAGTGACATGACCTTGGACTGTGAAAATGACATAATGACTCCTATCTCATGGTATTGTTGTGAAGCATAATAATGTAAGTATACACTGCCTGGCATATACTAGATGCCCAATAAATGATAGCCACCATTATTATCAATTTTCTAAAAGATAAAGGATATTTGCAGAGAAGATGTTCTATAAAATACTCAGCATAAGAGGGTAGAAAAGCATGTATGAATTGTAAATGAAACTTTAGCTTAGACTTCCTTGGGCTGTGGACAAGCATCTCTAGGCTGTAGCCACTCACCTGGGTCCTGAAGAAAGTTCCAGGGGGAGACGAACAGAAGTAAAGTAAAGGGCTTCTTTTTTTTTTTTGAGACGGAGTTTCACTCTGTCGCCCAGGCTGCAGTGCAATGACGTGATCTCGGCTCACTGCAACCTCTGCTTCCCGGATTCAAGTGATTCTCCTGCCTCAGCCTCCTGAGTAGCTGGGATTACAGGCACAAGCCACCATGCCTGGCTAATTTTTTTTTTTTTTTTTTTTTAATAGAGACGGGTTTTTGCCATGTTGCCTAGTCTGGTCTCGAACTCCTGAACCCAGGTGATCAGCCTGCCTCAGCCTCCCGAAGTACTGGGATTACAGGCATGAGCCACTGTGCCCGGCCTATAAAGGGCTTCTAATGAGGAGGTGATTTCCCCAACTGTCCCAGCGCCCTCCAAAACCAAAAATGAATCCAAGCGCCCTCTCTACCACCCTTTCCTACCCCCTCACCCTGTTCTTGAGCAGAACTGAAGACACAGACTTTAGTCTGGGCTCCCTAAACCAAAATGTTCCAAATCACAACTTCAGGGCTTTCTAAATTGGCAGCTCAAGACCCCGTTGCCCCCCATACACTTCTGACTTATGTAGATGTTTGATGATTCTTTAAAAAGTGAGCTGCTAAGTTCACATGACAGTTCTACCTCCTTTCTATGGTGATCACTTTCTGTAAGGCCTACAAAGATTTCAGCCCACTTGTTAGCCCACTTAGGCAAAGCTGTATGTATGGAAGACGCTCTGTTGCTTGTTTTAGTTCAATTGCACATGCTTAAGAATAAATCCAGGCTAACACCCATTTGTAACAGGGAACTAGAAAGAGATGTAGAAAATTGGGCATGCAATATGTAAAAGCCTAAACAAAAAGTAGAAGCTGTGGAAAGAAATGTGAAAAAATAAAAACAGTTATGTTAGAATGGCAGGGTTGTGGAAAACTTCTTATAAAACATATTTGAATTTGGTACAATATTATTTTTAGAACTGACAAAATCCCAGCGTTGAGAGTGGGGAACAGCAATCTTCTAAAAGACGTTTAAAATAAAAATCAGGCTGGGCATGGTGTCTCGCACCTATAATCCCAGCACTTTGGGAGGCCCACGCAGGTGGATCACTTGAGGTCAGGAGTTCAAGACCAGCCTGGCCAACATGATAAAATCCCATCTGTACCAAAAAAATACAAAAATTAGCTGGGTGTGGAGGTGCATGCCTGTAATCCCACCTACTTGGGAGGCTGAGGCAGGAGAATTGCTTGAACTCAGGTAGCGAAGGTTGCAGTGAGCTGAGATCACACCACTGCACTGAGCAACGGAGTGAGATTCCATCTCAAAATAAATAAGTTAATTAAATAAAAGTTAATTAAATAAAAATCAAATGTTTCTGGCAACATAAAAGGAAGCACCATTATAATGCACAGAGCCTTATTTTTTCAACTCTAAATATGCAGTGATATACACACTAAACTAATGGGGCTTTTTCTGTATACACTAGAAAAAGCTAACATATTCCTATTATTACCAGTGATATAGCATTGGCAAAAGAGGCCTCTATCTCAGTTTTCCTTTTTATAATAATTAATTCTAACATTTTGACATGCAGGTGACAGAGAACTAGAAAGGAAAGCTTATGAATTCAAAGACAAAATTGGTATCTAAAAACATTTAGACAAGGCCGGGATAAAGGGTCATCTTCAAAGGAAGGCATTTAATAGGTACTAAATGTAAAGCCCTACACTTCAATACAAAAAATTATCTGCCTAAGTACAAAGGTCAAACATTTTTAGCCAGAAAAAGTAGAATAGGTTTAGGGTTTTTATTGATCACAAGTTGAGTAGAAGTAAACAGTGTGTTAGAGCCACCTTAAGGACTAAAGTAATTTAGTTTACACTTCCAGAACCAGGATGATGACTAATTTCCCGCAATAAACAAATAAACTCAAAATCTGAATATGGCCTTTAGACCTTGGATGAGCTGATTTTCCTCAGAGGATCCAGGTAAGGTTCTATCCTATTCTATGATTCTAGCCTCTCAATTTCTGCTGTGCACCAAGGGTTTAGAATTCAGAATACATAGACTTGATAGAGGGTCTATGAATGGGTTTCAAGAGGCCTGCAAACCCTCTAATGTCATATGTAAAATGTTCTGCTTTCCATGAAATTCTAAGGCAAAGAATTTAGAAACCAATGTTCTAGACCAGGGAGTTTCAAAGGGGGCAGTGTCCATCCCAAAAAGGCAGTACATTGGCACTCAAACAATTGTTCCAGGTCCTTCAGAACACATCCCAATGTTCCATCGGATATTCATGTAGGTGAAAAAGCCTTTGATAACTATCTCTAGCTCCATTTTTCATATGAGCACAAAGTGTTTTTACCTAGTTTTAATGTACATTAAATTTTCCAGGAATACAACTACCATGTACACAGTTTTGTCTGGAACCTGACCAAGAGTTGCTCACCATTTTAGAAAATCATGTTATGGACAACAATGCAATGTAGCCCTTGGGCTTTGAGTTCTTCCAACCACAGCTGTCACATTTGGATGATGATTCTACTTGTATGAGGAAATATCCTTATTCAGCCCTTATTTCATAACGTTGATTATAAAGAAAAAGAGTCAACAACAATCAACTGAAAGCTTTCTCTTAAATCAACATTTGTTATAAAGCGATGTGATCCCAGCACTTTGGGAGGCTGAAGCAGGAGGATCACTTGAGCTCAGGAGTTCAAGATCAGCCTGGGCAACATGGCAAAACCCCATCTTTACAAAAAAATACAAAAATTAACTGGGCGTGGTGGCATGTGGCTGTAGTCGTAGCTACTCAGGAGGCTCAGGTGGGAGGATCACTTGAGCCCACAAAGATTGAGGCTGCAGTGAGCCAAGATGGCACCACTGCACTCCAGCCTGGGCAATAGAGTGAGAGCCTGTCAAAAAAAAAAAAATGGCAGTGAGATTATTTGATTACTTCATTTCTTAGTTGTCGTGACGGAGAATGTACCCATTGAAACATGTATTTTACCATATTTTTGTTATATTATACCTTTTGTGTTGTTGTTTATAGTTAGGCCCTCATGTTTTTGCCTCTCTTT
This sequence comes from Homo sapiens, assembly GCF_000001405.40. Lineage (NCBI taxonomy): Eukaryota > Metazoa > Chordata > Mammalia > Primates > Hominidae > Homo > Homo sapiens. The sequence goes on from NC_000005.10 coordinate 77,956,947, forward strand.
CTTTTCTTCGTTCCTTCTATCTTCTCTTCTTCTAAATCACATGTAGGATATATTATTCAATATTTTTATTTGGAATAGTAAAAGATATTACAACTTTTTTCTTTCTTTCTTTTTCTTTCTTTCTTTTTTTTTTTTTTTTCTGAGACACGATCTCACTCTGTTGTTCAGGCTGGAGTGCAATGGCACAATCACGTCTCACTGCAGCCTGGACCTCCCAGGCTCAAGTGATCCTCCTGCCTCAGCCTCCTGAGTAGCGGGGACTGCAGGCGTGTGCCACTATGCCCAGCTAATTTTTGTATTTTTGGGGTAGAGAGGGGGGTCTCACTGTGTTGCCCAGGCTGGTCTCGAACCCCTGAGCTCAAGAGATCCTCCCACCTTAGCTTCCCAAAGAGCTGGGATTACAGGCGTGAGCCACCGCGCTGGGCATTAGGAAGTATTTGTTATGAAAAGACGGTTGCTGCCACCCAACGCTGTTGAGAATCGCTATCAAGACGCGTGTCCTCAAGTTCAATTTCCAAAATTTCCTGGAAACTGTTTTATGTTACTTCACTGTCAGAAGACCCAGCACGGGTATGCGAAGGGAGGTCTGAGAGCCTCAGAAACAACACGTAAAACACACACACGCACACACCCCCCCAACCAAACCACCCCGTCCTCTGGGGAAGAGGGTCCCTCTGCCTGATTCCCTGGAGATGGCTCCCCGCCCAGGGCCCAACTCTCTTCTCCTGGACGCCATCTCCCCGGAGCTGGGGGCCTCGGCTCCGCAACGGCTGCGAAGTTTCACCGATGCCGCAGGCCTAAGGCCACCCTTGGTCCCAAACCCAGCGCCGGGACGCGCGCCCCAGCCCCATCGGAGCTGCCATGGCCCCATGATTAGGGCCACGGTGGCCCCTGACTTTCTCTTATTAATGTTTTTTTTTAATTGTAAATCATTACTCAGCTCAGCTCAGTCACCAGGCAAACTGTGTTTAATAAATTAGCTTAATCTATTCCGCAAGTGGTTTGTGAGTGCTGTGTTTCCTCTGGTTAAGGAAAACATTTATATTCTCTCTCCTTGCCCAGCGTTCCTGGGCTCCCGGAGTCGCTACCCAGGCCGGGCGCACGGGGAGGCCTGGAGCGGGAGGCTCTCGGCCCGCCGCTCGCGGGAACCCCCACCTCGGGCGGCCGGGAGGGCAGTTGGTGGCGGCGTGGCCTCTTTGTCCCCGTCAGCCCGAGGCGGCGCTGGTGCCCACCCGGCCTCCCCGTGGCCCAGCCCCGCGCCTCCGCCCCGGGCAGCGCGCATTCCCCTCTTCCAGAGGGGCCTCTTTAACGGCTCCCCATGAAATAATCATTCATTATGTCACCAGGAGGGAAGAAAGGGAGTGTAAGTGTCTTGATGGGATTAGAGGAAACCCCCGCAGAGATGATTTAGGGGCCGTGATAATTCATTTAATAGGGGCCTGGGGCAAATTGCTAGACAGGGAAATGGAACTGAAGCAGCTCGAAAGGGCGCCCGGCAAGGCTGTGGCGGGGGAGCCGGCTTCATTAGCAATATTTAAGAGATTTCATTTAAGAATGAGTCATAAAATGCAGTACTATTTTATCCACCTGGTTTGGTGGCCTTTAGCTTTCCTCTGCATGAATATTAAATGTGAAATGGCACTACAGCAACACATTTTGGAAAGTGTTCTTTAGGCTGTTATTTGTATGGTTGGTTTAGTTTCTCGTTTGTTAACCTTTTAAAATGAATATCATTGAAAATGGATAACTGTACAACCAGAGCTCGAAAAACATTAGGGGGAGTATAATGCTTTAGAATAGGTTGTTACTAAACTGGGTAAAGGATTTAAGTTTTTATTGATCAAAACACAAAAGGCATAGAGAGCAAGTCAGTAAATGGCAAATTACTTTGACAATTCCCAATTTTCATGCAGATTTTGTGAAGCTGTCCCATTCAAAGCCACCCCCAGAGGCCCGGAGGAGACCACAAAGCTGCGAACACAGCCGGGACCTGCCCACTGACACACTGAAGAGTCAACACGATTCAGGAAAGCACTTTCAAAGAGTGTTTTATCTTGGACAGATAATATTCCGTTTTGTTTCTGAGAGGCAATGACAATCTCTAGTTCGATTGTAAAACTATTTCCTTCAAATATACATTTTTATCTATGGAGAGTGGTGTTATTTGGGGTTTTACAAACCTAAGAAGTTTACATTTGGCAACAGTGATTGTTCCCATTACAACTACAATGTAAAAAAACAGATTCTCTTTTGGTGTGCATCCTCCCCTCTTTGGTTTCGAGGGTGACTTTCCCACGCATATCTGCCACTCACTTGGGAAGTCCTAGTCTGGAAACATTTTAGCAAATACGTAACCATCGTTCCATTGTGGCCCACACATTTGCCTGACCTGACATTCTTCCCCAAAACTCTTATATTTGCAAACTAAAACATTAGCTCTTGATTCCCTCCTCTTCCACCTTTTAAAACTAAAAATAGCTCTTCCAGATAGGCTGTTTTCATTTTTTTTTTTTTTTTAATCGCAGCTGCACTCTGTTATTTTAACAAAACAACTGGCAGGTCTCTATTCACAGAGCTGCTTTAGCCACATAGGATACATAAGATGCATAATCAATATGTTCTTTAAAAGACTCTCTTAATCAGAAAAGATGCTAACTACATGTAAAATTATTCACTTACATATATTGGTTTGTGCAATTTTCCACAGTGACAGTAAAGTTGGTAGCTAAATATGTTTTTATACATAACAAAACTTAGCGAATGTCTTTTGTAAGGCATGCATTGTGAGGGTAGTATTAATATTTGTGTTTCTACGTTTATATTCCACCATCCCCTAGTAAAGATGTTCTATTTTATACAGAGTTGTAAACCACTTTGAAATATAGTGAGATGCTCTATTTTGAATAAAATCAGGTTACTGATGTACTAAATAGGCAGCGTCTGGACAAAAGCAAGCCTCACTGAAGGTGGGTTAGTTCCCTCTAGAGCCTGTCCCCAGTCCTGAGTTCTCAGACTTTTCTCAGTGTTTCCCTTTAGTGAAAAGGAGCCAGGATTAGCCATGAGCAGTCATGGTCAATGTTCTGAGAAGTTTTGAGAAGGAAACTCCTCTTCAGCAAAAGAACTTTCATTCTCTCCTTCTTCCTGTGAAATGGCACTCTAAAGGTGACCAAGGCAACCCAAAGAAAGATACCTGTTTGCAACATCTATTTTTGCTTTTCAGAAATAGGATTTAGTTGCCAATTAGAAAGCCAGAAAGCAAAGAAGATCCCTGCACTGCCACTTAGAATGGTTATAGCCACACACTAGCAGAAACTGAAAGATTCATCGGAAAACAACCCCCAATCCTTGGCCTTGCATTTAAATGTGAATGGGGCTGTGTGTCTACCCTGCCTTCTTGCTTTCCTTCCTTTACATGATTCCTGCCATGTCTAAAGCAGGCATACCCATACTGTTGAATCTTGGAGTAACTGACAGTGTCCAAATGATACCCTGGATTTAAACAGTTTCAAGCACAGTAGACACATTGTCACCAGACAGCCAGTGGTGGGAAACCAGTGTGTGTAGGATGCAGGGATCACGAGGGAGCAGCCACAGAGGCAGTGACTGCTTTCTGCCTTCAGAGAGCCCAGCCTCTGCACACACAGGCATCCACAGACACAAAGCCACATCCTTATCAACAGAGGGGACAGGAATATGACATTCTGCACACAGCCAAACACCTTAGAGGACTGAGGTACTGAGGACAAAATATTTAAAGCCAGTAAAGCTGGAAGTTGAGTGGGCAAAAAAGCATACATACTTTCATAGACCCATTTTTCTAGTAATAAATTCCACGGTTTTTTCTCATTACCACAAATATACACATACAAAGGTAAAGAAACTATATAGGCAATTATTTAAGTTCTCTCCTTTTTCAATTAATATTAACCTTTAAAACATTAAATACTATTTCTGAGGATCACATAATCTAAAAAAAGAAGAAAGAAAAAAAAAGCCTTTATGTGAATTAACCAGAAGAACTAGCACTCCCTAACAGCAGACAAATAGGCCTCTACAACACTTTCTCACATCTTCCTCAGGGCAACCACAAAGGAACATCATTGCCAATCACAGGCGATCTGTGCTTTGGAAACCTGAAACCACAGCGTTTTCTTCATGTGGGCAAAGTACATCAAATCTGATTAAAATAAGCTTACACTACAAATTGGCCTAAGCTGTGTGGAAAGTGGTTGGCAATACATATCAAAGGCCTTAAAAATGTTATTCTACTTAATTCATTAATTCCATCTCTGGGACTAGCTCCTGGGGCAGTTATGTGAAATGCCACCAAAGGTTTATATAAAAGATGTTTATCTTTTATATTTATAATAGGAAAAAACAAGAAACCATACAAACATCCAATTATAGGAAATAGTGAAGTAAGTTATAGGATCCTACAATGGAATTTAATAAACCTATATTCAATTTTATACATACAGGATCCTCTAAACTGTGTAAAACAAAACAGAGGAGAGAAAATGTTAACATGATTATCTCTGGGTGGTGAGCATTTTGGTTTTTGCCTCATATTTTGTAAATTTTCTATAATAAGGATGTATTTAATAATCAGTAAAAGATATATATACATATGTACATATTTTTACATAATATATCAATGTTGTACACATCTACAATTCATTAATTTCTTTGATGTTTATAACATAATAAGCTGACAGGCAAACAAGGAATCTCAGAATCAAAATAAAACCAAAATCGCTTATATAATGTTTCCTTTAAATAACCACATTAAAATAAATTAGCGTTTTTTTTATTCTTGCCAAGCATTGCATACCTACATATTTTCTTTTCTGTCCAATAAGTAAATTTCCTACGTAGTGATCACTGTGATTTTCTTTTGTGAGCATATGTAGGTTGAAAATGTTCCATGTTTTGATTAGAATAATCAAGCTGTCAGGTGAGAAATCCACATTTCATCATGATCATCTGCAGCTCACACTTGGCACCCAATATACACATATTTATTTTACTGACCTGGCCATACACAAATAATAGCACATGGCAAATTTGCAAAGACAGCCCTGCTCTCAGGCCATTGTATTATCTGCAAAAATCTGTTTTCAGCAGCAGACTATCCACAAATTTGACCCCCTGGCTCTTTTTTCTTTTTTTAACTAGGTCAAGTTGCTGTCCCTGTAGCACCATCAGTATATTTAATAAAAATCAAGTATATCTTGTGTTTGAAACATACATTATAAATAGATGTATAGATGGAGCAGATATTGAGAAAAGAAATGGTAAAGATTATGAATATTAAGATTTATATTAATCTATAAGCCTATTAAAGTACAGTAAAACCTGTCCTTCAGACCACCTTTTTAAAGATATCACCTCCCTGATGGGACCACTAAATTTCGGGCCAAATTATTTTCCCATAAAGAACAATGAAAAGAAAATGATTATATTAAGACTACTTCTACTATGGTTTCTTTCCATTGTTCCGCCAAAAATGATTCCAAACAGTAAAATAACATTGATTTTGACCTTGTTAATGAACCTGAAGAACTTCATGGAATACTCAAACACCGATTTCCATTTTTAACAGGAAAAAAAAAATGGACCCTCCGCCTCACATTTTTGAAAACACCAGCAGTAGGTAGGGATAATTTCACTGGTATTCTGCAGATGTAGCTTATCTTGATATTGCTAATGTTCCGTAAGGTTTGTCATGTGGATTTTTCTTTGTGCCAAAAGCAGGAGATGATTGTGTGATCTGTAAAATATTGAAGAAGCCTTCAAACTGAGAGATTTATTGCATTTCTTTTTGGTTACAAAGATTCTCATATACAATATTACTGAAGTGATCTTCAGTTTTCCAAAATGCCACTCTCTCCAAGGGAACAACTTTCTCTCCTTTGGCCTTACAAGGACTCCCTGTGGCTTTGACTAGCTTTTCTTCCAAACAAAACTGCCGTATGATCCATGCTCCCCCGAACCTCTCAAGGAGGGCCCTGGTTCCCTTAATCAGGTTCTTCTTGAGCTCATTCATGTCAGTCAGAAACACCAGAGGCCCTACTCTCCTTGTGTGGTATTTCCAAGGTGTGCTTCCTAACAGTGAAGCCTCCAGAGTTGTCCATTGCAGCTTCCCAAGGATGCAATGTGCATCTGTTTAAGGGCAGAACGTGCTCATCTTATTGGGACACAGAGACACCCACTCAATGTCTGTCTATCTATTTAAATAGGGCTTCTTCCCCCAGTGGATAGAAGGAAGAATTGATCACGTGTAGATATATTTTAAATTACTCATATTGTGCAAGGGACACATCTTAAAATTCACCAATACAAAGTAAACATGTGAGCAGTAACTGCCAATCATGCAAGTTCCTTTGGGAAGGCTTCACTAGACTCCGTACCCCTGGAGGGCAAGAACTATGTCCTGTGTGTGTTCATGTGCCCAGCTTCAAAGCCAATGCCTGCCATCATCTGCTCCCAGTAAGCCAGCATGGATAAGAACTGAGTTGCCAGCTGTGCCCACCCCAGTTTACCTCTTTCTTTAGCTGCAGGTCAGTGGACTCTCACCTGCCTGCCGTCATAGGCTGTCCATGCTGAAAGGGGCCTTGGAGCACATTGGTTCAGCCCAGCCCAGCACTCTCGTCCTAGAGATGGGGTTACCAAAGTGTCAAGGATGCCCCAAGTAGAGACAATATATGTGGCCATGAACCTTATGGGCAAAAATCCCAGGTGTTTATTCCTGTTCCTAAAAAGAAGAAGACCACGAAATAAAAAGTGGTGTATTTTAGCTGATAGCCTAGGGTAGTAAGCCAGCTGGCTGTGGCTGTGTGGTCTGAGCTCAAAAGAAAACTATAAACATAGTTCTTCAAATGCTGAGTGTCATAACAATACAGTTTCTCTTTTGAATCAGATTTATAATTTTTTTTCTGTTTGAGATGGAGAAAGCAAGGCACAGTGGACAGTGAGTGAGAAGTAGCACGTGGTAACCTAGGTTTGAATTCCAGCTCCACCGTTTGCTTGCTGTGTGACCTTGGGCAAGTCGCTTATCCTCTCTGGGCCTCAGCTTTTTCATCTGTAAAATGAGGACAAAAATACTGTGGGCCTCTGTGGGCTATTTGAAGAGCAAAGGACACTTGATAGTTCAATGCACTGTGCAAGACAAAAGTGAGTTATTTACTTGAAAATGAAAATGAATTTAAAAGCTATGGCCATACATAGGCTGGGCGCAGTGGCTCATGCCTGTAATCCCAGCACTTTGGGAGGCCGAGGCGGGCGGATAACGAGGTTAGGAGATCGAAACCATCCTGGCTAACATGGTGAAACCCTGCCTCTACTAAAAATACAAAAAATTAGCTGGGCGTGGTGGTGGGCGCCTGTAGTCCCAGCTACTCAGGAGGCTGAGGCAGAAGAATGGCATGAACCTGGGAGGCGGAGCTTGCAGTGAGCCGAGATCACACCACTGCACTCCAGCCTGGGCGACAGAGCAAGACTCCGTCTCAAAAAATAAAAATAAATAAAAAAATTAAAGCTATGGCCATACATATAAAGAAAAGAAACCACAGGTGAAGACGAATGCGCACAGACATTTTAATTAGGGTGTTCCTCACCTCTTTTGAGCAAGCTAACTGGGTGATCGCATGTATGACACACCAGACGTCTGGGTATCAATTCAGCTGGAGCCACAGGATGTGACCTGCCAACTCTTCCTCCAAAGTCACCTCACAACTGCCACTGCTCTCCTCCCATGGGGTACAGGGGCATGTATGGACCCAGAGGTCTCAGTGTGACTTTCTCCTTCTCTCCCTCCCCAGTTATCCTCCTGCTCCTTGCTAGAGACACTAAGGAAGTTCACGTCTATGAAGATGAGGGCAAGTATAGTCCAGATCCTAAGAAGAATCATATGGCCTTCTTTCTGTTCCTTCAGTGACAGGTTCCTTGTTGCTTCAAGACCTACACAAATTGGTGAGGTCTCTCCTCCCCTTCCGGGAGTCTTGCCACATCTCTCCTCTCTCCAATTCATTTTTACTGGAAGTGAATAGATCACACTTCTGAGCTTAATGTTAGTTCTTTTTACCTTATCAAATTTCTCCTTCTTTCCTCACCCCAACCTGCAAATGAAACAAGCAGCTTCACTTTTGCATCAAAACGAGGTAGAAAAAGACAGGGGAAAAAAGACCATTGTTTTTGTGCCATTTTTGGTGCCTCTATAGGGACAGGGCTGGCTTATTTTGCACGCTTATTGCTAAAGTAGACAATGCTAGGCCCTGAGCACCCCTAATTCTGGACTGAAATTTGTCCTTCCCTGACACTGAAAAGACGCTTTTCATTTTTACACATCTATTCAACAAACATTTATTGAGGGGTTATTATGTGCTAAGCACTGTGCTAGGTGTCAAAGAAGTAAGCAATGTATGTTCCTTCTGAGGGCAAACACATCACGCATTTCTGCAGATGCCCTCTTGCTTGTTTTTGCACTTATCTAGTACTAAAATCAGCCAAAGAGTATTCTCTCTCCAGAGCAGATGCCTGGCACAATCTACTTTTGAGCCTGCACCTCCTCGAGACTCAAAAAATACTCTGGAAATTGGCTGGGTGTGGTGACTCACACCTGTAATCCCAGCACTTTGGGAGGCCAAGGCAGAAGGATTGCTTGAGGCCTGGAGTTTGAGACCAGCCTGGTCAACAGAGGAAGATCCTGTCTTTACAAAAAATAAAAAATTAGCTGGGTGTGGGGGCACATGCCTATAGTCCTAGCTACTCAGGAGGCTGAGGCAGGAGGATGGATTGAGTCCAGGAGTTCGAGGCTACAGTGAGCTATGATCATGCCACTGCACTCCAGACTGGGTGACAGAGCAAGACCCTGTCTCTGAAAAACAAAAAATAAAAAAAATCAAGAAATAGAGTCTTAGAACTGCTGACTGGACAGGACACCAAATCTATCTACCATATGGAACCCATGAGGAAATAAAGGATTCAAGAGTAAATGACTCCTCTGAAGCCACCCACAGTGGCCAATCTTATTTATCTTGAGTGACTTAGGGGCTGGTCGGGGTGGAGGTCAAGGAATATCCTCAAGGATAGCTAGATGTCCTTTCCAGTCTGGAGATTCTAGGCAGACCAGAGGGAATGGTGGCGACCTGGCTGCCAGCTCTCTGGAGTCGAGAATCTGAAGCAATGTGAGCTGCCGCCGGTTCATGCCACTGCCAGTGTTTGCCTGCGCCATCACTATCAGCATCAAACTCACTCCCTGCTTTGTTAAGTGCTTTGGGATTTCTCAAGTAGAAAAGGTGCTATATAAAATCAATCACAGGAAACCCTGCTGCTGGCAGCTCAGAACAGCTACAGTAAGCAGTGTCCACTCAATCAATAGTCCCTCACCGAGAAGGGGAAAGAATACCATTAAAAAGGTGTGCTCTTAGAAAAACTTCCCTTAAGTAAGGGGGGGAAATCCTACCTTACAAAGAGTGTATATATACAGAAAGCACACAATATATTGTTCCTCCGTGACCAATATTACACATGATGGGAGAAGGAACTTACTGCTTACTACATACTTTTGCTTTTCTTTTAACCACGCAAGAACACAAACTGATACACGTTGAGCCTGAAAAACCTTGTAGGCCCCGTGCAGGAAATGCTTATTGGATTCATTTATAAAATGAAAATGGAATTAGCTCTATGGCACTGGGGTAGAAAAAAAGTGATTTCTACAATTGGCTTGCCAAAGAATAATATGCAAGTGTATTAGTACATTTTCACACTACTATAAAGATACTACCTGAGTGTGGGTAATTTACGAAGAGAAGATGTTTAATTGGCTCACAGTTCCACACGCTGTACAGGAAGCATGGCTGGGGAAGCCTCAGGAAACTTACAATCATGGCGGAAGGCAAAGGGGAAGCAAGGCACCTTCTTCACAAAGTGGCAGGAGAGAGAAAGCATGCAGGGGGAACTGTCATTTTTAAAACCATCAGATCTCATGAGAACTCCTTCACTATTATGAGAACAACATGGGGGAAACCACCTCCATGATCCAATCACCTCCCACCAGGTCCCTCCCTTGACACCCTGGGGATCACAATTTGAGATGAGATTTGAGTGAGGACACAAAGCCAAACCATGTCAGCATGTTTGGGATATAGTATAACTTGTTTGCCTTTAATTATGTTTAAATATACGGAATATACGTAGATGCATATCATTTTATGGTGTTAAAGAACTGGGCTTCTTAGCCGGGCGCGGTGACTCGCGCTTGTAATCCCAGCACTTTTCGAGGCCAAGGCGGGCCTCGGCGGATCACGAGGTCAGGAGATCGAGACCATCCTGGCTAACACGGTGAAACCCCATCTCTACTAAAAATACAAAAAAAAAAAAAAAAAAATCAGCCGGGCGTGGTGGTGGGCGCCTGTAATCCCAGCACTTGGGAGGCTGAGGCAGGCGCATCACTTGAGGTCAGGAGTTTAAGACCAGCCTGACCAACATGGAGAAACCCCATCTCTACTAAAAATACAAAAAATTAGCCGGGCGTGGTGGCTGGCGCCTGTAGTCCCAGATATTCGGGAGGCTGAGATGGGAGAATGGCGTGAACCAGGGAGGCGGAGCTTGCAGTAAACTGAGATCGCGCCACTGCACTCTAGCCTGGGTGACAGAACGAGACTCCGTCTCAAAAAAAAAAAAAAAAAAAAAGAACTGGGCTTCTTGCACAATCCTAAAGAATATTAATTTGGAATATTTTGGTTTTCATTTCATTTCAAAAGTTAAAATACAAAAAGTACATAAAATTGCATTACTATGTAGATGAAATCATGCTACTTCTCAAAGGTACAACATGGTAATTTAACTAGTTGAGAAAATTAGGAAGAGGATATCTCACAGTATTTTTAATCCACAAACAATTTTTTGTTAACTACAGAAAAGTATTGTGGTTTTTTAAGTTAAAGAGAACTTTAAAAAGCAAATAGGGGCTGGGCATGGTGGTTCATGCCTGTAATCCCGGCACTTTGGGAGGCCAAAGCGGGTGGATCATCTGAGGTTAGGAGTCCATGACCAGCCTAGCCAACATGATGAAACCCCGTCTCTATTAAAAATACAAAAATTAGCTGGGCGTGGTGGCGAGTGCCTGTAGTCCCAGCTACTCGGGAGGCTGAGGCAGGAGAATCGCTTGAACCTGGGTGGTGGAGGTTGCAGTGAGCCAAGATCACGCCACTGCACTCCAGCCTGGGTGACAGAGCGAGACTTCACCGCAAAAAACAAAACAAAACAAAAACAGCAAATAGGGACAACCATTGCAGTTCTCCATGAAGTAGGTGTAATCTAAGAAGAGAGTTCTTGAAGAGTTTGTCTAATGAAGTCTTCCTGTGGCCTGAAAGAGTATTTTAAATCAGTCATCAGTGTCTCTTTAAGTCTTTTCCACAAACCGTAATAGAGTTTAACTTGCTAAAGTGTAAATGATTAAAAATCCCGCATTTACAAGAAAATGCATAGGTTCTTTGATCCAAGCGTTGTAAACTCTGGAGTGCATTATAATCCCTTGGAGGGGCTTATTAGATGCTGACCTAATGGCTTGTGGACCTTACCTTAAGAAATTCTGTGCCTAGTCCCTTGGTTGTAGGTTAGGAAACTACTTCATGGCTGTCTGACAATGACTTGCTCAAGGCCACCCCACTATATGATTCTAGGGCACCAACCTTAACCATGCCTCCCACCTGTCCCACATCAGCATTCTTTTCCCTTCAACACCTGGTTCTTCTCTCTGAAATGGCTTTGGTTACTCTCAAATGCTTCTCGAATTGTTCACCCAGGACAAATGATATTCCCTTCATGGAAATAATTCCTAAATAGCTTCTCTTTCTTCCTTTAAGAGTTCTTTACAATCATTTTAGTCTATAAAATCAGAATTGTGTTTAAACCATTTATTATACAAAAATGCCCAGTTACAGACCTAGTACTATTTTTGTTTTTTATAATGTCTGGTTAAGAAATTCTCAAGAAGGCCGAGCATGGTGGCTCATGCCTGTAATTCCAGCACTTTGGGAGACCAGGGGTTGGGGCGGGGGGGGGGGGGGGGTGGATCATGAGGTCAGGAGTTCAAGATCAGCCTGGCCAATATGGTGAAACCCCATATCTACTAAAAATACAAAAATTAGCCGGGCGTGGCGGCGGACGCCTGTAGTCCCAGCTACTCAAGAGGCTGAGGCAGGAGAATCGCTTGAACCTGGGAGGCAGAGGTTACAGTGAGCCGAGATTGTGCCACTGCACTCCAGCCTGGGCGACAGAGCAAGACTCCAACTCAGAAAAAAAAAAGAAGAAAAAAAAAGAAACAAAGAAATTCCCAAACACTCAGGGTGAAGCCGAGAGGAGGTGAGTGGATCTGGTTAGTATATATTGTAGCTGAGACTCCAGGTTTATAGTGCCCATGATGTCCTCAGCTTAGATTTCAGCAGTTTCACTAGAGTGACTATAATTTCCAGAGCTACCAAATGCTACCCAGAGTCTGACCACATTACCAGAAATTTCAGATTAGATCTAGATTTAAACAGATACACCTAAACTTGGGGGTAAGGGGCTAACTTTTTTCTTGGTTAACATAACTTAATTTCAGTGTATTTCTCTTAAACACCTAGCTACACCAACAAGGTAGATGCTTAATAGTTCAGACACATTCTGAAGTTTATGCCTCAAAGGCAATCATAGGAATTCCAAGAGTGATTCATACACAAATAAATCTGTAACTTTCCAGCAGAATTATTTTTAAAACCTACCAAATATTACCTTTTCTTCTACAGGCTAGATTATTTCTTGCTTACCCATTGTACTGATAGCCAGGGAGAGCCAGGGAGAAGTATGATAATCAAACTCCATTCTATCTGCTAGCTCTGTCCTATTTTCTTCATGAAATTTTTATCAGCAATGATAAAATCAGCTTCTTGAGTATTAGTATGCTCCTTGTAGAGCTGGGAGGAGAAGGCAAAAAGCCAAAAGAGCAGAAAGAGTGGGAGACAAAAGAAGCAGAAAACTCGAAAACAAACAATATAATCCTAACCTCAAATAACCAAGACATGGCAACACTTTCAAATACTGAAAACTCCTTTACATTTGTAATTGTTTCACAATTTCTAGATATGTAATCAAGGAATAACACCCATTTTAAATTATTTCTTAAATCAAGAATTTGAAAAGTTTTTTGTGCCAGAAAAATGTTAATGTTTATAAATGCCTGAATAATTAACATTGACAAGGTATAACAAAAACATTTGATGTTTTTCTCACATACTTATAATGCTTATGGCTTGACTGGAATAATGACAAATAGGAGGAATACTTGGAAAATTTCACTGCGTGTGTGTAGGTTTAAGCAAAATATTTAACCGTTCTGGGCCTCAGTTTCTTCATGTGCACGTAGGGCTGTAAAGAGAGTATGATAATCTCTAAATTTCTTTCTAGTTCTAGGAGACAACAAAGTAAAATCTGCAAAGTATAACAATTAGGATCAACAAAATTCCTGCATGAATTCCAACATTTGCCATAACAATATATGGTTTTTCAGAAAGCTTAATATCTCTTTGTGGTATTTTTGTTTTTAAGTATTGTGTTAATATACAGCATTAACTTAAATGTTATGCTCTAATCAGCAGCTTGGATGACCTTAGAGTTTTACAACTGAAACGCATTGAATCGATCCAGTAAAACATATTTGGGATTTTGCCATTGCAAATCCAGCTTTACGATTTACTGACAACAAATGGACTAAAGGAAATCTGTGTCTGCAACATCCAACACTGGCTCTGCTATCTCTCTATCCATACTTGAGGCAATGAATGATCTTTCTGCAGCCAGCTATTGAAATTTTCAATCGTGAAATTAATTTCATTCTTTTACCCAGATATGCAGATATCCAGGTCAACATTTTCTGGAAACATATTAAATGGAGTGGCACAGAAGGTTGTACAGGGCAACAAAAATGGCAATTTTGGACAATTCAACGAGACGTACAGCCAGATCACAACTCTTTCACAGCTTCACTATAAAACTCCCAGCCTCTAAAAGGAAAATCTCTCGTGATGCAAGAGAAATAAGTGGGAGCTGTACCAAAGTACATTATATTGTGACACAAAAAGCATAAATCGTGTGTGTATGAAAATCATAAGCCCTAAGCTTTAGAGAGAGTTGTGCAATTGACAATCAAATGGAGCTTAAAGGGAATTAGGAGGTTTTCAACTAAAGTCTTGAAATAAAGAAAGTAATATTTTACGGCAAAAAATTGCAAGTGTCAAGTTTAAATCATAAGACTTTGCACCATTGAGCTACTAGCTAGTTCTATAGCTTCTTCAGTCCTTAACACAGGGAAAGACCAACTTTCATGCTTGATAAAACTTAAGAACTTTAGAAATACATTTAAGAACATAATTCATGTATTTGTGACTTTTTCCCTCCCTAAATGGCTAATTGTAGAAGAAAAATGAGTGAGCATAAGAACTTCTTGGATGGTGACCTATTCCCCCATTTGCTTTAGACTCTCATGAATTCTTGTGTTTTTTAAATAGGGCTGCCACCAATTTGGTCATTCGAAGAAAAGGCGGGTCTCAGGAATATGGATGGCTGTCCTCCCTTTCCCCTTCAGATGTCAGCCGCATCTACTCCTGCTTTTGGAAAACCCCAGGGCAAACGGACCTGCCAGGCAGCCAACCAACCACCAGCCCCCGTGAAAGGCTGGAACCCAGCTGCCCAATTCGGTTGCTCCTGTCCAAAGCCAGACAGGTGGCAACCCAGATTGAATCTGTTGTTGTGGGAATGATTTGATTCACAAACAAGGTTATTAAATTTTATATGGAGACACAGGCGAAAGTCACAAGATCCTGGAGAGAAAGACCTGATTCACATAAATTTATCTTAATAGCTGTGAATTCGGGAGCATAAAGCAGAAAAAAAATTAATGGAAAGGCATTTCACCTCCTCCGTTTGCCTGCTCTCCTCCACTCCCCGGCACATAATATGCCCACACACACACATACATCAACAACTGCCATGACTCCATCCAGCCTTTTGCAGGAGGAGCCCAACACATTGATCTGAGCCTGTTTTGACATATAAACTCCAATTTGGCCCCAAGTCACTGCGAGTGGACACTGCCACCAACGTCTCTGACACTAGGTTATTTGTTGTTGCTGTTCGCTGTCCCTGTTTGCACATTAATCCAGTAACAATTAGGTGTCAGCGAGCGTTGTTTCTGCTTAGCTGATAGCCTTGGGCTCTGCGCTTGAAGCCCTAATCAGGAGTGTAAACTCTGCTATATTTCAATTTGGAGAAGCGCTCTTCCGCTAAGAGGCCCCTGGCACTGCGATAAATAAAACGCCTATTTACTCTATTGCCACACTTAGACATCTAATGCACTTACTACCAGCCCCCTAATCATAGCCTACAGTTAAAACCGCCTATAAATCACTCCGTTCTCATCCTGCACATTAGTGAAGCCATTTTCCCCAAACCCCACAATGAGCACTGTTTCCTTTTCTTGTTAGTCAAAAGCCAGATGATTTTTATTAGGTTAAAGACGAGTTCACAGATGGTAAATCGCGTGGAGAGAAATGAGCTGGAGAGTTACACCGAGTCAACGCGGGACACGGCTCCCGGCCCGGGCCGGGCCAGGGGTGGGAGGCGGTTCCCTACCGCAGGCGGCGGGACTCCCATGCGCCGAGGGACCCAAGTCTCCACTCCACCCACACGCCCACCCGGCGTCGGGGCGCTGCGGCCTCGCCTCACGAGCCCAGAGCAGGCCGCAGCCTGGGCTGGGGATCCGGCACCTGGGCAGGGTGAGCTTGGCCGGACATCCTCCTCCAGGACTACCCGCACCCCACAGTCGCGTCAAAAGCGCCCCATCCCCCTGTCTCTCGCCGCGCAGGTTTCCCACCGACGCCCGCTCGGAAGGCGAGAGCCCCCACGTGGCCCGGCGCGGCGCGGCCCCCGGGGACCGCGAGCAACAAAAGCCCGGCCCGCAGCCCCTGCTCCTCGCCTTCCTTTTCAATTCTCCCCTGATCTCAGGTGGAATTAGGAGGATTAAAGCAGCAAGTAAATGAGGCGAGTGTGCAAAATGACTCCTTTCTGAACCAAACGGCATGCTCCGTGCTGGGGAAATGAGATGCACATTTAAATCTCATCCATCCACCGCCTGCGGCCACCGCCATGTACCTGCCTACTTAGCCCAAGGGTTAATTAATTGAGGCTTCAATGCACTATTGCAAGAGCATTATTGCATTTGATACTCTACATCTGTGATTTAAAACTCTTTCAGTCCCTTGTCAGCAAGGGAGGGTTTTTAACTAGGAAATTAGCATTCAGATAAGGGAACGCTCTATTTGCTTCTGAAAGGAAGGAAATATTAAGGATGCTGGTGCACAAACCGGGCTGTCATATCCTGTCCCATCCTGGAGGGAGCGCGAGGGCCCGGCTCCTCTGGGAGTGGCGGCGACAGGGCGTCGTGCAATGGACGCCAGCACCAGGGGCGGGCTGGAGGGGGACCGGCGATCAGGGAAACCTTACTCCTCGCAGGCTTCAACCTGCTGGGGCGTGTTTACGTCCGCAAAGTCCGATAATATATTTTGTCCCCACTTCTTAGGAGCTGATTCTTCTTAAAATGCATTGCCACGTTATCTCTAACGTTGGCTTTCTGACTTCCCCGCGGGGCTCGGAGGAAGTAACCCAGTTTCTTAAGGAAAAATGAGAGATAAACATCACAACAGAATTCTAATGACACTGCAACAAAATCAGGTACAACATTGCTGTTAGTGATTATCTTTATTATTTTAAGTATTGGACTCAAGTGCTAATACGCTAACGAATACAAAGAACAGCAACAAAAAATAGTGGCTCACAAGCTCACATTCTGGATCAGAAACCAGTTAGAATTATGTGACCTAACCACGTCGTGTTTTTTTATTATTTTTTATTTTATTTTATTTTTTGAGACAGAGTATCGCTGTGTGGCCCAGGCTGGAGTGCAGTGGCGCGATCTCGGCTCACTGCAACCTCTGCCTCCCGGGTTCAAGCGATTTTCCTGTCTCAGCCTCCCTAGTAGTAGCTGGGACTACAGGCCTTGGCCACCACGCCCGGCTAAGTTTTCTGCAGTTTTAGTAGAGAAGGCATTTCGCCACGTTGGCCAAGCTGGTCTTGAACTCCTGCCTCAAGTGATTCGCCTGCCTCGGCCTCTCAAAGTGCTGGGATTATAGGCATGAGCCACCTTGCCCGGCTAAGTTTTCTGTAGTTTTAATAGAGACACGGTTTTGCTTTGTTGGCCAAACTGGTCTCGAACTCCTAGCCTCAAGTGATCGGCCCACCTGGGTCTCTCAAAGTGCTGGGATTATAGGTGTGAGCCACCAGGGCGCCTGCCTGTGGTGTAATCCTGTTGTAATGTCTGATGTAGACATAGTTTTTATGTAAAATGACTACATGATTATATTCTGGATTCTCAGGCCAAAATGAACGAAAGAAAGAAAAGAAAAGAGAAGAGAAGGAAAGGAAAAGAAAGAAAAGCCTTTGGTGCTTGCTCACTACAAAATGAACAAATTGCAAGTGGAAAGGAAAATGTTTCCTTTTTTGAGTCCCTTCATACCTAGTGGAATTTGGAAAACTTAGGAATCCTTCAATAACAAACACTTTGCCAAGTGCAAGGACTTGGAATTTCTTCTCTACTGAATCTACTGAACCATGGGTCTTAATTAGGTGAAACAGCATCACCTACAGTGGGATTTGGTTGGGACCCCCAAGTCAATAATTTGATTGAATAAAGCTCTTTGGAATTTTCATGAGTTGGGCAGAAGATGGGGAACTGGATTTGATGGGGTTTATGTGTGTGTATGTGTGTGTACATGACATCAGTTCTGTACTACTTTCTCATAATGGTCCAATTCTGTCTTTAGGTAGTTCTTGCTGAATAATCTTACTGGTAATTACCCAGAAGTCTCCCTGGCTAATCATCACCTACCTTGCTCAAATTTTACTCTTCTACTTCTTGGTAGCATTACAAAAAAAGAGGAATCAGACAAAGCTGGTGATAATAACAAGAAATAATAGATGGGCTGTGTGTTTGACTTATGGTTTAGCTGTTTCCATTCAAACCTGGAATCCCAGTGCCAATATATGAGTTGCATTTTGTTTCTAAGGGCCAAGTACTCTAACTTTGTTATGTACATAGCGTTTCAAGTGTTTCATAATACACCTAGTCTGTATAACTTTGTCTCATTGGTGGCAGTCACCTTTCTGCTACCACACACAGAGAGACCAGATACTTTCCATTATTTTAAAACTGCTTGATATAATCCTTTAGAAGTAAGAAAACTAGAACTTGCTTTTCAGTCAGCTCTGCAACACATTTTCCCTGCATTGCTCACACTGGTTCATTATGGGAAGGCTTTTCCCCCGTCTCCTAGGTGGTCTGCATTGGGGTCTTCAAAATAAAAGAGCACCACAGGAAGAGTGCACAGCATTTCTGAAGAGAAGAAACGCACAAGTGACTCAATAAGCTCTGAAGATTGATAAAATGAAATGGTGAAGTTTTGAATCTACATACTTGACAGCTATGCTTGGAGACATTCAATGACATCAGTCTCCTAAGATTACTCTACTTTCACAACAGAAAGAGAGGTCTGTTATTTGGAGCGGCTTATAGGGCCAACTGGATGCCACCTGGTATTTGGAAAGGAACATGGAGCTGAGTATTGAATGGTTTGGATTACAATACGTATAATTTGAGCACCTTTCTTTAGGGTGGGCCCAACAAACTTATATTATGCAACAAATTCTATCCAAAATAAGAATATAATAAAACAGAAAACTAAAATGGCATTCTCTCTAGGAAACTGGTACCCAGGAAACCTTTTCCACCATAAGGAAAGGACTCTGAATATCTAAGTCTGCAGAGAGTAAATTAGCCACAGAATTCCTCTAAGTTACAGGCCCACTCCTTGCCGCCCCACACCCAAATCCCTTCCAGCTCCATTTCTCTCTAGGTCCAGCTGGAATTTCTCTTGCTGGTTCACACCCTCAGTGGTTCCCTTTGTAGAGTGAGAGGGAAAAAGGAACATGTTCCTCTTTCCTAATACCATGTTGTTCCAGACAGAAGCAGAGACAGTGTTTCATCTTGTCTATCTTGCTGCTCCTTCACTGTGCAATTCGCAAAATAGGCTCTGCACGAATCACTTGTGGGATCAACAAGTGAAGTCCCATTATGACTCAAGGAACTGTTCCAAATGCCTGGAAGGCAGTTTTATTATACTGAAAAAAAAAACAAACCTAAAAAGTGGGCCATAACCTTGGGTTGACAGATTTTCAGTGCACACTAATGTGTGTGGTGAGCTTTGCCCTGCGGAGCTCCTGAGGGGCAGCAAGAAGAGAGGATGGATGGGAGGCAGCTTGGAGCTCCTGATTCTGAGGTGGCCAGCTGCAGTGAGACCAGTGCTATAGACTTTCTCATGTGAAATCTGCTTAGCAATGTGACAGGAAAATAACAATTTATTTAAAAATTCACCTCGGTCTCTCTTTACATAGGAACATGGGTTTTTTGTCCATGCAATTTTTGTTTTGGCTTTTGCTTCTTGGTAGGATTTGATTCTCATGAAGGAGGCTAAATGGTTGGCTTGGATAGTGAGGAGTGTCACTCCATAACTCACCTATCGTAGAGCTGGCTCTAAAGGTGGTGCCTCACAAATGGAGAAACAAAGGTCTTGCCTTCTGGCAATTCTGTTTTGTGAACTGCCCCTTTTGAACGTGGGTCCTTAGCTTCCTCTTGACTTCGAATATACCAGGTAAGACTACAACTCTTTTGCCAAGCAAAAGATGCTAATAATTAAATGATTCCCTGCTACATTTTTTTTTTTTTTTGAGACAAGAGTCTCATTCTGTCGCTGGAGTAAAGCAGCACAATCTCGGCTCACTTCAACCTCCACCTCCCATGTTCAAGTGATTCTCATGCCTCAGCTTCTCAAGGAGCTGGGACTACAGGCACACGACACCACACCTGGCTAATTTTTGTATTTTTTAGTAGAGATGGGGTTTCACCATGTTGGCCAGGCTGGTCTTGAACTGGCCTCAAGTGATTCGTCCGCTTCAGCCTCCCAAAGTGTCGGGATGACAGGTTGTCAGCCACTCTGCTTGGCTGGATTTCCCCAGTTCAGAAGCTAAAGTGTGGATTAAAGTTCCCAATTCATCTCTTCCTACCTTGGGTAGAAGGGACATAATTCTATTATTTGTTCCTAGGCTACATACACATAACAGACAGAGTTCAGGAGGCAGTTCCTGGAAGATTCATTAGTAAAAGCCAGAAGAAGATAAATCCAAGAGCCACTTCAAATTTTCTCCAGAATTTAGTGGGACAGAAATGTAAGTAATAAACACAAAGATTAATAGATGAGCAAGTATATAAATTTTCTTGGTAGCAAAGGAGCCTCATGATGAAAGTTTTCGATAATAACATTCTTTTAAAAAGAAGTCTTACTTTGGTAAACATCAATGGAAAGATGTGTGAGTGATTTTTAAGTCAAGGTGACTCTTTTTCGGAACGGAGAGGGCAGTTTATTTGCTTTAAAAACAATGCAAATCTGCCGGTCGCGGTGGCTCACGCCTGTAATCCCAGTACCTTGGGAGGCCGAGGCGGGTGGATCACGAGGTCAGGAGATGGAGACCATCCTGGCAAACAAGGTGAAACCCCGTCTCTACTAAAAATACAAAAAATTAGCTGGGTGTGGTGGCGGGCGCCTGTAGTCCCAGCTACTTGGGAGGCTGAGGCAGGAGAATGGCGTGAACCCGGGAGGCGGAGCTTGCAGTGAGCCTAGATCGCACCACTGCACTCCAGCCTGGGCGACAGAGCGAGACTCCATCTGAAAAAACAAACAAACAAACAAACAAACAAAACACAAAAACACACACACACAAAAAAAAACAATGCAAATAGAATTGGAAAGTGCCAGATTCTCAATGGAAAAGAAAAATGCAGCAATTAAAAAGCCTTCAATAATGTTTTCCCCCCTTAGTAAAAGAAAAGCAAACTCACACAGAAGCTTCTACAGAAGTGCCCTGCTAACAGCCTGTAAGAAAAGCAGCAGGCATCACTGGGGATTCAGAATCTCAAGGTTCTTCCAGTCAAGACAATCTGGAAAGAGATTATTTTATTAACCACACCCCCAAAGTTGGCCCTGTTAGCAAGTGTAATAGGACTTTTTTCAGTTTCATAAAATATCTTGATAACTGGAAAGTGCCAGTTAATGGTACCCTGTTCCAACTATGAATTTCCCAAAGATTAATATACCCCTTTAGGTTTCTTAAGATTCCATCAGGACGCCTCCCCTAGTCTTGGGTGTTTTACAATCTCAGTGGGCACGAAGCTCAACTGAAACTACCTTTCAACAGCTTAACTGTCATCTTCATCTTCTTCTGGCATAAAAATACATATTTTCCCATAATAAAGATTTTTTATAATAGCAATAAAGTAACTCCAGAGAACATGGTTGTCTTGAGATAGCTTAACTCTGTCTGGTGTCTCATAACGCCCCGGGGATACAGCAGGCCCATAATACTCCCTTTTGCTGCCGTGTCTTTGCTTAATTAAGGAATAAAGCCAAAAGGTCAATGCTGGAGAAAAATGTAAATCTTCAAAACTTTTCATTCTTGACCTAAACTCTGTGTTGTAAAACCTCAGTAATCTCTGTAACAAGCAGTACACCACCCAGCACAGATACCAGAATATGCATTACATCTTTAAAATATGGTTTTGACACTATGAAAACAAATTCCTGACCTCTGGACTTGGAATTATGATTCTGACTTTTTAGAGAGAGACCTTCACAAACCATCCACTGATCCCCAGTGAATGGAAAGCACTATAGCAGAAGCCATCTCCTTCATCAAACATGATTTGTCACTGTATTTCAGAGCATCACTGTGTTGACTCTTATACAGCTAGAAAGTGAGAAAGTGAGGTTTGTGTGTTTTTGTGGGGAGGAAAAATGAATATGTATATTCATCTCTATGGCTTATTTGTTATTCCATTGCTGCTGTGAGTGCAAAATATGATTTCAGCTCCAATCGTTTTATGAGTTCACTGATTATGTTCCATCATAATGAGCAAGGTGGTTTGGACATTGGTTTAGTTTACAGGAGCTGCAATCATTTGCTATGGAGATTTACAGCCTATAATATAGGCACCATACTCAAAATGGATATTTCTGACCAATGATACTCATTTTAAATAGGAGCTATTCAATCTCTAAACTGATTTGTTAGAGCTGATGCAATGAAATAATAAATATTACTTGCTTTCAAGAAATAGAACCTTCTTACCACATTCATGGCTGTGCTAATTGAAGGAAAAGTGTTATTCCATTATGGAACTAATTAAATGTCATCTGCTTCTCTCTCAGATTAATAAATGGACAGACAGATGCTACGTTGATCAATTAATGTTGTGATAGATCAATCAATTGATTTGGACCTAGATAATATGTATTTATGGAAGACAGAGAATGATTTATTTATTTTTTTCTAGCAAATAAGAGAATCCAAATGTGACTTTATTCTATAAATGGGAACAGATGATGAGCAAAGAGTTGCCATTGTAGTCTTGCTGTGAAAAAGAAAATTCATCCTTCTTCTTTTGCTTACATATTCAGCAGACATTATGGCTCAATAAAAATGGGGTGTTTAAATATTTGATAAACATGGGTAGAGCAATGCATTGCTAAAACTGCTAGAGTAGCCTGGCAGATTCTCATGGAAACATAAATTTGCCTGCATACAAATGGAACTGTTTGGTAATTCTGCCTTTAAAATTACCCCTCTCTCTCCTCTCTCTCACATTTTTCTTTTCAACTGTTATTTGATAGGGCTTGGGCTTTCACTGGATAGGATTTAAACTGTGCAAACTGTCAGCTTTGCTAACCACATTAAATGGACCTCGCACTAGTGCCTAGACATTTGCAGGCTTCTCTTCGCTATCATCCAGCAGAAGCAACCAGAGAGGGTTCTCAAGCTCTATTGATTTTACATCATTGACACACTTCTTACATCAATCTGAAAGTCAAGCACAGTAAACTTATCACCAAATATGGAAGACTCTTCAGGTTGGTCTATACCCATCTTCTGCAGTAAAAACTGACTCTGCCATGCCCCAGCGGGGAGGCTGGCCCTGGCAGTAGGTTATGGGAGTCCCTTTTATCAACATGGTGTTTCAGCTGGGCAGATAGAAGTGGCATCTGGTGGACAGAGGGATGCCAAAGAGGGAGGTGCATGGCTGACCATGAGGATTGCCAAATGCCAGCATTTTATCTTGTTGGTTTCTGGATCTCAAGGATAGAATATAGAAAAACCCAAAAAAAGGTACAATTTCTCTCTCTCTCTCTCCCTCTCTGAGTGTGTGTGTGTGTGTGTGTGTGTGTAATTTTTAACAATTGTTGAGCATGGCCTCCCCTTCATGATACTGTAAGCCTGTTTGCTTCTAAAATCCATAAGCCACAAATGAAGCCATGGGATTTATAAAGGAAAATGAGTGACATGCTTGGCCAATGATCAATGGCTTTTAGTAAAATTTGATGAAGAGTAGGATTATTAGGGCTGGGCATGGTGGCTCATGCCTATAATCCTAGCACTTTGAAAGGCCAAGGTGGGTGGATCACTTGAGCCCAGGAGTTTGAGACAAGCCTGGGCAACATGGCAAAACCCTGTCTCTACGAAAAATAAAAGAAAAAATTAGCCTGACTTGGTGGCATGTGCCTGTAGTCCCAGCTGATGGGGAGGTTTAGGTGGGAGGATTGCTGGAACCTGGGAGGTCTAGGTTGCAGTGAGCTGTGATCACACCACTGCACTCCAGCCTAGGTGACAGAGCAAGATCCTATCTCAAAAAAAAAAAAAAAAAAAAAAAAAAAAAGAGTAGGATTATAGCAAGGATCATGGAATGTGGAATTCACTCAGCAAACATAGAGACTGTTGGAGAGGTTTGTGTTTAGGGAGTTGTCAAATAGATAAATATACTCTCTGAGTACCTGCTAGATGCCATGCATGGAACAAACCCTACAAATAAGCAGCAGCAATTGTGCTGAATTATGATTATGAGAATAGAAAATGCTCTGTCTAGACCAAGGTGTCTCAAAGTTTGGGGCACTCGAACAGCAGCTTTATGCCCACAGCAGCTACCTAGGGCCCATCATTCAGACTGAGTTAGGTTGGCAGGAGTAGGGAGGGAGGTAACGGTGAGACAGAAAGGAAGGTGGGAAAGGAGGGGCGAGGTCAGAATCACGCAGTTTTAAAAAGGCATCTCAGATACTGAGTCTAAGGATGCTGGTCTATGCCATCAGTCCTCATGTTAAATGAGAGCAAGACTGTCCCTTGAGATCTGTGTTCCAATTTTATTTTGTTCTCTAGTGCAGTGGTCCCCAACTTTTTTGGCATAAGCAACCAGTTTTGTGGAAGACAGTTTTTCCATGGATGTTGTTGGAGGGGATGGTTTCAGGATGAAACTGTTTCACCTTAGATCATCAGGTATCAGATTCTCACAAGGAGCACACAACCTAGAGCCCGCACATATGCAGTTCATAATAGGGTTTGAGCTCCTATGAGAATCTAATGCCACCACCGATCTGACAGGAGGTGGAGCTCAGGCGGTAATTCTTGCTACCCTGCCGCTCACCTCCTGCTGTGCCGCCCGGTTCCTAATGGTCCTGCAGACCAGTACCAGTCTGTGGCATGGGGGCTGGGGACCTTTGCCCTAGTGCATCCGTTTCCTATGGCCACTGTAACAAATTACCACAAATTTAGTAGCTTAAAACAAGACACAGTTATTACTGGACAGTTTTAGAGGTCAGAAGTCTGAAATCAGTATCACTGGGCTGAAGTTGAGGTGTTGGCAGGGTCATCCTCTAAGGGAGAATCTGTTCCCTGCCTTTCCCAGCTTTTAGAGCTGCGTTCCTTGCATTGCTTGGCTCATGGCCCCTTCCTTCACCTTCAGGGCACCAGCGCAGCATCTCCTCTCTCCAACGGTGCTTCCCTCTGCTCCTGCCACACAGCCTTCTCCTCTTCTGTGTCAGAGCTCCCTCTGCCTTGCTTGTGATTGCATTGAGGGCCCACTGGTCTAACCCAAGATCATCCCCTCATCTCAAAACCCTTAATTTAATCACATCTGCAAAGTGTCTTCTACCATCCAAGGTAATAGTCTGTCATAGGTTCCAGGGATTAGGACATTGATACCTTTGGGAGCCTTATTCAGCCTATCACACCAAGTGGTGGTGTCTTTCTTAAAGTCACATTTATAAAGTCAGGTGTAACTAACACAATAAAATTCACTCCCTTAAAGTATACAGTGTACAGTTTGATGAGTTTTGACAAAAGTACACAGTTGTGTAACAGTTATCACGATCAAGAAACAGAACATTTCCATTACCCGAAAAAGTTTCCTTCTGTCTCTGTGTAGTGATCTGTCTCTTGCCCCAGTAATTTTGCCTTTTCCAGAATGTCATATAAATATAATCCTATGTATCCAGTTTTGTGTGTCTGGCTTTTTTCACTTAGCATGATGTTTTTGAGATTTATCCATGTAGCCATGTGTCATTCATTCCTTTTTGTTGCTGAATGATATTCCATTGAATGGAATTGTGTATTTATTCACCAGTTAACAATATTTGGGTTGTTTCCTGTTGGGAACAATTTTAAGAACCTGCTAAGCTGTTTTCCAAAGTAGCTGTATGATTTTGCATTCTTACTAGCAGAGACTTTCTTTTTAATTTCAGCAACCCTTATGGGTGTGTACTGAGATCTCATGGTAGTTTTAATTTGTGTTTCCCTGATACCCAATGGTTTCGAACATCCTTTCATGTGCTAATTAGCTATTTGTTTATCTTCTTTGGTGAAGTGTCGTTTCAATTTTTTTTTTTACCTGTTTTTAATTGGCTTGTTGGTCTTATAAATTGTCAAAGTTTTTTTATACATTCTAGATTCAAGTTCTTTATCAGATATATGCTATGCAAATATTTCCCCTCACTTGTAGCTTTCAACTTAATATCATTTTTTAAGTTGGCAATTAGGGTTCACAAAACCTGAAGTGGACTCATAATACAAACCTTTAGAGATGAAAGTGTTTTAAAAGTAAAACTATACATACATCATAGAATGCTATGTAGCCATAGAAAAGAATGAAATCATGTCCTTTACAGGAACATGGATGAAGTTGGAGGCCATTATTCTTAGCAAACTAACGCAGGGACAGAAAAACAAATACCGCATGTTCTCACTTATAAGTGGGAACTAAATGATGAGCACACATGGATACACAGAAGGGAACAATATACAGTGTGGGGCCTATGGGAGGGTGAAGGGTGGGAGGAGGAAGAGGGTCAGGAAAAATAACTACTGGGTACTAGGCTTAATACCTGGGTGACAAAATAATCTGTACAACAAACCCCCATGACACAAGTTTACCTCTATAACAAACCTGCACATGTACCCCTGAATGTAAAATAAAAGTTAAAAAAAAAACTAAAACTAAATTAACATGCATACATTTTTAGACTCTAATCTTGATCTTAAAGTTAGTTGCCTGAAAATGAAGTCATCTGGATCCCAGACTCCCGCTTTTTATTTTCCAGCTATATGACTGAAAAATTCCATTTCTTAAGCTGTAATTTTCATGGGGCCCAAAACAGCATTTGTTATTCTCTCAACATTTGGCTCTACAGCAGTTGTAAAATGCTAATCACGGTGCTGAGCTGACATTCCTCGGTGACATTGGCATACCACAAAAAAGCATTTGGCAGGATCTGGATCTATACATACTGAAGTTGTTTATTTATTTTTATTTAAGAAACAGACAAGTTAATTTCACCTCCATTTAGGACACAGAAAAGAGTCAATGTTTGCCAAGTCGAAAAACACAAAATTGATAAAGGGAAAAAAAACGCATTTTCAAGCCTCTAAAATGGAATTAGAAACAGGAGAGTGGGGGAAAATGTTATACATATGGCTAGAGTATCCCTCTTAAAATTGCCTCAGGCTTCTCCTTGAAAATCTTGTTTCTTGAAAGTTCCCTACCAGAAGATTCTGTCCCATGCTAAGAATAGAATGCAACTTCAAAATAGCTGGCTGGCATTTTCAATGACTGGGCACTGTTTTTAAAACATTCTGTGACTTGAGAGTTGGGGTGAAAATACTGAAAATTGGAATGTACAATTTACTTCCTACTAGAAATACATCTTTGTCTGAAAAAGCTTTTACAGCCTTATTTTAACACCCTGAACCTCAACAGCCTGTCTTCTGGGGGGTTGGGGGGAGAAACGTGGAAGTAATGTTCTGAAAGCCAGACCCCTCATCTCTTGGGTGAGGGCGCTCCAATCAGGAGGAGGGGTAGATTCCTGTTGTCCTATTTTGGTGCAAGAGCAGGGACAACCAGAGAAGACCCTTCCCTCGGACACTTGCCCCAACATTGTTGCAAGGGTGCACAGAGAGAAATGTTATCAAACCATCTAATTCTGCCCTCCTGTCAGCCTGACAGGGACTTCGAATGCACAACTGGCCCAGAGCTGATTACCTTCAGGTGCGGTTAGGTTGAGTTAAAAATTCCATTAGCAGTGCACAGGCCTTGGGAACAAGGTTTCTCAGGGGTGGGCTTCTTCTACTTAACAAGGAAGAAATGGCTTCTCATGTCACAGTTATCGCAGGGAGAGGACTCTGGTTTGTTTACACTCTGCGGAGGAGTAGAGCCTCAGCTCTGCAGGCCTGGAGGCAGAGGCCAGCACAAGCCAGAGTGGGAGCACACTTTTCAGAGAGGAGACGGTGCCCCCAGCCATCGCGCCAGCGGGAAAGGCAGGGCCCCCTTAAGCGCAACCTTGAGCCACTCCCATGAATCACCCACCCCCGGTTCTCAACCTAATTGTTTTTCATTTTCTCATAATAACCCTCCTCCCTCACCCTAAACCAAACACTGAAGAGTTGCCCTCTATTTGCGAAGCTCCAAGGCGTGCGGGAGAGGCAAGTGCTGTTTGCTACTCCCTGCCTTGCTTTTAATTTTATTCTAGTAGGAAATCATTTAGACCATCAAAGTCCCATCCTCCTTCTTTGAGGCTTTTGGGCTTGAATAGCTCATAGAAGTACTTCCCTCAGCCTCAATATTTTAATGCATGCTTGATTGCAATGGTTTTAAAAAGAAAAGGAAAAAGAGGGGGACAAGCAAACAGGCAAATTCGGGACAAAACCAGGCATTTGAAAAGATCCTTTAGGTTGAGCTGTTTTTTCACTCAGGCAGCTTCTCGTATTGCTGATATTGTTTCATGATCAGGGCTTGCATTCTCTGTTTCCCTCCTCATCTGCACACTTAAACTGTTCATTAGCTGAGAATGGGACATCCTGGGAAAGGGAGAAACAAACAAAGCAGCCCGGGGAGCTGGGAGAACAGCTCTTTCTCCTGGGTTGTTGCCCTGGGCTTTCCTAGGAGCCCTGGCCAGTTCCCCTGGGGTCCCGCAACAGTTTAAACAGAGTCCTTAGCAGCTAGGGGCAGCAGGGGGCATGCGGGTGGTGGTGGGGGCAGGAGGATGGAGATGGAGGGAGAGAACTGGAACCCCATGCAGGCTCTGAGCAAACACCCTCTTGTAGCTTCCCACTGACCTCATAGCCTGGCATTCAGGGGGCTCCATTGATCTGTCAGATATTGGCATGATGGTTTGTGCACTTAGCACAAACATCGATCAAAATGTGGCTGAGGAGCTATGACCAGTTCAAAGCTATGGTGTGCCCAGGTACAAGGACCCAGAACCACTCATATCACATGGCCTCAAGAGAGGTCCAGAAACACCTTTTGAAAAGGCCACGGGGGACCCCATCATGGGGGCCTTTAGTGCTTGTGACTTCAAAAAAGTCACCATACACAGAACTACCTTCTGGGCTGTTCCCGGATTGGCACTTTTTTTTTTTTTTTTTTTTTTTTGAGACAGGGTCCCACTCTGTCACCCAAGCTGGAGTGCAGTGATGCAATCATGGCTCACTGCAGCCTTGACCTCCCGGTCTCAAGTGATCCTTCTGCCCCAGACTCCAGATTAGCTGGGACCACAGGCATCTGCCACTATGCCAGGCTTTTTTTGTTTTTTGTTTTTTTGTGTGTTTTTTAGAGATGGCATTGCACATGTTGCCCAGGTATGTGTTGCCCAGGCTGGTCTGGAACTCCCAGCCTCAAGCCATCCGTCCACCTCAGCCTCCCAAACTGTTGGAATTACAGATGTGAGCCAGGGTGCCGGGCCCGGATTGACACTTATTGGTGTGTCTTGTTCCCCCACTGAGATGTGAGCCCCTTGAGGTCAGGGGCCTTGCATCACTGTCGCTGCATATCTAGGCTAGAACACACCTGTCTTGGGAAGGTGTTCAGTGCCTGCCGCAAGGAAGATAAGCTGGCAGTGGAACAGGAGGAGGAGACCCTCATGGTGCAGCTGCAGGTGGAAACATGGTTTTAAGAGAACACTGAGCCACCTGCTGGTGTCCACACAAAGCTCTGCTCCCACTGACCCCTCAAAGAACAAAGGACAAGAGAGGCTCCTCCAGGTCTGAGAGGGCAAGGGGCCAGCAGGTCAGGGTGTGGGAGTCAGCTGAGTCTGGCTGACTTGCCTTCAGGTCTATTTCCGGCCCTCCAGACGGCCTCCGGGGGCATCATGGAAGATGCTGAGGATGATTTCTCGGCCCTCTCCCTCTGTTATTTGGCCCCAACCACTGCAGGTCCTGCCTTGGGGTTTAGGCATTTGGTACGTTTTAATCTATGGCTATCAGCAGGGTCACTACGTTTTCAGGTGGAAATATATACTGATGATTACCATGGATATTGCCAACAAGGCGGACCACCCTCTCAGTCAGAAGATTCTTCAGGAAACTTCAGGAAAGACAGCACCGTGGACAGGAGGAAGAAACCCTCCTCTGCTGCCACAGCCCTGGGTATCCAGTGGTGCGAGTCTCTGCCATGGCCCATGGCTTCCTGTGCTGGGGTCCAGACACCTGCCTGAAGGAGATGTGGGGCATGAAGATTATTTTTTTATTATCTTCTTAAATATGTGGCTGTGGGCCAGGCACGGTGGCTCATGCCTATAATGCCAGCACTCTGGGAGGCCGAGGCGGGTGGATCACAAGGTCAGGAGTTTGAGACCAGCCTGGCCAACATAGTGAAACCCTGTCTCTACTAAAACAAACAAACAAACAAAATTAACTGGGTGTGGTGGCAGGTGCCTATAATCCCAGCTACTCGGGAGGCTGAGGCAGGAGAATCGCTTGAACTTGGAGGGGCAGAGGTTGCAGTAAGCTGAGATCAGGCCATTGCGCTCCAGCCAGGGCCACACTTCGAGACTCTGTCTCAGAAAAAAAAATGGGGCTGTCTCTCCCATTCCTGGCATGAAAGGTACCTACTTTCTGTGGGCTCACCTCCCTGTGTTCGATCCTTTCAGCCAGTTCCTCTCATGCTCTGGGCGCCTTCTCTCCTCCCCACATCTGTTTACATCACAGCTCCCCAGCCCCACCTCCACCCCAAGGAGTGACCAGACTACAAACGCTCTTGCCAGCCAGGGCGGTCCTCTTGGCTGCCAAAGCTCTGTGCAATTGCAGTCACAGACAATCAGATTAAATGTCCTATCACCCGGCATTGATCAGATTAGCAACCTTGTGACTATTCATTAATTGTATTTTCTCTTGGAGCCTGGTTCAACTCAATACCCAGTGCATTGTTGGTGGCATAAAAAGTAAACACAAATAGGATGTTTGTTACATTTTAGAATAAACTGTCTGCTACTTTTTCAAAACAAAGTAGAAGAGGATAGAGAGGTTAATGCAATGTTAATTTTCGTGAGGCAATATAGTTAAACTAGGAGATTTCCCAAGAGTCATTAACATTCTGTAAAAGGCCTTTTAGAATTCCTGTGTCCTCAGCGCTTCAGGAAACCCCCTGCTACCTTGGTAAATTTGGCCTAGGTCCCCCAGGGCCCACCTTTTTTGTGTGGTAGAAGTCACAGAGGGCAGGCCCAAACTCTTGAAGTGAAGGGGAAAAGAAATCAGGGTGTTTATGTATGTGACTGGAGAAGTCTCACGTACGATTGTCCCGGATTTAAACATATAGGAAGAGGACGAAGGCTACCAAGGGTGTTTCCCTGCCTCAGACGCCCAAAGCCCAGAGACCCAGCCCCGCTCCCTGGGTGCACGCAGAGCCCCACCGAAGGATGCTGGCGTCCCGTGGGAGAGGGATGCCGTGGGAGGACCTGCTTCGCCCTGATTTCCACACATCTCTCTGCTGTCCCACCTGACCACAAGAAGAACCCGAGGCCCCGGGCGGTCAGGAGACTCAGTGGCTGTCACTCACTGGGCAGTAAAGCCAGTAAATCACCCACCTTCCGGCAACGTTGCCAGAACCCACCTGATGTCTTGAGGGTCACAAATGCGAGCGCCCTCCTGTTTGCTCCATTTCAGGATTCATGGCATTCCAGTGAGAAGAAATCTAGAAGAGAAGCTGCTAAATAATTATCCAGAAACATTCCCCGACAGCAAAATCTATTAATGAGTGGGAAAGTCTTTGTGGGGAAATGGTTAAGAATGGCATCATCTGACATGATTAAAATGCTATTAAATAAAGAACTTGGGAAACCGGGGAGACGCTTGAAAAGGCCGATAAACGGGGCAGCCTCACATGCGTTCCCCCGTACAGACCTTTCATGAGAACATTTCCGTTTTTCTTATCTAACATTCATCCTTTCCTCAGTTTCTAAGTGGAGAATACCCACTCCTTGGATTTTTTTAAATATAAAATAATGTCCATAATTTAATGTTTAATGAGCTCCAGGCATGGTACTGGGCACTTTATCTGTCTGAATTTTAGGTGCCCTCTTCATTTCATACTGTCCCTGCAGGGCTGGGAGAGAGAGCAGAGGAATTTCTTGTAAGTTCTCAGGAGCCAGGCAGATCTTGGGCCATGCCCAGCCGCCCTCTCCGGCTGTCTGACTCTGAGCAAGGTGGTAGCTTCTCCAAGTAGCAGTTCCCTCATCTGTAAAATGCAGATGAAGACAGCCTCTCTCAAATCTGGCTGTGGTGAGGATAGAAGAAGAAAATGTACTTTAAAAAGGATTAGCCTAAGGCCAAGTATAGGATGCCCTTCATTATGGAAGATAGCATTAAAAAATAATTTTAATTAGTGTGAATCTATTCTCCCATTTTGGTATTTTCCATATAACTTTGTTTATCATTTACTTCTTATTGCCTGTGAATCTCACAGGAGCACAAATCCCCTCCAAAGCAGATTTAATTGGGGCTAAAAAGGCAGGAATCCTATGAAAAAGAAATCTCTGTGGCCATGTGAAGGAGTAAACATTTCACTGATAGGCGCCAATGTTTGTTATTCTGTGAAAATCTGCTTAATTTATAAGCAACAGTGATACTCCCAATAGGTTAAGTTGAATTCACCCTTGAGAAATTTTAATTTCAGTGTCACTATTGTTATAATCTGGGGGTCTTCCAAGATAGACATATCAGTAGAAAAACAGTGACTCATCTGAGAAACTCAGGGCTATATATATATATACACATATATATATATTTGCATTTTTCATATGTACTTTCCAACTTCCTTCCTTTCCTCAGTATTTAAGTGTAGAATACCCACTCCTTGGATTTTTTAAACTATAAAATAATACATACGTACGTATATATGTACACACATGCACAGATATATTCTGCTTTATATAGTTTAGCATTAAAATGTATTTGAGTAATACCTAAGACCATGTCTATTTAATTTTAACCAGTGGGTTATGGGAATCATCAAAAATCAAACACAATAAAAAGAAACAATATTTATGGCATTTTAAAGCCTATCCATTATTGGTTAGTGCTCCCCTCAATTGTTTAACTGCAATTGGTTCCACTTTCTCAGTGTGGATGATTTTTATACATCTGAGTTAAAAAATAATGCTGCTTGCAAGTGAAAAGTTAAAGACCAAGACAGGGCCTATTAGAATAACATTACACTTTTTTATTCCCTGCACTTACTTTGTCAATTACTAATTATTTCCCTTTTGCTATGCAACAAAATAGAAGCCATAAAATCTTTGATTTAATGAAAACTTCCTACCAAATAGGTCCTCTAACTCTGCTGAAGGCTTATAGGTAATTTATCTACCTCAGTAGGCAATGACCTTTTGTGAATCATGAGTCATTCCTCACTCCTGATGAGAGGGATCCAGATGCCATCCCACCCTCTGCCTGGCCCCTCCTTCCTCCATCCAACAGAGGCTGTGCGGCTCCTGTGCCCTGCCTCCGACTTCTCCAAAGTGGGCTGTAATTAGTCCTTGCACAGGGAACCTGCCAGGGAGTGGATCTCCCTCCTCCTGTGCTCCTTTGGCTCCTTCGTTAAGGTGACTGAACATTCAATGTTCTTTTCTAAGTGGCCCTGAAGAAAAAGGGGTGAGGGATGGTAGAGGCCAAGGTAAGTCTTATTATTGTCTGGGAAGTGGGAATACTTCCTCACACTTCAACAGAAGCCTCTCTGCCTACTCTTCCCAAAGCACAGTTATGGAGAAAATCACCAGGGGCTCAGAATGGCATTTTGGGGTCAGTATTTTAGCGGCACAGAGCAGTGCATGCTGGGAGCCACACTGCAGTCCTGGGGTTTCCAGGTGGTTTTGACTGAGATTCTAACATGCATGTTATTTGTAAATTATATACATGTACTATTGATTGTACATTATATACATGTATTACTAATTATATACGGGGTCTCTAGTTATACATATGTATTACTGTACACATACATGTATCACTGCTCTGGACCAAAATATTAAGTGCATTATAAAACACATATAAATGTAGAAGTTTGAAAAGCATGAGATGAACAATAAAGATGAAGATTTTAAATATTTTCTCCCTGTTGCTTCTGGATCTTCTTGTAAATCTTTCTGCTTTCTGGAGGTCCAGAGAGAAGAATAATATGCGCTTGTTTTGTTCCAAAGTAGGTTTCTCTAAGGCCATAGGTAACAGTGCGGGGGGTTGGGGGACGTAGCCTCCCGTATCACACCACGCTCCCCACAGATGTCTGAGGTGCAGGGGTAGTGTGGCGGGGGAAGGGGGGACTAGTAACTGTCTGAAAGATTGGGTTGCTCCCCCACCCACCTCACCCCACCCCTTTGTGCTTTCCATCCCTGAGAGTGGCCACTGCTGGGAGAGTGAAAAGATTTGCAGACCAATAGCTTTGGAATTCCTTTCAAAGTGGTTGAAAAATCTGTCTTCAAAATAGGTGGGCAGTGGTGGAAGGGTCAGAAGCACAGCTGCAGGCCGAGGCAGCACTGGCACAGGCCTGGGTGGGAGGCAGAGGCGTGACTCAACTCTGCCCCACCAGGCGGGCGGGTGCAGCCAGTGACTCCACACGGTTGGAGGGGGCCTCACACAGGGTAGAACTTGTCCTTTCTCACTGAAAGGTCAGAAAGAAATTAGAGGTGGTCCTTCATTGCTGCCTTCACCAGAGGAACATCCCATCTGAACATAAAAGACATGAACCTTGCAAATGTAAAAGTAGGTAGAGCTTGTGGAGCAACGTGAGGCTGAACCTTACATCTGACTTTGATCACTTCTTGCTGCCATGCCTGGACAGCACAAGAAATAGTGAGAAATAACAGACAAATCAGACTGCATAACAAATCCAGACTTTGAAATGCTTAGTCAACTGCTTTTTAATTAATATGCACATTCATATAATTAAATAAGACTACCTTTAAATTATGTTCAACTCACAAGGTTGAATGAAATAGACTCAACACACTAATCTTACAGATAAAACTATATTTCTTTTTTCTGGGGTGGGGGAAGAAATCCAGTTCCTTCAAATGGGGTATTTTTAGATATTCTTATTTAGATTCAAAGAAAATAAGGAGAGTCAAAGGCAGAAATATTGTGGTTTTTTCTGAAAATATTTTTTTAAAAAAAGGAACGGAATTCCTTGATAACTTTCTGCGTTTGAAATAAGTAAGCTACCAAGAAGATGAAACATTAAACCTACATTTTAGAGAAATAATTAACAAAAAAAAAAACAAGAAGGAAAAACTCCTACCAATACAGTTTCTTTCTAGGTCAATGATTTTGCTTTATCCAGTTGTCTGGGTGAGGCTGGTGACTGTGACCTGCCAAGGGAAGCCACTGGATTTGACACATTTCAGTGTCAGCTGTGGGATCTCTGTCTTAAATCTGTCAGGATGGCCCTGTGGCCACTTCTGCAAAAACCCCTGGGGACAAAATTTATTGTTATTCCTCAATAGCTTTTTGTTCACTTCCAATATAGGGGTCCTGGGTCATGCTAACGATTGTGGAGAGACAAAATGCTCTCTCTATATTTTATTAAACAGATCTCTTAATAATTAATCAAATGTGAAAATTATTTTCCATCACTCTGACACTAAAGCTAAAGCATTGGGTGGTTTTTTTTTTTTTTCTCAGCCTTTTTCTTTTCCTTTTAAATTGCTCTCTGCGGATTTCCTCAGCTACAAAGCAAGTTGAGTAGAGAAAGCCCGATTTATGACTTGGCTTTTTAAACCATAATCACCCTTCTGGGCTTCTACTGGAGAAGGGCTGGGGGATTTTGTAGGTTGCCAGATAAACACCTGAGAAAACGTGTTCTCAGATCCCCCAAATCCACGGAGGGGCCGTGATCCCACGGGTAGCAGCAGTCCCATGGAGGCCCATCTGGGCCGCACCACAGCATGGCGCTGCCAACGGGAGATGGCATCACTGGTCATTCTCTCATTCTCTCTCAGGGAGCGTCTGTGTTTCCAGGAGAAAATAGCTTAGTAAGAGTTACTGTCTTCACCTCCAGCTGGGGTAAGAAGGAAAAACATTGCCGAGCTGAGGTATTAGCCCAGAGTTCCATTTCCAGATAGTGGAGTTTGCACCATTTTCAGCCTCCAGCAAGACTGCATTAAAAGATGGGTAGTGTCTTAGTGAGTCGGGCCCCAAGTCACTGACAGATTAATACCAGATAAGGGACATTGCTAGGGAAATGCACAGCAAGCAGTACGTCCAACCTTTCCTTACTAAAAGGTCAGAAAGAAATTAGAGGTGGTCTTCATAGCTGCTTCTCTCAAGGAACATTCCATCTGAACGTTTAAGATGTGAACCTCGCAAATGTAGAACTAGACAGCCCGCAGGTGGGGAGTGTGGAGTTGGGCTTCTATTAGGAGAGGGGCCTCTGAGGAGTGTGTGGGGCGGAGTAGGCATGGCTAGGTGCACAGCTGAAGCTACCAAACTAGGTGATGCAAAAGCCAAGTGGGCAAAAGGAACGGTTCGGAAACGCACGGAAGAGCAAAGCCTGCTGGCAGCAGCGTCAATATTCTCCCTCTGAGCACTAATTACATTATTAAGCAAACAGACCAACACAGGGGCTGAGGGACGGAAACATGTATTTAGGATCCAGTCACTCTCCACTTGGCTGTAAATAATCACGTGCAGTACACAGTTCTTTCCAACCGAAGTGCACTATGGGGCCCTTTCCGTAACTTTTAAAAAATTTCCTAAGCTTGAGAAAGGGAAGTGTTGTTTTCCAAACAAGCCAGTTTTGGAGAAGT
Organism: Homo sapiens; assembly: GCF_000001405.40. NCBI lineage: Eukaryota > Metazoa > Chordata > Mammalia > Primates > Hominidae > Homo > Homo sapiens. Next base: position 77,993,543 of record NC_000005.10, read on the forward strand.
CAGATTTTCTACACTCAGTGCTCCCCAGCCCTATCAGATATTTCTGAGAGTGATAAGCAGAGCAGCCAACATCTTCCGAGAGGAGATGCAGGATTCAGCAGGCATAGGAGATAGGTTCCTCGAGCGGCAACTTGCATTTTCTTGGCTGCAAACAGCACACACTTGCTAATTAGACCTTTGCAATACGCGAGAATCCAAATCTGCTTTGATGTAGCTAAATCCAGTCTAAAGCGGTGGATGTAAACACAGGACTGGAAGAAACCACGAACAACATGGAAAGGATTTATATGCAATGGGAATAAATCTGCTTTTTAAAAAAGTCTAAGAGGAGCCTGCAGAAGGAAATCTGCAGCAGGCTGAGCCAGCCGGGTGAATGGCAGAAAGAATAGAGGCTATTTGAATACTGATGTGGCCCTCACTTTCTTCTATTTCCATTAATGACATGCTCATCAAGGGCAAACAATGGGACCGGCTGCCGGCGCCTGTCACAGTGTGTGGGTGCTGGGATGCCAGGCTGTCATCCCCGGGCTGCATTTAGAGACCTGCACGCTAATAAGAAGTGCTCTGTGCCGTCAATGCAGACAGGTGCTTCCGCGGCTGGGACATGCTCCATTCCCTTCCCCCTGAAACCCTCCTCTCTCAGCCCCCCTGACAGACACCATGAAATGCACAAATTAACAGCCCCATCATGTTGGGCTGCTGCTGCCTGCGGTGAAAGCAGAAAATCAAGTTGTCACCCAGGGTGCAGTGATAAAGCCACAGCCTCATTTCTCTGTTGGTGCCCTATAATAGCAAATGCCAGACAGCTGGATGGATGGGAGGCTTTGGATTAAGGCCTTGATGCACTCTGGCCAGAGAATTAGTAGTTGCTGTTTCCGTGTGCATATCCTGTTCAAAACAAACATCTGGAGAGAGGCAAGTTTCCTGGGACAGAAATGTCCTTTGCTTCTTCTAGAATCAAAGAAAACAGCCAAAGGAGAGTGGTATTTCCTTTCTCATAAGATTCCAACTCTAAATTTGCTATGAACTTTATCAAGGACCTAGAGCTATGTGAAGTTTAAGAAGTTGGCAAAAAGTCCAGGACCAAGACAAATCTTGGGGATGCAGAGAAGAGTTCCTGGGTCCACAGGGCCTCAAGCTACTTGCGCCCCATCCAGCAAGCCCTCCTCTGCCTCCTGACCCCATCCAGCAAGCCCTCCTCTGCCTCCTGACCCCATCCAGCAAGCCCTCCTCTGCCTCCTGACCCCATCCAGCAAGCCCTCCTCTGCCTCCTGACCCCATCCAGCAAGCCCTCCTCTGCCTCCTGACCAAACGGACTGTTTCTTTCTAGGGTGAATTGTTAGAACTCTTAGTCTGCCTAAAGCTTCCCTCCCACCCCAGACCTTTCCACTCCTCACGATTACATCTGCATGGGTTGAAGGCACTTCTCATGAAATAATAGATTTAAACAGCCCTGTCCCCTGGCATCATAGCCAGTTGGCTCCAAGTGTCTAGTGACCTGACCTGGCCTGGGCTAACATTTGCCTTGGCCAAGTCTGCAAAAGAGAAGAAATGGAAGGCTTGAGCCCTTCAGACTCCAAGGAGTTTAATGACATAATGGCCTGAGAACTTCAATATAAAACAGGAAGAGCAACTAACGAAACTTACAACATAAAACCCCCCTCCTGTCATTTTTATAGTAACAGTAAAACACTTTATTGAATTTATGAGCTACATAATGACTATGAGGAATGTTAACTTGAATTAGAACCAACTCGGAAGTATAATATCAACTATAAACGCTTTTCTATTACCCCATCCCTTTAGCTTTTTCTGTCCTCTTTCTTTTAACCAAGGGACATTGCCTTCCTCAGACTTACACCTGAGACAGAGTTTACAACTTGCTAATACATCTTGACTCTTCCTCCAAAGCTCTACAGCCGACAAACCTCCCTCCCAGGGTAAGACACTCTCTGGGGGTGACCATTCCCATTCAAAACCTCAGCTCCATTAAAATGCATTTTAGAAAAGAAACCAGTTAGTCTTTTCTTTGCATAAAGCCTGTCAAATCGAGAGGATCTCTGGGGATACATATCAGGTATTTCATTATCTGTAACTCTACATTGTAACGGCCTTTCCAAAATAGAAACTATAACCCCCTTGGAAGTTTATGAAAAGCATCTTCAGCCAAGGGTGCAGTGTTTGAGTGAGGGCGGTGGTCAAGTTTCTAATGACTAGATGTGGGGGAAGCATAGATCACTCTGCTAAGCAGCATGCTAGACTCTGTTTTCTGTTTCCATTTCACTCCTTAAGTCTTTCTGCTCCCCAGGGATTTTTCCGAAGGGGCAATAAAATAAAATGGGTGAAACAAAGCCATAAGCCAGTTAAGTCTGAAAGACATGTCATCTCATCTAAAAGGAAGAAACGGACCATTTCCATGCCTAGGGCTGACAGCAACGCCTGAGCTGGCAATAGTGCTATTCCATTTGATTTATAGAATAATGGGGTGACAAATGATGACAAAAATAAACTTTTACTGCACTGAACTGCTCCTTTATTTATGAAATTTGGCCAAGTAGTGAAATCTTTTATCTGCAAGTTGTAACATGGAGTGGGAGCAAGCGATTATGGTGTGGTAATAGTAATCCAGCGATGGAGGCCGAGTCGGTTGGAAATGGATTGAGGTAAAATAACTCCCGCACCATGATAAATGTGAACAGCGCTTTGCTGACAGATGATCTAACAGGTGTTCATAACAACTATATAAGAGGATTTATTTATGACCAGCCACAGCCGCAGCACTGTAAATCAACTCCAGCAGCTGCACACCGCTGAAACCAAGTCCCTGATGGAGGAACGGTGCAGGAGCCCAAAGAACACAATTCACTCCAGAATCTTAATCATCAAATAACATTTTTTTAGGTAATTACACCACAGCACAGAAATCATAATGACTTTCAATTAGAAAACTGGGCTGTCCATAACTTTGTTTACAAAATATTTTTATTTAGGCCCTATGGTTTTGATGAGTCCTGAATAAAACAAAGACTTTGGGGTCAAGGAAGAGGGCTCTTGGATGATGAGGATTTCTGTGTGATGCCAGTAAGAGGCCCTTTCACACTGGCTTCATTTTTTAAGACTCAAAAATCAAACCTTAAGTTGGAAGGGCTTTTTGTGTCCGCCAAATTTCTACATTAGGCCCCCCTTATCAGCATGCTTGAGTTCGTATCTTACCCTTGGTTGCCATTCCTAATTTTATATATGGTTTATTGACAAAATGAAATAAGCATTCGAAAGATGAACTCATTAGAAACGACGTTTAAATGTAGCTTGAAGGGCCTACCTTCATACGACCTTTCTTAACTACTTTGCAAAAGCAGAATTTAAGTTTTCTTTTCATAGGTCATGGTCTTAACAATTCCTTACCATCCATGGAGTTGGTTGACCCTATCATGACATAAAACTTCTCATTCATCACATCACTAAAGAAAAAAAATATGTGGTTCTTACATGGGGTGAGAAAATGCTCTTCTGGAGTGGCGGGGGGAAACGGGAATCTTGGTGGGGCACTGTTTGAGAAAGCTAATCTCCTTTATCTCTTCCCCCACTATGTTCTGATACTTTCTCCTTGGCAACCACTCTCCCTCCCTTCCTATCCAGGGCAGTGAATGAGGAAGGTGGAGGTGAGGTTTCCCTGCTCTCTTCAAGTGCCCACGCATCATCTGCAGGATCCAAGGCCTGACATGGTTGAGTCTACTGGCAGAATTATCTACCAGTTAGGTTTTCTAAACATCTCTAGATCTCAGGATAAAGATGTTTCTTGAGTTACACCTGGATCTTTGGTGTCTCTGGCCCTCAAGATTGCAGATGTCTTAGACTGTTATCAGTGTCTTAGACTGTTATTAAAGGCAGGTTCATGTCAGTTTCTGAGGGTTCAGTCTTCAGTTGTACATATTTACTGAATCAGCTAGGAATTATATGCACAAGTGACTATGTACATAAAACTGGCCCCAGAGAAAGACAAACACAAGGGAAGATTAGAAATTTTAATATCACCTCAGCTCACAATCACTGAACCAGTAAATAGATAGTAATGGAATTTAATATTCTTTTTTTTTTTTTTTTCTGAGACAGAGTCTTGCTCTGTCACCCAGGCTGGAGTACAGTGGCACAGTCTCGACTTATTGCAACCTCTGTCTCCTGGGTTCAAGCGATTCTCCTGCCTCAGCCTCCCGAGTAGCTGGGATTACAGGTGCCCGCCACCACGCCTGGCTAATTTTTGTATTTTTAGTAGAGACGGGGTTTCACCATGTTGGCCAGGCTGGTCTCAAACTCCTGACCTCAAGTGATCCACCCACTCGGCCTCCCAAAGTGCTGGGATTACAGGCGTGAGCCACCACTCCTGGCTAGAATTTAATATATATATATGTTTTTCTTTTTCTTTTTTTTTTTGAGACAGAATCTCACTCTGTCGCCAGGCTGGAGTGCAGTGGCATGGAATCTCAGCTCACTACAACCTCTGCCTCTCGGATTCAAGCAATCCTCCTGCCTCAGCCTCCCAAGTAGCTGGGACTACAGGCACGTACCAGCACATCCAGCTAATTTTTTGTATTTTTAGTAGAGACAGGGTTTCACCATGTTTGCCAGATGGTCTCGATCTCTTGACCTCGTGATCTGCCCACCTCGGCCTCCCGTAGTGCTGGGATTACAGGCGTGAGCCACTGCAACCAGCCAGAATTTAATATTCTTTAGCTACTTTGACTCTAAGTCTGAAAAGAATCATTTTAGAACCTGCAAAGGCACAGGAAATAACTAAAATCCCCAAGGAAATATCTAAAATTGGCCTTTAAGCAGAAGAGTAACATAAACAATGCTGGCTTCTCCTGATCTCTATCTAGTTCAAGGTTTTCCCAACCTTTTTTTCTGCCTCTACACTATTTACAAGTGCAGGCTACTCCCATCCATGATATCTCAACCATTCATTTCTCCTGTAAGCCAGTGGTCCCTAACCTTTCTGGCACCAGGGACTGGTTTCATGAAAGACAATTTTTCCATGGATGGGGATGGAGGGGATGGTTTCTGGATGAATCAAGTGCATCACATTTATATTTAGATTCTCATAAGGAGCATGCAACCTAGATCCCTCACATGTGCAGTTCACAGTAGGGTTTGTGCTCCTATGAGAATCTAATGCCACTGCTTACATCAAAGGAGGCAGAGCTCGCCTGTCACTTACCTCTGGCTGTGGGCCAGGTTCCTAACAGGCCACGGTAGTGGTCCATGGCCCAGGGGTTGGGGACCCCTGCTCTAAACTACCACAGGCCATTGAGGTGGAGACATGGGGAATGGCTTTGAGAGAAAGGGACTGTGTGAGAGGGGAAAGAGAAGTGAGGGCAAGGAGGGGGAGTGGAAGCATCGCTTTCTTAGGTGTGGCCAGTGTTGCTTTCTGTACAAAGGTATTTTCAAAACATTTTAAAAGATACAGCCTCAGCTGAGAATCACATATTTGCCCTTCTCCCATGCCTAGAAACTCTGTTTTCTCTTCTATATGCCACCCTACTTTTAAGAACTAGCTAGTTTCATTGCCTCAGTGGAACCTTCTCAGACCTCTCTAGCCACTAATCACTTCTTCCCCTAAACTCAAAGGTACTTACTGGTGTTATCTGACAATTAATCACGCCACACTGCCTCACAATGTTTCTCACAAACCATCTCAGCTTTCAAACAGCCATGTTTCAAGTTTGTTTGTCAAGTTACCATGTGGAATCTAACATATTTTCCTCAGAAAACAGTATCACATAGTGGTTAGCTTCCCAGGTCAGATAATAAAGTTCTGCCTACTCCACAACTCAGCTGAAAAGCGGTAGAAAAAAAAAAGTCATGTTACCAAAGTAGGATACAAGAGAATGAATTGATCATGAAAATGTTTCCTGAGGTTAGAAAGCAGGGGGACGGGAGCCGGCGGGGAAGAGGACTTAAGAAGATAAACAAGCACAGTCGAGAAGTCATTGTCTTTCAATTAATCAACCCCAACTGATGGAAGAACAAAAGTGTGTCCCCCATGGCCGGCCAGTCCAGTGCGGTCACCTGTGTAAGGAGGCCATGGAGGTGAAAAGCTGGGGCCAGCAGGCCTCTGGGGCTGCCAAGCTGCAGGACTTGGCACCTGAAGGAAGTGTGGGTGGGGCGGAGGCAAACCTGTGTTAGGATGTAAGCAACACTTATTTGCAAACCAGGGCTCACTAACTTAGGGAGGTCCACATGGTCATTCCTTTGTTTATTGCCAATTAGATTGTACGTTTTTTGAGTAAGTACAGAGCATAACTTATATTTTACTACACCCCTGATGAGGTTTACTGTAGTTCTCCACATTCACAGTAGATATAGTCTTTCAGCAAAAAGGGAATAGAAAGGCTCTGTTTTTTTTTGGTTTTTTTTTTTTTTGAGACAGGGTCTCACTTTGTCACCCAGGCTGGAGTGCAGGGGCATGATCACGGCTCACTGTAGCCTCCAACTCCTGGGCTCAAGCTATCCTCCTGCCTCAGACTCCCCAGCAGCTGGGATTAAAAGCATGCACCACCACACCTGGCTAGATTTTAAATTACTTTAGAGACAGGGTCTTGCTCTGTTGCCCAGGCTGGTCTTGAACTCCTGTCCTCAAGTAATCTTCCCACTTCGGCCTCCCAAAGCGCTGGGATTACAGGAATGAGCCACCACAGCTGGCAAACATAGTGCTCTTTTTTTCTCTCTCATTTTGTGAAAACAGGATTCCTTTCTCCCTTTAAACAAAGTTCCCTAGAAGGTCAGAGAGACAACAGAGAGGGAACAAGTCAGGGGAAAGATCTTAGGTTCTCTTTTAGCTGGTCCAACTTTTCTTTTTTTGAAATCTTCCATCAGTCTGGATTCTTATCTTGTCTAACATCTAAATTCTTAACAACGGGAACACAGGTTATAAGGGCAAACGTTTTGTAAGCTATAAAGTTATTCATACGTTTGCAAATAGTTATCGAGAAGGACAAGTATACAGTATTTTAATTTGAGAAATGCATTGTTACAGTCTCTTTAGAATAAAAAAACTCTCATAATAAATAAAGCAAATGTATTGTGATATCAAAAATGAGGCTTAGTCTGAAATATACTATGAGAGCCATTCTTCAAGATTGGTGTACATAAAATGTCCCATTAAGTGAACATTAAAATGAAAAAATATAGCTAGAATTAAGAATTCAACATTGACTAACTCGACTCAATGGAACAATTTAAAGATAATCATGGATTATGACAAAGTTAAAGGAAATATGAGGCAAGGAACTCTGAATCACCACACCACAAAAGAAAAAAAACCAAACCTTTAACTTGGGGCTTTGGTCGTTTTTCTGTTTTACGTGAAAAACATTTTAATGATATTAAGCTACTAGTGTTAAAATGGTTTCAACTGGTAGCGCACATTACAATCGATACATACTGTTCACTGATTCATACTACATTATATTATTGATTTACCATAATTTTAAAAGTTAGCAGCCAAAAATAACTTAGTCAAAAGTAAAGCCCTAATTAAATTTCCTTAGTTTAAAAAAATACAAATGTGTGAACTATCTTTTAAAGATGAGTGTCCTAATTTAAGGAAAAATAAGACCTTTCTCAATCACAACATGCACTTTCCCTCTGCCTGAAGACAGCATGGATATAATTTTTTTTTCTTCCTCAGAAAACAGGTATTAAACCTGTCAAATTCTGTCTGACATTTCAAAAAGTTATTGACTTAAAATTCAAAGTTATGAAGCTCTGAGCAATAAGGCTAATATGGAAATGCCAACGACCTGCGATTACAAAGGGGCTTTTGGGTGTGTTACCACAGCGCCCAGGCTCCAGAGGGAAGTGGAACTCGTGGCTTCCATACATTGGTACAGAATGGTACAGAATGTACACATGGTACGGAATTGGCACAAAATGTACACGTGGCTTCTGTACATTGCACTTCTGTACATTCTCTTCCCGGAGATTCAGGGCTATATTTCTTTCTGGAGCAGGAAAATTTAACAATTTTGTTTACTCTTGTCATCCCACCAGCTTGAAAATTTAAATAATTTTTCGACTCTGTTTTGTTCTTTTCAATATGTATGTTCCAAGAAAATTCCATTCTTTTCTTTTCAGCCTTCCTATAATGCTTCAAGCAATGTACAGTCACTTCCTTTTTACTTTTTAAAAATCATTATGTATGTGGCTCTATACAAAAAGAACTGAGTAGCTTATACTACCTGAAAGTCCATTACCTTGCTTCAAAAAGGAAGTAAAATTTCAGCTGGTTTTAAAAAGGTACGAAAGTATTAGAAAAGTTCTCTGATTATAGAACAACCTTGAAAACAGTAACTTAAGGTAGCAAATAAAACAAATACTCTAGGAAAAGATGCTAATAGGTTGATCATATAACTAGTTTTAAACATTTCTATAAGTTTATGCTAGTTAGTTTCCAAAGTTGGGCATAAGGAAAAATGAGATTCAAAGAATTTATTCAGCAGGCCACATAATCAGATATCTACTAATAGATCAAAACTACCTAGAAGATGTTTATTTTGCAATATGAAGATTTTTGTTTTTGTTATTAAATACACCAATTTTTTTTCCTTGGAGTAAACTATAAGTAGAAAATTTACTTGGTTTGGAAGTGGTTTTTCTTTCGCTAACTAAACCACATTGCTTCTCTGCATAATGTAACACTCAAAATACTTGCTTTAAAATAAGAAAACTTTAGCATATGAACTTCAGGATTATTAATAGTTTCTCATTAAAAATGCAAAGACAAATATGATTCATATGCTAGTTTATTTATCTTATTATTGAGAGATAATTTCATGATGACAGTTATCAATAATCAATTACAATATCAAGAAATTCAAAGAACAAAATCTTGCAGAGACTATGCTTTTGTATTTGGATTTAAAAAGTATGTGATCTCATTTTCACATACCAAGCTGAGAGGCCATTTAGACTATCTCTTTGCTAATTTTTGCTTACTGCTGTAGGGAAGAAGATTTCCAATGAACTTTAAATATCTCATTCATGTCTACCATTGTCGAAAAAGAGAAGGAAAACGAGGAGGCCAAAAGAAGCAGCAGGACAGAGAAAACGCCACATGGATTCAAGAGTTGAGACAACTGACAGTAAAATATATGCTCTTTGGTTAGCAAAGCAAAAAGGGGGAAAGTATTGCATACATGATAGATACACACTAGCATTCTAAAGCAGGAGACAAGAATGTCAAGAGTGTATTCTACCCCCACTGCCAGATGGAAGGGCTATTATTATAAATGAAAGGCAGCAGTAGTGGATGCCAGGCACTTTTGTTGTGTGCCAGATTCTAAAGTCCAGATGTAAGCAGGTTACCCCTGAGACAGGACAGGCTTCAGTTCCCGCAGCAGAACAGAGCCAATCACAGTTTTCTCAGTGTTTATGATAAGCTGGGCTGTAGAGCCTTCCTTCAGTTCCACTGTGACTAGCATCAATGACCCACTGTGCACAGTTTTAGCTGCAAACCTGGAAGAGAAAAAAGAGAGACCTTTTATCATAAGATGGGGAGGGTAAAGGAGATAGCATACATTCAAATAGGATTAAAATAACTCTTTTTTGTCAAATGAAATAATTTGCTGCAGGCTCCCTATTGCCAAAAACCCAAAGCCAAGCATTCTTCTGAAAAATCAATAAACTGTCCAGCCCATGCTAACCACAAGCAGGTAATTTTAGTGCACATTTAAAACAGAACAGAAAAAGGAAGTCTATTTTACTTATTAGTTTAAACAATAGATGCATGTGAATAATTCTCCATTACAATATATTTGAGAACCATTCATCCACTTGGTATTTAACATTTCACCATGCATAGGGACATTTTAAATAAGCCATTGTATTTTTATTTTTAAAACATGTTAAGAAAAGGTACCTTTCTCAAAGAGCTTCAAAATTTAACTCCTCATATCTGAAAATGATTATGTAATAAGTTAGATAATTTTACGTACATTATAAAATTCTTACTAAGTTTCAATGAATTCACTCATGTAACAATATTCAAATTAAATCTCTAATGTTAATGATGACATGAAGCAAAATCACGTGACAGCTAAGTGCAACCTCACGCTTCCCTTTTTCTTTGTTTTGAAATGTTTAGGACATTAGATCTTTCTTTCTGTAGAGTGTAAACAAAAACATTTCCAGAGGAAACTGGAGGTCTAAAGCTCTAACTCTAAATTCCAAGACATGAAGAACCTACTGATTACACGGAACTAAAAGCAAAACTAGCCTTTTAAGCACTGCAATTGACTGAAAAGCCGTTGCAGGCATAACGAACTTCTGTCAATCCTGCTAATTCATTCTGCATGCACAGTTGAGCCTCAGGGTCATGAAGGAAGAGGACAGGAACCTCCCAAGCCTCCCTTTTCCACATGAAGCATGTTCCACACACTTTTTGGGGGAGGGGGTTTGATTGCAGGGATGACTGGAGAAAAACAAAGTTGCTGCACATGAGCTTTTGAAAACACTAACAAGTGTAGAGCAGGTCTGTGACCTGCTGTGACCCCACTTTGCAGGGCCAATCCCCTTGCCCCTTTCTATATGACACGTGTCTGAATCTGAGCCATCTGCCTCAATTTGCGCAACATCTTCAGCCACAATGGCACCCAGTTAGCCCTGACAACAGCTCACAATACATAAAAATAAAACTGCCGCGCTAACAGCACGCTGCGGACTATTCAAGAGCAAACCAACTGGTCAGTGTCTCATGTCTGACAATTAGCATGGGCCTCGCACAGAGCCCACGGTGTCCACAGGGATCTGTTTAATTACCATCAACATAAAAGAGGGAGTTTATCAGGAGACACTCAGAAAAACTTCACTCCCGACTTAATTAAAATATTAGCCACTTAAGCAGGAAGCAGATTCTCTTTAAATGAAAAGTAATTTCTTTTTTGGGTTTTTTAAAAAATAACATCAAGATCTCATAACACATTAATTTTTTTAAAACCAAACAAGCCATTTTTGGACAAATAAAATCATGAACTAGGTTGTCCAACAATAATTAGAATAATGTATCCAAACCAAAACAGATATGCTAATTTTACTAAATTTCAAATATTATAAACACTTTGAAGTTGTGTTTTAAAATGTTAGCTAATGGGCTATCAACAAAATATGTTAGAAAATCTTCCTAGGCATTTGCTTGTGCACTCTACAAGCATGCTGAAAACTTGCAAGGAATCTGACAGAGCAGTATTCCTACTGAGAGAAGCAATTGTAAGTAACCAGTTTAGGAATATAAATCATACCAATGTTTTTAAAGAGGTTTTTATAAACCTCTTAACACACACATCCATCTGCTTTTCAGACGTACACATGAGAGATTATGAACTAGGTACCTCAATTTCATCTTTGAGAAACATAAAGATCACCAGCCCTAAAATGATCTCTCTTTTCTAAGGCTCCTCACAGGTTTATGCATTTCTTTTGTCTAAATTTTTCAGGCTCTTCTGCTTCATAGGAGAATGCTGTTTCTATATTCCTGTAAAACCACGTCACCAAAGGATATGAGGTGGCTCTATTTTCCCATTCATTTATGCAACTTTTCCCACAGATTCGGTCATCACGTGTGTAATTCACTCAACAAATATTTCAACAGAGGTCCCTATTTCTGACAGGGTTATAATTATGTAAACAATAGTCTTATTAGTCCCTTTATTTACTTAACACTTGTGCCTTGGGACCATAGAGAAGGAGATTATGCCTGAATAGGAACACAAAAGCACTGTTGTTTGAATTTCAGGGTGGCACAGCCCCAAGGCACATTTTGTCTCTTTTCTATTAAAAAACTTAGAGTTAATGTTACAATTAATATAAAGTTGGCAGAGACAAATGTCAATTTTGGTGTCAGTATGTTGACAGAAATTAGAATTAGTATCTTGGACATATTTTTGAAATCCTATTGCCACAAAAGTCTCAGTACTATAAAGAATAGGGGTATGAAAGAAAAGAGGCATCTGCTTACGCTGCAATGGAAACACACTAAGCAAATCATCCTAGCAACATAATCTGCTAGCTGGTGTAAAAGCTACTGCCTTTATTAACTAGGTCTCTATGTTCTAGTGGACACAAATGGTGGAAGCAATGTTTTAAAGCGGAAGACTAGAAGATCAGATGTTCTGACATTCTCATTTCACAGTTCAGAAAGGATATATTTAATTGGAACACAGCATGATCAAAATTGGTTTGTTTTGGCCCTCGGAAGGCAAAAACCACTACCCCAGATTTATTCATCATTTAACTCCTGCACAGGCTATGCTTCAACATACATGCAAAAAATAGTTATGGAAAGAGTACTAATTCATAAGTAATAAATAGCTAGCTTTGGGATGTCAGAAACATTGATTATAAAGTCAGCGTGGGTCAGATATTTACATACTAAACTTAATGGCTGACATCAGAACCTCTGTGCTTGGCCTTGAACTAAGATCACACTGTGACAAAATTTTTTCAAAAGGCATGAGAAATTTTTGATCACTATAATGATGATAGCAGCTATCATTTGTTAAGCACTTACTGTGTTCTGGCAGTGGGTTCTAAGTGCTTCACTGGAATTATTTCATTTAATCCTATGAGGCAGGTCACTTTATAGATGAGGCAAGCGAGGCCCAGAGAAGTTGAAGAACTTCCTCAGGGCCACACACCAAATTTCTGGTTGAGCAGAAATCTGAACCCAAGCATTCTGATTCCAGGTCACACAAATTATCTTCATATATACAAAAATGCACCCATAATAATTTGTTTTTATCAGTCAACAGATAAAGTTTTTCCCATTTACCTAATATACACATAATCTATTATTGTTCCAAAAACATTAAGAAGGAAGAGTCCTCTCTTCAAAAATTGTTTACTTGATTTTGTAGTAATGCGTAATTCAAAGCGTGCGGACTTGATTCCTCATATATTTTACATTTCTGCCTTTAAAGATTTAAAACATTTTAAATATCCCCTACTCTCCTCTCCCTAAAGAGACACCAGCAATGAAAAATACAAAGCCTTTTTGAATGGAGCTGTAACACAGGGAGGGACTACGGGGAGACCAATCAACCTCGAAAAGCAGTAACACCACAAATGAGAACAAATAAGTGCGATGACAGTTAAAGATGTATTGCCTGTGTATGACGGGCTCCATGTTATTAAAAGGACACCATCTAGATATTTTTCATTTCATTCTATCACCAACCACTTGCTGTTTGTAATCACCAACTGAGAAGGTAAAACTGTTTGGCTATATCTGTATTTCATCTTATTAAATGTCTTTGTCTATTATCTCCAGCAATTGACATTTAATCTTTGAAGCCTATAGGAATTCTTAAGATTTACGAAAAAGACAGAATAAGCTGGTTGTCAAAGCTAAATAAAAAAAAGTTTCATTCTTCTTAAAAAGTTATTTTGTCTTAACTATAGTCATAATTATAAAAACAGACCAAATAGCAACAACAAATTTGAAAAAAATCTAATATCTATAATACACAGATTTATTCTCCATGCACTTAAACTATACTTTTTAAGATTTGTAACAAACTGGCTATAAATCATACATGTTCTTTGTTAGAAGGAAAAGAAATCCTATAATTCAATTGTTCTAACAATTAACATTAACGGTACAGCATGAATTTAAAAGTATTTATCTGAGAGGCTGCGTCAGTCTCCAGGGTAGTCACAAACATAACATTTTTTACACAGAATCAGATTTGCTATACTTAATGCAACAGCTCTAAGACATGCTTTTTCTTCTCTTGGATAGTCTTCCTGGTTTCTGATTTTTCTATTCTGAGTTCAATTTTCTTGTGCTTTCTGTTCTACTGGTTACCAGAAGCTGTGACAATGACCCACTCAGGCTAAAACTTTTTTTTTTTTGTACTCTGTACATGAAGCCTTCAATTACTGCCTGCTGAAGCAGACAGAATCCTATTAGTAAGAAAGACGATCACAAGATGCAGTGCCCTGCCCTAGCTGTATAAAAATAATTAGTCCAAAGTTGACAAATGTGTAATGAAGTCGCACGATCATTATATGTAAGAAATACTGGTTGGAATAAGCCTCCTAAACATCAATACCAAAGTATAGTGATTTGGAGCGCTATCTGCCAAAGGATTTAAAATTATAAATCTTTATTACCTTGAGTTATTATAGTAGAACATTTTAAACAGGCAGAGAATTTGTAAGTTGTAAAAAATTCTATTTTGTTGACTATAAAATTGCATTTTAAAGTTAAACCATTACACTATTGAATTAATAGTGAAGGACAAAAAAAGCATTTACACGTGATTTAGTTTTAGAGAATTTACACAAAGCAATGTATTTTTCCCAGTTATTTAAAAAATCACCTAACAATATTGTAGTATTTTCCTCTAACGTTCAAATGAGAAAAGTTAAAATAAAAAATAAACAACCACCATAATTTAGGACTCTCTAGTTCCTACTCTAATCTTCAGAGATGGTATAAAAAAATTATTCCCCACACTATCAGGCCAATGATGCATTCTCTTTCTTTATATAGGAAAGCTAAAAAATCTAAGTGCCCTTGCTTAAAGAAGACATAAAACATCCCAGTTATTTCAGAGCATTTCTGGTTTGTCTGGTGGGGGTGGGGTGAGATGGGGTTAACAAGGGAAAACTAATAGTAAAACAAATACATTCTTACCCCATTCTCTTTGATTCCTTACAAAATTGTCAAACCAGAAGGAAAAGCATCAAGAATACCTTTCTTTCATTTTTACGTGAAACAGTTACAGATTCCCATTAGTAAAATTGTTGCATTAGAGGACATTAAATGGTGAACTTAAATAAAACTTAAATAGAGAATGTTTTAAAGTAAAAATCAGCTGTGCAGTTTGGTTACTTCTGAAATATCCAAATATGCTTTCTGTGTGAAAATTAACTGAGGTCCGCATTTGTTTGTCAATGAACTGATGCTCAGGGCCTGCAGAGTTCAAAGCAGTCAGATAAAAATGCAGTGCTGTCCTCTAGTGGACAGCCACCAACCTGAGAAAGAACTGTTTTGATTACTAAAGAGGTTCTACAAATCTTCAGTCCTGTTTGAGACTCAAAATTTGTCATATTGTAGAAAAGACCTGAGCCTGATAGTTTTATACTTAAAACTATTTATACAAAATTTTGTTTCTGTTTATACAATGAAGAAGGTTGACAGTAGTATCAGGGCTTATACAATTAGGGCAACAAGATGTCCAATGTTATTTGAAAAGCAAAAATTCTTTGGAGAATTACAAATTCTCCAAAATTACCCAGAATTCAAATCCCATATAGTTACCAACAGAGAAGAAAACAACTAACAAACAAAAACAGTAACTCAAAAGTTAATCAAACTAAGAATAGAGAAAGGGAAATATTAGAGACCCCATCAAGAAGTGTCTTTGCCATTTGTGTTTGCAACCCTAGCACCAGCAAAATCTGTCACAAAGGTCTCCAAAAAAATACTAAGTGAAGGAGCTACACATTATAGATCTTTTTAGGATACCAAAAATAATGTGTACCAGTATTTCCCCTATTAACAACCTTCAAACAGGTATGCAATAACAGTGATTAACTGGGTGAGTTTAAGGCCTAGATATGGAACAAGTTGGCCAGGCACAGTGGCGCATGCTTGTAATCCCAACACTTTGGGAAACCAAAGTGGGAGGACTGCTTGAGCCCAGGAGTTCAAGACCAGCCTGGGCAACATAGGGACACCCTGTCTCTACAAAAAAAAAAAAAAAAAAATTAGCTGGGCATGGTGGCATGCACTTGTAGTCCTAGCTACTCAGGAGGCTGAGACAAGACGATTGCCTGGGCCCAGTTCAAGGTTGCAGTGAGCTACAACTGTGCCACTGCACTCTAGCCTGGGCAACAGAGTGAGACCCTGTCTTAAAAGAAAAAAAAAAAGAAATGAAACAAGTTGTTCTTTACCTGTACTTGAATTAAATAATAAGACTTTTATTTTAAACCTGAAATAAACTGTCTTTATGTGTGTTGATAAATTAAAAAGTTGACTACTTGGTTGCCAATGGATACACTGTTTCACTCACAGCACCAGACTTTCCTAATAGTTAAGGACCTAGTGACAACAGTAAACCAACATTTATTCGACTAGGATTGTAATTATCCACAAGTTGCATATGGTAAAAGCTTGCAAATTTAAAAAGTGACAGGATAAACAAAATCCAAATTACTAATTAAGATATACGGGGGGGTGGGGGAGGGGGAGAGGGGAAGGAATATCAGTAGTGAATACAAGTTAATAATGAAAGTTGCTCCAGAATCTTACTGAATAAGCTAAGAACTAAAATAGAATCATGGCAGAGACAGGATGTTCTGTCTTCAATCAAATATCACCTTTTCTCCTCAGAGGGTTAATTTGCGGTTCATGAAAAGGCAAAATGAGTAGGTAAGTGTGACAACTTTTTCAACAATATTATTGTATACAAATGTCAGGATTTCTGACTATGGGTGAAAATGTGAGATGGCTGAGACTGCTGAAAGACATACACAGTTATGGTCTAAGACTGTTTTATAGACACTGCTCTAATGTACTCCCGTAATGGACAATACACTGTCTTGCTGGAGCACTCTGGGATATGTGTAAGAAAAATTAAACCAAACATCTCATCTACTGGCATCCCTTACTGACTAATCAGTAAAAAATAAAACATATAAACATAGGAAAAAATATTTTGAAATGTGTCATGTGGCATTACAGCTTGATAATTCCAGGCAGCCTCAAACTGTGGACTTCGGAACATTTGCCTTCCAACCACTTGGAGTGCTGCCTAAAATAGAGATTCCTGGGCTCTTTCTCAGATTTACTGAAGCTGAGTTTTTGGGGTGGGTTCCAGAAATCTGAGTTTTACACAAACTCACACATGATTTTTTTGTACAGAAAAACCTTAGCGATTTCGGAGCTACATGTTTTTTGTTTTCTGCTTTTTGGCCACTGCACTTACTCATAAGTGCTGTTATCAGAGGACATGCAATGTAACAAAAGCAAGGCACCTCAGTTTCCACGACATTGAACACAAACCTCCTTCCTAAACCCTTCCTGGATATTTCACAGAGAATCACATGAAAGTTTTCCTGGCCCTGAATGAAACTGGGATCCCCACAGCTAACGCCTCTAATCTCCTACCTTCGAACACATGAGGTCTTGCCCTTTCACCTTTGCAGTCCATTCATATACTGGTTTAATGCTGTCCATTTTGCCCTTGGGATACACTTTATTTATGTATTAGTTTACTAGTATTGTCTTAAGTAATATGCATTAAGACCTTCACAATGTATATCTCATTAAAATAAATTTGAATATCTTACACAGGAAGTGAAGATATTCAGCTACATATTTAATAAATGCTTTTTGATGATGATGGAACTTCTCATTTTTGTAATACTCCTTATCATGCGTTAACTGTAATTTGGAAAACAGCAGATTGACGCAATGACCATAATTCTGTATCTCTCTTTTTTTTTTTTTTTTTTTTGAGATGGAGTCTCCCTCTGTTGCCCAGGATGGAGTGCAGTGGACCATCTTGGCTCACTGCAACCTCTCCCTCCTGGGTTCAAGCAATTCTCCTGTCTCAGCCTCCCAAGTAGCTGGGATTACAGGCGCCTGCCACCAAGCCTGGCTACTTTTTTTTGTATATTTAGTAGAGACGGGGTTTCACCATGTTGGCCAGGCTGGTCTTGAACTCCTGACCTCAAGTGATCTGCCTGCCTTGGCCTCCCAAAGTGCTGGGATTACGGGCATGAGCCACCATGCCCGGCCACTCTGTATATCTCAATAAGATGATTTTGTTCTCCAAGAGCAGGTTTTTCAAGTAAGTACGACAGAAATGAAGATAAAGTTGAGTCTCTCAATAGTATACTGTTTGGCTCTGATCCTATCACTCATTTAGAAAATTACAACTAAAAATCATATAATCTAACAGTAGAGCTGCTTTCTCAATTGATCTTTAAAAGTGTTAACGAAATAAAAAATGTCTCTGGTTTTTGAAGTGTATTTCATAAAACCTGTGCGCCTTTAATTGGCTTTTCTTAATGAGGGCCATTTTCTGTTGCTGTGTTAGGAATCATTTTCTATTAAGTGTTCAATTAAAATCTGTACTTTATACCATTACATACTACTCCACATTAATAAAGGTTCACTTTTCCTTAGATAATTCTTACACTAAGTATTTCTTTACCTGGCATTTAATGTAAAAATGTATAAAATTTGAAGAGTAGTAGAAATAAAGTATTCCAAAATTAGGCAATGGAAACTCTATTCATTAAAGGGTTAGAACGAATACACTAATTCTTATTAAAAGTCCTCTCAGAAAGAAAAGATCCTGAAAAATTAAATAGAACATAAGCCAGCCAAGAGTAACTTATCATATTGAAAATTTTAATCTCTTAAAATACTAGTAGTAAAAATGCTTTTCATACTTGGTGTTTTTAAAAATAATCCCAAACTGATTACCATTAATAAATATTAGAGTGGCTTTGGTCCTACTCTTTATAAACTCAAAAACGTAACTATCACAAAAGAATAAGGGAATCATTCAAAATCTCATAGGGATTTCAATTTTATCATTAGCAATTAAATAATATATAAACTTAGATATAGAAATGTATTAATTCCATGGAGTAGGGTAATATAATATGGAACACTATAGTTAAAAACATTTATTTCAATAAAGTGGTAAACAGTTAATTTATATTATTATAATGTAAACACTAATTCCTATTTCATTTTAAATGAAATTAAGAAAAGCAAAAAAAAAGTACAAAAGTACGTTTTATTAACAATTGTTTATTTTTGTTTTAATTGCTATTAGCAAAAAGAATGAGAAAAAGTGTTACATACACAGGATAATAATTTATGTCAATATCTGTATAAAAAATAAAAATAACTTTAGGTGTTTGTTACCTGGAAGCTTTCTAAAATTTAGAACATTATTACAGTCATACTTTAGCTATAAAAGCAAATATGAAATATTTTTCAATTCAGTATGATGGGACTTGAGAAGCAAGTTAAGACAGCACAGGCTATTCTTAAGTATCTACAGGTATTTTATTGACTTTTGACCCTGTAGTAACTTGGGCCCTCCCCCAGGTTACAGAGCCAAACACCAGGCCACTGATGATACGGCTAGAACAGAAAAGCCTCAAGACACTGTGGATGAGTATGAGGACCACGAACATTAAGTTTTGGGTTCAATCTCTGCACTCCAAAGTCAAATATAAATGGTTCTTAGTTGTGTGTCTCCTCTGTATTAGCATGGACAATTGAGAATTGATTGTAATTTTAATTTAAATCATTTGAGCAGGTATTACAGGTATTACATTCCAAACCAGCAAGACAAGTTACTGGCAAACTATCTTTAATAAGAATTATACAACTGTGCTAAGGGTCCCTCTAAGTCTATCTCCCAATAGGAAGATAGCTTTCATTTTATGTGGCTTTGTAACTTCACTTTTCTTCTTTCTTTTCTCTTTTTTTGAGACAGGGTCTCACTCTGTCACCCAGGCTGGAGTGCAATGGTGTGATCACAGCTCACTACAGCCTTGACCTCCATGGGCTCAGGCGATCCTCCTACCTCAGCTTCCCAAGTAACTGGGACTACAGGCATGTGCCACCATGCCGGATTTAATTTTATATTTTTTGTAGAGACAGGGTCTCCCTATGTTGCCCAGTCTGGTCTTGAACTCCTGGGCTCAAGAGATCTACCCACTTTAGCCTCCCAAAGTACTGGGATGACAGATGTAAGCCACCTTGCCCAGCCTTGACATTTTTTCTTCTAAGAAACAAAAATCTAGACAGCTGCCATTGCTTTCAGAAAAGTTAACAAAAAAAAGAAACCCAAAACAACCTATACACAAAACAAAACTAAACTAGATGTTCCAGCATAAACAGTGGCTACTCTATATTAAAACAAGACTGCAGTATTGCTGGATACTAGGTGTTTCAGGTAAAATTTCATACTGAAGAAGTTATACTTGATAATACAGCATTTTGGTGTTTTAGTAAATTCAATAATTCCAAGGACCCATAAATAAAACAAAACAGTTTCTGTTAGAGAAAATTACCTAGGAAAGTGAAAAGAAGTATTTAAAGCAGAATAAAATTAAAACAGGAAAACTCAAAATATTTATTTTCACTGAAAAGGCTTTTGTTACTCTTTTCCCTATTGAACAACATTAACTGATAAATAAGTTGTATTTTTGTGGTGGTCTGTATCATGACCTTACATCCATTTTCTTATTTTATCACCATCCTATGTGAGATAGATAGAGCTTGTCAAAAACTAAGAAATGAAAGACACCGGGCGCGGTGGCTCATGCCTGTAATCCCAGCACTTTGGGAGGCCGAGACGGGTGGATCATGAGGTCAGGAGATCGAGACCATCCTGGCTAACACAGTGAAACCCCGTCTCTACTAAAAATACAAAAAATTAGCCGGGCGTGGTGCCGGGTGCCTGTAGTCCCAGCCACTCGGGAGGCTGAGGCAGGAGAATGGCGTGAACCCGGGAGGCGGAGCTTGCAGTGAGCCGAGATCGCGCCACTGCGCTCCAGCCTGGGTGACAGAGTAAGACTGTCTCAACAACAACAAAAAAGAAATGAAAGCATGAGACCTCTTGAGCAACTTAAAAAAAAAAAAAACAGTACAAGGTAAATCTATTTTTCAACTAGTACATGCAGTTTTTATTCCGCCGTGATTAGTACAGTGAAGTTAGGCAACTACGGATACAGTAATGGCAGGTCAGCTCTTCTGAAGTCAAATCTAATGTTCTTTCATAGCTATCACAGAATTTCATTTCAATCCTACCTCACTTTTTCTTCCTGCCACCCATTTCCAAACACATAAGGAATGTAAAGCACATAAGAAGTTATAACTTCCCCAAGATTACCAAGCCCATTAGTGGCAGAGTTAGATCTAAAACCCAAATCACCTGTAGCATTTTTCATATGGGGCCTCTCTTGCTCCTGTGTTAACTTAAAAAAATGTTTTTTAAGGTCTGCAGGCCTTCCCTTTGATGCTAAATTTGTTTTCTATGATTGATAATTATATAAGAAAGGGCACACTAAATATACAGTGTGTAGATATTTTTAATGGCAGAAGTATGCCTGCCATGAGATGGTTTGCAACGAATTCCCTTAAGCTCACAGAGGACTGTGCAATCACCAAATGGATAAGAGATAATTATTTTTATCTTTACATTCATTTAAAGCCACTGGAATTCATAAAAATACAAGAGGGCAAACATTAATCACATTTTCTGCTGCCTTTCAGGACAAATAACTTGGATCTCATATTTCAGATGCTTGGTGATAGAAAATATTACTGGTCTAAGAAACAGAAGCTGTATTTACCCCCATGTTGGTCATCTAGCAGCTCTTTATTTACTGGAAGCAGTCTCAGGGGATGGCTATCAAAAGGAAATCTGTATGTAGTACCCAAACGTCCTCCCTTTCAATTAAAAAAGTCCAACTATACTGCTTTATAGAATAGTTCTTCCTGGACATCTACTGAATCTGGTGAAATAAGATAAACTCTCAACCACCTCAAAAAGGGTAACTTTATAAATTACCAAGCTATTATAAAATGTGAATATGCTCTGTATATCTTTCAGGAAAGACCATGCCAGTATGATAAGGATGCTCTGAGATGGGAAAGACAGCCTTAATGCAAAGCAATCAACAACTATACCATCAGAAAAAAAAGGGAGTGTGTGTATATATATATATGTTTAGGGGTTATTATTTCCAAAGAAAACAATGAATTTAAAATTATATATTTATACATATTCAAGTCATCTTCACCTCCACATCGTGTGTTAGTGAACCTACCTGTGTATATTATCCTGGCCAGAAGGGACTGCACCTACATTGGCTACATTTACAACCTTCTGAAAGATCACAGAGGGAGTGAAATTCTGTGGTGCAGCAATGATTACAGCAGAAGTTTCATTCATTCCTGTTAGCACTCCTGTAAAAGCAAAAGAAGGCTCCCTTTTATTAATTTCTTTTTGAAAATTACATTTACAGAATTTTAAGCTCATGGCCAAAATTTTAACTTTTTTTCAACAAAAGAAACACTACTTTAGGATGTAATTTACAAGATAATTATAAAACTAAAACAAAATGCAATTGTTTCGAAGTTTTTTAAAATCCTCATTGTATAGGAAAATGTGTAAAAATTCAGTAAAAAATCACTTAAATCTAATTTTAAGTATGATAGGATAAAAACTTAGAATCACACATATGAAATATCAATTTCAGTCTCTTTAAAGTATACTCAATCTGGGGTTTATGTAAACTAGTAAGCTTTTACTTCTTAATAATATATAAATGTATTTGTTACTATTGCTATTTTTTTCTATTCATTCAAAGATCTCTCATTGCCAAATGCTGCTTGAGAACACATCAAAGTAATTCCAGGATAACTAGCAGCAATACCTGGTAAATGGCCTCAGTATGACAGATCGAAGTTATCTCAACAGTGACTGGAAGTCACTGAAAATGCACAAGTATTTAGGCTATACTTAGAGCTAAAAGTACTTGTCTAGTGAATGGAAAGTGTTTTGCTGACAAAAACACTAATTGAAACTCCTGAAGCAAAAACTTTGAAAATGAAAGAAAAAATGAGAATGAAAACTCTTAAATCCCAGGGACATTTCAAATAATATTTAGGAGAGAAATTAAGTTAAGCAAAAGCATGAAAAAAACCATACAGAGTTAATGCAAGACATGCCATTAATATCCAGACCTCCTGTAAAAATGTTCAGTGAACAAATTCAACAACATACCAAACACTTGGAACAAATACTGAAATTTAGTGCCCGGGTTAAAAAACAAATTAATTACAACAAATGCCATCTATTTGGATCGGTGATATAAGTCATAGACATCTAATGGTTATCTATTAGAACCAATAACTCTTTGAGATATTTGATATGTGCACAGTAGTTTACAAAATTGATGAAAATAGTAAAAATCTGATTTCATGTTTTCAAAAGACTCTGCACCGTCTGGCATATATATTTAATTTAGTTATTTATTGCAAATGAAAACTAAAATTTAAAAGAATCCCTACGATTAACAGTATGAAAACACTAAAGCCTAACATTGTGAAAAGACTTTTGCCGTCAGTTAGAAAATAGAACTATCTAGCTTCTAACAACAAGCATTTTTCACTAACCACTTTCAAACTCTGGGAACACTATGTTCTGTCTTAGACCGTTTAACTTCAATATTAGGCAAAAGCTTTAAAAACTATACAAACAGTCAAACACTGCTTTTAAGTAAAGCACAGTGGCTGACATAACACTGCTGAGAGATGTGTGTACTCATTTAGGATTTAAACCTTCTCCATTAAGCTCTATTGAAGAGCAACTGCTGAATAAATGAATGCAACTATGTTTATGTTAAAAGCCTGTTTCCCGCAGCATGTAATTAAAGGAAATGTTGTACAAAGCCAGTACTTTTGTCAAGCTCCTGTAAATGGAAAGATGGATAGCACTCAGAGAAGTGAATGCATTGCTTCATATTTAACCTTAACACTCTTGTCATTAATGGTTTGTCTAACTTGTTCTATAAAAGACAAGGTACTGCTCCATTGAAGTAAAATTAAAAAAATCAACTAAACCATGCTTTTCAGAACAGAAGATTCATTATCGTCAGCTAATGTATTGGCATAAAGCAAAGTAACATCCTATCAAGGCACACATTCAATCTGCCTTCCCACCCCCCTTTATTTTTAACTCATGCTGTTTTATTGTTATAGGCAATTTGTACCACTCAGCATGACAGTGTAAACTGAATCAAGATTAATTTACATGCAAAAGAACACTTAGGAGAGCAGCATGGTAAGCAAATGTATTGTCTCGATTGCTGAGGTGGAAAAAGAACCTGGAAAGAAAAAAAGGTGCTCTAATTAAGGGGCATCAAATATGATTGCTTATGGTAGTTAAGGGCCAGAAAATAGTAAATGTCTGACCATTTAAAGAATTAGCATCTTGCTAGCTAGGAACTCATAAGATAGATGCATAAATCATAATAAAATTAAGTAAACATTTTAGGTTTCTTAAACCAGAGATTTTTCTAAATGAAACTATATCAGGTATTCTCAAATTAACAGGAAAGAAAAATAGGCAAAGGTTTCATTAAAAGTTCCTCCTAAAAAATAATACTTTAAAACACTGTAGAGCCTGTTCATATATAATAAAGGTAAAATCACTGGGAAAATATTTAAAAACTGTAGGCTAAATAATTTGTGGCTTTATTAGAATCTATCTAAATTTTGGTGAAGGCAGTAGATAGCACTTACTTTAGGCTAATCAGCTGTAATTAACTACTAAAAGGCAAACCAAATAACATAAAAAAATTCAGAAAAATTTCTAAGTTTTAGATTTGTAATTTAATTCACAAGAAGAAAATGAATAAAAATTCAAAAAAAATTCTAAGTTTTACATTTGCAATTTAATTCACAAGAAGAAAATGAATAAGAGGAGTTATCTCGGAACACGTACTCTTGAAATTAAAACTGCGTGAAGAAACCAAATTAAATATTTTTAAGTAAAAAATAGATCCCATGTTATTTTCTTATTGAAAGCATCTCACAGCTAGATCATTAACTAATTCTGCAATGCTTGAAACTCATAGCAATGAATAAATCATGCTTCTGATGGAGGCTTATATACATAACCGTCAATACGTAGAATAATCTAATCTTTCATTTACCACTTTGACTACCAATCTTATTATATATATATAAAAAAGTTTAGCCATGAAACCCTAAACACAACTGAGAAAAAGTGATAGATCATGTTGCATATTAGAAATAAAACTTTTGTTTTAAAAAATATTAATCTAAAATGTAATACTCTGTTAGAACCACTTTTATTTAATACTGTACACTTTTCAGTTACGTATATCTTTAGAATGAAAATAGAACCATATTCCCCATGTTCCTTATTTATAATTTTTTCAGTTAAATTTAATTAACACATTTAACATACTTCTTGAGTTTTAAAATGTGTCATATGAAATAAGATATTAATTATGTAAATCCACTTTATTCAAGGTAGAAAAATCGGTTAAAGCTGGTGTAACACACACACACACACACACACACACACACCCCTTAAATTTACTTGCATTTTACCTTCCAGAATTTTGCATTGATAAAATCTGAGGAAACGGATTTTTATTCTGATTTAGGCTTTTCCGTTAGTGAGAGATTTCTAGGTATCTTTTGTGGAAATAAGCTAAGCTCTTACTAGAGTAGTATAACAAATACATGTGTAAAGTTGAGGATTGAGACCTCTATTACCAAACCTGCTGAAATCTATAACTAAAAAGATGCTATTGAAAAGACTCTTTAAACCTGTGCTAAATTTGCCAGCATCAAGTTCCACATCAAAGAATGAATTCAGGAAGACAGAAAGAATGATACAGAAATGCCAAGAGACTTGCAAGGATTTACAAATACTTCATATAAACAAATTTTCAAATAGCTTTATTCAGAGTAGCCTTTCTGCTCTATTAAACATAGCAAACAGCTGCCAGATTTATTCAGACAAATAATCAACAACCATAGAAGTAAAATGGCAGAAGAAAAAGGAATTTTGGCAACAACTCCACAGAGGACCACAGCTATTCTCCAAGTGCACCTCTCTCATGCACTTAAGGTTCTGTATGGCTAGTCAGCGAAAAATCCCTCAGTCACAGCAGAGCACAAAAAATTTGATCGAAATATTAAGTATTCTAACCAAAAGCTGAGGGAGTGAAAGGGTATATAATAATCTGCTGCTTCAGATATACTTTAGCTGCACTTTTCAAAAAAAGAATATCCCCTTAACAATAAATGTGCCAAAGCCTTATTCAGTCACCGTGTGCCACTCACCTTGGTTTGCTGAGCAGATGTAAAGCAGAGAGGCAGGCTTTAGCCAGCAAAGGGTAAGAATAGCAAATATAAGAATCAATTCAATTTGTCAATAGAAAAATAAAATCACAAAGATAATTTTCCTCTATAGCAATAATCAACTTTCCAAGAAATGCAAATCCAAAGAAAGATTTCATCGTTCTTTTTTATTGCTTAAATAATGCCCAGCAAAAATATTACTATTAATTTATGGACTTGTATGAGATTTTCTTTTTGACATTGTGAATTGCAAAGGCTTAGAGTAAAAACAGTATCTTCAGCACAATAGCAGAGTGCCAGGAAGCGTGCCCCTCTTCTTAGGTGTAGGTATTTGTGTGTGCCTAGTACGTTCTGGAAGTTTGATGGGTATGATTTACTACCTCAAAATGAAGGGATCTTTGATAACACCCTCCACAGGAAAAAATGGCTTAGATTCACATAAAGTTGTAAAAACTGCTGACTATAGCATTTAAATATGCCTTAATTTTATAAATGTTATCGTTAATTAAACACATAAAATCAGACAGTTATCTCCCCTTATTCACATACGAAAAAAAACCACCTCGTTTTTATTAGAAGGTATGTTTGACTCTGGGCCAACTACAGATATTAATACTTGCATTTTGCTGAAAATATTTTCTTTTTAAGTACTTATTTTAAAAATGTTTCAGTTCTAATAGGTTCTGACAACACAGCATTTCTTTAATATAGAATTAGGTCAAAAGAAACTAGAAGTATTTTAATGCCATAATTAGGAGTTTATTTTGAAGGATAAGGTAGTTTAATGTGTGCAGGGACAAATACATTAGTAAGACATAAAAAAACAGTTCTATAGTGAAAAAATACAGAAACATAACAATTATAGTGGTAGGACATCGGTAAAGTCCCCAATTCCTGGCACTTTGAATAATACAAAACCCATTAGTATATCATCAGGTTGACAAGCAACAACTCTCAGCATTGAAAAGGTGATTAAGAATTAATGTATCATTTAAAGACATATTAATCAATTTTCAAGTATGCCAGGAATATAGACAAACATCTGTTTTTAAGGTTGTAAGTGCAAAGCATTAACAAAAATTGGAAGATTGTGCACTAATATCTGTTAATGGCTATGTACCTATGAAAATTTATTTTAGAGACTGTACAGGAATAAGCACATATTATTTGGTATGTAAATTTCTAGTAAGTTGTAGACATCTCTCACCTTGCTCTTTCTTAAAATCTTTCTCTGACATGGCCACAGGTAAAAGCAGTTCTCCAACAGGTGGCTGAATATTAACATTGAAGCAATCATCCTTGGTACTGAAGAAAAACAATCAAAGCTGACTAAATGCTTCATAAATAAACATTCTTAATACTAAGTAGTTAAATCAATGCAATGAAAGCCTATGCTAGCATATACAGTATAAGACCTTTTTGGTTTAAACATCACAGCTAAAAAGGTTTAAACATTTTCCCAAACAAACAACATTACTTGCAGAAAAATACATCTGTTATCTCAATCAAGATTTTTTAAAAAACAAAACTACACAGGTATAGTAAATTATCCCATTTGAAAAAGAACTTTAAAAAATTGCAGTAATTGTATATAACCACTACCACCAAGAGAAACACTTCATGCAGCTTATAGAGAAGTAATATTTTATCTCTAGTTTGCATACATCTTAAAGTATAGAAGATGAAATGCTTTAGTCTGAAACAGTTAAGATATCTTTTTAAAAATATTAGTTTTAAATGAAGAAGAAAATAGAGTGACCATATTGTGTTTAGATAGGTGCTAATAAAGTAATATCTCATCTGCAAACTTGCTTTCCTAAAATAAAAAAAAAGCCCTTATTTGCTAGCAGTGCTATTCATTGACATTATTGACCAACATGGTAAAAGTTATTATTTCAAATGACAGGATATGAAGAATTTAAGAAAGCCAACCTTGTTTGTTCTAATATCAGATAGAAAAACAATAAGTGCATTTACCTAAGTCTCATGATATTATGATCAATAAAAAATACTAAAATTGTCTAAAAAATTTTTTAAAGTTAGATGTTTAGGGGTAGGTTGATGAGTGTATCCTAAATGATAGTAGTGTGTTTGATGGCAAATAAGCAGAAAATCCGACTAACAGTTTTTTGAGAAAAAGGCATTGATCGTTTATAATACAAGAAGTCTTAGAGTTACCAGTCACAGGCTCATTCAGTGGCTTAAAAAACCCTTTAGAGGCCCAGATTCCTCTAGCTTTCCCTCTGCCATCCTTACTATGTTGGCTTTCATCCTCATGGTTGCCACATGGCTGCTGTATCTCCAGGTACCTAGTTTACATTCCATTGAAGGAAGGGTGGTGATGAGAGAGTGTTGAGTAACTATGTCAACCAAATCTGTTCCTTTTTATTACAAAAGCAAAAGCTTTCAGGAAGTCCCATAGAGGGACTTCTACCTTCATGTTAGAACTGGATCCCACAGCCTGTGAGATGGTAGCTAGAGAAACAGGGATTGTGGATAAGAAATACTAAACATTAGGTTAAGAAACACTTGAATTTATTCATGTGTGGGTACAGACAAATGACATAATATAAAAAAAGAACATAAAATCGACTTTTATTTTATGCTATTATGTATTGTATTCTTGTAAGTGGCCTTATATTTTTTCCATATGTGGATTGTTGAAGGCAAACCAATAAATCCAATTTATTTATCAATTCAATAAACACTGAATACAACCTTGATCCTATGTAGTGTGTGAATATCTGGGGATTTAAAGCCAAGTGAGATTGGCCCTTGAAGCTCACAAGTCTAGCGGGAGGGAAAGAAATTACACTTATAATGGAATGGCAGGCACTACCTTAGGTATGTGGAAAGCATTCTGCAGGAATGAAGGCTAAGTTTACTTCCAAGAGGAGAAAGAGGGCATTCTAGGCCTGTACTTTGGGAATGATGAGCAGCCTAATATGTCAACAGAAGAGGTTGGGGGAACATTGCAGAGTATCATATATAGTATGACCATTCATCCCAGTCCTCCCAGGAATAGTCCCAGTTTATGGCTGTTGTTGTGGAATCCTGTCCAGCTGGTGCCTCCTTTCACTCTCTAAAGTGTCCTGATATGTGTGATAAAGCATATGGTTACTTTACTTATATAACTAAGACAAAGGTGTTTCAGTGTTTCTTGAAGCAATGGGAAACTACTAGAGATTTTTGGCATAGGAAGGTAAATGGTCCCATTTATGTTTTAGAAACTCCAGTGGCAGTATGTAAGGTGGAGTAAGGGAGAAATCAAAGGCAGATACATCAGTTAGGAGTCTAAATTAATAGTCTAGGCAGGATTTTGATTTTTTTTAAGGATTTACTGTGTGTTTTTTACTTAAATAAAGCCTAAAAAGGATCTTAAGAGACAGCTTCTGTTATTTCAAATTTACTGATGAGAAAACTGAAAAGAAGTTGAACAATATGCCCAAGGTCACACAGCTAGTAACTGACAGCACTGGGATTTGAACCCAGGTGTATCTAACTTCAAAGTCCACATTTATTCCACTATAATATACAGCTTCCCCAGGGTGGGTAGCACTGGGCAAGGGGAAGATGGAATATTTTATGGATATTCTAGAACAGAAGGGACACACCTGGTGATGAATGGAGGGAAGAAACTTCACACCTTCTAATGTGAACAACTGGGTGAATGACAGTGTGCTGAAGGAGTTTAGGGACTTAAAGAAAAAGATTTGGCTTTAGCCACATTATATTTTGAGTACTGAGTTACCCAGGAAGAGATATTCAGCAGATAATTGGAAATACAAATCAAGAATCTGGAGAGAGACTAGCTGGGCATAGTGACAGGTGCTTATAGTCCTAGCTACTTGGGAGCGTGAGCTGGGAGGATTGCTTAAGCCCAGGAGTTTGAGACTATAGTGAACTATGATCACGCTACTGCACTCCAGCCTAGGTGATAGAGTGAGACCCCATCAAGAAAAGAAAAGAAAAGAAAAGAAAAGAAAAAAGAAAGGGAATCAGGAGAGAGGACAGGGCAGTATGTAGGAGTCTGGAAGCAGTAAGAATGGTGTAAATGGTGTAGGGAAGAGCTGAAGCCTTATGAGTAGATAAAAATCATATAGGAAAAGAGGATACCACAAAAAGGATAAAGCGCAAATCTGGTGAAGACCTGTATTTAAGTAAAAACAGAAGAAAAGCAACTTGCAGAAGAGACTGGAGGAAGAGTGGTCAGGAAAAAAGGCGTGTGCCAAATACTGCAGGGAGGCAGAATAAGATAAGGGATAAAAAGAAGTATAACTGTTAATCTTAGCAAGGCTGTTCAGATTGCAGGAAGACTACACAATGCAGTGAGTTGAAGGGTGAAGGGAAGATTGGCAATGGAAGAAGGAACAGAAAGCAGAAGCTTCCTGAGAATGAAGAAGCAAAGGAATAACACCTAAAGAAACCTGAGCATGCTTAGAGGCTGAGGGGAAAGAGCCAGTAAAGAAGAAGAAACAAAGAAATAACTGGTAGAGCAAGGTCTTAGGAGAGGTAAAAGAGGTTGGGATGAAGAGCACAAGAATGAGGTGAGCGGGTTAGCTCTAGAAAGGAGTAGGATACTTCTTTGGAAACAGCCGAAAAGGAGTGCTTAAGAGAGAAAGGATTGAGGGTAGGCTACTCGAAGAATGAGACCAAACCTGATGGAGGGGAAGACACAGTCACATTAAGAGAAACATGTAAACACTGGTGAAGGACTAGAAGAAGATGTATGTATACATACATGGAATACATATATATAAATTACAAATGAACTCAGTATGAAATTTAAAATTTCAGCTTCAAGTCACTGTATACAAAGTTCTCCAAAGTCAGAGGCACAAGACAATCAACTGAGGTATAGGCAAAAACCCTATTAATTATATTTATTTTTTCTCATTCCTTTTAAGGTTCTGTTTTTCTGGGAGACAGGGTCTCAGCTCTGTCACCCAGGCTGGAGTGCAGTGGTGTGATGACAGCTCATTGCAGCCTCGACCTCCTGGGCTCAAGTGATGCTCCTATCTCAGCCTCCCAAATAGCTGGGACTACAGGCACATGCCACCATGCCTAGCTAATTTAATTTTTTTTTTTTTTTTTTTTTGAGACAGAGTCTCACTCTGTCGCCCAGGCTGGAGTGCAGTGGTGCAATCTCGGCTCACTGCAACCTCCACCTCTTGGGTTCAAGCAATTCTCCTGCCTCAGCCTCCCTAGTAGCCGGGATTACAGGTGCATGCCACATGCCGGGCTAATTTTTGTATTTTAGTAGAGACGAGGTTTCACCATGTTGGCCAGGCTAGTCTCGAACTCCTGACCTCAAGTTATCTACCCGCCTTGGCCTCCTAAAGTGCTGGGATTACAGGTGTGAGTCACTGCGCCTGGCCTTTTTTTTTTTTTTTTTGTAAAGACAGAGTCTTACTATGTTGCCCAGGCTGATCTTGAACTCCTGGCCTCAAGTGATCCTCCTGCCTTGGCCTCCCAAAGTTGTGGGATTATAGGCATGAGCCACTGTGCCTGGCCTCTATTTTTGTATGTTTTAGTAAAAATACATGTTAGCACAGTAAGAAATACAGACACATACATATATATACACACACATATATAATTACAAATAAACTTCTACAGAGTACATACTCAAAATATTTTTACTAATAGAGGTAAACAATTTCAAAAGTTAGGGAACCACTGAGTTACATCATTATTTACAACACTTTTGAATTACTTGTTTATTCTTTTTAATAGAAACTCTTCTTCCCAACACTCCTGAAGGACACCACATACTCCTCGATTAAAAGTGGCTTGACAGCAATGATGCCAAGGGAGAAGGGTGGGGTGTTCAGAGAGAGAAGAGGCAGGAGATCTGCCTTCTAAGGCATCTATGAATGTCTAGCTGCTTGCAGGGGGTAGGGAAAGCGATCCTGAAATGTCCCTCCTCGCAACAAGCAAGGCGTTAGAGAGCCCAACTGAAACATATTTTTCGGCCTCTCTTGTAGCTAAGAGTGATCAAGTGACCCAGTTATGACCAATGAATTATAAACAGAACTTCAGTAGATATTTCTGAGAAAGTTTTGCTTTTCTGACATAAACCTGGCCCCTTTCTCCATGTCATTTCTTTCCTTTTTTCTGTCTGGAATGCAGATGGAAGCCTGGAGGTGGAGCAGCCATCTTGTGATCACGAAGTTGACCAGCATTTGCTAACAAAATTAGCACATGAAACAAAAAGGTGGAAGACCTTACTGTCCTGAAGACAGTGGGAAGCTACTGCACCAGCTCTGAACTGCCAACCCCTGCAGTTCTTGTTCTAGGAGGATAATAAATCCTTATTTGGTCATGCCACTGCAGTTGGGTTTCTGTTACACACAACCAAATACAAAATCCAATATAACCAGTACATAACTCACTTTGTAAGCCAGTTTCATCTTGTAAGCAAGGCGTGGCTTATAATAGAACTAAGATGGAACATTTCCTCTTTATTTGGGGGAAAATTTACTTTCATTTACATGAGTGTTCTAGGATGTCCTCCAGTTTATAAGCATCTCCTTTTCTACCATTTTGCCTTCTTTTTGATTTATTTCTCTCTCCATGTAGCTTTTCTTTTCCTTTTTTCTTCACAACCCCTTTGATTAAACAGGGGAGAGACAGATTATCTCCATTTCTACACATAACTGCCTCAACTTGGATAGGGAATGTGAAAATGACTGATGATAGATGTAAATTTATCAGAATTAACAGTTACCAGATCAATGAAGCACTATTATTAGGGTAGCTTTAAATAGCCGAGCTACATAGGACCAGATGGCATAAAAGTTTAATGTAAGGCAAGATTCTACTTGGTACACATTTAACTGTAGCATATATTCTTGTAGTACATGTAACCTCAGTTCACGGATTCCTTTATAGGATCCAAACTGGTAAAGTTTGTAGGTAAGAGAAACGGGCAAGCAGCCTATTCTGAGACTCAAGTTTCTCATCTATGAATGAGTGACATTTACCTTGCAGGCTAGTTTTAACTATTAAAGGAAATAAAATGAAATAATGCACAGGAAGTACTCAAAACCTACATATGTAATAGGGATATATCATTATTTCATTATTCCCCCACAGATTATCATTTCCAATTTTTCTCCATTATAAACAATGCTTATACTTGGCTAGATCTATTTCCGTACAAGCACAAATACTTCTCTAGGCTTGATACACTATAAGTGAAATTGCTGAATTGAAAAGTATGAATATTTTACAGATATTGCCAATTTAAGATCCCACAAACAGCATACAAGAGTACATGTTTTTCTCTACCTTCCTGGTCAATACCAGACACAAAAGTTATTCTAAAACTTTGCCTATCTGATGGGTAAAATGTTTTAATTTTTATTTCCCTAAATATTAGTGATGTTGAACATCTTTTTCAAATGCAAGTTGGCCACTTGCATTTATTTTCTTGTAAATTGCCTATTCTTAGCCTTTTCCTTACCTTTCTACTGGATTCCCTTTTCATTGATTGTGAGAGCTACACGTTCTGGTTTTTAAACTTTTTTCTGCCAAATAAGCTGCACTGCTTTCTCATTATCTTGTTTATGGTGTCTACTTTTTCTTTACTTGTAGAGAAGTTTTAAATTTTTAATAGAAGAACCTGTTAGTTATTTTCCTTTATATCTTTCTGAGTACTGTGTCTTGCTTAAGACTTTTGTCCTCAGAGTATGAAAATATTTATCTATACTATATTTAAATACTTTTATAGTTTTTTATAATTAAATAATAAATCCACATGGAACTTGTTTTGGTATAATTTGTGGGAGGAAGCTACCTTGATTTTTTCCAAATAATGGTCCTCACACCATTTACTGCATGGTCTGTTCTTTCCCCACGGATTTGAAATGTCACCTTTATGACATACAAAATTTCTACATTTCTAAATTCTCTGGTTTCATTGGTTCTTGTGTCAATATCAATTACACAGAATAAAAATATTCTTGTGGCTTTAAGGAATATTTTTAAATTATTATAGAGAAAGACTTTTTTCACTAAAAATGTTGACTTTTCTTGTGCATTTTTTTTTCCAGCTGAATGTTAGAAGTTTGTCAAGTTTCTTGAAAAAGTCGACTGGCATTTAGCCTAGAATCACATTGAATTTGAAGATTAATTTGAGGTGCAATACTGTCTCCCATTTAAAAACACAGTATATTTATTTTTTATTTTGCTTATATTTCTTTATATTTAATTATATCTTCCTTTATGCCCTTTAGGAAAGTTCCAGGTTTTTTTCTCTCTACATAAGTATTTGTACCACCTTTCTAAACTCATTAGTTTAAATAATAGATTTTCTGTTGATTCCAACTTTATGGGTTAATAATTATGTTGAATAGGCCAGGAACAGTGGCTCAGGCCTGTAATCCCAGCACTTTGGGAGGCCGAGGCGGGCAGATCACCTGAGGTCAGGAGTTCAAGACCAGCCTGGCCAACATGGTGAAACCCCATCTCCACTAAATATACAAAAATTAGCTGGGCCTGGTGGCGCGTGCCTGTAATCCAAGCTACTTGGGAAGCTAAGGAAGGACAGTCGCTTGAACCTGGGAGGCAGAGGTTGCAGTGAGCCAAGATCGCACCACTGCACTCCAGCCTGGCGACAGAGTAAGACTCTGTCTCAAAACAACAAAAAAAAAGAAAATAATTAAATTGAATAAAAATTATAATTTTGGCTGGGTGCTGTGGCTCACGCCTGTAATGGGATTATAGCACTTTGGAGGCTGAGGTGGGCGGATCGCAAGGTCAGGAGTTTGAGACTAGCCTGGCCAATATGGTGAAACCCTGTCTCTACTGAAAATACTACAATTAGTCGGGCATGGTGGTGCGTGCCTGTAGTCCCAGCTACTCGGGAGGCTGAGGCAGGCAAGAGAATCGCTTGAACCAAGGAGGCGGAGGTTGCAGTGAGCTGAGAGCGCCTGGGCAACAGAGCGAGACTCCATCTCAAAAAAAAAAAAAAATTATAATTTTGTCTCTTCTTTTCCAGGATTTATACTGCAAATGGCGTTTACTTGCCTTTCTGTATTGGCTGGAACTTCCATTATAATGTGGAATATAGTGTGGTGAGCAGACATCCTTGTTTTGCTTTTCTGACTTAAAAGAGATTGTTTCTGATATTTCATGTGGCTATGGGTAACCTGTACGGGCCAGAAGTCATTTGAATTTATAACTACAACTGATGTCCATCTTCATAGGTTATCCTTTTGGGCTTTAAAATCAGGGTGATGTTAGACTTACAGAATGACATGGCATGATTTCCGTTTCTTTTGTTCTAGAAAAATTCTCTTTTTTAAGGTTCTGATACAATTTAATCGTTTTTATTCCTAATTTATATTTTTCTAGGAAATAATTTCATCTAACTACTCCAATTTACTGGTGTAGAACTGTATGGTATTATTTTGTAACTTAAAAGATCTCTGTGCTTTGTCATCTTTCTCCTCTCTAATCTTTCTTCGTTGTCTTTTTTCTTTAATCATATTATCCCATAGTTTTCCTTTTTTTTGTACATCCTATATGTTCTTTTAAAAAATGAGTATTTTCTGTACACAGGAAACAAGGAATTCTATGTAAACATATATATCTTAGATCAAGCTTGTTAATTAAATCATTAAACCTGTATGTATCTATACCTATTTAACCTTACTCTCTGATTTGTCCATTTCTGATGTGCATGTTAAAATATACTATGATTATGGCTTTGACAATTTCTCCTAGTATTTGTATTGTTTTCTGCTTTATAAATTACAAAAGTGCATGGTTTAATGGTTTGTAACAATTGTATTTTCTTGGAGGATTACAATGAACACAAAATATTTTATTATTACTTTTTACCTAAAATACTTCTTAATTTTTCTAGTTTTAGCACATCTATCTGATAAATGCATACACACACACACACACGCTCACACACACACACTTCATCTATCTAATCTCAACTTTTCTGTGCCATTCTCTCTTAGGGAGGTTTCTCATAAATAGCATATGTTAAATTTTGTTTTTTACCTGTTTAGTAAAAGTAGGATTTAATCTCTGACGTGAATTGTGAAAACTAGTATGTGTGGTGTGCATGGCCTCTCCAGCCACCTTTTTTTGTTTTATATTTGCCATGCTTTTTCCTCTTCCTCTTGGTTAAACTGACCAAGTTTTAAACATTTATTTTAAATTATTATTATTTTTTTGAATAGAGACAAGTTCTCGCTATGCTGGCCAGGCTGGTCTTGAACTCCTGGCCTCGAGGGATCCTCCCACCTTGGCCTTCCAAAGAGCTGGGATAACAGGTATAAGCCACCACACGCAGCTCTGATCAGGTTTTAATTACTCCCTTTCTTCCTACCTTTAGCTGTTTAGAAGTTATAATACATCACATTTCTATTATTTTAGTGGTTATCTTTAATAATTTAAACAATATTTAAACTAATTTTTGCCATCGATCAATTCTCTTCTCAGACATAACAAGAACCCTAGTATACCATCACTCCTCCTTGCACTTGTCTCTGTGGGGATTTTGGTTCCAATTTATTGTTAATATTTATTTTTCACATTATGTCAACAATTATTTTTATACGTTGATAAATTTCGTAGAATGCTTTGCTCACTACTGTTTTATTAATTCTATGTTTTTCTCTGTCTCTGATTTTTTTTTGAGGTAAGGTCTCACTATGTTACCCAGGCTGGAAAGCAGCGGCTATTCACAGGTGCAATCATCGCGCACTGCAGCCTCTAATTCCTGGGCTCAAGCTATCCTCCCGCCTCAGCCTCCTGAGTAGCTGGGACTACAGGCATGCATCACCATGCCTGGTTCTGTCTCAGATTTAAGAAAATATTCTATTACAGCATATCTTTGAGTAATCCTTTCAGAAAAGATGTGCAGGTGGTAAACTGATTGAATCCTTCGCTGAAAAATGACTATTTGGTATCTTCAAAATTTTAAAGGTCATTTCCTTTACCTTCTGGCTTCCAGAACTGATAAGAGTACTGATGTGAAATTTGATTCCATTCTCATTCTTGTCCATTTTTAGGTAAACTGCTTTTTTCTCTGCTTTGGAAGATAATAGGATATTCTTCTCCTTATCAAAAATTCACCAGGACGTGATCTTTTTCATAGTTTTTCATATTCACCCTGTTTGGCCCTCTTAATCTGAAGGCTTGCGTGTTTCTTTTGTTGGGGCACATGTTCATTCATTCACTCATTACGGGCAGGGATACACTCTGTCGCCTAGGCTGGAGTGTAGTGGTGCAATCATAGCTCACTGGAGCCTTGAACTCCTGGGTTCCAGTGATCCTCCCACTTCAGTCTCCCAAGTGGCTAGGATGACAAGTGTGTGCCACCATACCTGGCTAACCCTTTTTGATTTTTGGTAGAGACAAGGTCTTGCTATGTTACCCAGGCTGGTCTTGAAACTCCTGGGCTCAAACAATTCTCCCGCTTTGGCCTCCCAACGTGCTAGGGTTATGGATGTAAGCCACCACATCCAGCAGAAAATGTTCCTCTATAATTTATTTTCTAAATTATTTCTTCCCTTCATTGTCTTTTCTTTCCTGCCAGAGCTCCTATGAGATGAACTGATCCTTCTAACTTTCCTTATTTTCTGTCTCTGCCTTTTTGCTTTGTATTCTAGTTGATTTCCTTGACCCTTTCTTCCAGAACACTCGATCAGTATTCAGCTGTGTCCATTCCATTATTCACCTACTGAGTTAGCAACTATCATTACTATGGGTCTCCTCTCCCCTGGGTGGGCTGACTAAAGTTTTATTTTTTATAAGTGGACGAGATACTAACTGGTTATGTGGACATGAAGTTGGAGGCAGGCAGGTAGGAAATGGCCTTTCCTCCCCACCAGCAAACGTGACACTGGCTTTACCCTGGTGGTGAGGATCTGAGAATATTTTGGATACTCTCTTGGATAAAACTATATTTCATCTCATCTCTGACCATCCTTGCTTCCTTCACACAAACTCAAACCCTGCTCTGTTCTTGTAGGTCCCCACATCCACACCAAAACGTCTTTCCCAGGCAAGTGGCTCATTCTCTTTACAGTTTTATTCTTAAGTCTCAAATTAAATGTGTATGTTGCCTGCTGTCAGGGGTAAGATTGGGGAACTAAGGGGCTGGAAGCAGTTAATTCCCTGATGACTGTCTTAAGACCCCTACTCATGCTGTGCTTGATGTTCTGCCAGATTGGTTCTTACCATTATGGTAGTTTTCCCCCACGAGTGTTTTACCCTGTGATTTTTATTTTCTCTGTTATTGTTTATCTGCTCCTATTTGTTTTCTGTCAATAATGCCTCATAATTTCTGGTCAGCTAATGGCATCTGTTCTTATATTTTCAGTGTTCATTCACTATTAAAGAATGTATTTTCTTTTTAATGGATCTTTGGACAAAAACATGTGCTCAGTTCTCTAACTAGCACTAAGCTGTGTGACTTCCCACACTGGTTAATGCATGCATGCCTGTGGGGGATGAGGATCTGTTTATGTACTGCACTAACTTTTAGACAGATATATTTATGTATATTGCGCACATATTTGATCTCAATAAATTTAATCAAGAACTTAATTTGATGACCATTTAAAATCCAAGCAAAAAAGAGGCAAAAATGCTTATCAGATATACATATAACTACATGGCTTAATTTAACAGTTCTGTCTATATCTATTTATCCATAGATACAATTATAATGATATAGAATTAATCCAGAAGCTAAAGTAGGATCATTTTACTCTATTCTTTTTATTCTAACTAATAAAAGAGTATCTGACAGGCTTTTGGTCCATGTTCCCAGCATTTCTGAAGGCTTCTTATCAAATATGCTGTTATTACCCATAATTTTATGTATCGATTTGTATAATGTATTTCAAGGAAAAAATTCAATATCAGCCATTCTTGTTTCTTTTTTTCTT
Organism: Homo sapiens; assembly: GCF_000001405.40. Classification (NCBI taxonomy): domain Eukaryota; kingdom Metazoa; phylum Chordata; class Mammalia; order Primates; family Hominidae; genus Homo; species Homo sapiens. Next base: position 78,032,405 of record NC_000005.10, read on the forward strand.
TTTATTGAACTACCAAGACTAATACAGCACATCACTAAGCAAAAAGTGCTATTTACTATGCAAAAGGCACAGTCAGTGATTGGCATCTAAGACCAATTGATCTACCCATTACCACTATCTCCCTACCCCCACAAGCATTACTATGAAGCTATTGATTTAAACACTGTCGATCGGTTTCCATTTTCTGATTTTGGGCAGGCCAATCAAGAAAGTGAGTAATTGTGATTACACTGCTTCAGGATCAATTACATTTGATGCAAGACAAAGTGCTCTTTTTGGAACACACACACAAAATTTTTGATCTAGCATGCTGTTGTGCTTAACAAAATCTAAAATAAATAATTTGTATCTTTATAATAACAAAACATACTAATGTAAATGCTTTTAATAGTCAAGAACATTTTCTATGTGAAATACATGAATTATTTTCCTAATGTTAGTTTGAAAGAAATTTAGAAAAAATATTATTCACATACACTCCTTGGCATAAGATAAAAATCAAATACTACCTGCATATATATCCATCCTTAAAGAGACTTAGTTAATTATGAAAGACAAAATGCAAATCCTGTTCAAGAGACTATAAAGGAAGTCTTTGTAAATAAAATTGGGGAAAAAAATCCAATTACATAGGAATCAAAAGGTTCTTTATACAAATTGATAAGAAAAAGGAATCTTTTTTAGTTCTTAATTTTGGTCTAACTTGGTACGTGAGCTTTGTCATTGGGTTCACATTGTCCAAATCATTAAAATGAATATACCTCTGGTGTCAGAGGCAAATCTATTTAGAGTGATGTTACTCATAGCCTGTTGTTCAGTAATATTGATCTGTGTTGTTTGTCTAATAGAAAAATAATAAACAATTACTAGGCAATGTTGGGAAAAGTAATCAGTTTTTATATATCACTAATACAGCAGACCTCCCAAAACATAAAGGTGATGATCTGCATAAAATCAATGTGTTATGCTACATTGCTTATATTTATCATTGCAGGTTCTCGGCAATAAAAGGTATAACATTAGGCCAGAATTACTGGTAAACTGAAAAGGTATATGAAAATGAAAAGTTCACTATGTTTAATCTATACATTTATTTTAAAATGTCTATTTCTAAAACTTCAAGACTTTTAAATCATAACAAATTCTGTTCTAAGCTAGCTAAAATGTAGGTAAAATGTCTCAATTCTTTTTAGAATAAAAACAAAGAAACTTCAACTCAAAATAGCCAATTGGGCCTTATATCAGAAAAAGAAAAGAGTTCAAAGATAATTCTCAATGATGCATGAATACGGCTTTGTTCTAATTTGCTAATAGCCTCTGAATTTCACAAGAAATGTATAAAGCATTATAGAAAAACATTAACAACAAAATCCAATCCTAAAAAAGCTCTTCTGAACAGCATTCAGCTATGAAACCTTTGCCAACTGCATAAATGTTCTCTTTTGACTTTTATCAAAGCAGTTTGTAAATGGATGTAAAAAGGAAAAAAAAAATGTGTGAGTTTTAGGTACTGATGGCATCAATAATATTCCACTTAAGAATCTCAAGATAACATGTATGTATATCTCAAAAGATATCTTCTCTGAGCTATTTAATAATATTATTAATGCTTTTAATTTCTCCTGGATTTTCCTCATGAATTTTCTCATAAATTTTCTAAAACTGGAGTGATAAGTTAAAAATTACTTAGTAGTAGCTTCTTTCTTTAACCAACAAACCATGGATTTCAATCACATATGGCAGGTTGTAATGGCTAGGTGTGTAACGAATGCTAAAAATACATATACTACACACAATTTGTACAACTATTCCAAGGCAGTCTAAACATTATCAAAGCAAAACATATTTGTTTAAATGTTTTGTCTTTCACACACACACAAAAGCTGTTGAAAGCTTAGTTTTTGATCTGCTATCCTTTACAGGTTATATAAAAAATAGAAGAACAATTGAACTTACCACAACTGGAAACTGGCAGTCTGAGTAGAATCACAAAAGTCAATACCCATTGAAACTGTAATGGATCCCTCAGGCTCAAGAGAGTCTAGGAAATAAGATAATTTAGACATGAAAACACAGAGGATGTGAAAAAGAGGCAAACTAAACACTGAAAATTTAGGTAATGTTTGTAGCTTGGTTGAAACTGTGAAATGTAATGATGGCTTAAAAATTTCAAACTAAGAATATTAAAGCAAATTACAAAGTAACCTAACTATTCTGTTTCAAGGTTTTCTTTTTCACAAATTAATTCTGCGCATACACCAATGAACACATTATACCCATTTGTTTCAGAAATACATATCTTCCTGAGAAATGTCATGTTTTCTAATATTATCTCTATAGGTACTGAAAATGAGAAGGAAATAAATGTGTTCTTGTTTCGCATACCTGTAATGGACTTTGGGAGTTCATAAGAGGTTATGTACTTAAAACTATGGCATGTTTATTCTAGATATAAAAAGTAAATTTTAAACAATGTCCAAAATTTTCAATGAAAAAAATCCTAAATTAAAAAATGTAAATCAAGTTGGAAGAAGAAATTAAGATGCACTCAGAAATTAATTAAGAGATCTCACATTGAAACCAAAATGTTAAGTCTAATTGCATTAAATACTCAAAAAAATTTGTGGCAGATTAGATTATCTTTATAAAACAAAAAATAAAATGACATTTGATAGATTTGGAATTTCAGAAGCTTCATCTATCAACTAACCAAGTATAGGAAATAACTATACCAATATACAATACAGTATTTTTTTTCAGTTAACAATGACAAAACTTAAGGCAAACAAGAACAAAATTTTATTCTGCTTATGATTTGAAAGTTTAGCTATATCTTAGAATAATTGAGGGGATCTTAAATAAATATGTATATATTTGTTTATATATAGAAACTGTCCATTTTTGATTTCTACTTTGCTCAAAGTATTCTGTATAATTGCAGCTATACCATACAATCACTTTATATTTAGCTTTATCTATTCTCTATACATCCTATCACACGTAGTTATATTTTAGCAAGCACACTTCTAATTCAATAGACTGTGACTATTCTAGGGCTTCTTGGTAAGTATGATTTGCCATTGAATGCTAACCACGACAGAGATGATGGTACAGTCGGGATAAAATAATAATTCAATAAGCTTCATTTATTAAGTATTATGTTTATATCTCATAGGCTCAATGAGGAGTAAGCATTACAAGAGAGTATTTGTTCAATGCTGATTTTAAAATGCTATTTGTTAGGCAAAGGAAGTATGTTAAAAATAAAAAAAGTAATAATTAAAATGCTATTTGCTCAGTGGTATGTATGTTAGTTTGCTGATTCTAGTTTGAATTTCATTTGTTTACAAACCTAACATTTTCCAGGATGCCACTCAAATACTAGAAGACTTGCTCCCTAAATCTCTAGCAAACAGGCTTTACTGTAGGGTAAATAACTATAATGATACATATGTTTTTTTCATTTCTCATAAAGCTATGTGCTGTCAACAGTTTAGAGCTTTGTCAGTCACACGCTGCTCCAGGCTATTCTTGAGTGAATTCTTAATGCCTTCTGTGCCATAACTATTTTGGGGTTTGGTCTTGTTTTTATCTGACACATTAGTAGCAAATTCCGTCATCTCCAAAACTTGATGGCTTTCATGATTTAGATCTCCCTTCATCATGTATCTTTGCATGTCATTTGACAAAGTGACAGCTCTCAAGATGCCTTGTTGATAGCACTCTTTGACACTGTTTGATACTGTCTTCAGTCTTAAGATAATTAACTGTGAGCTTAGTGCCATACTAATTCTGGGGGACAGTCCATGATCAATGGCATGTTTTATTATATGGATGCTTCAGGAGCAAAATGATCAGCATAAACTCATTCAAATAATGGATTTTTATAATACTTGGAGCCGACTAAACTGGGAAAGCTTACCCAATTAGGTGTCTCTGTTTGGACACCATTTCTAGATTTGCTCCTATATATTTGAGATGGCTATGTAGAAGTGGCTGAAAAACACTGGCTCTGTTACGCCACAACATTAATATCAACACATGAAATCATATAGGATGCCATTTACTTTGATGTAACAGTTGTACAGTAACTGGTAAAATCTTAGCTGAACTCAAATTTGTCAACCACTAACATAAAGCCACTGAATATAGTAAAGAGAGCTTAACCTATTCTTTGTGTCTTAAAAAAAACCCTCTTATATACTGGGTCTCTTTGGGGAAAATGGAATATTATTCCTAATATTCTTGTAAGGAATACAGTTTCATGCCAAACACAGAGTGAAATCCAGAAAAAAAAGTCATTGCACATTACAGACAAAACCAGATTGGTGGCAAATAAGAAAACTGCGGACTCCTTAATGTGTATACGTTCTTAAAAATAAATAAAACAAATAGCTTACCTCCCTTATTTTACTAAAACACTAAAATACAGTATTTGTTTTCTGTTGCATTCTTAAAATGTTTTTGGAGGACTAATTTAGACATATTATATTCCTTAACCCTACAATCTATTGATAATAGTGTCATCCAGGTGGTGTTACATACAAGTACATACTGCAGACAAAAGAACTCTGTATCTTGAAGGCATTCAATAAATGCCAACCAAATGAATGAAACATACAGTCACAAAAATTTGTCTAAGAATGACAAAGAAAAGCCTACAACCAATACTGAGGCAATGGTAAACATTCATATTTTATTTCTCTGTTAAAGTCATACTATGAAATTTATTATATTTATTTCTTCTATTCTACATAGGCCAACTAAAGGTCAACTCATCAACTCATTATGCCAGCTCAAAGAAAAATTAATACTGTTCTACTGCTTTAACCTTTGGATAACATTCTCAACCTTCAGACAATTCATGTATCAGCTGCTTGACACTTCCTAAACTAATTTTTTTTAACTAGGTAAAAAAGGTTGAATTACAAGCAACAAAAATAACACAATAATTCCTTGGCAATATATTAATGTCACACATTATATAATAAAAATTAGGATACTTTGTGTTCTTTAAATAGTGTCTTAATTATCAAAATATTTTTAAAAATTAAGTGGATTTTGAAATCAGCTTACTTTAACTCCACTTTCTTTGCTCTAGTTGCTTATAAAACTTTACCAGGCTTTATCAAAAATTATTTTATTCCTTTGTGTAAAAATATAACACACACACAAAATGACTTTCTTTACCGAAAGATTCATGAAAACCAGAGGAGAAAATTCAGCAATGCCAAAGAGCTCAGATAAAGAAAAATGGAAGAGTTATGTGAAACAATGAGTAAAGAAGGTACAATTACCTAATTTTACTTGATCCTGGTCAAAAGGCATTGTTTATCTTAAGTATTATAAAAAGGAGCTCTCTGGAGCATTCTGGTTATAACATTTGGAAGATACAATGACATAAACCTTTTATTACTTTTAATTGAGGTTTTGCCTGAAGCTTCTCTCAACTAAACCTTAGGGTTATCTCCACTTACAAAAACCAAAAAGAAAGAGATAGACATTCTAAATATTACACTATTTCAAATTTCAAAGTAAGACACACAATTGTTACATTTAATGTTTAAAGGGTATATTTTTAGCAAAATACTTAAAAAATGCAAAGGGGATGAAAAATGGCCACTGACACTTTGTTGGAGAGACAACAGGATGCGGTGGGCACAGAAGCAACCTGGAAAGTGCGAGCCAAAGCTGGGGGCAGCCGCTGCTCAGCAACCCACTCATTGGTTGCTGCATGTGGGGATAAAGGGCCAGTACTGCCATATTTTACGCTCTGCTCCAAGAAAAGTGAGATTTCTCATTTTTTAAAATGTAAAAGCATCTTCATTTTTAAATGGTGGCAACAGATTGAAAACATGTAAAAATTGGATGTGGATAAATACCAGTGATATCCTCTAGGCTACTGTATATTCTATACATGGAGAGGAAGATAAGCAGACTAGTCTACATCGGGGGTGTGCAATCTTTTGGCTTCCCTGGGCCACATTGGAAGAAGAATTGTCTTGGGCCACACATAAAATACACTAACCCTAATGATAGCTGATGAGCTAAAGAAAAAATAATCGCAAAAAAATCTCATAATGTTTTAAGAAACTTTATGAATTTGTGTTAGGCTGCATTCAAAGCTGGCCTGAGCCAGGTTGGTCAAGCTTGGTCTATATCCTCTCAGTCTTCACTCCCTTCACTTTCCCATAAATTGAAAAGTGAAGGGAAACAGGAAAGGATCTCGAGATACGAGAAGTATTGTATTCAGAAATGCAGAGCGATTTTCTTGCTTTTAATACACAATAAACCACTTAAAATTATGCAGGGAATGAAGCTGACCAGGAGGAGAGATGGGGAAAGGTGACACAGGTAAGTAAAACATGATGGCAATCTTGACTCTGCAGACCTAGCCTTCCATCACTACTGGTATTACTATTACTGGGACCTGATTCACTAAGAGCAAAGAAATGTATTTATCTTATATGATAAATTCAGTTTAACAAGAAAAAGCAAATATAAACTGAATATGCTAATTGTCAATACAATCATATTCTACTTTACTATTTTACTAAAAAGTATTCTACTTTACTTTTAAAATGAACATATTTAGTGATCAAATATAGTTAAGGTTTTAAATGAGAATTAATATTTACCTATTGGATTAAAAACATGCATTTTCATGCCTATAGGAAGTTTTTTTTCCCCTATGTGGATATTTTCTATCTTTCGATCAGTAGTGTTATTCAGTGTTATTTGTATAGAGACCATCTTATCACCAAAAATGCAAGGCTGTCTTGGAAAGAAATAATGGGCAGCTAGTCCTTTTCCACTCATTCGATGAAGCAGCACGTGAGTTTTCGTTGGTACAAATGCAGGAGTACTGACCTATTACACACGGCAAAAAGAAAAAAAGATGAGTTAGTGAATATAATTATTCTTTTAGAAAATATGCAAACATTTATGACATTTAATTCTTGGTTCCCCTACAGTATTATATGAACTACAATAACAAACATTAGTAGGATATCACACACATAGATATTAGTCAGAAATGATACAAAGAAGTAAATGCCCTCAAAACTGTATGAAAATTTTTCTGTAAGCGGCTGGGCGCGGTGGCTCACGCCTGTAATCCCAGCACTTTGGGAGGCCGAGACGGGGAGATCACGAGGTCAGGAGATCCAGACCATCCTCGCTAACACGGTGAAACTCCGTCTCTACTAAACAAAATAGAAAAAATTAGCCAGGCATGGTGGCGGGCGCCTGTAGTCCCAGCTACTTGGGAGGCTGAGGCAGGAGAATGGCGTGAACCCAGGAGGCGGAGCTTGCAGTGAGCCGAGATCGCGCCACTGCACTCCAGCCTGGGCGACAGAGCGAGACTCCGTCTCAAAAAAAAAAAAAAAGAAAAGAAAAGAAAAAAAAAAGAAATTTTTCTGTAACCTCCAAGCATATATTAATATTACAAACATACTCATTTTTTTTTTTTTTGCTGGGGGGCAGGGATTTATAAACTTTTTTGTTAGTTTTTTTCCCTAGATCCTCTATATTTGGCCATCTTGCTAACTTTCTTATTGGTTTTAACAGTTTGTCAATTGATTTTCTTGGGTGTTTTAGCCAACTACCAAAATGAACGTCTGGACCTTCATTTCCAATCCTGACTCTTTGAACTGTTTTTTTGTTTTTATTTTCTTTTACTGTAAACTGAAGACCATGGCCCCCAGGATAAGGTGGCTTCTTCCTTTGCCTTAATGATCTCTACTTTGAGATCAAGTTAACTATTCACTTATATTTTCTTCCAGACCTTTGATGGTTTCAAATTTTAATTCATATGGAATTGATTTTGATATATTGACTCCATATTTAATTTTCTCCAGATACTGAACTAATTGTCCCTACATGAGCTAATGAATAGTCTTTTCTCAATGATTTTAAATGCAAAAATTCTAATTATTTATGTACTAGGAGATATTTCTGGGCCTTGATTGTCCTGTTAAACCAGTCCCATATTGTTTTATTTTTTGTAGACCTACAATATAATTCAATTATTTGGTAAAACAAATATTTCCTTATTTCCCCCTCCGAATATTTTCTTGGTAAATCACCTTTTACCCTTCTATTGAACATTAGACTCTTAATTAAATTCTTCCCTCAATCTCATTTTCATTGAAATCATAGGCAGCATATTAAATAATGAAACACTGTCCATTCTAAAACCATGTGATAGCTTTCTTTCCATTCAAAATATCAGTATTGCATACTAGGCTTGACCTGACATGGGCAAGCATTAAAAAAAAAATCAATTTGTAATTAAACAGGCTTGATTAAGATTTTTTCCTGACAAGTGTTGTCTCCCAACTAGATTCTCTATTATAGTTCTGAGAGTATATATCAACCTATTAAACATTTTCACTATGCCGTGTACACCTGATGACATTACAAACGTAGCAATTATAGTAATGATTTAAAGTTCCACAAAAATCCAAGAGTTAAATATCATATATACAAAATGCTACATCATGCCTTCTAAGCATCATCAAAACATAGTATTCTTTCTCTAAAAGTGCAACAAAAAATGTGGGCAATTTAAAATAATCATCACCTCTGGCCAGGCGCGGTGGCTCACGCCTGTAATTCCAACACTTTGGGAGGCCGAGGTGGGTGGATCACCTGAGGTCCGGAGTCTGAGACCAGCCTGATCAACATGGAGAAACCCTGTCTCTACTAAAAATACAAAATTAACCGGGTATGGTGGCGCATGCCTGTAATTCCAGCTACTCTGGAGGCTGAGGCAGGAGAATGGCTTGAACCTGGGAGGCGGAGGTTGCTGTGGGCTGAGATCGCGCCATTGCACTCCAGCCTGGGCAACAAGAGCAAAACTCCGTCTCAAAAAAAAAAAAAAATCATCACCTCTAATCTCAGCACTTCGAGAGGCCGAGGTAGGAGGATCACTTGAGCCCAGGAGTTTGAGAACCAGCCTGGGCAACATGGTGAGATCCTGTCTCTAGAGAAAATGTAAAAAATTAGCTGGGTGTGGTGCATTGCGCCTGTAGTCCCAGCTACTCAGGAGGCTGAGGTGGGAGGATTGCCTGAGCTCAGGAAGTTGAGGCTGCAGTGAGCCATGATTAGGTCACTGCACTCCCGCCTGGGTGACAGAGCAAGACCCTGTCTCAAAAAAAAAATAATAATAATAAAATAATAATCATAAAAATTTATGGGATAGTTTATTTGTAAAATATAATAAACAATTAGCTAAATTTAAAATTTTGGTTATATAAAATAATAGGGCTACTGGCCTATTCATTCTATTTAAGCCTTCTGATGATGATAACAATCTAGTATTTTAAGTTTTCAAAGCACTTTCACTTCTAAGGTTAGGTTCTTTTCCTTGAATAAAAACTATTTTCAAAACTCTTCTGTTTCCTTTCTTTCTTTTCTTTTTTTTTGAGACAGAGTCTCGCTCTGTCGCCAGGCTGGAGTGCAGTGGTGCGATCTCAGCTCACTCAGGCAGCTGCAGACTCTCCTTGGTAACTGAGACCAGGCTTTTCCCATCAAACTCCTTGAGCTGCTGCACGCAGTACTCATCAGTGGGCTTGGCTGTATATACTAATTCAAAGCCCCACTTCTGCACTTGCTCCACAAACACAGAGCTGGCCACCTGCTCTTTGCTCTCACCAGTGATGCTATAGATGGATTTCTGTGCCTCTTTCATGCAGGAGACATATTTTGACACAGATGTCATCTCATCTCCAGACTGGGAAGTGTGATACTGCAGCAGCTAGGACATGCGTCACTGGCTAGTGGAGTCTTTGTGGATTCCAAGCTTTAGATTTTAATTTTTGAAATTCTAAAATTTTATTTATTTTTTTTTTATAGATAGGGGTTTCACTCTGTCATCCAGGCTGGAGTGCAGTGGTGCAATCATAGCTCACTGCAGCCTGGAACTCGTGGGCTCAAGTGATCCTCTTGCCTCAGGTAGCTTGGACTACAGGTGTGTACCACCATGCTGGGTTAATTTTTTTTATTTTTTGTTGTGATGGTGTCTTGCTTTGCAGCCCAGGCTGGTATCAAACTCCTGGCTTCCAGCAATCCTCCTGCCTTGGCCTCCCAAAGTGCTGAGATTACAGAGGTGAGATACCACAACTGGCCCAAGCTTTAGATTTTTAGATAAGGCCTCATTGAATTTCTTGCAATTCTCCTTGTCTTCTGCCACCTCAGAGAACAGCTCAAGGCACTTCTTAACAATGTTTCTGTGAATGACTGTTAAGATTCTGCTCTGTTGGAGCATTTCTCGAGAGATGTTCAGGGGCAGATCCCAAGTCAACCACACCAAGGATTAAAGTTGAGATACTCTTATATCATCATGGCTGTCCATGATGAACACATGATGGACACAGAGTTTGTTGTTCTTTTTTTCTTCTCATTCTCAAAGAAGTCAAAGGGAGCCAAACAAGGGATGAACAGCAATGCTCTGAATTCCAACCAACCTTCTACAGAGAAGTGCTTGACTGCCAAATGGTCTTCCTAGTCACTGGTGAAGCTCTTGTAGAATTCTCTATACTCCTCCTGGGTGAATGTCATCAGAGTTTCTGATCCAAATGTTCTTGATCTTGTTTAGTTCTTCCCAATCAATGATTTCTCCTTGATCTTGTTGGTTTTCTTTTTCTTATCCTTACCATTGTCCTCCTCTTCATCTGAACCCACCCACATCTTCTTCAATCTTGGACTTTTTCTCATCATCTCTATCTGCCTTTTTTTGTTTGTTTTGAGATGGTGTAACACTCTGTCGTCCAGGCTGGAGTGCGGTGGTGTGATATGAGCTCACTGCAACCTCCACCTCCTGGTGGATCCTCCCACTTCAGCCCCACAAGTAGCTGGGACCTAAGGTGCGCACCACCATGACCGCCTAATTTTTTGTATCTTTTAAAGAGTTGGGGTTTCACCATGTTGGCTAGGCTGGTCTCAAACTCCTGAGTTCAATCGATCTGCCACCTCAGCCTCCCAAAGTCCTGGGATTACAGGCATGAGCCATTGTGCCTGGCCTATCTTCCTCTTCTTTCTCACCTTTCTCTTCCTCTGCCTATCATCACTGATTTTCTCCTCTCTTTCCTTCTCCAAAGAAAGGGTAATGGGATAGGCTATGAACTGTAAGTGCTCTTCACTACTTCTTTGACCTTCCTCTCTTCTAAGTACTCTGTCTGGTCTTCTTTAAGGTGGAGGGTCACTTTGGTACCCCTGCCAATGGGCTCTCCATGGTCAGCACATACAGTGAAGGAACCCCCAGCAGAGACTCCCAGGCATACTCTTCATCATTGTTGTGCTTTGTGATCACAACTACTTTCTCTGCCACAAGGTAGGCAGAAAAAAAGGCAGCACCAAACTGCCCAATCATGGAGATATCTACACTAGCCTGAAGAGCCTCCATAAATCCTTTAGTACCAGGGAATACACCCTGACTTTGGTAGACACAGGCATTGACATGACCAAGGCTGATCTCCTAATTTGGGAACCATTACCATGGGTTGGGGATGATGTTAACTTCCAGCTCTTTACCATTGTCCAACTTGGAAGGGTTTGTCAGGCTCTTACAGGAAATCTTGTCCAATGCATCAGAAACATTAGATCAACCCCTGAAGGAAAATCTCCTTGTTAGAATAGAAGGTATTGATGACGAGAGACATGAGTTGGGCAATATCTGCCTGAAAGGCAAGTTTCCAGCTCCTCCGCTCCACGTGCACTTTCTCAGGCATCTCGAAAGAAAAAGGCTACAAGTACTAGAGAGCAAGGTGGGCTGGGACTCTCCGACATGCACATGGCACCAAGGCTGTACTGGGATGACTCCAGAGCTATATATTTTATATTTATAGATTTATACTCAGCAAAAGTTTTCTTTTTTGCCATAAATTCCCATGCTACTAAGGCTATGATAATCAACCTTAAATATAAGCTCTTATCTGGCTAATTATATTTTTCAGTGTTACATGTTTATTTCCTTAATGATAAGCATATTAGAGACAGTGACAGGTCTTACTTTTATTCTACATTGTTCCACAAACATATTTGTTATCAAATCATTAAATAAATGTTGATGTAGCCAGCTTTATCTCTGTGGAAATTCATAAAAAGTTGGCCTACATATAATATCGGGGAAAGAAAGCTGAAACTGTAATGTAAAAGGGAAGACTATTTGAAAGTTGGAGAAAGGCAAGGGTAGAGGAGTGGGACTAGAGCAGAACAGAACAAAGGTCTGGTTCACAGCGGCCAGGAATCAGTACTGTAGATATCATACAAGGTGGTTAGAAGTATGCCTTTAGTCATTTAAGAGCCATCAAGCCTTGGCAGACTCACTGATTCCTTCTCTCAGTCTAATCCTAGGATGCATGGTCCAAACATTTATTTTGTGTTTTCAACTTTGTCTCAAAATTCTACAGCTTTATTATAATTATCAAAAAATATGTTAAGGGATGAATAAAGAAAGAAAAACAGTATAATTCTCTCCACTCATTCTTTCCACATTCAACCAAGTTCAAGGTAAAAAGCATTCTCTAATGAATTCACCGTCTAAAAAGGCCCTCCCTTACAACCTCCAAAGGTTATCTGTGATAATTCCCAGAGGTCTATGCACTCTTTCACAATAAACAGGATCATAAATGACACTTCGTGGTAATAATATATACTTGTTTAACTACAGAAAGGTAGTAAATGAAAACATAGCCAGGTGTGGTGGCTCATGCCTGTAATCCCAGCACTTTGGGAGGCCAAGATGGGTGGATCACTTGAGGTCAGGAGTCTGAGGCCAGCCTGGCCAACATGGTGAAACCCCATCTCTACTAAAAATGGAAAAATTAGCTGGGCGTGGTGGCATGCACCTGTAATTCCAGATACTTGGGAGGCTGAGGTGGGAGGACTACTTGAACCCAGGAAGTGGAGGTTGCAGTGACCTGAGATAGTGCCACTGTCCTCAAGTCTGGGTGATGAAGCAAGGCTCTGTCTCAAAAAAAAAAAAAAAAAAAACACAAAGAAAAAGAAAATGTTTGATTACTTTTTTAACCTTGTTTCCTAAGTTTATACAAGTCATATTACGCCAAACTTCTCCAGCATCTAGATAAAATACATAGGTGATATTTTGTTCAATAAACCGAGTGGGTTCCATAAATACTTCGACTACTTCCACATATAATACATTTAATCCAGTGTTATATTAATATTAACATATATTTAGACTTTAGTTCAATATTTTGTACATCAGACCAGATACCTATATTCCAGAAATACATATGAGATCTGTGGCTGCTTATATTCTAAGATGCTCAACATTGCAAATGGCGTTCTTGACTTCATATTTTATAGACAACAATGATTTTATTAGATGCAAAAAAAGATAAAACATAATTATAAAGTGATCTAGATTTGGGCTGTGAAAATGAGGGTTTAAGAAAAAGGGAAGATTTAATAAGTCTAAACACAATACATGTAGGGCAGAGGTTGCAAACTATAACCCACAAGCCAAATATGGCCTGCTGCCTATTTTTAAAAAGTATCACTGGAACACAACCATATTCTTTCATTTACATACTGTCCTTGACTGCTTTTTTACTCTACAATGGCAGAGGTGAGTAGTTGTAATACCTAAAACATTTACTATCTGGTACCTTTACAAAAAAAGTTTGCTGACCCCCGATCTAAGGGCACAAATGTTAGATCCTTGCCATTCCACTTCCCTTCCCTTGTTGTTGGAAACAATTCTCTACAGCAGAGGGTCCCCAGTCCCTGGGCTATGGACCTGTACCAGGCCATGGGTTGTCAGGAATCCGGCCGCACAGCAGGAGGTGAGTGGCTGATGAGAGCAAGCATTACCGCCTGAGCTCTGCCTCCCGTCAGATCAGCAGTGGCATTAGATCCTCATAGGAGTGCAAACCCTATTGTGAACTGCGCATGCGAGGGATCTAGGCAGCACGCCCCTTATGAGCATCTAACGCCTGCCTGATAATCTGAGGTGGAACAGTTTCATCCCAGAACCATCCCCCTATTCCCAACGGTCCATGGAAAAACTGTCTTCCACAAAACGGGTCCCTGGTGCCAAAAAGGGCTCTACAGGTCTCACGTCTTCTGAGCAGAAACATTAGCAACTTTGCTTCTGAAGCTCTTTTCAAAGATGTTTCCACAGCAAACAGCCTTTGGAAGACAGAGGTAATGCCTCCCTCTGGGGCAGGTGATAGATTTGTTTGTTCATTGTCCAGGATTAGAAAGACAAAATCTCCCTCTGGGGCAAAGGCTGAATAGATTTGCTAACAGTCCCCTTATAAAAGCCTAGAATCTTTTTTTTTTTAAAATACTTTAAGTTCTGGGATACATGTGCAGAATGTGCAGGTTTGTTACATAGGTATACACGTGCCAAGGTGGTTTTGCTACACCAATCACCCTGTCATCTATATTAGGTATTTCTCCTAATGCTAGCCCTCCCCTACTCCCCCAACCCCCAACAGGCCCTGGTGTGTGATGTTCCCCTCCCTGTGTCCATGTGTTCTCATTCTTCAGCTCCCATTTATGAGTGAGAACATGCGGTGTTTGGTTTTCTATTCCTGTTAGTTTACTGAGAATGATGGTTTCCAGCTTTATCCATGTCCATGCAAAGTACATGAACTCATCCTTTTTTATGGCTGCATAGTATTCCATGGTGTATGTGTGCCACATTTTCTTTATCCAGTCTATCATTGATGGACATTTGGGTTACTTCCAAGTCTTTGTTATTGTAAATAGTGCTGCAATAAACATACGTGCACATATGTCTTTATAGTAGAATGATTTATAATCCTTTGGGTATATACCCAGTAATGGGATTGCTGGGTCAAATGGTATTTCTGGTTCTGGATCCTTGAGGAATTGCCGCACTGTCTTCCACAATGGTTGAACTAATTTACACTCCCACCAACAGTGTAAAAGTGTTCCTATTTCTCCACATCCTCTCCAGCATCTGTTGTTTCCTGACTTTTTAATGATCCCCATTCTAACTGGTGTGAGATGGTATCTCATTGTGGTTTTGATTTGCATTTCTCTAATGACCAGTGATGATGAGCTTTTTTTCATGTTTATTGGCCACATAAATGTCTTCTTTTGAGAAGTATCTGTTCATATCCTTTGCCCACTTTTTGATGGGGTTGTTTGATTTTTTTTCTTGCAAATTTGCTTAAGTTCCTTGTAGATTCTGGGTATTAGACCTTTGTCAGATGGATTGATTGCAAAATTTTTCTCCCATTCTGTAGGTTGTCTGTTTACTCTGATCAGGTTCCTCTCCTGTAAAGCAACACAATGCATGTGCAGGCTTCACCTAGCCTTCAGCATGTGGGGCTCAGAGAAGTGATGCAAATGATGCTACTCTGGCTACTTCTATTGCTTTAACAAACTGTCCTTTGTCTCTGACCAGGAGTCTTGTGTCTTCTACCAGCATTCATGAAATTGTTGCAAATTAACTAGTTAGCTTGTAAGTAGGGTAACATCTCAGACTCTTCACAGTTCTTGATGCTTGATTTAAAAAAAATAATTTAACAATTCCCAGAGCCGCTTATTTCAAACAGCTAACACTTAGACCACCATATACATCTGTGCAGTGGCAACTGACTGAAAGGGTGAATAGGAGCTAAAATCCAGCTTACATTCAAGGGAAACTTTTTGGAATCTGCGCAATGGTGCCATACAGGCTAGTGGCTTTACTAATCAGAATACAACTTTACAAAGTAGAGGTTACTTTTTTCTTTTGGATTTCCTTTATGAAAATCCATGTTATGACTTTAATTATTCCTGTGGGTTTCTGAAGTATCAGAAATGTTCTGATAGCCGACAACAAAGTGTTGAGTAAGTCCAATGACAATGCAGAATAAGAATTCATTGTTTCAGAATTGCTTTTATTTGGTTCAAGACTAAGTGCTGGCCTTTTGAGGAAGCTTTGCCCCCAATGCTTCTTTACCCTATAGTGGTTATGTATGAGACTGTCAGCCCAACATGCCCTACTATTTTCTAGAAACACATTCAGCCCATGATGGAGCTGGCAAGTTCTTATGCCTCCCCATGACTGGCTGCAGTTAACTGGTTCAGGGATGGACATTTGGCCCAATGAGTTCCTTTCCTAGGATTTTTGGATTTGGTACCTAGTAATTTGAGCCAGACTCTCTCAAGCAGCTAAAATTCTGAGATTTAAAACTCTAATTTTGTCTGTGGCCACATTTCCTGCCACATTGTTCAGTGAGAAAAAAAAATAATAAAGCAAATTTCAAAGAAAAGCATAGATGAGAGACAGAGAAACTAGCTGGTAACTTTGAGCTGGATGGTTCTTGATGCCCAGACACATTACTGTCCTTGCTGAAGTTGTTTTCTCTGAACTGTAGCTGTAATTTCCTATTTATTTATTTACTACTTAACCTAGTTCAAATTGGGATTCTATCATCTATCTCCCCCACTCTACTACTGGTTGGGATTAGTCAGATTTCAGGACACTAATTAGAAGGGGAAATAAGCTTGTAATGGGAGAATGCCCCCTTCCCCCACTTTCTCTAAAGTCCTGGTAGATATGGAGCCAGGAGATCACAGACTCAGGTAAGGCTTTTGATTAGACTGAACCATATGTATCTGCCATATCTGTAGGTCAAAAACAGTCAAACTATCAATTTCATGTGACTCAACTAATAATTTGTTTTGCATCAAGGCTACTTAATTCTACCTTTAATAGAAAAGAACTTTGAGTCCTTGATGTGGGCCAACCTAACTCACTGGAGTTCTGTATTGCGGTTAGAGAGCAAGGCCCACAATAACAACAAAGTACGGCTTTGCCTTTCTTTGTCCTCTGACCCTATGTCTCCCTTGGGCATCTTGGGGAGAAAGGTGGTAACGTGCAAGAATTAGGTATTTCACAGCTCTCTGTCCAATAAGAACACCGTTATTTCAAACACAAAGTAACTACAAATCATTAATCATTACTCACCATTAATTTATTAATTCATTCTTTCATGTAAATAACATTTATTCAATGAGTTGTACCAGCCCTGTGCTAAGGAGTATGATACAGAGACAAAGCCAAAGTATCCTAGTCCTCAAGAAGTTTATTGTTTAGCCTGGGAAAACAGAGTAAATCAACTAGTGTGATAAATGTCATGACAGAAGCAGGCTCAGTAGGCTAGAAGAACACAAAAGTCATAGCTGACACCTGAGGGAGTCATCATGGATGAAAACCCAGTTATTTTAATGAAATAATCTGGCTATTTCTCACTACTGCCACTGTGGCCAGCCCGGTCTGAGCCACCACCACCTATCATCTGGATTATTCCAACAGCCTCCTAATTGGTTTCCTTGTTCCTACCCCTGCATCTTATTGAACATAGACTGAATTGCTATGTTAGTCTATCCTGAACACAGCAGCTAGAATGTATCAGTTAAAGTTACATCATGCACTGGGGTGATGAAATAATTTGTACACCAAACTCCGTGATATGAGTTTACCTGTATAACAAACCTGCACATGTACCCCTGAACCTAAAATAAAAGTTAAAAGAAAAAGAAAAGTTGTATCATGTTACCCCTCTGCTCAAAACCCGCCAATGGCCAGGATCCTTGTTCCATTTCCTTGATCTTGTTTCCTATTACTCTTGAACTCGTTGTTTATTCTACTCATCGCCATGACTTCCTTGCTATTCCTTTTGCATATTAGTAACAGTCCCACTATAGGTTATTCCCTGGGACCCTCTACCTGGAAGGCACTTTCTCCAGAGACCCACATGGCTCAGCTCTAGTATGTCTGCTCAAATATTACCATCTTAGTAAGGCTTAACCCATTGGCATCCCTCCCTTCTGATTTCCTTTTTCCTTTTTTATAGACACTTAATACCTTCTCTAACACAATATATAATTTACTTTTTTGTTATGTTTATTACCTGTCTTCCCATCTACTTCCCACTTTTATGCTCAATGTATTAAACTTAATTTTACCCTTTCTCAGAACTCAAAGCATAATTTTACTATTTTAAATGATTATGGAAATTTGCAAATAATATACCTCTAGTGTTGGTCATAACTATACATTATTTAATGCTGAGTGCTCAATTATAACAGTGTCCTTAAAAATACTACAGCCTTATAGGAACACACTGTGGTGATATGTGGAGATCTTCTATATTAATATTTGTTGGTTTTATGATATAACTTGAATTTTCTATTACATAAAATTGTGAACAAATAAAGAAGTACATTTCTTAAATGCACAAAGAACAGCTTATTGAGGGACTTCTATAATTCAAACACTAATTCTTGAAATGTCTACTTATAAGTGTATTATTTTATTAAAACTTATATAAACAAGAGTATGAAAGACAAAGTTTGAAAACATTAGTTTTGATTTAATTGTTTAACGACTAACATTCAAAGAATTAAAAACTTAGATGCATTATAAGCAAATGATATAGGTCATCTTTACTATGGCTCGTGAGGAAGTAATTAGTTCAGTAACTGCAGTAACTGTAAAATAACAAGCCTCCCCCAAGAGTTAACAGAACAAAAAGCATCCAGTAACAATGAGATAATCCTCTACAAATCTTTACACAGCATATGTTTAAATAATAAAAGTCGTTTGTGTACCTTTAGATGGTTTATGAAAATAAGCAATCAATTCTGCAGACACAACATTATTTCTAAAGGAAATCTATGTGACTCATGATGCCTGTAGATACACAGAGACAAACCACACATATTTTATCAGTTTATTACAGTAAGCAAATAAGCGTGGAATGAGAGTGCACATAACTGTCTACTTAGCGCTTACTGAAACATTTATAAGAGCTGTTATCTCCCTAATAACAGACAGACAGCGTGCAATTTTAGAGAGGAGAAAAGCTTCATATTTTTTAACACTTCACTAAAAAGTAACTGAAGAGTGTAAAATGAAAAATACTCTGTGCAGTTAGCTGGTAATGGACCATATTATCAACTCAAGTTAGATTTATAGGATACAAACTAGTCACTAATAGTTATTTTATGACATAGCATGTCTGCTTTTTTTTGAGATTATTAAGATTAAAGTTGTAAAACTTCTTTTGAACATAGCTGTTCAAAATGATTGAATTATAAAATTTAAAATGAGATTCGAAAAATAAAACATGGAATAGCAAGTAAGTGCCTTGGAATAAGCCTTGTTCAGCATCCACATTACTATTCAAAGATGACATTTCCACGTAAAGCTTTATGAAAACAATGTTTCCCAGCCTTTTATGCTTTAATCCACATTTAGTTACCCAGTCATTAAGTATTATCAATCCATTCTGTTTTTGAATTTCAAAGATATGAAAATCTGCAGTATATAAAATGCTCTTTGTATCTAGTTTTGTTTGGCTTACTTTACATCAGTATCTATTTTGATATATAATTTATAAAAATGACGAGGTAAGAAAATAGCTATAAACAGAGGCACAGCTTCATCTTTAAAATTAGTACTTTTAAAACCAATGTATGTCTCAATTGATAAGATTTGTAATGCAGAAAGTCACAGTATTGTCTCATTTATCCTATAAACTGTAGAAAGTGGGTCTTGATTTTACCTTCAATCCATTTCATTGAGGCTAGCATTAACCTAGTATTGACCTAGAATAGGATTTAAAAAAGTAAACGGCAAATTTGGTTAACTCTTACATATAAGCACAGACTCGAAGAAATATATTTGAATCTTCCAGCAAATATTACTTCAAATAAATGGTTTTTAATACTAAAGATAACTTCTTCCTTATGTATATAAATTTTGATATACAAATTTATGATAATTTCTCATATTTTATTTTAGTAATCACTATACATTATAAAGCACACAAGACTTTCTCACCTCTTATTTTGGTAATAATATATATTAAAAATATATTTGTGGAAATACGTGAACACATAATGAACAAATATTTAATGAGCATCTTATTTCATGCTCGGTATTAAGCAGGCACCAGCAAACCATGCTTAGAGGCCAAATCTGGTCCACTGTCTATTTTTGCAATGCCTGTTCACTAATAAT
The DNA here is from genome assembly GCF_000001405.40 of Homo sapiens. Lineage (NCBI taxonomy): Eukaryota > Metazoa > Chordata > Mammalia > Primates > Hominidae > Homo > Homo sapiens. Next base: position 78,052,422 of record NC_000005.10, read on the forward strand.
GACTTTCACATTTCTAAATGGTTGAAAAATCAAAAGTAATATGATTGTAACATTAAAATGATATGAAATTCATTTTAGTGTCTATAAATACAGCTTTACTGGAACACAGATGCACTCATTTATTTATGTATTATCTGTGGCTGCTGTTGCATTAAAATGGCAGGGTTGAGTGGTTGTGGCCTGCAAAGCTGAACATCTTTACTACCTGGCCCTTTACAAAAAATGTTTGCCGATCCCTGGTATAGGATATATTCAATTTACAATGGTTTTGATATAAGGAAATTAATATCCCATTCTTTCTCCTCCCCAAAGACAGATCAATAAACTTCACTATCAATACACTTACTGCTTTTCTATATATCTGAAAGCCAGAATAATGTCTATATTGTTTTATATATCACGTACGTGGTAAATAGCACCAGAACCATGAATACTGATATGTTATACTATTCATACATATGTTCTCCTATTCTTTTTATATTTCTTTTCTGACTTTTGGCTTAAGAGTACTAATAAAAACAGACTGAATTTGACTTGTAAAGTGTTCAGCATGAAGTTCTCAGTAACTGGTTATAACAAATTTCTTTAGAACCCAGAGCATTTTACAGAAGCCCAAAACAATTATGCATTGTTAAGCTGTGATTTGAAAGATGTGATAATTACGTGATCTTAGCAGTTCTACTGCTTTTTCATTCACAAGATTAAAAACATAATATAAAAAAGAAAATGCTAGTGTCTTCTCCCATTATAACCAAGCTCAGAACCTTGGCATTATCTTTGACACCCTCACATTAATTAGAAACAAATTCACTGTCTCCTGCATTCATTTCCTCTTTTCTGTCCCTCTACCACCAGCTTAATTCAAGTCTTCATTAACACTGAAAATACTTTTAAATCTTTTTTTTCAAATTACAACAGCATTATATATTTATTGAAAATAATTTAAATAGTATGAAAATATAAGAAAAGTCAAGTCCCAGTCGGGTGCAGCGGCTCACGCCTGTAATCTCAGCACTTTGGGAGACCGAGGCCGGTGGATCACGAGGTCAGGAGTTCGAGACCAGCCTGACCAATATGGTGAAACCCCATCTCTACTAAAAATACAAAAATTAGCTGGGCATGGTGGCGCATGCCTGTAATCCCAGCTACTCAGGAGGCTGAGACAGGAGAATCACTTGAACCTGGGAGGCGGAGGTTACAGTGAGCCGAGATTGCACCATTGTACTCCAGCCTGGTGATAGAGCAAGACTCCATCTCAAAAAAAAAAAAAAAAAAAGAAAGAAAAGAAAAGTCCCCCTCAGGTAACCATAACAATTTGGTGTCCCTTCCGATCTTTTGCTCCCTTATGACTTCTCTTGCTTATACTATACGAGGTCTCTCTAATTTGCCCCCGTCATTAGGTTCGTTTTACTCTGAGCTGTACCACAAGCTGCTACACAAAATAATTCTCTTGGAGTTGTAACTCCTTCATACACTCAGCAGTGAGGTGTGGTGGGAAACACAGGGCTTTGAAACTATACAGATTTGAGCTGAAATTGGTTTTATACATAGCACATGTTTTACTAGCCTTGTAACACCAGAAAAGTTACTGAAGCTGAAGGGATCTCAATTTTCAAGTCTGTGAAATGGGGACACTAGCACCTATCTTTCAGGGTTGTTTTAATCTAGGCTAAACATAAACAGCTGGAGGCATGAAGGGCCTGAGGAGCAGGATAGGCACAAGTAAGGGAGTGAGTTAAGATTTCAGAATTGAAAGGACGAAAAACTGAAGTTCAGTGGAGGTGAAGTTATTAGAATTGAACAGATCAAGAGACTGTGAGGTTACATGTTGCACAGGTTATGAATATGAACACTGCAGTTCCCCAAGATGATGGTGGGCCAGAGAGATTATGTATGAAATACTAAGATCTTCACTGAATATGGATAAGTGATTAAGAGATCCAAAGATAAGAATGACAAGGAGGGGAAGAAGGAATAGGAAGATGGAATGGGCCCCATAAGAGGAAGGAAAATGAGGATGAAAACAGAATGGCCTAAAAGGAACAGGTGAGCTTCACACAAACAATCTTGGTAGTAACAATGATTTCGTCAAGACAGAATTATCAGCCATTATGAATGGGGCCATGCTGAACAGATTTACAACAGGACTTCAAGATCCAAATGGAGATTCCCAGAGAAAAGCTAGGCCATGAACCTTACAAAATTGTATGAGGGAAACCGTAAGCTGTTCTACATATTTCAGAGATGGGACTGTGGCCTCTAAAAGCTGGCTGTGTTGCCTTGCATTTAAGTGAATTGTGACTTAGGGACATGGATTCCCCTTGATGAAGGATGCGGATGTCACCTAGAAGAGGTCCTGGCGATAAGGAAAGAAGTATGTCTTAGGAGATGTACAAATTGGAAAGGGAATTTTATTATGGGTATAGTGATTTTAAACTACAGATGCTTTCTTTGAATCTGACAGAAGGGAAAAGGATCCTCATACATCCTAGATGCCAGTTCCAGGTACCACAAGTTGCTGAAAATTTCCTGATGCAGGGAAAGGATGGGGAAATGGGTTCCCTGAGACCATAAGACAGACAGACAGACCTACAGACACACACACACACACACACACACACACACACACACACACACTTACTTATATAAACATTATTCCCCTTGATCTGTGTGTAAATATTTTAAAATTTTCAGTAAGGAGGTGGGGATGGAGAGAACGTGATTTACTACATAAGGCCTGGTTTTCTTCATGGCAAAGGCACCTGGCTGCATGGCTGTTCCGGGTCAAGTCCTGGGATTGAGCCTCACTCCTGCACTGTGGCACTGGCCAGGTCTTCTCAGGCTATACGTATTTTTAACATATTAAACATTTTTCCTCAGAAGTAAGAATGGTTAGTTTCCTTCTCATGAGGCAGAATTACAGCTGGCAGTGGTACGAAGGAAAACACTGGATTTTAAGTTAGAAGACCTTCAAGCTATTTGATGAGAAGAAAATCATTTAACTTCTCTGTGCTTGTATTTGTATCTAATTGATAGGATTCTTTTGAGGAGTCAGTGTGACACTGCATGTGACAGTGTGTTGCTGGTGAAAGTCTCCTTCTTTAATTATTATTAAAGACAATGTTTATTAGCATAAGAGAAAAAATAGTGGCAGAGCTAAGATTGAAATGTAATATTCTTCAGTGTCATTTCTGTCAAGCAATAAGCTATAATTCCTTTTTCAATAAACACAAAATGGTCCTTATGATAAAGGAAAGTAAAGGTCAGTCATGCAAGCTCATGGGGAGATTTTTTTCTCTCCTTCAAGGAGAGAGGTGGAAAGAACTAGCATGGAAACTTTTTTGAATGTGATCTTAATTATAATCAGTATCCTTAACAAATAACTTTTAAAAACAAATCCATAAACTGAGATTAGAATTGTCTTTAAAATATCAGTTATTTAATAAACTGCATGTCTGAAAGTGGATTTCAAGTGATAATTTCATAAGCATACATCATAAGGCAAAGGAATCTAAGGGGAAGTCTGAATGCTACATCACAGGGGACAACCACACCTTGAGACAATATTTTACACTTCTTTACTTCCTCAGGATTATTTGTTAATAAAATTTCTACTAGATACCTACCTTCAGTACCAAAATGACAGAATCCCACTTTTATACTAATTGTAAGGAATTAACTCAGTATTTGGACATGCTGAAAAGACTAATGATGAATACCACTTTTTTAAAAAAAGCAATGAAGGTACCCTCAGGAAACTGCATGGGGTATGAGACCAGATGTCAAATGATCTGGGTTATAGTTTGAACTCAGCCACATATTAAATGGTGAGACCTTAGCTAAACCACAACCTCAGAGCTTCTGTTTTCCTCTTCTGTAAAATGGGGCTAATCATACATATCCTGTCTGTTTCACTGAGTTGTCTTGAGGATCAAATGAGACCATATATGTGAAACTGATTTTTAAACTGCAGAAAGTTCAATAAAAGGCATTATTTGGATTATTAGTAAATTGAGTTTTCAGCCCACGTTAAAACACCAATCTGTCAGATAACGCAGGGTCCTGAGATTAAAAGTACATGTCAAAAAGCTGAATCACCATTGGAAAAATGCTTTTATAACAACATTGCTGTATTTATTGATAGTACCATCCAAAGGCCTTTACAAAAGTAATCCCTTCCCCCGCATCTGTTTTTCCCTCCTCTGTTAGTTGTGGGTGAAGAGAACTGTTCTCTAAAAGGTTTCTAAATGATGTTGATGTTAAAAAATATAGTATCACCATTTAACAGCCTTTTAAAGAGCAGTCCCCAGTATGGTCTTTGTTAACAACTGAGGGAGGAAGGGACTATTTTTTCAAAGGCTTTTAGAGGATGTTGTTAAAAGAATATATAGTGACATCATTTAAAAGCCTTTTAAATAATAGTCCTCTTTCCCTCCCAATTGTAATGTCCTTGGCTTTCATTTATTTTGTACTACAAGCCGAAAATGGACAAGCCAACATATTATTGGCTATGGCAGCATTTGTTGGATGGAGAATGATGCATTGCTTTTAAAAAGGTCGGTGTCCAGAAATAAATCCAACTCTTCTAGAACATAGTTTCATTTTTATACAGGATATTGCCCACCCACCTTATCATCAACTTGTAGTACTTTTTGTTTGTTTTCCTTAGGAGTTTACTGAAAAAGACACCATGCCAACAGGAAAGAAGTCACGGCTAAGTCATTCCGAGATTTCCCACGGCATGAATCTAGTTCCACAATCGACTGAGGTTTGCTTCAGTGAACTCTCCATCCAATTTATGGCAAATTCTAACTTTTAGCTCCTCTTCTGTAGTCTTTATTAATCTATTTCTTCCCACTGTTCCTCTCATTTTAGTTTAGTCCACTAGGAGACAGCAGTGGACCCTTAGGGTTCCTTTCCACACTTAGTTCCCAGGGAGGGGAAAAATGAAGTCGCCCGTTTGGTTTAAGACACAAAGTCTGATAGACAGTAATCTTTGAAAAAAAGAACTAGCCAGGGAGATAATCATATGATATGAAACAATTTCCCGTCTCTTCTTGAGCTGGGTATTTTCAGAAAAGTGTCCCTTCATTTTAAGAACAGGATTTCATAGATCCATAACACTTTGATGAAAAAATAAGCCTTTAAAACATCTAAATGTACAGCCCTCTAAACACACTGTATTTTAATCCTAAATTTTAGTGCTCCCCTTACTTTTTGCCAATCTTGCACACAGAACTCACTTGTTTATTCTATGATTTACTTAAATCACAGTAAATCATTATTTACTTGTGATCTACTATCATAAATCATATTTAGTTAAATATTACTACCCACAATGCAATGCTCAGTTCAAGTCCCAATTTATCTATTCAACTCTTCCTGGCCCTACTCCAGCCCATTATGATCTTAACCATATTCCATTTGACATGTTATAATTTAATTTTCACACTAACTTTATGTGTAATCTTGTATCCCATGTAACTAACAAAGTGCTAAGCCTAGATAAGAATAATTTCTTTATTACATAATAATTTCATACCAAACAAAAAAGAATTAGCCAGGTAAATAATCACAGTATGCGAATCATGTTTTTGCATGATTTTTGAAAAATGTAAATTACTTTTTAGTTCTCTACTACCTTAATAGCACCGGTTAGTTATCTGTGCCTGTAATTATATTTGATGGTAAATAAATATTTTAAAATATTTTAAAACATCTCGATAAAAATTCATTTCATTTGAGATTTATATCTCCATTATCTTGAGATAAATGTTTCACTGAGAAGTGCTATTATAGGCCGGACGCAGTGGCTCACGCCTGTAATCCCAGCACTTTGGGAGGCCGAGGTGGGCAGATCGCGAGGTCAGCAGTTTGAGACCAGCCTGGCCAACATGGTGAAACCCCATCTCTACTAAAAATACAAAAATTAGCCAGGCGTGGTGGCAGGCACCTGTAACCCCAGCTACTCCGGAGGCTGAGGCAGGAGAATCGCTTGAACCCGGGAGGCGGAGGTTGCAGTGAGCCGAGACCGCGCCATTGCACTGCAGCCTGGACGACAGAGTGAGACTCCATCTCAAAAAAAAAAATGTTATTATAATTCTGATTCTAAAGTAAAGTAAGTAAAAATTTTTAAATATAAGTGTTAAATTTCCTGACCTGAAGCATCAAAGAGACAGTACTAGGAAGATATGACACTTTATTTAATATGACTGATCTGAAAATTTCAAATTTCTCTTAATTTCCTTAACTGTAGTTAAGCAGAACTGCCTCAAATACGAATTGCTTCATTAGGCAGATGGCCATAATCTCTACAGCAGGGCTGCATCTGAACTCTATGACTAGTGAGTTATCCCCATGGTACAATCAACATCATGACCAGAGAATACAAGCCTGGGTGTGGTGCCGGGTTCTGCTCTTCATGGAAATGGCCTCTATGAGTGCCATCACCCTGCCCTCCTGTTCCTCTGCAATTTGATAGGGTTGGGGTGAGACATGAGTATCTGAGTCACCTCCTTCTTCCCACAGGTTCTATAAGTGAGGTGGTATACAGAAAAACAGCCCCTTCAAAGATGTCTAGGTCCTAATCCACAGAACCAATGAATATGTAACATTATGTGGCAAAAGGGAATTAATGTTGCCAATAAGTTGACTTTGAGATTGGAGGTCATTCTGGATTTTCTGGGAGGGCCCAAGTAATCACACAGATCCTGTAAGTGAATGAGAGAGGCAGGAGATTCAGTGTCAGAGTGATACAGCATGAAAACAACTCAATTGGCCATTGCTGGCTTTGAAGGTGGAAAAGAGCCATGAACCAAGGAATGTGGGCTGCCTTTACAAACTGGAAAAGTCAAAAAACAAAAACCAAATTGGATTTTCCCCTAGAGCTCCAGAAGGAACATGGTCATGCTGACGCCTTGAAAAATAATAATAAATTTGCACTGTTTTAAGCCACTAAGTTTGTGGTAATGTGTTACATCAGTGACTGGAAACTAATAAAGGTAACTGCGGTGCCTAGTTGAAAACCCCTGTTCTGAATTCTTATGTTGTGAAACCTATCTTCAGAGTTTATAGTATAGTTTGTATGCATGCAACTTTTTCAATGGCTGATCTGTGATCTGAGAAGCAACAAAACTCCGCAGTATTTTCTCATTGAACTTAAACTCCAACTATTATAGACACTAATAAATTTGAGTGGCTCTCAAATTGTCAGAATCAGTTTAGACAGCTGGTTTAAAAAAACTCCCCTCCCCTAACACTCCTTCTATGCTTTCAATAAGCGCCATGGGTTGGTTTTGATCTATCTGTAGTTGCCAGACAGGTGCTGGCAACAAATGAAAAAAATAAAAATGAACTGCCATCATTAAATTGAGGCTTCAATTTAATGCACTGCTTATTATCTAAGACTCCCTCTTTACCCCCTTTATTTAGTATGAATCTTTCTGGTAAAATACACATAAAGAAGCATTTTGCATATAAGCAAAGGGGATTATTATTAGAAGTAGTAGTGATAGATATAGACACTTGGTTGAAGAAATACAAACAGACATGTTTCAATGGGGAAAAGGAAGGAAAACAAAAACATGAGGGGGTCTGGGTGGGGCAGAACAAGTTCAGGATAATAAAATACCTAGGTTAGAAAAATATCAATAGTAAGTAGGTATCAAAAAAGAATGGAAATCCTGAAAACTCTAAAATGTGCTATTTTTGTCTAGAGTTACCTCTCTCTAAAATAAGCACAATACAAAAAGTCAGATGTTTATAAAAGTTATACCGAGTCTCTGAATGAGGACTCTTAAGCATTCTGCAACCATTTGTGTCAAGTTAAGGTGTCTATAACCCATTATAACCGCTGGAATAAATACAGGTGCACCAGTGAACGCTTATGCAATCAGGTCTATGTGAGAAAAGTGGAACCACAAAACATATAAGCAAATGCTGCTCAGAAAAAATTTAATTCAGTCTGTATCGGTCTGATAGAAACACACATGTAGAAGGACAAAATGTTTCTTTGTGGATATTCCATATGGGTAAATCATATTATAGAAGGCATGCACATTATAATTCAAGAATATATTACAAATATAAAAGAATGTTTTCTCTGTGTATTTGGCAGCATTAGTAATTCCTTCTGTCATGATCCCAAGACACCTTATGTAAACGTCCACTGCAGCCCGACTCATACGCTACTGAACTCTTGTGTTTACATGATTTCTGTTTCCATAAGACTATAAGATAGGACTCAAAACTGACATCATGACTTATTTTTTTATTTGCCACAGCTCATACCAAAGATCAGAATGTAGTAGACATTCCATCCATGCTTATTAACAGAAATATTCAGGTTTTTGAAAAAAAAAAATCTTTCATCACAAGTACCATAATCCCTAAAGTTTTACTAGAAAGCAAAAGAGAATTTGCTCTATCCATGGATAAAAGTCTGCAAAGAAAATAAAGGGCATTAACCTATATCCACGATTCTACCCAAATTTTTCTTGGAGGACTAAGAAGAGAGAAATTTCAAACAATCATGTTATGTAATTTTTATGTTTAATCTGACACCTGCTCAGATCATCACACTACCTCTTGACATATAGTGGCACCCTTTGGTTGATACCTTTGAAAAAAGAAGTACTGAACCACATATCCATAAACATACTTCCAGAAAGCACACCGCTGGGTCTCAGAATACAAATAATCTGGTCAAACATAGAAAAAAAAAAAAACACTTCTCTTATGATTTCCCACATCCCTCATTGATCAAAAGACTGATGAATTGATAACCTTCTCTAGGTATGTATCCTTTTTAAAAATCAGTGAAAAGGTATTGTTTTCTAAGAGAAAACCAGATAAAAAAAAGACAGACATTAATTTCTGATAGTTTCCTTTCAACTGTTTTACCTATTCCCTGAGCATTTAAAACTAGCAAGGCATTCAAACTTGGTGAGTGGTATGTCTACAGGTTCTAGTAAATAAAGCTATGTAAAAATTTCAAATTCTTATCAAGGAATTTGAGAAAATTCTGACACACGACACACATTAAGTATGGCAGAAGGTACAAGACTAAGTTGTCAGTGGCTGACATGTTTTCACCATCTATATGATGCTGGTATGATCAAGCACTTGATGTAATGCCTAGAAGTAAAATGAACCTGTGAACATTTTCTGGTATAAAACATGTCTCTGCCACAACACAATTTCTTAATTTCAAACTCATATTTAGGATCACTGCTTTCAGCAGCACTGTCAGCGCGCAAGGCTGGCATGAAGCTTCCAACTGCATATTATCACCCATTGACAAACTCGACATTTTATGAAGAGCCCCTCTTTCACACTGACATCCTCTGTACCCTGAGTAAATAACTTACAATTCATTTCCTAACCTTGATTTTAGAGTCCATCCAGCCTTTCCACCCTTCTTTTTCTTCTTTCCAAACAAGTGACAAAGAACAAGGAAGCTGATTGAAGGGGTCCATTATGTATCAACTTAAAGAAAGGCAAAGTGATTGATGAAACCAGCAGTCACCTTCACTGCTAGCTACTGCACCTGTATCCTTTTTGTCAAATGACCTGAAAATCCTGCTGACAGTTTAACACTCACTACAAGGATACACAGTATGAGACTACAGTTTTCAATATTTTTATTTGCAGTGAAATCTTTAGGGATATAATTTGAGAACAAAAGTTTAGCTTTATAATTTTTGAAGCTTTGTATTTTCCTCCTACACAGTCTCTGATTGCTATCAACTTTCTCTGCAAAAATACCGTCATGGTGTGGACAGGGTAGTTAGATGTGGTATGGTAGGTAACCTGAATGTTTATTTTAAACTTCATGTTTTTGTTTTTGTTAGTGGAGACAACATTGTTAACTCAGCAGGATTCCTTCTGCCAAGTGATTTGATGAATCCAAATTAATTATATTGCTAGAAGAGGTACTTATAATTTCTCATTTTATCTCTTTGGGGTGGCCAGTAGCTCAAAAAGTAATTAAAATTAAAAAGTAAAAATGAAGTATTCTAAAATTACTAACACTTTATCTAAAAGACCTAAAGTTGTCTCTCAACTTTCAATAGGTGAATTCACTAGGTAACCAAGCAACTAAGAATTTCTTCTGTGAATAGATAAAAGTTTACTTAAAAAACTCATGACATTTCCGTATAGCAGTGAATTTAGTCATAAGCTTACTGTGTTAGAAATAAAAATTTCACTAGGCAACAGGGACACACTTGAGAGCCAGCAAAATCTCAAAAGAAGCCACAGTTCTCTTTGTGGACATAGCACCATTTCCTCTGGGCATTTATTACCTGTTAAAAACCAATCTTTTGGTGAGTGGCAGTTCAGGGTTTTTGAGAGCAAGCTGCAATATTTCTTCAGGTCTGCAGAGTCATAATTAAAGCTGAACTGAGCGGAATTGGAGAGGGAAGGTCAGCGAGGTGCCGTATGAGAGATGAGGCTGGGCTGATGGGCACCAAATGAACAAATTATGATGGGCCCCACTCAATGTGATGAGGTCAAATGCTTGTTTCTACCCACTGACAGTTCAATTTCCCTGAAATGTCTCTCGGTTCTCTATGAGCTAATTATGAATGAAAAGTTATCAACTGCCCACACCAAAGGGGGCTTAAATACTATTTTGTAGAGTTCTTAATGTCAAAATATTGTTCAAAACAGCATGCTGTCCCACTCCAAATACAATGCTTGGGTTAATGTAAATACCAGTGAAACACTATCAATTTTCCTCAGGTTTCCCACAATGTATACATAAAGCAAATTCTCCAGCACTTGTCAGCTTAACAACAAAATAAAGATCATTTCATCAAGTAAATCTATATTATACCTACAGCTCATTTCCACAGTAATAGCAGTTCGGTGCTTATAGTTTTGCATATCACAGGCTACATAATCTTCAAATAGCACTATATATTTTTTCAGGAACGATGCTACTGGATTATTAGCTTCTAGGCATCAATACTCAGATTTACCCCAGCATACAGATTTATTATACTAAATCAGCTCAACAGCAATTGACAAAATGTAAACTCCTTTTATGGAACCTCAGTTTTTGAGGAACAATTTCCACAGCCTGCATTCATGATGGACAATTATTTTCTTTACATCTATAAGCCTAAGTGCCTACATCTTCTTTTTTGAATCCTATGACACATGGTAAATATTTGATTGAATGCAGGATCCAACAAATTCTTAAATAGTATATGGCCTCAATCACAGTAACACAAAAACAGATTGAAGTGATAACATTTGCTGAAGCCCTACTATGTGCCATTCACTATGAAAAGACTTTCACATAGGAATGTTTAATATAATACGTAGTCTAGTAGTTTTCTAGCAATCTACGACACCTATAAAAGCTTGGATCAATGAGGTTAAAGTGTACATCAAATAAAAAATAAACAGGATCTGCATAAAATATAGTACTGAGCTTAATTTTTTTTAAAAATGATAAAATATGTAAACATAATAAAGTTGAAAATGACACTTGTCAACTTTCTAATTAACACTAGGTGGAAAAGGAGTTTTAGGAATACGTTCTATAAGAAAAATGGATTTAAGGTATAAACATAAGAAGTACTTGCAGGGGGGGTCGGGCAGGAAGAGGGAAAGATCAATTACAATTCAGGTAAACACAGTGGACATTAAAAAAAAAAGGAGCATGAAGTAGGGAAAAAATTTTGCCATTTAAAAAGATCATGTACAGATATATACAAGTACATTTTTGGGCAACTTACTAATAATGAAAGTTTTTAGTGTTAACTGTTGTTTCCACATTTAACATAATATGCTTAGATATACAGTATCAATTTATATGATTCCTTAAGAAGCATTACCTTATATACGCATGTTTAGAGATCACAATTTAATTCATTCATTAAAAGACCCTTTCTGGAAGTTGATTTTTTCTAATTCTTATTGTAATTGCATTGTTCTAATCTTGTATTATAAAGGCAGCTGCTTGCCTATCATTTGTACTTTCCTTGTTAATCCTGACTCAGTGAATTAACCTTTAATTACAGCCGTTAAAATTGAAATGAGCCTCTTGTCTGGCTGGGGCTGCCCCCTTTCAGTGCATGATTCTGATGAAAATTTTTAGGGTCAATGAATATGTCCCATGTCATGTCTGATAGCTGCTAAAGATGTGAGGAGGTAAATGTTACCTTAGAAAGATGTGCTTTAAATTTTTAGATCTGCTCTATTGACAGAAAAATAAAATCAAAATGTTATTTTTCATTTTTCAGCTTACCATGCTGTATTTTTAGAGAGAGCATTTAAGAAATATAAAGAATGGAATATTAAGCTACGTTTAGTCAAATAATTTAAAGCAATAACTTAATCCCCATTTTACTGTCTTAAATATTACATGCTAAGTAATAAAAGGAATGTGTAAGTAGCACAACCACTTTCTAGATATGGGCTTGATGGGAATAATTCTCTCAGTAATGTAATAAACTAACATATTAACCAGTGGGGAGGGGCCAAGATGACTGACTAGAAACAGCTGTGGTCAGAGGCTTTCACCAAGAAGAATGAAAATGGTGAGTGAATCCTGCACCGGCAACTGAGGTATCTCTCACTGGGACTGACTAGGTGGTTGGCACGACCCACGGAGAGTGAGGAGTAGCAGGGTGGAGCAACAGCCCACACAGGAGCCACATGGGGCAAGAGGAGCTTCCACCCCCAGCCAAGGGAGGTGGTGAGTGATTGTACTATCCCGCCCAGGAAACCACGCCTTTTCCATGGATCTGTGCAAGACGCAGATCAGAAGATCCCCTCGTGAGCCCATGCCACCAGGGCCTTGGGTCCCAAGCACAGCTGTGCAGACTCTCAGTGGCCCCTCGGCTGGAGACTCCCTGAGACTCGTGAGTTCAAGAGGGGCAGCCATCATCATACAGCTGCCTGCTGCCTAAGATGACTGAGCTTTGGCAGGGGAAGGGGGGCAGCTGCCATCACTGTGGCTGCCTGCTGCCTAAGACCACCGAGCTCCCGGGCAAGGGGCAGCAGCCATCACTGCAGCTCCAGGCTGCCGTTTTCCCCTGCCAGTGCCGGGGAGACTGGGCGGTTTGGACCCCGGAGGAATTTTCCACAGCGCAGCACAGTGGCTGTGGCAGATCATGGCCAGACTGCTTCTTTAGAGTGAACATGGACCCATTCCTCCTCACTGAGCTGGGCCTCCCTGCAGGAATTTCAGCAACTCCAGCCAGGGGTTTAGGGACAGAACTCTGATCTCCCTGGAACAAAGCCACTCTGGGGAAGGGCAGCCATGGTCTTGGTGGATCAGTGCACTTAGTCCTTCCCCTCGCTAGCTCTGAGGAATCCGGGCAGTCTGGATGAGTGGGATTCCCGCCCCCGCACAGAGCAACCCCTCCACCAAGGGTTAGCCAGAGTGCTTCCTTAAGCAGGTCCCTGATCCTGTGCTCCCTGACTGGGTGAGATCTTCCAACAGGGGTCGCTAGACACCTTACACAGGAGCATTCCTGCTGGCATCAGATTGGTGCCCCTTTGGGATGAAGCTCCCAGAGGAAAGAGAAGGCAGCCATCTTTGCTGTTCTGTAGCCTCCACTGGTGACACCTCCAGGTATAGGAGGGAGCAAGGACAATAGGGTCTGGAGTGGGCCCCAGCAAACTGCAGCAGCTCTACAGAAGAGGGGCCCGACTGTTAAAAGAAAAACAAACATCAAGCAACAACAGCATCAACAAAAAAGTCCCCACAAAAACTCCATCCAAAGGTCAGCAGCCTCAAAGATTGGAGGTAAAGTCACAAAGATGAGAAAGAATCAATGAAAAACTGCTGGAAACTCAAAAAGCCAGAGTGCCTCTTCTCCTCCCAATTACCACAACACCTCTCCAGCAAGGGTACAGAACTGGGCTGAGGCTGAGATGGATGAACTGACAGAAGTAGGCTTTAGACGGTGGGTAATAACGAACTTTGCTGAGCTAAAGGAGCATGTTCTAACCCAATGCAAAGAAGCTAAGAACCGTGATAAAACACTACAGGAGCTGTTAACCAGAATAACCAGTTTAGGCAGGAATATAAATGACCTGAAGGAACTGAAAAACACAACATGAGAACTTCACAATGCAACCCACAAGTATCAATAGCCAAACAGACCAACCGGAGGAAAGAATTTCTGAGCTTGAAGACTATCTTGCTGAAATAAGACAGGCAGACAAAATTAGAGAAAAATGAATGAAAAGGAACAAACAAAACCTCCAAGAATTATGGGATTATGTAAAAAGACCTAACCTATGAATGATTGGGGTACCTAAAAGAGATGGGGAGAATGGAAGAAGTTGGAAAACATACTTCAGGATATCATCCAGGAAAACTTCCCCAGCCTAGCAAGACAGGCCAACATGCAAATTCAGAAAATCCAGAGAACCCCAGTAAGATACTCCGTGAGAAGATCGACCCCAAGACACTAATCGTCAGATTTACCAATGTCGAAATGAAAGAAAAAGTGTAAGCGCAGCCAGAGAGAAAGGCCAGATCACCTACAAAGGGAAGCCCATCAGACTGACAGCAGACCTCTCACAGAAACCCTACAAGCCAGAAGAGAATGGAGGCCAATATTCAACATTCTTAAAGAAAAGAATTTCCAACCCAGAATTTCATATCTGGCCAAACTAAGCTTCAAAAATCTACCAAACAAATGAAAAGCAGAAAAAAGCAGGGGTTGAAATCCTACTTTCTGACAAAACAGATTTTAAACCAACAAAGATCAAAAAAGACAAAGAAGGGCATTACATAATGGTAAAAGGCTCAATTCAACAAGAAGAGCTAATTAACCTAAATATACACGTACCTAATATAGGAGCACCCAGATTCATAAAACAAGCTCTCAGAACCTACAAAGAGACTTAAGACTCCCATATGATAATAGTGGGTGACTTTAATATCCCACTGTCAATATTAGACAGATCATCGAGACACAAAATTTAAGAAGATAATTCAGAACTTGAACTCAGCTCCGGATCAAGTGGATCTGATGGATATCTACAGAACTCTCCACCCCAAAACAACAGAATATACATTCTTCTCAGTGCCACATGGCACTTACTCTAAAATCGATCACATCATCGGAAGTAAAACACTCCTCAGCAAATGCAAAATAAGTGAAATCTTAACAGTCTCTCAGACTATAGCGCAATCAAATTGGAATTCAAGGTTAAGAAATTCACTCGAAACCACACAACTACATGGAAATTGAACAACCTGCTACTGATTGACTCCTGGGTAAAAAATTAAGGCAGAAATCAAGAAGTTCTTTGAAACCAATGAGAACAAAGAGAAAATGTAACAGAATCTCTGGGATGCAGCCAAAGCAGTGTTAAGAGGGAAATTTATAGCACTAAATGCCCACATCAAAAAGCTAGAAAGCTCTCAAATTGACATCCTAACATCATAACTAAAAGAACTAGAGAACCAAGAGCAAACAAACCCCAAACCTAGCAGAAGACAAGAAATAACCAAGATCAGAGCAGAATTGAAGGAGACAGACACATGAAAAACCCTTCGAAAAAAAAAAAATCAATGAATCCAGGAGCTGGTTGTTTGAAAAAAATTAATAAAAGAGACCACTAGCTAGACTAATAAAGAAGAAAAGAGGCCTGGTGTGGTGGCTCACACCTGTAATCCCAGCACTTTGGGAGGCCAAAGTGGGCAGATTACCTGACGTCAGGAGTTGGAGACCAGCCTGACCAACATGGAGAAACCCCATCTCTACTAAAAATACAAAATTAGCTGGGCATGGTGGCACATGCCTGCAATCCCAGCTATCGGGACGCTAAGGCAAGAGAATCGCTTGAACCCCGGAGGTGGAGGTTGCAGTGGGTCAAGATCATGCCATTGCACTCCAGCCTGGGCAACAAGGGCAAAATTCCATCTAAAAGAAGAAGAAGAAGAAAGCAGAAAGAAGAAGAAAGAAGGAGAAGGAGAAGGAGAAGAAGGAAGAGGAGGAGGAGCAGGAGGAAGAATCAAATAGATATAATAAAAAATAATGAAGGGGATATTACCACTGACCCCACAGAAATACAACCATCAGAGACTACTATAAGCACCTCTATGCAAATAAACTAGAAAATCTAGAAGAAATGGGTAAATACCAAGACTGAACCAGGAAGAAGTTGAATCCCTGAACAGATCAACAAGTTCTGAAATTGAGGCAGTAATAAATAGCCTACCAACCCCAAAAAGCCCAGGACCAGATGGATTTACAGCTGAATTCTACCAGAAATATAAAGAGGAGATGATAACCTTTCTTCTGAAACTATTCCAAACAATTGAAAAGGAGGGATTCCTCACTAATTCATTTTATGAAGACAGCATCATCCTGATACCAAAACCTGTCAGAGATAACAACAAAAAAAAAAGCAAACTTCAGGCCAATATCCCTGATGAACATCAATGCAAAAATCCTCAATTAAATACTGGCAAATCAAATCCAGCAGCACGTCAGAAAGCTTACCCACCATGATTAAGTCAGCTTCATCCCCAGCATGCAAGGCTTGTTCAACCTATGCAAATCAATAAACATAATTCATCACATAAATAGAACTAAAGACAAAAACCACAGGATTATCTCAATAGATGCAGAAAAGGCCTTTGACAAAATTCAATATTCCTTCCTGTTAAAAACTCTCAATAAACTAGGTATTGATGGAACATACCTCAAAATAATTAAGAGCCATTTATGGCAAACCCACTGCCAATTATCATACTGAATGGGCAAAAGCTGGAAGCATTCCCATTGAAAACCAGCACAAGACAAGGATGCTCTCTCTCACCACTCCTATTCAACATAGTATTGGAAGTTCTGGTCAATCAGGCAAGAGAAAGAAATAGAGTATTCAAATAGGAAGAGAGGAAGTCAAACTGCCTCTGTTTGCAGATGACATGATCTTATATCTAGAAAACCCATCATCTCAGCCCAAAAGCTTCTTAAGCTGATAACCAACTTTAGCAAAGTCTCAGTATACAAAATCAATGTGCAAGAATCACAAGCATTCCTATACACCAACAACAGAAAAGCAGAGGGCCAAATAATGAATGAACTCCCATTCACAATTGCTACAAAGAGAGTAAAATACCTATGAATATAGCTAACAAGGGAAGTGAAGGATCTCTTCAAGGAGAACTACAAACCACTGCTCAAGGAAATCAGAGAGGACACAAACAAATGGAAAAACATTCCATGCTCATGGATAGGAAGAATCAATATCATGAAAATGGCCATACTGCCTAAAGTAATTCATGGATTCAATGCTATTCCCATTAAACTACCATTGACATTCTTCACAAAATTAGTAAAAACTACTTTAAAATTCATATGGAACCAAAAAGAGCCCGTATAGCCAAGACAATCCTAAGCAAAAAGAACAAAGCTGGCGGTATCACTCTACCTGACTTCAAACTATACTACAAGGCTACAGTAACCCAAATAGACTGGTACTGGTACAAAAACAGACACATAGACCAATGGAACAAAATGGAGAACTCAGAAATAAGACCATAAATCTACAACCATCTGATCTTTGACAAAACGGACAAAAACAAGCAATAGGGAAAGATTCCCTATTTAATAAAAGGTGCTGGGAAAACTGGCTAGCCATATCCAGAAAATTGATACTAGACCCCTTCCTTACACCTTATACAAAAATTAACTCAAGATGGAATAAAAACTTAAATGTGATTGGGCACCGTGGCTCACACCTGCAATCCCAGCACTTTGGGAGGCTGAGGCAGGCGGATCACCTGAGGTCAGGAGTTCAAGAACAGCCTGGCCAACATGGTGAAACCCCGTATCTACTAAAAATACAAAAATTAGCCAGGTATCGTGGTGCACACCTGTAATCCCAGATACTTGGGAGGCTGAGGCAGGAGAATTGCTTGAACCCAGGAGGCAGAGGATGCAGTGAGCAGAGATCACGCTACTGCACTCCAGCCTGGGCAACAGAGTAAGACTCCATCTCAAGAAAAAAAAAAAAAAAACTAAAATGTAAAACCCAAAACTGTAAACACCCTAGAAGAAAATCTAGGCAATATCATTTAGGACATAGGCACAGGCAAAGATTTTATGATGAAAACGTCAAAAGCAACTACAACAAAAGCAAAAATTGACAAATGGGATTTAATTAAACTAAAGAGCTTCTGCACAGCAAAAGAAACTATCATCAGGGTGAACAAGCAACCTACAGAGTGGGAGAAGATTTTTGCAATCTATCCATTTGACAAAGGTCTGATATCCAGAATCTAAAAGGAAATTAAACAAATTAACAAGAAAAAAACAAAAAAAAAAACATTAAAAAGTGGGCAAAGGACATGAACAGACACTTCTCAAAAGAAGATATTTATGTGGCCAACAAACATGAAAGAAAGCTCCATATCACTGATCGTTAGAGAAATGCAAAGCAAAACCACAATGAGATACCATCTCATGCCAGTCAGAATGGCGATTAAAAAGTCAAGAAACGACAGATGCTGGCGAAGCTATGAAGAAATAGGAATGCTTTTACACTGTTGGTGGAAATGTAAACTAGTTCAACTATTGTGGAAGACAATGAGGTTATTCCTCAAAGATCTAGAGGCAGAAATACCATTTGACCCACCAATCCCATTACTGGGTATATACCCAAAGGAATACAAATAATTCTATTATAAAGATCCATGCACACATATGTTCATTGCAGCACTATTCACAACAACAAAGACATGGAATCAACCCAAATGCCCATCTATGATAGACTGGATAAAGAAAATATGGTACATATATTCCATGAAATACTATGCAGCCATAAAAAGGAACAAGATCATGTCCTTCACAGGGACATGGCTGGAGCTGGAAGTTATTATCCTCAGCAAACTAACACAGGAACAGAAAACCAAACACCGCATGTTCTCACTTATAAGTGGGAGCTGAACAATGAGAACACATGGACACAGGGAATGGAACAACACCCACTGGGGCCTGTCAGGGGGCACGGGAGGAGGGGGAGTATCAGGATAAATAGCTAATGCATGCTGGGCTTAATACCTAGGTGATGGGTTGATACTGCAGCAAACCACCACAGCACATGTTTACCTATGTAACAAACCTGCACATCTTGCACATGTATCCTGGAACTTAAAATAAATAAAATAAAAATAAATAAACACTCAAACACCAATGGAGTTCTTTAAACTGACAGCAGTGTTAATGGGTTCTATACTGATGACTCTGGAAAATAGGAAGGGTTAATTCATTCCAAACACATTTGATGAGCACCTATTATGTATTAAGCACTGGGAATAAAAAAAGGTCCTGTTCTATCTTCCAGAAACCCAGACTCCAATATTATTACATCTATATTTCTAATGTAAAAGACAAGGCAACCCTTCCCCTATGCTGATGATGTTTACTGAAGCCATTTGAAGTCTCTCCACTTACTTTCTTTAGATTTCTAGAAATTTTAGAGCTGGAAGGGACTCTAGAATCCTGTTCCCTAATTTCATAGCTAACAGCCTGAACTGAATGTAAACTTTGATGTACTAGTTTATATTTACAAGATATTTTGTCAGGTCACATATTCTATGAAGCATGAATGTCAAATCTTCAGTGAAAATATGTAAATGAATGAGTTTCTGAAATTACGCACTTAAAAACGCATTATGAAAAATTTTCAAATGTATACAGGAGCAGGGACACTGATATGATGAACAACTAGATACTGAGCACTAAATTTCAAAATTACCAACATTAGCCAATCTTGTTTAATCTAATCTTTTACTCAACTTCTGAATTATTGAAAAGCAAATTCCATGTATTATTTCATCAGTAAATACTTTGGTTTGTATATGTAACAGATAAAGATTTTGAAAGAAAACATACAATATTATCACATCTAAAAATGATATAAAACAAAAATTCCTCTAATTTCACCTAAAATACAGTATTCACATTTCCTTGGCCATTTCACGCATATCATTTTAGAGATAATCACAATTCAAGCAAGATGAACACATTTGGCTGGTATCGCTTTTAAATCTCTCTTAATCTAAAGGTATATGCCTTCTGAATTGGAATTTGCTGAAATTTTCTGTTTTGTTTTTTGGGGGGAGTATTATTTGTACAGAGGTGTAAAGCAGATTTTCCATATTAACATTTGGAGGGGAAAAGTCATAAATTCAGTAATGAAAAACAGCTGCAAATTTAAGGAAAAACACTTACTGATAGGCTTATAAAAGCTGTATATAATTATATTCCCTGAATGATTTGAGTAACAATGTGTCTGATATATTCTTTTTTTTTTTTTTTTTTTTTTTTTTTGAGATGGAGTCCCACTGTGTCACCCAGGCTGGAGTGCAATGGTGCAATCTCCGCTCATTGCAACCTCCACCTCCCAGGTTCAGGCAATTCTCCTGCCTCAGCCTCCTGAGTAGCTGGGATTAAAGGCACAAGCCACCATGCCCGGCAAATTTTTGTATTTTTAGTAGAGACAGGGTTTCACCATGTTGTTCAGGCTGGTCTTGAACTCCTGACCTCGTGATCTGCCTGCCTCGGCCTCCCAAAGTGCTGGGATTACAGGCGTGAGCCACCACGCCCAGCCCACGTCTGATATATTCTAAGTTAAGTGGTTTTTACTTTTCTTTGATATTAGGGTTATATACTGTACTTGTTTTTACTCCATACTCTCTTGTCAGTGGTAATCAATTCTTAGTGTTCATTGGACATGTATTCTACAGCTAAATTCGTTTCTCTTCCTTCGAAGAGAAATAAAGGTTTTGTAAATATCATAACATCTTCCATGTTTAGGTCAGGTTTCTCATGTTAAGAGATTTAATACTATTAGAATAAGAATTATTAATTTCCATACCATGCCCTGCCCTGTGTTCAGAAAAAAATTTGGCACTGTTTTTAAGGGGAACAGTGGTAACAGAAGTTAACTTGGCTGACATGTAATTAAATAATATTTGCTATATGATTGACCAATGCATAATCTAAGATACCATAATGCTTAAAAACTATATTTTTCATTTCAATACCACAATTCAACAGTAGCAACAAAATTTGAAATATAGCAATTCATAGTCACACAAAATTCCATCAAATTTGTGTGACTATGAACTGCCTTTTTTAAATGCATAATTTCAGACTATGAACTGTTTTTTAAAAGATAGAATTTCAGAAACTCATTTATTTACATATTTTCACCGAAGATGACAAAACTGCCATAAAAGATGAATCTTTTAAAAACATATTACATTTTTAAATAAATTATATTTTAAAAATCATCTTATTTCCTACTGTGGTATATTTAATAATAATAATTAAAAGCTAAAAATCATAATCTTAGGGAAAAGTGGATAGATGTTCAGTGAACTCTCAGCTCTGAAACAAGTGAACTCACAGCCAGCAGAACTACTTACCACAAAGGAGGAGGAAGGGAAGTCGAAAGGCCTAAGGCTTTCTTTATCACAACCTCTTTAATCCTTCAATTTCTTGCAGATCTGTGTGCATGTTTCCTTTGTTTTTTTGGGTGACCTGGGTTTTTTGCCACAAATAATTGCTAGTTCATTAATAACTATAATTAGCATCTGATTCAGCGGATTTGTCACTGTGGGGAATTTTACTAAAATACTAACAACTAACATTATGAGTACTATCCGCCAGTTAGGACAAACTGGCACATATTTGCTTAAGCCAATTAAAAATATTTTGCAATAAAAAAATTCCAACTAAAAATTAATAACAATCTCTTTTTAAAAAGTAGCTCCTTTTAGTAATCTAGGAAAAGGAGAGATGAAAATGGTCTGTTATGAGTACCTCAGAAGTAGCATAGAAATAGAAAGATCAAGCAGCAGGATGACATACCTTAAGGTTTAATTTAAGAATTAAAGCAACCTCATACCCAGAGAATTGAATAAAAGAATAAGATGGGGCATGGCTAGGCAATGGAAGCACAAAATACTGTCACACTTTAATTTAAAAATGTTTTCAATTGAAGCAGACCCAGGCCAGTGATTTTTCATTATTTTTACCACAGTTCCATGACTACTGACATTTTCATCAGAACAAATAAAGGATTTTTCCTAAATTTAAAATGACAAAATTATTTTTAATTTTGACTTACAATTTCTCCCTCTTCCAAACTCAAAGGAATTTGATCTTAGCTGGACTTGTCTCTTAGCCTGGGGCCTGAATATACCTTAACTTTATAAAATGGAAAAAAAAAATTTTTTTAAAGATAGTTCTTCACCGGGCACGGTGGCTCATGCCTGTAATCCCACCACTTTGGGAGGCTGAGACAGGTGGATCACCTGAGGTTAGGAGTTCGAGACCAGCCTGACCAACATGGAGAAACCCCATCTCTACTAAAAATACAAAACTAGCCGGGCGTGGTGGCACATGCCTCAGGAGGCTGAGGCAGGAGAACTGCTTGAACCTGGGAGGCGGAGGTTGCGGTGAGCTGAGATTGCGCCACTGCACTGCAGCCTGGGCAACAAAAGCAAAACCCTGTCTCAAAAAAAAAAGATGATTCTTCTACTATATTAGAAAAACTTTATCATATAATTTTTTGAATGAGATCACATATTCATGAAATGTCTGGCATATAACTTAGTAAACGTACATATTCAACAAAGACGTCCCTCAAAGCAATCTCTCCTTGCAGACCAACTTGAAAAAAGTCTAGCACTCTGCCAATATAAGAGATTGGAAAACAAAACTAAAATACCCTAGTAGCAATTAAAAGAGAGTGAGGAGAACTGGTAGGGGGGTGGTTGGGGAGGATATATCTAAGATAAGACTACTCAAGAGAAACTGAAATCCTAAATACAATGCAACTAACTTCAATCACAATAGTTACTATTATAATGCACAATTATCCTAATAATTCCAAATACTGTTTTAGTAGATTTCAGATGGAGTGAATCAGATACTTCTTCATGAATTATGGTTTGTTTTTTTCTTATTATTGTTTTAAAACCAACAGAGTGACTTCCATACCAAAACAAAGGAAAGGCCTGATAAGAGTCTTCTGTTTCCCAGTTGAGTTCCTACAACACAAACTGGGTCAGGGACTTATCCCTAACTCACGGAAGAGTTGTAACTCCACTGGCTGCCAATTTTCGACAATAGCAAAAATCCGTAAGACTACTTGCTAGCCAATTTCCCATATTCCTTTGATAAGGAACCTGATAGGACAAATGATAAAAACTGCAGAAGCTACATTTGCTTTGTGGCTTTTCTTTGTACCACTCTGGGTGCCCAAATTCAAGTGGATTACAAATGGGGTTGCTTCTTCCTATCCTTCGGCCTATAAATCCATGGGGAGCTGAGGGGCATGAGTACAGGGCTTCTTGGTCATGCTGCCAAACTTAACGTCATCTTTTTGCTGGTCATAGGAAATTCCATGCTAGCTACTGATATTCCATGCTAGCTTCACCCTGGCATGGTCATCAAGTGACAAAGTGATGGTCCTCAATGGTAATTCAAGGAAAGCAAACGGCGAAGAGTACGGACTATGAAAATCATCCTTCTACTTCTTGCTAAAGGAGAAGAGTAGTTCAGGTATCTAAATCTTAAGCTGTGTCAAATATTGAAAGTAACTCTTTTAGGTTTTAAGTTATAATGGTACAGAGGAAAAAAGGTGGAAATGTGGAATTTAGCAAATATCAAATAATAGTGTTTATGTTCATAACCAGAGAAATAATGACAAATAAAGACAACTTGTATCTACGGATACTTCCAAATGGGCAAAACTGTTACAAAAAGGAGAGCACTTGGTATACTGTAATTACATACTTTGAGGCAATTTTTCTTTATTTTCCCAGTCAACTATAAACTTTCTCAGGGCAAGAAGCTTTCCCATCTTGTTTACCACTATATCCATGGCTTCATATTCTGGTCTGAATAAATACATGTTGGATGAATAAAACACTTAATTGGCATATGTGTAGTAAGGAATTTGACCTAACCTAAAGAGGCTTAGGACTTTCTCTTAGCTCTTGAGGGGCGACCTCTAAACCCTTGGAATTTCCCCAGTGATAAAAGTGTCTTTGTTATTCATGGTGGGCCCTTTGGGACCACACCTGATAATTTATGCCACTGAGGTGACTCATGACAGGTCCCTCAGATAGCTTATGCTAAGGAGATAACTCAGGATAAGGCTGGCCAAGATAGAAAGACCAACCATGTGATTAGAGGGTTGGGGCGTTGAGCTACTTAATATCAGCCTGACCTCTAGAGACAGGGGAGGGCTGGAGACTGAGTTCAACTATGTGGCTAGAGTTCAACCATGTGGCAATATTTCAAACAATCAAGGCTATATGATGAAGCCTCAATAAAGACTCTGGATGTCAAGGTTCAGTGAGCTTCCCTGGCTGGCAATAGTCCATGCATATTGCCAGATTTTCATGCCAGTAGGGTAACCCAAAAGTTTCACATTTGGAACCCTCCTAGAATCTGCCCTAGGTGTGTCTTCGTTTGGCTGGTTCTAATTTGAATCATTTTGCTAAAATTGTAATCCTAAGCACAGTGCTTTTCTGAGTTCTCTGAGTTGTTCTAGAAAATTACTGAACTAGAGAGTGGTTTTGGGAAATCCGTAAAGTTACAGCTGGTGTCAGAAATCTTGGGCCAACTTAGTCTGGAGGACTGTGCCTTTAACCTTGAGTTTGGCTACCTCCAAGAGGCATACAACAACAAATTAGGCCTTTTTGTTTGTTTCATGGATTGTTCTTGAAATTCCTTACTATTCCTCAGTGTACCACTTTTGCATTTTGAAATGATCACTTTTCTTAATGAGCCTTCCTGTACTGTCCAAAATTAAATTCCACTTAGGGTTTGTGATCCACAAGGATCAAATCTGTTATCTTTATGGTAGCTAAGTCAGAGCTCCCTCACTAATTTGCCACAAATGGGTCAGAGGTGTGCTGCGATACTGCCCCCCATGAATCCCCAAGGCCAACTGGGGTCTGTGGTAGCTGGAGCTCCTAGACTGGGTGCCTCCAACCTCCTTCAGCATTGTTTACCCTAGAATGCATTACAGGTATTGCCACTTTTCTACATGTACCGGCACACAAAAAGATTGGAAAACAAGTTAAGGAATCATTACTACAATTTTCCCATGACAGTGCGTCACCAACATACTTCTCAAGTATCAGATCTGGTTACACATGTTATACTTAAACCCTACATTGAAATACTGTTTCAGCAATACTCCAGTTCTTCCACACCCCAAGCCTTCAGGTATACTAGTTCCTCTTCTAGGAGCGTCATTCTTCTACTCCAGCCACCTAGGCAAACTCATCTTCCAGACTCAGTTCCAAGGTTACATATGTATATCTTCTCTAAGAGATCTTTGTCACCCAGGAGAACTTGGTGGATTTGTCTCTAGTTCAGCACTTACTACATTAATGATTTGACTATTTCCCTCAGTAACCTGTGAGTTTCCTCATAACACGCTGCTCTATGACTCACCTCCTTCTTTCACTGCTTTTATTTGGCTTTTTTCTTTGTTGTCTTCTAAAGCATGATGTTCCCTAGGATTCCATCTTCAGTTGTCTCTTCTCACCCACAAGGTTTCCCTTCTGTTCCCCTACCTTAAACCATTACCCATAACCTGATGGCTTTAGGATGTGTGTGTATGCACACACATGTGCACATGCTTGTATTCTAATTAGTTGGCCCTAATTTTTCACTAAAATCCAGAATGGATTTTACCTTCTTACTGGACATCTCTAACTTGATGTTCCAAAAGCACCTCAGAGTAACATGTTCCAAAGAAAATTTCAATGTCATTGTCCTTTCCTCTTCCTTATTTTCTATCTTGGTTAACTGGGTACCACTATCCAGATAATCATTCCGGTGCAAATCTCAGTTATCTACCTAAAAGTTACCAAATTCTTCCTTTGTTCTCTTCCTATCCAATTAATCTTTCACACAACTTTATAAAACAAAGATCTGATCACTATCAATAACCTGCTCTAAAATCTTCAGAACTCCTTTCAACTGTTTCACAATATGGCTTTCAACCAGTAGCTACTTCTCTCTCCCCCAAAACATACATTTTGTACACTAGCTATATCTAGCTACAGAATTTGGCAAAAACATAATATACATTTTATCTTCTCTCTTTCATCTGGCCATTCCCTGGGCTGAAATACGCATCTCCTCTTCTTCCCTGTTGGTAAACTCAATCATTCTCCAAGACCCAACACAAATATCGCTATCCAAGTCCATATTGATAGGCACTCTTTGCAGAATTACTTGCTCCCTTGTCTGTACTCCTATAATGAAGTTTTCTAGTCTTTTTCATTCACTAAACTGTGAGCTCCCTTAGGAAGGGACTATGTTTTATTAACCTGTTATCTGTAATTCCTAGCATAGTGATTTAGTCATACTGTGTTCAATAAAGCTTTTAAGTAAATGAAATTAAGCTATAATAAAGCCTTTCAGTCTGCATGTATGTTAGAATGCAAATATCTAGAGAATCTCACTGGTATCTATGAACAACATAAACATTAGGGGAACATGTGTTGTTACCTGCCTTACAGATTTCAGATATGAAAGCTCTTAGGTATTGCAAATTTTTATTGACTATATTCATGAATACATTGCAAAATGCAAGCCTTAAGTAATACAGCTAGTATTCCACCATCTGAAAGTCAGACCATCTGTGTCTGGCTTTGCCAAAGGCAAATCCTGCTTTAAACTCATGTTAGAATACTGTCAATTCTTCTTACTGAATGTTTTTTAAAAAGGTACCATCCACAATCAACTACATGGCTAACATAAGTTAACATTTTTTTTTGAAATAAAATCTAAAGGGTTGAAATATTTCTATTTCATTACAATTTTCTTATATAATTCCTTGGAACAGGAATCTTAAGACATTTTCTTTTTTACAAAAGAATTTTACAGAAATAAAACCCTCATTAATCTGAACTCTAATTGAGAATTTAAGAAAATTAAGCATGGAATGAAGGATGGACTAAGTTTGCACCATCTAAGAAGCAAAAGACCTACCATGGAGCAAATAAGATTTTACAGGACATATAAATGCAGTTCATTAATTAAATAATTCTAAGGAGTTTACCACATACGGTATATACAAAGATTGATTTAGTATATAATTCTAAAGGAAAGCAGAAAGATATGGAAGAAAAGGAATAGAATTTGGAAGCACAAAACCCGGACTCAAGTATTAAGTGTACTATTGATAGTTTTATTTTAGTTATACTTTGGATTTTAGTATATATTTAATGTAGCTCACATTTATAAAAACCTGTATATAAAATAATTCAGGCAAAGAAGTATAAAGAATAGATTAAAACAAAAACAAAATCCAACATCCCTCCCCCATCGAGCATCATGAGTAAAACTTTAAAAATCTGAATGACAATCACAAGTATACCCATCCCAGATTGCTTTCCTTTTTGCTTCTGGCATCAGAGGTAACCAGAATTTGGATTTGGTGTTCGCCAGTTGCAAGTATGGTTTTAAACATTTTCCACATATGTATGCATCCATCAATTAAATAATTCTAAATACTTTTATACTTTCTACAAATGGCTTCCTATGTATTCTTTTGTAATTTTCCTATTTATTTATTTATTTGACAGGTCTCACTCTGTCACCCAGGCTGGAGTGCAGTGGTGCGATCCTGGCTCTTGACAATCTCAGCCTCCTAGGCTCAAGTGATCCTCCCACCTCAGCCTCCCGAGTAGCTGGAACCACAGGTGTGTGCCACCATGCCCTGCTAATTTTTGTATTTTTTATAGAGATGGGGTTTTGTCATGTTGACCAGGCTGGTCTGGAACTCCTGGGCTCAAGCAATCCGCCTGCCTCAGCCTCCCAAAGTGCTGGGATTACAGGTGTGAGCCACTGTGCCCAGCCTGTGATGTTTCTTACTATTGTTTTTGAGATTTGTCTAACAGGTATTTCCAGTTCATTCATTTTAACAACTGGCACAGTATTCCATTGTATATGCATGCCACAATTTATGTATCTATTCTAGTGATAGATGTAGTTTCCAATTTTCTTTTTTTTTTTTCTTTTTCTTTTTTTTTTGCTCTTACAATGTGTCGGTGAACATTCTTGCATGTTTTCATGTGTAGCCACATCGATTAGTGAGTCATGGAGAATACATTATTCAACTAGAGTGAATATTTCCAAATTACTCTCTGAAATACCCACTGGGTATGCCTCCAATTTTTTTTTTTTTTTTTTTTTTTTTGCAAACACACTGTTAAAACTAATTTTTAGAGAAGCCTACTTTTCACCACTTTAAAAATTTTAAAAATAAGCTTCCTGTTTTACAAAACCCAACAACCCTCACATGCAACCATTCAATAATTGTAATAAGCACACATATTTTAGATTTGATTTAAACTAGGTTAATACAATCAATGGTATGAAAATATGATCGGTGGAAAAACTTTTGATTGGCTGGTAACTGGATGAAGTGAAAACCAGCTAAACAATGGTTTCACCAAAGGTACCGTCTCTCTTTGATACACCTGTGAGCAGACCTGATGAAGTATCAGGTAAGTAAGTTTTCAGCTGGAGTAAAGGATAGCTTGATCATTTCAAAATACAAATGGATGGCCCTAAGATCAGGGTTTAGGGAAAAGCCATAGATGTTGATTCAGGGTACTCTTGAGTTATTATTGGCCAGACTTGGGAGCATTATCCAATAACCAATTCCCTAGTCTTAAAGAAGAGAAGGCAAAGAACAAGATGAGAGATGGCTTAACCCACTGATATTTGGCTTCAGTTCATGGCATGCTAATGTTTTCTTCAGCACAGAATACGACACAAGGAAGAGACATACTTGGATGCAAGACGTGCAAATTCCTGCCGAGCCTATTTTTCACAGCATTACTTCATTTTTTTTTTTTTTTTTTTTTTTTTGAGACGGAGTCTTGCTCTGTCGCCCAGGCTGGAGTGCAGTGGCGCGATCTCGGCTCACTGCTAGCTCCGCCTCCCGGGTTCACGCCATTCTCCTGCCTCAGCCTCCCGAGTAGCTGGGACTACAGGCGCCCGCCACTGCGCCCGGCTAATTTTTTTTGTATTTTTAGTAGAGACGGGGTTTCACCATGGTCTCGATCTCCTGACCTCGTGATCCGCCCGCCTCGGCCTTCCAAAGTGCCAGGATTACAGGCGTGAGCCACCGCACCCGGCATACTTCATTATTTTATAGAACGTGTGAATTACTGTAACACTATCCTTGGTTGTATTAAAGAGGTATATAGGAAACAAAAAAAGTTTGTTATTAAGGAATAGCATGTACCACTCACTGCTCCTTTTACATTACTTTAGGAATATAACTATCTGTAGTTTTTTCCTTAACTCGGTAAGACACTGAAGGTACTCAAGAAATTTAACTTTCTTTTCCCTTTTAAGTTCTGAGGAACAGAAAAATTATGAAATCAATCCCAAACATTTTAGAGCAAACTGATATTTACTTTTAGTATGAATTCTTTGCAATAAAAAAAAAAAACAGTTATAATCCCATCACAAGCTTTCAGGTTTGGCGTGCAGTGACTTCTGCCTGATTTAGATATGCCCAGTACAAAAATGGCCAACTTTGCTGGGCAGACTAAGCAATAATCCTTTCTGTACAATAAGGGTTTTTCAGTCCCTGATTCTGCAGATCCTGGTGCTTCCTGAGGACCTTATGTTTTTTGTTTCACTGAGTCGCTTTTCCTGCATAGTTCTAGTATCCAATTTGAGGGCGGGAGGAAGGGAAAGAAATGGAATAGGTGACATCAACCCTATGTTATTACTGAACATAAAGGCCTTGGAGCCTCTCTACCCTGTCAATCCCAATTTTGACTGAATCCTTCCTCCTATAGTCTACATCCAGGCCAAGATCCTCAAATCTGAATCTATTATCTGTTGCCAAATCACTATTCCACTTGTTCCACGGCCATTGGACTAGATTTCAGGGTTTACAGCTACAGAATAGAATTCAAACATTTTCAGGATCATTATTTCATTTTGCCATTGGACTAGATTTCAGGGTTTACAGCTACAGAATAGAATTCAAACATTTTCGGGATCATTATTTCATTTGATTTTCATAACAAAAAAAGTGTTTGGGAAAAGTATTATCTCCATTTTGTAAATTAAAAAACGGAAGTTTACGCAAGTCAAAGAACTGCTCAAAGTCACAATGATAATAAACACAGCTCAGGCAAGGGTGAAAACCAGGTCTTTGGGCTCCAGATTCAATGCATTTCACAAATGTCACTCTGTCTTTCTAAATGAGTTCTTAGCATTTTAAGGTGGAACTCTAAAAGTGTATTTCCACAGAAAACCTCTGACTTGTTATTAGGTGTTAAAGAATCACAGATAGTATATCTCCATTATGGTATTATGACATTTGGGGATTGCCTTGGGAACCCTTTTTTTTTTTTAGACGGAGTTTCGCTCTTGTTGCTCAAGCTGGAGTGCAGTGGCGCGATCTTGGCTCACTGCAACCTCCGCCTTCCGGGTTTAAGCAATTCTCCTGTCTCAGCCTCCCAAGTAGCTGGGATTACAGGCACACGCCACCACCCCAGGCTAATTTTTTATATTTTTAGTAGAAACGGGGTTTCACCATGTTAGCCAGGCTGGTCTCGAACTCCTGACCTCAGCTGACCCACCTGCCTCGGCCTCCCAAAGTGTTGGGATTACAGGTGTGAGCCACCGCGCCCGGCCACGTTGAGAACCTATTAACCTAGGAAGGTCAGACTCTGATTTTTCCATAAAAACATAATCTTAAATAGTGAGTAAATAAATATATTTTCTTACACAACTAGTTTGATAAGAAACAAAAAACGCAAAGGATGAGTCAAGGTTTCATGTTGATGTTTACCAGTTAAAGCAGAACATACACTAAAATAGTTAACTTTAACTGTTTTATTCACTTAAAATTTTTGTGACCCAAATATACAAAGTAATTTAAAGCACAACAGATCAAAGTTTCACTCAACATTTCTAATACCAGAGGTGAACAAGTTATTCTTATTTCACATTTATTCTTACACACAAAATTGTCTTTTTTCCCCCTATTCTTTTTTCATCCCTGCAAGAAGCATACATTTTAAGGATTGATGTTTATGTGTTTGCAGGTCTTGATTTAAACTCAGGACCAAATAATAATCCATTAAAAAAAATTTACTAAGTTAACCGGTTTGTTCACTCAGATACTACAGCAGGAAATAAAATGTTCCCTCAATAGAGCTATCTGTTGGCCAATGGCCAGTCTCTGGCAAGACTAAAACATGCTGTGTTTATAAATAATATTTATTATAGAGTTATTAAAAAAACTAAAGCCTTTCCTTATAATGATAATAATGTTTGTCAGGCATTATTTTTTAAAATCTCTGTGTTCTGAATATATAATTAAAAGGATAGGAACAAATAGTGACTTTTTTAATTAGAAAAATATTTGCTGTGAAAAAGCAATTGTTCTTTGGGTTTCACTGTAAATATTTTGTTAATTGAAAAAATCTAATATACATAAGGAAAACAAATAACATTTACTAGAATAAATAAAAATTATAGATGGACTAGAAAGTCATCATTTAAACTAAAAAAGTTTCATCTCTTTATTTTAACAAACTTATTCAAATTATCCCAGTGAAATTATTTTCATTAATTTGAAATTCCATCTTAGGTTCATACACACATAGAATATCAGAGTTAAAAGGAAACATGGAAATCTGCCTTGCTATCATTTCATAGTTGAAAAAAAACCAAGTGATTTGCTCAATATCACCCAATTAATTAGTAGTGGTGATCTAGAAAGACAGATATCAGATGGGTCAATAAAAAGGAATCTGGTTGAGTGTGGTGGCTCACTTGAGCCCAGGAGTTTGAGACCAGCCTGGGCAACATGGTGAAACCCTAGCTCTACCAACAAAAATTAAAAAATTAGCCAATAAATTAGCCATATCTACCAACAAAAATATAAAAATTAGGGTGTGGTGGCAGGTGGCTGTAGTCCCAGCTACTCAGGAGGCTGAGGTAGAAGGATGGCTTGAACCCAGGAAGCAGAGGTTGCAGTGAGCCAAGATCACACCAATGTACTCCAACCTGGGCGACAGAGCCAGACCCTGTCAAAAAAAAAAAAAAAAAAAAAAAAAGAAAAGAAGAGAAAAGGAAGAGGAAAAGGAAAAGGAAAGGAAAAAGACCCAAACAAATAAAAAGGAATCCTCGTCATTCATATATGTGCTTTCCATTTCTATTTTACAAGTATTGCTTTTTGGGTAATAGATGTATTACATCTTGATTAGAGAAAATCTGGAAAATATTTAAAAATATGCAGAAGAAAATTAAATATAAAACATCCATAATCTCATCATTCAGAAAAGCTGTTAAAATTATGATGCAGTTTCTTCTACTCTTTCAATTTCCTTGTATTTGAAAACAGTACAATTGTACAATTTTACAAAATTTAGATTATATATATAACATTTTGTATCCTTTTTTCCATCTGACATTATACCATATTTTATCTTATTAAAATATGTAATAAAAACATCTTAATAATTGTACAAAATTCCTTAAATTGTTTTTGCATACTTTTTGTAACCATCACTACTATCACTAGACATTTAGGTTTGAACAACCATGCACATAAATCTGTGTAATTCTAATTATTTCCTTAGAAGAAGAATCTAGACATGAGATTACCTGGTCAAAAGGTATACATATTTTGATGGCTTTTTATACAGATGGCCCAACTGCCATCCAGAATGATGTCATAATTTATACTTTTACCAGTGGAGCAGTGTATAATGCCTGCTTCATTGCATACCTCAGCAACAACAGATGTTGGTTTTTGTAATTTTTGCTAATGTTACAGGCAAGATGGTTCTTTAATTCTACATTTTTTCATTACTACCACTGAACCTTTTTCGCATATTATCATCTATATTTCCTCCTCTATGAATAATGTGTTTATATCATTTGTCCACTTTTAAAAATATTTTATTGAAGTAGAATATACATAAAGTACACATATCTTAAGTGCAAAGCTCAATGATATTTTTCATAAACTGAATACACCCATGTAACAGCCCCCAGATCAAAAGACAGAACATTATCAGCACCCCAGAAGCTACTCTTGTATTTCCTTATAAGCACTAATTCTCCTACGAGTAAGCACTATTCTGATTTGTTATACCATAAATTAATTTTTCCAGTTCTAGTCCTTTTGCTCATTTTTATAGTAATAATTTGTTTTAAAAAGTTATCATTATATTATTATAAAACATTTAAACATTACAGAAAAGAACCAAAACAATCAACAAGTCATTCTGAAACCATTCCATCTAAAGTAACTGTTAACCATGGTGAACGTGACATTTCTGTAACCACTGACAGATACACAGAGAAACAGACAAATTATCCCTTAGAATGGGACTATAATCTTACTTTGAAGAAAAAGAAATGGAATTAAAACCAAAAAATAAAAAACCCTCCAAAACATCAGATAGATGTTCTTTGAGTATATACAAATCATTAAGAGGTTTGCATTTCATTAAAAACAAAAACAAAAGCGGTTTCAATTTTGCATATTACGGAGTGTTTTCCTACCTACATCGAAAAAATAATTACCATGCATCCTGTCATCTTTCCCCACCTTCTAGTTTTGGTTTCTTATTTTTATCATTTATACTCAATCACATGATCACAATTTTTATAGCTACTGATTCTATTACTTTGAATCACCCTTTCCTTGGTTTCAACAATCAGCAGTATCCCCACTCTTTTTTCTTTAAAGTAGAATCCATAGTAATTTTCATGTTTCAGCATATCTATGTACAGCCTTAATAGTAAGAAGAAAACACAGTTTTCTTGGGTCACACTTCATTTCCTTTATAAAGCTGCACTAATGATGTACGTGTAATGAAAATGATAACAGGAAATATTTAGTTATTAGTACATATCAGGTACTGTCATAAACATTTCATGTTTGTTAATCATTTAATACCAACAACAATCCTATGAGGTAGGTAGCATGATCATTTTACAGATGAAAATAATGGAGGCACTGGGAGGTAAACTGGCTTGCCCGAAGTCTCTAATTTGTAAAGCGCAGAACTCTGACTTGAACACAGGTGGTCTGAATCAAGAGCCTGTGGTTTTCACTGCTACATAATGCTTTGACGTTTACAACTAGAACACAACCGGAGGGAGGGACAGTAAAAGATGCCACTAGCTTTAAGGAGTGAAGGCCAGGAATGCTAGATGTTCGTAGTAATGAATAGGGCAGATCCTGACGATACAGACTGTACCATGTCCCTCACAAAAGCTCTGTTTCCTACTATGAGAAAATGAAACTATTAACATTCAACTGTCTCATTAGACACGTTAAACACGTTGGACAACGTGCTTAAAATTACTCAATCCTAGAACATTTCATATAAAATACGAAGTTTTTTTTTTCTTTGGCAAGATTTTAACAGGCTCAATTTTCCAGGGATGCAAGTACTTTGGTGCAGAAAAACTGTTCAGTGTTTGGAAAATTATGTCACTGATGGAAATACCACAACCCGTAGCATTTGCGTTGCCGAATAACACACCTATATCAATCTGCACATATAGTTCTCACATTCATGAGTTCTATATACGAGTGCCAGCATCATTTAACTACTTCTAGTGTAGTCATGGTCAAACAGTTACATATCATTGAAAATATTAGTTTATTATATATTACTTTTATTTTTTCTATTCAACTAGGACAACATGTTGACTTTAAAATTATAGATGTACTCTATCATCTATGAACTTCATTTCAGGATCCAAAAAAGCTCCTAGACTTGTTGAGATCTCACAGCATTATATGGGAGTTGTAATTCTTGAGGGGTTTTCTTTATTTTCCTCTGATGTCTTCTGTCCACTTCTTTCCAAATTCAGACACATAATGAGGAAGCTTAAACTCTGGTTGATTCATCTTCTTTTCTCAGTACTGTTCTGAGGGCTGGATGTGCTATTAGGAGCCATGACATTCTGCAGTAGAATATTCAGTTTATTTCTACACGTTCCATTTTTCAGAGTTCTAGCATTTTCTTTGTTTAAAGTTCTATTCCTGTCCATATTTTATTGTTGCTGGTGAACTTCTGGTTGTCATTCTTTTTAGCGCTACTTGTTTGATCATTTTGTTAGCTTTTGGGGAGTGAGTGTTGTGGTCCTGCTTCACTCAGCCGTGTCAACTGGCGGTCATTTTTTGCCCAACTTTAGATGGAGTGCTTTTCTTTCCTTTGAAGAGACCATCTCAATAAATACTTTCCTTAGTATAAAAGGGTGAGTCTGTCAATTACTTTGTGATGAATGAAAATTTACTACAAGCTTTTCTAATCTCAACTGCTTTCTTCTTATTATTAATAAAGTAGAAGAGTCTACACTCAGAGTCCATTATCACATATCGTATCACTTTGGAGAATATTCGTTAATATTTACTGAGTAATGACAATGTGTCAGTCACTGTTCTAAGAGCTTTGCATATATTATTTCATTAATCTCATAACAATCCTATGCGGTAGATAGTATTCTCTTAGGAAAATGAGGTGTAAAAGTACCAATTTGCCCACAGTCACATAGCTATTAAGTGGCAAAGCAGGGGTTTGCACCCTGGACATCTGATATCAGGGCCCAAGTTATTATTTATTCACTACCTTACTGCCAACCAAGGTTTTAGGGACCTCCTGTTCCATTCAAGGAACTAACTGCTTCACTATTGATTTTTTGATTAACACTTTTTCTTTAGAGACTACCACAAATGCTCAATAAATATTTATTACCTGAATAAATAAAAGACTTAACTGCTTATTTTCAATGCTTCTCCCTCATATCTTTTAATGTGTCTTTTCCTTTTAGAAACAAGGGCAAATTAAAATCACAAATACCATTCTTACTCATTTCTGGGTGGTTAAGAGATAATCTCATTCTATGCTTAAGGAGAACATTGTAGCTTAAAACTTTTCACCTGTACTTTCTGAGCGAGGTGACCAATGTTGAACAGAAATGCAGATAGCTTTTTTTAGTATTTCATTGCATAGCCCTGATAGCATATTTGCTTTAAAGGAGGAATTTTTTCCATAATAACACACAAGAATTAAACACTTCTTTTCTCCCACTTTTGGCAGAAGCAGCTCTATGCTCCCAGGCAGCTCAGATGATCAGTTATATGCCATGTAGTACCCTGCCAGCCCTGAGAACCAGATCTATTGAAGCTACCTATGCCCATCAAAGCTTACTATTCTGTCTCTTAGTCTGTCAGATTTCTGACAACAAATTAACAGGAGGTCAAGCATATCAACAGATTATACATCTTAGGCGCAGCGTGCTTGATTTACAGTGAAAAGTTAGTGGATATAATATGCTAACACAATAAACAGTTGTTGCAGCTTCAAATACCATGATATGTTGACGGTTTTTGCATTATTTTGTGACAGGTAGGTTCTAGCCTCACTTCACATCACATTCTATAAATAACATTAAAGAATAATTTTAAAGACACCAACACATGTAAATAAATGTACAAAAATAAGACAGAAAAAAAAATCTTGAACTTTTAAATAAAAACAGTCATGAATTTTTAATAGTCTATGAAAAAATAGTGTGGTAGGAATAAAACGATTACGGAAATGAAAGTCTGTTAATGTAGACAACTTTTTGTGGCACAGTTCAGGTATATGTACTGCGTCAATGTGGTGAAGAACCTTTGTATGTTACAGATATATAACAATACCAGAGAAAAACATACAGATGATAATTAAGTGTGGACAACAAGGGAAAAAAATTGAGAAGATAATGGTTTGAGTAAATTATTTAAAAAATTAAAAGGTCTTAGCTAAATTGGGCTTGTTCTTAGAGAAGAATCTGTTCAAAACTAAGAATCCACTTCAAGTATTTACATTTTAATAAAAAAGATACAATGGCAACATAAGAAAACCGAGCTGGTGGATTTTAAAAATAACTTACACTGATGACTGAAGAGGAAGTTGACAAGTGTAAACCTTCAAGATCAGCCATCAAACTTGGAGAAAGAGCTGGTGTGGGAAGTGCAACTGGAGTGGATACTGGGTTAACTGTAAGAAAAGGCCCAAATTAGTAAATGTGCATGAACGTTTAATTCAAATTATTAAAAGCAACATTTTTATTTTGTTAGTAAATCTAATTAAATTACTTTGATTAATAAATGTATGACAATTCTATTTAACATCTTGATTTAGTCAACTTATTATCAAGTCATGGCAGTTATTAGTCTTAGCTTTCAAAACATAATGGCAAATCCTATAACAAAATAAGGATATAAATATCTTGAGTAATAGTTTGTGAAAATTTTTATCACATAACATTATCACTAACATTTATCACCCAGTAATCTCCCTAAAAAAGTAAAGAAACATTTTTTTTCCAGACTATCATAAGAATAACAACCGCTTCCAAGAGAATGCTGCAGTGGAATTAGAAGTCTTGAAAGATGTTCAAATCCTATATCTATTTTATTCTCCACTCTAATCAGGCTACCTAATTCCCTTGTAATTATACTTTTTCAGCAAAAGCTATGTGCTAGATAGAAATGTTTGACTGATTCTAAAACTGCTATATACTTGAGAACTGATACCTGTAAGTTTGGAAATCTTCTAAAAATGCAAGTCTGGTCATGTTACTCCCCTGCTTAAGACTCTTCAAAGGCTCATAACTGCCTACAAGATAAAAGCCCAACTCCTCAATTAAGTTCACAAAGTCCTCTATGGTCTGCCCCAGCCCAAACAGCCCTTCCTATGCTAATGGAAATGTTCTACATTTGATAAAGTGGACACTAGCCACATATGCCTAACATACTCTTGATATGTGGCTAGTATGACTAAATAAATGCATTTTAAACTTTGCATAATTTAAGTAATTACATGTGGCTTGTGGCCGCCATACTGGACTATTCAGGTCCAGCTTATCTCCAATTTCAGCATTGTTATGCACTAGCTCTATGGGATAATAGTTCCCAAGATCTTGTTCTACGTCTTGGAGCCTTTTATATTCTACTCTGTTTGCCTACTTCTCTGCCTTGCTCATCTTGCAACTTCGATCTGGCAAGCTACCCTTTAAAAGGAAAACACTCTCTGGCTCACCTGCAAACAGCTTATATGTGCCTTCTTTGTTCCACAGATATACTTGAACAAACTTCTATAACTGTACTTCTCATGTAATACAAATTTGTGTCTTTACATGTTTGCATTTCTGCTAGTCTGTGTGAACAGACAATAACATTAATTTTTGGTGTTTCTAAACCATTTGAATAAAATACATTACAATGTGGTCAAGTTTTAGCTTCCAACAAATTCTCATTCCAAGATAATACCCTAAAGGGAATAACATTTAGTTAATTTGACATTTCTTTTTTTATTTTTATTTTTGGAGATAGGGTCTTGCTCTGTTGCCCAGGCTGGAGTAAAGCGGTGCAATCCCTTCCTGGGCCCAAGCAATCTCAGCCTCCTGAGTAAGTGCATGCCACCATACCCAGCCTTTTTTTTTTATTTTTTATTTTATTTTTTTTTAGAGATGGGATCTCCCCATGTTGTCCAGGCTGGTCGCTAACTCCTAGGCTCAGGCAATCTTCCTACCTTGGCCTCCCAAACTGCTGGGATTACAGGCGTGTGCCACAACACCCAGCTGTGACATTACTTTTCAAAGCATCTTTTTCTCATTTCAGTCTCACAATATCCAGTGAACAAGGCAGAACAAATATTAATCCGTAAAGTTAACAACAAATATTTATTCTGAAAGGTAGCAAGTGAGAGACAAAAAAGTTCAAGATCCTCAAGTAACAAAACCTAATTAAGAAAAAGAGATACATGTATTTGACAAAAAAAAAAAAAAAAAAGTAACAATACAGTCCATAAATGATACGGCCAAAGAAGAAAAATTTCAAAGGAAACACTAAACAAAATCTCAACATATATAATAGAGAAAGCAGCCTGGAGGTTGGATGGGGAGGGAGTGGAGCTCTTGGTCTTCCCTACGCTCACTTAGTACGGCTGAAGCACAGCTTCAAACCCCCAGGCTTCCTTAGACCCACACTGAAAACCCCGGTACAGTTTAGCAAGTGTCACAGAGTCAGGGGCAAAACAAGGATCACTGGAGAAGGAGTGGAAGAGGAGGCTTCATGAACAGGAGGGAATGAAGTCCAATTTTTAAGTAAGAGTGAGATTTGAATAAGAGGAAAGAAAGAAGCCAGTTAATTGTTGGATAACAGAATGCTATAAACAAAGGCTGAGAGGTAGGAAATTGAAAAACTAAGGGGACTGGATTTATCCTATAGACCAAGGGGAACAGTCAAAAATCGATCAAACAGAGGAATGACAATGAATATGGTCCTGCAGGATGGTTAATCAGATGGCAGTACAATGCACAGACTGAAGGCAGGGTTGGGAGTAGGGAAGAATTTACAATAGTTTAGGAATGAAGTGAAAAAGACTAAAGTAAGCCAATGGCAATGAGAAGGCTTAAAAAGAGCATTTAATATTGAAGACACTGGAAACTGAGCCACAGGGAGATTAATATTGACAAGGTCATAAAAAGTGAATGGTAGAACCACTATAGAATTAGAAACTGCTTCTTCTAACTTGGATCATAATATGTTGCCTTCCCATGCAACACGTAACTTTTCAGGTAAGTTCTAAATGCATGTTTATTCATTCCTTTGTACATCTATCTACCCACCCGTCCACCATCTGTCCTTTCAAAATATTAGAATGCCCATGTAACGAATAAAAAACTGAATAAGAAACAGCCTCTGATTTCAACTGTGGCTTGGCTAAATACCATCAAGAGACAAGAGAAGAAACTTCACACCACAAGCAAGTTCTGCTGTTTTTTAAAAAAGGATGGGTTTTAATATAATTTCAGAAGATGTGTGCTCTGGTATTAAAGAGATGATTATGCATCTGTTTGCAGGTATGGCAAGATGAAAGTTGGCATTGAAAGCTTACCCTAAAGTGAATTCTGAGGCTAGGTGACTGTGCTGAAGTATTTAATTAGTAATGTGTAAAAACAAAGTGACTCTATGGGGTTTTTAAAAAAAATGTCATAGTATACAAGTTAAAATGAAATATCATGCCCACCTGGCAAATTAGAAAAGGTAATTTTAAAATACAAAATCTAGCATTGGTGAAGGTACAAGGAATATAGCACCCTCATATTAATACTGTGTAAGCTGGTACAAGCTTTCTGAAAGGCAATTTTATTTACTTATTTTTGAGGAGTTTCTCTGTCACTCAGGCTGGAGTGGAGTGGCATAATCACAGCTCAGTGCAGCCTTGAATTTCTGGACTCAAGCAATCCTCCCGCCTCAGCCTCCTGAGTAGCTAGTATTACAGGTGTATGCCACCATGCCCCGCTAATTTTTCTATCTTTTTGTAGAGACAGGAGTCTCACTTTGTTGTCCAGGCTGGTCTCGAACTCCCAACTTCAAGCAGTCCTCCTGTCTCAGCCTCCCAAGTAGCTGGGATTACAGGCATGAGCCACCATGCCAAGCCTAAAAGGCAATTTTGGACAAACAAATTCTTCAAAGTCTTTGTTCCAGCAATACTACTTCTGGAAATTTATCTTAAGGAAACAGTTACAGAGATATTGAAAAATATATTTACAATGATGAATGTTACTTCACTAATTATGATAGCAAAAAATGGAAAACAGCTAAATTCCCAACAACAGTAAATCTGTTAAACAGAATTTGTTCTAACAGGATAAAGGACAACCATACAGTTATAAAGAACGTAGGTTTTGTTTTGTTTTTGGAAATAGGGTCTTGCTCTGTCACTCAGGCTGGAGTGCAATGGCACAATTGCAGCTCACTACAGCCTTGACCTCCTGGGGCTTAAGCAATCCTCCCGCCTTGGCCTCCAAAGTGCTAGATTATAGACATGAGCCACCACACCAACTAAGAACATGTACTTTAAACAGAGGAGAAAGCAAGTGATAAAACAGTTTCTCAGTAGAATCCAATTTGGAAGGGGGGATTTGCATATGAAGAGAATCTAAACTGATATGTCAGAATGTTAACCTGGGGTGTTTGGATTACAGGTTAATTTTATTTTCTTCTTTTTATTTTAAAAACTTTCTATAAAACTTTTTTCTTTTCTAAAAGTAGATCTAATACAGTAATTATTCAATTATTCTTCTGATCAAAGCTTTGCCTTAAGATTTAAGAATAAGAAAAACTGAATACATAATGGCTTAATATGTTGTTATTTAATTTGTAATTTGCTGCATCATCTGCATCATTGGCATCATCAGCACCAGCATCATCACTAAACCCAGTAATGCCTATCATGTGTTAGGCACAGTTCTAAATGCTTTTACGTATATCAAGTCATTTCATCCTTTGAGAATTAAATGACTCCCAAAAGTATTTGTACCATCCCAATTTTATAGACAAAGCAGCTAAAGCATGGAGAGATTAAGTAAATTGCCCAAGATGTCACAACTAGTGAGTAACAGAGCTGGGATTGAAACTCAGACAGCTTGCTCCACTGTCCTCTTAGTGACTCCACTCTACTGCCTTGACCAAAATTCACTCAACAATGTGATATCACATATCATAAGGCTTATTTGAAGTATGATTATTGTTGGCTGACAGAGATTTTTTAAATATTTCACTGTCAGTTGTACTAACAATGTAATGACATAGGTTTACATTTCCTATAAAAGAACACTAGAATATGATCACTGATTTGTGATCGTCCTACTGAGAGCACATGGTATGGGGTCCTAAAATATATTGTTTAATTTCCAGGAATATAAAATATGCCTGAAACATAGAAAGCATATTGATATCTCTAAGTCTAACAAAAGACTGTTAGGTCATATATTATCCTAGAACAAATGTTTTCTTATGTATTGTTAACTGACCCCCATGAAAAAGAGTCATATAACTTAATGATCTAAAGAAACTGTGGAAGTTTTATAGTCTTTAAAAAAATTACAAATGAATAAAATGAGACACAAAGAAACCACTAAACCGATTAAAAGCATAGGACTAATACCTGTGCTCATGATAACATTCCCTCAACAGATATAATAGAGAAATAGTAAGAGAAATAACCAAATTGTTTTGTAGTAGAGTCAGTCTATTGCTAGGGTTGCTGCCTTAGAGACAGACAATCATTATTTCTGGTAGTAGCAAGCTCTTTCCCTCCTCCATAACTTTATTCTGCCTAGTATACCCTCCCCTCATGCCTCTAACAGCTTGACTGACTCTTTTTTTCTTTCTTTTTTCTTTTTTTGTAGTGGAATATCACTCTGTCACCCAGGCTGGAGTGCAGTGGTGTGATCTTGGCTCACTGGAACCTCCGCCTCCCAGGTTTAAGCAATTCTCCTGCTGCAGCCTCCCGAGTAACTGGGATTACAGGTGTGCACCACCACGCCTGGCTAATTTTTCTATTTTTAGTAGAGACAGGGTTTCACCATGTTGGCCAGGCTGGTATCAATCTCTTGGCCTCAGGTGATCTGCCCGCCTCGGCCTCCCAAAGTGCTGGTATTACAAGTGTGAGCCACCAGGCCTGGCCAACTGATGCTTTCTTAAACTCAACTCAAAAGTTAAATTTTGATACCGCTAGGTGGATTAGGAACCTTGATACTGAACAGTATTTTGTGCATTTCTCCTCATTTCATCTATAATGCGGCAATCTAATTGCCAGTTTATCTGTTTTTCCCATTACACTTTGAGAGTTCCTTGGGTAGGGACAATATTTTATTCATTTAGAATCTCCAGTATGTAGCAGATTACAAAGATCACAGCAAGTATTAAATTAACATTTCCTGAATGAAGAAATGAAGAAATTCAGTACTTGCAGTCTTCCTGGTATGCACTGTGTACCTAGCAAACAACCTGTGTGGATTATGATGTGCCTCTTAGATAAACCACAGGGAATGTGTCTGGCCTTCTTTCAAGATTAATCTAATTCTCACAGTTGAGAACTAAAGCCACTGGAGAGTAACATTTTAGTATCTGAGCAACAAACTGCATGCCATGGGCAATGGAGAACCATTGCAGGCTAATAGGAGGCATACAGTGAAGTTGGCACTCTGCTTGTCTTTATCTCTAAGCTCAGATCATGGTTCCTTCACAAGGTTTTTGTAGTTTTTTAATTTGGGGTTAATGAAAACCCTGAAGAGGGGTTTT
Organism: Homo sapiens; assembly: GCF_000001405.40. Classification (NCBI taxonomy): domain Eukaryota; kingdom Metazoa; phylum Chordata; class Mammalia; order Primates; family Hominidae; genus Homo; species Homo sapiens. The sequence goes on from NC_000005.10 coordinate 78,095,598, forward strand.
CATCTCCCTCTCTGTTTCTTCACTATACTTTGCATCTCTATTTTCTCTCGTATGCAATAGTTATTTGTCCTGTTATCTGTGTCTCTGACTAGATTTTAGTTTTTGGAAGGGAATGACTAAATTCTATTTATCTATTACAGCACCTACTAAAGTACCTTGCACTTAGCAGACAATCCAGAAAACACAGGCTGAACTGACTTGTTAACAAGAGAGTTTCAAGTGTCGTTTCTGACAAAAGCAGGACTATGAAAGATTTTTAAAGAAATAGCACTTGGGTATTAAAAACAAAGAGAAACACTATATCCTATATTGAGTTAAAAAATGTAGGTTGGGATCAAAGTTCCCTTAAAATTCAAAAAAACTTTCATTTCAATTCTTAAAAACTTGATTTTTTTAAAAAGCTTGTGTCCCTGTCCCTCTCCCTTTCCCTCTCCCTCTCCCCACGGTCTCCCTCTGATGCCGAGCTGAAGCTGGACTGTACTGCTGCCATCTCGGCTCACTGCAACCTCCCTGCCTGATTCTCCTGCCTCAGCCTGCCGAGTGCCTGCGATGGCAGGCGCGCGCCGCCATGCCTGGCTGGTTTTCGTATTTTTTTGGTGGAGACGGGGTTTCGCTGTGTTGGCCGGGCTGATCTCCAGCTCCTAACCGCGAGTGATCCGCCAGCCTTGGCCTCCAGAGGTGCCGGGATTGCAGACAGTGTCTGGTTCACTTAGTGCTCAATGGTGCCCAGGCTGGAGTGCAGTGGCATGATCTTGGCTCGCTACAACCTCCACCTCCCAGCCACCTGCCTTGGCCTCCCAAAGCGTCCAGAGTGCAGCCTCTGCCCGGCCGCCACCCCGTCTAGGAAGTGAGGAGCGTCTCTGCCTGGCCGCCCATCGTCTGGGATGTGAGGAGCCCCTCTGCCTGGCTGCCCAGTCTGGAAAGTGAGGAGCGTCTCTGCCCGGCCACCATCCCATCTAGGAAGTGAGGAGCGTCTCTGCCCGGCCGCCCATCGTCTGAGATGTGGGGAGCGCCTTTGCCCCGCCGCCCCATCTGGGATGTGAGGAGCGCCTCTGCCCGGCCGCGACTCCGTCTGGGAGGTGAGGAGCGTCTCTGCCCAGCCGCCCCATCTGAGAAGGGAGGAGACCCTCCACCCGGCAACTGCCCCGTCTGAGAAGTGAGGAGCCCCTCCGCCCGGCAGCCGCCCCGTCTGGGAAGTGAGGAGCGTCTCCGCCCGGCAGCCGCCCCGTCCGGGAGGGAGGGGGGGCTCAGCCCCCGCCAGGCCAGCCGCCCCGTCCGGGAGGGAGGTAGGGGGTCAGCCCCCCGCCCGGCCAGCCGCCCTGTCCGGGAGGTGAGGGGCGCCTCTGCCCAGCCGCCCCTACTGGGAAGTGAGGAGTCCCTCTGCCCGGCCAGCCGCCCTGTCCGGGAGGGAGGTGGGGGGGTCAGCCCCCCGCCCGGCCAGCCGCCCCGTCCGGGAGGGAGGTTGGGGGGTCAGCCCCCCGCCCGGCCAGCCGCCCCGTCCGGGAGGGAGGTAGGGGGTCAGCCCCCCACCCGGCCAGCCGCCCCGTCCGGGAGGTGAGGGGCGCCTCTGCCCAGCTGCCCCTACTGGGAAGTGAGGAGCCCCTCTGCCCGGCCAGCCACCCCGTCCGGGAGGGAGGTGGGGGGGTCAGCCCCCCGCCCGGCCAGCCACCCCGTCCGGGAGGGAGGTGGGGGGGTCAGCCCCCCGCCCGGCCAGCAGCCCCGTCCGGGAGGGAGGTGGGGGGGTCAGCCCCCTGCCCGGCCAGCCGCCCTGTCCGGGAGGGAGGTAGGGGGTCAGCCCCCCGCCCGGCCAGCCGCCTCGTCCGGGAGGTGAGGGGTGCCTCTGCCCGGCCGCCCCTACTGGGAAGTGAGGAGCCCCTCTGCCCGGCCAGCCGCCCCGTCCGGGAGGGAGGTGGGGGGGTCAGCCCCCCGCCCGGCCAGCCGCCCCGTCCGGGAGGGAGGTAGGGGGTCAGCCCCCCGCCCGGCCAGCCGCCCCGTCCGGGAGGGAGGTGGGGGGGTCAGCCCCCTGCCCGGCCAGCCGCCCCGTCCGGGAGGGAGGTGGGGGGGTCAGCCCCCCGCCCGGCCAGCCGCCTCGTCCAGGAGGTGAGGGGCGCCTCTGCCAGGCCGCCCCTACTGGGAAGTGAGGAGCCCCTCTGCCCGGCCACCACCCCGTCTGGGAGGTGTGCCCAACAGCTCATTGAGAACGGGCCATGATGACAATGGTGGTTTTGTGGAATAGAAAGCGGGGAAAGGTGGGGAAAAGATTGAGAAATCGGATGGTTGCGGTGTCTGTGTAGAAAGAGGTAGACATGGGAGACTTTTCATTTTGTTCTGTACTAAGAAAAATTCTTCTGCCTTGGGATCCTGTTGATCCTGTGACCTTACCCCCCAACCCTGTGCTCTCTGAAACATGTGCTGTGTCCACTCAGGGTTAAATGGATTAAGGGCGGTGCAAGATGTGCTTTGTTAAACAGATGCTTGAAGGCAGCATGCTCGTTAAGAGTCATCACCACTCCCTAATCTCAAGTACCCGGGGACACAAACACTGCGGAAGGCCGCAGGGTCCTCTGCCTAGGAAAACCAGAGACCTTTGTTCACTTGTTTATCTGCTGACCTTCCCTCCACTATTGTCCTATGACCCTGCCAAATCCCCCTCTGTGAGAAACACCCAAGAATGATCAATAAAAATAAAAATAAATAAATAAAAAATAAAAAAAAAAAGCTTGTATCTCAACATATAAAAATATACTTTTTTATAGAATGGAACTATAACAATTATGTCATTTTATAGGTTTTTCTTTTTTTACCGTAGTTGCCAGGAAATCCAGAGTTGAATATAAGAAGAAAAAGTTGTAATTAGTACACTCTAGTACCTTGTAACATTTACTCTTAGTTCCCTTTTAAATGTACTTTACTGTTATTCTTTTACAATTTTAAACTTTGTAAATTATGAAGGTTACAAACATACATATGTAAGATATTCAAATGTCACAGAAAGATACAAAATATAAAATGAAAGTCTTATTCTTGTCTGTTCCCAGGTTAGTCCTACATCACAAGGAGGCCAGAGCTAACCACTGAACAATGCTGCAATGAAATTTTTGTATATGCCCTTATATGTTTTATTAATTCAAGCAATATTTACTGGGTGCCCACTAACTGCCAGGAGCCACTCTGTACACTAGGAATAGCAGTGAGCAACACAGAGACCCTGTCCTCATGGAACTTACATCTTAGTTGGGAGAAAGAGACAATAATCAAGTACCAAAATTTTAAGGTAATTTCAGATAGTGAAAAATGCCATGAAGACAAGAATGACAAGAATAACAAGAATAACAAGAAGGTTTGTGCTATGGTCTGAACATTTATGTCCCTCCAAAATTCGTGTTGAAACCTAATCCAGACTATGGTGGGGCCTTTAGTAGGTAATTAGGTTATAGGGGTTCTACCCTCATGAATGGGATTATTGCCCTTATAAAAGTGGTATGAGGGATGGTGTTTCCTCCTTCTGTCACATGAGGAAACAGAAGTCACTATCTCTGAAGCAGAGCTAGCCCTCACCTATCATCAAATACGCTGGCACCTTGATCTTGGACTTCCCAGCCTCCAGAACTACGAACAACTAATTTCTGCTGTTTATAAATTACCCAGTCTAACGTATTCTGTTATGCCAGCTCAAAGGGACTAGGACAGTGTGTAAGAGTAGGTGACTTCTGAGTTGGGGAAGTAAGGATCAGTCAATTGTTCTCAGCAGGGGAACAGCAGTAGAAAGGCCCTTGGCAGAAATGAGCCTGGTATGTGTGACAAATGCATAAAAACAGAGTAGGATGAAATGTGGATAACAAGAAGACAGGGGTCAGATCATCTACAGTCTGAGAAACCTGGGAAAGGAGTATGGGCTTTCATCTAAATGCAAAATTAAGCCATTAAATTCAAGGGTTTAAAACAAGAAAGAAATAAGATCTGATTTTATCAGTAGTTTATCAGTAGGATAAATTTCTGGAAAAGAACTGCTAGGTCAGTGGGGCGTGGTGGCTCACACCTGTAATCCCAGCACGTTGGGAAGCCGAGGTGGGTGGATCACGAGGTCAGGAAATCAAGATCATCCTGGCTAACACAGTGAAACCCGCCTCTACTAAAAAAAAATACAAAAAATTAGCTGGGCGTGATGGTAGTCCCAGCTACTCAGGAGGCTGAGGCAGGAGAACTGCTCGAACCCAGAAGGTGGAGGTTGCAGTGAGCCGAGGTAGTGCCACTACACTCCAGCCTGGGCAACAAAGTGAGATTCCGTCTCGGGGGGCGGGGAAGAACTGCTAGGTGAAAGGGTATGTGCAATTTAAGTTTTGATAGATATTGCTAAAATGACTCCAAAGAGCTGTACCTATTTATATTCCTATCAAAAACATGTACTTCTGTTTCTCCAAATCTTAGCAACACTGGATGATACCAAACCTCAAAATCTTAGCCAATGTGTAAAACATGATTCAAATTTAACTCCAATTTTATTTTTAGTTTCTCTGTTATTTCTCTCTATTATATATTTTAATTTCTCTATATTAAGTATATGCCATGGCTACTGGGGACAGGGCAGGTAACAGTATAAACAGAACAGATCTATGACAGAATGAGATAACCTAAAACATAACTCACTCTCAGCATAGAAAAACTCTATCAAAAATGATAGTAGTTTAATATTCATGAAATCTCACTTCTTGTTACTCTTCTCCTAGTGCAACAAAGTACCACTATCTCTCTCTCACTATGCAGGAGGATTTAAGGGGAGGTGGTAAATACATATATCTTTGTACACTTGGGTGAATATATTTGTAGGATTCTGAATTCTTAGATTTGCTGGGACAAAGATTTTTTGCAGTTAAAAGACTGAGAGGTATAGCCAAACTGGCCTCCAAAGGCTTTGTAACCCATTTCCATTCCTACTGAAATTGTGCCAAGTGGAAGATGGTGATGTCCTTTCCATTTTTATTTACATTCCTTAATCCTCTACCTCCTTAAGTTACATGTGTCAATCCCCATAATCCACATTTCACAATGTAGAAGTTATAAGGTATGGATGACTATTTAGCAAACAAGTATAAATTACTAAAGCAAAAGATTTTAAAATGAATTTTGTGTACTTGTATTTGGCCATCTATATTTGTTCATGTGATAATGAAGTGATATGCTGAATAGATGAAAGAAACAAATACCACTGATTTCCAAAACTTTCTTGCCTTATTCATCTATAAGTCTTTCACAATAAATATTGATATATTTTGGGACATGTAAATGAAAGGTACTATAAAAATAAAAAATACTCTTACTAAACACAGAAGAAATATTTTAAATTACAATACTTACAATCATCCAGATCTAGAAGTGAAACATCTTTGGTAAGAGGAGTTCTATCTTGCTTTGTTTTCTTTTCTTTCTCCTATAAAATAACAAATATTTCATTTATCACACGTTCTGTTTTAAAAATCTGTGGAGTAGTCCTTAATATTCCAAAACAAACTTTTTTTTCCTCTGCTTAGTGGTACCAACAAATTAAACTTCTGTATGGTTATATAAAATGTTTTCCTGAATCAACATTTGTCTCAATTAGCATATAGTATTTCTTACCCACTATGCAAACTCTTAAACTATTTTGTGTTTAAAAATTATAAATGTCAGAACAAAATTTAAAGGTATGTAATTATTCTACAATCGGACAACTTCTTGCTAACATAAAAACGTAAAGTGGCTCTTTGGTAGAAAGTCCACAAATATTCTTGAAAATAACTTTTAAACAGGTTTACTTAAGAAAAAGAAATAACATATGCATAGCTCAGATATTTTTGATGGGCTTGTGATAGGTCAGCCTTTTCTGATATAGTTTGTGACAGGCATTGTACTAGATATTTTATGTTTCTATACTGGGTTGTATCAAACTTCTTTGCCAAAGATATTCATTAAAATCTATAAATGACATTCCCAGGCTCTTTCTTTTTAGAGTTGAAAGGACTCACTCACTTGATCTACTGTTTTGTTGAGAAAATAAATATTTCAAAAACATATCTGCATATAACTAGGGCTTCCCCCAGCAGAGATTTGCTTATTCGGTCTACTGTACTTACAAAATGTATATATCCATGAACTAGAATACAGTGCCCCTAAGCCTGAACTGTTCACAGTTTGGTTAGATATTCAGAAAAAATTTGTAAATCTTTTAAAAAGAAAACAGTATTAAGTGCATTACAAACAACTAAAGGCCAACAAAGAGTAGGGCGTTAAATATAATTGAGTCAAAGTTTATCTTTCTAATCTATACTATTTTTTACATTAAATTTTCTCAATCACAGACCAAAACTAAAGTTTCTACTAAAATGTTTTTGTTTATTTAATCATTCATTCATTCAATAGGTATGTATAGAATTTTAAATATATATTAGATTCTGTGCCAAGCAATGGAAATAACAGCCAAGATAGATATAGTCCTGCCTTCAAATAACTTATAATTTACCAAAAGTCTATAGCTTATTGCTAATGTGCTAATAAATATTTTTGAAGTATTCCTCTAGCCACGAGACGGTACCACTAAAGCAAAATATATTTTATCACTATTTAAAGTTTACACAGTGTTAGAGCTCCTACAACAGTGCACATACATGAACAAAAGCATTACGTAAAATTATACATAGGTAACATTTTAAAATAATTTAAATTTCACTTGTTTTTTCCCTTGTCCTGATACTCAGAAACTTCAAGGACCACATAATAATATACATTATTAATACACTTAAAAAGGCACTAATTTTATTCTTCAAAGTAATTATTTTTATCACTGAACACTCCACATCATCTAGTTGTTTTAATTTTCATTCCTTATTTAAAAATGAACGAAACAGTATTTGTCCCTCTCTCCATTTCTCAAATGAGTAAACAATGTCTAAGATGGTGAAAAAAATAGAAGAAACATTAGTTTTGAAGCTAAAATTTAAAAGTTGCAAGTAAATGAAAACAAGTGCAGAATGAAAATGCTGTCTCAACTAGAATATCATTCCTGTGAAGAAAGAACATATAACAAAAAGAGCATACCATCATGTGACTTATCAAAATGCTATGCTGAGCACAATGGGTGTAGCTTCCTATAAGCTACAATGGTGCATGACTGTCTTTATGGAACTGTAACCTCCCCACCTGAAAAATTAGAAACCTATCAAATCAAGATAAAGTTAAAGCTGAAGGCAAGTCTATACCTTAATTTCTACTTCACAGCCAAGAGTGTGTAACAATATCTATTAAATACATATCAGGTCACATATAACACAGAACAGAGCTGCATGTGAAATTGGCATAATCTCTTATTAGAAGCCTAGAACAGAGAGAAAAAAGGCTTTCAAAAGGACAGAATTTCATTGACTTTCTGAGAACAGCAAATAACCAGTGACTGAAATATAACATTAGCAATAGATAATGGTCATTTCTACTGAATTGGAAAACCCTTGCATTCTGAATCAACGCTATAAAATGCTTCATGATGTGTTTGGTATTCCTCTTATATTTCATTTTTCATTTTAAAAAATCCATAGTAAGTTCAAAACATTTTCATACTTAAAGGATCTACTATAAAAATAAAATTCTGAATTCTAAACGAAGAAGTTAAGAGCTCTATTCCATCAAACATTTCTCCATTTGCAATTCATCTTGGTAATAGAGACAGAACCTGGGTAAATGCATATAGGACTTGAGGCAGGAGATTTTTCTTGCTCAATGCATAATTCATGTGCTCCGCCTGCAAAGTGTGTAAAATGAGAATTTCACACCGCAGCATGAGCCATGGAGCTGCAGAGAAAAGGCAGATGAAATCATATTTTACTGTGCGATTTTATTTCTTACCCTCCCAATATTTATACAAAACCATCATCGACAAACCAAACACATTGACAGATCACCCACTGTTTCCATTGTGTTAGTACTTGAGAAGAGATCAGGCAGAAAGATAGACAATTTGTTTTTGTATATTTTTTTAAATAGAGGATTAGGCTTTTAACAGCTGAGTGACTGTATTAGACTTTTATAAGGACAACAGTAACTGATCTTAGAATCTCACCACAAAAAATACCTAGTTATCAATTCATCATCCTCAAATCTCCATTTTGTTTCTATGGTATTCAATTATACACCTCAACACATCAACATTTTCAAAATGCAATACAAAGTCACAGGGTCAAAAAAACTGATTTCTATTTAATGTATTTCACTTCAAATAATAAATAAAAGATCCTGGAAATACTTATTAACCTCCAAATAATACAAACAAAAATATGTTACAATACACCTGAAAAGATTTGTTAATGTATTATGCATGTTCATTTTCATGCTGATTAAAAAAAAGGCAAATAGCAAAAAAGATCTGACATGACAAGCATCAAATATGCATTCTAAGAGGAAACCATTGTAAAGAGGTTTGAAATTTGAAACTATAAAATAGGATAAGCAGTATGTAAAGTCTGTCAAAGCCATACTGTGCTTTGAAATCAACAAGAAGTCAAAGCTAATTTCTAGCCTCACAGGACAAGATATTTGCATGAAATATTTTCAATTAGAATTATCAACCAAAGATAATTTAATGACTTTTTTCCTTCAAGTTAACTGACAAATATGATTTTAAAAATCTGAGGCTAACACTTAAACTTGTGCTTTAAAACAAAAGTACACTGCTAGTAAATTGAGACTTCTTTATAAGTTAAAAAGAAGTCTAACCCACTAAAACAGATCTTTTCCTATTAGAGTACGCCTACTTCAATAAGAAAGCCTGCTTAATGGCATTCACTTCCTTTCAAAGGTCTCAACTGCAATTGAATAATATTTTTATTTTAGAGAACTTAAAATATAAATGAAATCAGGAAAGACATAAACTGAGAGGCAAGGCTTTGCATTATAACAGTAAAACCCAATATTCTTCAATATTTATAAAAGTTATATAATTGCAACATACAAAAATAGTTGTAAAAACATAACTAAAACTTGCTTACTTTTCAAATAGAACATAAAACCAATCAAAAAATTGTTCCTTTCACTCTTATCCATGATTTATTTCACACCACATGCCAAATTTACTTTATCCCCAAGAATCTTTCAAATAAAAGATCTTTATTGCCAAAATCTTTTATTAAGGCAAATCTTAACATTTACTGACATTCAGACACCAGTCAAATCCTAGTGACTGATCGTTAGAGCACCTAAGAGATTCACTCAGTTTCTTTGCACCTCCCAAAAGGAATTAGCAAAGTTTTGAGACACAAATATAACCTGAGATAAAAACAACTGACAAGAGCAACTCAAACACTGCTACGTATATACAGTTGGTACTATTTTCTTCATAGCTAGTATGTACCTTAATCTTAGTTTTAATTCAAATACTGAAATGCTTTTAATATTAAGTATTATTAAGTGCAAGTACATTAAATACTTAATATTTATTTCACATTGGTAGATTATTATGCTTTATATAGTTTATGTAATTAAAATGTTCATATAAGGAAAATACATAAAATTTACTCACAATAAATTACAATCATAATTTAAAGTTTTTATCATTTTAATCATAGAGTATCTAAATCTTCAGCCATTAGTACACAGACACTACAGATATAACTAGAATATTGCATCATGAATAAGGTGCGAATAGTGGACTAACAACGTAGCTGAAATAACTATGGTGTGGAGGAGCACTCTAATATACTGGGTAGTTGTAAGAACACTGAAGCCTAGGTTTCATGAAGGATAAAAATCCTGGAAACTTTAAAAGCATTATTTTAAATAAATTTTTTCACCATCTGTTCACATAATTTTAACTACAAGCAGAATATAACTTAATTATATTGGTCAAAAACAGGATAAAGTGATATAAATGTGAATCTCTTCCTGACACAATGTGGTCTACATCACTGAATTTTCTCTCCACTGTTTCATATAAAAAAAAATTTCCCCTTTACATTGTGTAAAGTATGTGAAATCACTTAAAATAAGGAATTACTAAAAGTAATTTTGTTATAGGTGTTATTTGGAACAAAAGAATTACTTCATTGAAAGGACTATACTAAAAATATTTCTCAATTAAATATATCTCAGAAAATAACACCTACACATAAAATACGCTTATCAATCAACATAATTATAACTAAAACAAGGAAATTTTCTATGGTCATTACTAACAACATCTGACCTCAAATGAGGACATATTCCAATCAATAACACAAACAAACAAACATGGCACCTGAATGTGTGACTATAGTTTTGTGCCTCGTGAATATGCTGGGGCATTTTAAGAACATAAATAATCCACCTGTGGTTCTCACCCTTTTGACTATCCCATTCACATGAGTGATACCCCATCATCAGTAACATTTTTCATTCCCTGCAGCCATTCCCAACTAGGAGAAGTGGAGGGTCACAGTGATATGAGGCCACTTTCTCCCTAGCTTTTATTTTGTGTAGTAAATGATGCAAAAAGAAAGAACAAAGGCATAGAAATAGGAAAGAATACAGAGTGTTAATAGAACCACAAATATTCCACTGGGATTAGAATTTAGTGTGTGTGGCTGGGCACGGTTGCCCATGCCTGTAATCCCAGCACTTTGGGAGGCTGAGGTGGGTGGATCGCTTGAGCCCAGGAGGTCGAGACCAGCCTGGGCAACATGGAGAAACCCCTCTCTATTAAAAATACAAAAAATTAGCCAAGCATGGTAGTGCATGCCTATAGTCCCAGCTACCCAGGAGGCTGAGGTGGGAGGATCACCTGAGACTTGGAGGTCGAAGCTGCAGAGAGCTGGGATCATGCCACTGCATTCCAGCTTGGGTGACAGAGCAAGACTCTGTCTCAAAAAAAAGAAAGAAAGAAAGAAAGAAAGAACACAAGGTGGGTAGGGTTAAGACAAGGTAGGTTTGGGCAAGCTAGCCTGAGTTTACTGAACTCAAATGGCAGTGGGCCATCAGGACAGGTGAATTTAATATCCATCTGGCAGTTGTATAGAAGGACTTGGGGTTGGGAAAGCATTGGTCAGAGGATGACCAATGGCAATGGTCTATGCAGGTAATGAAGAGCTAATCTAGAATAGTGGCAGTAGGGAAAGAAGAAACAGACATGAGAAATAACGCACAGAACATATAGGAGTTGGTAACTATCTAAACATACAGAATGACAGAGTAGTCAGAGATAATTCTGGGGCTTCAGATCTGGGAGAATGAAAAGAATGCTGGTGACAAATGGTAGAGCATGTCTTTTGATTGTATTAGGTTTGGAAAACCAGTAGCCTCAGAGAGGTCTAAAAATTTGGTATGAATTTGGGAAGAAAAGCTGAAACTTAATGTAAAGACTGAAAGATGTTACCATGGAAGTAATTAATATAAATGTTTTAGCTGAAGCTATAGGAGTGAATGAGGTCTCACAACAGGAAAAATTTAGAGGGAAAAAAGAAGATTAAAGAAAAATTCATTCACATCAATTAATATCTCAAAAGACTAATGTGTACTAAGTACTAATTTGGGGTCAACATTCACACTTGGGTGTCAGAGGCGTGTAAAAAGTGAAGCAACCAAAAGAATGAAAGGTCAAAAAAGTAAGAACAAAAGGGATGCAGAGACTTTTAAGTAGTAGGGGAATAGTCATAAAAAAAGATCAAGATTAAGAGAAGGCTACTGGGTTTGGGGAAGGATCATAGCTGCCTTTTCAGAGAGCAGTATGTGTAGGATAGAGTTGGAAATAACTGGGTTAAGAAGTACAAGATGGAGGATATGTAGAATATTTTTCTAAACTCACTCTCACTCATGTACACACACTCTGTTTTTTTCACTCCATGCTCCCTCTCTCTCTCTTTAAATGCTGAAAAAACCTGAATGCCACAGTTGGCAGAAAAGGAATGAATGGAGAAAGAGATTAAAGGTGCAAAGGAGACAGATGATTATTAACAAAACAAGACCAAAAGGAAGTAGGAGTTACCCTTGGGGAAGTGGATGCGAGTCTTACACAGAGCTGCGTTCAAAGGAAAAGTAGGGTAAATGGAGATTGTGAGTTAGAGAGCAGAAACACTGACCGTGGATGGCAGCTGTCTTCTAAGGAAAGTGGCTAAGCTCAGAGGCTGTAGGTAAGGGAACAGAATTAAATGTTGCCTTACAACTTGAATAGTGTAAAAAGAGTGAAAAAAAAAGAGCAGGATACTTAAGAGTTACCAAAAAATTTAGGTTACTTTTAGCATTTGATGTTCTCCAATACTGTTGATCTTTTATGGAATTTTTAAAAATGTTAAAACTGTTGTTTTATAGTTACATAGTGTGTTACATTGATCTTTCATATTTTATTTTTAACATAACACTTGAAAGAAGTAAGGTAGGTACTAGCATGTCTGCTTTACAGATGAGGAAACTGAAACAAAGATATTCTCTCCCAACAAGTAGAACACTATGCTTATCTCATAGGACTACCATAAAAATTAACTGTTTTGAAAGCCATATATTCAAGGTAACTCCTAGGTCGCATTTTCATGCTCAGTGCCCTCAAAACACATTGTCTGGATGAAAAAAAAGAAAAGAAAGAGTAAAAATATAGATTTAGTTAGGCTGCAGATATAAGGCATATGAATTTTCAGCACTAACATATTGTCATGCTAAATTAAAGTAAAGTACCCACCATCTGCCTTCATTACTCATAATTTAGGGCAGAAGCCACAACACTTGGTGCAAGGAGGACTTTTCCACAATTATAGTCACCTATTATTAGAAAATAGGTATATTCTGTAATTGCATGGTATACACCAAATCATTCAGAAAGAAACAGAAATAAATAAGTAGTTATGGTAGCTCCAAGGTGGAGAGTACTTATTCCAGTTGCTAAACTAAAGCAAAAAACTCCACAGTCCTGTATGCCTATTATAGATGGGAAAAGGCATTCTAATATAAAGAAAATAAGCCACCTAAGGGAAACACATGAACACAAAACTATCAACAATGTGAGCGAAACCCGAATTTCTCAAAGGCCTTGGTTCACTGCAATAGTTTGAGGTTTTTTATACTGACGTTCTATAGGAAAATATTTTTAACTATCAAGAGATTTAATCTGATCACTGAAAGTCTTTGACAAAGAAGAAACAAACAGAATCACTGACCTGGAGTGCCCCTGTGGTTTTTATCTTCTTTTGTTTTTTTCAGGGGGAGGAAGGGGTACAACACAACATGATGTTCAACCACTGTGGCTTTTTAATGGGATCCTAAAGCTCTGCTTCTAATACTACAGAGGCACTGAAGTCTATAATTTTTCAACTGTTACAAAATTTCCTAAGAATAACTTCTACCACTTGACACTCACTGATTTCTTGTTCTGTCATTTTTAAAAAATACTTCTTACTCTGGGTTGTATTTACTGTCGATTTGTAACTCTCTTTATTTTCAATAACATTTTAAACTTTCTGGTAATTTGATGTAAGTATGAAATGAGAGTACATCAGACTCACTAAGTGATAAGTTTTTATATGAGGCCAGATTAATAAACCATAAAATCTCTTAAGATTTTATGTGAATTTTTTAAAAATAAAAATCTCAGGTTATTTTATATACAGACACAAGTTTTAAATATAAATTCAAGTTTAAGATAGGTTTTAATATATGCAAGAAAATGTGAAATAAGGCAAGACAAATACTAGCCAATTTTTAAAACATTCTTTAACAATAAATCTCTGGATGGGGGAGGGCAATTGTCTACTTCAATAAATTAATTTTCATCCTTGCCTACTCAGATAACATATTGAAGAGATTCCAGTTAACAGAACAAATAAACGAAAACAATATTGGATTAAGAAGAAATTGAACTGAATCAAAGGCAGAGTTTGGCCATATTTTCAACAAACAGAATAACACAGTTGTATATAAAAATACTATACTTGAAGTCTAGCATGAACATGGTCCAGTTATAGGAAGGGGGTGATTATTAAAGACCAAAAAGATAATTATCGTTAGGTCTGAATTCTATATTTTTATTCTTTTAACTAGACTTGAAATCAGATAGAATACATTTTATATTAATAACTATATTTTTGCAATTTATACTTTATTTTTTTCCTGCTAAGCAGGCAAAATTCAGTGTTAAAAATGTTATTACCAAAAAGCATTATTATTTTATTATATAAGTGGTTCCATTTGTTTTTAAATAAATGGCTACGCAAATTCTTACTAACTAAAGAATGTATACTCTTTAATTGAAGCCTTAAAACACACTCTATTATGCAAAATGCCCAATATTTTTAAAAAGTGAATAGTCTCAATTTCTTATGATGTATGTACACTTATAATTCTTTGCTCAATACTATTTTTGTGACTTCCTTTCACTTCCCCTTCAGCAAAACCCCCCCCTTGTCACAACCTAGCCAAGAACAAAAAAGGTCATATGCGTAAGAGTTCCTTGATTTCAGTGGCAAGGGATGAGATTTTTTAAAGTTTCTAGCATTTCTGCAGAGTTGGGTTATAAGGGAAAGGCTTATCTAGAAAAAATAAAATCACAGGAGTAGATGAGGATGGTGTTGTCTATTTTAGTTGCTATAAGAATATTTACCTTCAATTACAACAAATGTATAATCTCTTACCTTAGTGACTCTTCTGGATTCAGATTCACTTTCAGGTTCTGACTCTGATTCAGAATCGGAAGAACTGTCTTCTATTGAACTAGATTCGTCATTTGAAGAATCTGAAGTTTTAGATTTTTCATTTTCCTTCTCCCCATCTTCAGAATCACTACACATAATAGTAAATTTTGAAATATGAACTTTAACTCCTTTATATAAGCAGTTTATAAAAAAATTGTTTTTAAATTCCAGAATACATTAATGAGGTAATAAAAAAGGTATTACCCATAACCAAATAAATTAGAACCCATTCAAATTCAATTCTATCCTGTCATACAAATTTCAAATGCAAAAAGTCATAAAATGACACTAAACAATATAATCAAAAGCAATGTAGAAAACATTAAATGTTTGATTTACCAAGAATTAAGTACTACCAGTAACAACGTTAAAGATATTTAGGCTGATTTTTTAAAACGCTATCTCAAAATACTGTGCCTGTGTGTGTGTGTGTGTGTGTGTGTGTGTGTATGTATGTATACATACATGTATATATATACGTATATACATATATATTCATGTATATATACGTATATATATACGTATATGAGACAGGGTCTCATTGTACAGTGGTGCAATCACGGCTCACTGCAGCCTTGACCTCCCGGGCTCAAGCGATGCTCCCATTTCAGCCTCCCAAGTAGTTGGGACTACAGGCATGCACCACCACATCCAGCTAATTTTATATTTTTTGTAGAGACAGGGTCTCACTAGGTTGCCTAGGCTGGTCTGGAACTTCTGGGCTCGAGTAGTCCTCCCAACTTGACCTCCCAAAATATTGGGATTATAGGCTTGAGCCACCACACCTGGTTTAGTAATATATTTAAATATTTATATATCTACTTCTGCTAAAATAGACTTGTATTTTATACATTTTCTACCCAAGAAAATTACTTACACAAGTTCCCAAATGTGACCTTAAACACATTCTATGAGAAAATGTTAACCAGTTCAAAGGAAATTCTTCTAAAGTACTATCTTGCTAAAAATTTAAGCTAATCAAATATAAACTTTTAAAATATCAAATGATCATACCTAAGTGCTTAACACCATTCATTTGTTCACCTGCTCAACAAATATTTATTAATTATTGACTACATGTTGGCATTATGCTAGGTGCTAAGGATAACGATGGTTAGTAAGACACAGAGGATCTCTGTGTGTCTACCCTACAGGGTCTACGGTCCACTGGAGGATACAGATAAGGTTGCAGTGATAATACAGTATAATAAGTAATAAGTAATAAATTATAGCGTGTCAGGAGAACATGTGGAGAGACACCTAAAAAAACTTGATCCAATTAGGAATGCTTCCTGGAGAAAGAGACATATAAGCCAAGATATAGGAGTAAGGCTGGCAGATGGGCAGGGAAACAGTTCTCCAAGGAGAAGGAATAACATGTGAGATGACCAAACACCCTTCTCTCAGGGGATGACAAATGCCTTGTGGTGCTTTATATTTTCCTGGAAACTAAAGGTCTAGTTCTCTCTACCACATGTGTGTGTATTTTTTTAAGAATCTACTGTGGGCCAGAAAGGGCTAGGCACTTCATACCAATCATACTAATTATCTAATTTAAATGCACTCTTCCTGGGTACATTATTATCCCATTTACAATAATGAAATTAATATTTAGAAAGGTTAAATAACCTGCTCAAGGGCACATAACAAGAGGGGCAGAACTAGAATCTGAACTCAAGCCTGTCTCATTCCAAAGTCCGTATTTTTTCCACTATGTCATACTATCTCCCTTCAAATGAAAATACCTTGGAGTGTAAAATTTAAATTTGGTCATAAATATTTATGATTACTAAAGGGTGGTTTTTGAAGATGTTTAAAGCTTATTAGGAGCTTTAAAAAATTATCATACTGGCAAAGTTAAAAAAAATTCTGAGACAGAAAAATACAGGGGGAGGGAGAGGAGTGAGACAAGGAAAGAATCAATATTTCCTAGAATTGATTTTTGTGGAGGAAATATGATTGCTATTTATTAAAAATGGAGCCATGGTAACATCTCAGAGCACATGTAATTATATTTGAAGACTGAAAAATATGTTGTTGTTTTTCCCTGGCAAAAAAATGGCAATTTATTATCCCCAATTCACTGGTTAAAATGTGTACTTAAAAATATAAGGTTTAGAATGTATTTGTGGTTCTCTTTGT
Source organism: Homo sapiens (assembly GCF_000001405.40). NCBI lineage: Eukaryota > Metazoa > Chordata > Mammalia > Primates > Hominidae > Homo > Homo sapiens. The sequence goes on from NC_000005.10 coordinate 78,112,409, forward strand.
AATAAACAATTCTTTTAAATTCAAACATGGGTAAAGAGAAAAATCCATTTCTGAAGAAAAGAATAATAAACCTAATACATGACTACAAATTTTGAGTATACTGACTTTTGCCATCTGAAAGGACATTTCATGCACTGAACAAAACTTTCCCTTTCTAGAAACAGGACATGTTTTATAACTCGTATCATCATAGACATGCTGATATTAAAGCAGAAGTACAGGATTTCTCTCAAAGACAAGGCTATTATAAACCAAGTAGCTCCTTTGCTGCAACAAGTGAATGATTCTAAATATATTCAACTTCTAGCTTTTAAGATAAGATTTTAAAAGTAAAAGTGTTATTTTATTATGCATCACTCAATTTTGATGGTAATTATTGTTTACCTTACTGCTTAGAGTTTCAGATGTTAATCTAATGAAAAGAATTTACTGGTAACTAGGTTTTTAACTTTGCAATGATGAAAAGCCTGTATTAATTTAACCTACAGATTTCATTTGTTCTGAACAGGAAAAACAATATAAATCACTTTTAAAATCATTAAATCCTGACTTAAATTAATAAAGTCATAATTAGGGCATTATGCTGTGTTTGTTATGGAAGTGGCAGGGAGAGCTGCTTTAATTACTGTCTGTAATAAAAGGAGCAGAGAGCGTACTGCGCCCCAATCAGTGCTGTCAGCCACGACTGAGCCGGGCTGCAAGCTCATCAAGTGAGCGGGCAGCAGGCTCCCGGGGAAAGGACCATCATGTCGGCAGAGGCCACTCGCTGACAGCAGCGGGGAAAACAGAGTTGCACAATCCAAGATATTAGACCCAATTACTCAAAATTTTAATGACACTTTAATACATGATAATGTTATTGATAATGGGAGATCTTAAAAAGTGCTAACACTTAAAGATCTTATGACCGTCTTCCTTCACAGCCCTTGACTCTAATATTTGGATCATAATCTTTTTAATATAACATTATTTAGAAAAATCAATTGTCTTGGTTACATAATGGCAAAGTGTTGAAGGATTTAATTTTAGCCCTCAGCAAAATCGCTACAAAAGGTAATTAAGTGTTTCATACCTATTGCTTGATCACTTAACTCAGCCTTCCAAGGTTATACCAATTTTCAAAATGTAACCCCAAGATATGTTCAAGTTCAAAATGAAAGCTAAGCATTACAAGTAGGAAAATAATGTGAACAACTAGCACTTTAATTTTAAAAAGATTTAATATCTGGAAAAAAATACACACTTTTTTTCTCTCACCATTTTTTGATTAATAAGAAACATCTCTGCCTGGGGCAAACTTTCACAGAATATTTTTTGAAGGAAATTCTGACAAAATAAGTTACCTTTTTCCTTTGGCTTTTGAGTTCCTCTTGGCTGTTCTTTTGTTTTCTAGGCCTGACTCCCGTCCACTCTCACTGTCCTGCTCACTGGAGGAGTCCTCACTGCTGTCCTCATTGCTGTCTCCTTCCTCCCCACTTTCGCCTTGTTCTCCACTTTCACTTCCAGATTCACTCTCTGAAAAACAGAACCAGATGTTCTTAGATTTATAGTCATTTAATTAGACACACGGACACCTGTAACTGTCAATATTCATCACAAATGAAACCAGATGTTGAATTTTAGTTCAGTGGACACCACTTGTTTAACATTTTATTCCCACACCCCATTCTTTCAGCTCTATGGATTCCTTTAGCACTGTGAGCTTGGAGGGAGGCAGACAGAGGATGCTCTGACAACGAGGAGAGAAAAGCTAAGCAAAGGTGAACCAAGTAAACCAAATTTGAGGGAATCTCACTTCAAACCCCAAAGTATATAGCTATGTCAAAAACTTTCTTTTAAAGAATTACGTAAGGATTGATGTAAGGCTAAAGAAATAATTTTGAATTCTTCTGCTTGTAATGGGAAATTCTATTTAGAGTAAAAGAAGGCAACAGTTGAATCTTCTTAGGAACAAATTTTGAGAGGAAAATGAGCCATTCAAATCACTTGGAAAGACCTCCAAATTCAAAGACAATAGGCAAAATGACTAATTAAAGAGTTATTACTTATTCGAGCTAGTAAACGAGTTTTCCATAGGTCAAAGAGATGATCAAGTTACACTGAGGAATTATACTTTTAAATGTTTTATGTGTAAATTATGGTATGCTAGGACTGTTCGCAGAAGAGAATACATGAAGAATATATGTGTATTTTTTAAGTGAAGCATAATTTTTACTATTTAAAATGACTATAACTACAGAGTTGTGTCCCAGACAAAAGGACAAACTGTTGCCCTGCCTGTGATCTATGTAACGAAGCCCTCTTAGGCAGGAACATAACCTTTAATTAAACATTCTAATGGTTAAATAATACCAACATCAGGAAGGTCCATCACAGTGAAAACCTAGGACTGCCTGTATTGTTTTAAGACGGCTTACAAGGGGTACAAGCATGGGTTCTCAAGTTAGTGTTCGGATTCAGATCCTGGCTCTTCTACTTGCCAGTTGTAAAACTGAACAAGTTATTCAACTTCTCTGGGTTTTGGTTTCCTTTTCAGCAAATGGGGATAACACTAGTTACTTTTCAGAGCTGTTGTGAAGATTAAATGATTTGAAACATACAAAGGAGATTAGAACACAACAGGGTCTGCCACAGGGTAAGGCACTCATCATTATCATCATTTACAAACAGGAAAGTTTATTTTACTAAAATAAAGCTACTAAATAAGGACATTTTAGATTTGTGGTAATATCCAAGTTACACGCACATACATATTAAGTCAGATAACTGGCTTATGCTATAAACAATGAAAGAAATTACAGGTAATGTATCACAGATTAATTTATCAGATACTAAAAACAAAGATTTTTGATAAGGAAGACAGAGAAAAGAAGAGTGAATTACCTTACAGTAGGGTAGCAGATAACCATGTAAGAGTGACAGGCCCTGGTTCTCCAAGGAATAAAGATTTTAGAGAAAGTTGGGTGTCGTTTGGTCTTGGGTCAGATTTGCCTATTAGCTTAAGTGTTAATAAGAGCATCAGAAAGTGACTACAATCTATTTTTCATTATGCAAATCACTCACAGAATTTTAGCAATGAAGGGACTTTAAGAAATATTTAACTGTACCCCTTCATTTATCTGATATAGAGAAAAGTAGGTGCCTTATTCAATTTGCATAGGTAAAAGCCAGGGCCTCTAAATCCTTCCTATTAAGCATTCTTTTCACTGCATATAGTTACCCTCAACCTTTAGTTTGATTTTTTTATAGTATATAGAGACTTAATAATTTTAGCTTTATCTCTATAGAGGTTCACAGAAAGAGATAAGTATAAAATGAAAGAGAAAAAGACTCTTCAAGGTATAAAATAAACTTTACGTTTTTGTAAAAGAAAGTTACTTTTAAAGACCCCACTAAAAGTTCATCAAGTGTAAAATTATGTTTTTCAATAGATATATTAGGCATTGTGGTTTAGAATTCAGAAAAGTATGAGTTCCTGTTTCAGCTATACCAATGTATCAGCTACTATCCAAGAGATATTGTAAAGTAAAAAGAGAATTTAGTAATTAAAAATTACTTTGAAAACTAAAGAGTGATATATAAATGAAAGGGATTATTTTGATAATACAAACTTCACTTAAAACTACCTGCTGAATATTATGGATTAGGCCTTGTTTCTGAGATATAGAATGTAATCTACTATGTAAATAATATATGCCAATAAATTATAAAACCCACCACTGTCACTGCTACTATCAGAAGAGTCCTCCTCTTCCTCAGATTCAGAATAAAACTTCTTAGCAGAATTCTCTTGCTTTGCTTTTCCTGCTGGGGTCCATTCTTTTGCCTGTTTAAACAAATAAAGTAAATATAAATGAATTCTCATTCAGAGATTTAGAGTTCTGGCAAACTTAATCATTAACAACATAACTGAATTCAAAAGCAAGCTTAAGGCCTCCACAGGGAATGCAACTGTTAGAAGTCCTGGCATTAAGGCTGATTCACTTTACTCCTAAATACAACAACACAAACTCTCACTCAGAGGCCCTATGTTAAACCAACAATCTTATTTTAAATATACAATTTTTAAAACTTTTGTGTTTTTTGGCCCACAGAAGATTTAAACAAAAGTAATATATCCTAAAATAGGTGAGCGAAACTAGAAGCAGATACAATAACAGCAATAACAAACACAAGTTGATAGCTTGACACTGAGGGAAAAGAGAGAAAAAAAAAAAGAAAGAAAAGAAAATATTTAGTGTAGGCAATAAATTGCCCTAACCATCTCAACAGCCTAAATCCTGGAGTAATCCTTGACTTCTCTTTTTTTCTCATATCCTAAACATCTAAGCCATCAAGAAATCCTGTAGCTACCCTGGTCTGACCCACCCTTCTCTCCTGGACTACTCGTTACCTTGCTTCTACTGCCCCTCCACCCTGCCCCCAGCAAACAAACTTTGCAAAACACAGCATCTAGAATGATTATATTAAAACCTAAATGAGAGCAAGCTCCTTTTTGGCCTGAAACCCTGCAGTGGCTCCCCATTTTACTCAGAGAAAAAGCCGAAGTCCCTACAACAGTCTGCACAGCCCAATACAACCATCCTTTCATGACTGCCCCTCCACAACTGTCCCCGTCGCCTGCCTCTCTCACCTCTTGCTGCTCACCCTCTTGCCTGATCTGCTCTGGCCATGCCTTACTGTTCCTCCAAACGTCCCAGGCATGCTCCCAGTTTAGGGCCTTCACCCTAGCTCTTGGCACTTCCAACACCATTCCCCACCACCTTTTTTTTTTTTTTTTTTTTAATCACAGCATGTATTACTTGTTAACATACTATACAATCTACTTGTTTTTTTAACTGTTGGTCTATCCCTGGTAGAATGTAAGTTTCTGGAGAGCAGGGAATTTAAAATATTTTGTGCAATTTTTTTTTTTTTTTGAGACGGAGTCTCGCTCCGTCGCCCAGGCTGGAGTATGGTGACAGGATCTCGGCTCACTGCAAACTCTGCCTCCTAGGTTCAAGCGATTGTCCTGCCTCATCCTCCCAAGTAGCTGGGATCACAGGCACCCACCACCACGCCCAGCTAATTTTTGTATTTTTAGTAGAGACAGGATTTCACTATGTTGCCCAGGCTGGTCTCTAACTCCTGACCTCAGGTGATCCACCTGCCTCGACCTCCCAAAGTGCTGGGATTACAGGTGTGAGCCACCACGTCCAGCCTATTTTGTTCAATTTTAAGTGTGGCTGACACAATAAATACTAATTATATTTATTAGCCTCTTAAAGACTTCAATATTAAATTCAGAAACATGCTTAAGAAAAATACTGACTTTAGTGTTTACTAAATATTGTATTAGTAACAGCATTTACTAATATGAGCCCCTTTAACCACTTTAATACAGAGTATTAGTTTGCTTTTATAGTCATGGCCTTGATTTGTCAAGAAGAAATTAAATCATGCTTCATATATGATTTTTTAAAAAGCAGGGAAATGTATACTTCTGAAAAGATAAAATAGTTGAGACTCATTTATTGATTGTACCTTTGAGTTTTTCCTATGTGCAAGTCTTTGCTAGAGTACCTATTTTATTGTAAAGGAGTCTACAGCATGACAGAATTTCTTATTCAAGAATGTTTCTCAGCACTGAATGTACAATAGAATCACCTGAGAATAGTTTTTAAACGCTAATATAAACAATACAAATATTAATACTAAAAAAACAAATACCTAGATTCACCTCCTAAAATTCTGATTTAATTAGTCTGGTGCACATTTGACCTAGTTTTGTTTTATTTAAAAAATCTCCAGGAGGGTGGAGCCAAGATGGCCGAATAGGAACAGCTCCGGTCTACAGCTCCCAGCGTGAGCGACGCAGAAGACGGGTGATTTCTGCATTTCCATCTGAGGTACCACCAGGTTCATCTCACTAGAGAGTGCCAGACAGTGGGTGCAGCGCACTGTGCGCAAGCCGGAGCAGGATGAGGCATTGCCTCACTCAGGAAGCGCAAGGGGTCAGGGAGTTCCCTTTCCTAGTCAAAGAAAGGGGTGACAGACGGCACCTGGAAAATCGGGTCACTCCCACCCTAATACTGCGCTTTTCCAACGGGCTTCAAAAACGGCACACCAGGAGATTATATCCCACACCTGGCTCAGAGGGTCCTACACCCACGGAGTCTTGCTGATTGCTAGCACAGCAGTCTGAGACCAAACTGCAAGGCGGCAGTGAGGCTGGGGGAGGGGCGCCTGCCATTGCCCAGGCTTGATTAGGTAAACAAAGCAGCCAGGAAGCTCGAACTGGATGGAGCCCACCACAGCTCAAGGAGGCCTGCCTGCCTCTGTAGGCTCCACCTCTGGGGCCAGGGCACAGACAAACAAAAAGACAGCAGTAACCTCTGCAGACTTAAATGTCCCTGTCTGACAGCTTTGAAGAGAGGAGTGGTTTTCCCAGCACGCAGCTGGAGATCTGAGAACGGGCAGACTGCCTCCTCAAGTGGGTCCCTGACCCCCAAGCAGCCTAACTGGGAGGCACCCCCCAGTAGGGGTAGACTGACACCTCACACGGCCGGGTACTCCCCTGAGACAAAACTTCCAGAGGAACGATCAGGCAGCAGCATTTGCAGTTCACCAATATCCGCTGTTCTATAGCCACTGCTGTTCTGCACCCACCGCTGCTGATACCCAGGCAACAGGGTCTGGAGTTGACCTCTAGCAAACTCCAACAGACCTTCAGCTGAGGGTCCTGTCTGTTAGAAGGAAAACTAACAAACAGAAAGGACATCCACACCAAAAACCCATCTGTACATCACCATCATCAAAGATCAAAAGTAGATAAAACCACAAAGATGGGGAAAAAACAGAGCAGAGAAACTGGAAACTCTAAAAAGCAGAGTGCCTCTCCTCCTCCAAAGGAACGCAGCTCCTCACCAGCAACAGAACAAAGCTGGACGGAGAATGACGTTGACGAGCTGAGAGAAGAAGGCTTCAGATGATCAAACTACTCCAAGCTACAGGAGGAAATACAAACCAATGGCAAATAAGTTAAAAACTTTAAAAAAAAATTAGACGAATGGATACCTAGAATAACCAATGCAGAGAAGTCCTTAAAGGAGCTGATGGAGCTGAAAGCCAAGGCTCGAGAACTATGTGAAGAACGCAGAAGCCTCAGGAGCCGACGCGATCAACTGGAAGAAAGGGTATCAGTGATGGAAGACGAAATGAATGAAATGAAGTGAGAAGGGAAGTTTAGAGAAAAAAGAACAAAAAGAAACGAACAAAGCCTCCAAGAAATGTGGGACTATGTGAAAAGACCAAATCTACGTCTCATTGGTGTACCTGAAAGTGACGGGTAGAATGGAACCAAGTGGGAAAACACTCTGCAGGATATTATCCAGGAGAACTTCCCCAATCTAGCAAGAAAGGCCAACATTCGGATTCAGGAAATACAGAGAACGCCACAAAGATACTCCTTGAGAAGAGCAACTCCAAGACACATAATTGTCAGATTCACCAAACTTGAAATGAAGGAAAAAACGTTAAGGGCAGCCAGAGAGAAAGGTCGGGTTACCTACAAAGGGAAGCCCATCAGACTAACAGCTGATCTCTTGGCAGAAACTCTACAAGCCAGAGGAGAGTGGGGGCCAATATTCCACATGCTTAAAGAAAAGAATTTTCAACCCAGAATTTCATATCCAGCCAAACTAAGCTTCCTAAGTGAAGGAGAAATAAAATACTTTACAGACAAGCAAATGCTGAGAGAGTTTTGTCACCACCCGGCCTGCCCTAAAAGAGCTCCTAAAGGAAGCACTAAATATGGAAAAGAACAACCAGTACCAGCCACTGCAAAAAACATGCCAAAATGTAAAGACCATCAAGGCTAGGAAGAAACTGCATCAACTAACGAGCAAAATAACCAGCTAACATCATAATGACAGGACCAAATTCACACATAACAATATTAACTTTAAATGTAAATGGGCTAAATGCTCCAATTAAAAGACACAGACTGGCAAATTGGATAAAGAGTCAAGACCCATCAGTGTGTTGTATTCAGGAAACCCATCTCACGTGGAGAGTCACACATAAACTCAAAATAAAGGGATGGAGGAAGATCTACCAAGCAAATGGAAAACAAAAAAAGGCAGGGGTTGCAATCCTAGTCTCAGATAAAACAGACTTTAAACCAACAAAGATCAAAAGAGACAAAGAAGGCCATTACATAATGGTAAAGGGATCAATTCAACAAGAAGAGCTAACTATCCTAAATATATATGCACCCAATACAGGAGCACCCAGATTCATAAAGCAAGTCCTGAGTGACCTACAAAGAGACTTAGACTCCCACACATTAATAATGGGAGACTTTAACACCCTACTGTCAACATTAAACAGATCAACGAGACAGAAATTTAACAAGGATACCCAGTAATTGAACTCAGCTCTGCACCAAGCAGACCTAATAGACATCTACAGAACTCTCCACCCCAAATCAACAGAATATACATTCTTCTCAGCACCACACCACACCTATTCCAAAATTGACCACATAGTTGGAAGTAAAGCACTCCTCAGCAAATGTAATAGAACAGAAATTATAACGAACTGTCTCTCAGACCACAGTGCAATCAAACTAGAACTCAGGATTAAGAAACTCACTCAAAACCGCTCAACTGCATGGAAACTGAACAACCTGCTCCTGAATGACTACTGGGTACATAACAAAATGAGGGCAGAAATAAAGATGTTCTTTGAAACCAACGAGAACAAAGACACCACATACCAGAATCTCTGGGACACATTCAAAGCAGTGTGTAGAGGGAAATTTATAGCACTGAATGCCCACAAGAGAAAGCAGGAAAGATCCAAAATTGACACCCTAACATCACAATTAAAAGAACTAGAAAAGCAAGAGCAAACACATTCAAAAGCTAGCAGAAGGCAAGAAATAACTAAAATCAGAGCAGAACTGAAGGAAATAGAGACAGAAAAAACCCTTCAAAAAAATCAATGAATCCAGGAGCTGCTTTTTTGAAAAGATCAACAAAATTGATAGACTGCTAGCAAGACTAATAAAGAAGAAAAGAGAGAAGAATCAAATAGATGCAATAAAAAATGATAAAAGGGATATCACCACTGATCCCACAGAAATACAAACTACCATCAGAGAACACTACAAACATCTCTACGCAAATAAACTAGAAAATCTAGAAGAAATGGATAAATTCCTTGATACATACACCCTCCCAAGACTAAACCAGGAAGAAGTTGAATCTCTGAATAGACCGATAACAGGCTCTGAAATTGTGACAATAATCAGTAGCTTACCAACCAAAAAAAGTCCAGGACCAGATGGATTCACAGCCGAATTCTACCAGAGGTACAAGGAGGAGCTGGTACCATTCCTTCTGAAACTATTCCAATCAATAGAAAAAGAGGGAAGCCTCCCTAACTCATTTTAGGAGGCCAGCATCATCCTGATACCAAAGCCTGGCAGAGACACAAACCAAAAAAGAGAATTTTAGACCAATATCCTTGATGAACATTGATGCAAAAATACTCAATAAAATACTGGCAAACCGAATCCAGCAGCACATCAAAAAGCTTATCCACCATGATCAAGTGGGCTTCATCCCTGGGATGCAAGGCTGGTTCAACATACACAAATCAATAAATGTAATCCAGCATATAAACAGAACCAAAGACAAAAACCACATGATTATCTCAATAGATGCAGAAACGGCCTTTGACAAAATTCAACAACCCTTCATGCTAAAAACTCTCAATAAATTAGGTATTGATGGGATGTATCTCAAAATAATAAGAGCTATCTATGACAAACCCACAGCCAATATCATACAGCATGGGCAAAAACTGGAAGCATTCCCTTTGAAAACTGGCACAAGACAGGGATGCCCTCTCTCACCACTCCTATTCAACATAGGGTTGGAAGTTCTGGCCAGGGCAGTTAGGCAGGAGAAGGAAATAAAGGGCATTCAATTAGGAAAAGATGAAGTCAAATTGTCCCTGTTTGCACATGACATGATTGTTTATCTAGAAAACCCATCGTCTCAGCCCAAAATCTCCTTAAGCTGATAAGCAACTTCAGCAAAGTCTCAGGATACAAAATCAATGTGCAAAAATCACAAGCATTCTTATACACCAATAACGGACAAACAGAGAGCCAAATCATGAGTGAACTCCCATTCACAATTGCTTCAAAGAGAATAAAATACCTAGGAATCCAACTTACAAGGGATGGGAAGGACCTCTTCAAGGAGAACTACAAACCACTGCTCAATGAAATAAAAGAGGATACAAACAAATGGAGGAACATTCCATGCTCATGGGTAGGAAGAATCAATACCGTGAAAATGGCCATACTGCCCAAGGTAATTTATAGATTCAATGCCATCCCCATCAAGCTACCAATGACTTTCTTCACAGAATTGGAAAAAACTACTTTAAAGTTCATATGGAACCAAGAAAGAGTCCGCATCGCCAAGTCAATCCTAAGCCAAAAGAACAAAGCTGGAGGCATCATGCCATCTGACTTCAAACTATACTACAAGTCTACAGTAACCAAAACAGCATGGTACTGGTACCAAAACAGAGATATAGATCAATGGAACAGAACAGAGCCCTCAGAAATAATGCCGCATATCTACAACCATCTGATCTTTGACAAACCTGAGAAAAACAAGCAACGGGGAAAGGATTCCCTATTTAATAAATGGTGCTGGGAAAACTGGCTAGCCAGATGTAGAAAGCTGAAACTGGATCCCTTCCTTACACCTTATACAAAAATTAATTCAAGATGGATTAAAGACTTAAATGTTAGATCTAAAACCATAAAAACCCTAGAAGAAAACCTAGGCAATACCATTCAGGACAGAGGCATGGGCAAGGACTTCATGTCTAAAACACCAAAAGCAATGGTAACAAAAGCCAAAATTGACAAATGGGACGTAATTAAACTAAAGAGCTTCTGCACAGCAAAAGAAACTACCATCAGAGTGAACAGGCAATCTACAGAATGGGAGAAAATTTTTGCAACCTACTCATCTGACAAAGGGCTAATATCCAGAATCTACAATGAACTCAAACAAATTTACAAGAAAAAAACAAACAACCCCATCAAAAAGTGGGCGAAGGATGTGAACAGACACTTCTCAAAAGAAGACATTTATGCAGCCAAAAAACACATGAAAAAATGCTCGTCATCACTGACCATCAGAGAAATGCAAATCAAAACCACAATGAGATACCATCTCACACCAGTTAGAATGGCAATCATTAAAAAGTCAGGAAACAACAGGTGCTGGAGAGGATGTGGAGAAATAGGAACACTTTTACACTGTTGGTGGGACTGTAAACTAGTTCAACCATTGTGGAAGTCAGTGTGGCGATTCCTCAGGGATCTAGAACTAGAAATACCATTTGACCCAGCCATCCCATTACTGGGTATATACCCAAAGGATTATAAATCATGCTGCTATAAAGACACAGGCACATGTATGTTTATTGCGGCACTATTCACAATAGCAAAGACTTGGAACCAACACAAATGTCCAACAACGACAGACTGGATTAAGAAAATGTGGTACATATACACCATAGAATACTATGCAGCCATAAAAAATGATGAGTTCATGTCCTTTGTAGGGACATGGATGAAACTGGAAACCATCATTCTCAGCAAACTATCACAAGGACAAAAAACCAAACACCACATGTTCTCACTCATAGGTGGGAAATGAACAATGAGAACACATGGACACAGGAAGGGGAACATCACACTCCAGGGACTGTTGTGGGGTGGGGCGAGTGGGGAGGGATAGCATTTGGAGATATACCTAATGCTAAATGACGAGTTAATGGGTGCAGCACACCAACATGGCACATGTATACATATGTAACAAACCTGCACATTGTGCACATGTACCCTAAAAGTATAATAATAAAATAAAAATTAAACACACACACACACACAAAATCTCCATATGATTATAATGCGCAGCTACATTTAAAAACCACTAGTCTAAGGCTGGGTGATGTAGCTCATACCTGTACTCTCAGCACTTTGGGAGCTGAGGCAGGAGGATGGCTTGAGCCCAGGAGTTTGAGGCTGCAGTGAGCTATGATCGCACCACTGCACTCCAGCCTGGGTGACAGAGCAAAATCATGTCTCAAAAAAATAAATAAAAGCAAATAAAAATAAAACCACTGATCTAGAGGGTTTAAGGTATGTTGCTTAAAAAGAGAAGCTTGAATATATTTGAATAAGATGCTTATATAAGATCAGCAGTATGGCTTTCTTTTATATTTATTTAAAATGCTTCTGTCTACAAAGATAGTATTCTATAAACAAAGCTCTCTTATATTTGGTAAACTCTGAAGTCCATATTTTTCTTAAATCCAAACATATTTCTCTGAGGTCTGATAAAACGTTTGTTGGATTAATTTAATAACACTAAATCAACAATTTCGGAAAACCAGACTTCTATGCTCAAACGTGCATTTTTTCTTGACATGGCCATGAATTCTATGGAGTTTCAGGTTTTAAAAGGCCAAAGACGAACAATAAAAGTATCTTAATTTGTATTGTGGTCCTTTATGACTAAAAGACCACATTATCATTGTAAGGAAAAGGAATAATAGGGAAAAGAAAAGAAAAGAAAAGAAGAGAACATAGACGCTAATTTGAAAGTTTCTGTAAAGGATAAAATATTGACAGATGTGTTTATGAAGCAAAATACCCTTCATATGCAGAAGGCGGTCTTTCTGTCAGTAGAGAAGAAAGGACTTTCTAGAACTAAGCAAATAAATTATTAACTAAGGATCTTCAAAACTTACTGGGATCATAATATAAATATATATTATATCCTATATCCTAGAAATGGTGGTGTGTAATTCAAAGTGACTTCTACTGTCAATCTGACTAGGTTCCCAGTCATTTTGATTAAAATATCAGATTATCTAAACCTAGGTCATTTTTCTTACTAAGTTATATTTCACAGTTACAGGACTTGACCATGTAAGATCACTTTACAGGAAAACTAGAATAACATAGTATATTATATGCATGAAATACAGTGACATGACTTGGAAGGGAGATGAAGTAGAGTGAGAGACAAGAAAGATAATACGGACATTATTTTTTGTATTGTAGCTGCATTTAAAAAGAAAACTATCTACGTTATTTTTATATTTAATTGTGTCCCTCATAGTATAATTTTAAGCCAATTGTCTCAGAGTCCAATAGACTGAAGCTGTTTTCTGCATGGCATCAACAGACAGTGACAGTTTTATCAAACCATGTTCAATCAGTTATAATGATTCTCTCTAAGTTACCAATTATTAATTTCATAAATATAATCAGCAAAATGAAAAAGAAATTAATTTGTCTCTGTTGAATTGGACAGGTGAAACGAACATAATATGTTATATTTAAGTACTGTCCCTATAAGGTAGTTAATGCTTAGAAGAGCACATGAAAATGGAAGAAGCCAGCCAACAAACCAATCTATCAGCCAATAAAGAATACTGCTGAGACCAAATTAAATTGCATAGCATTGCTATCAACTCTGAGAAGATAATGCTTTTTGGTGGGTGGGGGCAGCAAGGAGGGAGAGATAAGGCGGAAGCAGGGGAAGGTTAAAAGGATGGTTCTACTTGGGCTAAAACATCATGTACCCCATAATGAAAAAAAAAAACGAACCATAAAAACAACAAACAAGCATAATAAGAAATTAGGAGAGAAAGTATGTCCGTAGGAGGAACCATAACAAAGAACACTCTCTTTATATTCTAGTATCTGATCAAAAGTTGCACAAATAGGCTGGGCACGGTGACTCACACCTGTAATCCCAGCACTTTGGTAGGCTGAGGCGGGCAGATCACTTGAGGTCACGAGTTTGAGACCAGCCTGGCCAACATGGCGAAACCCCATCTCTACTAAAAATACAAAAATTAGCCAAGCATGGTGGCATGTGGCTGTAATCCCAGCTACTTGGGAAGCTAACGCAGGAGAATCGCTTGAACCTGGGAGGCAGAGCTTGCAATGAGCCAAGATCATGCCCCTGCACTGCAGCCTGGGTGACAGAGCAAGACTCTGTCTCAAAAAAAAAAAAAAAAAAAAAAAAAAAAATTGCACAAATAAGGCAACTCTTTTGAAGAGTACTTAAGAGTATGCAGATTTGAGTAAAAATCAACAAACTCAGCTGCAAGGAGGGATAGACATGTAATTGCTTCTCATATTTTTACATATTACTACTGTTACAAATTTTTGGCTGTCTCTAAGTACAGATCATTTGTCAAAACATAAAGATAATGGTGCTAAGTACTAAGGATAATACAGATTTGTGAACAAGCTCAAGGTTCCTCTTCTCATATTACATAATAAAATACAGTAACAGCATGGACAGTGAACTCAGACCTGGGTTGGAATATGGTTCTATCACTTACTTGCCATGTGAACTTAGGCGATTTACTTTAAGTTATCTAAGACTTGGCTTCCTCATCTGCAATGTGGGAATAACAATAACCATCCCTTACAATCATTATTAGGTTTAAACAAGATAGTTTTTATAAAACATTATCATCGTACACTGTCAGGGGTTCCTAAATAGTGCTATTATTAATTCCGGCCATGCTTCAAAGCCAGGATAAGTTGGAGTGGTTAAGAGAAACATTTAATAATTTCTCAGAGGAATCAAATTACATGGCCATGATCATTATAGAAATTCTATTTATTAAAGTAATAAAGGTTTTCTTCCACTGTATACAGAAAAATTGAGAGCAAGGAGGTTAACTCACTTTCCCACAGGAATTAGTAAAGAACCCCAGTTATCTGAATCCTAATTCAATGTATCTTTTCCACCAGAAAAGTATCCAGAATACAATTCTTAACTGCTTTTTTTGTTAACTCCACATTTTAAAGTATTAAATATATTTTGCATAATTGCTAAATACAATTAGAAGGCCTCTCTCACTTTTTCTTGTATATATGAGAAAGAAACAGATAATATTAGAAAAGAATGTTAATTCTTTTATCTCAATGGCCAGCATTTTTTTTAAAGATTGAGAAAAAGAGTATTTATATAGCAAATTTGTTTTTGATGAGAAAGCACCATATTATTCACTTTGTGACCTTGTCAAAGGACATTTTTGGTACACAATGCTCCCTATTTATGTTCAGGCTTCACTTAAAAATGGTTCATCAAAAAATCTAGAACACTTTGTGTGGTTTTTCTGAAAGAGAACAGCAGAAATTATTCAGAAGGATATTGTCAGGAAGCTTACAAATCTCTAAACAAAGTAGAAAAAACTTCATCCAATGAAACTAAATACCTTAGAAATTGAATCTACGCGGCTACAAATGCAATAGCACAAATGTGGGTGGCACTGATGCAGAGAATTCAGTTCTCTATTTCCTTGAAGAAAAGGAACAGTACATGTACAATGGCATAGGAATACTATAATATTTAGTTGCTATAAAGGCAAGGTATATCTAACACATTACATTTAGAAATACTAGAACAATTTTCAATTTTCAACTCTCCAAAAAAGCTTTTATATAAAACAATAGCTATCCTAGAGTCTTCCACTGCTTTGGCAAAATTAATTTCAGAAAGGTCAACTTACCAACTCTATTACTTCTACATTTCGAACTGATGGGTCGGGCGCCACCTCTGGCCAATTAGATAATTCCAGGTACCCAGTAGCTTTAATGTTGAGAGTATGAGATAAGGTGCCAAGCTGGAAATGATCTCTATCTATTAAAAATAGGGAAAAATATAAAATAAACAATATGAGCTGTATATAACAGAGAACAATCATAATCAGAGCTCAAGGTAATTGGCATATTACCTCAAATGTCAAGGAATAAATATAGACTAGGAAGCTCTTCATAGGTCAAAAAACTGATTTCAGTCCATAGATTACAATAATCTCCCCCATAATGGTCAATAAAAAAGCTAATCAGTCAGTGTGTTTAGAGGTGTTGCTCTGAAATGTAGCTTCTCTAAAAATTACTTTACTGTGAATATTAAGAATGACAGCACAGTTAAACAATCCATATACATGTCTTGGCACAAACACATCCAGAATTTTAATAGTTTTTCTACAAAACTGAATTGCTTTTTATCGCTTTAAAATAAGAACATTAAATAAGAAACAATATGAAAACCAAGGTATGTAACTATTTGATTCCAACTGGAATGGCTACTTGTAAGGTGGTAAAATACTTAATTACTCCTTTTAAAAAGCTGGGACACGTAAGTCAACTTCCCTCTTTGAAAAACCAGTTTAAATATAGAGGGATACTTTTTATAAAATAATTCCTCCTAGAAAAACTGATATTAGTGTACACAGAATATTTACTTAATAACTCACTATTAAAAGGAATTATATTTCTTATAAAACTATTTAAAAGAGAAATGAAGTCATTATTTATAAGAATAAGACAGTTTTCATCTATTGCCCAGTTTAAATGTTAGAATAAAGTCAGAACGCTTAAAATTATTTAGTAAATAAGGTCTACAAAAATATAAACTTTAATATAAAACTTGCTTTTGAGAGCAGATGAATGAGTAGAAAGCATGCTGTTCTTATATATTTATATATGCGAATCATTTATATTTCCTAAGAGATAAATTTTAAGCACATTAGAAATGGCAACATCTTGTCATAATTTTTTAGATAACATATATTTTGGAGTTATATTCTGATAATACCTTTAAAAGGAGACTCAAGCAGTGGTGCAGGCTTTTGTGCTAGGAATATTTTTTTGGCATATTTACTTAAAGCTCCACTCTTTACATTCGGAACAATAAGCTGCCTAATAAATCTTGTACGGTCTCTGATGTCGTAGTTTTGATCATACTTGCCGAGATTTAATATGTACTGGGTAAGCAATTTTGTCTGTTGGAAAAAAACAGATCAAGATGAGAATACAGTTATTTATGATTATCGATAACTCTGGATAAACATATTTAAAGAGGTAATAAAAATGAATGGTTATGTCAAACAAATGTTGTTCCATAGGGAATACACATTTCTAATGCTGCAAATGGAATTTTGAAGCCAAAGCACATGTCCTCTTCTGTACTGGGTAGGTGAATGCTGAGTATTGAGAAGCAGCCATGTGCTAGATTATTAAACTGCTGAAGTGGAAAGAAAGGCATCATTAAAAAAATAATCATATATGGCAAACCCGCTGAAGGGGTCTACGTGAGAATAATGAATGTGGAAATACAACTAAAAACATGGCACTCAAAACTTAATCGGAAAAATATGCAGGACATCAAAACATCAGAAAGTATTAGGGGGCTGGCAAACTGCTTCTCCTGAGGTGTGTTTTATGAAGAGATACTGTCCCTGGCATAAGCAGTGTCTGCACTCTGACTGCACTCAGTTACTTTACCCTGAATTATGACCCATTAAAGCAGACACATGAATCACTGAACTGGATTACTGCAAATTATTTGCAGTGCATTTAGCTGTTACTTTTTCATAAAAGCAAGCTGCTGATGCCCTCTGAAAACTAGGATAAAAGACTTCTTCCATTTTTCCCCCAAGCTGCTTATAGCCTCTAGTAATATTGGTCATTTATTTATTTATGTAAGGGAACAACTTATTATAGTAGCTTTTACACCATAATAAGACTTCCTAAGTCAATTTTTGAATGTACTACATTAACATATATTGAAATAATTTTAATAATTAAACCAAAATTGAAATGTTAACAAAACAGGTTTGTATTTTAAACTACAGTTATTTTATTGAAAAAGCATAGTTTTAACAAGAAGGCTACATGTGTACAATTTTAACTATAAGCCAAATAGAATTCATAATATATGGGAAAAATAAACCGAGAAACACTAAATCATTTACTTTAGATTAGAAGATTTTATGCACATTAGAAGCAGATAAAAAATAAAATCAATCAAGTTAGGCAGAGCTAAAGACAATTCTAGAACAATAAGTCAAAGTACAGAAATGGTGTGGTAAACTCTTTTACAATAATTGCTTAAGATAATTGATTTGATAGAAAGCAACCTTATTTCAGTAGCAGAGTAGTTAAAAAGGATTAACCCAGTTTTATTAAAGTAGAATTATAAAAAATACAAGTGAAAATGTTAATAGAGCTATTCTGAATTTGGTTACCAACAATTGCTATTCACTAATTGCTAGACCATGCTGGTTCAAGTACAGGTAAGAAAATTTCTATGATTCATTTTTTAAGACAATTTGCAAAGTATTCACCAAATGAGGAATACAATTCAAAACCAACTTAAAAGAAAATGTGGTACACTAAACCATGTAATTAATTTGCTGGAAAAACCTGGGAAATCCACTTAATCATTAGTTTTCTCAAATGTGGAGTTAGAATTTACAACTTGGTTAACTCTAAAGTCCATTTGAGTGCTGAGATTTTAAATCTGCAACTAAAATAAAGAAAGAGTCTCTTAATTGCAATGATTTTTTTGAGCTAGCAGAATGATACATTTGGCTTATATTTCTTAGCCCAAAATTAATTTTTAGGAAATTAAACATTTTCAATATGTTAACAATTTTGAAAGTTAGGTAGGGCATTTAAAGTAATTAAAATTATATAATTTAAAAATTTTTATTGACTGTAAAATGTATTATATTATAAGCTTATAAATAAGTTTTATTAAAATGTATTTTCAAAAATAACATTCTTTCTAAAAGATAAAAACAAATTTGTGTACAATGATGCACTAAAACCATAAGCAGAATAGTTATTCACCACACATTTACATACATTAATCAGTTTCTTCAGTGTATGTATCTAGTAACAAGGCATTAGTATTTCTCTGGAGAATACATTTTTATATGGCCTAAGTTTTTTTAAAAAAATAAAATTGCAATCTTTTTCCAAATTAAATTCTGCAGTGAGTAATTATAAAATTGTTGACATTTTCAACTTTCTTCTCTGTAGACCATATTTGGGTATAATGGAGAAAATACCCTCTTTACAGTATTTCTGGACAATCATGTAATCTCAGAGAAAATCCTACTGAATGAAGAATAGTACCAATCCTTGCTTTTATGTTAAAAACTGTCAATATTTCAAACCCAAATATTTAGCTTTTCCCCCATGTAGTCAATAAAAAGTTTTTACAATATTGACAACATTTTCAAATAATTATTTTATTTATCCTTTTAAAAATATGTCATCAATTTAGATACTACAAAACCAACTGCCTTCTCAATTTCATTTCATTCTACACAATATAAATTTTTCTAATTAAAAACAGGTGCTCCATCAAAAGAGTCTTCACGATAGGTGAGATAGTGCAAATGACAACCTCTTGATTAAATCTTGAGCTCTCACCATTTAACCTGTTCAGTTCTTCCCTTGCCTGTACAGGGAAAACTTTCAAAGTCTTTCTGTTTGCAAGACTTGTTTCTAATGATTGCTATTTGCTAAAATTTTTCAAAAGGTAAAATTTTTTGGCATTTACTAGTGACACTTTAAATAATCCAAACAATTTGTGAACCAAAACTTAACCAATATACAGAAGACTCAATTATCAATAAAAAATGTTTAAGCCAATATAAGAAACTTAATTTACAAAGCAGTTCTTCACAAAATCATGTATCTAAAATTCTGTTGCTAATATGCATTAAAGACAGTGTGTACTGTTATGCTATAGAATGGTTTTTCAACATCAGTTTCATCACAAGAATTTTATAGTTCGGTCAAACTGTGTATACTAATATCAGTAAATGTGACAACTACGGTTTTATTTCAACTGGCTGAATAAGCAGTTTGTTCGCATGCACAACAACCAATTCCTAAAACATTTCTCTTCCATAGTTTTCTTAATTAAATAAGAACATTGATTTTTACCATGACAACGTCCTTTCATCAAAAACAGTTTTATCTTCAAAGTTGAGCTTTTTAATTTACAACAGCATTTGCAATATTTTTGACAGAATAAACTTCCAAAAGCTTTACTTTGTTCCCATTTGCAGCCCTGACCAAACAAATATACAAATACATTGAATGAAAAAAGTCTATTTTTGGAATTAACTGATTTTCTGTTTGAAAACCAGCAGTGTTGGGCCTTTTTTCTACTAATGGAGCCACCACATTAACAGCTATTGTTTCATTTTTCATATGTGCATAAGAAAACATAGAATAAAAGTAAAAAACTAATTTTCAAAAAGTTATTTGATCTAAATGAGGTCATGTTTCACACAGAATTATATAAACATCTTCTGCACCTGTACGTATTAAATTACCTTAATGCATAATCTTAAAATAACTACTAGCTTTTTAAATGGATGTTGATCTTTTTGTAGCAGATTGTTGTGTCTTCTGGTTGTTGTGTGGTCAATGAGATCACCAGCACTCTCATGATGGTTGGTAAATGTCGACAAATATTTTATGCATGTTAAGTACTAAGTGGAAATTTAGCACTTTATTGTTTGTTAAATGTACACTTCCACTTTAAAAAATATATTGCTGATGATTTTATAACAAGATAAAAAAAGAACTGCCAAATAATAAAACAAACTTTAGACTTACACTATACAATAAATGACAAAACTACTGTAGCAAGAGTGCTTTCACCACTCTCTTTAATGACCTAGGACAGGACTATTCAGTCTTTACTCCTGCACATATTTCACCTATAACCAACCTCTAACTTCCCATGTTTTCCTTTAATTCCACCCACTGGCAGCCTGGAGCTTCATGCATCTCATAGGCCATGGCAACACTTGCTGGTATATCAA
Organism: Homo sapiens; assembly: GCF_000001405.40. NCBI lineage: Eukaryota > Metazoa > Chordata > Mammalia > Primates > Hominidae > Homo > Homo sapiens. The sequence continues at coordinate 78,133,157 of NC_000005.10, forward strand.
GTTGCTGGCAAATGAAGCATTGTTAAATACTCATCTCTCCACCTCCAGCAAAGCAAAAGACAGCTTTTCCCACCTGCTTTGTCAGAGTATACTTCATTTATCAGCACAAATCCTGCCTGCTGTTCTAAAAGGAAGAAGTTAGTTATGTTACATCTAGAAAGGGTGGGAAAAAGATACAGTCTTTCAGATTTAAATGGCTCACATATTAAAATGAAATCTCTGTTCACTGCACTTGTGTCTTAACATGCCACTAGACAAAATTATGGCAGAAGATAGAAGACCTCAAAGCGGAGGTCTACAAATTAACTGTGCTATTTTAAGGCAAATATTAGTGATATTACTTCATTAAAAATTTGGGACAAATCCTAAACTAGATGGCATGGAGACAACAGGCATAAATTAGATCTGTCCAGGGAAGCTGTTAGGAAGAAAACAGACAACATTTAAGTACAATCATGACATTTTAATATCACCAGAGGCTCAATCCAAAACCAGATGGGATATTAATTAAATAGTACTTTTAAATTTGTTTTATTCACAAATTACACAAGATAAGCAATGACAGTATAATGTATTATCATTAACAAAAATATTCAATATCATATATACAGCTATTTATTAAATTTTGTTTTCAGACTAATTTTCCTGCTTAGATTTAAGGAACCATTATTGGTACCAACTAATGGCTAATGCTATCCAGACACTAATTATATCAATTACATTTTCTTCAGATTGACTCTAAGTCACTGTGACACAGGAAAAATGAATTTGAAGAACTGTTACATAAAAATTAAGAAATTCATTATTACACAGTGAAACCCCATCTCTACTAAAAATACAAAAAATTAGCCGGGCATGGTGGCGGGCACCCGTAGTCCCAGCTACTCAGGAGGCTCAGGCAGGAGAATGGCGTGAACCTGGGAGGCGGAGCTTGCAGTGAGCCGAGATCGCGCCACTGCACTGCAGCCCGGGCGACACAGCAAGACTCGCCTCAAAAAAAAAAAAAAAAAGAAATACATTATTTAAAAGACTTCTCAAAATACTCTGACAATAAACTGGGAAATATTTATTCAAACAATAGCTTTCTTCTAATAGATTATAAGTCAGTACAAATAACTAAAAAGGTCTCTTAAAATATAGTCCTAATATATATTTTACTATTAATACTATAGTTCTAATAATATCTTTACTATTACATAAAAAGGACACAGAAGTCTGCATTCGGCATAGTAAAGATTTATATTGGTTCTACATTGCTGTTATTTTTTAACAGGATGATACAAACAAATATGTTTGGTAAATGAAGTAAACTCTACATAGAATTCTTAACTTACACCAGAGGCAAACCTAAGCAGTACCGTTGTTCCATCTAATTAGTTTCTTTCTTTCTTTCTTTCTTTTGAGATGGAGTTTCGCTCTGGTTGCCCAGGCTGGAGTGCAATGGCGCGATCTCAGCTCACTGCAACCTCTGCCAACCAGGTTCAAGTGATTCTCCTGCCTCAGCCTCCCAAGTAGCTAGGATTACAGGCATGTGCCACCACACCCGGCTAATTTTTTTGTATTTTTAGTAGAGACGGGGTTTAACCACGTTGGTCAGGCTGGTCTCAAACTCCTGACCTCAGGTGATCTGCCCGTCTCGGCCTCCCAAAGTGCTGGGATTACAGGCGTGAGCCACTGTGCCCAGCCCTAATTAGTTTCTTAATTTCATGACTAAACAGGATTCTTTATGTGACTTAGATGTAATTTCTGAATTTAATAGTATCTACCTTTTTGTCAACTTGAAAAGTTTTCTGTAAGGTCTTCCTTTCTGTATTATATTTACTTGAGTTTTTCAATGCCAGGAAAACATATCAAAGAAAGGATAGAGATGTCACTTCAGAGTGTCCAAGTCTCCTTTTGTTAAATCACATTAAAGAGGCTTTGGGGGAAGGAGATTTCTCCAAAGACCTGAATCACGGGCAAGAGAGAATCTGCTTTTAACTTTAGGAGGAATCCCTAAAACATCAGTGTGATTTACAAAATCTCTCACTAAGAGTAAAAAAGAACTCAAGGAAGCACTTTCTTTTTTAATAGCAGAAAAGTAGAAACTTAAATGTCTGACAGAGATAGTAATTAAATTATATCTACACATATCCATATTTCAAAAACATGATATTAAGCAAAAAAAGTTGCAAACATATACATAAAGTAGAATATCTACTTATGTAAAATTTGAAAACTCACAAAAACAACCATACATTGCTTATGGATGCATATTCATATAATAAAAATATAAAACAGGGATGATTGAATGAAACACACCAACAAGGTGGCAGTGGTTACCAATGGGGAAGAAACGAACGTGTGAACAGAAGCTTGAGGTTCTAGTTCTATACATCTTACATTAAATAAATAAATAAATAAATAAATAAAGGCAAATGTGAATATCAACTTAATCCTAGTGGTAGATATACACATATGTATTTATGCTATTATGTACTTTTCCATAGGTTTGCAATATTTCATAACTAAAAATCAAAATGAGCTAAGAAAAACATTAACTTATAGCACTTATCACTACATTTAAAAGATGACATACTATTAGAGTTTAAAATCAAAAGCATCTTTTATTCATTAACTTTTAAATTGTTATTAATTTGTTTAATTAAATCCTTTCTTCCTCAAACTTCAGTAGACTATTTCAACGAACTCATGCTAAATCTTTATACTGCCTTAACAGTTCTAGATTTCAGCAACTTCAACTGGTTTCAGTCTTTCAACTTTTTCCCCACATAAAAGTGAAATTACTCCTGTGTGAGAGTATTCTAAGAGTGTTTTCTACTCTTGATACTTATTTCTAACCATTTTTTTCTTCACAGACTGAAAAAAAAGAGGGGCGGGGAGATTTCAGCATCCTACTTAGAAAATCTCAGTAGGATAAACCCAAATCAGTAGTTTTTTTTCCTAATAAGAATACACTTTTTGTCAGTAACTAGACTAGTTTCTTTACTGTAAATCATCATATTCCCTAAGAAGAATACAGCAGTTGCTCGCTAGGGTTACAAAAGAAGGATAACTAAAATGAACTAGGCACTATTATGTGCAAGGAAATCTAAGCATTTTACATGAACTGTTTCATGTTATCCTCATAATAACTTTGTGAGGTAGGTACAGTCAGTTCTGCTCTAATGCTTGTTTTGAAAATGTGCATTTGTTCCAACTCAGTTGGCATATTAGGGAACAATTTGGGCATAACATGAATTTTGTGGTGATTTCTTCTGCAAGAAATACTAGGTGAAGGCATAAAAATGCACCCAGCTAAACAGAGATGTGTAGGAATACACAAAACATACATACCTCAAACATGTACTTCAGAGGTTAACATCTACATGTGTTATGCGCCATATTCATGCTCATTAGGAGGCACAACTTTCCATCCAATTTCAGATTAACCCTCTTTCTACCGCTGAACAAGTATAGCCTTTCTTCCATAAGCAAACCTCAAGTCTTTTTCAATATAAAGAGCAGTATCATTGTAGTATTTATTTGTTAACCATTTAACACGTGTAAAATTGTACTTCTGGTTTTTTTTTTTAGGTTCCTTTTTAAAAAATATGTCACCAATATAGTTTTTGAGTGTTGCCACTCTAACTGCATTTTTCTAATAATCCCTATGGTTTTTATTGTGTGATTTTGTATAGCACAATGATTTTAGAAGCATACATGTTGCAATATAGCAAAATTGACTATATTATAATAATTCCCATTTTACAGATGAGAAAATGAAATCTTGGATAGGTTATATGATTTGTCCAAAATCATGTAAGTGGCACAACATGATTTGAAGCCAGGCAGTCTATTTACCATATTATGCAACCACTACCACCATCCATCTCTAGAATTTTTCATCTTCCCAAATAGAAACTCTGTACTCATTAAACAATAACTCCCCATCCTGGTTCTTCTTATGTTGAGTAATTTTGGATATACAAGATACATTTGGACATTAAGAATGCCATGTATTTTAGAGACTCTGGACATAGTTAAACTCTTTGAATGAGTACAGGATTTTCATTTGTTTTAGCAGGTAATTAACTTTGTTGGGGTTCAAGGTACAAACTCAGTCTCTTGGGTACACCTCAAATTTCAGCTTGGTTCTTTAATTCCTAGCTGTGTTTCTCTGAATCCACCCTGCATAAGTATGGTTCAGATGCCAGCCAAAAACTTAGGTACAATTACTCCCAGATTTTGAGATTCTCCCACACTGACTCTCTCCTTTCTACTATTTTTCCTTAACTTTCCAATGTCTGTAGCTTTCCTGAACTCTCTTCTCTACTTCCTCAAGCCAGAAGGACTTTGAATTTCCTTTTGGAGGTCTAGCCACTGTGCACAGTGCCAACTGCAAACTGTCCTCAGGATAAAAGCCATAAAAACAGGGAAAATAACTCTGTGCCATTTCCTTCTTCTAAGTATGAATTTCCCTCCAGATTCTCTTGCTTTTCTTTACTATTCTGTGTCTTCAGAAAGTCGTTTGTTTCTTGTATTTTTCTGGAGTTTACAGCTGTTTTCTATGGTAGGGTCAGTCTAGGATATACTCAAAACAGACTGCTAACTAATTTTTAAATTATTTTTTATATTAGGTCAAAAATAGTTTGAGGCAGATAAAGAAATTTACTATTTGATTATTCTTCAAACATACAAATAAATACAATATGCTAAATCTTATAAAAATCAATTTAGACATTCTCTATAACCCTAAATAATTCAATAAAAATTATAGAAATGCTCACTGAGGTATTTAGGCCACCGGGAATTCAGATCTACAAATAAATATCAAGACTTCACGGCAAACCAGCTACTCATCACTGTAATCGACTCTCCCTAGCTTAGTTTTAAAGATGGCTAAAATAAATAAGTAGAGAAAACAATTCTTAGTATTTCAGTCAAAACAATTATTTTAGTCTGTCTTATATCTAATGGATTACACAAATTTTAAAAATTCTATCAAGTTGATAGTGCTTAAAACCATTCTTTAAAACTAATTTTCAGGCTGGGTGCAGTGGCTCACGCCTGTAATCCCAGCACTTTGGGAGGCTGAGGCAAGCGGATCACTTGAGGTCATGAGTTCAAGACCAGCCTGGCCAACATGGTGAAACCCCATCTCTACTAAAATACAAAAAAAAATTAGCCAGGTGTGGTGGCAGACACCCATAATAAGCTACTCAGGGGGCTGAGGCAGGAGAATTGCTTGAACACGGGAGGCAGAGGTTGCAGTGAGTCGAGATCACGCCACTGTACTCCAGCCTGGGCGATAGAGGGAGACTCTGCTCCAAAACAAAACAAAAAACAACTAATTTTCAGTTGCTAATTCTCTCAATCTCCTCTTCTTGAGAAATATTCAAAAACAGAGAACAACTCTTCAAGACACTATTAATCTATTTTCATATTTAATCACTTAAAAACAATGAGCTACATAAAAATTTGTGATTAAAAAAAATCACTGTGTTTTCACCATTAGGTGGTGAGGCCTATTGTAGTTTCCTAGAAGTATCATTCTAAAATATAAAATATCACGTCTGTAATCCCAGCACTTTGGGAGGCCGAGGTGAGCAGATCACTTGAGGTCAGAAGTTCGAGATCAGCCTGGCCAACACGGTGAAACCTGTCTCTACTAAAAATACAGAATTAGCCAGGCATGGTGGCACATGCCTGTAATCCCAGCTACTCAGTGGGCTGAGGCATGAGAATTGCTTGAACCTGGGAGGTAGAGGTTGCAGTGAGCCAAGATCATGCCACTGAACTCTAGACTGTGTGACAGAGGGAAACTCTGTCTCAAAAAAAAAAAAAAAAAAAAACACTTCAGAAACTGAGCTCCAAAACTGCCATTAATAATAGAGATCAAGAAAAAAAAAAAAAAAACCTGAGTGCAAACTAGTTGTCTTCAAATTCACTGGGTAAAAAGACATGAAACATGCTCTACAATAAACAGTACTACATTTCATTATTGGTTATTCACAGCTACAAAGAAAAGAGCCAAAGAAAGAAGCTTTACTTAGTTTGATTAAGTCTTGATTGACATTTGATTTTGGTATTACTTTAACAATAATCCATAAGCTAGATATATTTAGAGTGGCCAAACCAGACAGAAAAAAATCCTAAGAGTCTAGGTATCATATTGACTTTTGCCATACCACAGGGATTTAGTGAACACCATGGAGTTTCAGGCTAAAACTCCCTCTATTTTATCAAGAAACATGAAACTCAACAGCAAACATAGGTCTTTCTTTACTCAGTTTTTAGAAAGCATCTCAATGTATGAAGAAATCTACAGACACTTGGAAAGGATTAACTGATTCCTTTTAAAGATGACTTAAAATGTAAAGACAAAATCTAAATAATGGAAATATGCTCCATTATTTGCAATTATCTGGTTACAAATCTTGTAGATGAATCAGCAAAAGCTATAATAAGATAACTCATATCACGATTAGGGATGAAGATAATCCCAAAGCATATAGAAATGAATTTGAGGAATCGACCTAAGGATTCTGAAAGGCAAACATTAGTTTACTAGAAAATAAGTGTGGTCTATGGGGAAGCAGGAAAGGCAGACAGAGAGGGAGACACATATAGAGAGATACACAGCAAATACAAAAAGAGAGAAACAAACAGGGATGGAAGAGAAAGGAGACAATGACAAACACACTGGACTGTAGTACGGGGGCGGGGCACGAAGGGATGAAGGATGTCAGAGAGATATCTAGGCAGAAAGAGTTTTGGGGAAGGGGACAAAAACAAAGAGAGGGGAGGTGGAGAAAAAAAATCACAAAGGCAAAAGTAAGAGTCAGAGGAAAAGTGAAAATTAGAGAAAAATAGATAGGACACAGAGCATAAAGCTTCCCAAGAAGCCTAGCTGCAAATGAGCAAGAATCTTTTTCCAATTTACTAAACAGGTAAGTCCACTCACAGAGAATAGCAATTCAGATATAGGAAAAGTCCCTATTTCGTACATGGAAGCAAAAATGATTCCTCTTATTAACAGCTGCTCAAAAAGTCAATGGACTTAAAAAATGAATATTCTAAACTGCAAATCTGGTAAATTATACTACTATTAAAAGTGGTTTCCCTTTCCTCTGCAGGACAAGGTCCATACTACTTAGCAGAGCATACAAGCCACTCCATGCGTTCAAACTGCAAAATGTCTTAGTCCATTTGGGCTACTGTTAGAAAATACCATAAACTGGGAAGCCTATTAATAATATAATTAATAATAAAAATTTATTTCTCACAGTTCTGGAGGCTGGGAAATCCAAGATCAAGGTACCCACAGTTCTGGTGTCTAGTGAGCACCCATTTTCTAATTTACAGATAGCACCTTCTCACTGTGTCCTCACATGGCAGAAGCAGCAAGCTAGCTCTCAGGGATCTCTTTTCTAAGAGCATAAAGTTCATTTATAAAGGCTCCACCCTTATGACCTAATCACCTCCCAAAGGTCCTACCTCCTAATACCATCACATGGGTGATCAGGTTTCACCACATGAACTTTGGGGGATATAAACTTTCAGACCATTGTACCTGCCATTCTGGACTCACCTTCAAAAAGTTTCCCAGAAACACCAAGCTGTTTCTTGACTCTGACCCTGTGCTTTCCTCTTTCTGTACAGTAAACCACTCTTACAAGCCCTTAGTCAAGAGTTTCATCCTTTATAAAATTTTCTCTGACCTCACATCGACTTCAGACTTTATAATTCGTCTAGAATTCCACTGTATGTCAATACTTCTGCTACAGCATTAACACACACTATTTCATTTTTTAATCTGTTTTCTCTCTTACTAGACTAGAATGTCATCTGTTTGCACTAGTATCATCTAACATAGAACCTGAAACAAACAGGCACCTAGAAATTGTTGAATGGTCAGACTAATGAAGGCACAGACCCCCGCTGTTTGATCAGAGTGAAGAGGAAAGTACGTATTAGATAGGTTGACTAACATTTGCCTCTCACCTGTTTGGAGTTGGTTAAATACAATTTTGCTCCCAGATTTAATATCTGCAGTTTTACCAGATCATCTTCACTAGTGAAGCTTTTAGCCATCTTCCTCAAAACATCAGGGGCAATTTTAGGAACTCGTTCACAGTTTTCTCCAATTAGCCAAAGAATACTTGCTCTAGCAACAGGAACCTAATATGAGAAGCAGATTACATAGTTAGAAGTAAGTTAATCATACTCTAATATTAACATAGAAAAGGTTTTAACTATTACAAAAGTTTTACAGCTATTAATTAATTTAATGTATATCTAGGAATTAATCCTGTATTTATGAATTTTCGTCAGTTATCAAAAAATAAACACATAGGAAATCTCATTAAAATTGATTTCGAAGAGAATATCTTAGAAAATATTCATACAGCAAAAACCGATGGTCTAGAATCTAGATTCTATCAGAGACGAACAAATTCTAGAAGCCAGTCTAGCTGCCCATACCTATTTGTTTCTCCATTATCTGTTGCTGCTTTTGTGCTATAATGGCAGAAATAGTTACAGTGAAGACCATATGGTCCTCAAAGCCAAAAATATTGACTGTCTAGCAATTTATAGAAATGGTTTGCTGACCCCTGCTCTAGAACAGCAGTTCCCAAACCTCAATGCCCACAAAAATCATCCAGGGTTCTTACTAAAAAGACAGGTCCTGGGATCAGCTCCAAAATAGTATTTCTGTGGTGGGGCCCAGAAATCTATGTTTTAATTTAAAAAGCATCACAGATGACTCCTGAGACAGGTGGTCCACAAAGCCCATTTGAGAACCCACAGATAATACAGAAAAAGAAACAGATCAATTAGGTACTATGATTCCAAATCAAAACTGTTTTTGCTCTTTATGTATTAGCATCTACAACACTGGAAATATATCAAACTGATAAGATCATCAAGGTCTGCTTATAAAATCATGAATCCCAGTCTATTATTTGGTCAACAAAAGAAACAGGGATAAATTTGTCCAATATTGCATTTTGGCACTATATTTTTAAATAAACTGCATTTCAATATAATTTATGTTCTTAAAAGTCACTGCTTTGTGACAAATTGGAAACCTTCCATCAGTACCATTAAGACCAACAATTTAGAGTATGCAAATTAGTTTTATTACTATTTGCTTATTTGCATCCTCCCCTATTCCAAAAGGAATTTGAGAGGGTGTGTAAATTCATTTCAGTGAACATTTTCACCTCGCACAGAAAATTTGTTTTTTATAATAAGTGAAAAGGCTGACAGCTATCATTAAAAGGTGGCATCACGAGGAAAGATAATGTTCTTTTTATGAAGTCCTTTTACAATTTCTCAAAGTCCTAATATTTTCTGTAGTTTCATGGCTATACATAGTAGGATTGTTAAAGAAAAAAGTGAGAATAAGGACCTTTCCATAGCTAAAATTTTATCACAATATCTACCATTGCAAAATCTTTCAAAACACCCACATTATGAAATTATATAAAAATATTAAGTTACAATATTGAGTCCTTCACTAGAATCAGAATGAGATGATCAAAAAAGCTTTTAAATAAAAAGGTATATATTTTAAAACAGTGTAACAGCATGTCTTTAAATTATTATTTAGCATGTTTGGTGAGACACAAGAAATCCATATACTTGTGCAATTAGAAAAAGGTCTAAGTGCTATTAAAAATCTATTCATGCAGTGTGATAAAACTGATGCCCTTACTGCATACTGATTTCTGGAAAGAAAAGAGGTTATTTCTAACGTTCCAAAGGTTACACTGCATTAAGACCTTACTCCCAATCTATTATTTTAAATTGGGCTAAAGAATAGTAATTGAGTGGTACATTAAATTTTCCAGTATAGAGGAATTCAAGTTGCCTGCCATAATGAAAGGTAGTTCTAAATAAGAATATATGTGCAACTTCAAATTTCAGTTATGCTAGATTTATTTTTCTTAAATATTTTATTATATATTGCTAGTATAAAAATCAGAATTCTATGACATACCATAATCTATTATCCCATTTTAAGTAATTTTCTTCTGGTAACAATCTTTTGCAATTAAAAAGACGATCCCAAAAACAAGTAATGTTTAAAGAGATTGTTTATATTCATGAATATACTAAAATTAAAATTAAAATATTGGAATACTGTAAACACTCACGATACATATATTTAAAATACAACTCTTTGAAAAAATTAAAAATCAATAAATCACAATGCTCACAATAAAAATCTCAAGATGGTGGTGAGAATAAGATTTGTAGTTTTCTAGAACTGAGCTAATAAAATCCCCAAGAATTTTTAAAACTTAGAAAACTTCACCACAAGAAATAATATCAATATAAATATACCAAACTTTTGGTGATGGCATTGTATTACAAAGCTTAGGAAACTGACAAAGACAACATTTTTGAGCAGGTGGATGGGATCAGAATACTAAGATTTTTGGATTCCAGCTTTCCCTTTCTCTTCCCATTAAGCAACAGGACTCTCATTTATACACCATTGACACTATGAATTCACAGCCACTACTTTCAAAGATTTGAAGCACCTGAAAAAAAGGCAAGTAAGAAAATTAGTCACTTTTTAGAGGCCAGGCACAGTGGCTCATGCCTAAAATCCCAGCACTTTGGGAGGCTGAGGCGGGTGGATCACTTGAGGACAGGAGTTTGAGACCAGCCTGGCCAACATGGTGATACCCTGTCTCTACTAAATATACAAAATTAGCCTGGCACACTCCTGTAATTCCAGCTACTTGGGAGGCTAAGGTAAAAGAATCACTTGAACTCAGGAGGCAGAGGTTGCAGTGAGCTAAGATTGTGCCACTGCACTCCAGCCTGGGTGACAGAGCGAGACTCTGTCTCAAAAAAAAAAGAAAAGTAAATTAGTCACTTTTTGTTCCCCATGGTCTTTTTAACCACAAAATAAATAGGAACACTGAAATAAAACCAAACTAATAATACACACACAGACACAGACACAGGTACAGACACACACACAGAGTCATACATATGATATAATACTTTCATTATGAAGCTCTGCTTTTCAATATTCTCAAAGACAAATTGGATTGTAAATGACTTTGCCTGATTCTTTATTCTAAATGCCCTGAGAAAGTGATTAAATGCACTTTTCAAACCTTGTACTAGAAGGCAGTTTCCACGGCCACCACAACCCATTAATTTGCCAGCAAAAACAAATAATGATTCCTAGCTCACCACAGCAGCTATAGAAAGACATCTAGAAAGATTTTGCAGATCACTCTGTAAGCAGTTCAATTTAAAAGCTATTGTGTTTCAACACCAGCCCACTGCACAGTGCAACAGTCCAAAGTAAACCCTACAAAAACATCAATTTCATTTATTTAAATTTGTCAAAGGCAAAATCAGTAGACATCTAAGCAAACTGCATACCAACAGCAAATCAGATCTAATACTCTGTATCTGGACTCAATATGCATTAAAGCCTAAGCCTGAATTACAATGGGGTGCCAGAGAAAGGGTGGGTAACTTGTGAAATGGCAGGCATCCTGTGAGGCATCTGGGCAACAAGGATACAAAGTGCTATTTCAATATTACTCAGTTTTTACAGAATAACATCTTTCAGTTGTTAAGATATGAAATCCCATCTGTCCCATTAAACATTATGTGAAATCCTGTCAGAGCAATCCACAGGTAGTATGGGTTGTTTTGTTGTTGTTGTTGTTTTTTAAAGACAGGGTCTTACTCTGTCATCCAGGCTGGAGTGCGGTGGTGCAATCATTGCTCACTACAACCTCAAACTCCTGGGCTCAAGCAATCCTCCCGCCTCAGCCTCCCAAAGTTCTGGGATTACAGGCATGAGCCACCATGCCAGCTGATAGTATGCATTTTATTCTAGAAGAACTCCAAAACCAGTATTTATCATAAATGAAGGATACGCCAAAGGACAGAATACTCACAATCAGAACATGTAAGTTGACTGTATTACAGACATAAATCTATTTGATTTGACCGAATTCAAAATGTAAAATACATTTAAACTTTAGTTTTTATATTTTCAATTATTACTAAATAACCAATTAAAACAAAGCCCTCAATATGATAAAATCTATGTTCTCTTTTTAAAACAAATTACATAGCTAATATCTATTGAGCTCTTACCATGTGCCATGCACTGTTTTTGAGAGCTTTACGTATTTTCTCAGTCATTCATCGCCAAAGCCCTATGAAGTATGCTCTACTATGATCTGCACTAGACATATGAGGAAACTAGGTAACAAATGAGTTAAGAAACTTGCCCACATCTCACAGCTGGTTAGTGGTGGAACTAGGATCAGAACTCCAAATCTGAATCCAAAATTCATACTGGATCACTGGGTAGCGACAAAATGAGTGTGGTAAACTAGGAAGAATACTGGTCAGCAAGCTGTTGAGACCGGTTCTGATCCCACACTGATGGTGTTACATCAAGGAGGCAATTAACTTCACCTCACTGGGGTCATATTTACTTATTAATCAGATGAAGGATTATTCCTTCATCCTCTGTTTGTCTGCCACATTGTGCAATGGCTCCCTTAGTGCCTCCTGCCATTTCCCCAAGAGCCAGATTTTCAGGGCAGACCCAGGCCATCCTCTTGCCTGTTCCCACACCCGTGTATAGTGGGACATTTTCCCACTTCTTTCACCTCTTCTTTTAAGGATAGGTAAGGTGGCCAGGTGGGAAGAGGTCTTGCTATCACTTCTGTTCTCTCTCCTTCCAGAAGAAAGATGGACCCAGGATTCTGCCCTAATAAAGTGGCTCAGGCACTGAAGGAAAACATGCTCAATATTGACCCATTGTCCTTAGATATTGGACAGACTGGCTTTTCCTAAAATTGCAGTGTTTTAGAATGACACTCCTGGGTTTGATGGTGAAATAGGTAGAGATTCAGGAGGACAGAAGTCTCATTTAAGGCTCTTATTTTAAGGCTCACATTTTAAAATCACTTGCCTACGTTTAGGAGTTATCAGGTACTTGGTCGGATTAATAAAACACTGCTTTTATTTCCACATGGCCATTGTTCTTGTATAAACAGCTCTCCTGACTGGAACAGAGAGATTCTGGGGATTCAATCATTCTTCTTTCCTGACTTTGAAGTTATGTCTGCTACATCCCTCATCACCTTCTCCTGGGGTAACTTGTGGTTGACCATTTTGAGGGTTCTGCACAACAAATTGTTTTGATTCTTCCTTGCTTGTCCCACCTTCAAGCACTTCAGTTTCCTCAGATACGTTAGATGAGCAGTAACAACTAATTATCAGCTTTTCATTCTCCTTAAGTTCAAATGTGTGCTGTAGAATTCCATACAGCTTTCTTGTATTTTAATTTCTTTTATTATCATATTCCAGATTTGTCTACTTTTGTTACCTCTCTCTGCTTCATAATAATTAGAAGGGAATTTTGTTTTATTTTCTTTCCAAAAGACCAGATTTAACATGTACTTTTCAACTCATATATATTTTTTGTATTCTATTTTACAAAATCAGCATTGATCCCTCTTCTGTTTTGATTCGTTTTTCTTTTATTTTATATCCCTATACTTTAAAAATGGTGATCTTTATAACTTTAGCCATGTCCTACATGTTTTGAAATAAAGCATTTTATTTCCTGGGTTTTAGAAAAAAGTTTGCATTTCTTCTTTAAATGCATTCTTTAATCTGAAAGTACATTTCTTACTTTACAACTGGTCTGGTACCCTTTTAAATTATTTAAGTCTCATTTCATTGCTTAAGGTCAAAGAATGCAAAATCTTTAAGCTTCCTTTATGCCTAAATACATTCTTGATTTTTTGAAAATATTCACTGGATATACTCCTAAAAGTGGGTATTATCTGTTCAAGAGATATAAGGTTTTAGCTATATTTACTAAATAAGTTTTTGATTACTTAATTTTCTTACTTATATCTGTCTACTAGAAATATCTAATATGAGAGAAATACATTACAGTCACACATTGTAACTATTTTATCAATTTCTCCTCACATTTTGAATAGATTTTTCCTTTACATATTTATTTGGTTGCCATATTTTTTGTGCAAATAGGTTTGTGCTTATTACTTTCTTTACAAATTACCCTTTTTTCATTTTATAATGTTCCTTTTTATCTTGTTAAATGCTTTTAATTAACTGTAAATCTCACTTTCTTGTTCATATTTGCTTAATATCTCTTTCCTTACCTTCTTATTTTCAACTTTTATCACTTGATTAAGGTGCTTTAACTATAAATGGCCTGTAGCTAGTTTTTGTTTTTATTCCAATTTGTAAGTCTGTCTTTTGATGAGAAAATTCAGTCCATTCATATTCAAGATGAGAAATATTTGATTTTATTTCTTCCATCTTTATTACTTTTAAATACTTATTATTTATTTTACATTTGTTTTCTTTCTTTCTTATTTTTTTTCTGGCTTTGTAAAACTGCTATTTGTTCCTTTATTTTCCTTTGTGAATACTGAATTCTCACCATATTTTTGTATCTATTAATGGTTATCTTCTGAGAAAAACAAAAGCTGAAAAAAATAAGCTTTGCTATATAGAGCTGTAAGACTGTACTTATTTGGCTTATAGTCCAGCAACTGTTGAGAAAGTTGATGCATCAGCCAGGTGCCATGGCTCACGCCTGTAATCCCAGCACTTCGGGAGGCTGGGGTGAGATCACCTGAGGTCAGGAGTTTGAGACCAGCGTGGTCAACATGGGGAAACCCCATCTCTACTAAAAACACAAAAATTATCCAGGCACGGTGGCGCATGCCTGTAATCCCAACTACTCAGAGGCTGAGGCAGGAGAATCACTTGAACCTGGGAGGTGGAGGTTGCAGTGAGATGAGATTGCGCCACTGCACTCCAGCCAGGGTGACAGAGCAAGACTCCATTAAAAAAAAAAAGGGAAAGAGAGAGAATGAGCGAGAAAAAGAAAGTTTACACATCAAAAGTATCTTCTGTATCCCTGGACATGAATATACTCAAATAGAAGAAAGTTTTCTTCCAAGAAAGCCTAGGGTTTGCCAGATACAGGCCTCATACACTGTTACAGGTTTTATGTATAGCAGCTGCACTCTCCTGAAGCCCTAGTACTTATAATTGCCTCTTCCTTTCTAAACAGGACCAGAACGAGTTTACTAGCACAAGTTTTAACTAAATTTTGCACAAGAAGTCTGGGGAGATACAGAACTCCTAGTTCCTTCTCATAATCAGATACATACTTCTCTACCATTACCTGTAAACAAGGTATTAACTATTTCCCTCACTAAAACCCATGGTTTTCACCTCAAGATAATTATTTTTACCTTACTACTTTTTGAACACCAGATGAGACTACCATAATAATTTCACTTCTCTCCACTCTCTTCCTCCCACAAAACCTTTAACATTCTTTTATTCTGACCTCCATTTAATCTCATTCCTCAGTTTTCCTGAATATTCAATGTTTTTAGTTCTAGGTTAATAGAATTTTCCTTATATTATGCCCCCTTCTTTATCAAGAGTTCAAATTTAGCACTTTGGTTAGACATTCCTAGTCTATTGCTATACATTTATTAGGTTGGTGCAAAGGAATTGAGGTTTTTGCCATTGTGGTAAAAACCACAATTATTTTTGCACCAACCTCATAATCATGTGTAAATATACAGTCACCTATATATCTCTCTTCTTTGTCTTCTTCCATCTAGAGTTCTCTGTGCTAGTTCATTAGCTATTGGTTAGACAAGTGGTTCTTCCTGGGGGCTGTATCACTTCGTAGGAAGTAACTAAATATGAGCAGTGTTACAATGACTAGAGACACGACTGAATTTTGATGCTTGGTGGATAGGAATGCTAGATGTCCATTTCGGCGGCTTTGAGAAAAAAAGCTTAACCTCTCATTTCCCATCAAAGTAATGTCAAACATCTGTTCTACACTGCGGTAGACATTGATCATGTCACTCTAATTCCCAATTTGTCAATGACTTGAGGGAAGCAAAAGGAAATAATAAAAAAAACCTTGGCTAGGTCACTGAGTAGGTATGTGAACTGAATACAGAAAAAGGACCGGTGACAATTTAAATATTTGTTAAATAAAGTGAAATTTTTAAACAGATAGATTATAAATGGAAGTGAGATACAACATAATGCACTGGTTAAGAAAGCAGACCTGCTGCTATGTGACCTTGGGCAAGTTACATAACCTCTTTGTGCCTCAGTTTTCTCAAATATAAAATAGGAATATTAAGAGAACTTTCCTTGAAGTGTTGCTATTAAAAATTAATAATTTATATTTTTAAGGTACTTAGAATAGTGCCTGGCAAATGATATGCTCTATAGGAGTTATTTTAAATAAGTAAAATATAAAAGAGGCAATAAGAAAGCTTACAAAATTAAAACCTTACCATAGTCTGTCTTCTTCAAAAAACACTCAATATTCCCTTAATAACAGCTTACACCGAGCACTGTTCTAAGTGCTTCACATGCATTGACTCATTCATTCCACCCAACAGAGCTCTAAGGTTGTCAGTACTATGATCCCCATTGTACAGATGAGAAAACTGGAGCATAGTGAAGTCAAGTAACTTGCTTAAGTTCATGAAGCTAGTAAAAGGTACAGACCAACTGTGAATCCAAGTCATCCGGTTTTCAAATTACTCTCTTAACCCCTACATCTCTCATACACAATCTCTATGAGAAGTCTTGGCTTTGATCATTAGAATCAACAGTAAGAACAGATATGAATACAAAGTAACTCTCCGCTGAGAGATGGGGTGGAAGTTCAGATGCTAAATGACTCCTGTAAGCCATACTTTTTTTTTTTTTTAGCTTTAAGATAAATGTGTAACTGCCTTGCAAGCTTTACTAACACCCTAAGGGAAAGACAATTTTGCCACCAGAGATATTTAAAATTGGTCTTGACTGGCAGGTTCTAAATCTTGTGATCCATTACCCTTGACTACACAAAAATGATCCCTCTGAAGAGAATGAGAATACAGATTAACCCATCTTCAAAAAAGGAAATAATATACTCCTCCCTAAACTACATCTGCATTTATTATAGAACATCACTTGGCAAAACATTAACCAGCACTCAAGAAAAAGGCATAGTAAAAAGCAAACACAATGGAGAAGAAATAGCTGAAGAGTTTGAAGAAAAACCAGAAGAGAAAAATCACAGAAGCCATGAGGAGACTATTTCAAAAAGGACGAAGTAGTTAGCGTAGTCCAATGCTAAGAAAAGATCAAGGAAGATAGGGACAGAAAAGTATCCACTGGATTTAGAAAGGAGATAGTAACCTTGGAAAAGGCATAGTTAATGAAGTGCTGGAGAACCAAAATCCAACTGTGACGGGGAGGGAGTTTGACGTAAAGGAATAAAACTTGTTGCAGATAGTTCTTTCAAAAACTTTGGTTTTAAAGGGAAGAAGAGCATGAAGATAGAATGACAAACACATAATGCAGCACTACTATGTGCCAGCCAGCGTTCCAAGGGCATTACCATATTAACTAAGCTAATACCTATAATAATACTATATTGTAGGTCCTTTTACGATCATCATTTGACACATGGGAAAAGTGAGGCATAAAGACTTTAACATAAGGACGGAGCTGGTAAGTGATGGAGTTGGAACTAATATTTATTGCTTTATTTATTTATTTTTTTTTTACATAATTTCAGACTTACAAGAAGAGTAAAAAAAATTCTGGATACCCTGCACTTAGATTCCCCAAATGTTAACATTTTACTGCATTTGTGTTAGCTATCTCTCCAGGTAAACATATAATTTTATTTTTTATTTTTATTTATTTATTTTTTTGAGACAGAGTCTCGCTCTGTCACCCAGACTGGAGTGCAGTGGCACAATCTCAGTTCACTGTAGCCTCCACCTCCCATGTTCCACCGATTCTCCTGCTTCAGCCTCCCAGGTAGCTGGGATTACAGGCACACACCACCACGCCCAGCTAATTTTTGTATTTTTAGAAGAAACGAGGTTTTACCATGTTGGCCAGGCTGGTCTCAAACTCCTGACCTCAGGTGATCCACCCGCCTTGGCCTCCCAAAGTGTTAGTTAGGATTACAGGCGTGAGCCACCACACCTGGTCACATTTTGTTTTCTTAACCAATAAAGGTAAGTTGTAGGAATGCTCTTATACCCCAAAATACCTCCAAATATAAGATAATATCATCTGCAAACAAGGATAATTTGACTTCTTCCTTTCCAATGTGGATGCCTTTATAACTTTCTCTTGTCTGAACGCTTGAGGTAGGACTTCCAGTACTGTGTTGAATAACAGTGGACATCCTTGTTATGTTTCAGAGCTTGGATGAAAGGCTAAGATTTTCCCCATTCAGTATGATACTAACTGTGGGTCTGTCACATATGGCTTTTATTATATTGAGGTATGTTCCTTCTATCCCCAGTTTTGAGGGTTTTTATCAGGAAAGGACGCTGAATTTTATCAAATGCTATTTCAGCATCAATTGAAATCATCATATGTTTTTTGTCCCTCATTCTGTTGATATGATGAATCACACTGATTGATTTATGAATGTTGAACCATCCTGGTAACCCTGGGATAAATCCCATTGGTCATGACGAATGATTTTTTAAATGTTGTTGAATTCAGTTTAGCAGTATTTTGTTGAGGATTTTTACATTGATATTCAACAGATGCTAGACTCTAGTTTTATTTCCTTCCTTCCTTCCTTCCCTCCCCTCCCCCTTCCCCTCCCCCTTCCCCTCCCCCTCCTCTCCCCATCCCTCCTCTCCCCCTTCCCCTCCCCCTCCCGTCCCCATCCCTCCTCTCCCCCTTCCCCTCCCCCTCCCCTCCCCATCCCTTCCCTCCCCCTCCCCCTCCCATCCCCTCCCCCTTCCCTCCCTTCTCCTGCCCCTTCCCTCCCCTCCCCCTTCTCTTCCCTCCCCCTTCCCCTTCCCTTCCCTTTTCCTTCCCTTCCCTCTCCCTTCCTTTCCCTTCCCTCTCCTTTCCCTTCCCTCTCCTTCTCCCTCTCCCTTCCCTTCCTTTCTTTTTGATGTGTCTTTGTTTGGTTTCGGTATCAGGGTAACAATGACCTTGTAGAATGAATTTGGAAGTATTCCTTCTTCTGTTTTTTGGAATAGTTTCAGTAGACTTGGTATTAGTTCTTCTTTAAATGTTTGGTAGAATTCAGCAGTGAAGCCATCGGATCCTGGGCTTTTCTTCACTGGGAGAACTTTTATTATGGTTTCAATCTTGTTACTTGTTTTTGGTCTGTTCAGATACTGGATTTCTTCACAGTTCAATCTTGGGAGGTTGTGTGTGTCTAGGAAGTTTTCCATTTCCTCTAGATTATCCAACTTACTGGCATATAGTTGCTTATAGTAGCCACTAATGATCCTTTGAATTTCTGCAGTATCAGTTATAATATCTCCTTTTTCATCTCTGATTTCATTTCTGCTCTGATTTTTATTTCTTCTACTAATTATGGGTTTGGTTTGTTCTTGCTTTTCTAGTTAAGATACATCATTAAGTTATTTATTATTTATTTGAAGTTTTTCTTCTTTTTTGATGTAGGCTCTTAAAGCTATAAACCTCCCCTTGAGTACTGCTTTTGTTATATCCCTTAGGTTTTAGTATGTTGTGTTTCCATCATCACATGTTTCAAGAAATTTTTCAATGTCCTTCTTAATTTCTTCATTGACCCATTGGTCATTCAGGAGCATATTGTTTAATTTCCATATGTTTATATTGTTTGAAAATTCCTCTTGTTTTAGATTTCTAGTTTTATTCCACTCTGGTCAGAGAAGATACTTGGTATTATTTTTTTCAATGTTTTAAGACTTGTTTTGTGACCTAACATATGCTCTATCCTTAAGAATGATCCATGTGCTGATAAAAAGAATGTGTATTCTGCAGCTCTTGGATGACATTTTCTGTATATATCTATTAGATCCATTTGGTGCATAGCACAAATTAAGTCCAATGTTTCTTTGTTGGTATTCTGTCTGGAAGATCTGTCCAATGCTGAAAGTGGAGTGTTGAAATCTCCAGCTATTATTGTATTGAGGTCTACCTTTGTCTTTAGCTCTAGTAACATTTGCTTTATATATCTGGGTGCTCCAGTGTTGAGTGCATATATATTTAAAGTCATTATATCCTCTTGCTGAATTGACTCTTTATCATTAAATAATGACCTTGTCTCTTCCTACACTTTTTGTCTTTTATAAGTGTAGGAAGAGACAGACATTTTGTCTGATGTAAGTATAGCAACACCTGCTCTTTTTTGGTTTCTACCAGCATGGAATGTCTTTTTCCATCCCTTTTTTTTTTCAGTCTATGTCTATCATTATAGGTGAAGTGTGCTTCTTGTAGGCACCAGATCATTAGGTCTTGATTTTTTATACATGCAGTAACTCTGTCTTTTGATTGGAGAGTTTAGTCCATTTACATTCAATGTTATTATTGATAAGTAAGGACTCACTCCTGCCATTTTGTTATTTGTTTTCTGGTTGTTTCACATTCTTCTCTTCCTTCCATCCTTTCTTCCTGTTTTCCTTTTAATGCAGGTGGTTTTCTCTAGTGGTAGGATTTAATTTCTTGTTTTTTATATTTTGTGTATCCACTTTACGTTTTTAGATTAGAGGTTACAATGAAGCTTGCAAATACTATCTTATTAATATAATCCATTATTTTAAACTGATGACAACACTGATTGCATACACAATCAAGCAAAAAGGAAACTAATAAAAGTTCTACCCTGCTTTTTCACTTTTTGTTGTTTCTACTTATATCATATTGTACTGTCCATGTCTTGAAAAGTTGTCATAGTTATGTTTAATCAGTTCACGTTTTAGTCTTTCTATTCAAGACATGAGTACTTCATACACCACAATTCTAGTGTTACAATATTCTGCTTTTCTGTGTACATACTATTACCAGTGAATTTTGTGCCTTTGAATGATTTCTTCCTGCTTACTACCATCCTTTTCTTTCAGATTGAAGAGCTCCTTTTAGCATTTCTTACAAGAAAAGACAGGTCTGTTGCTGACAAAATCCCTCCCTCAGCTTTTGTTTGTCTGGGAAAGTCTTTATTTCTCCTTCATATTTGAAGGATATTTTCACTGGATATACTATTCTAGGGTAAAAGTTGTTTTCTTTTGGCACTTTATGTCATGCCACTCTCCCCTGGCCTGTAAAGTTTCCACTGAAAAGTCTGCTGCCACAGGTATCAGACTTCAATTGCATGTTGTTTCTTTTCTCTTGCCGCTTTTAGGATCCTTTCCCATCCTTGACCTTTGGGAGTCTGATTATTAAATGTCTCGAGGTAGGCTTCTTTGGGTTAAATCTGCTTGAAGTTCTATAACCTTCTTGTACTTCAATGCTGACATCTTTCTCTAGGTTTGGGAGTTCTCTGATATTATTTCTCTGAATAAACTTTCCATCCCTGCCCCTTTCTCTACTTCCTCTGTAACACCAATATCTCTTAGATTTGCCCTTTTGAGACTATTTTCTAGATCTTATAGCTGTGCTTCATTCTTTTATATTCTTTTTTCTTTTGTCTCCTCTGACTGTGTATTTTCAAAGAGCCTGTCTTCAAGCTCACTAATTCTTCTTCTTGATCAATTCTGCCACTAAGAGACTCTGATGCAATCTTCAGTATATCAATTGCATTTTTCAACTCTAGAATTTCTGCTTGATTCTTTTTTACTATTTCAATATCTGTTAAATTTATCAGATAGAATTCTAAATTCCTTCTCTGTGTTATCTTGAATTTCTTTGAGTTTTCTCAAGACAGCTATTTTGAATTCTCTGTCTGAAGGGTCACGTATCTCTCTGTTTCTCTAGTATTGGCCCCTGACGCCTTATGTAGTTTGTTTGGTGAGGCCATATTTTCCTGGATGGTCTTGATGCTTACAGATGTTCATCAGTCTCTGGGCATTGAAGTTAGGTATTTATTGTAGTCTTCACAGTCTGGGCTTGTTTGTGCTTATTGTATTTGGGAAGGCTTTCCAGGTTATTCAAAGGGACTTGGGCCTCAAGCCCAATAATGATGTGGTTCTTGCAGACTGGTAGAGGTACTGCCTTGGATAAATCTGGGAGAACTCTCTAGATTACCAGGCAGAGACTCTTGTTCTCTTGTTCTCTTCCCAATCCCTGTGCTCTCCCTCCCCCTAGTGCAGAGATTCTCCATGCCACACTGCTGCTGCCAGGGGATGAGAAAGCGGTGACACCGGCAATTCAAGACTGTCTTTCCTACCCTCTTCAGTGCCTCTTTCAGCAATATGAAGTTAAAACCAGATACTGTGAGTGCCCACCTGATTTTTGGTTATGATGGTGCTTTTTTGTGTGTAATTAGTTGCTAAAATTTCGTGTTCTTGCAGGGGTGACAATCATTGCAGCCCTCTATTTGGCCATCTTGCTCCACTCTTCAAGATTTGTGTTTAAAAACTAAGATCTACCATATAAAGGAATGAAGTACTATATTCGAAAACATACACAAACCTTGAAAACATGCTAAGTGAAAGATGCCAGAAACAAAAGGCTACATATTGTCCAGAAAAGGCAAATCCATAAAGATAAAAAAAAGTAGATTAGTAGTGGCCAGGGTATAGAGTGAAGGGAGACTGGGCAGTCTCAGTTATGGATTTTTTTTTAAGGGGTGATGAAAATGTCCTGCAATTACATACTGGTGATTGCACAACTTATAAGTGATCAAAAACCAATGATACACTTCAAAAGAGTAAATTTTATAGTATAAAATAATATCTCAATTAAAAAAACAAAATCTGTGCACAAAGTGTGCTCAATGGTATTGTTTCTAACTCCTCTCAAAGGACAGCTCTGGGAAACAGATGTTTGTATATTCATTTCATGTATGACACATGAACATGCATATATACTCACCCAACATCTAGCTGTTGATATATAAAACTCACACTGCTATCTCCAATTCCAATCTAATACCACGAGGCTCATTCTATCCTTTCCCCTATTCAGATTTGTAATTCCCTCCTATAACAGCAAGAAATCTTAGAATCTCAGAATTGGAATCCAGACACTTCAGCTCTCCTAACCATTACCCTTTAGGCTGACCATTTATTTTAACAAAATTACAACTTACTGAATAAAATTCAGCAAACATCTCTTAATTGATACTCACAGTGATACTGTCCAGGAGTTTGGCCATATGTTTAATAATTTCACCATGTTGTGCAGGTTGCATTTGCAGTAATTTCTTTATAACAACCACACTTTCAGCAACAACTATTTCTGAAAAAGATAGAAATTATTCATACTAAATATGTATAATTCAATTCAAATGCAATATGCTTCGTAAAATGTAAACTTAAATTAGAAAAACATTCTATTTAATACAAGCCTTAAAAGACTATGTGAAAGCATAACCATGAGTGCGCTTCCAAATTTGAGGTGTGAACAACTGTCTTAACTAGGAGAGTTAACTTTAATTTCTAACCTCTGTTGCTGTCTCCTAGCTTCTGTAGTTCCTTTCTTATCTCTGCATCTTTAGATTAAGAAAGCAAAAGACGTTGGATTATGCTGCTCACCATAGTGTTCTATGTCTTTGGCTTTTAACCAGAGTCCTCAAATATTGCTCTTTGATTCCTATAAATTATATAGTGGAAATCAATTATCTACAATCTAAACAACATTTTCCCTATTCTGCAGAAAACAGCAAACTAAAAAAAAAATTTTTCCTTAAGTGAAATGCCCAGAAAAGTGAGTAGTAAAGATGAGTGGTAGTAGTAAAGAAGTCACTGTAGAAATAGCATGGAGTGCAAAGCCGGAAAGAATGGGATTGTGAGAGTGAGATGGATTTTCTCTATTTGTTCTATAAAGTCCACTCTACCTTTCTCTCCCCAGCACTGTGCCCTAAGAGGCCCACCTGTAGTCTGCCTCAACCAGACTCCCTTGGTCCTGGCTTATAGCTGTGTTTAGTCAATAGAAAGCTTCAGCAGGAGATGGTGGGGGGAGGGCGGGGATATTTGTTATCCTGGATCCCTACTCTGCCAGCCTCCTCTCCCTGGTATTACATGCAATCCCCTACTGAAGGTACTGCAAGTGGCTCACTCCTGCAGGGTCTGGTAACTGCTCCTGCTCCTCACACCCCTTCCCTTCAATCTGAGGCATGGTAAAGGCCTCCCACTGTTGATAGCCTGTTAGCTCCAGGGTGTTACATCATATCTTGTTGGTTTCCCTTAATCCTGACCACAGTTTACAAACAGTTCATTCACTTAATTCACTTCAATCATCCCTTTTAAGTGTGCCATCTGTTTCTTGCCAGAGCCTTAACTAATACAGTAACTACTACTGGAGGTGGATAGGAAGTAGATCCTCAAACTGGGATTACGGGATTTAGTTATCATACTAAACTGGCCAATCACTGGTCCAGTCTCTTTTTGGTGGTACTGGTAAAGAAACGTAACATAACTCACCTGAGAACCTGACCTTATGAAATGAATCTTATATAATGTGTTATTAATGCTAATGATGCCAAAGAAATAAATCAACATTGCCTTTACTTATTATTTTGATATTTTTATTAATAGGGCTTCATGGCTATTAGGAATTCCCCTGGCATACACTACAAAGGTTTATTTTAATATTATATTAGAAATACCATAATTTGTGTCCTATTACTCTTTTTTTTTGAGACAGAGTCTTGTTCTGTGGCCCAGGCTGGAGTACCATGGCGCAATCTCAGCTCACTGCAACTTCCACCTCCCAGATTCAAGCAGTTCTCCTGCCACAGCCTCCTGAGTAGCTGGGATTTACAGGCGCGCGCCACCACGCCTGGCTAATTTTTGTATTTTTAGTAGAGACGGGGTTTGACCATATTGGTCAGGCTGGTCTCAAACTCCTAACCTCATGATCCACCCGCCTTGGCCTCCCAAAGTGCTGGGATTACCGGTGTGAGCCACCATGCCCGGCCTACTCTTTTTCACTGAAATGTATTTTTTATAAAGCTCCGTTTAAGAATATAAACAAAATTCATCATTCTAATCATTAGTAAATATATGTATTTCAAACTGTTTACCTGCTTATCCATAAGAATAAGAAATTAACTAATATTGACTGGGCACAGTGGCTCAGCACTTTCGGAGGCCGAGGCAGGAGGATGGCTTGATCCCAGGAGTTTGAGACCAGCCTGGGCAACATGGAAAACCCCAGGTCTACAAAAAATCCAAAAATTAGCCAGGAGTTGTGGCACGTGCCTATAGTACCAGCTATTCAGGAGGCTGAAGCAGGAGAATCACCTGGGCCAAGGAAGGTTGAGGCTTCAGTGAGCCGTGATCACAACACTATACTCCAGCCTGGGTGACAGAGTGAGAAAAGAAAAAACAAAAAAAAACCTAGTATGATTTAACTAAAAGCTAACTAATATTAATGCTTCAGTTTACAAAACAACATCACATTTCATTTCCTTCTCACAATAATGTAAAGTAGGTACCTTATTATTATTATTTTAAAGATGAAGAAAGGGAGATGCACTGGAATTGTATAACTTTACCCAGAATTCAAACTCAGAACTAGGATGTACATTCTATCTATATACGTTCTATGTTACGATAGGCAGGTATTACTTCTTTTTTTTTTTTTGAGATGTTTTGCTCTTGTCGCTGAGGCTGGAGTGCAGTGGCGCAATCTCGGCTCACTGCAACCTCCACTTCCGGGGTTCAAGCGATTCTCCTGCCTCAGCCTCCCAAGCAGCTGGGATTACAGGTGCCCGCCACCACGCCCAGCTAATTTTTTGTATTTTTAGTAGAGATGGGGTTTCGCCATGTTGGGCAGGCTGGTCTTGAACTCCTGACCTCAGGTGATCCACCCGCCTTGGCCTCCCAAATGCTGGGACTACAGGCGTGAGCCACCGCGCCCACCCATAGGCAAGTATTACTTCTATAAAGACTACCTCTTGGTGCTATGAGGAAAGCAAAGGTAAATCAGAATGAGATTCTGCCCTCATCAAACTTACACTCTAGCAGAAAAATAAATGGTTATGTGATTACTATGCAAAGCAAAATTTGGTAAGTGTGGTTTTAAAGAATGCATAGTATAACAAATTTATATTTTTAAAATACATTATTGCAAAACTAGCCTAAGTAAGAGAAAAAAATGTTGCATAATTTAATTATCTACAAGCAGACGCAGGATTGGCTACAGTTGAAATATGCGTTTGGCATCATTTATCTTTAGGAACTACATTAGTTTCCTATTGTTGCTGTCACAGATTACTAAAAACATAGTGGCTTAAAACAATGCAAATTTATCATTGTACAGTTCTAAAGTCAGAAGTCTAACATAGGTCTTATGGGACTAACATCAAGCTCTCAACAGGGCTGCGTTCCCTCTGGAAGTTCTAGGGGAAATCTTTTCCTTCCCCCTCCCAACTTCTCAAGCATGCCCACATTCCTTGGTTCAAAGACCTCTTCCAACAATCACATCACCCTGACCTTCTGACATCTTCTGACTGACCTGCGTCTCTCTTTCCCTTATAAAGACCCACATGATAACATTAGGTCTAACCACATAATCTCCCCATCTATAGAAACTTGACTTAATCAATCTGCGAAGTCTCTTTTTCCACGTAAGGTAACATATTCACAGGTTCTGGGCATCTTTGGAACGCAATAATTCTGCCTACCACAAGTGCCTTCTCATTCCCCTCAGGTAATTCCACTCTACTTCTCCTTTATGGTACCTCTTGGTTTCCAAAGACCTCAGCACTTTGGTGCTACTCTATCAGAAGCACAAAATGATCCTATGTTCTAGATATTTCCTAACTTCCTCCTTGTCCTCAACAAATCTTAATGGACCTAACTTTAAAAAGTACAGTCTACTATCATACTCATTTTACAAATGAAGAATCTGGTGCACAGGTAGACTGGGTAATTTACTCAGGATAGCTGTAACATTCTACATAGGTGGTATAGTCCTACATGTAAGCAAATAGCTGGCAAGAGAGTAAGTGGTCACTATATGGGAAGACTATAATATATTTGTCTTATATTACTATCTCCCTCCAATGGACTATTAGCTCTATAAAGATAGGAACCTTTTATAAGTTAAATAAATATCCTATTAATATATTCAACATTTATTAAACATCTCAACTGATTTAAGTCTTCAATAAATGCTTACTGAATTGTTTAAAACTAAACAAAACAAAGTCTTCTGCCCCAATCCTTTTAGTTTAGAGTAGATGGCAATAAGGTTATTCAAAAAAGTAAATTTCGCTAATATGTTACCTAAAATAAATTACCTAAGTCAACTGAAATGTAGATTTCTCTTACTAAAGGTCTATAAGAAATTGGCTTATCAAATTAATCTTAGAGAGTAATAATAGGCTGTTTTAGGGCAAGCTTCAAGTCTGCTTAGAAAGGCTCTTAACAACACACACACAAAACTAGAGGTCCAAGAGAAATATATTAAACATATTTAAAAACAATTGAGCCTAAATGTCCCTGAGGTTTAAAGATTCATTATTTGAACAGATGATGAGGTATTCATTTCAATATAAAATCAAATAATTACAGATTCCTAGAGCCTTAAAAGATCTTAACAGATTTTAAAGAAACTGAGTCTTCATTCACAGTATTTATTCCTAAAAGTAGATCTTTTAATACAAAGAGGAAGGGGCTCTATTGTCAGGGTGGCTATGTTAAAGTTAAAAATACTATGACTTTCTTTTATGTTACTAATTTTGATATAAATATTCTCCTTATTTGTTTTACCTCTCACTTTTACTGAGCCAGACTTCCAAACTACAAAAAATAGTGTAGCATATGTGATACAGACATAATTAATCAGGTATTATGGGCTAATGATGATTATGCAAATATAATCTGACAATACAATTTAAGTTTGTTAATATTCACACTGCAGGAAAAAAAAAACCATGATTAAGAGTTGTATCAAAAAACAAAAGCCTAACCATTAAAATATCAAAATTTAAAGTAGTTAAACTAAATCCTTCTACTTTTAGAGAGGAAGTATGTATTAGTCTTTCATTTTCTAATTGTAAAACAATCTAGTCTTCCCTTAAAAGTGATGTAGGGGTAGAATATTTATCTTTTAAAGTCAATAAAAATATTTTTTGAGAAATTAAATCTGAAGCAGAAATAACTGCTTTAAAATCCAAAGCTTGAAATTTTCCATTAGAAAAAAAAAGTCAAAAAATAAAATTGAGAAAATTTGAATATATTTTGTATTTGAATGAACTAATCAGTGTTCTAACTAATTTCCGGTGCTTTCTGTATGTAACTAAAATGTAAAAGAACAATTGCCCTGGTAAGCCTTGGTTCATAATCTTTAATGGTACAAAGTTATTTTCCCAAGGTGTGTATTTTATTTGGTTGAATAGAAAGTCATTATTAAAGGCACAGGAAAATTTCTTTAAAACACATTTTTAATGTCACATTTTAAAATGTGACATAGAAACAGAGATAAAAGGATTAGTTATTATTAAAAGTAGAAAGAGATAGAATGGATGACGTTTATCATCCTATCTCCACTAGCTACTTTGTAGAGATAAAAAAAAATTTTAAACCTATCGTCTTGATAATTTTGGTTGGCATTTATTTGGAGTTTTAATACTACATGTAGAAAAATCTTCAGTCATAGTATCTTGAGTTTACAGGTACAAGTTTAAAATTTTATGCTCACAACAAAAATCAATGTTATCTGGGAATAAATTTTGTTCCAATTTTTTTCATCAGAAATACTCTCAACAATGTTACAGTTTTCTAAAGATATCTACATGTGGGAAAAAATAATTAGAGATTATAGGATTCTTGTACTAAAAAGTTATTTTTCAAATAAAATGTAATCAATTTTGTTGTTTTACCTCATGGGCTGCTATATCATATATGCCCATATCTAGACATGACATAGACATTAGTATATTTTAAATTCCACAAAATAATTTCAATGATTTTACAAAGAAAATTATGCTTTTCTTAAAAAAGTCTCATTTTAATACATAATTATAATAAAAGTTCTTTAAACAAAATTATTTTAAAGGTAAAGTTGGCTTTTCTTTCTTTCTCTAAATGGCTCCATTTATTTCAAAGCCTTACCCATAGAAATAACTGACGCTTTGCCACAGAACAATATGGGATCTAGCTTACATATTTTACTGGATATTACCTATCCAGTTTTACCGAACACTTAGATATTGTTTGGCTTAAAAACACAAAGCTGCTCCAAGTTTATGGCTTTTAAATCTAGTTAATTTTGAATATAATTAGGTGAATTTCTGAGGAAAAAGAATGTTGAAGGTATACAGTTAACATATTTTTTGATCTAGCCACTTCTCCATGTTATAGTCATTTGCCTGCTTTTAGCACCCTCTGCAGGTGAACCAATATTATGCATGACTTACATGCCATTAAAATGCAGTAAAAAGGTGGAAAAGATACAATCAAGGTGATTAAATTGTAAAGAAGTAAAACAAATTTTCTTAGATCTGTTGCGGTAAAACAAATACTACCTGCTAGTTAATGGCCTATTTTACTAAAAAAAAAAGAACCCAGAATATGCATATTTATGTGCATTCAAGGATAAAATGCTACTTATTGTGACCATACTACTGATATAACTGGAAAAGCTAAAATGCAAAGTTAGAAAAGGTTACAACTTGGAAATAATACCAAGAATATTCAAATTTAAATCACCTGAAAATAAAATGAAACTGTAAACTTACCATCCCTGTTGGACAGCAGACAGACCAAGCCATTGAGGCACGTGTCAGTGACTTCCAAGATGTTGGTTGCACATCTGCCTATAGTCTGAATAGTGGCTGCTGCAAATTGTTTATCCTGGCTTTTCACATAGGTCTAAAAGATATTATTTCAATTAGTTTACACACTGGTATTATTGAGTTAACCAAAACTCCGATTATATTAAACTTTGTCAATATATAAGAATTCCAGAATACATAAACTTCTCATAAGCACAATATGAGGACCAAGTGATGATGTAGATTAATTTCATTTTGTTTTGATTTTTTTACTTAAAGAATGTGCCTATGGACGAAGCACATTTTCAAGCCAGGCTCATTCACCTGTGGCCATAGTGGCTTGAGACTCCAAAACAGATAGTAGGAGCAGTCACCCAAAGACAGCAATTAGTTTAAGTGCAAGGTTGAAAGAGATGATGAGAGCTCTCTCTTTGGAGGTTTCAGTTCATTTACCAGCAGCATCTGTGAATCTATGAAAAAAAGGGTCACTTTTTCAGAGACACTAAATCTAAAAACTGGGAGAAAAGGAAGAAAGGGACCAGTAGGCTATTTACAAACATTTTAATTTCAAAATCTATCACAATGGTTGTAAAAGAATAATAGTTACGGTGAACAGTATTTCAATAAATACTTCAAATACTCAGTTTATAATAAAATAAAATACCATACTTTTGAAATAGATTTTCTTTAAAAGTATGCTTTAAAAATATACTGTAAAGGGTATATGTGTGTGTGTGTATATATATATATGTGTGTGTGTGTATATATAGTATATATATAGTATACATATATATATATACACACACACACATATATATATACACACACACAAATTTAAAAATAAAGAAATAAATCACTGATTTAACAACAGGAAGTTAAAATATCTTTATAAATTTTATAATGGCCCTAGAGAATTTCACTTTGCTTAGAACCTTCCTAATTTTTAAATGAGGAAAGCTTCTATTGTTTACAGAAATATACACACTTTGTATCATATACATGAAATTTGAAAGGTCATTTACAATCGAAATTTTTAAGAAAGATTCCCAACCTCAAATAAGAAGTATACAATGTAGACTTAACACTATGAAAAATGCAATACATTTAAGTGGTGTCTAAATGACAAATGGAGGAGAAAACCTAAAGATGTCTAAAAAAATACAAATTTGCTAAAAATGGTACCAACCAGGTGATTAAACATTGAACAAATAAATTAAATTAATTAAACTCTCCTAGTTCCATGAAGGCAAGACCAATTATATTTAAAAGTGTTCCCAAATAAATTATTTAATTTCCTTAAAGAAAAATATGAACTTATGAGTCTTTAGAAACATTCCCTATTTTACCCAAAAAGTTACTAAAAGCGTAACTATGAGCATAACACAAACATAGACAGAAGGTACAAATTTAGACAGTGATAAAAATGAATACATGAAAAAAATACTTAAAAGTTTGACTGAAAAATGGACCTTATTAAACATCCTGATATTAAATGAAAAGACTAGATGACCAATATTTTGAAACAGGTCTAGTATGTGCCCTCTATACAACCCATTCCATAACATTACCTAAGTCTCCTTTCCTACAATCCCAGGAGACTTGATATAAGCAAAAACTGGACAGTGAGAGGACACCCAAAGAGACTAGATAGGACAACAGGAAAGGAACAAGAAAAAACACAAAGACCAATACTTTAAATAAATAAAATTATAGGAATGAAGTGAAAATCAGATTCAAGCAATGATCTGCAGCTATAAGATTACTGAATAATAACATAAAATAGTATATTTTCTAGAACATCTTAATTTTTTAAGAAATTTGTCTAGAAAGATACACAACATAAAAGTGGAGTAATCCAGGTATGAAAATATAAATTATGGACATGCCATATTATTCTACTATTCCTGTAAAAAGTTTAAAAATCACATAGCTAAAA
The DNA here is from genome assembly GCF_000001405.40 of Homo sapiens. Lineage (NCBI taxonomy): Eukaryota > Metazoa > Chordata > Mammalia > Primates > Hominidae > Homo > Homo sapiens. Next base: position 78,164,791 of record NC_000005.10, read on the forward strand.
AGAAATCGTGTATACAGTGTCTTATAACCAAGAAGAAATTTAATATTGGCATATAGGAGAACTATGGCAAAAAATACATCTCTAAAAGTTGGAAGCTGATAAAAGAAAAACTCTGTGATTAGTGCATAGTATGTGGTATATTTTTGTTAAGAAAACAGATAGTGGAATATAAAAGTCATAATACTGATGTAAAGTTTTCTATTGCTGTGCTCTACAACTAAGGCTTCAGAGATGACCTTTCCATCATAAAGGGTATCATGTCCATGAAGTAATTTTTGAATAATATTTTGGGGGGAAATGCAGCTAGGAAGAGTCTCATAAGGCATAAAAATACAACTAAACAAATCAAAATAAAAAACAGCAATTTAAAAAATCGTAGTGGGGCAATTATGAAACAAATTTTTTTGAGCTATATATGAGGCTAAGGGGGCAGTGTCAAAAATAGTCATAGGTCAATAAAATGGGAACAACCAGGTAAGAAATGAAACCGTTTTCATGACCACAGAATATAGAAAGGACTATTGATGCTGGCAGCACAAAAAGATGAAATTCTTACCAGAAATACAATTTCAAACAAAGACAGAGTTATAAACCAAAGTCCTTCAAAGTCTATGAAAATATGAAAGAGAATACTATGTTTTCCTTAAATTATAAATTGTAATTAGTTTATTCTTGCAAATTTATGAATTTCTTAGTTGTCAGTCTTGTCCCAATCACTATTTTATGTACATAATTACATATTTCTAGATAGAAAAAGATGCATATTTAAGACTGAACATATGTTTTAGAAGTTTTTTATAATTAGCACTGTACACAAACCTGAAATTCTCGAAGAAGAGTTGATATGTTGGCTTCATTTGCCAAGTTTGTCAAAATTTCAAGCTATAGTAGAGAAAAGAGAAAGTAAACATTTTAAAACAAAGGTAGCAAGATGAATTTAATAGAGTACAGACATTTAATTGAAAGTTTATTTCTACTTTTAAAAATCACATTGTCAGCCGGGCACAGTGGCTCATGCCTGTAATCCCAGCACTTTGGGAAGCCGAGGCGGGCGGATCACCTGAGGCTGGGAGTGCAAGACCAGCCTGACCAACATGGAGAAACCCTGTCTCTACTAAAAATACAAAATTAGCCGGGCATGGTGGTGCATGGTGGTGCATGCCTGTAATTCCAGCTACTTGGGAGGCTGAGGCAGGAGAATTGCTGGAACCCAGGAGGCAGAGGTTGCAGTGAGCAGGAGAATTGCTGGAACCCAGGAGGCAGAGGTTGCAGTGAGCCGAGATCGCGCCATTGCACTCCAGCCTGGGAAACAAGACTGAAACTCTGTCACACACACACACACACACACACACACACACACACACACACACACACACACACACAAATCATATTGTCGCCAATGTGGTAAGGCATTATACCCTTCAGGTCAACTTAGTCTACCTTCTTATGTCCACAAACAGATATTAGACAATTACTAGTTCTTTGAAAACAATTCGGAAAAGGAGAATTCTACATCTTCACTAATTGTCTGCCCAATACAAACTTATAATTTATATCTAATTAACCTAAACAATTCTGCTAGTTTGGCTTTTTGTCTTTTAGTAAAGTTAGAAAACAATTTGCCCTCCATGTTAATACATCTGCTTTCCAGATACCAATTAATTCTTTTGATTTGTTCTCCTATAGTCTACCATCCCAAATACTCAGACATTTTAATTCTCTCTTCTGGATTTATAGATATAAACAATGTGTAATCTCCAATGGGCTTGTGAAAAAAAATTTTTACTAATAAAAAATATTTAGTCTTAAGAAAATCACAAAAAAATAGAAGAGACAAACAGAAGCAAATCAAGATGTGAACATAAATACATTCATATCAATAAACTACATTAAATAAAGCCAAATACTTAGAGCCAACTGATCTTTGACAAGGCAAACAGAAACACAAAATAGGGAAAGGATACCCTATTCAACAAATGGTGCCAGGATAATTGGCAAGCCACATGTAGTAGAATGAAACTGGATCCTCATCTCTCATCTTACACAAAATTCAACTCAAGATGGATCAAAGACTTAAATCTAAGACCTGAAACCATAAAGATTCTAGAAGATAACATCGGAAAAACCCTTCTAGACGCTGGCTTAGGCAAAGACTTCATGACCCAAACCCAATAACAAATGCAACAAAAACAAAGATAAATAGATGGGACTTAATTAAACTAGAAAGCTTCTGCACAGCATAAGAAATAATCAGCAGAGTTAACAGACAACCCACAGAGTGGGAGAAAATCTTCACAGTCTATACATCTGACAAAGGACTAATATCCAGAATCTACAAAGAACACAAACAAATCAGCAAGAAAAAAACAATCCCACCAAAAAGTGGGCAAAGGATATGAATAGACAATTCTCAAAGATACACAAACGGCCAAGAAGCACATGGAAAAATGCTCAACATCACTACTTATTAGGGAAATGCAAATCAAAACCACAGTGTGAAACCACCTCACTCCACCAAGAATGGTCATAATCAAAAAATCAAAAAATAATAGATGTTAGCATGGATGTGGTGAAAGGGAACACTTTTACACTGTTGGTGGGAACGTAAACTAGTACAACCACTAAAGAAAACAGTGTGGAGATTCCTTAAAAAAGTAAAAGTAGAACTACTGTTTGATCCAGCAATCCCACCAGTAGGTATCTACCCAGAGGAAAAGAAGACATTATACAAAAAAGATACTTGCACACACGTTTATAGCAGCACAATTTGCAATGGCAAAAATATGGAACCAGCCCAAATGCCCATCAATCAACATGTGGATAAAGAACATGTTATATATATACACACACACACACACACACACACACATACACACCATGGAATACTGCTCAGCTATAAAAAAGGAACAAAATAATGGCATTCACAGAAACTAGATAGAATTGGAGACTATTATTCTAAGTGAAGTAACTCAGGAATGGAAAACCAAACATCGTATGTTCTCACTCATAAGTGGGAGCTAAGCTATGAGGATGCACAGACATAAGAATAATACACTGGACTTTGGGGGCTCAGGGGAAAGGGTGGGGGGTGGTGAGGAATAAAAGACTACACATTGGGTACAGTGTACACTGCTTGGGTGACGGGTGCACCGAAATCTCAGAAATCACCACTAAAGAACTTATGCATGTAACCAAACACCACCTGTTCACCAAAAACCTACTGAAAAAAAAAAAAAAACAAAAAAAATAAAACAGCAAATGATCTAAACGCTCCAATTAGAAGGCAAAGACTGTAGGAGGAGTTCTTTACATATTCTGAGTACAAATCATTTATTCAGACACATGTATTAGAAATATTTTTCCCAGATAATCTTTTAATTTTTAATTTTATTTTGATAACTATATTTTAACTTTTAGACAACTTTTTTCTTTTTTCTTTTTTTTTTTTTTTGAGACAAGGTCTTACTCTGTCACCGAGGGTGGAGTGCAGTGGTATGATCATGGCTCACTGCAGCCTCAACCTCTGGGGCTCAAACAATCCTCCCACCTCAGCCTCCCAAGTAGCTGGGACTACAGGTGCATACCACCAAGCTCAGCTTATTTTAAATTTTTTTGTAGGGACGGAGTCTCGTTGTGTTGCTCAGGCTGGTCTCAAACTCCTAGGCTCAAGCGATCCTCCTGCCTCAGCCTCCCAAAGTCCTAGGATTATAGGCATGAACCACTGCATCCAGCTGGACAACTTCTAAAAAACAATCTCAAACATAGGAAAAAGCTACACGTATAGTACAAAGAACTGTTGCTGTTGTTTTTCTGAACGATTTGAGACGATAGATGCCAATCTGATGCTACATTATCCCCAAAAACTTCTATGTATATTTCCTATAAACAAGGACATGTTCCACAGACTACAGTACAACGAAGAAAATCAGGTCATTAAACTGATGCATTACTTTCACACAATTGTCACTATGCACGTAAGTTTCAATAACTGTCTCAATGATGTATAATAAAAGGATCCAGTTCAATATCACATACTGTATTAAGTTGTCTCCTTTGGTCTGAAACAGTTTCTTAGTCTTTCTTTTAACTTATATGACCTTGACATTTTCGCTAATTATAAACCAGGTTTTTTTGATAAAATATCCTTGAATTTGGGTATAATTTAGATTTTATTATTAAACTCAGTTTTCATATGAATAATACATCATTCTAATATTGAACAGTCTTGAATAGTCCATAGTCCATCCTTTCCTCATTGGTTTGTAATATCTCCTCTACTATATGGTACATTTTTGCGTGTATGGGCACATTTCTAGGCTTTCTACTCTTTCCACTTACTTTTCTGTCTAAATATCACACTATTTTAATCACTATAGATTTATATTCCTAACTGCACTCTATGCCATACTTATTACTTCCTGAAAACAATGCTCTTTCATAATCCCTTGTGTTAGCATGAATTATGTTTTTCACCTACTCTAACCCTTCGACCTCCCAATCAACCTGCCAACCAAGAAAAAAATTCACAATATTATTCTTTTAAGATCCACCCAAACATCATCTTTTCTAAACCTCTCATAGAATTAGCTCCACCTTTCTGTTCTTCACAACACTCAATTCAAATATCTGTATTACTTAAAACACACAGTACTAAAATAAGTTAGTTAGAGACAGGGTCTCAGGCTGGAGTGCAGTGGCATGATCAATGGCTCACTGCAGCCTCAACTTTCTGGGATCAAGCAATCTGCCCACCTCAGCCTCCCAAGTAGCTAAGATTACAGACATCGGCCACCACGCCTGGCTAATTTTGATTTTTTTAAAGAGACAGAGTCTCACTATGTTGCCGAAGCTGGTGTCGAACTCCTGGCCTCAAGCAATCCTCCCACCTTAGCCTCCCAAAGTGCTAGCAATACAGGCATGAGCCACTGTGCCAAGCCCTGAAGTTTATTTATTTATTTATTTATTTATTTATTTATATTATTATACATTAAGTTTTAGGGTATATGTGCACAACGTGCAGGTTTGATACATAGGTATACATGTGCCATGTTGGTTTGCTGCACCCAACAACTCGTCATTTACTTTAGATATTTCTCCTCATGTTATCCCTCCCACAGCCCACAAACCCCTGACAGGCCCCGGTGTGTGATGTTCCCGGCCCTGTGTCCAAGTGTTCTCATTGTTCACTTCCCACCTATGAGTGAAAACATGCAATATTTGGTTTTCTGTCCTTGTGACAGTTTGCTGAGAATGACGGTTGCCAGCTTCATCCATGTCCCTGCAAAAGACATGAACTCATCCTTTCTAATGGCTGCATAGTATTCCATGGTGTATATGTGCCACATTTTCTTAATTCAGTCTATCATTGATGGACATCTGGGTTGCTTCCAAGTCTTTGCTATTGTGAATAGTGCCGCAATAAACATACGTGTGCATGTGTCTTTATAGTAGCATGATTTATAATCCTTTGGGTATATACTCAGTAATGGGATCACTGGGTCAAATGATATTTTTAGTTCTAGATTCTTGAGGAATCACCACACTGTCTTCCACAATGGTTGAACTAGTTTACAGTCCCACCAACAGTGTAAAAGTGTTTCTATTTCTCCACATCCTCTCCAGCATCTGTTGTTTCCTGACTTTTTAATGATCGCCATACTAACTGGTGTGAGATGGTATTTCATTGTGGTTTTGATTTGCATTTCTCTGATGACCAATGAGGATGAGCATTTTTTCATGTGTCTGTTGACTGCACAGATGTCTTCTTTTGAGAAGTGTCTGTTCATATACTTTGCCCATTTTCTGATGGGGTTGCTCTTTTCTTGTTTTTTCTGGATATTAGCCCTTTGTCAGATGGGTAGATTGCAAAATTTTTCTCCCATTCTGTAGGTGGCCTGTTCACTCTGAAGGAAGTTTCTTTTGCCATGCAGAAGCTCTTTAGTTTAATTAGATCCCATTTGTCTATTTTGGCTTTTGTTACCATTGCTTTTGGTGTTTTAGTCATGAAGTCCTTGCCCATGCCTATGTCCTCAATGGTATTCTCTAGATTTTCTTCTAGGGTTTTTATGGTTTTAGCTCTAACATTTAAGTCTTTAATCCATCTTGAATTAATTTTTTGTATAAAGTGTAAGGAAGGGATCCAGTTTCAGCTTTTTATATATGGCTAGCCAGTTTTCCCAGCACCATTTATTAAATAGGGAATCCTTTCCCTATTGCTTGCTTTTATCAGGTTTGTCAAAGATCAGATAGTTGTAGATATGTGGTGTTATTTCTGAGACTTCTGTTCTGTTCCATTGGTCTATATATCTGTTTTGGTACCAGTACCATGCTGTTTTGGTTACTGTAGCCTCGTAGTATAGTTTGAAGTCAGGCAGCGTGATGCCTCCAGCTTTGTTCTTTTTGCTTAGGATTGTCTTGGCAATGTGAGCTTTTTTTTGGTTCCATATGAACTTTAAAGTAGTTTTTTCCAATTCTGTGAAGGAAGTCATTGGTAGCTTGATGGGGAGGGCATTGAATATATAAATTACCTTGGGCAGTATGGCCATTACCACTATACTAATTCTTCCTATCCATGAGCGTGAAATGTTCTTCCACTTGTTTGTGTCCTTTTTTTATTTCACTGAGCAGTGGTTTGTAGTTCTCCTTGAAGAGGTCCTTTACATCCCTTGTAAGTTGGATTCCTAGGTATTTTATTCTCTTCATAGCAATTGTGAATGGGAGTTCACTCATTAATTTGGCTTTCTGTTTGTCTGTTCTTGGTCTATAGGAATGCTTCTGATTTTTGCACATTGAGTTTTTATCCTGAGACACTTTGCTGAAGTTGTTTATCAACTTAAGGAGATTTTGGGCTGAGACGATGGGGTTTTCTAAATGTACAATCATGTCATCTGCAAACAGGGACAATTTGACTTCCTCTTTTCCTAATTGAATACCCGTTATTTCTTTCTCTTGCCTGATTGCCCTGGCCAGAACTGCCAACACCACGTTGAGTAGGAGTGGTGAGAGAGGGCATAATTGTCTTGTGCCAGTTTTCAAAGGGAATGTTTCCAGTTTTTGCCCATTCAGTATGATATTGGCAGTGGGTTTGTCATAAATAGCTCTTATTATTTTGAGATACATTCCATCAATACCTAGTTTATTGCGTGTTTTTAGCATGAAGGGCTGTTGAATTTTGCCAAAGGCCTTTTCTGCATCTATTGAGATAATCATGTGGTTTTTGTCGTTGGTTCTGTTTATGTGATAGATTACATTTATTGATTTGCATATGTTGAACCAGCCTTGCATCCCAGGGAAGAATCCATCTTGACTGTGGTGGATAAGCTGTTTGATGTGCTGCTGAATTCGGTTTGCCATTATTTTATTGAGGATTTTCGCATCTATGTTCATCAAGGATACTGGTCTAAAATCCTCTTTTTTTGTGTGTGTCTCTGCCAGGCTTTAGTATCAGGATGATGCTGGCCTCATAAAATGAGTTAGGGAGGATTCTCTCTTTTTCTATTGATTGGAATAGTTTCAGAAGGAATGGCACCAGCTCCTCTTTGTACCTCTGGTAGAATTCGGCAGTGAATCCGTCTGGTCCTGGACTTTATTGGTTGGTAGGCTATTATTATCTCAATTTCAGAGCCTGTTATTGGTCTCTTCAGAGATTCAACTTCTTCCTCGTTTAGTCTTGGGAGTGTGTACGTGTCCAGGAATTTATCCATTTCTTCTAGATTTTCTAGTTGATTTGCATAGAGGTATTTATAGTATTCTCTGATGGTAGTTTATATTTCTGTGGGATTGGTGGTGATATCTCCTTTATCATTTTTTAATGCATCTATTTGATTCTTCTCTCTTTTCTCCATTAGTCTTGCTAGCAGTCTATCAATTCTGTTGATCTTTTCAAAAAACCAGCTCCTGGATTCATTGATTTTTCGAAGGGTTTTTCGTTATTGGGTATTTCGTTTTTGAAGGGTATTTCGTTATTATTGAAGGGTATTTCGTTATCTTAATTATTTCTTGCCTTCTGCTAGCTGTTGAATGTGTTTGCTCTCATTTCTCTAGTTCTTTTAACTGTGATGTTAGGGTGTCGATTTTAGATCTTTACTGCTTTCTCTTGTGAGCATTTAGTGCTATAAATTTCCCTCTACACACTGCTTTAAATGTGTCCCAGAGATTCTGGTATGTTGTGTCTTTGTTCTCATTGGTTTCAAAGAACAGCTTTATTTCTGCCTTCATTTCGTTATTTACCCAGTAGTCATTCAGGAACAGGTTGTTCAGTTTCCACGCAGTTGTGCAGTTTTGAGTGAGTTTCTTAGCCTGAGTTCTAAATTTGATTGCACTGTGCTGTGAGAGTTTGTTGTGATTTCTGTTCTTTTACATTTGCTGAGGAGTGCTTTACTTCCAACTATGTGGTCAATTTTAGAATAAGTGTGATGTGGTCCTGAGAAGAATGTATATTCTGTTGATTTGGGATGGAGGGTTCTGTAGATGTCTATTAGGTCTGCTTGGTGCAGAGCTGAGTTCAAGGCCTGGATATCCTTGTTAACCTTCTGTCTCGTTGATTTGTCTAATATTGACAGTGGGGTGTTAAAGTCTCCCATTATTTTTGTGTGGGAGTCTAAGTCTCTTTGTAGGTCTCTAAGGGCTTGCTTTATGAATCTGGGTGCTCCTGGATTGGGTGCATATATATTTAGGATAGTTAGCTCTTCTTGTTGAATTGATCCCTTTACCATTATGTAATGGCCTTCTGATCTTTGTTGGTTTGAAGTCTATTTTATCAGAGACTAGGATTGCAACTCCTGCTTTTTTTTTGCTTTGCATTTGTTTGGTACATCTTCCTCCATCCCTTTATTTTGAGCCTATGTGTGTCCCTGCAGGTGAGATGTGTCTTGGGGTTGCTCTTCTCGAGGAGTATCTTTGGGGTGTTCTCTGTATTTCTTGAATTTGAATGTTGGCCTGCCTTGGTAGGTTGGGGAAGTTCTCCTGGATGATATCCTGCAGAGTGTTTTCCAACTTGGTTCCATTCTCCCCGTCACTTTCAGGTACACCAATCAAATGCAGATTTGGTCTTTTCCCACAGTCTGTTATTTCTTGGAGGCTTTGTTCATTTCTTTTAAGTCTTTTTTCTATAACCTCGTCTTCTCACTTTTTTCATTAATTTGATCTTCAATCATGGATACACTTTCTTCCACTTGATCGAATCGGCTATTGAAGCTTGTGCATGTGTCACAAAGCTCTCGTGCCACAGTTTTCAGTTCCAACAGGTCATTTAAGGTGTTCTCTACACTGTTTATTCTAGTTAGCCATTTGTCTAACCTTTTTTCAAGGTTTTTACCTTCCTTGAGATGGGTTTGAACATGCTCCTTTCGCTCGGAGAAGTTTGTTACTACCGACCTTCTGAAGCCTACTTCCGTCAACTCATCAAAGTCATTCTCCATCCAGCGTTGTTCTGTTGCTGGTGAGGAGCTGCAATCCTTTGTAGGAGAAGAGGTCCTCTGGTCTTTAGAATTTTCAGCTTTTCTGCTCTGGTTTCTCCCTATCTTTGTGGTTTTATACTACCTTTGGTCTTTGATGTTGGTGACCTAGAGATGGGGTTTTGGTGTGGATATCCTTTTAGTTGATGTTGATGCTATTCCTTTCTGTTTGTTAGTTTTCCTTGTAACAGTCAGGTTCGTCAGCTGCAGGTCTGTTGGAGTTTGCTGGAGGTCCACTCCAGACCCTGTTTGCCTGGTTATCACCAGCGGAGGCTGCAGCACAGCAAATGCTGCAGCACAGCAAATACTGTAGAACAGCAAATATTGCTGCCTGGTCCTTCCTCTGGAAGCTTCGTCCCAGAGGGGCAACCACCTATATGAGGTGTCTGTCGGCCCCTAGTGGGAGGTGTCTCCCAGTTAGGCTACACGGGGGTCAGGGACTCACTTGAGGAGGCCATCTGTCTGTTCTCAGAGCTCAAACACCAAGCTGGGAGAACCACTGCTCTCTTCAGAGCTGTCAGACAGGTACACTGATGTCTGCAGTTGTCTGCTGCCTTGTGTTCAGCTATGCCTTGCCCAGAGTGGAGTCTATAGAGGCAGTAGGCCTTGCTGAGCTGTGGTGGGCTCCGCCCAATTCAAGCTTCCCAGCCGCTTTGTTTACCTACTCAAGCCTCAGCAATGGTGGATGCCCCTCCCCAAGCCAGGCTGCTGCCTCGCAATTCAATCTAAGGCTGCTGCGCTAGCAGTGAGCAAGGCTCTGTGGGCGTTGGACCTGCTGAGCCAGGCATGGGAGAGAATCCCCTTGTCTGCCGGTTGCTAAGACCTTGGGAAAGCGCAGTTTTTGGGTGAGAGTGTCCCGTTTTTCCAGGTACAGTCTGTCCCGGCTTCCCGTGGCTAGGAAAGGGAAATCACCCGACCTCTTGTGCTTCCTGGGTGAGGCAACGCCCCACTCTGCTTTAGCTCACCCTCTGGGGCTGCACCCACTGTCCAACCAGTCCCAGTGAGATGAACCAGGTATCTCAGTTGGAAATGCAGAAATCACCCATCTTCTGTGTCAATCATGGTGGGAGCTGCAGACTGGAGCTGTTCCTATTTGGCCATCTTGGAACAAATCTCCAAAGTTATTTATTTAAATGCCTGTCTCCTTCAGTAATCTGTGAGTTATTCAAGTTGTAGGTAGCATGGCTTAACTTTACATTATCAGAATGTAGTACAGTAATTAGTATATAATAATATAGATTGAAAAGTATAAAGAAAAACCATTAACTTTATCAATGTGTTTTGAAAAGCAGGACTGCATCCCACAGGTGCTAAAAGCTATAGAAATATCTCTTCAAAACAAATGTGTTAAAAGCCTCTGAAAAATGAAAGCATACATACCTTCAGTGTCTTGATCATAGTTGGATCAGTTGACCTAACATAGAAACTCTTCAGATAAGGTTCAAACATCCCCTGGATTACAAAAATAAATACAAAAATACATTATGGTACTAATGTGTTCATGTGTCTCTTAAATTACGTGTTCAGAACATACATACCTTTCTTTGAATTGACATAGTTGCTATATTTTGTAGGACAATATACTGCACCTCCCTAGAAATCAAAAGATAATTTTTACTGGGTATATGTTCCAATGAAACATCTTTGAGTAAGCACTACAATAATGACAAAGAATTAGCAATAATTTCAAGTGAATGAGACTCTTAAATGTAATAATGAAAAGTTTTTAGTAAATCTTAGATGTGTGTCTTTTTAACGCACTTTTCCTATAAAATACCAATAAATTAGACGTGATTCATCATGAAGAATAGTTAAAACAAATTTTATAATAAAGTGCTCCTAAAATATGAAGTTAACATTGTACCTGCTTTGAACACATCCAAGGAAGGTATTCTTAGGGTTAATAGGGGTAGATAGGACCACACTGTTATTATAAACTCATTAAATAACTCATTCTTCCCAGGGCAAAGGCCAGATTTTAAAAGTAGTCATGTTATTTTTAGACCCAAATATCTAATAAATGAACTGAATCTGGTATAAGGCTTCATGTGAAAGACCAATTCCAGGTCTTTCTGATATCTTTTGAACTAGCCATAGGAAAAAAAAAAAAAGTATTGAACTAGCAAAAGAGAAAAATAATAGCTGGATATACAGATAGGGAGAATAGGAACACAAAGGAAATGGCATCTCATTTGTTACTAAGCCAGTCAAGAGCTACAATTGTGGACTAAGTTCCAGTTAAGGGCAAAAATAAATACATAGTTTTTTCCTTCCAACGCAATTAGTGGAAACAAGCACTCAATGAAAAACATTGTTTCAAATTAAAACAACTAATTACTGAAAAATAGCTAAGGTATGTCAAATAGCTGAAATGAAGGTATTCTTAAACACAGAAACAAATGTCTGAATTAAACCTGAAATCATGATTCTCATGTTATATGTCATGGAAACTCAATAAATTGTTTTGAATCGTTAACCTAAACCACTAAATTATAAAGAGGTAAAATCAAAGAAGGTGGCATGCTCTTTCTGTCTGTCTATCTGAAACTAAGAGTATGCAATCTTTAAAATGAGTAGCTATTAAAAACACAGCTCTCTTTTTAGAGTGGAGCAAAGCATAGTAATTAAATATTCCAGCTTTATAGGAAGCACAATTCTGGCATAAACTACATTACTTAGCATACACATTGCTCTATATAAAACCATGTATTAATACATTGAGTAAGTCAATCTGATAGTACTTCAGTATAGTTTTTCAGTGATTCCAGATTTACCAAAACTCCCAAACATCATTATTGCCATACCTAAAAATTTCAAACACTAATACTAGGCTACTAGTGACACTCTAGTGTTATGCCACAAAATATTTTCAATATCTTTGGGCTTGAGGTTAAAAAGTTTCAGTATTTATCATTAAGTTTGAGATAAATGCATAAAGACTTTTATAATAATCCCCTTAAGTATGAAATCTTACTGATCGATTGATTAAAATATAGTCAGAGTTATATATTAAATGCCTGAAAGATTACATTTGTTCAAACATTACTTTTGAAGGAATACAAAAGAAAAAATATATATAAAATCATGACCTACCTATTGCTACGAAGTAAACGCACTAGTGATTTAGAAATTATGCCAGCTTCAGATTTTGGTGATATGTGCCAATACAGCTGAGCAACTGCCATAACCACCTACAAGATAAAGCATAAAAATAACAGAACTATGAACACTAGAGCACTCTACAACCTCAAAATCCATTCCTACACATTATTTCCTCTAAGTCCTACAAATTCCTGTGACGTAAAATGGAATGTTACTCTTCGTAGTGAGTTGAAGAAGTGTCCCCCACTCCCAGTGCCCAATACTATCCTCAGAATCTGATCTTATTTGGAAGTGGGATCTCTGCAGAAATTATTAATATAAGAATTGAAATGACATCATGCTGGTTAAGAGCCCTAAATCGAATGAACGTGTCCTTATAAGAGAAAAAAAAAGGACAAAAAGAGACACCGTGAAGGCCATGTGAAGATGGAGATAATTAGTGTGATACACCCATAAGCCAAGCAATGCCACGGATTGCTGGCAATCACCAGAAGCCAGGAAAGAGAAGGTTTCTCCCTCAGAGCGTACAGAAGTAACCAATACTGATTATACCTTGATTTCAGACTTCTGGCTTCCTGAAATGTGACAGAATAAATTTCTGTTGTTTTAATCCACTCAGTTTGTGGCAATATGTATGGCAGTGCTATGAAAAGAATACATCCTCAGAAAAAAAAAGAGACACTGAATGAACTGCTCAAGGTGTAACAGCTAGTACGTGGCAAAGCTCAAGACACTCGAAATTCCATGCTCCTCAGCTGCTGCTCTGAGACTGGGGCTTTTTAAGAATTATAAGCATGCCTTTCTAAATGAAGCCAGGATAACAGTAACTAGTAGGCTGAAATAAAGAAAACTCAGCACATTTAAGTTACAATTAAAGAAACTCCATTAAAACAAATACATCTACAGCAGTAGCATTTAAAATAATCTTGTTTTTAAAAACACAGAACCTTAAAAATGGCTTCTGGTTCAAAGCCATTATAAGGGTGATTCAAAGACTGGGCACAGTGGCTCACGCCTGTACTCCCACCCCTTTGGGAGGCCGAGGCAGGTGGGTCACTTGCAGTCAGGTGTGAGAGCATCCTGGCCAACATGGTAAAACCCCATCTCTACTAAAAATACAAAAATTAGGTTAAGCGTGGTGGTGCACACCTGTAATCTCAGCTACTTGGGAGGTTGGGACACGAGAATCATTGAACCCAGGAGGTAGAGGTTGCAGTGAGCCGAGATCATGCCACTGCACTCCAGCCTGTGCAATGGAGTGAGACTCTGTCTCAACAAAACAAAACAAACAAAGGGTGACTGGAATTTCTTTGTCTCAAAACAGAAGAGTACTGTTTCCCCTAAGTGCCTCTACACTCAGATTCAGAGTGACAACTGCAGAGACATAGCTACAGATGTTACCAATGCTGCCTTTGGCTCAAAGGACACACTAATATTAATTTAATTCTGCCTGGTCTATGAAGTTTGAACAAATATATAGCAAAAATTCTATTAATATATATGCCTAAATAGTATACAGCACAGAAGAATGTTTGAGGTTAAAAAAAAAAGTTTCTTCTGAAACTAAAGAACCGTTTTTAAAAATACAGTATACAGGGTCCTAAATTTACTGTTTGCCATTTCTTGTACTTTCTTACAAGTTTGATTTATAGCTTTAAGATATTAGTTGAGAATTTAAAAAATGCAAGAATATCTCATTTCTTCACTTGTGAACTGCAAATATAAGTTGGTTACAAAATAAACTCTCCTGAATTTTAAATCTTATAAAATAAAAGAATCTCAATTAATGATTGACCTAATCCAAGATCAGTCATTTAAAAAAATATTAACGCATATACCTGGCTAATAAGTATTAGTAAATGATAGAAAAGAAAGCTGAATCTTAATTTTAATCTATCTTACAGATAGTAAATCCTTTTCCCTTACAAATAAAAGTCCAATCCTACTGGCAAGAAAGCAAACTGTACTTCCTATACATGTCAATGTCTTTAAAATTCTAGCTGCCATTTGGCATGCCATCTGTTCTAATATATTAGGGTACTCCAAAATCCAAAAGGACTAAATGAGCCTCTTTTTCCTCGGTATTTAGAAATCCAACAGTTGAAAGTCGCTTTGATACCCAGATTTGAAATGTATAGGCTAATTTGTAAACGCCATGAAAAAAGTTCCCAAAACTTCAAAATCCAAAAAGACTAAAAATATACAACCTTATAGACCTTCTACAGTTACATCATGCCTGTTCATAATAAAGCGCATCCTATAAACACTTTTCTACTCTTAACCATTCATGCCGCTGTCACCTTATTTAGACTGTTAGAATAGCCTCCTAACATTCCGCTTTCAGTATCTATCTCCAGTACAAACTACATAGCAATGATGTATTATGTTTCCTGAAAGAAATTCTCAAAGTCTCTCCATAAACTTAAGTACGAGGTTAAAAAAAAATCTATCCACAATTCTTCAAAAGTTAGCCTTTACTCATATTTAGCAGCATCCCAAAACAAGGTACCAAAATACACTGACACAAAAAGTAAACCACCTCTATTACAGCATCAAGTAAGCAGGGAACCCAAACAAAATGGGACCAGAAGTACAAACTGCCACTATTTGTTTCACTATTTGAAAACGTTTTTGATCCATAAGTATTTGAACTATAAAATCAATTTCTAAGACCTAGTTAAATGAACAGTGAGTCACTCATAAAGTACAGCTTAAGATGGCAAATTACAGCTACCTAACTAGCATCTGGCTAAGCTGAGTACATTAAAATATAAGCATATTTTACAACAGCCATGAAATAATATTTTCATTATGACTAGGCATGATTACTGAATAATGATTTGGAAACTAAACCATTAGGTATTAGACAAAAATTGTTGTTGATAACTTGGATATACAAAGCTGTAAGCTCTAAATTCTCAAGAATCAATTCATTAAGAATTGTTCTGAACAGAACAATTCATTAAGAATACTTTCTCAATTAAAATCTTTAAGAACATGTTTAACCTAAATCCGTCAAGCCTTTGGATATAACTGCCAGTTAACAGGAAACACAGAATATAAAAGAATTAAATGACACTATAAAAGATGCAACCATCCCATTCCAGTAGGTATAGCAAACAAAATAACAAAATAAAAAGAAGCAGCAGCAATCAGACAAACCCAGAAGGACATTCTGCAAGACTTGACAGGCTTTAAAAGATGCAATGCATTAGATAATGGTTTGGATAAATCATCCAAAAAGAATAATTTAAGATCAATTGGTATTAAATGAAATGAAATTTTATTAAAATAAAAAGTAGAGAGGACTGACTAGAGAAAAAAAGGTTAGAAAATGCTATGTACAGTATGATTTTTATCTTGGTTAAAAAATATATATATATGTATGTGTAACCATGAATATATGTACACTTATGCAGATTAGAAAGATCTGGAAGAAAATACACTAAGACATAAGTGATTTCTGAGTGTTGAGAATGTGATGTTTTAATTTTCTTTTTAGTTTTGCTAGCCTGTAATTTCTAATTTTGTATTGTGCACATGTATTCTTCTAAAATATAAATGGTTATATAAACAAAAAGGTGTCGAACAAACAAAAAAAACCTTATGACCCAAATAAAGATGATTTTTAATTACTATTACTGCCAATTTACATTTATAATATGTGAGGCATTACCTTTGTTAGTCTCTTAAAAATTCTATCAGACAGATACAAACAGTATGGACTAATACCAGATCAAGTACCCCCAATCACAATGGAATAACTGATAAATATACATAGTTCTTATATAAGAGCTAATATAATCCAACCAATTGAGAAACAACTTAGAAATATCTTAAGAAAAGCCAATTAACAAAACCATTAAAACGTAAATGAAGTCCAATAGGCCAAACCAGGTATTGTCATCAAAACCTAACTCTGTATACCTGGAAACATGGAAGGCTGAAATATATTTAGGTATTACTTCTCAGACATTAGGTCTCTAAATCTATAGCTTACATTCCACACTGTACTTCCAACTATCCATTACATGTCATTTGGTGTGTAAACAAACAAATGCTCCATTAGCACACACAGACTCACTTACTAAATTGAGATATTTTTAATTGCTGTTTTTTAAAAACCAGTGAATTATTTCTTATAAGGATTTTAACATACCGCAGCATTCCTGCTCTGAAGCAAAGGCTTTGTATTTCTAATTAAGAGTCTATGATCTGGATCCATAGTATACGGCTTCTTCTTTTTGTCAGTCTTTTCCTTCTGATCATCATCAGATTCGTAGAAATTCTTTCCATTGTCTTCTAATTCATCACCCTACAATGAAAGAAATCCAACCCAAGATTACTTTAGACCTTGAGCAATCTGCATATTATATAGTCAAAGAAAACTTTCCTTTAAACATCTATAACAACATTTTACCGTAGAATACTTCTGTTTGGGCAATTTAAAAATATTACACAACCTATATCGAATAAAGGTCTATTGATTTTTCTCATATTTTATAACAAGTTACTGTGCTATAGATGATGTGCTTCTATTGTATTACAAAGTAAATTTTTGACTATTAAATCCCCATAGAAATACCTATAGTCCTTCAAAAGGAACACATGACCGTTAGATTTTAACAAGGCCTATAATACTACCTAAAACCTGAAAACTATTTCCATAAATTGTCAGCCACTCTGTAACTAGATCAAAGAGTCAAAAAAAGAGGAGCATTGTTTGAATAGTAACATAAAAGAAATCACAGTAAAGTGTGACACGAAAAAACTAGTGTTGTTAAGTAGGTCCCTGAGTTGTCAAGAAAACGTCTCAGTTTGAGATTTATAAATATCCAGAGGAGCTGATTCTAGGTTTTTGTTTTGAATTCTTTATCTCTGCCAATAAAATATGCCTACAGGCATTTAGTGCTCAAAACAAACAAACAAAAAACCAAACAAACACAGTAATAGCCACATACATCCAATTCAACTTCTGTTTAGAGGTAACTTCCGTTACCAAGTATCTGAAACATACTTTCTGCTTCCAGGAAGATGGAGTAGATGTACTTTTCCCCATCTCTCTCACTAAGTAGAGATCTAGAAAAGCAGAACACTACATGTAAAACATATATAAAACAAACATAAGAAGACTTTGAAAGGCAAAAAGGAGGAGCACTGGATAGGAACCTCAAGATCCAAAGAAAGACAGACCAGTGAGTTCCCTGGGTTTTCTTTTTATTTCATATATCCACAACTCGGTGCAGAAGCTGGCAACAAATGCAGATGAAAGAAACCACCAGAACCGCTCTCTCTAGCCAAAGGACCAGGAAAGGGGCAGTCTAGCAAGATATAAAACTTTTAGAAGTAACTACTCAAGTGCAGCCCAACACCAGATAAAAAATTATGGCCCTACCCCCATCCCCACCAGTAGAGGCTGAGATGGTGATCCTAGACTTCTACCCTTATTAGGCTGTAATGAGATGCCCCAACCACCTCACTAGGTGGTTTCAGAAAAGGCCAAGATGGGATTGAGAGTTTCATCTCTACCAAGAGGTAACAAGGCATTCTGATATTGTCAGTGAAGACCAAGTGAGGAGCTTGGACTTCTAAGCCCATCCATTAGTGTCAAGGTGACCTTATTCCTCCTCACTGTGATGATGTCAGAGGAGGCCTAGTGCATAGTCAGGACTTGCAGCACCACACCTAGTAGTAACCAAAGTCAGCCCCGCCCACACCCTGGTGGTTGTCAGGGAAGGACACACATAGAACAGTACCTTGTATCCCTCCTAGCAGACAGCTATCAGAGAAAGACGGTTGGGGAGCCAGAAATCCCACATTCACCTATGGTAACAATGAGTAAAATCCCTCTGAAGTGTCAGTGGAGGATAAGCAGGGAATCCGGACTCCTGCTATGACCTGGCAGTGATGAGACAGCACCCCTCTCTCTTTCCACCACCCTTCCCTGCTAGAGTGGTATCAAACAAAGCCAGTTAACCTGAAGGTTTAAAAATATCCAGTCTCAAAGTATCCAAAATGTCCAAGTTTCAATTAAAAAATCACTCATCATTCCAAGAGAAAGGAAGATCTCAAACTGAATAAAAATAGATAACTAGCAGATGCCAATACCAAGATAATAGAGATATTGGAATGATCTGATTATTTTTTAAAAATCATTAAAAAATGCTTCGATGAGCAATTGAGAACATCCTGGTAAAAAATACAGAAATAGAAGGTTTTAGCAAAGAATTATAAAGTCTAGACTGGGTGCAGTGACCCATGCCTGTCATCCCAGCACTCTGGGAGGCCGAGGTGGGCAGATCACCTGAGGTCAGGAGTTCAAGACCAGCCTGGCCAACATGGCGAAACCCTGTCTCACTAAAAATACAAAATTAGCCTGGCTGGTGGGGCACACCTGTAATCCCAGCTACTCGAGAGGCTGAGGCAGGAGAATTGCTTGAGCTCATGAGGCGGAGGTTGCAGTGAGCCAAGATCGCGCCATTGCCCTCCAGCCTGGGCAACAAGAGCAAAATTCCATCTTAAAAAAAAAAAAAAAAAAAAGGCCAGGCACAGTGGCTCACGCCTGTAATCCCAGCATTTTGGGAAGCCGAGGTGGGTGGATCACGAGATCAGGAGTTAGAGACCAGCCTGGCCAACATGGTGAAACTCCATCTCTACTAAAAATACAAAAATTAGCCAGGCATGGTGGTGGACGCCTGTAATCCCAGCTACTCAGGAAGCTGAGGCAGGAGACTCACTTGAACCCTGGGAGGCGGAGGTTGCAGTGAGTGGAGATTGCGCCACTGCACTCCAGCCTGGGTGACAGAGTGAGACTCCATCTCAAAAAAAAAAAAATTATAAAGTTTAAAGAAAGAAATAGAAGATATAAAGACCAAATAAAAACTGTTAACGACTGGCAAATACAAGAACCAAAACTAAAAACCTAATGAATGGGATCAAAAGCAGAGGAGGGGGACAAAAGAAATAATCAGTAAACTGGAACACAGAACAACAAGATTTACCCAATCTGAACAAAGATAAAATAGACTAGGGACAAAAAAAATCAAAACTAAAAAACAGGCCGGGTGCGGTGGCTCATGCCTGTAATCCCAGCACTTTGGGAGGCGAGGCGGGTGGATCACGAGGTCAGGAGATTGAGACCATCCTGGCTAACACGGTGAAACCCCGCCTCTACTAAAAAAATACAAAAAAGTAGCCAGGCATGGTGGTGGGTGCCTGTAGTCCCAGCTACTCGGGAGGCTGAGGCAGGAGAATGGCGTGAACCTGGGAGGCAGAGATTGCAGTAAGCCGAGATTGGCCACTGCACTCCAGCCTGGGTGACACAGCGAGACACTGTCTCAAAAAAAAAAAAACAGAGTCTCAGGGACCAGTGAAAATGCAACAAAAGACCTAACATTCCTTTCATCTATTAATCAATCCTGGAAGGAGAAGAGACAGAGGCAAGAGTTGAAAGAGAACTCAAAGAAATAATGACTGCAAACTTTTTAAATTTGGCAAATAAAACTACAAATTGAGGAAGCTGAGTAAACCCTAAACAGGATTAAACCCAAAGAAATCCAAAACAGCACACATTATAGTAAAACCTCTGAAAACTAAAGACAAAGAAAAACAAATCTTGAAAGCAGGAAAGGAGAAATGACACTTTACCAATAACAGAAAAACAAGTCTAATGACAGCAGATTTCTCATCAAAAACCATGGAGGACAGAACACAGTAGACCAACTGATGGAGAGGAACTATCAAAAGAGAATCTTATATCTAGCAAAAATATATTTCAGGAATGAAGGGGGAGAAAATCAAGACATTTTCAGATAAAGGGGAACTAGAGTATTTGTTATAAGCAGACCTATCCTGAAAGAATGGCTAAAGGAAGCTCTTTAGACAGAAAGGAAATGATAAAAGATGGAATCTTCAAACATCTGGAAGGAAGAAAGAATATGGCAAGGAAAAATATGAGTACATATAATAGTTTTTCCTTCTCCTCTGAGTCTTTTAAATTATATTAGATGGTTGAAGAAAAGTTATAACATTGATACGGTTCTAAATGCATGTAAAGGACATACCTAAGAAAACTATTTATAAAGTGGAGAGAAAAAAGAGATCAAAGGGAGCTAAGTGGTTAAAAAGTTTGCCCCTTGAAGTGTAACATGAGGACATCAGTAGACTGTGATGGTAAGATGATAAGTTATGCATGTAAAATGTAATACCTACAGCATCCACTAAAGAAGCTGCACAAAGAGATATATTCGTGCTTTGGTAGAAAGATTACTTAAGGCCAAGGTAGAAAGATTACTTAAGGCCAGGAGTTCTAGACCAGCCTGGGCAACAGAGCAAAACCTTGCCTCTACTACAAGTAAAAAAATAAAACAAAACTCAGCCATTCATGGGGGTATGTACCCATAGTCTTAGCTGCTCAGGAGGCTGAGGTGGGAGGATCACTGGAGCCCAATACTTTGAGGCTTCAATGAGCTATGATCAAGCCACTGTGCTCCAGCCTGGGTGACAGAGTGAGACCCTATCTCTAAAAAATTTCAAAAAAATAGGTTTTAATTAATAAAAAAAGAGATATATTCAAATTAACTGCAGATAAGCAAAGATGGAATTCTAAAAAATGTTGAAATAACCCACAGTTAAGAGAAATGAAGACTAGAGAGAACAAACAAAAAACAAAAAACTAAATGGGACGCTTAAGCCTTAAAAATAAATAATTAGATTAAATGTAAATCAGTATGCTGATTAAAAGACAAAGGCTGGCAAAGTAGATTAAAACCCATGACTCAACTATGTGCTGCCTATAAGAAATTCACCATAAACATAAAGATAAAGGCAGGTTAAAAGTAAAAAGATGGAAAAATACATAGCATGCTAATATTAATCAAGGGAAAGCACAATAACTATATTAATATGAGATAAAGTACACTTCAGAGCAAAGAAAATTACAACAGAGAAGGACATTATAGAATGACAAAATGGATAATCTACAATGAAGGTTATATACCATATAATTCCATTTATATAACATTCTTGAAATAACAAAACTATGGAAACAGAAAGATTAGCAGTTGCCAGGGGTTAAGGGTTGGGAGTAAGGTTAAACATGTGGAATAAAGTCGGTTTGGCTATGAAACGGCAACATGAAGATTCCCTGTGATGGAAATGTTCTCAGTTTTGACTGTATCAATGTCAATATCCTGGTTGTAATACTGTATTAGAGTTTTGCAAGACATTACCATTGGGGAAAATTGAGTAAAGGTTATGCCAGATCTCTCTCAATTATTTCTTAAAATTTCATGTGAATCTAAATTATCTTTTAAAAACCATTTAATTGAATAAAACTAAGGAGATAAAAATCAGTAAGTCACTTAAAAGCAATTTGTTGTATTTATGCATTGTTATACATAACAATAAAGAAAATTATCTAAAATGTTTTAGGTTAATATCACTTAAGTATTTTTCCCTTGCTAGGTGCCTACAGATTTTACACAATCTTTCCTTAAATCTTGACATAAATATCACTGGAAAACACCTTTCATCAAAAGTACAACTTTTAGGTCTCTCAGAATAGGAATAATATTAGCTCAGTGCTTTTTAAATCCACAGGCAAAAAAATCTTATAAAATTATTCAGAGAAAACTCACAAAATTTATACTCTTTGAAAACAAAAGTATTTCTACTAATACTCATCTTCAAAATTAAACTAGAAATCATAACATTATCACCTTCCTTTGAATACAGAATTCAAAACAAACACACTACTTGTCTTTTAGTGCTTAATAAAAAGACTATAAGTGAGATATACTTTTATATCAAAGCTGGACTTGAGTGACTATTCCTTTATGGAGCTCCAGGCTAAAGTAGTTCTGTTAAGTACATTAATAAACCAATAAAACACAAATAATTAAATGCTCTAAGCATAAGCACTCACTTACAATCTTAAGTCATGGTTAATTAAACAAATGTTCAAACTCTACCTGAAAGTGATACATAATGAAAGTGCTGTATTAACAGACATAGCACTATTACTAACAAAATCATCAAAATGTACATAAAAAACTGCTTTTTATAACCATCTACTCATTCCATTTCTTCCTCATTGTTAATTAACATACTGAGTTCAATTACATTATTTTAATGAAAGACACATATGTATTGCTTATTTTGCTGTACAAATGTTTAAGATTATGGCAGTATATTATAACAGTAAAACTACAAACCACTGCTCAAGGAAATCAAAGAGGACAAAAGCAGATGGAAAAATATTCCATGCTCATGGATAGGAAGTATCAATATCATGAAAATGGCCATCCTGCCCAAAGCAATTTATAGATTCAATGCTATTCCCATTAAACTACCATTGACATTCTTCACAGAACTAGAAAAAACTATTTTAAAATTCATATGAAACCAAAAGCAGCTCATGTAGCCAAGACAATGCTAAGCAAAAAGAACAAAGCTGGAGGCATCATGCTACCTGACTTCAGACTATACTACAAGGCCACAGTAACCAAAACAGCATGGTACTGGTACAAAAACAGTCACATAGACCAATGGAACAGAATAAAGAACTCAGAAATAAAACCACACATCTACAACCATCTGATCTTCAACAAATCTGACAAAAACAAGCAATGGGGAAAGGATTCCCTATTTAACAAGTGGTGCTGGGAGAACTGGCTAGCCATATGTGAAAAACTGAAACTGGATCCCTTCCTTACATCTTATACAAAAATTAACTCAAGATGCATTAAAGACTTAAATGTAAAACCCAAAACTATAAAAACCCTAGAAGAAAATCTAGGCAATACCGTTCAGGACATCAGCATGGACAAAGACTTTATGATGAAATTGCCAAAAGCAACTGCAACAAAAGCAAAAATTGACAAATGGGATCTAATTAAACTAAAGAGCTTCTGCACCGCAAACAAAACTATCATCAGAGCAAACAGACAACCTACAGAATGGGAGAACATTTTTGTAATCTGTCCATCTGACAAAGGGCTAATATCCAGAACCTACAAGAAACTTAAGCAAATTTACAAGAAACTAACAACCCCATTAAAAAGTGGGCAAATGGTATGAACAGACACTTCTCAAAAAAAGATATACATGCAGCCAAGAAACATATGAAAAATAGCTCAACATCTCTGATCATTAGAGAAATGCAAATC
This sequence comes from Homo sapiens, assembly GCF_000001405.40. Lineage (NCBI taxonomy): Eukaryota > Metazoa > Chordata > Mammalia > Primates > Hominidae > Homo > Homo sapiens. The sequence continues at coordinate 78,188,516 of NC_000005.10, forward strand.
AAAACCACAATTAGATATCATTTCATACCACTCAGAATGGCAATTATTAAACACTCAAAAAACAGACGCTGGCCAGGCTGCGGAGAAATAGGAATGCTTTTACACTGTTGGTGGGTACATAAATTAGTACAATCATTGTTGAAGACAATGTGCTGATTCCTCAAAGATTTAGAACCAGAAATACCATGTGACCCAGCAATCCCATTACTGGGTATATACCCAAAAGAGTATAAATCATTCCATTATAAAGATATATGCACGCAAATGTTCACTGCAGCACTATTCACAATAGCAAAGACACAGAATCTACCCAAATGCCCATCAATGACAGACTACATAAAGAAAATGTGGTGCATATACACCATGGAATACTATGCAGCCATAAAAAGGAACGAGATAATGTCCTTTGCAGGGACATGGATGAAGCTGGAAGCCATCATTCTCAGCAAACTAATGCAGGAACAAAAAACCAAACACCACGTTCTCACTTATAAGTGAGAACTGAACAATGTGAACACATGGACACAGCGAGGGAACAACACTTACTGGGGCCTGTCAGGGCAGGGTTAGTGGGGAGAGCATTAGGGAAAAGAGCTAATGGATGCTGGGCTTAATACCTGGGTGATGGATTGATAGGTGCAGCAAACCACCATGGCACACGTTTACCTATGTAACAAACCTGCACATCCTGCACATGTACCCTGGAACTTAAAAAATAATAATAAAATTATTTAAAAAAAAATTTTTAAACTTATGTAAATGTTTCTATAGTGTCCTCTATGAACATACCATCATATAGGTTTTTGAGTTCACTTCCATAAGAAACATTTTTATATGGTTTGATTTTAATATGCATTTACAAAAATATGAACACTTTACAGAGGATTACTTGCACTACTGTATTTCTTCAATATGTATTTAATTGAAAGGATGGCATTTTTAATGACTATAATTAAAGGTCGATGAATCACTATCTTATTAAAATTTAGTAATATTTCATAACATACATGGTTCACAATTGATGCAACTGCTTCCTATTGATGAATTTTTTTACAGTTTTAAAAAATTATGCGGCCAGGCATGGTGGCTCACACCTATAATCCCAGCACTCTGGGAGGCCAAGGCAGGCGGATCACCTGAGGTCACGAGTTCAAGACCAACCTGCCCAACATGGTGAAACCCCATCTCTACTGAAAATACAAAAATTAGCCAGGCATAGTGGCACATGCCTATAGTCCAAGCTACTTGGGAGGCTGAGGCAGGAGAATCGCTTGAACCTGGGACACAGAGGTTGCAGTGAGCCAAGATCACGCCACTGCACTCCAGACTGGATGACAGAGCAAGACTCCATCTCAAATAAAATAAAATAAAATAAAATAAAATAAAATAAAATAAAATAAAATAAAATAAAATAAAATAAAATAAAAATTATGCAAACTAATAAAATATTAATAATAAAAAGATTTCAAAAGAGTAATTTTCTTTCATTAGTATCTTTTCCACATGATTCAATGATCTTATATTGCTACTAATAAAACTTCTACAAATTAACATATAATATTACAGAAATTGTAATTTCCTAAAATAAAAGGGATTATTTGAAATAACAAAGTTTTTATAATGGGATTATGAGCTAACAAACATGAAGAACATGTTGCTTATAGCTAAAATAGTTCATGTTAATTATCATTTAAAAACATTCCCCTCAGAAGAAATTCTCTTATACTTTTTATGAAATTTCAGTTTGGTTCTACTGCCATGAGAACATCATGACACAGCTTCTTAGATCCGGCTCTCCCAGTTACTAGCTATAGGCATGTACCAACTGCATAATTCTCTAAGTTGGAACCAAGCAGAGAAAAAATTGACAAGTGAAGGGTGGACGTTTTTATGAGGTTAATGAAATGAAGGAGATGAGGCTTTCTTGGAGGACAAGAATGAATCTCCAACAACATATTTGAATCTGTACTACTGTGGACTATGTTTCTCAGGTTTTTAATGAATCAGAACAGGCATTAGTCCAAACAGAATGGATACGTACACAGCATATGGGTGTATCTGGACACACCAGTTCAATATAAGTGCTGGCTCTATGACCATGACAAATCACTCAACCTTTCCTTGTCTTGATTTTTTTCCTTGTCTTGGTTTACTCATCTATAAAAGCAGTAACTATATCATTATAGTGTTTATAAAGATTGAATCAGTTTATTGAACATTATACAAGCACTTAGTGCCTGATACAAATTAAAGTACACAAACAGTAGCTATTGCCACTGCTTCTATTATTAAGAAACTTTCTTTCTAGAAGCCATGTAATTGAAACTATTACTATGCCTCAAATTCAATATCCCTAGATGCCAAATATGAAAAAAAGTTTCCCCCCTAAAATTATCCCTCAGAAAGAAGTTGCCTCATACTTGAGGATTTATAAATGTATTATGAGGCTCTTACACAACTGCTTCATTTTGAACCATAATGTATTGTTTGGGGAACTCATTACACTGAAACAACTTCAATCAATGCTAGTTATGGATGCTTAAAAGGAGTCACAAATCACAGTGATAAAAGATGTCATTTTTAACTAAGCCTTTAGAGAACACTTTTTAAAAACACATAATATAAGATTATATAGTTCTATTTCTAAGAATGGCTAAACAGACAACTTAGAACAACCGCCTGTCAGTGAGAACTAGAAAAGCTGGGGAAAAGTTAAGAAACCTGTTAGAAGGCACTGGAGGGCTAAAAAAACAGTGATGAATTATGCAGACAAGACCCAGAAGAAGTAGTAAATCTAGAAACCTAGAATTCTGATTGGCTTTTGGAATTGCTTTTCCCCAAAAAAAAAAAAAAAAAAAAAAAGGATGTGTTAATTAGACAAGAGGAAGCTGAGAGGCCTAAAAGCTCAGTAGAGCTTTCAGCAGGTTAACAAAAATGCAGTAACAAAAGGTGAGGCCAGGATCCGCCAAAAATTACAATCCTGCTAACTCTCCTAGTCTTTGGTTTAAAATATAAAATCTATGTCTTGGGGAGTAACGATGGTCAGATAAAAGCCCAGCTTAAATCATCTCAATCCATAATTGAGGTGATAAGTGAACTCAAGATTGTTGAATCCATTCCCTAGAACCACAAGTAGAACAAAATCCATCATCCAAAGCTTCAAACTAGTCCAACAACTTATCAGAAAGGAAATGCTGGTATCACTAAGGGTAAGGATACTGTTTCCTTCTGTAAGGAAAAGCAGATTATTAAGTGAAGGGTATCAAGAAGGGGGCTTATGAAGTATACTGATAATTACTGTTTCTCAATCTAGGTATTTGATACATAGGTGTATTCAGTTTGTGAAAATATATAGTCATTTGCAGTATATGTTTCGCTCTTATTGCCCAGGCTGGAGTGCAATGGCGCGATCTCGGCTCACTGCAACCTCCGCCTCCTGGGTTCAAGCAATTCTCCTGCCTCAGCCTCCTGAGTAGCTAGGGTTACAGGCATGCACCACCACACCCGGCTAATTTTGTATTTTTAGTAGAGACAGGGTTTCTCCACGTTGGTCAGGCTGGTCTCGAACTCCCAACCTCAGGTGATCCGCCCGCCTCGGCTTCCCAAAGTGCTGGGATTACAGGTGTGAGCCACTGCACCCAGTCTGCAGTATATATTTCTACTTCAACAAAATGTCTTTAAAATAAGCATACAAGAAAAAAAGACAAAAATGTAAATATAAACCAAGAGAAAAAAAAGCAAAAATAGGGAATCTAGAAAATGAATTTGGCAGATGTAATTTTAAGTGAACTATATTATGAACTGAATGATTCTGCCCTCCCACAAATTCATATAATGAAATCCTAGGCCAGGCGCAGTGGCTCACACCTGTAATCCCAGCACTTTGGGAGCCAAGGCGAGTGGATCACCCGAGGTCAGGAGTTCGAGACAAGCCTGGCCAACATGGTGAAACCCTGTCTCTACTAAAAATACAAAAATTAGCCACACATGGTGGCACACACCTGTAATCCCAGCTACTCCAGAGGCTGAGGTAGAAGAATCACTTGAACCTGGGAGGCGGAGGTTGCAGTGAGCCAAAATTGCGCCACTGCACTCCAGCCTGGGCGGCAGAGCAAGACACTATCTCCAAAAAAAGAAAGAAAGAAAGAAATCCTAATCCCCAGTGTGATGGTATTAGGATAGGAGATGGGGCCTTTGAAAGGTGATTAGGTCATGAAGACGGAACTCTCATAAATGGAATTAGTGGCATTACAAAATGAACCTCAGAGAGCTTTCTGGCCTTTTTTCCATCATGTGAAGAAGACAGTCATCTATCTATGAACCAAGAAGTAGACCCTCACCAGATACCAAATCTGTCAGAGCCTTGATCCCGTACTCCCAGTCTCCAGAACTGTGAGAAATAAATGTTTGTTGTTTAACTCATCCAATCTAGGACATTTTTGTTACAGTAGCCCAAACTAAGACAGACTATAAAACAACTATGATTAATATGTTCAAGGAATTAAGTGGTAGGATCGAGCTTTACGGCAGATAATGCAACATAACACAATTTTTCAGAAAACTCAGATATATTTTTATATTGTGTTTAAATAAAGTGCTAGACTTTCAGTGACCACTTACAGAGTTCTTTAAATTCAGTAATATTTTAAAAATTTCAATTTAACTGATTTTACCTTTGTGATACTTTTGACATATCAGATAAAGATTTGTGGTCTGTTAGAGATAATAGCCTAGATACTTAAGTAAGTTAAGTAGAGGAATCAAAGTTTATATCTGAGAGGACTCTGAATGGTTTTAAAAGTAATCATTCTTATTTAACATGTTAACTATATGATGAAATGAATTTTACTTTCTCCTTGTCCAGAAACAGAATAGTTAAATAAGACAAACAAGATATATTAAGGAAAATGTTTAGTCTGCTTAAGAGTAAAAATAAATGAATTTGAAAGACTTTGAAATCTACTTTATAGTAAGTTTCCACTTATTCCACTTGGTATACTAACCATACTTCATATACACAAAAGAGAATTCTAATATCTAATTTTAATATTCCCTCCATTTGTATTTGAAAGTTTTTAGAAATATTCTGTTTTTAGTAGAACTGCTTAATCTTCTGAGCTTATTCTATATCCTCAAATATATACATATTTATATATATTTATATATTTACATATATATTTTTAAATATTTATATATTTACATATTTTTAAATATTTGTATATATTTTTTTATATATATATATATATATATATATATTTTTTTTTTAGACAGAGTCTCGCTCTGTCACCCTGGCTGGAGTGCAGTGGCGTGATCTCGCTCACTGCAAGCTCCCGGGTTCACGCCATTCTCCTGCCTCAGCCTCCCGAGTAGCTGGGACTACAGGCACCTGCCACCACACCCGGCTAATTTTTTCAGCTAATTTTTTGTATTTTTAGTAGAGACGGGGTTTCACCGTGTTAGCCAGGATGGTCTCAATCTCCTGACCTCATAATCCGCCCACCTCAGCCTCCCAAAGTGCCTGGATTACAGGCGTGAGCCACCACTCCTGGCCCAAATATATTTCTTAACTAGACATTGATATTAGGCAGTCTCAATTAATACATCTATGAATTTGAAACAAAGTAGAAAAACCCCTTATGTAGCTAGCATGGCTGTTATGAAGCCTTTAAATATTATTTTATGTATGAAGCCCTTATTTTTAGTATATTATGCATATCATTTCAACCATCTTGATATTCTGATTTCTTGTTATACAGATAATAAAAGACACAATTTTAAAAGAAAACAGTAAAAATTATATTTTCCATTGCCAAGGGACAAGAAAAATGTGTTTTACAAATGCATGAAAAGGTTTAAAAAAATCAATTATTATACATGTTGTTTCTATTGAGCCTACAGAAATGAGGCATTATCATACATGGGATTTCTAATTCGTACTAATTAAAATGTTTTATATTGTGGTTTCAGTTTTTCTATACAACCATTAAGTAATGCCAACTTTGCTCCAATATAATACTATTACTATTACAAAAAGACAGAACCATCTGACTGAAATCTAAGACAGAAAACATTACTTCTAAGGCCATAAAACCTGCTCTTTTACATGGAAACATGACTGGTTCTAGAGCTAAGGCAGTTAAAACAACTAATAAATAAATAAATGAGGGAGAAATGACAGATCTTCCTTACAAAATAATTCTAAGTGACTATGCTAAATCATGTGAATGAGTACTCAAAGTCTGAAACATATTTCTATGACAGCATTGTATCCATATTCCAAGGTAATGTGTATCTCCAAAAATCCAGACAGAAGTAAAGATGCTTTCCAATGGAAAACTATTAAATGAAAATGACTCAAAAAGGAGTCCTCAAAATGTCTCTAAAATATATGTGATAAAACTATTTCATAAAATGAGTATAAAATGTTCTATTTATAAATGAATGTTTTATTTTTCCATGTTTAAAATATGTACATGTATGAAATGAAATACTACCATAGAATACTTTTTTTAGTTTCTTTAAAAATATACATTTAAGCTGGACCAAACCAAAAAAAAAAAAAATTTAAAAAAATGGGGACCAATTTATACTGGAGAAGGCTTTGCAGTTTCTTTAAAGCAAAGATAATGTTTTATAAATACACTCTCAATAGAAATGAAATTATATGATATCTAAAATTTTACATGAAATCTTGGAATGGGGTAAGGTAGCAAAACGAGAGCAGCCATGAGCTGATGAACAGTGCAGCTACGTGATGTATACATAGGGATTCGTTGAACTGTCAGCCATACTTTTATGTATGTTTAAAGTTTCCCATAATCAAGACTTACTGTAAAGCTACACATATCAAGACAGTGTGGTATTTGTGAAATAACAGAGAAAAACATCAGTGGAACAGAAGAGAAAGCCTAGAAACAGACTCTCATAAATACAGCCAACTGCTTTCACAAAAGAGCCAAGACAATACGATGGAGAAAAGATAGTCGTTCAACAAATGATGCTGGAACAAACGAAGAGTCACAGGCCAGGCGCAGCGGCTCACGCCTGTAATCCCAGAACTTTGGGAAGCTGAGGAGGGCAGATCACGAGGTCAGGAATTAGAGACCAGCCTGACCAACATGGTAAAACCCTGTCTCTAATAAAAATACAAAAAAATTAGCTGGGTGTGGTGATGCACACCTGTTATCCCAGCTACTCAGGAGGCTGAGGCAGGAGAATTGCTTGAACCCGGGAGGTGGAGGCTGCACTGAGCTGAGATCATGCCACTGCACTCCAGCCTGGGCGACAAAGCAAGACTCCATCTCAAAAAATAAAAATAAAAATAAAAATAAATCTAGACACAGACCTTACAATCTTCACAAAAATTAACTCAAAATGGGTCACAGACCTAAATGTAAAACACAAAACTATAAAACTTTTAGAGGTTAACATAGGAATCTAGATGACCTTGGGTATGGCAACTTTTAGATACAATACAAAAGACATGGATCTGTGGAAGAAATAATTGATAGGCTGGACTTCATTAAAATTTAAAACTTTTGCTATGCAAAAGACAAGGTCAAAAGAATTTGAAGACAAGCCACAGACTGGGAGAAAATATTTGCCAAAGACATATCTGATAAAGGACTGTTATCCAAAATATACAAAGAGTTCCTAAAATTCAACAATAACAGCCCAATTTTTTAAAAATGGGCTGAAGACCTGAAGAGATACCTCACCAAAAAACATACACAAATGGCAAATAAACATATAAAAACATGTTCAAAACCATGTCATTAGGGAATTGCTAACTAAAACCAATGATATACTATAACACATTTATTAGAATGGACAAAATCCAGAAACTTGATAACTCCGTATACAGACAAGGATATAAAGTGACAGGAACTCTCATTCATTGCCGATGGGAATGCAAAATGGTACAGCCACTCTGAAAGGCAACTTTGCAGTTTCTTACCAAAGTAAACATACTCTTACCAAACAATCCAGCAATCACACTCCTTGATATCTACCCAAAAAAGCTGAAAAGATGTCCACACAAAAGCCTGCACATGGATACAGCAGCTTTATTCCTCATTGCCAAAACTAGAAAGTGCTCAAAATGTCTTTCAGTAGGTGAGTGGATAAATAAACTGTGGTATATCCAGACAAAGGACTAGTATTCAGTGCTAAAAATAAATGAGCTAACAAGCTATGAAAAGACATGGAGACAACTTAAATGCATATTACAATATAAGTGAGAGAATCCAATCTGAATAGGTTACATATTGTATGATTCCAGCTATATGATATTTTGGAAAAGGCAAACTATGTAGACATTAAAAAGACTAGTGACTGCCAGGAGCTGGTGGGGAGGGAGGGATGAACAAGTAGAGCATAGAGAATTTTTAGGGCAGCAAAACTATTGTGTATGATAAAACACAATGGTGTATTCATGTTATCATATATCAGACAAAATCCGAAGAATGTACAACACCAAGGATGAACCCTAATGTAAACTGTGGACTTTGGGTGACAACAATATTAATGTAAATTCATTGATCGTAATGTAAAATGTTGATGGTGGGGGATGTTTTGCATGTGTGGAGGTAGAGGATATATAAGAAATCCCTGCACCTTCAACTAAGTTTTACCGTAAACTTATAACTGCTCCAAAAAATAAAGCTTATTTTTATTTTTAAGAAAGCAGTGAGTTTAATATATCTGAACCTATCTTATATAAAAATAGGTCTCTCTCTGCTATGTTTACCAACCACCCTAATGCTAGTGAAAAAAAAAATCAGAATAAAATATAGCTTTTCACTTTGCTCTAAAACATTCACTTTCAGAAGAGACAAACGTTGTTACATTACATATAAGCTTTATGAAGGCAAAAAATAACTCCATGAAGTATATTTTGGAAAAGGCATGGTTTATATACTCTTAAGGTACTATTCCACAGGCTCATGGAATAAAGAAAAGTGTGAAATTATACTTAAGTAGTAGTACTTTCTACATATTTTGTATCTGAAGCTCTAAACATAAATGTTCACAAAAATAGTAATAAGTCAGTAACTGAACCCACAATTTTGGGTGCTGAGGGTAATATTTACTTTTCAAAGAGATCTTAAGATACAGGGAGACTTATTTTATCTGAATGGATTTCCTAAGAAATAAACACAAACTATGATCTTTTGTCAGTTCATAAGGAATAATAGAAAAATAAAAAATGAAATTAATGACAGTTAAAACTGCCTACAGCAAAATATTTTTATGTATAAAAATTGATAAAGGAATCAAACATTCCTGAAAAATATCTACTTTTGTATCATGTGAGCAGTAACAATGGACTTAGTAGAAATAAAAAACAACTTCAGCTTAAGAAACTTCTAGTATTAATAAAACACTTGCACAAATACCTCTTTGAAACCTGAGAACCACCCCATGTGGTAAACAAAGCAGGTATTTACTATCTTTTTCACAGATGAAAGAACTGAGGTGCACACAATTTACATAAATTATCAATAGTCACAGAGATTAAAAATGGTAGAGCCAGGATTTGAACTCGGGAATTATTATTCTTTATCCTGTCACCTCTCACCTTTATTACCTTGGCATTTAGAGTAGTCACATAAAAGACACTGAATATACCCACTTGCCTTCTGAATTCCAAGGCAGCCTGAAGGGTGCTAGTGCCATCTCAAGATTTACACCAGGATGAAACAATCTCTGCAACCTGCTGTGGCCTGAGACTCTTGCAAAATGTTTAAAAGTGACTTTAACACATCATGACATTCCCACATAATCTAAGACACTGCACTAGTCAACTCAGGCTGTTATAACAAAATACCACAGGGTAGGTGCCTGAAACAAGAGACATTTATTTCTCACAGTTCTCGGGGCTGAAAAGTCCAAGATCAAGGGGCAGGTGATTCAATTCATGGTGAAGGCCCTCCTCCTGGTGTGTGGACAGCTACCTCATATGGTGGAAGAGAGGAAGCAAGCTTCTTAGAAGGGCACTAATCCCATTATGAGGTCCCCACTCTCATGACTTCCTCTAAACTTCATTACCTCCCAAAAGCTAAAGTAACCTGAGGCATTGCCTTTAAGAATACCAACTTTTATCCATCTCTAAATATCATCACCCTGGGGCTAAGTCTTCAAATATGCACTCAGAGGGGATGCAAACATTCAGTCCATAGCACATACCACAGCAGTATATTGTGTTACATCTCTCTGACATTAGGTTAGATGTACCTGACAAGACCAGGGTGGGTAGGTGGTAACTAATATAATAATCACTCAGTCAAATTAGTTACTAAGCAGGAAGAGAATACATTATTAGAGATAATTCACTGGAAAAAAATTCACGTTTAATAAAACTTTTAATTTAGTATTTTTCACAAAGAAGAAAAAGTCTCCTTCCCCAAAATTTGTGTCTATGTAAAACAACAAAGGATATGCATACTGGTTTGAGATTTTTTTTCCTTCTGTGAAGAAACTGCTATGCTATACACTTTACATGTTTTATATCACAGCCCAGTGACCACTATACTACACAGGTGGAAGTGTGGGTTTGAGGACCATTGAACACTGAATCTCCCCCAATACATCACAATTATAGAAACACCTGTGCACAGTAACTTTGTGTTGAGCCACTATGAAACTTCAGTGTTCAATTGCCCACAACACATCTCATTTCTTATGACTAGATTCAGCTCTAGTATGTAAGAAACAAGCTTTCTGAATGCAGCAGTTTCCAAACTTTGTACTGAGAAATCTAGAGGATCTATAATAAAGCATTTTTCAAATTTTCTGAAATAAAATATGCTCATGAAACATGTTGAACTTAGGTCTAAGGGTTTCAAGACATGAGAAATAAGGGTCCTACTTATTTAAAAACTAAATAATGTAGATCCAGTGATGGGGAAGAAAATAGAAACATTTTTTGTTAAGCAAAATTCATTTTAGAGTAGTTTTCATTTGATCATAAATTATGAAACAAAATTACAATGATCCTAAGTAGAACTAATCATGATTCCTCATGTATTCATTCTCTCCATACCTTAATCTCTAAAATAAAAAGTTTATATTAGAGACAGGAAAGTAAATGTGTGTTGAATTGAAACTGATGTTTAATTCTCCTCTAGGGCATAAAAACAAATGGGTTAAAGCAGAGGTTTTACAATATTTGTGGACAACCTAAGAAGGAGGGCGATTAATTAAAAGTTCCTTTTGTTTAATACTATGAAGAACTCTTAATACATAAAACAGGAAAAAAACTTATATTCTAGGTAAAGGGAGGGTAGAAAACTAGATCTCCACAAAACACCAACTTAACATTTTAAAAAAGAAAAAACAGAAATAATTGGAATATAAAAGGTTTTTATATAAAGTTTCAAAAAGGGACTATTTATTCTTCATTATTTCCAAAATATTCTTGTATCTAAATTATAGGATACACTGAGTCACTGGGGAAAAAAATCATATAAACAAGTTATTTTTTAAAATATGAAGATAACCAGTAGAAGACAAAGCCAAAAGAGATCTGTTTGCCTTTGGAGAGTAACCACTGGAGGTAAGACGGGGAAGGGAACATGCTTACTATAGAACCCTACAGAAATGAAAACATATGCTTACACAAACACCTGTGGCACTGGAGGCAAAGATGACAGCTCCATGGGTGTACAGGAGTCATCATTCAAACATAAATGGGTGCAATCTGTGACTGCCAAGCAGGGGGAGGGGGGACAAGGGGAATGGGTGTGTAACAGAAGGGTTCAAGGAGGCTCCAACCTTGATTTTTGATTTTTTTCTAACCCTTCAATTATCTAGTTATGGTTTTTGAGGATAAAAGGACTAAGTTTTCTAACCTCAAACCATCTCAGAATTAAATAGTTATTCTGTAATCCCAGCACTTTGGGAGGCTGAGGCAGGCGAATCACTTGAGCTCTGGAGTTCAAGACCAGCCTGAGCAACATGGTGAAACCCCATCTCTACTAAAAAGACAAAAAATTAGCCAGGCATGGCAGTGTGTGCCTGTAGTCCTAGCTACTTGGGAGACTGAGATAGGAGGATCACTTGGTCCTGGGAGGTTGAGGCAGCAGTGAGATGGCATTACTGCACCCCAACCTGGGCAACAGAGACCCTGCCTCATTAAAAACAACAACAAAAAAGTATTGAATAATTCTTTATTAGAATACCACTAAGAGAACTCATTTTAAAATATCAGAAAACCCAACAGAATGGCCAAAATGAATAACATTAACGTTACCAAATGTTGGTGAGGATGTGGAGCAAACAAAATCTCCATATGTCACTGTAAGGTTTACAGCTTGGTTGTTATGGGCCAAACTGTGCCCCCCAACCCTAAATTCTTATGTTGAAGCCTTAACCTCCAAATATGACTATATTTGGAGACAGGGCCTTTAAAGAGGTGTTTACATTAAAATGAGGCCATTAGGGTGGGCCCTAATACAATGTGACTAGTGTCCTAATAAAAGAAGGAAATCTGGATACTCAGGAAAACCCTAGGAATATGCGGACACAGTGAGAAGATGGCCACCTGTAAGCAAAGGACAGAGGCCTCAAGAGAAACCAAACCTGCCAACACCTTGAGATCTTGCACTTCTAGATATCAGAACTGTGAGAAAATAAATTTCTGTTGTTTAAGCCACCCAATCTGTGGTATTTTGTCATGGCAACTGTAGCAAACTAAAACAATAATACAACTACTTTGGGAAAAAGACTGACAGGTTCTTGCGGAACCAAAATATATCCACCTTATGATCCAATAATTCTATATCTAGGTATTGACCCAACATATACAAAAACATAAAAAGATTTGTGCAAGAATGTTCCTAACAGATTTATTACAATAGGCAAAACACTGGAAATAGCCCAGTATTTATTAATATGAGAATGGATAAACTATGGAATATTCATACAATAGACTATTATTCAGCAAAATAACACTGAAAATATTATTTTGAAGATGCTAAAAATGAACTACTAATACAATGTGGATCAATCTCCAAAATATTATGCTGAGTAAAGGAAGATGTACCAAAAAGAATACAATATGACTCTAATTATATTAAGCTCTACAACAAGTTAAATTAATCTTTGTTATCAGTAAACAATGTTCCATGATTATATTCATGTTTTTGCATGATCAGGACTTCCTGAGCAAAGAGTGCTGGCAACCTGGATTAACAGACGAGTAAATGGCAAATGAGTCTTGGAAGTTAAAGACAGACAGAGAGACATCCAAGGAGATGTATGGGTTTATCTTCCATCATTTAAATTCCACAGGGTAATGGAAAAAGAGACGTTGTCCTCCTCTCCCCAGAAAAAATGTGTTTACATTAGAAAGATAAGGTAACTATCCCTCTCTCTACACAGGGGAGGAGGAGCGATGCAAAAGCAGTCCTATATAAGCTCTGAGATGTATACAGTCTGATATGGTTTGGCTGTGCCCCCACCCAAATCTCATCTTCAACTGTTAACTCCCACAATTGCCATGTGTCGTGGGAGGAACCCAGTGGGAGGTAATTGAATCATGGGGGTAAGTCTTTCCCGTGCTATGTTCGTGAATAAGTCTTATAAGATCTGATGGTTCTAAAAAGGGGAGTTTCCCTGCACAAGCTCTCTCTTCTCTTGTCTGCCACCATGTGAGACGTGCCTTTCACCTTCCACCATGATTGTAAGGCCTCCCCAGCCACGTAGAACTGTAAGTCCAATAAACCTTTTTCTTTTGTAAATTGCCCAGTCTCAGGGATGTCTTTATTGGCAGCATGAAAATGGACTAATACACAATCCTATATAAATTCTGAGATTCATTTATTTAGGAGGAGCTCCTCTCCTGTATTACAACTCCCCATCCCCCAAGATATACAGATGGCACTAACCCTCATAACATCACCCTCATGGGGAACTGAAGTGCAGGAAAGTGACACTAAGATAACCATGAGTAAATAAAAAGTCTCTTCTCTGATCCACACATCAGTGTTTCTGCTTTTGTGTGTGTACATACACTAAACATATGCCATATATTCAGTGTGTGTGTGTGTGTGTGTGTGTGTGTGTGTGTGTGTGTATAAATGCAGGAGTATGGTAATACCTCAAATCCTTTACTTTTTGAATACAACACTATAATGAAAAAAATTAAAACAATACTTGCATCTGAGGGCAAACAACTAACTTGGAAGCACAACAGTAATACTTCATATAATGAAAAGGGTTTGTGTGTGTTACTAACATACATGCAATTATCAAAACTCTAAAATTTGTGCATTTCACTGTGAAAATTTTATGTCAACAAAAGGAAAATAATCATAAACAAATATTGAATTCTAATTAATGATATACATACTGAAGTGTTTAGGTGTAATGTGTACTGATGTCTGCATCTTACTTTGAAATGCATCTAAAACATTGGACTGTTTATACCAATACAGGCATGTACCGATTTCTCCATTTTTGAAGGAAAGTTTTGCCAAAGAAGAACTTACTTGTTGACTTTTTTGTTTCTTTCAACACTTCAAACATGGTTCTTCAACTACCTTCTGGCCCCATGGTTTCTAATGAGAAACTAGCTGTTGATCTTATTGAGGAAACCTTGTAAATAATGAGTCACTTCTCTTGCTGCTCTCAAGATTCTCTTTTTGTCCTTAGCTTTTGAAAATGTGATCTTTATGTGCTGTATTAGTCCATTCTCACACTACTATTAAGAAATACCCAAGACTGGATAATTTATAAAGAAAAGAGGTTTAATTGACTCACGGTTCAGCATAGCTGGGGAGGCCTCAGGAAACTTACAATCATGGAGGAAGGCACCTCTTAACAGGGTAGCAGGAGAGAGAATGAGAATAGAGTGAAGGGGAAAGCCCCTTATAAAACCATCAGATCTTGTGAAACTCACTCACTATCATGAGAACAGTAGGGGGAAAACTGCCCCCCATGATTCAATTATCTCCACCTGGTCCCACTCTTGACATGTGGGGATTATTACAGTTCAAGGTGAGATATGGGGGGGACACAGACCCAAACCATATCATGTGTCTTGGTGTGCATTCAGAATTTCTCCTACTTAGATTCTGATGAGCTTCCTGAATGTGTTGATTAGTGTGTCATCAAATTGGGAAGTTTTCAGCCATTTTTTTCTTCAGCCATTCTATTTGCCCCTTTCTCTCTCTCCTTTCCTCCTGGAATATGTATTATGTGTGTTGGTGCACTTGATGTCATCACACAGGCCTCTTAAGTCTCTTGAGCTCTGTTCATCTTCATGCTTTTTGACTTTCTACTCCCTAGACTAGATAATCTCAATTGACTTAAGTTCACCCATTCATTTTCTGCCTGTTCAAATCTGCTGTTGATTGCTACTTGTGAATACTTCATTTAAGTTATTATACGTTTTCCCTCTAGTATTTCTAGTTGGTTTCTTTGCATCATTTCTCTATACATACTGATACTCTCTACTTGGAGAGTCATTGTTTTCCTGGTTTCATTTAGCTGTTTCAGCATATTTAACATGGTGATTTAAAACCCTTGGGCTAGCAAATCCAATGTCTGGACTTCCTTGAGTACAGTTTCCATTACTTTCTTTTTTTCTTGTGGATGGAACAAATTTATGGGTTTCTTTACATTCCTCATCGTTTTCTGCTAAAAACTAGACATTTTGAATATTATAATGTGGTAACTAACTCAGATTCTAACTCCTCCCCAGGGATTATTGTTGCTGCCTATCAGGTTTTTGTTTGTTTGTTTACAGTCGTTTCTAAGCTATTTCTGAAAAGAGTACATTCTTTGTTGCATGTGGTCATGGAAGTGTTTACTGTTTTGTTAGCTTGCAGTTTGCCTAAAACTTAGCTGGGCCATTTAAAAATTTGCCTTAGCCATCACTTCCTCTTCTGCAGAGCTTGAAGGTCAGTCTGACATAAAAGCTTAGGTTCTTATCAGATCTTTTCTGAGTAGGTGTCTAACCCTACGCATGAAATGGACTTTCTAGATCCCATATTATCCACAGGAGCTTCTCAACTCCCTTATTCCCCAAAGCATTCCATCCTCCAGCCTTTTGTTCCAGGCTTCTTGGCATGTCCATTGTTTACTCCCATTGATATCTATTGCCCCAAGGGGCATTAGTAGATAATTTGTTCTGAGGGAGTTATGATTTCAGCAAAATAAAGGCATGTCCCTTGCATTAGGGATCCTCCAGGCAGGTCAAAACAAATAATCACACCTCTTTGCGAACAGAATCTACTCTGTTCCATCCAGCCCCTGTCACTGAGGCAGAGAAGGGAGGATAGAGTGAGGGTAAGTTTAAATGCCACAAATCTTTTCTCCTGAGTTTCAGGCCCCATTTTCTTAAATGTTTGAATGGTTGCTGTAAACCTTTGACTATTTTCTGAATTCAAAAAGCTGATTGGACTGTTTTTACAGATTTTCTTGTATCTCTGTGGAGCAACAAGCTCTTGGGAGTTCTCTACTCTGCCATTTTTACTGATATCACTTTCCATTTGCAAAATTCTTAAAATAAAATGTTGGGGAAAATATGGATTAGAAACAACTTATCTGTTTCTCTTGGAACTGTGACTTACAGTGAAAAACTTGAAAATTTAGGAAACCCAAAATGACATAAAACAGTAATAAAAGTTCACTAACAATATACGACATAAAGATACAATTTTTAAAATTATAAGAAATGCAAAAATAAGGCTAGTCACACAAAAAGGATGTTTAGGAAACAGAAAGTGAGAGAAAGTGCTAATATAAACTCACTAAAGAGATTTTATATTCTAAGTAAGCTCATGCTCTGGTTTCTCTTCAGACTGTATAAATCTTTTGCCTTTTACTAAGTAAGCTGAATGTATAAAAATAAAAACTAAATCATTAAATCAATAAATACATTATTTTAAAGATGGAATCATATATATATACATATATATATACACACACACACGCACACAAATATATATTTTTATATATATAGGCACTAAACTTTACTGGCCCCTAAATAAATTAACAGGAATAACAACTAGCTCTGGAAGCAATTATTTGTAATAGGGAATCTGTCAAGGTCTCCACTGGGTTGAGGAAGGCAGTAGCTAACCACTAAAGGAAATGTTAAAAAAGCAAAGGTCAATGTCTGGCCCTAAATTTTTAATTCCAACAACATGGCTAGAACTGTTCAAATTAGAAAATGGTCAGCATGTCAAATGGATAACTAACCAGCACCATTACCTAGTGCTTACATACAGCATACTATAAGCCCCATGCTAGACAAGTACATGAATTTTCAGCAGGACATACACAGAATCATGGGGATGGAGGGTGAAGAGGAAAGGGGATTTATTTTGTCTAAAAAAATTTTTTTTTTTCAGAATATAGCTCTACTATACTAGGAATGGTTTTTCTATGTACTTTATATGAAAATGTATGAAGTTACTTATCTAAGAAAAATTGGTGTTTCTGAAGGACATCAACCCAAGAAAACTTATTTTTAACTAACATTTTTTAACAGAGTTCTTTAAAGCGTTTCACAAAGGTCAGTATGAGCTGATTTTTTTTAATGTGAACATTTCCACAACAAATTTTAAAAATTGGAATGAATCAGCAACTTAGATGACACAGCCTGAAGTATTTCCTAATAAATGAGAATGAGAAAAGGTCCATTATTTCACTTATAAATTAATTAAGAGCTTCCAACCTACAATGTATCAGGCCTTCCTCACCTACCAGACATCTATTTTAATGAATTAAAATATACTACATTGTGATCAAACTAAAATAGACCATTTCAAAATCTAGAGGGAACAGGAGGTGTACTCCTGAGATAAAAAAATTTTGTCAGAACACTTCATTTTAATCTAATATTTATACCACATATATATACATGAATAGTATATATCTTAACAGATGAAACAATTATTCTTTCCAAATCATAGTGTCTTCAAAAATTTTTTAGGTTATTATGGAGAATGTGGTAGAGACTGTTGATTACCTCCAACAGCCAGTAGGGCAAGGAGGAAGAAGGATCTTTCTCCCTGACCACACTCCTCACATATATAACGGACTATATGTAAGTGTCAAAAGCATATCACTCAACACGTTACTAAGAACACGAAATCAATCAAACAGAAGTTCAAAGATAAGATGATAAACTATAGAATAAAGGAAATATGAAATTCAAACTGAGTAAGTAAACAACAGATCAAAGCAATGGTGTTACTACATTTACGGAATTAAAAATAAAAACTGAAAAAAAAGATTAGACCATTGAAAATCAAATTACTGACAATGAAACAACTTGAAATAATATAAATGCAATCAAAAAGACAAAAATGTGGCCTAGCATAGTGGCTCACGCCTGTAATCCCAGCACTTTGGGAGGTCAAGGCAGGAGGATCACATGAGCCCCAGAGTTCAAGATCAGCCTAGCCAACATGGCGAAATCCTGTGTTTATAAAAAATACAAAAATTAGGCCAGGCACGGTGGCTCACATGTGTAATCCCAGCACTTTGGGAGGCTGAGGCGGGTGGATCACATGAAGTCAGGAGTTCGAAACCAACCTGGCCAACATGGTGAAACCCCGTCTCTACCAGAAACACAAAAATTAGGCAGGTGTGGTGGCAGGCACCTGTAATCCCAGCTACTTGGGAGGCTGAGGCAGGAGAATCATTTGCATCCGGGAGGCGGAGATTGCAGTGAGCCAAGATCGTGCCACTGTACTCCACCTTGGGTGACAGAACGAGACTCAGTGTCAAAAAAAAAAAAAAAAAAAAATTATCAAGTATGATGGCACACACCTGTGGTCCCAGCTACTCAGGAGGCTCAGGCAGGAAAATCACTTGAGCCTGGAAGGGCGAAGCTGCAATGAACTGTAATCACACCAGTGTACTCAAGCCTGGGTGACAGAGTGAGATCCTGTCTCAAAAAAAAGAAAAAAGGACAAACATTAAAGAAATTTTCTAAAAATATGATGGACATGGTAGACAAAGATTATAAAACAGAATAACGGGTATTCCTCAAGTATATAACTTACAAATGAAGCAGAAAAAAAATGTAAACATCGAATTTTTAAAATTACAAAAAGAAAAGAAAATTCCCTAAAATAAAAGGAAGAAGTGAACCTGGAGATCATATGGAATAACTCACGTTGAGATGTAACCTGATTAATTCTCAAAGACTTTTTAAACAGGTTTTTTTAGCATGCAGAAAAAAAAAATCAAGTCACCTGCAAAGGAGAAAAATCTTTGGCTATCTTCAGATTTCTTCACAGCAAAATTCATTGCAGAAGAAAATTAAGTAATGTCTACAGAGTTCTCAAAAGAAGAAAAGGGTGTGTCCCAACAGTACCATAACCAGCAAGATGTCAAATATACAAGAAACAATAAACCATTTTCAAATGCACAAGGCCTAAGAGAATACTAATCCAAGAGCCCAGGTAAAATATCAATCAAGTGTGAGAGTGACACTGAAAGTCTCAAAATTTTATCTCCCATCTACCCACTCTTAAGAAAACATTGGAGGATATGCTCCAAAGCCAGGAAAACCAAAAGAAAGGAGAGAGACAGACAGAGACAGAGACAGAGAGACAGAGAGAGAAAGAGAGAGAGAAGAAGAAAGCCTAAGAAATAGGATTCAACACAGAAGAGACATGAAATTAAGTTCTAGAAAAACAGATTGGAACTGTGCAGGCCTAGTAAGCAATCAGATTAGAACAGAGGGTGAAGACTCCAGGAACATATCTCCTGGGAAGAAAATGAAGCTGTTGAAATACTTGATATACTTGACAACTGTACTAGTCAGAACTGTGTTCAGCTATATATAACAGAAATATCTAGTTAGGTAGCTCCATAAAATGAAAAGTTGCCCCAAACACTTTGTTTTTCAGCTCTGCCCACCCCCAGAATATAGTTTTATCCTTATGCTTGTAACATGACTACTGCACCTCTAATCATCACACATGCATTCTGGGAAGGAATCATGAGAAAGGGCAAAGGGTAAAATATACATATGTCAAATAAGTCTGTCAGAAAAACAATAGCTTCCCCAGAATCCCAATTTCCAGATGTGGACCCATTTCTGACTCTAAAGGAATTTAGTATGTTGATTATTTTTCATTAGGCATATAACTACTCTGAACAAAATCAGGATCCTGTTATTTAAATAAGTGGGAGGGGTAGAACTGACATTGGGTAGACAAGAAGTATCACAACAACTGCACATAAAATAATATTTGGAGAATATTTAATATTCCAATGGAGAACTTGGAATGCTTCATATAGTGACATGATAAAGTAAGCAAATTTAAAATGAAGCAATTTTTGATTCCAAAAAGAACCAAAAGTTCCACAAGAGATGAAATGCTATTATACAGCTGAATAATATTCATAAATCATAGGAAAATGAACACCTATGGATTGAAAAAATTCTAATATATATATTCCAAAGATGAAAGAGGTAAGCAGAAGCATAAGGTAATAGAAGAATGACAAATTCTCCATTTCTATAATAGGAAGTCAATACATAATGCCTAAAATTGATAAATCAAGAAATAGCAATATATGTCTATTACCTAGAAATGGAGAAAGGTAAATACACACACACACACACACCAAAAATAAAATTCTTACCCCACAACCACCTGAAGGGACCCCTTCTCACGACCAAGGGCATTCCAAAGTTAACCTGAAAAACTAGTTCAGACCATGATAGGAAGGGTGGGTCAGACATGCCTCATTACACCCTCCTCCCTTTTGGAATTCAGGAAAAGCCAACCAGCATTAACATCAACATAGACCTTAAGTCTGATAAACATTTATAATCTATTCTGTCTGAAGCCTACTACCTGGAGGCTTTATCTGCAAGATAAAACTTTAGTCACCACAACCCCTTATCATAATCCAGACATTTCCGTTCTATTGATTCCAGGTCTTCAGATAACAACTTAACTTTCAATTAATTGCCAATCAGAAATCTTTAAATCCATCTATGACCTAGAAGCCCCGTCTTCAAGTTGTCCTGCCTTTCCAGATTGAACCAATGTGCATCTTACAGGTATTGACTAATGTATTATGCCTCCCTAAAATGTATAAAAGCAAGCTATAGCAACCATGGGCACATGTCATCAGGACCACCTGAGGCTGCACATGTCACAGGTGCATCCCTAACTCTGGCAAAATAAACTTTCTAAATTGATTGAGACCTGGCTCAGATACTTTTGAGCTCACACACAGAAGGGAAAAGAACTGAGGAAGCTAATTCAGACATTGAGAAGGGTCACTCAGAAAAATGTTTCTCATAAGCCTTGTAGTACTATTCATTTTCTTTCTTTTAAACCATGCATATGTTCCTTGGTAAAATTTAAAGTTTTCTTTTTTAAAAAAGAAAACTTCATGAGTTAAAAAAAATTCCAATCAATAGGAATAAATTATAAACAACAAAAAGAATACGGAATCTTTACGATAAATGCTTCATAACCAATGGGAAGAGAGGAGACATTATTTCAATATTAGATCATGGTCCTTAGTTTCACCTTAAATTATATGTTGAACCCTTTGTCAACAGTTACTTAAAACAGTGCACAAAAAACTGCTCTTATTGCATTGTAAAGAATGTATTCTACCACAACTTCTCAGTATTTTGTTTTTTTAATAAATTCCACAGAATCGTGGATCTATAGTCCATTGGTAAGACACATGACAAAATTTGTTTTAACAAAGAAAATTAATCAGTAAAGAAAATTAAAACTCAATAATCTCTAACATTTTGGTCCGTTAAGACAGGATCTGGATGTGGAGTTCATGAAGTACTTCCCTGAAGTACCTCTGTACCTACAGAAAATTGCTCATCAAAAAACTACATTTATAAATTTTGGATTTTGATAAGTTATTTTATGGCTACCACTGAAAAACTTAAGAACTTACCTTAAAAATACTTTAAACAAAATTCTAAATTTGGACTTTGTTAAACTTATGTAAGGTTTTATAATTGATGTACAGATATACAGAGAGAGACAAAATTAATTACTCCAAATTTTAAACTGGCATAAATACTGCCACCAGAATTACATAACCCGGATTCATATTCTAAAAAATAATGGTAAATATTTAGAGTTTTAACTTCCAAATCACTGAAGTAAAATATTTTGATAATTCTTGAAAACCTCTCATCTCCCAGAGAAAGTTCAGTTGTAAAAAGCTAGATTCATGCAATTAAAAACATTCCTAGCAGGCCCCAGTGTCAGAGTTTCCTTTCAGTTTACAATTGATGCCACTAACAGATGTTGGTTTTTATTTTAAATCACTCTTAAAATTTACTCTGTGTTTTATAATATTTATTTTTTTAAATCGATTAATTTTACAAAAGCAACTTTAGTCTTAGAGATCTAGGTTTATGCTTCAAGAAATCTCCCATAATAGGCTTGAATGACAAATAAAATACTTAAACAATTTTATATCCTTGAAAATTATACAAACTTGACCTAGAATAAAAAACAACCCACATGGACTGCAAAGAGTAAGGTAAATTTAAGAAAATAAAAATGCAAATGTGCATTTTAGCAGTCTCTTGAATTTATTAACCTAAAAGGTTTAATTTCCATTTTCCTGCATCAGCTTTATTTATAAAATGTCGTGCCCTATAAATACGCCGTTATTTTCTATAGTCAAGCACCCTCTTAACAAATCTTCTCATTAATATGTAAATTTAAAGTCAATCGGTCTTCTCCCTGACAGCCCCATGAATTCCTAGTGCACTGTATAATCAGCTTTGACTTGACATCCACTATTTATCATCAAAGATGTCAGTTAGAAAAATTATGGAAAATGCACTGCAATTGATATGACTGCAATCTACTTTGTCAACACTTAATTGTTCCTCAAATCATACATTTACATATAAACAGCCTAAATACTGATCTATAATGATGCAAATAAACTAAATTAAAAATCTCTTCTGCCCCTGAAGAAGCTTGTTTGTATATGATGTGTTCATTTGAGAACTTATTGACAAAAGCATGTACATCAGCTCATCTCAAAAAGTGTATCTACGAATTTTCGATTCCTCAACAAAAAACAATTTTGCCACACTTCAAGCATATTAACGTAAACAAATGTTTGCAAAAATTCAATAGGAAACATGATTTTTCTCTTTGAGAGCAAATTTAATTATGGTTGTTAGCTAATTGCATGTCTGAGCACTATGGATTGGGAGCCTCAAAGCTGGTTTTGACCGGAACACAATAAACAAACACAGAAAACTTATTAAGGTAACTAAGAAATTATTTTAATTTACAAGTCACAGGGTAACAAAATATAAAGGCAATAATGCTGGCCTGGGCATCAGATAATTCTGTTTATATTTCTGCTCCACCTTTTATAATTAATATTGTCTTAAGTGACTTGCTAAAATCTGTATATATCAATTTCTTCATATATAAAATGGGTATAATAATTCTGATTGCCCTATGGCAAATGGAATACTATGTAAGAAAGTACAGGCCAGGCATGGTGGCTCACGCCTGTAATCCCAGCACTTTGGGAGGCTGCCGAGGGCAGATCACTTGAGGTCAGGAGTTCAACACCAGCCTGGCCAACATGCCGAAACCCCATCTCTACTAAAAATACAAAAGTTAGCTGGGTGTGGTGGCACATGTCTGTAATTCCACCTACTTGGGAGGTTGAGGCAGACGAATCGCTTCAACCCAGGAGGCAAGAGGTTGCAGTGAGCCAAGAACGCACCACTGCACCCCAGCCTGGGTGACAGAGACAGACTCTATCCCAAAAAAGGAAAACAAAGAAGAAAAGAAAGTACAGCAAAAATGATAAGCCATTAAGTATAAAGCATCACAGTATTATTTTTCACATTTTCTCTTAGTATCTGAGAGAAAACTGCTGGATTTAAATGAATTCGGTATTACAGGCAGGTTTTTTTAATTATAAATTTAACTTTTATGTCGATACATTGTTTTAGTGACACTTTTTCCTACTGGCAAATTCTTTACTTCAAGGTAAAATGGCCCTTAATTCATCATAAAATGGTGCTTATATAGCATTTATGTAAGTGACTTCTGCCTGTAGGTAAAAGGGAATGGAGGGCTAGAGTGAAGACATTTCTACTTGGATGATTCCATGAAACAACACATTCAAGTGTTGATGGTAAAAGGATAAAAAAGAGAGGTAAACTCTCAGGAATGCCTCTGCTAGAGTACTGTTTCACCTTGTCTTTTTATTCTATAATCATCTTAACCTTTCTTTACTACATGGTGTTCCTTTTACAACATCACATAAGAAAGAGCAAGCAAATATAAATGCCAAATACTTCTCAGTTTCTTCTAGCTATGGTCAAACTCTGCTTTGAGATTTAGTCTGCCAACTTCTTTTATTTTTATTTATTTATTTATTTATTTTTTTGAGACACCCAGGCTGGAGTGCAGTGGTGCGATCTCGGCTCACTGCAAGCTCTGCCTCCTGGGTTCATGCCATTCTCCTGCCTCAGCCTCCCAAGTAGCTGGGACTACAGGTGCCCGCCACCGTGCCCGGCTAATTTTTTTTGTATTTTTAGTAGAGATGGGGTTTCACCGTGTTAGCCAGGATGGTCTTGATCTCCTGACCTCGTGATAAGCCCGCCTCAGCCTCCCAAAGTGCTGGGATTACAGGCGTGAGCCACCGCGCCCGGCCTCGTCTGCCAACTTCTAAAGCTAAAACTACCATGTGTAGTCGCTAAAAAGTTGGAAGCAACATCAAGCCTAGATCAGAAAGCACTGAAGACTATAAATGGCTACACTGCTCACTCCAAAGTTTCTCAGTAAAACAAAATCATAATTAGCACAGAGGAAGCCTGAGATGGGTTAACTGGAAGAGTGAGAGCACAGACATGGTCCTAGTGTTGACCACTCATTTGAATCTTAATTTTATAAAATATATTTATAACAAGAGTCTAACATATTGTACAATCCTTGATTCTAATACTGCAATAAGGGCTGAGCCTTTCAAATCTTTCACACTGCTTCTGAACTGAACATATGTACGTATGTAGACAAAAGCCTGTTATACTGATTATTCTGGGCTAAACGAGACCCTCAAATAGCACTTACACAATCGATGAATAATTTTTCCTTGAATTGAGGTCAACTGATATCAACTTAAATTAATAAATAAAGCAAAATGTTTTATCCAAAGTAAAATTTATAACCACCAGAGTAACTGAAATTAAACAGTTACCAATAATTGCCTCTAAGGCGTCAACCAAGAGGTTACGAGAAGGGAACATGTACTTGAATTGCTTCTATAATTAAAAAACAACAACAACAATAATAGGAATCAAATTAGCTAAACTTATAAATCTTCTATTTAAAGTGGTTTTCTTTCTATCTGTCTTTTAAGCCAATGGATCTTTCTCAAAGGAAATCAAATTCAACGCTGCATAAGAAAGGAAGGCAAAAAAGGCTTCTGTGTTTGAAACAGTGGCAAAAGCCCAAAAAGCTGCACAGTCTAGAGCACCCCTGCCCTGCTTGGCTCGTTCCTGTGGCAGTGCTAGCACATCCTGAGGGCTGATGTGCACACTGGAAAACCACTAAATTAGTCTAATGAGCACAGCATTTCGAATAATTCCAAGGTTGGATTGCAAGTAAGTGGCAAAGAAAAGAAATGACTTAGCCCATTCCAGTATGCCAGGGACAATGACCAGACTTCACCTCATGTTTGTCCTAATTCATGTTCATGGAGTTAACATGTGAAAACACCAAGAATGAATACAGTCCCAATTTTTCAAATTATCTGTCAAAAAACAAATGTATATGATGGTGTAAAACTTAACTTTCCTTTGCAATGGCTTTAAAAATAAATTTTATCTAAAATAAGATAAAATTCAAGGAACAGAAAAACAAATAAACAGACAAATATACAAAAGCAGAGATTTTACTACGGGTTACATATTTTTAGCAGGTATGGTAAGTACACTATATATTTTAACTCCAGTTTCTATATAATTACAAGCAAAGGATCATTTGCATATAGTTACTGAAAATGATAGGAAAGTAAAATTTAAAAATTTAAATGGTGACAGTGATTAGCTAAGGCAAAATTGCCTATAACTTTATACAATAGAAAAAAAATCTGAGCAGAAGTTTTGAAAGGAATTGGCTGAAATCAAACAAATAAGCTGTTTGGCAACAAAAATCTCTCATCAAAGTTATCATAAAAGGGCCAGGACATTTTCATCATAGAGATGTTCCTTAATCTAGCAAAAGTGCCATCAAAACTGTACTTTGCTCAATGATAAATAAAATTAACTTTATAAAATTAAAGTTGACAAGGATAGTAAAATTTCATCAATTTAAGAGCATTATGTAACATAAGACTTACATATTAATAATTCAAAACATACTTCAATTTTTAAGATGGATAACATAATCATCATTTTGTTAATATTAAAAGTGAGATGAAAATCAGTATTACTGTCTTGTGGATAAAGAAGTATTAAAATTTCTAAACAGTTTTTAATGCTAATACTAAATCAATATAGAAAATAGTGATCAACATTTTATAATAATTTGCAAGCTTGATGTGTCATTTAAAGCATGTATCATACATTTTTCCATGTTATTTACATTTTTCTAATTAACAAAAGCAAGATGTACTGAGCACTCAAGGCCTGTCATAAGTATGTATACAGACCACTTTGATATAACAGGAGCTTTTTAAAAATCTTTTTTTTTTTTACACAAATTGGTTTTTAAAATCTATAATACTGTATTTTAAAAAGATAAGACATCAAAAGACTAGAATGAATGTGCTATTCTTACAACATTTAAGGATTTATTTAAACTGGTTTAAAATTACCTTAAATCTTAAATGTATACATCCTAAGGATCTTAATTACAAGTTATATGATAAAATTTTCTAAATTGTCAATATGATGAAAAGAATAAGGCATACTTAAAAAAAAGAATAAGGCGTACTTCTAATGTTAATCTGCACAAAGAAAACAAATAGCTTCACTTAAATTATTAATTTTACTAAATGCTACCAGCTAAAGTGAAGAGAAGAACACAAACATTTTATAAATACAAAACTAGGAAAAAGTAGTTTAAAAGTTCAACAATATTTATCTATAGAGGCAAGAAATTAATTACTTTAGGTATAAATTCACATGCTATAGGAGCACATCACCTACTTTTTTTACAAATGAGTACCTGGAATAGCTGGGGCTCAAAGACGTGAAAGTAACTAGTAACCAAAAAAATCCATGGTTTGGCAATGTCACTGTAAACACTGTGTCATGCTGCTCCTCCTAACAAGGGCCTCTTGCCAGTATCAAACTAAAAGTGTATATACTTACACCAATAAATATGTATCAATCAGTGCCAAAATAATGGATAATTATGCTTGCATTTATATTGGTTGCCTGCTTTAGTAAAAGAACAAGAGACAAATGAGTCTTCCTTAAATATGCAGATTTCTCTAGTTTACTACTCCTAATTTTTTGCCCAAGTTTTAAAAAGCTCATCCATTCTCTTAGTATACTTGAAAGTGGAAGACTGTTCAACACTTACCTCTTTCCAAGGGCTGACAAACTGTGTCCGAGCATATCGAGTTAGCATGTGGATTATGACAACCTGCCCCCACTCTTCAACATCCACTAGTAAGTTACATAGCTTGCGGTAATTTTTATGAATCAGATCTATTCTGTCCGGGCATACTTCTTCAAAAGCCATCACAACACTGCCAGCTACCAACTAGAAAAGAAAGAAATAGTAACTTATTAAAAAATGTTTCTCCCCTACATCAAAGGTCTTACTCAGGCATTATAGTAATCAGTTTCATGCCAATCAGTATTAAAGTATTCAGTCATTCAATTAAAATGAATGTTCATGTTTGAATAACAAACTTTATGGTGACTATTCGTCAAAGAATAATTTTAATAGTTCTAATATGTCTAGAAAATACTATTCTGAAGAGAAGTAAATTCTGATGTGTTTATTTCACCAGGTTAAATTTCAACACATTGTTCATATGTGGATTAAACATTAATCACGCACATTTTTCATGTTTAAAGCTAACCTAAATTCTAATCTAAAAATTCAGTACTTTGTTCATAATATTCAGAAAAAGAATCAAGACAATAACAAAGCTCACATTGTGTCAGTTTAAAATGAGAACGACAATCATTCTAAAATGAACTTATGTTAAAAAGTATATGAGAAATTCATAAATTTTAATAGAAGAACACTTTCAAATCATATACATCTTAATCCACCGGTTTTTACCCAATATAATTTATTTACAAAGAAAACACACTGGCTGAAATTTTAGAACATCACCTGGGCTCTTATCACTTTCATAACAATGTGTATAAGTTGGAATAATATATTACTAACAAAAGGGGGCTCTTCCAACACCAGTTAATGAATCATAATGTTAGTTTCTGAACTGTGATGCTTTTACAAAGTGGTAACATTGAGATTCCTTTACTCTAAAGACACAAACTAAGCAGAATATATATTATACAAATACTTCTCTATACGTACAAATGATATATGTGCAGTTAGCCCACAATATAATACAGTTTTGAAAAACAAATTAATACCATATTCTATCTGAACACTAGGGATCTTCACTTTAGTGTCTAAAATTTCCCCAATGACTTAAAATAAGCAATTAAATAGAAATATAACTTACTGAAATGGTACTTTTTGAAAAATATTAGATACAATGATATTCATATTTTGAGTGTTTGTCCCTCTAGTTGGCTGACATTTAGTTTATTAATATGCAACCAACAATACAATTGAAAGAAAACAGCTCAGAATATAGACTCGCTATTATGCTAAACAAGTTTCAAGTCCTGTGGGGATTTTATGAATTACCAATCAGTATAAACGTGAAGCTGCATTTATTGACTCCAGCCCTAACCATGTACTGGTGCCTGCTGGTCCCAGCATGTATGCACCTCAATCGAAAAAGCACAGAATTGATTATTTGTGTGAACTATATAAAAATGTATTATATATATAATTTTCTATTTGTTATAGATATGGCAAGGAAGTTAAGCTCATGCTTTCAATCACATTTTGATGTCTTCTGCAAAAGACATAATTTCTTTAGAAATTACATTTTGTGATAATTACATTTCTATAAAGTGACAATTAGTATCATTTTAAAATATCTTACAACTAAGTTTATGACATTAAACTCTAGAATAACTCATTGTGAGATATAAACATCTATATATATGTATTATCAACCTTATATTAATATCAACATCAATTGGTAAAGGGTGTTAAAGTGCAAAAATAAAGGATAGTATCTAGGATAAAATGATCCATGAAATTGAACAGGTAATTCACAGTTTCAATTTTTAAAATACTATGTAAAATCAAGTTATTCTGTCTTAGCAATTATTTTCTTCCAAATGTGTTTTGATACTAAACAATTAAATGGAAAATCAGCTACCATATAATATTAAATTCATTAAACCAAGAGCTACATGTACACAATAATTCTAAAGTACTAACACCTTCTAAGGTACTAACAAATATCATTAATTAAATAGAACCAAATAAAGTTTAAGAAAACATCAAAATAATTAAAAAGCATATAAAGAGAGTACTTTTACAAAATAAAACTGATCATTTTAGATACTTAATCATATAGTTTTAACAATCTGACCCTGGGCTAAACACTACAAGGAAAATTAATAATTTTGGTTTATTAAATGTTCAATATTCTATAAAATATTCAGAATTAAAATTAAATGATCTACTCAGATTTTAAAACCAAAAATACTGGTTTCCAAAAAACAGACAGTTAACTTCCATCTCACTGTGTCAATAGTAGCTTTTCATATCAGGGAAAAAATAAATCACTCCAACAAAACCAGCAATGAGCTCATCAAATTCAAATGCAGTTTTCCATTTATGTATTTTTTATATTAAAGCAATAAACATGGTTCATTTATCTTCCCTTGGTTGCCACGTTTTTCTGTGCTGTTGCTATGAACTTCAGCCATTAGCTGTGCTCCAAGGTAAACTACATGAACCATCAACAAAAGTGACACCCCATCTATGGAGTTCATATTTTCTCTAGATTATCTATGCTAGTTGACAAGCTGGTAATGAAAAAAATCACACTAAGCAAATGGTTCCTCTAATAACAATAAATTTTCTATAAAATTATGAAGGGTACAAAACGTTTCCTTGCATCTATTTTGTCATGAATTCTAATTAACATTGCAAAAACCTGAGAGTGCTGGGTCATCACAAGAAGTGCATCAAGGTTTGATTGATAATATGGTATAAGTTGGCCAATGCTGCCAAGATTTTCTTCCCTTAAATTAATGGCCATCCAACCTTCCCTAATCATACAGCCCAAATGATATTCCCCTTCTTATTTCAATTTTCTTGAGGCATGGAAAATGGGAAAGATCAGTCATTTATCTTCTAATAGCTGGATAATAGATCTATCACAATAAAACATCTGTACAAACTCAGGGGTGTGTTTTTTGCACATAACGGTGGGGCTTTTATCAACATTAAATCAATAACTTAAAATTTGTGTCTTATCCCTACGGTTTAGCTATACACTACCAATCTATTCATTAAACATAATTTTATAGCAAAAATCAAAAAGAGGAAATTTTATGTCATCAAAAATATATACATAAATCAGTTTTTCAGCAGGCACTGACCTAATTTGTTTTCCTAAGAAACTCTGTTTTCTATCAGAAAGTTCGATGTTATCAAAAAGATTTATTTAGGATTAACTTGAAAGGAAAAGGAAATAAATACCACTCTGCTTCTAAAGTGTTCTAAAGAAAAGAATGTCAACAAATATGGATTGCTACATTTTAAAGAAAAACAAGAGAAACTTATTAATTTTAAAAATAAATTCATACGTGAACATTAGAAAAGGCTTGTAGTAAAGTAGGAAAGTGTTTAGGACATGTTGAGAAGGTAGATGAAAATGGTATAAAATTTAAGAATAAACAATAAAAATTCATATAAAGAAAAATGGTAACAGTTGATTGGAGATGACAGAATATAGATTAGATGCCCCCTTTTAAGTTCACTGACTACAGTTGTAAGGTTTCTGTAATATCTTTTACCTAAATAACACTAAAATGTTCTATTTTTAGGAAAAAACTATTCATATGACACATACTGGTCTTTAGTAAAAGAGAAAAGCCATTCTATTATATTTTAATATATTTATAATTCCACCTTTCCTTAAAATGAGAATTATGGAACTAATTTTCTTTGAGATCTCAATTGAAAGAAAATATCCTCTAGCCTAAAAGAAGCAACAGATGGTATGCCTCAAAATCAACAGAGGTTAAATGAAGAAAGTTTAATAGATCAACATCTTTCAAATGTATATGTATCAGCAGCAACACCAATGTCATCATCGTAATAATGATCCCAAAAAACTGCTGCTGGCAACAAATAAATTCCTTTTCAAAATGTGGAAATAAATTAGACCTGGTACATTTAACTGGGAGATTTTTTAAATGAAAGTGATTTTTGATCCTCTATTGATTTTAAATGCCAATGCTGACATTAAAAATTTGGTGGTGGGGGGCAGGGGAGAAATGTACCTGTCTTCCTTCAATGAAGAATTACATGTGACCAAAAAAAGGTAATAATTAAGATATGATCCACAAATATCTGTGTAGAATATTTTTAACCTTTCTACAATGGATTATAATCACACAAAAGAAAAAATTACCAGAAAACATTCACAAAATACAGCCAATTTAAATACTGGGTAGAGAAGTTGATGATGCCTAAGTAAGTCTGAATCTCCCAACCCAAATCCAAAAAAAAAAACAACAAGGGACCAAAACCCATGCTTTAAGCCTAACTTCAAAACAGAGAATCTCTAAACCTCAAATTATATATAAGTAGAAATATAAACCCTAAATTCCAGATAACTATTTTCATGCTTGTATCACAAAACTTCACAAAGACCTCCAACAGTATAGAAAAAAAACTGCCTGGAACAAAGCAAGCAGAAGTTAATGGCAGGCCTAAAAGTAAACGAAAATCAACAACAGAAAGAGAAAGAACACCCTAAGTGTGAAAATACTGGAAAAGATTCTTGGTAGATCAGAGCAGCCTATAAGGGAAAGACTTGAAAGAGAGGATGATTCAATGAGGTAGTGTAGAAAGGGAAAGTTTCACGGAGAAAATTAGCTTAAAAAAAAAAAAAAGTAAGGGGAGAGCAGTCCTTTGGAAACTGTGAAATAACAGAAAAAAAGAAATAAGAGGGGCTGGGTGCAGTGGCTCACGCCTGTAATCCCAATACTTTGCAAGACCAAAGCGAGATCACTTGAGCCCAGGAGTTCATGACCAGCCTGGGCAACACAGTGGGACCCCATCTTTACAAAAAATTTTTTTTAATTAGCTGGGCATGGTGGTGCATGTCTATAGTCCCATTTACTCAGGAGGCTGGGACAGGAGGATTGCTTGTGCTGGGGAGGTCGAGGCTGCAGTGAGCCATGATCACACCACTGCACTCCAGCCCTGGGTGACAGAGTAAGACCCTTCTTTTTTAGGCAGAAAAGAAAAGAAGAGAGAAAAATTTAGGCTGCTACAAAACATATCTCGAAATAGTTTGGGGACATATACTGGTCCTATGCATGCACGCCCTCCCACCAAAAGGCCATCTACTAAGAAAACATACTTTGTAATTCTAACAGAGAGGGTACTCTTGTACTAGGAATCTTGCAAGCTACCTCAAAATCAAATCACCAATCCTGTCCAAAGAAATAAGAAGATGCAAGTAATCTGTAAGTACTAAAAACAGAAAATGAAAATCAAAACAATTCAACTGGCAAAAATTACCGACAAAGAAATATAAATGATGAAGCAAAAGGAAACAACACGACACTTCAAAATGAATTAAATACCCTCAAGAGAAGCATTTGAAGATAGGAAATATAAATATAAATTATAAATTTTTTAAAGTTATAAATTAACAAAAGAAATCAGGATTGATTGACAACAGGAAAGAAATCAAGAGAGCAAAAATAATCAGATGTGAAGACTAAATTGCAAGGTGCCCTTCGAATAAAATTACTGAATGAAAATTTTAAAAGGGGTATTAAAGAAAGGTAGAAAAAGAACCAAAAGAATAAAAATGAGATAAAGAAAGAAGAGGTTTAGAGACACAATGATTGGAATGTAAAACAGGCAAAGAAGATCCAATGTGCATAAAATAGGAATCCCTGAAAAAGAAAAAAAATAACAGAATTAATATTTAAAATTATAATCTTAAAAAAAAACACTTTGCCAGAGATAATAAAAATTCTGAATCTACATTTTGAAAGGACTCACTGAGTACCAAGGCAAAACAATTGACCCATATCAAGTAATCCTGAAGTACCTTGCAAAAGTACTATATTTCAAAGATAAAATCTTCAGGGCCAGCATCTTTCTTAATGCAAACACAATGTAAGCATTTCCTTTAGACTGAAACAAGGCAAGAATGCCCACCATCTCCACTACTATTGAACACAACTGTAGTGATGGCACTAAACAATATAATTAGGCAAGAGAAATTAGAGTTCTAGGAACTGAAAAAGAGGAAGTAAAACATCTCTATTTGCAGATATGATTCATTCTCTAAAAAAAAAAAGAGAGAGAGATTTAGGCTGCTTGCTTCTGCCTCAGAGTTGGTGCTGTCATGGCCAGTCAGTCTCAGGGGATCCAGTAGCTGCTGCAGGTTGCTGAAAAGGGTGTCTGAGACCTGCAGTGAAAGAACCGGAGGGAGAAGCAGGCCAAAGCAGCAGTTCAAGGTGAAATTGAACAATATTGCCTGCAGAGGGAGAAAGAGTTCAAGGCCAAGGAGGCTGCTGCCCTGCGATCCCAAGGCAGCTGCAGCATTAAAGTAGAGGAGACCCAGGAGAAGAGAACCATCTGGAAGCAGTTTAGGCAGAAGAGGGGTGAAGTCTTGGCCTTTTTCTGCAATATCTGGTAGTCCATTCCTGCTAGTGGTTAGAACAATGAACACTAGTATAATTGTTTGGGCCAGTTTTAGTTACTTAATCAAAGAGGACAGAATTCAAGAACTTGTTACATGTTACTACTTGGTGTACTGATAATCATTTAAAAGTAAAGACTCTTTGTCATGCAAAAAAAAACCCAAGGAGGATGAATGAGAAAATTAACTCAAACAATAGAAGAATTCAGTAAAAAAGCAGAATATAAAATTTATCACTCAAAAAAAATCAATAGCTTTCTTACATACCAACACAACGAGTTCAAAGATATAAATAGTTGAAGCAATTTTGATTTACCATACATTAAAAAAAAGATTAAAGACAAAAACAACTCTAAACTAATATTTAACTCTAATTAAATATTTAACTCTAATTATTAGGCCCCATGCTACTGTATACCCCACAGAGGTACAGTGCTAGCAATTCTGAAGCAATAGTTTCTCTGCATTCTGAGACTCAGCAAAAATGTAAACAGATTGTGGAAATAGGAGCCCTGTTTCTTGTTTTTTTGTTTGTTTGTTTGTTTCTTTTTTTTTTTTTGTAGAGACAAGGTTTCACCATGTTGCCCAGGATGGTCTCGAACTCCTGGACTCAAGCAATCCATCCACCTTGGCCTCCCAAAGTGCTAGGATTACAGGCATGAACAATGGTGCGTGGCCAGAGCCACATTTCTTAATGTTGAATAGGCAGTTTCAAATATAAAAAGGAAGGAGGCTGGAAGGAACTCTGTGCTATACCACCAGAATTACAGGTGTCAGTAAAAACTTTGTTTTTTACTATAGACAGAAAAAGAAATATGTATTCTTAATTAAAAAAAATAAACATATAGTATATAACACTTTAGGAAAAATGAGTGCCTCACAAAGGGTAGGCCACCAAAGCCCCCAAAGAATCTACCTATGAACACTGAGCATGAAACCACTGCAGGGGGGTGAGGGAGACATTAAAAACGATACTACACACTTAATTACTATCACCAAGAATGTAACAAATTAATTCAACAGTCATTCAACAAATATTAAATACCTGTGATGAACAAGTATTCAATATTTTTTACTTTCTGGTGTATTTTGGAAACAGACATTCCAATTTTACACAGATATTGTATCTTTACATCTTTTTGAGTACTTATTTCTTATTTGGAATTTTTAATCACATCCCATGTGGTGTTAGGCACTGTGCTGAGGGTTTTATATACAATAGTTCTTTCTCTCGACACAAACAGCAAATTTATAAATTAGATATTATAAACCCTACAAATCTGGAGCCTAAAACTCATAAAGAATTGGTACATATACTATGTGGCAGACGCTCAGACATTAAGCCAGTTCTATCTGATTCAAACGCTATTGTTTTTACCTATGATATGCTGTATCCTGTCTGGGAAGACATGCACATATTATACAGAGAGAGTTCATTCCCAGGCCATCCAAAGAATTTCTCTTAGTCTATAATGTAGCAGAAATGATGGTAAAACTCATTAAAATGACAGATCTGCTTCTTGTAGATCTTACTACTCTCCATGGTACTTAGCCAATCTCTTGCACTTATAATAGAAAAGCACTAAGTATTTTTTTAAATTATTAAAATCAAGTTAACCATAATATTAATAATATTGACTTCATATCTGGCAGATAGCATGCCTGTCATACAGAAGACAAAAAGGAATCAAATTTCTTTTCTCTATCTTCATTTATAATCAATCTATATTTAGTTACCTCCTACGTTATACCAACTATGCATAGAAGAAATGCAATAATGATTTCTGGTACACTACAGACTAACAGAAATTTACTAAATGGTCTAGGAATGAAACTACAAGTATAATCTCCATGTATAAGACAATATTTTCAAAAATATATAGTAAAAAAACCATGAAAAGAATTAAAATGTTCACTAGAACATATTCACTTAATCTAAGAAAAAGCAATAAAGGAGAAATAAGGAACAAAAAAGGCATGAAACATATAAAAGCAAGTAAAATGACAGCTTAAAATCCAACTATATTAATAACAACAATAAGTGTGAATGGATTAAACATTCCAATTAAAGGCACACATTGGCAAACTGGATAAAAAGACAAGAGCCAACTATATGCTGTCTATGGAGACATACAATAGATGCAAAAATATAAACAGGCTGAAAGTAAAAGGATGGAAAAAGATATATAATGGAAACAGCAACCATAAAAAAGCTAGAATAGTAGTATTTATAACAGGCAAAACAGACATTAAAACAAAAAAATGTTACTAGAGATAAAGAGGAACATTTTACAATGACAAAAGGAAGATTAAAAAAATTATAAACATACATGCACCAAACATCCAATCTCCTAAATAGATGAAGCAAACACTAACAGAATTAAAGAGACTTCAATACCCTGTTTTCAATAATGAATAGAACAAGTAGGCATAAGATCAGCAAAGTAGAAGATTTGAACAACACTAAAAAACAGATATCTATAGAACACTCCACTCAACAACAGCAGAATACACATTCTAATCAAATGTTTATTGAACATTATCCAGGATAGATCAAATGCTAAGCCATAAACCAATAGTTACAGCTACACAGGGCTACTGCCTACTGTATTAGATAGCTGCCATGCATAGATAGTACATACTCCCTGATGATAGCATCCTAAGATGAGCTGGAATCCTTTTCCTCAGTAGTTTTGAGAAATATAAAGTGGGTACAAAAGCCCCATCTAAGATACTAGTACACTAGTAACTCACATCCCCCATAGGTCACCTCTATTCCTTGATCTTACCATGTTAACCACTTAGCCACAGGTTAAAGATTTTTTTCTCAACTTGCCTTTTTTCAGATTCTGATGAAGAAACACATAACGATCTAAAACTCCAAATGCAGTCTTTCTCATTACATGAAAATTTTTGTTCTTTAAAAATAGTCCTGTGTGCCATTAATATTTATACCATTTTGAAATCAATAAATACAACTATATAAAATATATAATGGTAAATGATACTATGTAAATAAAGTACATTTTTATGTCAAAGACGTAAAAAGACATTACTTACTGTGCTTTTATCTTTCAGAAGTTTTTCAATTACTTCAATTAACATTTCCTTCTGCTCTGGATCAAGGCTAAAAAATACAAAAATAACATATTAATTTTTCCCTTTAATTCTAGCTTTACATGATGCTCACCAATTCAAGGATGTTGAGAAATTTTTAAAGAGGGAAAGGAGAGCAAGAATTATAAGTTAGAAATAAAGAAAAACAAATAAAATGGGATGGTTTTTCTCATGAATGTGTCCTCATCTTTCCCTCTAATATTGTTCATATTAACTAAACCAGATATCAATGGTTTAGTTAAGATAGTACTGAAAGAACAAGTTCACTTCTAAAAGAGTTGGAAAACTTCAAGAAAGCGACTGTAAGTAGATAAACCACAAACTCTTTTCAACTGGGAGGAAAAAAATAACTAGATAGCAGTCATTATTTTACTATGCATACATACTTCCCAAAAACAAATATGGAGAATTTCCAAATAAGAATTTTATATCATACTAGTTCACTGATAGAGACATGCATTATAAAATCTGCCAACTAAAACTAGGAAAAATAAGAGGTAGTAATAAGCTTAAAACATTTGAGATAGAATACTAACAGACTATAAGCTCAAGGCAAGGAGAGGCAAGCATTGAGGCTGGAATATACTGGTGCCCAATGATAGAAGGACTTTTAAGCCGTTAGAGTGAGCATGGATCTTATCCCATAAGTTTCTAAGGAGAAAAGGTGAGTGAGAAGCATGATAAAACCTTGTCTGGCAGTTAACATAGGAATATGAGGTTTCACTTTCTACAAACATACACATTTATTACTAAACATTATAATTATCTGGACAAACTTTTTAATTCTTTCAAATTTCAGCTTAAGTCTTCCTTCTCAAAGCAGTATTTCACTACCAATCCCATCTCATTACATCTTTACTTTCCGGTAACAAAATATGATCATCTCTGGTCCCTGTCCTATCAAAGACATTGCTAGTGTACCTTTGTATATACATATATATCAAGTGCTAATATCTTATTCATTATAGATTGCCTTTAATTATTTGGTATGTCTTTGATCTTCTTCCTCAAATACATGATATGCTATTCATAATTAAGTGCCACATCCTCTACTGTTTTCATACATCTAAATACACATAGCACAATACTGTGAATACAACACCAGAAACAGAAGAGAGTCTCAAAAAGCTTGAGGAATAAATGATAGCTGAAAATAATACCAAATTGTTGTAGACAATTCTATTTGGACAGTAAATTTTCCACAGAGATCAGGGCATTGTATAATATTGCATAACATTTCTAAAATATCACACAGATATGGTATAGCACACTATATTTCAAATCACTACACTTTTTAAAATTACTTAATAAAATAGCTCTGGAA
The DNA here is from genome assembly GCF_000001405.40 of Homo sapiens. Classification (NCBI taxonomy): domain Eukaryota; kingdom Metazoa; phylum Chordata; class Mammalia; order Primates; family Hominidae; genus Homo; species Homo sapiens. Next base: position 78,226,923 of record NC_000005.10, read on the forward strand.
AAGAATTAGACAACGAAGGGAGCAGCAGGAACAAAGATGGAAGAAAGGAAAACACATATAAGTGAGTTGAGAGGATCAGACACTTAAGATTCTACCCTAAACAGGAAAAAAAAATCTCAATTTTCTAATAATACAAGCATATGTGTACATGAGATAGACTATATAAATGAGAATTCAAATTCTGATTATTCTTAAGTTATAAAATCTATAAATTATCACAGGCTCTAACAGCCTCACAAATAAAAACCTGCATAGGGTCTCTATAGCCAAAACGAAATTAAAGATGTGTAAGGAACATTTGCAGCAGGGGGAAATACCATCATACAGTCACTGGATTTACTTAGTGTAAGAGCAGCCTACCTAAAAGAGCGAATAAAACAAGCCTCTGTGGTCTATAACATTCCATGTAACATCAGAGATCTTTGGTATATTGTTAACAATGCACCTACCTGTATAATTTTTGTATTGCATGGGCTGCATTCTTCCTAACATATGGTGATAAGTCAGCAGAAGCTTCCTTAATAGCAAGCATCATGATAGGTACAATAATTGGCACTCTAATACTTGACAGAACTCTCAAAGCGCTTGCACGAATTAGTTGGTTTGGGTCCTAAAAATAGTGCAAAAATATTCACCAAAATTTCAACTTTACAATATTTTAAACATATCTTTCAGACACAGTTAATAGGTGCTTAAAGGGTGTAATATGACAATAGCAAAAGAAAGCTACTTAATTTAAAATGAACAATTAGTATATAGGAATGGGAAAAAAAGACAGACATAAATGTTTACTTCTTTAATAATGTTTTAAAGAAAAGTAATAGTTATAATTCTAGTTGGTCATTTATTACTAAATATGCTGGGTTTTTATACTTTCATAATAATAAAATGCTGCAGGTCATCAATTTCATGTTTAAAAATGTCTTATAACCCCTTTTGCGTACTTTCAACAACTAGTATAATGATAAACAGCTCTTTGAAGCATGAAAATAATTATATTGAATATAAACAAACATACAGAAGCTGTAACATATACAGCAAGGTTTCAGTTGGTTGTATAAATTATTTTCTAAGTGTACTGAGTAGGCACTATAGGAGGCTTTTAACTCTTTCAAGACACTACTGTGCTATTTAGTGGATTATCGCTCCACTTCTTTAACTGACACACTTTCAACTCTGCAGAAACCTTGTAGCTATTTGCCTACTCACTCCATTATTTACCTTCAGAGCTCGCTGAAAAGTGCTTATGGACAGGAGTGCAAGATCCTGCTGTTCTTCAGCATATCGAACCAGGTAAACATATACCAACTTCTTGATCTGTTAAAAAAAAATCATTTATTCATAACCAGAGTGAAAATTTAAAACTCAGTATTTGCTATACCAAAATCCATGCTCAATTCTTCTCAAGTAAATAACTGAATCTGGTCACATGTTAGATTGTAAAATAAAAATAATATTTTGTGGGATAATAAGTACAACAGGAAAAGCTTTTAAAGTAAGCATTTTAATAGTCCAGTTCACAATAGCAATAGCCTATCAAAGTGTCCCTTCCTCTTGAAGGGAATAAAAAATCCCTGAGCAGATCTCATATAAGAATATTAACTAAATTGTAAAAATATTTTCAAAATGAGGGATAAAAATAAAAGAAAGAAGCCAGGCATGGCGTACATGCTTGTAGTCCCAGCTACACAGGAGGCTGAGGCAGGAGGATCACTTGAGCCCAGGAGTTAGAGGCTATCCTGGGCAACACAGAGAGACCCTACCTCTTTAAAAAATAATAAGAGAAAGAATTTGGGCCCAGGCCACTAACTATATGTTATGGGAACTTGTTTCCTCATCTGTTAAAAGAGTCCAGAGCCCTAACTCTGATTTTTATGGTAATACTCACATTTCAACACGCATTACATGATATTTTCAGTCCAGTAAGAATAATGTGTGACTATGAATACCAATTTAACGTAATAAAAATTCAAGAAGATTGGATGTGTGTTCTGGAAACAGTTTTTTTTGGTTTTCGATTTTTTTTCTGAGACACAGTCTTGCTTTGTCGCACAGGGTGCAGTGCAATAGCACAATCACGGCTCACTGCAGCCTCAACCTCCTGGCCTCATGCCATCCTCCCACCTCAGCCTCTCCAGTGGCTGGAACTACAGGTATGCACCACCACACCCGGCTTTTTTTTAGGATTTTATAGAGACGGGGTCTTCCTATGTTGCCTACCCAGGCTGGTCTCAAACTCCTGGGCTTAACTGGTCCTCCCACCTCAGCCTCCCAAAGCACAGGGGTTACAGGCATGAGCCATTATGCCCAGCCTTGAAAACAAGTTTTAAAGGTAATTTAATCACTAAGTTTACAACAAAATTATGAACAGAAAAAGAAATAAACAAAAACTAGAATTTGAGTTGAAATTTATCCATTGCTTCCTTCTAGCACTATTTATAGCCTGTATCTACCTTCTCAAATATCTTCACATTCCTGATTACCCTTCTAAGATACCAACACAGTATATACCTAAAAGTTATGTACTCAGCCAGGCACAGTGGCTCACGCCTGTAATCCCAGCACTTTGGGAGGCTGAGGCAGGCAGATTGCCTGAGTTCAGGAGTTCAGGACCAGCCTGGGCAACATGGTGAAATCCCATTTCTAGTAAAACAAAAAAAAAAAAAATTAGCCAGGCACAGTGGCATGCACCTGTAGTCCCAGCTACCTGGGAGGCTGAGATGGGAGAGTCACCTGAGCCTGGGAGGTCGAAGCTGCAGTGAGGCAGGATTGTGCCACTGCACTCCAGCCTGGGCAACTGGAAAGAGACTCTGTCTCAAAAATTTAAAAAATTTAAAATTAAAAAAAAAGTTATATACTCAAAGAACACAAGAAATGAGGGGAAAAAGTTGGAGATAGCTGGAATTGGTGCTGGAAATATAAAAACAGTACTATACTGGATCATATTTCCAGTCATACTAACCAATCTGGACTACTTTAGAGACAACTGTCATGACCTTCCTTCCTTGTACCCTAATTTCTCGTGAAACATAACAGCTTTAGTTCCTCTACCATCCTGTTTGCTCCTTCCTAAACTCACTCCAATTTTTTTCAGCGTGACACTACAAACTACAAATAAAGTCTAAACAGAACAAACTAGATAAGAACTTGCTCCAGATGAGGTACTTCCACAGATATGACTAATTCTTGATTAAAACCATACACCTTTTCCAAATGTACTGCTGACCAAATCAAAATCCAACTGTCCTCACGGAATTTTTTTAAAATTATTTTAAATGAAAGGCAAAATCTTCCATTTATCTACAGAAATTGTCAACAATTTAGATTCAACACATCTTGGCACCCTGTTAAGATAATTTGAGATGATAATTTTATAATCCAAACTATTTCTCAATTCATAAGTACAAATGAAAACTTAATGAGCAAACAAACTTTGTACATCTTCATCATTGATAAATATGTTAAACACAACCATTTTAAGTTGATATCAATCCATCTATACTATACGGGTAGAGTTATAAATGAAATGAAAAAACCTTTTTCCAATTACTCTTCAATGTTGAATGGCTCCACAAAACCTTAAAAACAAAATCTAAAGCTCTTAACCTAGTACTCAATACAGTTTATAATCTGTTCGAAACCTCCTTTCCTAGTCAAACAGAAATAGTCCCCAAATATAACTTGCACTCTTTATCTCAATCTCCACTCAGGTTATCCCAAGTTATCCCGCTTCACCAAGTTCCACTTCCCCAAGTTCCACTTATTAAAATCTTCCACAAGAGCAAAAATTAAACAATAAAGAGTCCTAGTAGATAAACAGTAAACAAATGACAGTTCCTCCATATAACACTATACTATTCAGCCACTATACAAAATTAAATAAATCTGTATGACATTGAAAATATATCCTTGTGGCCAGGCACGGTGGCTCACACCTGTAATCCCAGCACTTTGGGAGGCTGAGACGAGCGGATCACCTGAGGTCCGGAGTTGGAGACCAGTATGGCCAACATGGTGAAACTCCATCTCTACTAAAAATACAAAAAAATTAGCCAGGTGTATTGGCCCATGCCTGTAATCCCAGCTACTGGGAAGGCTGAGGCAAGAGAATTGCTGGAACCCGGGAGGCAGAGGTTGCAGCAAGCCAAGATCGCACCACTGCACCCCAGCCTGGGTGACAAAGCAAGACACCATCTGAAAAAAAGAAAAGAAAGAAAAGAAAATATGTCCTTGAAAAAGGTTTTTTGTTTGTTTGTTTTTTGTTTTTAAGACAAAGTCTCACTCTGTCACCAAGGCTGGAGTGCAGTGGGGCGATCTCGCGACTTACTGCAACCTCCGCCACCCAGGTTCAAGCGATTCTCCTGCCTCAGCTTCCCAAGTAGCTGGGATTACAGGCACGCACCACCACGCCCAGCTAACTTTTGTATTCTTAGTAGAGATGGGGTTTCACCAAGTTGGCCAGGCTGGTCTTGAACACCTGACCTCAGGTGATCTGCCCGCCTCGGCCTCCCAAAGTGCTGGGATTATAGGTGTGAGCCACCATACCTGGCCTAAAATTTTTTAAAGGTGTAAAAGAGTATGCATTGTATGATCTCACTTCTGTATAAAAAAAAAATAGATGCCCACATACTGTATTTTATGCAATCTAAATAGACCACCAATTGTAAAACATACCATTATATTATGGACCACAAAGGAAAGAACAACAACAAACAAACAGAAAACACTACCCATCGTAATCACCACCAGTTGTTAAGTTAAATCCCAACTGCAGAAACTTTAAAATAGCAAACATATGTCTTAGAATGGACATAATATGGTAATAATAGCAAATCCTTATAGGTAGCATTAACTACATGTCAGACACTGTTCTAAATGTCTTACATAAATTAACTCATTTTATCCTCACAACTCAATAAACAAGTATTTATTCTTACTTTACAGATAAGAAAATGAAACACAGACAGGGTAAGTAACTTGACTAAAGTACCGTATCTATTAAATAGAAGAACTAAGATTCAAGTCAAGTAAGCACAAAATTGAGAAATCTATACAATAAAATGTTAATAGTAACTATCTCTGTGTGATGGTATTAACCAGTGACTTTCACTCTTTACATCCTTCTATATTATCTTTAAAGGAATATTAATTACTTTGGGGTCAGATAAAACAATAAAGATATTTCACGATAGGGGTGAATCTCATCTTTCCAGATGGCCCTCAAAACAAAATAATAGTGCTGTGATTCTTCTAATACTTTAAATTCTTTAATTATAAAAAGATTTCAAATTGGTAATGTTTTTAAGTTCCCACATTCCTCGGAGAGACAGGTTTTTCTAAAGCCTTGGCAACATGTAGCCACCAGAACTGTTTTAAACCTGTTCTACAGAACAATAAAAAGGCACCTGAATGAACAAGTTTTCTTGCTCAGCCTCTTGCTTGTGAAAGTTAGCCAGTCAGGAACAACTGCACTCCCATACACCCACCTCTGAGTGCCAATCAATCAAGAGCAGTCTCACCCACATGACCATGCATCTACAGATGATATCAACCCACTTAGGACCCTGAAAGTCCATCAATCCCTGAAGACTGCCCTTCCCAATAATCCACAATAATATCAGCAATCTCTATGCCCAGAGAAGCTGTGCCTAAAAAGCACAGTTGTCCCTTGCTATAGTAAGCAATAAATTGTCTTATTTCAGATATCATCCTTCAATACAACCTACTGAAAAGTTCCAAGACTAGTTCACTGAAGCCTCATATAGGCTTCATTTATGTTTTATTCTTTCTTTCTTTTTTTTTTAGACAGAGTCTTGTTCTGTCTCCCAGGCTGGAGTGCAGTGGCACAATCTCGGCTCACTGCAGCCTCTGCCTCCTGGGTTCAAATGATTTTCCTGCCTCAGCCTCCCGAAAAGTTGGGACCACAGGTGCACACCACCACGCCCAGCTAATTTTTGTATTTTTAGTAGAGACAGGGTTTTGCCATGCTGGCCAGACTAGTCATGAACTCCTGACGTCAAGTGATCCACCCACCTCGGCCTCCCAAAGTGCTAGGATTACTGGCGTGAGCCACCACACCCGGCCGCCTTCATCTATGTTTTTCAATTGCTAACACTACAATTATAAAATTCAGGAAACATAACATCAGTGCATTATTTATTATCTAATAAATAATCCATATTTAGAAATTCTCAATAACATCCTATATTTATAGTATTTTTTCTGATCTGGGATCATGCATCATATTTAAGTTTTCATGTCTCCTTGGTCTTCTTTCATCTGGAGAAGTTCCTCAGCCTTTGTTTTTCTTTTTTCTTTTTTTTTTTTTGAGACGGCGTTTTGCTCTTGTTGCCCAGGCTGGAGTGCAATGGCATGATCTCAGCTCACCGCAACCTCCGCCTCCTGGGTTCAAGCGATTGTCCTGTCTCAACCTCCAGAGTAGCTGGGATTACAGGCGCATGCCACCACGCCCAGCTAATTTTTCTATTTTTAGTAGAGAACGGGGTTTCATCATATTGTTCAGGCTGGTCTTGAACTCCTGACCTCAGGTGATCCGCCCACCCCGGCCTCCCAAAGTGCTGGGATTACAGGCGTGAGCCACCACGCCCAGCCCAGCCTTTCTTTTCTAAAAGTACCCTTGTCATTCTGGCTAGTATTAAAATTAATTAGGAAATACAGAATATGAAAGGAAAACTGCCTGCGACAGCTTTTGTTCTTCACCTCAATCTGCTATAACTTTCCAGCTAGAATTTAAATGTGTAAGGCCCTACATCTACATTATATTACTCGTTTAATTCTCATATCTATCCTAGGTACAATTATCTCCCTCTCAAAGATAAGGAAAGTAAGGCTCAGAGGTTTATATAACTTGCCCAAAGTCACAGAGCTAGCAAGTGCAGAATCAGGATGCAAACAGGGGCATGTTCCTAACTACTACATGTTGTGGCCTATGATGGCAGTCCGCAGATATTTCTATTAAGGTACCCCTAACAAAAGAGGAGACAACTCTTCCCCTAAGAGCATCTGAAAACCTAGGAAAAAAATTATATTTTATTTATAATATATACATTTATAAAAGAAGAATGCTTTAAATCACTGTTTTTTAACCCCAATTGCACATCTTCTCATTTGAAAATGACATCATTGCAGTATTATTATTAAAAATCCAACAAGAAATTTACAACTGTAGTAAAAGGTAGTAATGACTTCATTCCATAGAACCCCATCTCTATTATCAATGTACTTTCCATCTATATTCACGATTAGACTCTTTACACTTTCTTGGTTTAAATTAGTGCTTCTCAACCTTCAGAATTTTTCAAACCCAAAATACACATATTTGTGAAACACTGTTCCTTTAAATGATCACTTGGAACCAAGTGATGTTACACAAGAATACAAATATAGGTATAAGATGGAAACCAAATGATTCAAACTATACTTAATGTTTCAGATTATATTTAAGTGTAAATATAAGTTTTTCAAATTCTTAGATCAGTTTTAGAAGCGCTTCTCTAACTATTTGAGGATAGATGACTTTTTCCTCAACTAGATTTAAAGTTCCTAAGAATACAGCAATGGTAGAAAGCAATTAACACGTGGTTGACTGATTAACAGCAGTCAATATATCAAATATATATCAATATATCAGCAGTTGATTAACAACAGTTTCAATATATCAAATCAACACATAATATGTATTTAACTAAGTAATTTATCCCATCTGCCTGGAAGTGAACTTGAGGCTATTTAGTACAACAACCATTTCTTATTCATCTGTATATTGCAAGGACTTATTACATTGCTTGGCATATAGTAAAAGCTCAATATTTATCAGCTGGATCACATTCCAGACCAACTGTAGACTGAAAAAAATTAAGACATTTCCCATTAGAGTGCTACATCTAGGATCTAACTTCTCACACCAGTGGGTATAATTCATTGAACAGCAAAGTCTAGAAAGACACCAACATACTATGAAGAAAACAACAGGTTTTGGAAAGACTGCCTCCAAAGTCTTTAACTTGTTAGTCTGGTTGTTTTTTTGGTGTATGTGGGTGTGTGGGGAGGGGTGTGTGTGTGTCAGTGAGTGGGGGTGGAGGTGTGGGTGTATGTTTAAAGAGAGATAGGGTCTCGCTCTGTTGCCCAGGCTGGCCTCAAACTCCTGGGCTCAAGAGAGACTCCTGCCTCAGCCTCCCTGGTAATTAGGACTCTAGGTGCACACCAACACAGCTGGTTTGGTTTTTTAAAATATTCTTTTAAAATATTCTTTCTCTTTACTAATTATATTCAGATCTCACTCTACAGTTCTCTGGAAAGTTTTGAGAAAGAATGGGTCCAGTTCTCCCTTATCCCCTTACAATTTATTTCTCAGCAATACCTTTATTCACCAAGTACAGCCAGCTTTTAAAACTGGATTATGAACTCTAGAATATATCACAGAGTTTATATTGGCAACACTGAAACATTCAGAACCACAGCTGAGCTAGCAGGCATTGCAATAATTACTCACTATTGGAGAAGGATTTCTGTGACTGTTATGGCAAAAAGCATAACAATATTAAATCACAGAAGGTTGCGAAACACTAAATTTGTTCTACTTCTGTTATAAGAATCAATCAATATTGACCACAAGAGGCCTATGCACTGACAGGCTGCAGGTGTGCAAAGAAAGCCTACCTTCCCTGAAACCATTCTGTGACCAGAAATGGGAGTAGTTAAAGCTCCGTGACTACATCATTCTCTGATCGGTTACTTTCATTCAATGTTATAACACTCCTTGCTGTAAAGCTAATCATAGCAGAGCCCCAGTAGGCTGGAAGAACACAGACAGATCTGTTTAATTAGCTTATCAATACTAGTACATCAAACTTCATGAGTTATTGACTAAACCTTTGATTATTTTTGTACTATAACCACTGATTGCTTACTAGGTCACTTTTGGTATCATTTGACATTTAATGGTAGATGACGTACAGCTCACCTGTGTGTCTAAAGCAGCATGTACTTGTAAAAATGAAATTTTGCACTTGAGAGGAGTGAAACATTCAATTTCTGAACATAAGTTTTAAGAAACTTATGTCAGTTTTCCCAAAACATTAAAGGCTTAACCATGTTTCAAAAAAATAAAATAAACAAGGTATTTAAAGAACGAAAGAAATCCAAAACAAATAGACCAATAATTATGTTTATATTGACATTTTTGTAACAGAACATTAGGCAGCTACCAGAATCTAATTGTAAAGGGAAAATATGAGCAAATGGAAAAGTTCTCCTACTGATAACTATTTGAATAGTAAAACAGTTCTGAAGGAACAATAATTGGTATGGAATTTTCTGTTTACAACAAGAACTAGAAGTCCTCAGGGAACTAGCTACTTTACCACCAATTTCTAAGGACTTCGTCATTTCTACCCATAACTAAAACATAAAAGAAAAAAAATATGCCAATACTAGGTACCTCCCAAAGGATGGCTAATGCCAGATGTTGATAAGGAGTCAAAAATATTAAGAGACAAAACAGAGGGAGGAATCATCAAACAGGAAAGATGGCGCTGAATGGGCTAAGATGGGTTCTGAAGTCAAGCAACCTAGCTTTGGATTCTGACTGCTACACACTGGCTGTGTGACCTTGATCAGCTAATTTAACCTTTCTGCCATCTTGTCCTCATATATAAAATACAAGTAATGACAGAAACAGCCCCACAGGGTTATTTGTGAGGATAAAACGGAGTAGATCTATGCAAGGCACTAATAACCTTGGTCAGACAGGTTTTTTTAATGTTAGCAATTATTCCTATTGCTACTAAGAGACTCTATTCCTGATAATACTAAGACAAGCTTCACCTATGCCTCATAATTTTTCTAAGTTAAATGTTTATTTTTTCCAGATATTTGGACTTTCTTATACCACAGGCCATAAAACTAATAAACATATCAAATTAGAAGCTCAGATATCATGGCCATAAGGTGTCAAAGGGAGAGTAGTTGAAAATTATCAATTCAGAATTATATATAACAAGCACATAGTGTTTAATAAATATCTACTAAATTAATCATAAGTAAAATTGATTTTACTCAAGAAATCTACAAAGAAAGTATGGTTTATCAAGTCATTTAAATCCAGTACTAATTTAATCTAATTCATAAACTGGCCACAAGAATACAACTGTTTTGATTTTGGCTTATCCAACTTAGTCTAATTGAGTTTATAAGAACTATTTCATTTTGATAGAAAAATTCATCTATCTGAAATACAGAATGCACTTCCTATCTAATGAAAAAAATTAAGAGCTGGGCACAGTGGCTCACATCTATAATCCCAGCACTTTGGGAGGCCAAGGCAGGAGGATCACCTGAGCCCAAGAGTTCAACACCAGCCTGGGCAACATGGAGACCTCGTCTCTACAAAATATTTTTTAAATAGCCAGGAGTAGTGGCACGCACCTGTGGTCCCAGCTACTCAGAAGGCTGAGTCAGGAGGATCACTTGAGCCCAGGAAGTGAAGGCTACAGTGTGTTGTGTTCATGCCACTACAGTTCCCCCCCAAAAAAAGCAAGAAGCATACTTTAAAATATTAAATCTTTTTTTAAAAGTAGGTTTAGGCTGAACATGGTGGCTCACACCCATAATCCCAGCACTTTGGGAGGCCAAGGTGGGCAGATTACTTGAGCTCAGGAGTTCCACACCAGCCTGGGCAACATGACAAAACCCCGGCTCTACTAAAAATACGAAAAATAAATTAGATGGGCATGGTGACACAAGCCTGTAATCCCAGCTGCTCGGGAGGCTGAGGCAGGAGAATCACCTGAACCCGGCAGGCAGAGGTTGTAGTGAGCCAAGATCGTGCCACTGCACTCCAACCTGGGCAACACAGCGAGACCCTGTCTCCAAAAAAAAAGTAGGTTTAAAGTACCTATCCTTAAAATGCTATAATCCAGTGATGCATTGCTTAACAATGTTCTGAGAAATGCGTCGTTGGACAATTTCATTGTTGTGCAAACACCACAGAGTGCAACTTACACAAACCTACATGGTATAGACTACTACACACCTAGGATATATGATACAGACCAGGGGTCTACACACCTAGGATATATGACATAGCCCAGGGGTTGGAACCAGGCCACACAGCAGGCAGTGAGCAGTGGGCAAGCAAGTGAAGCTTCATCTGTATTTACAGCTGCTCTTCATTGCTCGCATTACCTCCTGAGCTCTGCCTACTGTAAGATCAACAGCAGCATTAGATTCTCATAGGAGCACAAACCCTATTGTAAACTGCACACAAGAGGGATCTAGGCTGCGTGCTCCTTATGAGAATCTAACGCCTGATGATCTGTCACTGTCTCCCATCACACCCCAGATGGGACCATCTAGTTGTAAGAAAACAAGCTCAGGGCTCCCACTGATTCTACATTATGGTGAGTTATATAATTATTTCATCATATATTACAATGTAATAATAATAGAAATAAAGTGCACCATAAATGTAATGCTTTTGAATCATCCTGAAGCCATCCTACCCACCCTGGGTCCAGAGAAAAATTGTCTTCCACAGTACTGGTCCCTGGTGCCAAAAACGTTGGGGACTACTGATATAGCCTATTGCTCCTAGGCTACAAATCTGTACAGCATGTTACTGTACTCAATACTGTAGATAACTATCACACAATGGTAAGTATTTGTGTATCTAAACATAGAAAAAGTACAGTAAAAATACAGTATTATAATCATATGGGACCACTGTCATATATGCCAAGAAATGCAAGTTGGAAAAAAACTAAAATGAAATTTTAAAATGTTTCTAGTTAACCCAAAAAAGGAATAGGAAGAATAGAAGACAAAAATAAAAGAGACAAAGAGAAAAGAAAAAGAATAATAGTAGACTCAAATCTAAGCAGATCAATAATTATATTAAGTGTTAGCAAAATAGACACTCCAATTAAAAGGCAGAGATTGACACACGGGATGTAGGGAAGGCTGCAACTATACGCTGTCAACAACAGGTGCACACTAGATATAAACAGACAAGCTGAAAGCAAATGAATAAAAATGATAATAAAAAGAAATGAGAAGGTTGGAGTGGCAATACTAATAACAAATCAAATATGCTTTAAGACAAAACATATTAACAAAAATAAAGGATTTTTTTATAATAAAAAGGTCAATTCATCAGGAAAACCCAAAGAGTTATGCCTAATAGGAGTACTTTTAAAAATAAGCAAAAAATACTAAATTAAGGGGAAAAATAAAACATTCCAGAATCAGCCCAGGCACGATGGCTCATGCCTATAATCCCAGCACTTTGGGAGGCCAAGGTTGGCAGATTGCTTGAGCCTGGGAGTTCGAAACCAGCCTGGGCAACATGGTGAAGCCCTGTCTCTGTTCAAAATATGAAAATTAGCTGGACATGGTGGCATGCACCTGTAGTCCCAGCCACTCAGGAGGCTGAGGAAGGAGGATCACCTAAACCCAAGAGGTCAAGGCTACAGTAAGCCACGATCATGCCACTGCACTCCAGCCTGGGAGATAGAGAGGAACCCTGTCTCAGAAAAAAAAAAAAAAAAAAAAGCCAGGCACGGTTGGTCACGCCTGTAATCCTAGCACTTTGGGAGGCTGAGGCAGGTAGATTGCTTGAGCTCAGGAGTTCAAGACCAGCCTGGGCCACATGGCGAAACCCTGTCTCTACAAAAAAAAAATATAAAAAACTAGCCAAGCATGGTTGTAAGCGCCTGTAGTCCCAGCTACTTGTGGGGCTGAGGCGGGAGGATCGCTTGAGCCCAGGAGGTCGAGGCTGTAGTGAGCCAAGATCACACCACTGCACTCCAGCCTGAGTGACGAAGTGAGACTCTGTCTCAAAAAAAAAAAAAAAAAAAAATCAAAATCATGATTGGGAGATTAAAAATTCCTCTCTCACCAACACTATCAATCACATTTAGTTAAGTAATATTTAAAGAACATTAGCTCAAAAATGTTTTCTTTTTCTCTGGTTGGTTTTGCTGGCAAGAATACTTTGAACATTTAAAATCATCACGCAAAATAGAAAAAACTTCACTACCAAAAAATGACCATACTATGCATGGAAAATAAAATCATAACTACAAAATTAGCGAACCCTCTGAAATCACACACCCATCCTCCTTACGCTCTCACACTTGCCCGTGCAAGAATGCTTGTGCACTTTCTCTGTCACCATAACCATGTTCCCTGGATTAGAATGTTTCTGTTATTTGTTAATGAGCTTCATCATCTGCCAATAAAATGGCAAACAAATAGTAGCAGTAACACATCTTTAATTTTATGGTGAGGGAAAGGCTTTAAAGCTTTAAACTGAGAAAAATTTATCAATTAACCAGGCTTTTTCAATTAATTTATCAATTAACCAGGGTGGAGAGGAGAATGTAACCTTAATACTAGACTATATTAGTGTAGCTTACAGAAAACAGTATTTTACTGGGACGTGTTCATTCAATAAATCCACATATATGTACTGAGTGCTTAGTACATGTCATGAGTAGTCTGAGAAACTTGGGAAATATTCTTGGGCTCAGTCCTAGAAATCCCAAAAAGCCCCAAATCATCAAGGTCTGGATATACCCAAATAGGTCTTTTTCACTGGACATATGCTATCTTAAAATTAAGTCCCTGGAACAAAATTTAAACTAAACGGGCCTCTAGGAACAGGTGAAAACTCGACAACTTACCATCATTCACTCAGGGGAATCAATCTGTTTTGCTTTTCATATTTTCTACCAAAAATCCAAAGCTAGGATTGTGCCTACTTTTTATTTGATCTTACCTACATTTAAAATTAAGGACATTTTAATCATAACAAAAATCTAGTGATACTTAAGTATCTTATGTTGCATTATACTACATAAAAAGTGTACGGTCCCATGAAAACAAAAGGAATCATAAAAATTATAGATCAAAACAGTACCTCAATATTTTTACTGGCCACATTCTTCACAACAGCAGGAAACAGTTCAGATGCATTTTTCCCTTTTGCAATCATCTGAAGAATAAACAAAACAGACAATATGGGAAATTCTATATATATTAAATATTTAGAAGATTAGGTCAACAAATAAGCTACGTAATTAACCGCTGAACTCTTTTTGAATCATCTTACCTCAACTATTTACAGCAAATAATAAACACTATCTTGTACAGCAATATAAATACACAAATACATAGACACAATAAACAAGAAATATTTAGTAACTTAAGATATATATTTAAATATTTTACTAGTTTTCTCTGGCTAACTGGGTTATAAGTAATTTTTTTTTTTTTTAGACAGATCCTACTCTGTCTCCCAGGCTAGAGTCCAGTGGCTCAATCATAGCTCACGGCAGCTTCGACCTCCCAGGTTTAAGTGATCCCCCACCTCAGCTTCAGCTGAGGCTACAGGCGTATGTCATCATGCCTGGCTAATTTTCGAATTTTTTTGTAGAGACAGGGTACCACTATGTTGCCCAGGCTGGGTAAAAACTTTTTAAAAATATTTAAAAATATTTTTGCTATTTTCTATTTTCCAGGATCTGACATTAAAGATGTACTGCATTTGCAATGGGGGAATTGAGAGAGGGATGAATGTTACTTTGAACCAACTAATTATGTGAACCTTTGCTTTCTTTTCATAGGTTACCCTACTTCTGCAACCATTGCTTTTCAAAGTTGCCTTCACTAAACATTCTTCCTCTGCCCACTAAAGTTCTGCGCACCACCATCTTTTCAGCCTACACTGTTCTACAATCTCTGAAACTCCTAAGATTTCATTCACCGTTAGGACTAACTGTAGCCCAAATCCAGCCTGAGTTCCACATCTCTAACTAGACATCATTAGATTGCTCTCATCCCAAACTTGCTATGTCTAAAGCCAAACTCATCTTTCATGACAAAATGGCATTCATGATAAAATGACATTCATGATAGAATTTCCTATTTCCACAGTTCTCCTAGATACCAAAAACCACAAAATTACCCTGGTCTCTTCTCACAGAAGAGTAACTAAGTCCTGCTAATACTTCTCAGAACACATGTTAATCCCTTCCACTGCTATTATCCTAGCATGGGTCAGTATCACCTCACAGAGAACTTTTCAGTCTCCTCTTCCTATCCATAATGTATATCACTGACAGTTTAATATGCTTAAAACACTACTTTGCACATGTCAGCCCCCGTAAAAGATTTCAAAAGCTTCTGACTGTCTGGAGTCCAAATGATTTTATGTAACATTCAAATATTCTCACAATGTGCACTAACATCTGTTCTTAAACTCTCTGACCTAAGGTTCTATTAAAATGACCTTACTCACTACTAGAATATTCTCTGGCTGCCCCACTATGCCTCTGCTCAGATCATGGCCCCAGCTTTCTAAGTTCTCCCCTTCTATCTAAAGCATCATCAAATTTTACTCCTTCTCCCTTGCTACAGCCATCTCCTAACACCTGGGCCACTGTGTCACCCAATCCTAATTTCTTTCAGAATTTTTTTTTTTAAGACAGTATCTCACTCTGTCGCCCAGCCTGGAACGCAGTGGCACAATCTTGGCTCACTGCAACCTCCGCCTCCCGGGTTCGAGCGATTCTCCTGCTTCAGTCTCCCGAGTAGCTGGGATTACAGGCACCTGATGCCACCACTGGCTAATTTTTGTATTTTTAGTAGAGACGAGGTTTCGCCATGTTGACCAGGCTGGCCTTGAACTCCTGACCTCAAGTGATCCACCCCCCTCGGCCTCCCAAACTGCTGGGATTACAGGCACGTGCCACCATGTGCAGCCTCCTCTAGAATATTTTAATCTACACTTATCATTTAGAATTTCCTGTGCACTATTTTACATTTCTATTTATTTTAGTTTTATATCTATCTGTATTCCCATTTTGTCTTTCTCATTCTCAGATTATAACTTTATATCTTTTAAAAGTCCAGACTTTGGTAACCACAAAATAAAGTTCAAACTATAGGGTAATTTGGGGAAAAGGGATTCCTTATGAATTACATACCATATCTAATAAACTGCCTTTAAAAAGATATTAGCTTTATTAATTTACAACAAATGTTATATAAATATGTGATACTTGAAGCATTAGAATCCCCGTTACCAATTTCTTATAAGAACTTTCTATATGATAGCCTTAAAATATTCTTGAATACAAGCTAGTCTTTTTATATTCTATTTCCTTACCTGTGACATTCTTTTGAGTATTTTGTGAAACCTGCTGAGCACTATGGAGGGTTTACAAAATACTGAAGCTAAGACATCTTTCTATGATTTGTACACCTCTCTCCATTTTCTCATCTTTGAAATAAGAAAAGAGAGGGATTAAATGTTCTGTAGGACCCCTGCCATTCATTCATTCATTCATTCATTCATTCATTCAATGATTACCTAAAGTCAGACATCCTGTCCTATGGTATCCTACTCCATGACTATCTAACTTTATTCCGCAGAACGTTATTCAAATATGGGGAAGGAAAAAAACACCACAATCAAATTCACTCAACAAATATTTGCTGAGAAGATACTTTCTAGCAGGGACCATCCTAGGCCTTAGGGATCCAACCATAACCAATACAAAGTCCTTGCCCATGTGCTGCTTACCTTCTAATGGGGCAAGGGTCAATAAACAATAATAGTGAGGTGGCAATAGACTACTGTGGAGAAAAATAAAGTAGTATCGGGGGATGAGAAGTGCTGAGGTGGAGGTGGGAGTTGCTCTTTTAGATAAGGTGGTCAGAAAAGGCCTTCCTTTTGGCAGGGATGCAAAGGAAGAGAGGAAGGGACCCATGTGACTAGCTAGGGAAACAATGGTTTAGGCATGGCATGTGCCAGGAATAGGAGGCCAGGAGAGCCAGACTGGAGTAAGTGAGGGGAAGAATGGTGAGAGATAAGGTCAGAAATGTATAAACCACTGTAAAATGAGTTGGCTTTTACTATGAGTGAAGCAGGAGACCAATGGAGAGTTGTGAGCAGAGGAAAGACATCATTAAATATTTAGCAATGACTCATATTTTAAAAGGATCTTTCTGGCTGCAATGTGAAAAATAGACCAGAAGATATGATACCATGGAAAACAGAAGGCTACAGCAATTATGCAGAGGAAAGATAGTGAGCACAGTGAGAATGGGCTAGATTTGGGATTTATTCTGAAAATAGATTATATATGATATAAGAAAGAAGGGACATGAATTAAGAAGAACTACTGCCTGTAATCCCGGCACTTTGGGAGGCCAAGGCTGGCAGATTACTTGAGGCCAGGAGTTTGTGACCAGCCCGGCCAACATGCTGAAACCCTGTCTCTACTAAAAACACACACATACACACACAAACACAAAATTAGCCAGGCATGGTGGCAGATGCCTGTAATCCCAGTTACTTGGGAGGCTGAGGCAGGAGAATCACTTGAACCTGGGAGCCGGGGATTGCAGTGAGCCGAGATCACGCCACTGCACTCCAGCCTGTGTGACAGAGTTTGAGACTCCAACTCAAAAGAAAAAAAAAAGAAGAAGGACTACAAATGACTAACTGGAGAAATGGAATTGCCATTTACTATGATGAGAAAGACTAGGGAAGAAGCAGGTATTTGGGGAGATGAGCAATCCAGAGTTTGGTTTCAGATATGCTGAGAAGCCAGCTGAATATATGGGAATAAAGGCTACAGAATACAGGAGACAGCACTGGTTAGCAATATGCATTTGGAAAGGGATGAGATCACTACAGGAGGGCATACAGACAGAGAAGTAGACTGAGTGACAAGACATAGTACAATCCTAAAAGTAGAAATTGTGGCCAGGTGCGGTGGCTCACGCCTGTCATCCCAGCACTTTGGGAGGCCGAGGAGCGTGGATCACAAGGTCTGGAGATCGAGACCATCCTGGCCAACATGCTGAAATCCTGTCTCTACTAAAAATACAAAAATTAGCTGGGTGTGGTGGTACGTGCCTGTAATCCCAGCTACTCAGGAGGCTGAGGCACGAGAATCGCTTGAACCCAGGAGGCGAAGGTTATAGTGAGCCAAGATCGCACCCCTGCACTCCAGCGTGGTGACAGAGCAAGACTCTGTCTCAAAAAAAAAACAAAGTAGAAATTGTGGAGTGTTGGGGACCAGCCTCAAAACCACCCATAGGGTACCCAAAGTCCGGTGGCAACAAAGGATTGAGAAGAGACAAGTTAAGAGTAAAGGTGGGGAGCCAGGGGGCCAGTTGTACTTTTGGAGGCTGCAAAAGGCTCAGAGCTCTGGTCTCCACACTATTTATTGAGTACAATCACTTAGATCTGAGAAGCAGACGTTCAGGGCGAAACAGTGAAAGGGAGGCAATGCGTAATAGGCGTAATCTACAGCGATAGTGGTTTAAATGAATCTCCTTTGTGCTCAAACAGCCTATCTTTAACTTATCAGAGAGCAGCTAGTAGGAGCGGGCTTAACTAGGAGCCTGCACGCCTGTTCACATTCCAGTGTTTCAAAGGAGTGTCTTTCTCCTTGAACACAGTGTTTACAGATAAGAAAGCGGGTCTCCCTCTGAGCATGGGAACATGATGGCAATTAGGAGACTTTCCTCCTCAGAGGCCTCTTGTGGCTTCCACAACTTATTGTCCCATATTTTTATGGCCAGTTTATACAGACACCCCACAAGCCCTTTTCCCAACATGAAGAAAGGAAGAAACCAGCAAAGAAGCTCTTAGACTCCTTGAACCTCAGTTTGAAAGCGGGCAGTCCTTCTCAGTATTCCTCCTTATCCACTCAAATAACATACTTCTCCCACCCTCTCTCCCTTCTGCTTTAGGTAAAAACCCTGTTCCTGGTCCCCTTGTACTCTTTTACCCAGAACAAGGAGCATAGGAATTGAGGGGAGCCACATTTGGGCCCTGAGGGAAAAGTAAGGTTCATAGGTGGAAAGCATAGGAGAATATGTCCTTTTTCATTTTATTTGGTTGAAGTTCCTGATATTTGAAAAAGCTGCAGTACCAGCGATTCTGCCCTTTGAAGGTGACTCTCTAGATAAAAGGTGAGAAAGGAAGACAAGTTTTCAGGTAAAAAGTGAGAGTCATGTTTAGGGAGCAGCTGGGCAAAAGTTGAGGAGATAACATAAGGTCATTTGTAGCTCTAAACTCTCCTAGGTTCTAATCATGCCCTCTGCTAAGCTCTTAGATAGCTTCTACCCAAGGTAGAGATGGAATTCCAGAGTGCCCCAAAGAACATTCACTGGTTGCAGGCATCTGATTAAAAGAGTGATCATCAGTTTCTGATACCTGTTCTCTAACTTCACACATTTGACTTTTATTTTTTTTCATCCTTCAACCTTTGGTGGCCTCAGCCCCAACATCAATGTTTTTACTTACAATGGGTATAGCCTAACAGCACTGTATTTTGGGAAATTTGACTGATTTACTCTCCATCCAATCCTCTATGTTCATGAGGGAGATGGACATAATTTAATTTTTTCATAATGTCTTTGTCTAGTTTTCAGACCAGGATAGCACTGAACTCAGAAATTGAATTCAGAGGTATTTTCTCATATTCTATATTCTGGAAGAGCTTATGTAGAACTGAACGTTCCCTGTAGAAATTTTTTTAATGAAAAATTCAATTACTTTATTAGATATAGGACTATTCAGATAATCTAGTTCTTCTTGAGTAAACATCATAGCTTATCTTTGAAGGATTTTGCTCATTTCAACAAAGTAGTCAAATTTATGGGGCTAATGATGCCTAAAATATTCCCTAATTATCCCTTAAATGTCAACAGGGTCTTGCATTTCTGATATTGATAATTTGTCCTGTTTTTTCTTGGTCACTCTGTCTACAGGTTTATCAATTTTATCTATCTTTTCCAAGGACTAGTTTTTCATTTCACTGATTTTACTCTACTGTTTTTCTCTACTCAATTTCATTGATTTCTACTCTACCTTATTATTTCTTTCTTTAGTTTTAATTTGAGTTTAATTTGCTCTTCTATTTCTGCTATGTTAAGGTAGCTGCTCAGAGCACTGATTGGAAATACTTCTTTTCAAACATAAGCTTTTATTACTATAAATTTCCTTGTAAGTACTGTTTTACCTAAATCCTCCAAACTTTGATATGTGGTTTTTCAATTTCATCCTAATTTCCTTGTGACTTTTACTTTGACTTTGACTCATGGATCATGTCATCATTTCTAAATGTATAAGTTTGATGTATAATTTTCAAATATTTTAAAAAAATTTTGATCTCTTCCAATGACTGTGTTTAGTTTAATTCTATATGGTCAGATAACACACTTGCATAATTTTAATTCTTTTAAGTTTGTTAAGATTGTGTTTTATGGCCCAGAATGTAGTCTATCTTGCTAATATAGATAATAATTATAATATATAGATAATATAGATAATAATATAGATAATAATAATAAAAAGAATGTATATTTCGCTACTGTTGAGTAGACTGCTCTATAAATGTCAGTTAGGTCATATAAGTTGATATTATTCTAGTCTTAAATTTCCTTATTGGTTTTCTATCTCCCTATTCTATTGATTTTTAAGAAAAAAGCACTGACGTCTCTATAATTGTGAATTTGTCAATCTTTCCTGTCAGTTCTAACAGGTTTTTTTTTTTACTCCGTTTTTGAAGCTCTGTTGTTAGACACATGTAAGATTATTATGTCTTTTTGGGAAAATGACTCTTATTGTTATGTTCTTTATCCTAACCATACTATTTGTTCAAAAGTTTACTCTCTCTGATATAAATAGATTCATCTGAACTTTTTTTGGTTAGTGTTTGTATGGTATGCATTTTTCCT
Source organism: Homo sapiens (assembly GCF_000001405.40). NCBI lineage: Eukaryota > Metazoa > Chordata > Mammalia > Primates > Hominidae > Homo > Homo sapiens. The sequence continues at coordinate 78,247,704 of NC_000005.10, forward strand.
TCCTTATAACTTATGTCTTTATATTAAAAGTAGGTTTCTTACAAAGAGCACAGTTGTATCTTCACATTTTCATCCAATATGAAGATCTCTTTTTATTGGTAATGTCAGACCACTTACATGTAATAGAATTATTAACATGGTTAGATTCAGGTCTACCATTTTAGTATCCGTTTCCTGTTTATTCCCTGTATTTTCTGTTCTCCTACTTCCTCTTTTCTCTTTTCCTTAGAAAATTTTTAGTATTTCATATTTTTATATTAACTTTCTGCCTATATCTTTTTATATAATTTACTGGTTCCTCGTAAAAATGCATCATAGGCATAATCTATAGCAATAGCGGTTTAAATGAATCTCCTTTGTGCTCAAACAGCATATCTTTAACTTATCGGATTATCAGATACATAGGTAGATAAACAGACATATAAATATATAAATACAGAAACAGCAAACCTTACACAGTCTACTTACAGTTAACACTGTACCAGATCAAGAAAAATGCAGAAACAGGCAGGGCACAGTGGCTCACGCCTGTAATCCCAGCACTTTGGGAGGCTGAGGCAGGCAGATCACAAGGTCAGGAGTTCAAGACCAGCCTGGCCAATATGGTGAAACCCCATCTCTACTAAAAATACAAAAATTAGCCAGGTGTGGTGGCGTGCACCTGTAGTAGTCCCAGCTACTCAGGAGGCTGAGGCAGAAGAATCACTTGAACCCAGGAGGCAGAGGTTGCAGTGAGCCGAGATCACACCACTACACTCCAGCCTGGGCAACAGAGCGAGACTCTGTCTCAAAAAAAAAAAAAAAAAAAAAAAAGAAAAGAAAAATGCAGAAACATTGCAACCATATAGACTCTTTTATTTCCACCTCCCCACTAGCTTTTATGTTTAGCCACCCATATTAAAAACCTCTCAGATAGTGGGATAACTTAAGAATAAAATTAGTCCTTTATACGTATTTACCATTTTGATTGGTCCGCCTAAATATCCATCTGGTATCATTTCCCTTCAGCCTACACAACGTCTATTAACATTTCATTAAAGTAAACATGTTAGAAATGGATACTCTTAGTCTTTATTTCATCTTCGTTCTTGAAGGATATTTTCAATGGATATAGAGTTCTGGGTTAACAGTTCTCTTCTTTCAGTACTTGAAACATATTGTTCCACTCTCTTCTGGCTGCCATGATTTCTGATGAGAAATCTGCATTTATTCAAATTATTGTTCCCCTCTATGTACCATTTTTTCCCGCTACTTTCAAGACTTTATTTTTGGTTTTCAACCATTTGATTACTGTGTTTATGCGTGGTTTTCTTTTAGTTTATCCTAACTGGCATTTGCTGAGCTTCTTTCATCTATAAATTTGTATCTTGGCTGGGCACGGTGGCTCATGTCTGTAATCCCAGCACTTTGGGAGGCTGAGGAGGGCGGATCACCTGAGATCAGGAGTTCGAGACCAGCCTGACCAACATGGTGAAACCCCATCTCTATTAAAAATACAAAAACTAGCTGGGCATGGTGGGGCTGGGGAGCGGGGGCACCTGTAATCCCAGCTACTCAGGAGACTGAAGCAGGAGAAGCTTGAACCCCAGGGGCAGAGGTTGCAGTAAGCCGAGATTGCACAATGCACTCCAGCCTGGGCGACAAGAGTGAGACTCCGTCTCAAAAAATAAAAATAAAAATAAAAATTGTATCTTTCATCAAATTTGGGAAGTTTTCTACCATTATTTCTTCAAATATTTTTTCCTACTCCAATCTCTTTCTCCTCTCCTTCTGCTGTTCTAATGATGCATACGTTAGACCTTTAGAATGAACCAACAAAACTCCAAGGCTCTGTTCTTTTCAATCTCTATTCTTCAGAATGATTTTTTTCTTTTTCTTTTTTTTTTTTTTTTTTTTTTGAGACAGAGTCTTGCTGTGTGGCACAGGCTAGACGGCAATGGTGCCATGTTGGCTCACTGCAGCCTCAACCTCTTGGGCTCGAGTGGGCTTTCTGCCTCAGCCTTCTGTGTAGCTGGGACCACAGGCACCCTCCACCATACCTGGCTGATTTTTTGGTATTTCTGTAGAGACAGGGTCTCACTTTGTTGCCCAGGCTGGTCTCGGAACTCCTTGGCTCAAGCAATCCTCAGCCTCCTGAAGTGCTGGGATTACAGGCATGAGCCACCGTGTCCGGCCACAAACTGAATAATTTCTAATGATCTGTCTTCAACTTCTGGCTCTTTCTTCTGTTATCACCATTCTGCTATTGCATCAATCCAGGATATTTTCTATTTTAGATAAAGTACTATCCACATAACAGAAATTTCAACAAATTTCTGCAGGGGTATGGTTCACATAAGATAACATTTTAGGAAACAAGCATCTACCAATCTAGTTACAACCTAAGAAATAAGTGGATGAACTTACTACTTAATCAAAAGTGGACCTAATTTTACCTACTACTTAACTATCAGACAGGCCCTTGGCTCCAATATATTGGTCTTTCTAATAATCTTCAGGGAAGTACCCTGAGGACAACATACCAAACAGCAGAATATATAGTACCTATTCCCAAAGAATCTTAGTACCTATTCCCAAAGAATACTTAAACCCAAAAAAGAAAAATAAAGGAAAAAACAGAAAAACAGTGAAGAACTTAATGAAGACGTACCAATTAAAGACAGAGGGAAGAGTGCTCTCAGGCTCCTTACCCTCAGCTATCTGTTTGTCCCACTCTATTCTAAATAGACATTTGGTCTTCTAATACTTAATTTATTAATACGAATACTACTCTCTTCAACCCACAATGGAGCCTGAAATTATTGATCTTATGAATTTAGAGCCTACAACAGAACCAATTTCAAACAGAAATTCTGGAAAAATAAAGATAAATAACTCTAATGCTTTCTGAGGATGACTTAAGGAGGAAAAAAATAACAGGGCATATAAAAACATTCCACAGTTCAAAAGAAATGGACCCACTGGAGAAGTATGAATAAATTATATGGGGAAAAAGTTGGATATAAAAGAGAAAAACCATGGGAAATATATCTAACTCATATTCTTAGTGAGATTTGAGGGGATGTGGCATTTTTTTAAAAAAGAATGACTTTGGAATAGCAAAGAAAATTTTCAGATAAAGATATAATTACCAAATTTTAAAATATAATGAGAGAAGAAAGGATAATGTCAAAAATTCTAAACTGACTTCAATGCCAGCTCAAAAAAAATCCTAAAAATGACAGGAAAGGTTAGAGAGGTCAATTTGACAGGGGAGAAGACAGAGGCAAACAGAGGATGGATCCAAAAAATATAATACACACATAATAGGAAGGCTAAGAGAGAACTGGCAGACTGACAGAAAAGGGAGAAAATAAATAGCAGACAAACATTCTCTAAGTAAAACAGATTTAAAATTTTAGAATCAAAGGGTTCATTAGTAACATAACAAATCAGTAAAGAAAAAACACAGACCGTATCTTGAATATTTTCTTTTTCCTCAAAATATTAAAAACATCTACATATCCAGACAGTTGAAACAGATTCTCTAAAAGAGAAAGAGAAAAAGCAATCTCAGAGGCAGAGCAAGATGGTGCAATAGAAAGCTCCACCAATCGTCCCCCCGAGGACAAAAAAGTTAACAACTATCTACACAGAAAAAAACACCTTCATAAGAACCAAAAATCAGGGGAGCACTCACAGGACTTGGTTTGAACTTCATATCACTGAAAGAAGCACAGAAGAGATTAAAAGTAACAGTCCTGAATCACCAATGCCACCCTTTTCCTCAGAGTGGTGACTCCTCTTCCAGCAGCAGTGCATGGTATGGAGGGTATCTCTGGGCACTGGGGAAGGGAGAACACTGCAATTGTGAGGCACTGAACTCTGTGCTGTCCTGTTAGAGCAGAAAGGAAAACCGGACCGAACTCAGCTGATGCCCACCCACAGGGGGAGCATTTAAACCAGCCCTAGCCAGAAAGGAATCCCAGAGGTCCAAACTTGAGTCCCTGGAAAACCTCGCCACCGAGGGCTACAGCACTGTGTGTCTCCAAGTAAACTTGAAAGACAGTCTAGGCCATAAGAACTGCAACTCTTTGGCAAGTCCTACGGCTGAACTAGGCCTAGAGACAATGGAGGGAGCACGCAACATACTGAGATACCACCTGGGGCAGCCAAGGGAGTGCTGACATTATCTCTCCTAACCCCAGGTTGCACAGCTGGTGGCTCCAAAAGAGACCCCTCCCTTCCACTTGAGGAGAGGAGAGGGAAGAGTGGGGAGGACTTTGTCTTGCATCTTGGATACCAGCTCAGCCACAGCAGGATAGGGCACCGGTCAGAGTCATGAGGCCCCCATTCCAGGACCTAACTACTCCCAGACGACATTCCTAGACACACCCTCGTCCAGAAGGGAACTTGCTGCCTTGAAGGAAAGGTCTGAGGCTTGGCAGCATTCATAATCTGCTAACTGAAGAGCCCTTGGGCCCTGAATAACCAGCAGCAATATCCAGGTACTACATTGAGGGCCTTGGTGAACCACTGAGACTTGTTGGCTTCAGGTGAGACTCAGCACATTCCCAGCTGTGGTGGCTATGGGGCAAAACTCCTGCTTGAGAACAGCAGGGGGGAAAGTAAAAGGGGCTCTGCCTTGCCCCCTAGGTACCAGTACAGCCACAGCAGGGTAGAGCACCAAGTGGGCTCTTAGCGTCTTCAATTCTAGGACTTGGCTCTTGGACAGCATTTCTGGACATGTCCTGGGCCAGAAGGGAGCCCACTGTCCTGAAGGGTGAGTCCCAGGCCAAGCAGCATTCATGAAAAGTACTGCCAGAGTTCCCCCGATAGCTTTTCATGAATGCTGACTTAAGAGACCTTGGGCGTTAAGGGACTATGGGGGTACTCTGGCAGTACTCTTTGTGGCCTGGGGTGGTGGTGGCTACAGGTTGAGGCTCCTCTGCCTTCAGAAAGGGGAGGAAGAGTGGGAAGCATTGCACCTTGTGGTTTGAGTGCCAGCTCGGCTGCAATACAACAGAACACTAGGTAGACTTCTAAGGTTTCTGACTCTAGTCCCTGACTCCCAGGGCTCCTAGACAGAACTTCTTGACCCATCCGGGGCCTGGGGGAGCTCGCCACCCTTAAGGGAAGGACACAGGCCTGGTTGGCTTTGCTACCTGCTGACTGTAGAGCCCCAGGGCCTTGAGCAAACATGGCAATAGCCAAGAAGCGGTTACAGCAGGCCTTGTGCAAGACCCAGTCCTGTGCTGGCTTCAGGTCTGACCCAGCACATAGTACCAGTGGCCACACGGGTGCTTGTGTCACCATTCTCAGCTTTATCTGGCTCAAAACAGAGAAGAGAGAGACTCTGTATGTTTGGAAGAAAGTAAGGAAAGAGAACAAGAGTCTCTGCCCGGTAATCCAGATAATTCTCCTAGATCTGTTCTAAGACCATCTAGGCAGTACCTCTATGAGTCTGCAAGAACCACAGTGTTACTGAGCTTGGGGTGCCCCCTAAAGCCAATATAGCTTAGATCACAACACCCACGTTCTTTCAAATATCTGGAAAGACTTCCCAAGAAGGATGGCCAAAAATATGCCAAGGCAGTGAAGACTACAATAAATACCTAACTCTTCAATGCCCAGACACCAAAGAACATCTACTTGCACCAACCTCTATGAGGCTGCAAAAACCACAGCATTATTGGGCTTGGGGCCCAAGTTCCTATGAATACTAGAAAGCCTTCCCAAGAAAGATAAGCATAAACAAGCCCAGGCAGTGATGACTACAATAAATACCTAACGCTCCAATGCCCAAAAACTGATGAACATCTACAAACATCAAGACCATCCAGGAAAATACGACCTCACCAATCAAACTAAATAAGGCACCAAGCACCAATTCTGGAAAAAGAGAAATATGTGACCTTTCAGATACAGAATTCAAAATAGCTGTCTTGAGAAAACTCAAAGAAATTCAAGATCAGAGAAGGAATTAAGAATTCTATCAGATAGGCCAGGCGCGGTGGCTCACGCCTGTAATCCCAGCACTTTGGGAGGCTGAGGTAGACGGATCATGAAGTCAGGAGATCGAGACCATCCTAGCTAACACAGTGAAACCCCATCTCTACTAAAAAATATAAAAAATTAGCCGGGCATGGTGGTGGGCACCTGTAGTCCCAACTACTTGGGAGGGTGAGGCAGGAGAATGGCATGAACCCGGGAGGCGGAGCTTGCAGATCATGCCACTGCACTCCAGCCTGGGCGACAGAGCAAGACTCCACCTCAAAAAAAAAAAAAAAAGAATTCTATCAGATAAATTTAACAAAGAGATTGAAACAGTTAAAAAGAATCAATCAGAAATTCTAGAGTTAAAAAATGCAGTTGATATACTGAAGAATGCATCAGAGTCTCTTATCAGCAGAATTGATCAAGCAGAAGAAAGAATTCATGAGCTTGAAGACAGGCTCTTTGGAAATACACGGTCAGAGGAGACCAAAGAAAAAAGAATAAAGAAGAATGAAGCATGCCTAAAAGATCTAGAAAACAGCCTCAAAAGGGCAAATTTAAGAGTTATTGTCCTTAAAGGGAAGGTAGAGAAATCGATGGCGGTAGAAAGTTTATTCAAAGGGATAATATCAGAGAACTTCCCAAACCTAGAGAAAGATATCAACATTCAAGTACAAGAAGGTTATAGAACATCAAGCAGATTTAAGCTAAAGAAGCCTACCTCGAGACATTTAATAATCAGACTCCCAAAGGTCAAGGATAGAGAAAGGATCCTAAAAGCAGCAAGAGAAAAAGAACAAATAACATACAACGGAGCTCCAATATGGTGGCAGTAGACTTTTCAGTGGAAACAGGTAAGGTTTCCTAACATATTTAAAAGTGCTGAAGAAAAGTAACTTTCACCTCAGAATAGTATATCCAGTGAAAATATCCTTCAAACATGAAGAAATAAACTTTCCCAAACAAAAGCTGAGGGATTTCATCAATGCCAGACCTGTCCTACAAGAAATGCTAAAGGGAGTACTTCAATCAGAAAGAAAATGACATTAATGAGCAATAAATAATCACCTGAAGGTACAAAACTAACTGGTAATAGTAAGTACACAGAAAAACATAGAATATTATAAAACTGTAGCTGTGATGTATAAACTATTCTTATCCTGAGTAGAAAAACTAAATGATGAACCAATCAAAAATGGTAACTACAAGTTTTCAGGACATGGTACAATAAGATATAAACAGAAACAACAAAAGGTTAAAAAGTGAGGAGACGAAGTTAAAGCACGGAGTTTTTATTAGTTTTCTTTTTGCTTGTTTGTTTATGCAAATAGTGTTAAATTACTATCAGGTTAAAATAATGGATTATAAGATAGTATTTGCAAGCCTCATGGTAACCTCAAACCAAAAACATACAAGATATATAGAAAAAGTAAAAAACAAAAAACTAAATCATATTACCAGAGAAAATCCCTTCACTAGAAGACAGGAAGGAAAGAAAGAAGGAAGAGAAAACCATAAAATAACTAGAAAACAAATAACAAAATAGCAGGAGTAAGTCCTTACTTATCAATAATAACATTTAACATAAATGGACTAAACTCGCCAATCAGAAAAACAGAGTGGCCGAATGGATGAAAAAACAAAACCCATTGATCTGTTGCCCACAAAAAAACACACTGTACCCATAAAAACATATATCAGCTGAAAACAAAGGTATGGAAAATGACATTCCATCCCAATGGAAATGAAAAAAGAGCAGGAGTTGCTATACAATACCAAACAAAATAAGACTTCAAGACAAAAACTATAAGAAGAGACAAAGAAGGTCACTATATGATAAAGGAGTCAATTCAGCAAGAGGATATAACAATTTTAAATATATATGTACCCTACACTGGAGCACCCAGATATATAAAGCAAATATTATTAGAGCTAAAGAGAGAGACAGGCCCAAATGCAATAACAGCTAGGAGACTTCAACATTCCACTTTCAGCATCAGACAGATCTTCCAACAGAAAATCAAGAAACACCACACTTAATCTGCACTATAGACAAAAATGAATCTAATACATATTTACAGAACCTTTTATCCAAGAGCTGCAAAATATACATTCTTTTCCTCAACACATAAATCTTTCTCAAGGATGGACCATATGTTAGGTCACAAAACAAGTCTTAAAAGCGTTCAAAAAATTGAAATAATTGCATCTTCTCTAATCACAATAGAATAAAACTAGAAATTAATAACAAAAGGAATTTTGGAAACTATACAAACACATGGAAATTAAACAATATGCTCCTGAATGACCAGTGGGTCAATGAAGTAATTAAGAAAGAAACTGAAAAATCTAAGAGGGAATTTCATAGCTATAAGTGTCTACATCAAAAAAGAAGAAAAACTTCAAAAGCACAATCTAACGATGCATCTTAAGGAACTAGAAAAGCAGGAGTGAACAAAACACAAAATTAGTAGAAGAAAAGAAATAATAGAGACCAGAGAAGAAATAAATGAAATTGAAATGAAAAAATACAAAAGATCAATGAAACAAAAAGCTTTTTTTGAAAAGTTAAACAAAATTGACAAACCATCAGCCAGACTAAGAAAAAAAAGAGAAAAATCCAAATAAATAAAATCAGAAATGAAAAAGAAGATATTACAACTGATGCTACAGAAATTCAAAGGATCATTAGTGGCTACTATGAGCACCCATATATGCCAATAAATTGGAAAATCTAGAAGAAATGGACAAATTCCTAGATACATACAACCTATCAAGATTGAATCAGGAAGAAATCCAAAACTTGAACAGACCCCAATATCAAATCACAAGATGAAAGCTGTAATAAAAAGTCTCCCACTGAAGAAAAGCCCAGGACCCGATAGCTTAACTGCTAAATTCTACCAAACATTTAAAGAAGAATTAATATCAATCCTACTCAAACTGTTCTGAAAAACAGAGCAGGGAATACTTCCAAACTCATTCTACAAGGCCAGTATTACCCTGATACCAAAACCAGACAAAGACACATCAAGGAAAAAGAAAATGACACCCCAATATCTCTAATGAATATTGATGCAAAAATCCTCAACAAAATGCTAGAAAGCTGAGTTCAACAATACATCAGAAAGATCACTCATCATGACCAAGTGGGATTTATCCCTGGGATGCAAGGATGCTTCAACATACACAAATCAATCAATGTGATACATCATGTCAACAAAATGGGCAATAAAAACCATATGATCATTTCAATTGATGCTGAAGAACCGTTTGATAAAATCCAACATCCTTTCATGATAAAAACCCTCAAAAAACTGGGAATAGAAGGAACATACATCAACATAATAAAAACTATATATGACAAACCTCACAGCTAGTATCATTCTGAATGGGAAAAAACTGAAAGTCTTTCCTATAAGCTCTGGAACACGACAAGGTTGCCCACTGTCATCTCTGTTATTCAACATACCACTGGAAGTCCTAGCTAGAGCAATCAGACAAGAGAAAGACATAAAGGGTCTCCAACTGGAAAGGAAGAAATTAAAGTATCCTTGTTTGCAGATGATACAATCTTATATTGGGGAAAACCTAAAGACTCCACCACAAAACTATTAGAACTGATAAACAAATTAAGTAAAGTTGCAGGATACAAAATCAACATACCAAAATCAGGAGCATTTCTATATGCCAACAGTGAACAAGGTGAAAAAGAAATTTTAAAAGTAATCCCATTTACACTAGCCACACACAAAATTAAATACCCAGGAATTAACTTAACCAAAGAAGTGAACTATCTCTATAGTGAAAACTATAAAACACTGAAGAAGGAAATTGAAAAGGACACCAAAAAATGGAAAAATATTCTGTGTTCATGGCCTGGAAGGCTCAATATTGTTAAAATGTCCCTACTACCCAAAACAATCTACAGATTCAATGCAATGCCTATCAAAATACCAAAGACATTCTTCATAGAAATAGAAAAAGAAATCCTAAAATTTATATGGAACCACAAAAGATCCAGAATAGCCAAAGTTATATTAAGCAAAAAGAACAAAACTGGAGGAATCACATTACCTGACTTCAAATTATACTACAAAGCTATAGTAACCAAACAGCATGTACTGGCATAAAAACAGACACACAGAGGAATGGAACAGAATAGAGAACCCAGAAACAAATCCACACACCTACAGAGAACTGAGAAAGATGCGAAGAGCATACACTGAGGAAAAGACAGTCTCTAATAAATGGTGCTAGGAAAACTGGATATCCATATGCAGGAAAACAAAATTAGATCCCTATCTCTCAGCATATACAAATATAAAATCAAAATGGATTAAAGACTTAAATCTAAGACCTCCAACCATGAAACTACTACAACAAAACATTGGGGAAAATCTCCAGGACATTGGTCTGGGCAAAGATTTCTTGAGTAATACCCCACAAGCACAGGCAACCAAAGCACAAACAGACAAATCGGATCACATCAAGTTAAAAAGCTTCTACACAGCAAAGGACACGATCAACAAAGTGAAGAGACAACTCATAGAATGGGAGAAAATATTTGCAAACTATCCATCTCACAAGAGATTTAAAACCAGAATATATCAGGAACTCAAACAATTCTATAGGAAAAAGTCTAATAATCTAAAAATGGGCAAGATTTGATCAAATGATAAAAAGGGGGCAAAAGATTTGAAAAGACGTTACTCAAAAGAAGACATGCAATTGGCAAACAGGCATATTAAAAGATGCTGAACATCACTGATCATCAAAGAAATGCAAATCTAAACTATAATGAGTTATCATCTCACCCCAGTTAAAATGGCTTATACCCAAAAGAAAGACAGGCAACAACAAATGCTGGTGAGGATGTGGAGAAAAGGGAACCCCTGCACACTGTTGGTGGGAATATAAATTAGTACAACCACTATGGAAAACAGTTTAGAGGTTCCTCAAAAAGAAACTAGTAATTGAGCTACCACATGACCCAGCAATCCCACTGCTGGGTACAACCCAAAAGAAAGAAAATCAGGAGTGCAAAGAGACATCCGCACTCCAATGCTCGCTGCAGCACTGTTGCCAAAAGCTAAGATTTGGAAGCAACCTAAGTGTCCACCAACAGACAAATGGATAAAGAAAATGTGGGGCAAATACACAATGGAGTACTATTCAGTCATAAAAAACAATGGGATCCAGTCATTTGCAACAACATGGGTGGAAATGAAGATCTTGTTAAGTGAAATAAACCAGGCACAGAAAGACAAACATCTGGCCGGGCACGGTGGCTCATGCCTGTAATCCCAGCACTTTGAGAGGCCAAGGCGGACGGATCATGAGATCAGGAGATCGAGACCATCCTGGCTAACACGGTGAAACCCCATCTCTATTAAAAATACAAAAAAATACAAAAAAATTAGCCAGGCATGATGGCAGGTGCCTGTAGTCCCAGCTACTTGGGAGGCTGAGGCAGGAGAATGGTGTGAACCCAGGAGGTGGAGCTTGCAGTGAGCTGAGATCGTGCCACTGCACTCCAGACTGGTGACAGAGCAAGACTCCATCTCAAAAAAAAAAAAAAGAAAGAAAGAAAGACAAACATTTCATGTTCTCACTTACTTGTGGGGTCTAAAAATCAAAACAACTGAACTTATGGACATAGAGAGTAGAAGGATGGTTACCAGAGGCTGAGAAGGGAAGTGGGGGATACAGGGGAGGTGGAGTGGTTAATGGGTACAAACATAACAGAATGAATGAATAAGACCTTCTATTTGACAGGAAAATAGGGTGACCACAATCAACAATAATGTAATTGTACATTTTAAAATAACTTAAAGAGTGTAATTGAATTGTTTGTAACTCAGAAGGAAAAAGGTATAAGGAGATGGATATCCCATTCCCCATGATGTGCTTATTTCACATGCACACCTGTATTAAAACATCTCATGTACCCCCAAAATACATACACCTACTATGTGCCCACTAAAATTAAAAATACATATATATGGCCGGGTGCAGTGGCTCACGCCTGTAATCCCAGCACTTTGGGAGGCCAAGGTGGGCGGATTACTTGACGGTAGGAGTTGGAGACCAGCCTGGCCAAAATGGTGAAACCCCAACTCTACTAAAAATACAAATAAATTGGCTGGGTGTGGTGGTGGGCGCCTGTAATCCCAGCTATTCAGGAGGCTGAGGCAGGAGGATCACTTGGACCCGGGAGGCAGAGGTTGCAGTGAACTGAGATTGTGCCATTGCACTCCAGCCTGGGCAACAGAGCAAGACTCCATCTCAAAAAAACAAAAAACAAAAAAAAATTAATAATAAAATTAAAAGAAATAAAAATTAAATGTTTTTTAAAAAAGCAATCTCATTGTCATCACATCACATTTCTGCTCTGTACAGCTAAAGCCAGACAAAATCAAGAATGAAATCTACAAAAATCTAAGGAAAAGAAAACATTGCAACCCAACAATACTATTCTTAAGTAATCTATTTTCCCATGGAAAAAAAAATAGAAACCTGTTCCGACAGGCAAGGACTTTGAAAGAATGCCATCTACATTCTCTTCCTAAATGAAATGCCCCCATCACCTGAAAATAAACCAAAACTCTAAAGAATGAGGAGGGGCCGGGCGTGGTGGCTCATGCCTGTATTTCCATCACTTTGGGAGGCCGAGGAGGGCAGATCACCAGAGGTCAGATCACCAGAGGTCAGGAGTTCAAGACTAGCATGATGAAACCCCCGTCTCGACTAAAAGTACAAAAATTAGCGGGGCATGGTGACACATGCCTGTAATCCCAGCTACTTGGGAGGCTGAGGCAGAAGAATTGCTTGAACCCAGAAGGCGGAGGTTGCAGTGAGCTGAGATCACACCACTGCACTCCAGCCTGGGCCACGGAGCGAGACTCCATCTCAAAAATAAAAAATAGAAAATAAAAAAAGAATGAGGAGGAATGTAAGTTTAAAAAAAAAAGTGAAAGCATAATGAGTGGGACAGCGCTCATGCCTACACAACTATTTTTAATAGGGTTCATAATATTTAAAATAAATGTCCAAAATGATTTTTGAAAGACAAGCTCCCAATTTCTCGCTTTCCCCCTAGCTGCTGGCAACCACCATTCCACTTTTTGTCTCTATGAGTTTGATTATTCTAGGTACCTGATAAAAGTGGAATCATACAATTTTTTGTGTGTGTGTGTCTGGCTTATTTGACTCAGCATAATGACTTAAGTAAGGTTCATCCATGTTGTAGCATGCATCAGAATTCCATTCCTTCTTAAAGCTGAATAACATTCCATTGCACAGATGTACCACATTCGTTTATTCATCCACTGATGAGCACATGGGTTGTTTCCACCTATTGGCTTCTATAAATAATGCTGCTACGAACACTGATGTAGAAATATCTGTTCAAGTATCTCCTTTCAACTGTTGTCTGTATATACCCAAAAGGAGAATGGTGGATTATGTGATAATTCCATTTTTAGTTTTTTAAGGAACCACCATACTGTTTTCCACAGTAACTGTACCATTTTACATTCCCACCAGCAATGCATAAGAGTTCTTATTTCTCTACCCTCACCAACACTTACAATTTTGTTTTCTTGATAATAACCATCCTAATGGTGTAAAGTGATCTTACTATGGTTTTGATTTCCATTTTCCTAATAATTAGTGATGCTGCACATCTTTCTCTGTAATTATTTGCCATCTATATATCTTCTCTGGAGAAATGTCTATTCCAGTCTTCTACCCATTTTTTCATTTGGTCGGTTTTTGTTGTTGTTGTTTTGTTTTGTTTTTGAGACAGAGTTTCACTCTTGTCACCCAGGCTGCAGTGCAATGGCACGACCTCGGCTCACTGCAATCTCTGCCTTTCGGGTTCAAGCAATTCTCCTTCCTCAGTCTCTCAAGTAGCTGGGATTACAGGCGCCCGCCACCACGCCTGGCTAATTTTTGTATTTTTAGAAGAGACGAGGTTTCACTGTGTTGACCAGGCTGGTCTCGAACTCCTGACCTCACGTGATCTGCCCACCTCGGCCTCCCAAAGTGCTGGGATTACAGGCATGAGCCACCGGTTGTTGTTTTTTGAGACGCGGTCTCACTCTGCCACCCAAGCTGGAGTGCAGTGGCATGATCTTGGCTCGCTGCAACCTCTGCCTCCTGGGTTCAAGCAATTCTCCTGCCTCAGCCTCCCGAGCAGCTGGGATTACAGGCACCCACCACCACACCTGGCTAATTTTTGTATTTTTAGTAGAGACGAGATTTGTCTTTTTAGTAGAGACCACCGTGTTGGCCAGGCTTGTCTCAAACTCCTGACCTCAAGTAATCCGCCCACCTCGACCTCCCAAAGTGCTGGGATTACAGGCGTGAGCCACCACACCCAGCCATTTGGTAGGTTTTTAATGGTTGAGTTGTGGGAGTTCTTTATATATTCTGGATATCAATCCTTTATCAGATATATGATTTGCAAATATTTTCTTGTATTCTATGGGTTGCCTTTTCACTTTGTTGACAGAGTCCTATGATGCACACAAGTTTTAATTTTGATAAAATCCAAATAATCTACTTTTTTTTTACTGTTCTTGTTTTAGTGTTGTATCTAAGAATCCTATGCCAAATCCAATGTCATGAAGCTTTTTCTCTATGCTTTCTTCTAAGAGTTTTATAGTTTTAGCTCTTACATTTAGGTCTTTGATCCATTTTGGTTTATTTTTATTTATGGTGTGATACAGAAAGAAATCCAACACCATTTTCTTGCATATATATATAATCCAGTTTCCCCAACATTATTTGTTGAAAAGACTGTCCTTTCCCAATTGATTGATCTGGCACCATTACCAAAAATCATTTGACCATTTACGTCAGGGTTGATTTCTGAGCTCCCTATTGTGTTCCATTGGTCTATACGTTGTCCGTCTTTATTCCAGTACCACAATGTCTTCACTACTATGCTTTGTCATAGGTTTTGAAATCAGGAAGTATGAGACATTCAATTTTGTTCTTTTTTTTTTTTTTGAGACAGGGTTTTGAGATGGGGTCTCGCTCTGTTGCCCAGGCTGGAGTGCAGTGGCATGAACACAGCTCACTCCAAGCGATACCACAACCTCAGCCTCCCAAGCAGCTGGGACCACAGGCACAGGTAGTAATTTTTTTCTTATTATTAGTTTTGTGGAGACAAGGTCTTGCCATGTAGTCTAGGCTGGTCTAAAACTCCTGGGCTCAAATGATCCTCCTGCCTCAGCTTCCCAAAGTGCTGGGATTACAAGCGTGAGCCACTGTGCCCAGCCAATTTTGCTCTTTTTCAAGGTTGTTTTGGCTATTCAGGGACTCATGGGATTCTATATAAATTTTAGGATGAATTTTTTTCTATTTTTGCCATGCACATCATTGGCATTTTGATAGGAATTGCATTGAATATACAGATCATTTTGACATCTTAACAATATTAGTCTTCCAACCCAGAAACATAGATGTCTTTCCATTTATTTGTGTCTTCTTTAATTTTTCTCAGTAATGTTTCAGTGTACAAGTCTTTCATCTCCTTGGTTAAGCTTATTCCTGAATATTTTATTCTTTTTGATGCTATTATAAATGAATATTTGTTTAATTTTATTTTCAAATTGTTCATTGTTAATGTGTAGAAATGCAAGTCATTTTGGTGTGTTGCTTTTCTATCCTGCAACTTTGGTAAACTTGCGTATTGGTTCTAACAGTTTTTTGTGGAATCTTTAGGGTTTTCTACATATAAGATGATGTGAATAAAAATAATTTTACTTCTTCCTTTTCCATTTGGATGTCTTTTATTTCTTTTTCTTGCATGATTGTTCTGGCTAAAATTTCCAATACTGTGTTGCACAGAAGTGGTAAAAGCAAGCATCCTTGTTTCTGACCTTGGAGTAAAAGATTTCAGTCTTTCACTACTGAGTGTGATGCTAGTTTTGGGTTTTCCACACCTGCTCTTTAACAGATAGGTTGAGGTAGTTTCCTCCTATTCCTAGTTTGTTGAGTACTTTTATCATCAAAGTGTATTAAATTTTGTCAAATCTTTCTCCGAATAAATTGAGATGATTGTGAGGGATTTTTCCCTTTCCTTCTGTTAATGTGGTATATTACAATGACTGAATTTTGTGTTATTTTTAAATTACAGTCGTGCCACGTTTTGGTCAAGGAGGGACCACATATATAATCTTATTGTAAGATTATAATACTGTATCTTTACTGTAACTTTCTATGTTTAGATACGTTTAGATACACAAATACTTACCATTGTGTTACAACTGCCTACAGTATTCAGTACAGTAACATGCTGTACAGATTTATAGCCTAGGAAGAATAGACTATGCCATATAGCCTAAGTGTGTAGTAAGCTTGTGTAAGTATACTAGGTTGTGTAAGTACTCTATGAGGTTCACACCAACAAACTGCCTAAGGATGCATTTCTCAGAAAGCATCCCTGTCATTCAGCGATGCATGACTCTAAGTGATGCATGACTGTATTGAATAATAATCTAGATCCAAAAATTCACATAATTTTTAAACCCAGTTTTTTGAAAAAGGATGAAATTATGTTTAATTTTTAATTTCCACTGGTCATTCTTCAAAGCAATAAAGATGAGATAAAAGTTCAGAATTTTGAATTTACAGAAAACTGCTAGTTAATTCACAGGTAACAAAAACAGAGAGAAAAGGTTTCAAAGGGTTTCAGACCCAACAGTAACTCTTAAGAATCAACAGTCAAGAATAAATGGAGATACAGAAAGTTAACTGACCCTTATTTTGTATTCCAGAGACTACATTGGAGCAAAGCTGATAGAAAACCCACTAAAGTTCTATAGGTGTCACATCACCAGTAAAACCTCAGGCCTGATAACCAGGAATTCATCCTGATGCACACTAATACTGCAGAAAAATCTTGGTCTTTTAAACAATTTCCAACCCAATAATTTTTTAAAAGATGCAAGCAACAGCCCCAAGTTGAATCCTTTAAAGCATACATAGAACCAAAGCATTGTTATTGAAGGAAGAAAGGGAAAGAACAAGGGATAAACAGTCCGTCTGGAAAGATTTATACAAAACTATTTATTACAGTCATTAACTCAAAACAGTATACCACCTGACTCAGCTAATTTTCCTGTTTTGACAAAAATTTTAAGCATCATAGATCAATTGTAATTTTTCCAGTTGGCTTATTAAAATTTCTTTCCATGGTTTCTGCTTGCATTCCTGCAGGGCATAGACCTGCACTACCATGCAAAGTAGGGACTGCCCTTATTTATTTCTTTAAACTATGGCTCTTACATCCCATTAAGGTAATTTATTTCACTAAATCCCTGGATACTATTTAAAATTTCTGTCAAAGCATTAATAACTCTTTTACTGTCAGTTATAAATTTATAGGAAAGTGAAAAAATAATAAAAATCAATATTTAGTATACTATAACTTAAAACGTTGGAAAAATTGAAAATTAACTTGGCCAGGCACATTGGCTCACACCTATAATCCCAGCACTTTGAAAGGCTGAGGTGGGAAGATCAAGTAAAACCAAGAGTTCTACACCAGCCTGGGCAATATAGCAAGACCCTGTCTCTACAAAAAATAAAAATAAAAAAATTAGCTGGGCATAGTGGTACACATCTGTAGTCCCTGCTACTCAGAAGGCTGAGGTGGGAGGATCGCTTGGGCTCAGGAGTTCAAAGCTGCAATGTGTTACAACTGCACAACTGTACTCCAGCCTGGACAACAGAGCAAGACCCTGTCTCTAAAAAAACAAAAAAAAAGGCAAAGAAAATGAACTTATCAAGAGTGGTTTGAACAGAACTTGTTCTCTTATCAGTGTTTAACTCATGATACTGAGGAAGAATCTTTCGTATTCCTCAGTAAATTATCATGCTCCTTTCTAAGTCTGGATCAGCTTCCAACATTTTACCCTTTGCATTTTCAATGTTCTCAACTATCTCCTAGAGTTCCTTTAATGAATGTGAGGTCTTCTGACAGCATCACTTCCTCTGAGACAGCTTCATGCTCTTCAACAAAATCACTTTCATCATTTATGTTGGTTGAAAATCTCACCTTACCAAGTTCCTCCAGCTATAAATTCAGTCTCTTAAAAACGTGTAATGTCAGTAGTTCCACAGCCAGCTACTTCTGTATAACTTCATTTATATTCTACCTGATTTTCATTACATGTTATCACTTTTCATTTCTTTGCTGTATTTTCACTTTGTTGGGCAAATGCCTCTTTCAATTATTCATTTCTGTAAAATGTCACATGTGTTTCTTACTGGGAGACAAAGAGGCAACACAACTACATGCTTTGTTGTCTGTGCATAAACTGAGTAACAGATGCACAGTGACCAATCACTGACAGATTTTGAAAGAAGTGACATGATTGATCATGGATCATGATACATGTTTGTAATTTACAAGTTATTTGTAGAATGAAGAGCTAGCAGTCAAGTTTGTACATTATCCAAGTACACAATTAATACACCATGGTAAATGAAATTTGAACCATATTGTTAGGGGATTGGTGTCACTTAACTAAACTGTAGTAACTGAAATTCATATGTATAAAAGCCATGCAAAGCAAGAACTGCCTGCCCATAAATACTCCTATGTATAGAGCATAACATTAACAAATCAAAAATTTACAATGGAATCCTCAAAATTGCCCCTATACTGCCAAATGACATAAACATGAAAGCAAGGATCAAGTCACTTACAGATGTCCTACAGATACAATTAGTACTTGACTTTAATATATTTGATTTTCATACCACCTCACTTTTTAACAGAGCATGCTGATACCTGTTATTTGGACTTTAATATATCAAGAAAGGAAAAGAGATCTGAAGCTCTCATACGATGGCACTGCCTGCTGGAAAACAGTATTGTTTTAGTTGTGTCATCGCCTTATTACAGTAGTTTATTTAAGCAATTATGCAAATGTATTCAATTTTGACCTTATTATATAAAATTAAGTGGAAAATAGAATCAGCAATGGTGGTGATAAAAAGGATAGTGTTAATAAGAAAAATCAGTTTTATGAATTTGATTCCAGTGAAACAAAAGCAAAACTCCTGAGCATCAGATAGTCAGTGGAATTAAGCAAGTTTTTTCTCTGTGAATGTGGAAAATCAAATGAGTACGTACAGAGAGTGCAACATAAATTGCAAAACTATTTTACTAAAGATGGTATATACAACTAGAACCCTGGAAAAATAAAAAATTAAAATTAAAACATTAAAAATAATTAAGGAACTATATTATATCTTTAATTCTCTGGCAATAGAATCCTCATAACTTATTAATCAATTGTTTATGTTTTGCTTTACAGCTGAACACTGGTGAATGCTCTTATATTTAATAATATTTATTAGAAGTTCTAGGCTTCTAAACTGAATAAAGTGTTTCTATTGGTAGTAAGAGAATTTAAAAAACAGATGAAAGTATGCTCAGAACATTTAGGCTGTGAAAGGACAAAAAAAATCATTCTTTAGTATCCCTCTGTGTAGGAAGTCAAAATAGCTTGTATATCATCTTATTTTGTCTTCAAAATGACTAACTACCTCATTCTCATAGTAGAAATACCTTGAAATTAGATACAGGGAAATTAAAACAGAGAAAAGATAAAATTAAAACCTAAGTTTCTTGATTTTTGACACTTCAATAATGTACTTTTTTCTTTAACATTTTTGGACAGGAAATTCTAAGTTAATATTAAGGGCAAACAGAATATTAGACTTGGTATTTAACGTATTTTTATATATATATATAATAATATGATCACTGCTTGTCCATTTTTCCAAAATTGAAGTAAATGAGTATTTTACCTACCCCAACAATCCGCTTCATAGCATCCAGTTTAGCAGAATCTTTGTTGCTCTCTAACATTTGCTTTAGATCTTCATTCCTATTACAAAAGAGAAGAAAAAAAATCCATACTTTGATTTTTATATTAGATAGCTTAAAATATATCATTTTCATAAGAATTAGAAGTAATATCATGGGCAATGTTAAATAACTGCAGCAAGAAGGTGGCCATCTGCAGGCCAGAGAGAAAGGCCTCAGCAGAAACCAAACCCGCCAACACCTTGATCTTGTACTCCCAGGCATTAATTGTGAAAAAATTAATTTCTGCTGATTAAGCCACCCAGTCTGTGGCATTTTGTTATGGCAGCTCTAGCAAACTAATACAAGGGTTAAATGTTACAAACTGTCATTGCAAGAAAAAAATAAGTAAAAGCTAAGCACATTTTTTTCAAAAGGAATAAATGCAATGAAATTTATTATGAAAAAAATGAGCCTTACTTTCCAAACAGCTCATAAAATTAAATGCAATGGTGACCAGTAGAGAAGACAAAATACAATTAAATAATTAAAACACCTACTTCTTCCTAATTAAAAATACAGCTTGAAAATATTTAAACAGTAGAGGTAGTAATAAATAAAAACTGTCTCTGAGAACATACAACTACTACACATACTATAAATGTTCACCTTAAGGAATTTAGGATCCCTGCATAAAACTTTTCAGGCTCTTTCAGATTTCACAGGTAACAGAAAAGGGAGAGAAATTAATGGAACTATATATGTAACTGTATTTTGTTCTTCTACTTTTTGCTGTATTTTCCTATTTACTTAATGACTATGTATACTTTTATAATGAAAAACCTAAACCCTAAAAGAAACCTTAAAAAAATCTTACTGAAGTTAGGTAAGAAAAAAAAAGAATTCGATAGGAACTAAATAGAAAGGAAATGTGGTCACACATACACACATGCCAAAAAAGAAAACAATTTTCTCCTGCTTGTTCCCCTTTTCTGTTCCCCAAAGTGTCCCATTATTCTCCTCTACCAGTTTTATCTGGAGAGAGAAGTGAGCAATGAAGAGGAATGAAGTGTCAATTTTTAGAACAGCCCAACCTCTAATTCCAGGCATAGTCTTACTCGTAAACTAATGGAAACTTGGTTTGCTCATCTAAAGCCCAAATTCCCAGAGTGCCCAGAACAAGCACCTGCTCTCTGAAACTAAAAACAAGAAAACAGAATCTCAATATTAAAGATAAAGGTTTTGCTCTTCATGGTTAACAGAAAAGCTAGTCTTCAACAACAAATACTGCATTAATATAGGAAGAGAAACTAATAATTCTGAGGTTCAGGGAAGAGACAAGAAAAATCCTAGGCACTGTTTCAACCTGATGTAATATGCAGCTTCTCACGTATGTCATAAGGATCTATTTAAAATTCTGATATAAATTACATGTTTCTTCCCAAATTCTTCTTTGCCTGTCACCAAAACAGTAAAGATTTAGGAAAGTTAATACCATAACACCTACTTTACCCTCAAAATACATTAACTTTTATTAAGTTCTTTTAGGTCTACCTTCTTCATTACGTAGATTCAAATATGATCAGTTAACATGTATTACTGCATAAATCTTAGATACTATTTTGTTAAATATCAATATTTGAGTCAAAATAATGCTGAATTAGCAATATTTTCCTCAACTCTTTGCTGAAAACAATAGTTGTTTCAAATATATTCATTTTTAATTTACCTGTGTCTTCATTTACCTAGTTACCTGTAGCTTTCTAGCTTTGAGTATTAGGATACCAACTTTATTTTTACATAAGTGACATCTTGTGGTGTTAAATGGTATAACTTTTCCTTTCATGTTCAAAATAGGCCAGTTTTAAGTTTCAAAGGACAGAGAAGAATATATAACTGAACATTTAAGGCAAATCTTACTATTACCAGGAAAGTCATTCTTATTTTAGCCCCAGAATGAACTAGTAACTATAACTGAAAAATAAAGTTTACCAGTTATATATAAGAACTAGGGATGTGTTAGGGCTATTATGTAGTGTAAATTACCTCTCTTTTTAATCAATCTATAATCCATAACTCATTAAAACCTTCTACTCCTTCTAAAGACAACATAAATTAAGGGGAAAATTAAGACTATGTAGTACTGTACACTATATCAGTGCTACTTAAAGTATGATCTGAGAAAGTCTGGTCCAAGAATCATGACTAATTCACAAATTTTTGTTACCAACCCATGAGGAGATAGGTACCAAAATTCAGAATAAGCACATTGAGAACCGTGACGGAACAATTTGACAATGTAATTTTATGTTTATTGAGTCTAATTTAAAAAGTGGGGCTTGTATTTTATTTTGTGTGCCTTTTTCATTTTATTTTTCTTTAATTTTATTATGTTTTTGTTTGTTTGTTCTTTCTTTTGAGACAGAGTCTCACTCTGTCACCCAGGCTGGAATGCAGTAGTGTGATCTCCGCTCACGCAACCTCCGCCTCCTGGATTCAAGTGATTCTCCTGCCTCAGCCTCCTGAGTAGCTGGGATTACAGGAGTGCATCACCACACCCAGCTAATTTTGTATTTTAAGTAGAGATGGGGTTTCATCATGTTGGCCAGGCTGGTCTCGAACTCCTGACCTCAGGTGATCCACCAACCTCGGCCTCCCAAAGTGCTATGATTACAGAAATGAGCCACCACGCCTGGCCCATTTTATTTTTCTAGTAATTTATTTTTTATTGTATTTTGTAGAAGTATCCATCAATATTGGACTGGAAATTTTAAAAAGAAAAAAGAAAGGACTTTTACCATTTGAGAGCCCCACACTACAAAGTTACCTTCTTTTTCCTCAAAATTATGGTACACCAAAATTTATATACCATAGAAAGCAACACCTAAAACTTACATCCAGGAAATCATGGACTGGAAAAGTGATAAGGAATAGCAATTTCCAATCAGAGATACATGCCCAAAAAAGGATGTATAAAAATATTCAACGAAGGGAAGGCTGGACCTTTATGGAGCCCTACCAAAAAATTCCAAAACACAGGCACCTCTTTAGGCATAGAGAACCACTCCAATAAAAGATGCTACTATCCAAGTGGTGCGCTGCAAATATGAATGGATATGCAGAAAAAACGCTGGAAACAGAGTCAGAACTTACCATTTCCCAGTGCTATGTAGCCAAAGGGAGTGGCCCTCATAATAATAATGTTTTTGTGCAAAACATTAAGGCTTAGGAACATTTTCAGTTCACTTAGGATCTAAGCTTCCCTTGCAGAGTGCTCAGAACTTTGGCTCTTTCTGTTGACATCTGATACCCATGACCACTACTCTTTCATCTTGAAATTCCCTCCTCCTTTTGATTCTGTAGCTCTATTCTCATCTGGTTCTCCATTCGCATTTGTGACACAGCAATGAACAAAAATGACAGAAAAACCCTTGCCCTCATAGGGATTTCATTCTATTAAGTAAAAGAAACAACAAACATAATAAGTAAGAAATTTTTAAGTCATGAGGTAATATAGGGGAAAAACTTTTGGCACAAAGCCTCCACTTAATAAATGCAACAGTGAATAGAAACAAAAAACTCCATTGCTAGTGTCTTTACCTGCTCACCCATCTATTAACTTTCTAGGCAGGGCACAGTGGCTCAAGCCTGTAATCCCAGCACTTTGGGAGGCTGAGGCGAGAGGATCACCTGAGGTCGGGAGTTTGAGACCAGCCTGACCAACACGAAGAAACCCCATCTCTACTAAAAATACAAAATTAGCCTGGCATGGTGGCACATGCCTGTAATCCCAGCTATTCAGGAGGCTGAGGCAGGATAATTGCTTGAATCTGGGAGGTGGAGGTTGCAGTGAGCCGAGATGGCACCATTGCACTCCAGCCTGGGCAACAAGAGTGAAACTCCATCTCAAAAAACAAAAAACAAACAAACTTTCTAAAAGTCAGAATCATAAATTATCCAAATAAATATGAATATTCCTCCTATACTGTTCACAAGATTAAAAAGAAAAAAGCCTACAGACCCTTCCTCAACTCTTGGTAATCTCATTTACCTTTAATTTAAAATGTCTCTCACACAGGGTAACAAACAACGTCTTAATTTAAAAATCCAAGGTAAAATCTCATGAATAGTTTCAGATTATTCCTCTGTACTTGTGAGGACTAAACTCTGACTTTTCTCTCTCTTGCCCAAATTCCTAAGGGGCCTGAGGAGTCCTGCCCTACAAACCATAAATTCTCATCAGATGGATTTTAATTTAACCCTACGTAACGTGGCTTACTTTCCAACCTGACTATAGCATAACGTCACATGACATATAAAGAAGGCAATCAAAATATTTTACCCCAAAATATGCTTCTTTGCCATATTTTTGAACCGGCCCTGCAAAGCAGCCTTTTGTGGAAGAAAATCTGCATCTGTAAAGGATCTCTACAGAGTTTCCCCTTCCAGGCTCTAACAATTCTAAAGAGATTAACTGAGAGTCCAGCACTTTTAAAGATTTGAATAGGAAACATTTGCCATCTATTGTCTCTAAAGGCAGCCACCTAAGAGACTTCATAAGAATCTTGGTTTCTACAGCCCTTTATCCTAACCCAGCCACACCTTTCTCTTGATCCCAGGTTTTTCAATAACAACTTAACTCTTTCAAGTAATTGCCAATCAGAAAATCTTTAAATCCACCTGTAACCTGTAAGCCCCCTGCTTCAAGCTGTCATGCCTTTCCCAACTGAGCCAATGTATACCTCACATGTACTAACTGATGTCTTACGCTCCTTAAAAATATAAAATCAAGTTGTAACCCAACCACCTTGGGCACAGGTTCTCAGGATCTCTTGAGGTCATGGTCACTCATATGTGGCTCAGAATAAACCTCTTCAATTATTTTACAAAGTTTGGCTCTTTCTGTTGACATCTGATACATATGACCATTACTCTTCCATCTTGAAATTCCCTCCTCCTTTAGATTCTGAAGCTCTATTCTCATCTGGTTCTCCATTCGCATCTGTGACACAGCAATGAACAAAAGTGATAGGAAAAACCCTTGCCCTCATAGGGATTTCATTCTATTAAGTAAAAGAAACAACAAACATAATAAATAAGACATTTTTAAGTCGTAAGGTGATATGGGGGAAAAAAACAGAGGAAAAGGATACAGAAAGGAAAGAAGGAGGCAATTTTAATAGCACAGTTTGAGTAAATTTTAAAAGTGACATCTGAACAAAGATTTTCAAATAAGAGAGTTAGTTATGCAGATATCATGGGGAGCAAAGGGGGACAGGGAGGATAAGCAGGTCAAATAACTCTAAAAGTTTTTGGTGTTAACTCTGAATAAATAAAGAACTGCAGGTTTTGAACACAGGAGAGTCATGATCTATTTAACAGGATCATTCTGGCTGCTACATTCAGAATATACTGTAGGGACTTCCATATCTGTCCATGACACTGTAGCTTACAAAAAACTAAACCTGCCATAGAAAATAACTATAAAAGCTGAAATACATACATATACACACATATATGTATGCATATACATATACACACACACAAGTACTCTTAAGGGGCCATGATCCTTGAAAGAAGAGAAGCACAAAAAGTGAGCCCCTAGGCCAGGACAGTGGCTCACACCTATTAATATAATCCCAGCAGTTTGGGAGGCCGAGGCTAGTGGATAGCTTGACCTCAGGAGTTTGAGACCAGCCTGGGCAACATGGTGAGACTCCATCTTTACTAAAAATACAAAAAGTAGCCAGGTGTGGTGACATGCGCCTGTAATCCCAGCTGCTCAGAGACACGGTGGGAGAATCTTGAGCACAAGAGGGTAAGACTGCAATGAACCATGATGATGCCACTGCACTGTGGCCTGGGTGACAGAGTAAGAACCTATCTCTCTCAAGGGAAAAAAAGAGCTCCTCATTCACACCAGCTTTTTCCCTCAGTACATTTCCCAAATTGCCATGTGGGAGAACAGAACCCAAGGAGAAGTCACAGTCTTAATAACTTGAGGAGACAAATGTTGAATTCCAGGGCTGCCACAGTGACTGAGACTTGAAGGACAAAATTACAGAGGAGGGAACCAGAGACAAGGTACACAAAAATCTGTGTGCAAAATGTTGGCTGCAATTCCTAAGGCAAGACTCCAGGAAACACAACAAAAAACAGCAGCTGTCAAGTCTGTCCTCAGAAGAGAGGCTTTGGTGAATGCCCTGGACTTTCCATTAAGATTACTGAAGAGCCACACAGAGTGCTAAGGAAGATGCCCGAGGAGTATAAGAAAAAGTTCCATAAACAAGACCTTAAAAAGTCTAAAACTGAGCTTTGACAAGATCAGAATGATCTGCTTACATTCTATTTGCTTGGCTGGAAAAAAAAACAAAAACAAAAACCCAGCCCTGTATGGAAGAAGCTATCACCCAAAGCTTCATCAATCATTTTTATCCTAAATACCTAGCATCTGATCAAAACTTACGAGACATACTAAAAACAGGATGAAATTACCCCCGCCCAAAAAAGAAAAAAAGGAAAAAAAAAAAAAAAAAAACCAGGAGCAGATCCATGAGTGACTCAGATACCAGAGTTATCACACAGGGATTTTAAAATAATTACAATTAACATGGTCAGGAAAATGTAGAAGAGATGGACAAAACAGATGAAACAACACAGAAATCAACAATTAGTAGAATCCATACAAAACAACCAAATGGACATTCAGAACTGAAAAGTATAGTATATGAAATTAAGAACTCATTAGATAGGTTTAATGGCAGACTGGAAATGGGAGAAAAAAAGGATTATCGAACTTGAAGGCAGGTCAAGAGAAAATATACAAATTGAAGCACAGAGAAATAAAAGAATGGAAAAAATAGAACAGAGCATCAGAGGCATATGAGATAAAGGTAAAATTTCTAACATACCTCTAATTAGAGTTCCAAAGAGAAAAGAGAGTATGAAACAAAAGCAGTATTTGAAGAGATAATGGTTAAGAATTGTTCTGAACCTATGAAAAACATAAACCCACATATTTAAAAATCTTAGAAAAAAAGGACAAACATAAAACTACACCAGGTACAGCATAGTCAAACTGCTGAAAACAAGAAACAATGAGAAAAATCTTAAAAGCATCCAGAGGCTGAGCATGGTGAATCATGCCTATAATCAAGCACTTTGGGAGGCCAATGCAAGAGGATTGCTTAAGGCCAGGAGTTCAAGACCAGCCTGGGCACAACATAGTGAGGCCCAGTCTCTACAAAAAATATTTTTAAAAAATTAGCTGGGCATGATAGTGTGCACCTATAATCCTAGCTACTCAGAAGGCTGAGGCAAGAGGATTGTTTGAGCCCAGGAGTTCAAGGCTGCAGTGAGCTATGATTACACCACTGCACTCAGCCTGGGTGAGACCCTATCTTTTTTTTAAAAAAAAAGGCATCCAGAAAATTACCTTGAGACAGGAGTCAACAAACGTAAAGGGCCAGAAAGTAAATATTTTAAGTTTTACCAGCCATACCATCTCTGATGTAACTAGTCAACTCTGCTATTGCACAATGAAAGCATCTATAGATAATACAAAAACAAATGGGCATGGTTGTGTTCTAATAAAACTTTATGTACATAAACAGATGGGTGGTTTGCTGGTCCCTACCTTAAAAGGAATAACATTTCAACAGACATTATAAAGGCCAAAAGATATCGGAATGACATATTTAAAGGGCTGAAAGAGAAAAGAATGCCAACATAGAATTCCATACCCAGGATATTAAAAATATTCTTTATTTCACTAAAGGTGAAATAAAGTGGTTTTCAAACAAATAAAAGCTGAAGATCTGCTGCCTGGACATAGGGTATCATTTCAAAAGGAAAATAATTTTACATTTATATGCAATTTATACAGATTCTAAATTTACAGTTTCCATGTGTAAAGCAAATGCTGACAGACTCATGGAAGAAAAACACACATCCATAATCATGATAGGCAATTTTTTTTTTTGGGGGACAGTCTTGCTCTGTCACCAGGTTGGAGTGCAGTGGCGCAATCTCAGCTCACTGCAACCTCCGCCTCCCGGGTTCAAGCAATTTCCCTGCCTCAGCCTCCCAAGTAGCTGGGATTATAGGCACGCGCCACCACACCCAGCTAATTTTTTGTATTTTAGTAGGGACAGTTTTCACCATGTTGGCTAAGATGGTCTCGATCTCCTGACCTCGTGATCCACCCACCTCGGCCTCCCAAAGTACTGGATAACAGGCATGAGCCACTGCCCCCGGCCATGATTGGCAATTTTAACACACCTCTCAGTAACTGGCAGAACCAGGAAACGAAAAATTCAATAAAGGTGTAAAAAATTCGAACAACATAATTAAACAACTTAAACTTACAAGCATAGAACAATATATCCAACAACTGCAGAATAAACATTCTTTTCAATTGTACATAGGACATTTACCAAAATAGACTATATAAGGTTTCAACAAATTTGAAAGGTATAAGAATCAGAGTATGTGGAATCTAAATAGAAACCAATACTTAAAAAATAAAATAAAAACTAAAAAGTGCTCACATAATGGTAATTTTTTTTTTTGAGATAGGGTCTTGCTCTATTGCCCAGGCTGGAGTGCAGTAGTATGATCACAGCTCACTGCAGCCTCAAACTCCTAAGCTCATGAGATCCTCCCACCTCAGCCTCCCAAGTAGCTGGGGCTACAGGCATGTGCTACCTTGCCTGGCTAATGTTTTTTTATTTTTTGTAGAGATAGGGTCTCCCTATGTTGTCCAGGCTGATCTTGAACTTTTGAACTCAAGCAATCCTCCCACCTCAGTCTCCAAAAATGCTAGGATTGCAAGTGTGAGCCACCATGCCAGCCTGCAACATACTTTGTGATTTGACAAAGTGCAACATTTCATAACTTGTGGGATGCAGCTAAAGCAATATTTAGAAGCAAATTTAGGCTGGGGGAGGTGACTCATGCCTGTAATCCCAGCATTTTGGTAGACCAAGGCAGGAGGATCACTTGAGCTCAGCAGTTCAAGACCAGCCTAGACAACATAACAAAGACACTATCTCCACAAAAAATCCAAAAATTAGTTGGACTTGGTGGCATACACCTACAGTCCTAGTTACTCAAGAGGCTGAGGTGGGAGGATTGCTTGAGCCCAGGAGTTCAAGACCAGCCTGGGCAACACGGCAAGACCCTTTCACCACAAAAAAAACAAAAAATTAGTCAGGCATGGTGGCATGCACCTTTAGTCCCAGCTACTCAGGAGGCTGAGGTAGGAGGACCACTTGAGTCTGGGAAGCTGAGGCGGCAGTGAGCCAAGATCGCACCATTTCACTTCAACATGAGTGACAGAGCAAGACCCTGTCCCTAAAAAAAAAAAAAGAAGAAGAAGCAAATTTATATTTCTAATTACAATACAAAATCAGAAAGATTAAAAATCAATGATCTAAGTTTCCATCTCAGAATGCTAGGAAAAAAAAACAGCAAATTGAACTCAAAGTACAAGTAATAAAATAATAAAGATACAAGAAGAATTTAATAAAACAGACTAACATGTTTTGCATTTATAGTATATTATTAACTTATTTAGCTACCTGGTATTATTTTCTGAAGCTTGTATCTTATTTTAGTATCACAAAGCCTCTATGAAACAAAACTACAATAGAGAAAAATCAACAGAACTAAAAGCTGATGTCTATTTCAAATAGGTTGTCATGAAGACTTAATAAAATCATAAAGCACTTATCACTGGGCCTAGCACATTTATTTATTCAACATCCATTATATGCCAGAAGCTGCTCTAAGTATTGAAGTCCCTGAATATTCTAGGACCTAAATTTTAACAAACAAGGAATTGGTGGGAGGGAGTTTAAGGGGAATGACAGGAAAAAAAGGAGAAGGGAGGGAAGTAAAGAGGGAGAGAGCAAGGCAGAGAAGGAAGAAAGCAGGGAGGAACAAAAACATAAAGAAAGATCAGATAAGTAGTACACAAACAATTAAAATAAGGAATGCAATAAAGTAAGACTGGGTGATCACAAAAGACCTCCACGGATAAGTGATCTGAGGTCTCGAAGTACAAGGAGACAACCAAAGAAATCATACAAGATAACAGAGCAAGAACAAGCTTGGCTATAAAGAATCCAAAAGAAGATCTATGAAGGGCCTCTAAAGGTAGGCTGAAGCAGGTTACATTCCTTACCGGTCCATAACAGATACACAATAAACATTAGTTGAAAAAACAAATGAAAGCAGGCTATATACTAAACTTGTTTCTTAGAAAGACACAGAAGAACCCTTTCACTGTAAAGTCTCAAAAGGATCCATGATCCCAATAAAAGTTAAAAACCAAGCATATATCTTCCATGTCTTCATATCATTCATATGCGTATTAAAAGCCATGATGTCATACAGACATCACAGGACATCTTCATATTTGCCATGATCTTTATCAATGCCCTCAGCTACTTGGCCTCTTGGTAGGCAGCAGGAAGTATGTTTTACCTTTGCTCAGGAGATTAGGAATGTCTTCTAGAATGTGACTATTCAGTAGTATATTTGTTAATGTTTCCTTTTATTGCTTCTGAGACTCCCCCAATCTTAATCTTCTATACAAAGTGGCATTTTTGGTTTACAGTGTTTTTAAACAGTGAAAAGGAACTTTTTGCCTGTTACAAATTTTATGCATCACCATATATAAACTAAACTATGTCAGTGGCTCTATGAGATTTCCTGTAAAACTTTTTTCCTACAAATAGATAAATTCACACAGGTATGCAAAAACTTATGTTGAAATATTGTTTTTATGTGATGAAAAGTGAAATCAATCAAATGCCCCTCCAAAAGGGGACTAATTCTTTGGGAGGCCGAGGCGGGCGGATCACGAGGTCAGGAGATCGAGACCATCCCGGCTAAAACGGTGAAACCCCGTCTCTACTAAAAATACAAAAAATTAGCCGGGCGTAGTGGCGGGCGCCTGTAGTCCCAGCTACTTGGGAGGCTGAGGCAGGAGAATGGCGTGAACCCGGGAGGCGGAGCTTGCAGTGAGCCGAGATCCCGCCACTGCACTCCAGCCTGGGCGACAGAGCGAGACTCCGTCTCAAAAAAAAAAAAAAAAAAAAAAAAAAAGGGGGGGGGGGACTAATTAATTATGAGGAACTATTACACAGTGGTTTAAAACAGGGGTCCTCAACCCCCAGGCCACAGAACATTACCCATCTGTGGCTTGTTAGAAACCAGGATGCCACACAGCAGGCAAGTGGCAGATGAGGAGTATTACTGCCTGAGCTCCGCCTCCTGTCAGATCAGTAGCGGCATTAGATTATCAGAGGAGTGCAAACCCTCTTGTAAACTGTGCATGCGAGGGATCTAGGCTGCACGCTCCTTATGAGAATCTAATGCCTGATCTGAGGTGGAATAGTCTCATCCCCAAGCCAACCCCCACCCCCTTCCATGGAAAAACTGTCTTCCATGAAACAGGTCCCTGGGTACTGCTGGTTTGGCGATTGCTGGTTTAAAAGATTAAAATGGTATCATATGTTGATATGGAAAGACATATCAACATATGGAAAGATCTTTTAAAATATACCAGGTGGAAAGCAAGATACATAGAGAATAGTATATATATGATCGTTTAATTTTTTTAAAAAATTTCTGAAAGGATACATAAGAACTTGTTCTTTGTAGTTACACATGAATGGGAGTTATGAGATATGGGATTGGAAGTTATATCCTTTCCACATCATTGACTAACTCACCGCTAACATGTCGTGTTTATAACATATTATTAACTTATTTAGCCACGTGGTAGTGGTTTTATTTTCTGAAGCTTATAACACTGTCTTATTTTAGTATCACAAAGTCTCTATGAAGCGTGTGTAGCTATTATTGTTCCCATTTAATAGATGAGTAAACCAAGTCTCAGAATATATAAAGGTAACATAAGATTACATAGCATGTGAGAAATTCTAAAATCACATGCCTTTTATGTATATCATCATAAAACCAGGGAATGGCAAAGCAAGGAATTAAATTTCAATCTTGTTTTGAAATTCAACATTCTTCCTATTCACCATACTACGCTGTCAATTTCTGCTATAAAGCTGACTATATTAAGAATATATTTCAATGGCCGGGCACTGTGACTCATGCCTGCAATCCCAAGACTTTGGGATGCGGAGGCAGGAAGATCGCTTCAGCCCAGGAGTTCAAGAACAGCCTGGGCAACATAGGGAGACCTAATCTCTACAAAAGAAAAATATATATTTTTTAACATATTATATAAAATTTATATATATTATATATTAAGTCCTATATATGTATATATAGGTGTGTATATATATATAGGACTTAAATATATATAGGACTTAAATATATATATATATGACTTAAATATATATATATGACTTAAATATATATATATATATATATATTAGCCAGGCATGGTGGTGTACACCTGTGGGCCCAGCTACTCAGGAGGCTGAAGTGGGAGGATCAGACCAGGAGGTTGAGGCTGCAGTGAGCCGAGATCGTGCCACTGCACTCCAGCCTGGGCGACAGGGTGAGACTCTGTCTCAAAAAAAAAAAAAAAAGAATATATTTCAAGAACTATAAAGTAATACCTTATAAAAGGTATAAAATCCATAACCTGGAGTGTCATCCCCCTCCCTACTTAATCTATAATCACAAGAAGAACTTTTCTTTTAAACTCAAAATTTTCATGAAAAGAAAACTGATCACTAGAATCATAGTAAACACTGATTCTAATTATTCTCAATGGTAGTCTAAAACATCTGTGATACACTTCTGTATAAGTCAAAATAAATTTTATTTTCACTGACATTACTTTGACTGTATTTGGTTAACATTATCTCATGTAGATTCATCAGCTCAAAATTAATTAGTATTACAGAATAGTGTATTCCGTCCAAACAATTCATCTTTGTTGGCTCACATGGCTCACTGCTATTGGCATGCCACAGTAATAATAGGCATGGTGCCACAGTAACAGATGGGCATACACACAAACATGCCAAAGAATCCGTTTGTGCATCAAGTTTGAGTATTAGTATTAGATTTTTCTCCAAGAAATTCATAAACTATAGTAGAGGAAATATAAGTTTTCTACAACTGTGTTAATAAGATATGCCAACTCAAAGCTAGATTAATTTTTAAATTCTTTAAAAAAACAACAACAACAACAACTTTCCAAGGCCACAGAAGGCAAGTTTTCCATCTGATGAGTTTGGATCAGCATTCTGTAAAGGGAATTCAGGAAACCAATATGCAATGTCTGCCTTTGTCCCTGATGCACTTGGAAATCTCAATAAAAAAATTAGTTTTTAAAAAGTCACAGGGCAGTATTGCAGATGAAACAGTTCTAGACATCTGTAGCACAACAATGTGAATATAGTTAACACTACTGAATTGTACACTCAAAAATGGTTAAGATAGTAAATTTAATGTTATGTGTTTTTTACCACAATTTTTTAAAGTCACATGGTCCCACCAAGTTTCCTGATGAAGGCTATGTAGAACCAGAAACAGAAAAAAAGTCCTACAAATTTGTACTTGACAGGAATAGAATCTAAAAGTGCAAATCACTTAAGTTTTATGTGATTATTTTAAAGTATGCTATCACTTAAAAACAATTCTCGGCCGGGCGCAGTGGCTCGCGCCTGTAATTCCAGCACTTTGGGAGGCCAAGGCAGGTGGATCACCTGAGGTCAGCAGCTCGAGACCATCCTGACCAACATGGCAAAACCCTATCTCTACTAAAAGCACAAAATTAGCCGGGCATGGTGGTGCATACCTGTAATCCCAGCCACTCAAGAAGCTGAGGCAGGAGAATCGCTTGAACCTAGGAAGCAGAGATTGCAGTGAGCCAAGATCGTGCCACTGCACTCCAGCCTGGGCAACAAGACCAAAACTCTGCCTCAAAAAAAAAAAAAAAAAAAAAAACAGTTCTCATCTATAGTTAATTATCCCATTATAATTTATTTTTAAAAGACTGACTAACTTATTTCCATGTGTAGTTTTACATTTTTGAAACATAAACATATCCTATTGACCAAACTATATTGAAACTTTTTTTATAGTTTTGCTACATGAATGAAAAACCGTTTTACAATACTAAGAATGCTAAGAAAAAAATCATTTGCAGTCACTATCATCCAAAATTATTTAAGTAATATACAAAGTATCAAAATAGATGGGACTCTGTGTGTATGTAGGAATAGGAGAGAGGAGAAAATAGGGATTTATTTAATGGGTGCAGAGTTTCAGTGGTGCATATAAAAAGAGTTCTGGAGAGGGATGGTGGTAACGATTGCCTAACAATATGACTATATTTAATGCCACTGAACTGCACACTTAACAATGGTTAGGTTGCTTGATACCTTGTCAAATAGGGGAAAAAATGGTTAGGATGATAAAGTTATTCAGGTGTATTTTACCATAATTAAAAATAAAAGAGAAACTACTCTAAAAGAAAAAAAAGCTCGTTAGACTCCATGTCTCCCTGCAATAACCATCCTTCGTCCTCTACCTGAAAGCCAAAGTTCTTCGGAGAAGTGATCTTCTTTTACTCACTTCTCACCCATCCACCAATGGACTGCCATCGATTTCCACACTCAACATCCCTTGACACTGCTGTCACCACCACCAAGGTCACCAACAACTGCCTTATCACCAAACTGCCTTACCATTTTGCTTGATTCCACACCAGCAGCTGGCACTGCTGACCATTTAGCCCCTCCTCTTTTTATTTCTGTTAAAGCAAAACATACATAAGCCTGCCTTCTTTTAGGAAAAATGAGAAATAGGCTGCTTCTTCAAGAACAGCTTCAAAGCCATAGGATACAAAAGAAGACTGAAAATTGAAAAAAAAAAAAAGTTTAAAACAAATACACTTTTTACTCCTTTGTACTATAATCATTGTTCCCAAATCCTTGATAATCACACAGAAGAATCAGGGCTTATTAATTTCATTTATTTTTATGTGGTGCACATTAAAGGTACTTTGTATTAAGCTGGTGCAAAAGTAACTGCAGTTTTTGCCATTAAAAGTAAATATATTTAGTTGTTTCAAACACTTGTGAAATATAATTCAGAAAAACTGAAGTTTGATGAAAATTTGAAAATTAAAAACATAAAGCAATGGTTAATGTTAAAATTAACAATAATTCTAAAATTATAATAGCTTAAAAAGTACATCATATTAAAAATAAAACAGGCCAGGCATGGTGGCTCATGCCTGTACTCCTAGCACTTTGGGAGGCCAAGGCAGGAGGACGGCTTGAGCCCAGGAGTTCAAGACCAGCGTGGACAACATAGTAAGACTTGTCTCTACCAAAAAAAAAAAAAAAAAATAGCTAGGCATGGTGATACATGTCTGCAGTCCCAGCTACTCAGGAGGCTGAGGCAGAAGGATCACTAGAGCCCAGGAGTAAGCCATGATAGGGCCACTGCACCCCAGCCTGGGGCACAGAAAGAGATTGTGTCTCTTAAAACCAAAAAAGAAAAATGAAAACAAAACTTTAAATGACTTTAATGGTGTTATAATGGTAATCATAATTACTATGTTTATTATGTACCAGGCACTATTTACATATGTTAAATCTTTTAATCCTCACAACTAGTCAATGAGTGTAGGTACATTATCATCCTCATCCCCATTTTACACATAAGAAAACCAAGGGCAGAGAGTTGTAAAATAATCTGTCCAAGTACCATTTATTAACTCTGTGCCACATTTTGACACCCAGGAATAGTTCCAGAGTGGGTGTGTCTAACCGTCATACCACACTGTCTCAACAAACCACACAATAAACCATTTATCGGCTGTCTTCCTCCTACGGAAGTAGGAATTAAGTTTCGCCCTTTCCTTATACCTTAAACACAATTCAAAAACTTGTACAATCAACTTTCATGGTTTCCCCAAACTGAATTCTCCCTTCTTAGTTTTCTAAGTAAGTTCCAATTCTCCTACTCTCTTCAATGTAGACTTTACTAAGATTCCTCACTGGCCTTCTCTTCACATGCCGCACACACACTTTCCACTCAATGGCTCCAACTACAATGTCATCAATTAATGACTCCCAAATCTACATCACCAGCCCAGGTAGCTGTCCTGAATACCTTATCTATCTATCTAACTGCTCAACGAATGCCTAACTATCAATTCAAATTCAGCAGATCCAAAACGGACCTCAACACTTACCCTCCTCACTCCAAACTTACTCTATCCATCTGTGTTTCCAGTATCACAGAATTCTAGCATCATTCACATACTTGTCCAATCCAAAAACACTGGTGTAGCCAAGGTGATCTTTTTAAAAAATAAATCATTTTATGTTGCTCCTATACTTTAGCACTCCTTACTGTGCAAACCTTCATGATAAAATCCTAATTTCTGAGCATGGTATGCAAAACTCTTCATAATACAGACTGATTACCTCCTAACCATCTTTCACCAGTCAGTCCCTCATTTCCTCCTAACTATGTGCTCTCGCCACACTGAATTGTTTCCTGTTCCCTATGTAAGCCATAAATCCTTGCCTCTAAACCAGCAGTATCCAATAGAATGTTCTGTGATAATAGAAATAATCACTTATCTGCATTATCCATTATAGTAACTGCTAGCTACATCACATACATGAAATGTGACTAGAGTGGTGGAGAAATTAAATTTAATTAAATTAAATTTAAATAGCTACATTTGGCTAGTTGCTACTATATTGAACATTACAGCTCTAAACCTAGGTATATGCTATTCTGTC
This sequence comes from Homo sapiens, assembly GCF_000001405.40. Classification (NCBI taxonomy): domain Eukaryota; kingdom Metazoa; phylum Chordata; class Mammalia; order Primates; family Hominidae; genus Homo; species Homo sapiens. Next base: position 78,284,277 of record NC_000005.10, read on the forward strand.
TGCCTGGTATACACAGGTATGTGTGGAAAGTCCTCATCAGTGCTACTATCTAACATCATTAGTATTCATTCTTTTGCAAGGTTATTCTATTTATGTAGGTAGTAATTAATAAGGTCCATTCTACATAAGATACTATTTAAATCCTCTAGTGGAGCTAGCTACATAACCTCATTTGTATACCTTAGTTGTTTACTTTCCTAATAGCTAATAGATAGTAATTTAACTACAATTTGTCCTAAAAGGACTATCATTTTAAGAAATGAGCAGGCTCCATGCATTGGTAAATGAAACAAGCAAATTATAATGTCATATTATAAAAGCATATAGCTTTGCTCTAAAAACACATGATATACACATACATACATATAAATATATATGCAAAAGAAAAAAGGCTAAAAGATATATACTACATTAACCGATTTCTTCTGGATATTGAAATTAGGGTTGTTATTTTTCAGCTAACCTGTATCTGTAAGTTTTCTAGAAGAAAAAGGGGATATCAGCAATTCTCCAGCAATTTTCCTTCTCTCTAATGCATCATCTATTTTCTCTCCTCTACATCAGTTGGTTCCATCAGCAAACAAGATAATACAGTTTCTCCTACCTTAAGGAAAAATTCCTTGACATAACATTCCTCTCCAAGTGCTGCTCCATTTCTCTGCTCTTCTATACTTAAAAATATACTAATGGCCAGGCGCGGTGGCCCACGCCTGTAAATCCCAGCATTTTGGGAGGCCGAGGTGGGCAGATCATGAGGTCAGGAGATGGAGACCATCCCGGCTAACACGGTGAAACCCCGTCTCTACTAAAAATACAAAAAAAATTAGCTGGGCGTGGTGGAGGGCGCCTGTAGTCCCAGCTACTCGGGAGGCTGAGGCAGGAGAATGGCGTGAACCCGGGAGGCGGAGCTTGCAGTGAGTCGAGATCACGCCACTGCACTCCAGCCTGGGCGACAGAGCAAGACTCTGTCTCAAAAAAAAAAAAAAATACTAACCACAATTCTTCTTCTTCCTTCTCTCTTGAGCCCACTCATGAGGCTTTCAGCCCCACCAGTGCACCTAAACTGCTTGTCACGGTCACCAAAGTCCACCCAGTGACAAATCCAAAACTCCCTTCTCAGTAATCATCTTACTTGACCTATTTGTATTATTTGACACAATTACTCCAGGAATGTCCCAGGACTGACTGACTCTGACCTTTTTCTACACTCACTTCCTCAGTGTCTCATCCAATCCCATGATACCTGATGACTCCCAAATTTATACTTCTAGCCTGACTCCTCCTCTAAGCTCCACACTCTGATATCCAACTGCCTATTTAGTATCTCCACATGGATGCCTAATCGCATCTCAAACTTAACATGCACAAGCTCTTGGTCCCTTTCCCCCTTTAAAAAAAAATTCCTCTTTGCACAATATTCTTCATTTTAGTTGACAGCTATTCCAAACTTCGAGCTGTGTAGGCAAAAAACTTTGTATCCACCCTTGATATCTTTTCTCCCACACACATATCACATCCAAACTATCAGCAAATCTCATTGGCTCTACCTTTCAAATATATCCATAACTCACCCACTTCTCTCCACTACCACCAATCGGATCACCTTCTCTTGCCTGAATTACTGTAATAGTCTCCTTGCTGGTCCTTGCCTCAAATCTGCAGTCCACTCCTAGTTCAAGAGGCAAAATGTCCCTTTAAAGGGTAAACAATCATTTCACCCCTCTGCTCAAAACTCTCCAAATGGCATCCCTTCTCACTCAGAGTAAAATCAAAGACCTTAACAATGATTTTACAAGGCCCTACACAATCAGGTCTCCGCCTTCCACTCTGCCCCTTATCTCTCTGCCCTCATATTTTACTAATTAATTTCCCCCACATCCTTCTTGACCACATTCTCAACCTAGGCTTTAAAAACTTGCAGAAAACCCATTCCAAGAATAAAGTTGGGTGATGCCTAGCTCTGCCAACCTATGATTTTGGAACCACCCTACTATGGTTTCAATGTGTCCTCTCCAAAATTCAGATGTTCAAACTTAATGGCCAATATGATAGCATTAAGAGGTGGGGCCTTTAAGATTTAGTCATGAGGGCTCCTCCCTTCATGAATGAGATTAAGGCCCTTGCAAAAGAGGCTTCACAGTCTTCCATTCTCTTGCCCTTCCACCTTCTGCCCAGTAAGGACACAGCATTACTCCCCTCCAGAGGATGCGGCAACAACAGACCATCTTAGAAGCAAAGAGCAGCCCTCACCAGGAAACTAAACCTGCCTGTGACTCAATCTTGGACTTCCTGGCCTCCAAAAATGTGAGAAATAAAATTATATTCTTTAGAAATTACCCAGTCTCAGGTTTTTTGTTATAGCAGCATAAAACAAACTGAGACAGGGCCTTATTCATTCTTCTCTCATTTGTCCAGCTACCATGCCAACTCACTCAGCTGAATTAAAGACAGTGGACTTCTAATTAGGCTGGTTCCTATCAGCAATATAAATAATCAGTCCATCAATAAACAGATATTGGCTATAAACTGTTCACTTTTGTAGATCTATTAAGTCTTTCCAGCTGATAGGCTAAATAAGCCTTCTCTAAATACACGAACCAACGTTATTCATAATAATATGAAATAGAGGAAAATCATTTCCTTCTTGATTATTCTACTTTAAGCTCTTCATTTTAAATTTTGAATTTGGACTGCAGGCAATTTGTTTTTGTCAGTAGTTCATTTATATACACAAGTGAAATACTGTCAAATTATTTCACTGTAATACATTTGTCATTCTATGAGCATTTATAACTTTTCATGCAGCAAAAAAGAACATTTCAACCAACCATCTGTCTGCCTTTTTCATGTGCTTTAATCATTCAGCTCTGGTAATGTTGCTCCAAATACTAAATTTTTTTTAAATAACATAAAATCTCACATCTTATGATTTAATGGTAAGGCTTGAAATTTAATTTTCAGATTTTTCTCCTCAAATTTTACCAGATCAGTGATTTTAAAAATAACATATCCTACTGTCAAGAAAGAATATTTTCTTGAATATTTATTAAGACAAAATGTAGAAGTCAGAACCAACTCTCCTTCAAGGAGATATGCAAGCAAAGCAAAATAAGATAAAAGGTTTTATAATCTGTTGGAAAGTAAGACTCTGTTTACAGGCAGTATTTCATCAAATTTCTATTCAATGTAGTAAAATCTTATTTAATTTGAAATATATTTCAAGAATTAAATCATAAATGGAACCCTACTGCACCACTGAAATGACAATCCTTAATTTGAATAGTTGGCCCTTTGTAAAACTTACGATCTTATTTTTATGAAGACAAAAACAACTAGTTCAGCTGCTAGGAATGCACTGCAGATGCTAGTATACAGTTTCTTCTTTTATTTTTAGTCACCTTGGAACAAATGCTGAAATTTAGTGAAAAATCAATAAAATACTAAAATTTCCTAATAACTTAATGTACCCCTTGTAAAAAAAAAAAAAAAAAAGTAGGATCCAGTTTACATATGTAGCAAGCAAATATGTTAACAGCTCTAGTACCAGATCTAATGACCATAAATTTCAATTAGCTAAACATAATAAACAAGACAGATCAGTTATCAAACCTGGAATTATTAGAACACAAGAGATTTAAATCTTCATAACTAAAGATGATCAGATGTATAACAGTATGCTGACAAAATCATGACTGAAGCATATTTTCATAGCAGCAACCCTGAACTCCTGAGCACAAGAGAAAGGAATTCACAATGAGGAAGGAGCCCGTGCCTCTTCATGTCATGCTTATGACTCAGGGCACCAACACTTCAACGTCTCAAACTAAAATGTCCTTAACATTTCAAAATTCCAGCATTTCCATTTTCTTCAGTAAATCACTGTTTACACAAACAAAGGCTTATAACAAATAATTTTCAATAGGTATGCCACACTGAAAAGTTGAATTACACAATTTAACACTAATTGTATACTTGAATTACTGACGGTTAGTTCACATTAGCCTAATCTCTCCAAATAAAGTCTGAGTTTCTTAAAAACAAGATAAAGACACTATAATTGTTATGCATTTTTATGGTGAAAACACAGAGGAATGAACCATACATATGGAATAATCCAAGACTGGGAGGTAAAGATGCCTTTGAAGACTGGGATAAAGACTAAAAATCCTGATTGTAAAGTTCATTCCATACCTACATGACAATTCCGAGTCAGTTAATCCTAACCACAGCAAAGACCCAAGTGAACTACACAAAATTAGCTTCAGGGTGATGCTGTACTACAATACAATGGAGATACCAGATGAGGGTTTCCTTCTGTATAGGGTCCACGGAATCAGTCATGCTTCATTTTTTAACAACATTGGCTAATGAGAGAGCAAATGTTAATGGAATCTAAATCACTGAATTGAGTAAAAGGATCTGAAAATATTTTATTAAGCAAAATTATGAGCCAAACACTTTGCTAGGCACCTTCACACAAATCACAGTCTTTAATATGAGCAGAATGTGTGAACGATTTATCTATATAAATATTTAAGAAATATTCACTGAGCAACTACATAAACTGAAAATACACAATGAGATAAAGTTTAAATGAGAAATACTAGGATAAGCAAAAAGAAAGTAGAGCAAGCTCTAAACAACTAGACCATGAAAAAATGTTAAATGAAAAAAAAAAACACCCAAAAATATGGTACAGACACTAGATAAAATTAAGTATTAATAAAAAATGGACTTAAACACAAACAAGTTTAGAACCCATAGTGAGACACAATGACTCTTTGAGGTAGGTCAAATATAATGCGTTACTATTAATAAAATTGTATTTTTAAGAAAGTATATTCAATAACATCCCTCTAAGTAAATGAATCTCACTCAGCTGCATTTCTATATGCCTTTCAGAAAGATACAAAAAGTAGTGGAGATAAAGTCAGAGTTGCTATAATTGCGTACAAACCACAGACACATGTAATCTTCCTACTGGACTCTCCTGAGAATCACTGATATTAAAGGTTAAGAATGAATGTAATAGAATTTTCATGTTTGATATTGTAAAGTTGACAATGAATAAGATTTAAGTTAAAAAATAAGTCAGGCTTTATTGATGCAATCCAAATACACTGGGTTGTATTACTGACTACAGGAAAGCATGCAGTACTTTGCTTGGATCTAAATTAGCTCTTTGAATCTAAACAAATGAAAAGCCCACCCCGATTTAAACAGAGTAAAAATGCTACCTTTCAACGTGTGCAGGAGGTACTGCATTGCTAAGTTACTGGCTGCTAAAGTCACCTTTCAGTTGTTAAACCCAAGGGCCTCTTTTCAGCCTTCATTCTATTTGCCCTTACTCTACAACTCCTGACATAGCTGAACATTTCCTTCTTTTAATTTTCCTGTTAGCATCTTCTTTTTTAAACCTTCCTGTGTTTTCCCACCCTTCTGAGCTCAGTCTCTTTTTCTAGTTCTTCCATTCATACTTTATATCCTGTTGTCCCCTGGGTTTTGTCCAAACTGCCTTCTCGTCTAACAAGAAAAGTCTTCCCTGGGTGATTTCATCCATTCCCATACTTTACTACCTACTATTCATAATTGTGATGTCTAAATATCCATCTCATTTGAACATGCTTTTTCTTTTGCAAATCTTCTGGTTTCTACATACTCTGCCTAAAGAATCCATCTTTCCTCCCCCTGGCAAAAACCTCAGGCTTTAAGATCTAAAGTGTCACTACCTCAGTGAAGTCTTCACCAACTTTCCCAAATAGCGTTAGTTAATATCCTAGTTTAGAAATCACTTTGAAGTACACCATCTCATGAGATCCTCACAAAAGAGGCAAGTATTATCACATCCCGTCTAGAAATGAGGAAACTGAGGTTTGAAGAGATCAGCAACTTGAACAAGGAAGCACTACTACAAATGGAAAACATCAACTTAAATCCAGGTCTTCTAACTCTGGGCCCAGTGTTTTTTGTTTTTTCTTCCCATTTTCATTTATAGAGACAAGGTCTCACTATGTTGCCCAGGCTGGTCTGGAACTCCTGGGTTCAAGCAATCCTCCTGCCTGGGCCTCCCAAAATGCTAAGATTACAGGCAGGGGCCACCATTCCCAGCCTCAGTCTTCCTTCTAATACACCAAGATGCTCTCAAAGGAAAAGAGATTTACAAATTTAGTAGCTTTACTATTGTAATTAAGAAAAATTAATTAGTCTTGTCTGTTTCTAGAAATTAATTCCTAATTAAATGTTTAATCCAGTAACAGAATTATTAAAATTATTTTTAATTATAGGCACACATACCCAAATTGGTTAAAAGAAGTTTTTTTTTAAATGAAGAAAAACAACTTAGAAAAAAACAGAAAATAAAAGTTGAGAATATTTTAAAAAGAAGGAAGGGGCCAAGCACAGTGGTACACGCCTCCAATTCCAGCACCTTGGGAGGATGAGGCAGGCGGATTGCTTGAGCCTAGGAGTTCAAGACTAGCCTGGGCAACATGGCAAGACCCCATCTCTACAATAAATACAAAAATTAGCTGGGCATGGTAGCATGCACCTGTAGTCCCAGCTACTCGGAAGCCTGAGGTGGGAAGGATCACTTGAGCCCAGATGGTTGAGGCTGCAGTGAGCCATGATCACACCACTGCACTCCAGCCTAGGCAACAGAGTAAGACATGTCTCAAAAAATAAAAAATAAGAGTACAAAAATAAGTTCTTTACATTTTAAATAAAGAAATTGAAAATCTTGAAGCCAATAATCTAATACACAGGCCTTTTTAGCCAATAAATTAGGTATAGGATCTACTTTCATAAAGCCATCTAATTCTGCTTCTGTTTGAAGAGAGGAGAAGATAAATAATATTGATAAATAAGATTAAATTCAGAAAACAAAAATTGCCGATAATACTATGACTAGGAAGTACCTAGGCATCATTGAGATGGTTAGTGAAGGATCAGTGAACACAGAGCTCTAGGCCAAGAAGCCAAAGAGCAGAACAGCAGAGGGAGTTGCAGCTGAAACATTACCATTTTGCAGCCATTGTGGAAAAGACAGGTTCAGGAGATTGATCAATGGTTGTTAAATGTAGAAGTGGTCCATTTAAAAAAGAGCAAGACATCTGCATGGTCTCAGTGTCTCCCCACAGATAATTTGAAAAAAAAAAAAAAAAAAACAGAAATGACACCACAGAGAAACTGGACAACCCTGTGACTAGGAAAATTAACATCATGAAGATGGACAACCTATGCCTCCAAATGTAATAGTTCAAGAAGCATGCATCACCTATGGTAGTATCCCAGCCAAGGATACATAACCTGAATCTAAACATGAGGAAACACCAGCAAACCCAAAAACTGATTAACATAAAATAAAATAATAGGCTTTGCAATCCTTAGATATGTCAAATTCATGAAAGACAAAAAAGGCTAAGGAACTATCCCAGATTAAAGAAGATTAAAGAGACATGGCAACTAAATTAAATATATTATCTTGGACTGGAAACTGTACTTGAGGAAAAAAATGCTTGGGAAAAAAAACACTTTATTGGAACAAAGGATAAAATTAGATTAATTTCCTGAATACATCAACACTGTAGTTGCGTAAGAGAATATCTTTGTTCTTAAAAATTACACATTAAGATTTTCATTGTAAAAGAACATGATGTGTACAACTGAGTCTCCAATGGTTCAGAAGACATAATAACATGAATACGTATATGTGCCTGAATATGCATGGGGAGAGTGAGTGGCAGAGAGAGTAAGCAAGCAATGTAGCATTTTTTTTTTAATTGGTAAATCTGCAAAAGGGTAGCTCTCTGTGTCATTGTTGCAACTTTTTTGTAAACTTGAAACTATTTCATCAGAGTAAACCATTAAAAACCAGAGGTGAGGAATAGGGTAAGCTTTAAGTTTTTTATATAAACTTTGTCATTCGATTTTTTAAAAGGCAAGTAATATTACGGTTTTATAAATGAGAAAATGTGGACTCAAGAGAGATTTAATGACCACTTCCAGAACAGGGGTCTCCTTGTTTCTGTACAATTCCATTAGACTGCAGGTCAATAGCCAAATGTTTCTAATCCCTGGAAGCTTCTCTGGTGGTACTACTTGGAGCTACTATTTAAAGTTTTAAACTTTTTGTGAGTTGTATGCACTCACTAATAAAAATACCATACATTTCATCAAGTAGTAAGTAGCACATCTAAACTTTTGAGAGAATGGGCTCTAATATTAGAGCCCCTGAGTTCAAATTCAGGCAGTGCAATGTTCTACCTTTGTGGCCTTTTCCAAGTTAACAACCTTGCTCCAATTTCCTCACGTGTAAAGTGGGAGCAGAGAAGTACCTGGTAATAACCTGCAGGGTTGTTTAGGAAAACTGAATGAGATAATAAATGTAAAGTGGTGTGCACAAATACTCAATAAATATCTTTCGGGGAACACAATTCAACCATGGTTATTTGCATATATTACATATCACCTCTAATCAATTAGCTACTTTTATTTTAAATCCAACCTGTTAGGTCACCTCAAGAGCACTGGTCACAGAGTCAAAGCCGTAAGTTTTTTTTGTTTTTTTTTTCCAAATCAGGTCCAAATTTGACAAAAATCTTTTTCTTTTTTTTCTTTTTTTGAGACGGAGTCTCACTCTGTCGCCCACGTTTGAGTGCTGTGGCGCGATCTCGGCTCACTGCAGCTTCCGCCTCCCGGGTTCAAGCGATTCTCCTGCCTCAGCCTCCCGAGTAGCTGGGATTACAGGCACGAGCCACCACGCCCGGCTAATTTTTGTATTTTTAGTAGAGACGGGGTTTCACCATGTTGGCCAGGCTGGTCTCGAACTCCTGGCCTCAAGCGATCCGCCCACCTCACCCTCCCAAAGTGCTGGGATTACAGGCGTGAGCCGCAGTGCCTGGCCCCAAATCTGACAAAAATCTAAGAGAAAACATCGTAGATGTTCACAAACCATAAAAGTAAATTAATTTGCGAAACAGATTGATGCCGATATACAGGTTAATTCAGTCTAAACATTTTGCTAATAGTAGAGGCAACAAGCTCCGTACTTGTTCTAGAACAATGGATCATCAAATGCATATAATGAAAAATGAAATCAGTTACCTTACTTTTAAACTTTTCTAACCTTGGGAAAAAGGAAAAGATTGTATCTTACATGCTATATATATGATTTTGATCCTCAATACAGCCAAAATGTAATCCCAATTTGAAGTAGTAGCACTTTCTAGACTACCCAATATTGTTAGTAACGTTTAATTTAAATTTTAATTATACCCTCTAACAGATCTGCAAAGCTACTAGCACAGCTATTCTACCTTAATTTAGCATGAATTTAGTGACAGACTATTATGTGACCCTATTGCTTAGTAATGAAAGATTTAAAATAAGAGAAATGTAAAAATGATAATTCTGGTAAATGTAACCACTACCACCAACCCACCCCCCAAAACAAACAACTTGGGATTTCTTTCCATTTCTCGGTGATACTTTTTACAAAACTAAGTGTACCTTGTTTAACATTCGTTTTTAAAATTCACATTATTAATCTGTAAAAGTTTTGGATTTGTTCACAGTAACACTCTTTTAAAATATTTTCTATTCATATGCTTATTTTGGATTGGTGTTTTTGTCTGTAGTGCAAAGGACATAATCCAAGAACATTAATACTGGTGTAAACCAGTTTGTCCATTCAAACAGCCTAAATCCACCTCTCTGCTCCTACACTCCGGGGTCACAAAATAACTTCCCACAAGCAACACTCGCACTCTCACCTTCACCAAAACACTCCTTTCACCCTAATCAGGGAATGTATTAAAGTCTGATCCGGCGAACGGTAAATAAACTAGAAGACGATGCTCAAAATTCAGACTCCTGAGCCCAGCCCAAGTCCAATTCAATCAGTGTCTTCAGGGGTGGGATCTAAGCTCACCAAGTGGTTTCCTTTTCACTAAAGTTTGAAAACTACTAGAGACCCCTACACACATTCGCCCCAAACTCCCACAACTCCCACCACCGCCAACCAACCCCACCTACCCACCCGCGGGACACGTTACCGCCCTGCCCTGCTCAGACCTCAGGGCGACCCCGCTCCTCTCCAGGAAGCCCACCCTGGCGCCCACTCCTCCGAGTCCGCAGCTCCTCCCTCCCATCCCCGCAACCCAAACCTTTCTCCTCACTTCTTCAAATCGCTGCTAAAGAGGCCGAAGGCCCCCGAGGGGGAAATGGTTGAGGTCGCCTCCTGACCCAGCTCCGTCGCCTCCCCTCCTCCGGACTGCTCATTGTAAGGAAAACTATTGCTGGACATTGCCGCGGTGCTGGCGGGTGCGGGGTTGGTCCTGCCGGGGGTTCTCTCCAAAAGGTTCCAGTCCAGAGGGCACGGAACAAAACTAGTTCTCGTACGGAGGAGCGCGCGCAGGCGCTTCCGGACTCGTCACGGCTCCCTGAGCCGACCTGGCAGTCCACCCCCTGCGCATGCGCAGTGTGCAGGCCTGCTAGATTACCACCCGGGCCATCCAGGCCTGCGCGGACTTTCCTGCTCCGGGCTTTAGAGGTAGCTGAGCGGCTGCGAGCCGGACTGCGGAAGGGGAGGCAGCGGGTGGCTAACTGCCCGGCTCCCGGCCCGTTTGAGGTGTGTCTTTGGAGAAGGATACCCATTGCATCCGTTTTGATCCGTTAAGGAGTTTCCAGAGCCCGGACAGCTCTTTGCTATACTTCAGTAAAGCAATAGTTTTCAGATTTCTCCGGAAATGCCATTTAGCACGCCAGATCACCTTTCCTAAACCCATCACGATCGCTTTTCCTTTTCTTGCTTGTTTCGGCTACTCTCTTCCATCCGGCTTTGCCTTACTTTCATATCGGTCCCAAACAACTTTTCTCCTAGACTTTAAGGAGGCCTCTCCCAACGATGGTTTGGAGGATCCGCACAGAAGCGACCATTCCATCTTTTCAATGAAAGTCTTGGGGGCAGACCGGGCGCGGTGGCTCACGCCAGTAATTCCAGCACTTTGGGAGGCCGAGGCGGGTGGATCACTTGAGGCCAGGAGTTCGAGACCAGCCTAGGCAACATAGCGAGACCCTTTCTCTGCAAAAAATATAAAAATTAGCCGGCGTGGTGGCGCGTGTCTGTGGTCCCAGCTACTGAGGCTGAGGTGGGAGGATCACTCGAACCCAGAAGGAGGGGGTAGCGATGAGTTGAGATCTCTCCACTGCATTCCAGCCTGGGCGACAGAGCGAGACCCTGTCTCAAAAAAATGAAAAAGAAAAGAAAACATCTTGGGGCCACCAGTTCCCGTTTGGAGCTGAAGTGGTGCGTCCTATTGGCGTCTAGCTACCAAAAATAAAATGGACCACCTCGCGCGCCAGTCGTGTTACTCACTAATATGCACTAGGGAGCCTAGGCGGGATGCTTGCCTGGCCCCAGAGTAGCTCTCTCCGGGTGCTGGCACCCGAGAAAACCTCTTTCCCGGGGTGCCTTCCCCCAGCCCGCCTTCTCAGGTGGGTTTCAGCGCCTTCCCTCTCTTCTCCCCAGTGCCTCCCGTCCAAGGAAGGCATTAACACCCAAAGCCCTGGCGGCCAGGTACTGAAACTGTCAAGGGATTCTACCAGGTAGAACGCGAACCTGGAGGCCGGCCGCCCCAGGGAAGGCGGTGGGGCGTTTTCAAGGATGAGAGTATGATCTCCAAATTTCAAAAGGTCACACTGTCACTGTGGAAGCACGCAAGAGCGTGGCTCTGGGTGGGAGAGGAAGGGACGTCCTCCAAACTTGATCGTCTGGTCAAATATTGGCAGGTTTTTAATTCAGCTGTTAGAATACTCCTCCGGAGAGCCAATGATGAGCACCTAAAATGTGTTATTTGTCAGTATTAATTAATAGAATTTCACCTACAACTGACTATTGATGATGAGGATGAGGATGATCATAGATAACTATATATTATTATATAATCCTTAATATATACCAGGATATAAGTAGTTTTATATATATTAAAACTTCTAAGTAGTTTTATATATATAAATAGTTAAAGTAGTTAACTTTTAATATAAAAAAATTTATTTTAAGTTAAAATAAATACTTTTAAGTTAAAATAGTTAACTTTTAATATATATTAAAAGTTCTAAGTAGTTTTATATATATTAATAGTAAAAAGAGCTAGGCTTTGATTACTTTATTTGTAAAATGAGAACATTGATATACACATAGCCTGGAAAATCTCGGACACATACCTGATTACAGAATTTCTTGGTTTTAGAGCATGTACACTTTTACCAGATATCCTAAATTTTTTTCCAGCATACTTTTAGCAGTGGATAATCTTCTTTCTTCACATTCTCACAAACGTTTAGCTTTCTAAAAATGTTTAATTGTCATCAATATGATACAAATGAATATTATTTGTATTGTAATTAATTTTCATTCTCATGGCCATAATGAACTTGAGAATATTTTATGTGATTGTTACTCCATTTGCATTTTATTTCCTGGGAATTGCACATGAACCTATTTATCCACTTTTACACTGAGTAGTTTTTCTGATGGACTTGAAGAGTTCTTTATCATTGAGTCTGTTATTTTTAATTAACTGCTTGATTTTATTTTGTAATATTTTTATTTTTTCATACAGACTCAGGTAGGAGACTGACCTACAATATTGGGGTTTTGGGTTTTGGGGGTTTGTTTTTTGGGGTTTTGTTTGTTTTGTTTTTACATTGTCTTTGAATGGTGTGGATATTAAGAATATCTATTCTTCAAAAAAGAGGTATAGGTAACTTTCTTTTTCTCTGGAATATTACGTATAAGATACAAAGCATATATTCCTGGATGAAATAGGTAAAACTTTATTTTTATCACTAAAAAAAAAATAAAAAAATGAGAGCATTGACAAGAAGGGACTTGAGGCCCTTACTGCCTTAGAATTCTAACACTGTATATTCTTACAGAAAGATAAAAAGTAATAACTCCATGGGCTGTGATCCAGCTTTCCCATATCTCCAGAACTGAAAAATCTTTTATATAGCCATGAAGTTTTCTGACAGAGGAAAAAAAGTCACACTTCCAACTGGAAGAAACATTAATAAAACTAAAAGATTACTCTTTGACACCTGTTGCCAAACCAAACCAGATTTTTCTGTTTCCTGCCAGTATACGTAGTGTCTGGTATTACTGCCAAATAAGCTGTTTTTTTTTTTCCAAAAACTATTTTCCCCCTAACACTTAACAAAACCTTTATCAAATTTTCTGTTTCCATTTCTGTTCATCTAACCCTCATGATATAGGTGTTAAGTGTGTATATATATTCAAGCTTTTTTCTCTAAGCATAGAAAAATAAATGATATATGGCATGTTTCTGCAAATACCAGTTAAAACCATAATACCATTCTGCATCTTACTGCATCTCACTGTTTTAAAGATCTACATAGTATTTCATTTCATAGGTGCATCTTTATTTATTTAATCAATAGCCTATTGATACACATGTAAATTGTTTCCAGTTTTGGACTATTATAACAACTTTGTCAATGCATGTCTTTGCACCACGCCACCACTATTCCCATTAGTTAAGATTCCAAAAGTCCAATAGCTAGAACAGATGATATGTGCAATTAAAATTTTAATAGATATTGCCAAATTTCTAACATAAAAAGAGAATACCAACACTTTCACCAATATTCTTCCATCTCAACACACCCTTTCCAGCAATGTACATCATAAATCTTTTTAATGTTTGCTAATCTGATTGGTAATAATAATAATAAAATCTCTACTATCATTTAAACTTGCATCTCATTTATTCTAAGTAAAGAGACATTAAAATGTATTGTCCAAATAGGAAGTTTTCTTTTTTTGTTTGTTTGTTCGTTTGTTTTTTGAGATGAGTTTTGCTCTTGTTGCCCAGGCTGGAGAATAATGGCGCGATCTCAGCTCACTGAAACCTCTGTCTCCTGGGATCAAGTGATTCTCCTGCCTCAGCCTCCCGAGTAGCTGGGATTACAGGCATGCGCTACTATGCCCAGCTAATTTTATATTTTTAGTAGAGATGGAGTTTCACCATGTTAGTCAGGCTGGTCTCGAACTTCTGACCTCAAGCGATCCACTCGCCTCGGCCTCCCAAAGTGCTGGGATTACAGACGTAAGCCACAGCGCCCAGCCCCAAATAGGAAGTTTTCGAGACAAAAAGTGATACTAGTCATAATTTTACTGGACAAATACATGTAAACCAGGACTCTGCCAGGGAAATAGGCATATATGGTTACCCTAAATATAACAGATTTAAAGCACACATCAAACGGCTATTTGAATTTTTCTTCTATTAATTATGCACATTTGTCACTTGCTTAGTTTTAAGTGGATCTTTTATTGATTTGTAGGCATACTTTATAGATACTGAATGTTAACATTTTCTCATTATTATCTAGAATATGTTATAAAAATTGATTCAAGGCCGGGCACAGTGGCTGACACCTGTAATCCCAGCACTTTGGGAGGCCAAGGCAGGCGGATCACTTGAGGTCAGGAGTTCGAGACCAGCCTGGTCAACATGGTGAAACCCCATCTCTACTAAAAATACAAAAATTAGCCTGGTGTAGTGGTACATGCCTGTAATCCCAGCTACTGGGGAGGCTGAGGCAGGAGAATTGCTCAAACCCGGGAGGCAGAGGATGCAGTGAGCTGAGATGGTGCATTGCACTCCAGCCTGGGCGAAGAAGCGAGACTCTGTCTCAAAAAAAAAAAAAAAAATTTTGATTCAAAAAGTTGCAGGAAACCTGAATAAACTAAATAACTATAGAAGAGAATTGGAAACGTTGCCAAAAGTCTACCACCAAAAAAGGACTACACTAATATAGTTCTATTGGGCCTATAAGGAGTTTACTATTTCTGTTATTTTAAACTATTATTAAACTTAGCAAAGAAAAAGACAAAGCACTTCCAAATTCATTTTGTAGGACTGATTTTATTAAATACAAAAAAGAACAATAAACTATCTCAATACTAAACAAATGCTAAATGAAAAACAAAATAATCCAATACGTTTTGTTATATGATAAAAGAATCTTTGAACATTAAGAAACATAATGATAGATATTGGAAATCATTTCATAATATTTTATCAGCTCTTCTGATTTAAAGAAAAAATTAATAATCCAGAAATAAAAGTAAATTTTCTTATTATTATTATATATATGTAAATAGGTATCAATATGGTTTGGCTCTGTGTCCCCACCCAAATCTCATCTGAAATTTTAAACCCCATAAACCCCACAATCTCCAAGTGTCTTGGGAGGGATCTGGTAGGAGGTCACTGGATCATGGAGGTGGTTTCCCCCATGCTGTTCTCATGACAGTGAGTGAGTTCTCATGAGATCTGATGGTTTTATAAGGGGCTCTTACCCCTTCATTCTCTCTCTCTCCTGCCACCTTGTGAAGCAGGTGCCTTCTTTCCCCTCCACCATGATTGTAAGTTCCCTGAGGCCTCCCCAGCCATGCAGAACTGTGAGTCAATTAAATCTCTTTTCTTTACAAATTACCCAATCTAGGGTAGTATCTTTGTAGCAGTGTGAAAACAAAATAATACAGTAAATTGGTACCAGTAGAGTGGGGTACTGCTATAAAGACAAACTGAAAATGTGGAAGTGACTTTGAAACTAGGTAACAGGCAGAGGTTGGAGCAGTTTGGAGGGCTCAGAAGAAGACAGGAAGATATGGGAAAGTTTGGAACTTCCTAGAGATTTGTTGAATGGTTTTGACCAAAATGCCGATAGTGATGTGGACAATGAAGTCCAGGGTGAAGTGGTCTCAGATGGAGATGAGGAACTATATTAGTCTGTTCTCATGCTGCTAATAAAGACATACCTGAGACTGGGCAATTTATAAAGTAAAGATGTTTAATGAACTCACAATTCCTCATAGCTCAGGAGGCGTCATTCATGGCAGAAGACGAAGGAAGAGCAAAAGGACATCTTACGTGGTGGCAGACAAAAGAAAGCTCCTGCAGGGAAACTCCCCTTTATAAAACCATCAGATCTCTTGAGATTTATTCACTATCACCACAACAGCACAGGAAAAACCTGCCCCCATGATTCAATTACCTCCCACTGGGTCCCTCCCACAACACATGGGGATTATTATAATTCAAGATGAGATTTGGGTGGAGACACAGAGCCAAACCATATCAGGAATTTATTGGAAACTGGAGCAAAATCACTCTTACTATGCTTTAGCAAAGAGACCAGTGGCATTTTGCCCCTGCCATAGAGATGTGTGAAACTTTGAACTTGACAGAGATGATTAGGGTGTCTGACAGAAGAAATTTCTAAGCAGCAAAGTGTTCAAGAAGTGACAGAACATAAAAGTTTGGAAAATTTGCAGCGACACCATGTGGTAAAAAAGAAAAACCCATTTACTCATTTTCTGGGGAATAATTCAAGCTGCTGCAGAAATTTGCATAAGTAATGAGGGGCCAAAATGTTAATTGTTAAGACACTGGGGAAAATGTTTCCAGGGCATGTCAGAGGTCTTCACAGCAGCTCCTCCCATCACAGGCTCTGAGGCCCAGGAGGAAAAAATGGCCCCACTGCTCTGTGCAGCTTCAGGACTTAGTGCCCTGCTTCCCAGCCACTCTAGCTCTAGCCATGGCTAAAAGGAGCCAAGGAACAGTTCAGGCTGTTTCTTCAAAGGAAGTAAGCCCCAAGCCTTGGCAGCTTCCGTGTGGTGTTGGGCTTGTGGGTGCATAGAAGTCAAGAATTGAGGCCTTGGAACCTCTGCCTAGATTTCAGAGGATGTATGGAAATGCCTGGATGTCTATACAGAAGTCTGCTGCAGAGGCAGAGCCCTCATGGAGAATTTCTGCTAGGGCAGTACAGAAAGGAAATGTGGGGTTGGAGCCTACACACAGAGTACCCACTGGGGCATTGCCTAGTGGAGCTGTGAGAAGAAAGCCATCACCCTCCAGACCCCAGAATGATAGATCCACCTACAGCTTGCACCATGCACCTGGAAGAGCTGCAGGCACTCAATGCCAGCTGATGAAGGAGCTTCCCAAGGCCATGGGAGCCCACCCCTTGCATCAGCATGTCCTGGATGTGAGACTTGGAGTCAAAGGAGATTATTTTAGCGCTTTAAGATTTAATGGCTGCCCCACTGAATGTCGAACTTGCATGGGGCCTCCACTCCCTTTGTTTTTGATTTTACAGGCTCATAGGCAGAAAGAACTTGCCTTGTGTCAGATAAGACTTTGGACTTGGACTTTTGAGTTAATGCTGAAATGAGTTAAGACTTTGGTGGACTGTTGGGAAGGCATGATTGGGTTGAAATGTTAAAAAGACATAAGATTTGGGAAGGAGCAGGGCTGCAATGATATGGTTTGGCTCTGTGTCCCCACCCAAATCTCATCTTGAATTGCAATCTCCATAATCTCCATGTGTCGAGAGAGGGACCTGGTTAGAGGTGATTGGATCATCGGGGTGGTTTCCCCCATGCTGTTCTCATGATAGTGAGTGAGTTCTCACAAGATCTGATGGTTTTATAAGGGGCTCTTCCTCCTTCACTACCTCTCGCTCTCTCTCTCTCTCTCTCTCTCCTGCCACCTTGTGAAATAAGGTGCCTGCTTCCCCTTCAGCCATGATTGTAAGCTTCCTGAGGCCTCACCACCCATACAAAACTGTGAGTCATTTAAACCTCTTTTCTTTATTAATTACCCAGTCTCAGGTAGTATCTTTGTAGCAGTGTGAAAATGGACTAATACAGATATAGATAAATAGACAGATTACGTTAAAATACCTCCACAAAATATACAAAGTAAAACACACATCATGTTTCATAGTGAAACATCAAAGGCATTCCAACTAAAGTCAGAAAAAAGGTAAATATGCCTATTAACACCATCATCATTTAACACTGTTCTATAGATTCTAACTAATGCAATAAAACAAGAAAAACAAATAAGAAAAATAAACAGTATAAAGGAGAAAAGATTATAACATTTATAAATGATATTGTCTCACTAGAAAGTCTCAGAGATGTTAAGTGGATTCAGCAGAGTGGCCAAATTCAAAATCCAATAGCATTCCTACATGCCAATAGCATCTAATTAGAAATATAACTTCTGCCAGGTGCAGTGGCT
Organism: Homo sapiens; assembly: GCF_000001405.40. Taxonomy (NCBI): domain Eukaryota; kingdom Metazoa; phylum Chordata; class Mammalia; order Primates; family Hominidae; genus Homo; species Homo sapiens. The sequence goes on from NC_000005.10 coordinate 78,302,393, forward strand.
CATGCCTGTAATCCCAGCACTTTGGGAGGCCAAGGCAGGTGGATCACTTGAGGTCAGGAGTTCAAGACCAGCCTGGCCAACGTGGTAAAACCCCATCTCTACTAAAAGTACAAAAATTAGCTGGGCGGTTGTGGCACATGCCTGTAATCCCAGCTCCAGAGGCTGAGGCAGGAGAATCGCTTGAGCCTGGGAGACGGAGGCTGCGGTGAGCCAAGATCGCCCCACCGTGCTCCAGTCTGAGAGACAGAGTGAAACCCTGTCTCAAAAAAAAAAAAAAAAGGAATGTAACTTCAAAAAGAGCCTGTTCCACGTAGCAACAAAGAAGTAAGCCTTAAGAAATCAACCTTAAAAAATGTACAAGTCCTAAGTGACGAAAATATAAAATTTTACCGAAGGGTTAGGGGTTGGGGTAGAGACCTAAAAAGGAGTCTATGTTTCTGAATAAAAATATTTGAATGAATTTAGATATTTAATGCAGTTTCAATCAAAATTGAAAATGTTTTACTAGGCCAATTGATGCTAAAGTTCATCTAGAAGAATAAATGCAGCTGAAAGCAAGACATTTTTTGGAAAGAAAAAAAAGAATATTGGACTCACCCTACCACTCATTTAAATGTACTATAAAATTGTTGTAATGCAAAAGTCTGGTAATGACCCAAGAGCAAATAAATTGATTGGCAGCATAGAATAGAAACAGACTCAGTTATATGCTGGCATTGACATTATGAAAAAGTTAATATTCCTGACCTGTTAGGAAATAATGTAGTATACAATAAATGCTACTGGGACAATTAGTTAACTATGTGGCAAAAATTAGGCTCCATCCCTGTGTTAATTTCCTATTACTGCTGTTACAAATTACCACAAACTAGATAGTTTGAAACAACATAAGTTTATTCCTACAGTTCTGGAGTCCAGAGGCTCAAAATCAAGGAACACAGTCTAAGGTATGGGCAGGACCCTCCCTCCAGAAGCTCTAGGGGGAAATTCTTCCTTGCCTTTTCTAGCTTTTAGGGCTGCATTCCTTGTACTCCTTGGCTCCAGGCCCCTTCCTCCATCTCCAGGGCAGCAGCATAACATCTTCAAGTCTCTCTCTCTGCTCCGTCTTCACATGGCCTCTTCCTCTTCTTTGTCAAATTTCCTTCTGCCTTCCTCTTTTAAGGACACTTGTGATGACATTTAAGGCCCACCAAGTTAATCCAGGATAATCTCCCCATCTCAGCACCCTTAACTTAATTGTATCTATAAAGTCACTTTTGCCATATAAAGTAACATTCACATTTTTCAGGGATTAGAATTTGGACATATTTGGGAGCTGTTATTCAGCCTACTGTAATCTCTAACCCACACAATGCCTAAAATAAACCCCAGATTGATTAAAGATAAACTACAAAAACTAATTTTTTTTAATTTTTATTTTAAGTTCAGTAGTGCAAGTGCAGGTTTGTTACACAGGTTAACTTATGTCATGGGAGTTTGTTGTACAGATTATTTCATCACTCAGGTATTAAGCCTAGTATCTATTAGTTATTTAGCTATTTTTCCTGATCCTCTCCCTCTTCCCACCCTCCATCCTCCAAAAGGCCCCAGTGTGTGTTGTTCCCCTTTATGTGTCCATGTGTTCTCAAAAAAACTGATTGAATTTTAGGAAAATATTTTCCTGACTGAGGGGTCTCATGGTTGAGAAATGGAGTGAGAGAGACTTTCTGCATAAATCTAGGCAAGAAACAATTTTTAAAATTTGTAAAACAGTAAGTATTATATGAATACGCAGTTTTATTGCCTTTAGATTAGGAAATTCATCTTATGTTTTTCATTTATTTTATTTATTTATTTATTTGAGACAGGGTCTCATTCTGTCACCCAGGCTGGAGTGCAGTGGCATGATCACAGCTCACTGAAGCCTCTAACTCCTGGGCTCAAGCAATCCTCCCATCTCAGCCTCCTGAATAGCTGGGACCACAGGTGCACACCACCATGTCTGGCTATTTTTTAAAAATTTTTTGGTAGAGAAAATGTTTCACTCTGTTGGCTGGGCTGGTCTCAAATTCCTGGGCTCAAGTGATTCTCCCACCTCAGCCTCCCAAAGTGCTGGGATTACAGGTGTGAGCCACCACTCCCAGACTTCTTATGTTTTTTAATAGAATTTAAATTTAACAAGGTTAGTGAAGACATGAGGTTCAAATTTCACAAGTAATTTCTAGGTGTTCATTTGAATGTGTAATAAGGAATAAAGTTACCCCTATTTAAAAAAAAATTAAATTAGGATTATGAAGAAAAGAGTAACATGACCTCTAATAAAGAAGAGTTTCCACTTATTGCATTTTTAAAATTTTTCAAACTCCAAGTGAGGTAATTTACATGCACTTACCATGGTTCCACTCAATCTGGTCCTTGTTTATATCTCTTAACTTAATTGTAGAAGCACTCTTCCTAGCTTACACACCCCTTATACTCCAGGCAGTCTGGCTTTTCTGTTCTTTGATCCACCAAGCTTGTTCTGACCTGAGAGACCTTACTGGCTGGGCTCTTCTGAAGGACCCAGCCTTTTGAAGACCTATTGGTGGGTCTCCAAAAGGCTGGCTCCTTCAGCTTTGTTCAGGCTTTATTCTATTCAGGTTTTAGCTCAAATATCACCTCTTCAGAGAGATCTTCTCTGACCATCCAGTCTAATGTGGTTCTTCCATCTGATCCCCAAATCCCTGGTTACATAATTGATTTGGACAGCTGATCTGTTTAGCTAGCCATGCATCGCTCTCTGATACATATCACTCTGGAAGCTTTGCACTGGGTTACATAGTGCAATTTTCCCAGGTAGACTGTAAAGTTTCTCTTACCAAATGCACGTGAGTTGTCATGCCCTCCTGTTTAGAGAAATTCCATGATTTATTATTTTGGAACATGAAGAAATCTTCTCTAATTGAATATATGCAATCCTCCAATTTACTAAGCATTTGGGGATTTTCATACTTAAGGCTTTCCAAAACAGTACACACCTATAAACTTGTGCCTTGAAAATGCTATGACTGGCAAGGCGTGATGGCTCATGCCTATAATCCTAGCGCTTTGGGAGGCCAAGGTGGGTGGATCACCTGAGGTCAAGAGTTTGAGACCAGCCTGGTCAACATGGTGAAACCCTGTCTCTACTAAAAATACAAAAATCAATCGGGCATGGTGGCAGATTCCTGTAATCCCAGCTACTCAGGAGGCTGAGGCAGGAGAACCGCTTGAACCTGGGAGGTAGAGGTTGCAGTGAGCCAAGATCACGCCATTACACTCCAGCCTGGGTGAAAGTGCAAAACTCCATCTCAAAAAAAAAAAAAGAAAAAGAGAAAAAGAAAATGCTTCATTTTCATTATTATATTTTATAATAAAATTACTCTGGGAAAAGGCAATGCGATCAACCCTACATGAGATAATGACTGACATTTATTTGAAATGATTTAGGAATGTAGAGAAACCGTATCACTAAATATCTCAAAGGAAACATTTTAGGCCATTTATAGTATCATTATTTTACTTAAGAATTTTAGGTGACCTTAATCTCAGAGGCAAAGGCTGAAGTTATACAAAATGGCCAGGCACAGTGACTCATGCCTATAGTCACAGCACTTTGGGAGACTGAGGTGGGTGGATTGCTTGAGCCCAGGAGTTCAAGACCAGCCTGGGCTACATGGTGAAACCTCATCTCTACAAAAAATACAAATATTAGCCGGGTGTGGTGGTGCATGCTTACAGCCATCACATGAGACTATTTAAGATGGAGTTGCTCTGGTTCAAACGCCTCTGACACTTCCATAAATAACTTAATGACTATATATTTTGTAGGCTATCACTGTCTATGATTCTCTGAGAGACAAGTCCATGATCATTGCAGAACCTTAAAGTAGTGGTACCACACCACTTGTTTCATTACATCTCATGGATACAAAGCAGATTTTCTAAGTGCAATAAGAAGGGCAAAAACAAACTGAACAAAGCGACAAAAGAAATCACATCTTTGGCCGGGTGCGTTGGCTGATGCCTGTAATCCCAGCACTTTGGGAGGCTGAGGTGGGCGGATCACCTGAGGTCAGGAGTTTGAGACCAACCTGCCCAACATGGCGAAACCCCATCTCTACTAAAAATACAAAAAATTAGCCGGGCATGGTGGCAGGCGCCTGTAATCCCAGCTACTCAGGAGGCTGAGGCAGGAGAATTGCTTGAATCCGGGAGGCAAATGTTGCAGTGAGCCGAGAGCGCACCACTGCACTACAGCCTGGGCGACAAGAGTGAAACTCTGTCTTAAAAAAAAAAAAGAAAGAAAGAAAAAAGAAAAAAAAAAAAGAAATCGCATCTTTTGGGGCAAGATGAAGTTCTTGCAGGTCCTGAAGCATGGACTACAACAGATTATGGCCACAGTAGCCTCTGCGGCTCTCCATAGATTTTATTTATTTATTTATTTATTTTTTGAGATGGAGTCTCACTCTGTTGCCCAGGCTGGAGTGCAGTGGCGCCATCTCGGCTCACCACAACCTCTGCCTCCCGGGTTCAAGCTATTCTCCTGCCTCAGCCTCCTGAGTAGCTGGGATTACAGGCGACTGCCACCAGGCCCAGCTAATTTTTGTATTTTTAGTGGAGATGGGGTTTCACTATCTTGGCCAGGCTGGTCTCGAACTCCTGACCTCATGATCCGCCCGCCTTGGCCTCCCAAAGTGCTGGGATTGTAGGCGTGAACCACCCCGCCTGGCCTCTCTACAGATTTTCTTCAGGGAAAATGTGAAAGTTGGTATGTTATATGAAAGGAAAATAAATCCTGGGGCTCCAAAATCACTAAGCCAAGCGAAAAGTCAAGCTGGGAACTGCTTGGGCAAACCTGCCTCCCATTCTATTCAAAGTCATCCCTCTGCTCATTGAGATAAATGCATATTTGATTGCCTCCTTTGGAGAGGCTAATCAGAAACTCAAAAGAATGCAACCGTTTGTCTCTTATCTACCTGTGACCTGGAAGCCCCCTCGCCACTTCAAGATGTCCTGCCTTTCCGGACCGAATCAATGTTCATCTTATATGTATTGATTGATGTCTCATGTCTCCCTAAAATGTGTAAAACCAAGCTGTGCTCGGACCACCTTGGGCATAGGTCCTTAGGACCTCCTGAGGCTGTGTCACACGTGCACATCCTTAACTTTGGCAAGATAAACTTCCTAAATTGACTGAGACCTATCTTAGATTTTGGGGGCTCACAGGAGGGAAAGACAAATATGGAAACAAATATTTTGAAGGCAACAAGCAGTTTTTGTACATACCGCTGAAATAAGTGGCAAAAATCCACATTATGGGATGTGGATGGAGACACGGAGCCCCTCGAATGGTATAATTGGCTTCATTCACAGATGACCCTCCAGCAACAGAACTACCTACTGATCGTAAATTCACCTGGGCAAATCATAAATTCAATATGAGTGACACTCATGAACAATGTGTACCTCATTCCACCACTAAAAGAAGATTCAAGAGTAGGTCCCACCTTCAACACCGTACAAGACAATGAAAAACAGTTTAAATGTGCAAAATGTGGGGCTTTTCATGTAATTTCACTTTTACTATTTAACATTCACTTGATTAATATTGTCTGACTAAATCATGTAAAAGAGAATAACACTTGAGCTAGGCCTCAAAATATGGAGAAGTAAATTTATACAGGTAAATGAGGTAGATAGATTTCATAGTAATAAAACAACCAGAGGCATATTTCACAGATATTAGGATACTAGAGTGATCCTGTATTTTAAGTGCATGTACAGGTCTAAAGGCTTAAAATTGAACAATATTGTTTTTGAGGTTAATAGTTAAAAGAAATAATAAAGCAGGTCCTACAAGAGTTAGAAATAAATCTTCATGCGACCATAAAAAATTTCCTAAACCACTGACATAGCACACTAATGTATTCAAATGTGCCCATGCAGCTGGAGCAGATACTGCCACAACAGTTGGTATAATCACAGATGGAAGGATTATAATGGAAGTATAAAAGCAAAAGGGGATAAAGCAAAACTGAATGGCCTTAAATTAGGTGGTAAATCATTCCATTTTAAATCTTGTAGTTCGGAATTCAAACCAAGGGCCCCTGTTTGAGAAAACCAATGGGAAATTTAGTAGACGTCATTCAGAAGGCACTGAAAAAGAACACTGCTTTTAAAATGGAAAAATATTTCAAATCACCTTAAAGTTCAATGGTAGCAGAACACTTAAGGAAATCATAGCACTACAACTTGAGGAAACAAGTCACTGAATATTGTAAACAGATGACATGGACATCTGGTATTTTTGTCTACCTAGCATCCCTGCTTTCCTTTCCAGTGACAGCATCCCTTTGTCTATTGTGGAACTGTGTCTCCTTTACCCTAATCATTTAATTTCTAGGGTACTTTCCTCTGTCAAAGGTGTGGGCAAGTGACCCAGGCCTGACCACTCATAATAATCTGTCTCCACAGCCACAGTGATTAGGCTGAGTGTTAGTCACATGACTCAAGTTGGGCCAATCAGAGCGTTTTCCTGGGAAATTGCTAGAAGAAAGCCTCTATTTCATTTGGGTTGGTAAACTGTGGTATTATAAGGTTGAAACTCCCTTCAGCTATATCCTCAGTTTGTCTGCAGTTCTTGAAAATGAAGCCAACATAGCAGAAAGCAGATCTGAGAGAAAGAGAGAAAATCCTGGTGGTATCATTTGACTTCCTAGACCTATTCATCTCAGAGCGGTACAACAACCCTTGTCTTTAGAGTTAAGAAAGTCAATACATCCCTTCTCCACACCCTTTTTTTTTTCATTTATTTTTTGTTAAGTTAGGGTTTGAGGCATCCTTTTTATGTAATTCCAGCACTTTGGGAGGCGAAGGTAGGTGGATCACCTGAGGTCAAGAGTTTGAGACCAGCCTAGCCAACATGGTGAAACCCCATCTCCACTAGAAATACAAAAATTAGCCATGTGTGGTGGCACGCGCCTATAGTCCCAGCTACTTGGGAGGCTGAGGCAGGAGAATTGCTTCAACCCAGGATGCAGAGGTTGCAGTGACCCGAGATCGTGCCACTGCACTCTAGCCTGGGTGACAGAATGAGACTCTGTCTCAAAAGAAAAAAAAGAAAAGAAAAGAAATTTTATGTAGGCTATTACTACAACTACATAAAATTTTGTTGCTTTTTTGTTTGTTTGTGTTCTTGGGTTTGTTTTTTTTTTTTTTGTCCTTAAATAGCATAGGTTCATGACTCAGGATAACTTTACTTTGGCCCCAGGTTAGGTCTCCCAAAAGGTTTCCCAGCAGTCAAGTCATGGAGTCTCCTGCTGAGTCACCATGAAGCAGACCTCTACCTTGAGAGGCCTTGTTATCACCCCAATTCTTGACTTCTTCTGGTACCACCATCTACTTTCACCTGAGCTACATAAAATGTTGAATTCATGTTGACTACTTGAATCTAACGGCTAGGATGCAGTGATGCTGCTAAACACCTTACAATGCACAGGAGAGCCCCCAGGAAAAAAGAATTATCTAGCCCTAATGTTAATAATGCCACTATTGACAAACCTTGGCAGAAGGGTAACAGGGTGATTTGTTTTCGTTAAAAAAGGTCTGATGTTGGCTGGGCATGGTGGTGCACACCTGTAGTCCTACCTGCTCAGGACTAGGCATAAGGATTGTTTGAGCCCAGGAGTTTGAGGCTGTAGTGAGCTGTGATCACACCACTGCACTTCAGCCTGGGCAACAGAGCAAGACCATGTCTTAAATTACAAATTAAAAAAAAAAGTCTGTAGTCTGCTCATCTGCTCATTAGAAGGAAAGGAGGAAAGGAAGGGAAGGAAGAAATGGAAAAGAAAGGAAATAAAGGGATAGAAGGCTATGGGAGAGAAGATGATAAAAAATCAGACATAAAGATAATTGAAAGTAAAGATACCTTATTTCTACTCCCATCTCTACAATTGACTGCCAGTGTGACCTCGACAAGCCACAGATTCTTTGGGAGTCAGTTTCCTCACTGGTAATATAGGGAATGGAGCTAGTTAGCCTGCTTCTGAGGTTCTTTCAGTTCAAAATTTCTATGACATTATCTTGGATAGTCAAACAGACTTAGGAAAAAATTAAGTTTTAATGCTGTATGTGCTCATAGCTATCTTTCTTTTAACATAGAGACCGGGTCTCACTGTTTTGTGCAGGCTAGTCTTGAACTCCTCAACTCAAGCAATCCTCTCTTCTTGGCCTCCCAGAGTGCTGGGATTACAGGCGTGAGCCACCACAACCGGCCCTCATGGCTGGTTTTAAGTCGTGGCATTCTGTGCTATCATGGACACAGTATAGGGTTTCTGTTTTTATCAACGTTTTTGGCATAAGTCACAGTGCCAGTTTAAAAAATTCAGGCCCAGTTGTCAGACTTTTTGTGAGGCATTGACAACAGAAAAAAGTAATATTGTCCATTTTTCAGTGCTCTTCTGTCAAAATTTCAATTTTTTTAAATTAAGAAAGAATACATAGATCTGAACTCTCTTAAAAATTATCTGTTATGGGTATAAATGGGCAGGGAAACTGGCTTGGAATAAAGCAAATTAAAAGACATAAAAAAAAACTGACTCTCCAGTCTAGCACATAAGGAGCTTAGAAGTTGCTACTCTGTCCTAACGAGTAAAAGGCTAAACAAACTGATAAAAAATCAACAATATTTTTAGATCTATTACAGAGGTGAAGTCAAAGGGCTAAGTGCTGCCCCCAAAACTGACGAGACAGACAGATAAATGCAGAGAATCGCAACTTAGCAGAGCAGAAACCACCCCAGGAACTAGTGCTGGAGTAGGAAAAGTGGAACTGTACTTCACAAACTGCTGGAAACTAGGTATAGACAAACGTGAGTTTAAATCTCCAGGGGGACCCAGTCTTTGGGGCCCCCACTCTTTGGGAAGCTTTACTTCCAGGTGCCTGACCTGGTTCTTAGGGTGAATTTTGGAGAAAAATCCCTTCACGCTTCCTGCAGCGGGAGGAGGAAAGGAACCGTTTTGAAACAAACCAGAGCACTCTGTTCTGAACAAGGTCTGCTCTCAGGAGAAACTATTTTTCAGAGTCTGCCCAGCTGGGGTTTTATCAAAACCTAACCTACTGGAGGAAAGGAAAATATGTAACTCCAGCCTACTGTATCCATCCTGTCCCACCTAAGGGGAAAAAAACCCTGAAACAGCAACGGGACAGCTCACAGACCAGAGGCGCAGACTACCAAAAGATGGACACCTAATCGCAGGATGATAGACACTTCCTGTCCCCCCACATTTCACCACTCCATTACTAAGGCAGTTTCTTGTATCTAGTACAGCATGTCCACCTTTCAACAACAATTTATAAAAAATACTGAAAGGAGAAAAAAAAACCCCTACAATTTGAAAAGACTAAAATAAACATCAAAACCAGATTCTGATATGTAGGAACGTTAGAATTACTAAACCAGGAATTTTTAAGAACTATGATTACTATGCTAAGGACTTTAAAGGGAAAACATGCAAGAGCAGGTGGATAATGTGAGCAGAATGATGGAAATTCTAAGATACAATCATGGACAATGCTAGAGATCAAAATACTGTAACAGAAAAGAAGAATGCCTTTGATGGACTTCTTAGCAGACTGGATGTGCCTGAGGAAGGAATCTCTGAGCTTGAGGATATGAAATAGAAACCTCCCAAACTGAAAAGCAAAGACAGAAAAGACTGGAAGAAAAAAAAACAGAAGAGAATATGTAAGAACCAGGAGACAGCCACTGTATGTGTAACATACAATAATGGGAATACTAGAAGGAAAAGAAACAGAAGGAAGAGGAGCAGTATTTTAAGCAATAATAACTGAGAATTTTCCCCAAATTAATGTCAGACACCAAACAACAGATCCAGAAAGCTCAGAGAACACTGAGCAGGATCAAAGCAGGAAAAATGACACCTAGGCACATCGTATTCAAATGCCAGAAAACTAAAGATAAAGGAAAAATCCTGAAGGAAGCCAGAAGAAATACAGAGGAGCAAAGTAAGAATTACATTTGACATCTCAGAAACTGTGTAAGCAAGAAGACAGTAGAGTAAAATAGTTACAATGATGACAGAAAAAAAACACCAGCCTAGAACTCTGCACCCTGTGAAATTATCTTTGAAAAGTAAGGAAAAATGAAGACTTTCTCATGTAAAAATTGAGCAAATTTTTTGCCAGTAGATCTGCCTTGCAAGAAATGTAAAAATAAGTTTTTCAGAGAGAAGGAAAATAATCTAGGTCAGAGACATGGATCTACATGAAGAAAAAGAAAAACATCAGAGAAGGAATAAGTAAAGGTAAAATAAAAACTTTTATTTTTCTTATTTTTAATTGGTCTGACAGTAGACAGTTTGTTCAAAATAGTAATAGCAACAGCAACGATGTATTTGAAGTTTGTTCAAAATAGTAATGTAACAATGTGCTCATGTGTAAATGAAAGAAATGACAGTAATGATACAAGGGATGGGAGGAAGGAATTAGGAATGTTTTGTAATTGTAAGACACTTGCACTCCTTGCAGAGCAGTATAGCATTACAAGGATACCAGGGGGATGTTGTGGGTTGGCTCCAGACCACTGCAATAAAGCAAATATTGCAATAAATTGAGTTATGTGAATTTTTTGTCTCCCAGTGCATACAAAAGCTATATTTACCCTATACTGTAGTCCATTAAGTGTGCAGTTACATTATGTCATAAATTATGTACCAGCCAGGTGTAGTGGCTCACGCCTCTAATCCCAGCACTCTGGGAGGCTGAGGCAAGTGGATCACCTGAGATCAGGAGTTCAAGACCAGCCTGGCCAACATGGTGAAATCTATCTCTACTAGAAATAAAAAAAAATTAGCCAGGTATGGTGGTGGGCACCTGTAATCCCAGCTACTTGGGAGGCTGAGGCAGGAGAATCACTTGAAACCGGGAGGTGGAGGTTGCAAAGAGCAGAGATTGACCCATTGCACTCCAGCCTGAACAACAAGAGCGAAACTCCACCACAAAAAAAAAAAAAAAAGTCTGGGTGCGTTGGCTCACACCTGTAATCCCAGCACTTTGGGAGGCCGAGGCAAGCAGATCACCTGAGGTCGGGAGTTTGAGACCAGCCTGACCAACATGGAGAAACCCCGTATCTACTAAAAATACAAAAATTAGCTGGGCGTGGTGGCGCATGCCTGTAATCCCAGCTACTCGGGAGGCTGAGGCAGGAGAATAGCTTGAACCTGGGAGGCGGAGGTTGCAGTGAGCCAAGATTGCGCCATTGCACTCCAGCCTGGACAACAAGAGCTAAACTCCGTCTCAAAAAAAAAAAAAAAGTACCTACCTTAATTTAAAAATACTTTAATGCTAGAAAATGCTAATGATCATCAGATCCTTCAGCAAATTATAATCTTTTTTCTGGTGGAGGCTCTTGCCTCATTGTTGATGGCTGCTGACTGATCAGGGTAGTGGTTGCTGAAGGTTGGGGTGGCTGTGGCAATTTCTTAAAATAAGACAACAGTGAAGTTTGCTGCATCAATGGACTCTTTGTTTGATGGAAGATTTATCTGTAGCATGCAATACCATTTGATAGCATTTGACCTACAGTAGAATTTCTTTCAAAACTGGAGCCAATCCTCTCAAAACATATCACTGTTTTATTGACTAAGTTTCTGTAATGCTCTATATCAATTGTTGTCATCTCAACAATGTTCACAATATCTTCCCCAGGAGAAGTTTCCTTATCAAGAAACCACTTTCTTTGCTCATCCATAAGAAGCAACTCCTCATCTCATCAAGTTTGATCGTGAGATTGCAGCAATTCAATCCCATCTTCAGGTTCCACTTGTAGTTATCTTGCTATTTCCACTACAACTGCAGTTACTTCTTCCACAGAACTCTTGAACCCCTTCAAGTCATCTGTGAAAGGGTTAGCATCAACTTCTTTCAAACTCCCGTTAATGTTCATATTTTGACCTCCTCTCATGAATCATGAATGTTCTTAATGGCATCTAGAATAGTGAATGTTTTCCAGATTTTCAATAAATTTTTCCAGATCCATCTGAGGAATCACTATTTGTGACAGCCATAGCCTTATGAAATATATTTCTTAAATACTAATACTTGAAAGTTGGAATGACTCCTTGATCCGTGGGTTGCGGAATGGATGTTGTGTTAGCATGCCTGAAAACAATATTAATCTCCTTGTACATCTCCATCAGTACTCTTGGGTGTCCAGGTGCCTTGTCATTGAGCAGTAATAATTTGAAAGGAATCCTTTTTTTTGAGCTGTAGGTCTCAACAATGGGCTTAAAATATTCAGTATACCATGCTGCAAACGGATGTGCTGTCGTCCAAGCTTTGTAGTTCCATTTCTAGAGCACAGGCAAAGTAGATTTAACATAATTCTTAAGGGCCCTAGGATTTTGGAGTGGTACATGAACATTGGCTTCAACTTAAAATCACCAGCTGCCTTAGCCCCTAACAAGAGAATCAACCTGTCCTTTGAAGTGTTTGCTTGTTTATTTGTTTTATGGAATGCTTCACTAATTTGCACGTCATCCTTGTGCAGGGGCCATGCTAATCTTCTCTGTATCATCCCAGTTTTTTTAGTATATGTGCTGCCAAAGCCAGCACCCTTTGAAGTTTCGAAGCCAGGCACTGTCTTTTTCTCTCTAGCTGTAAAGTTCCTAGATAACATCTTCTTCCAATACAACATTTCTTTCCCCCCACTGAAAATCTGTTTTAAGGATAGCCACATTTCATCAATTATCTTAAGTAGATCTGGAAAACTTGCTGCAGCTTCTACATCAGCACTTGCTGCTTCCCCTCACACTTTTATGTTGTGGAGAAGGCTTCTTTTCTTAAACGTAATGAATCAGCCTCTGCTAGCTTCTAACTTTTCTTCTGCAGCTTTCTTACCTATCTCAGCCTTCATAGACTTGAACAGTTAGGGCCTTTGCTTGGATTAGGCTTTGGATAAAGGAATGTTGCGGCTGGTTTGATCTTCTACCCAGACCAGTAAAACTTAACTCCATATCAGCAATAAAGTTGTGTTGCTTTCTTAGCATTGTGCATTCACTGGAGTACACTTTTAATTTCCTCCAAGAACTCTTCCTTTGCATTCACAACTTGGCTAATGGTTTGCCGCAAGACAACTAGCTTTCCGTCTATACAGACTTTTCAAAACGCCTTCCTCGTTAACCATAATTATTTCTGGCATTTGATTTAAAGTGAGAGGCTGGGTGTGGTGGTTCATGCCTGTAATCCCAGTACTTTGGGAGGCTGAGGTGGGCAGATCACCTGAGGTCAGGAATTCGAGACCAGCCTGGCCAACATGGCGAAATCCCATCTCTACTAAAAATAGAAAAATTAGCCGATGTGGTCACACGTGTCTGTAGTCCCAGCTACCTGGGAGGCTGAGGCAGGATAATCTCTGGAACCTGGGAGGCAGAGCTTGCAGTGAGCTGAGATCACACCACTGCACTCCAGCCTGGGTGACAGAGCAAGACTCTATCTAAAAAAAAAAAAAATATATATATATATATATATATATATATACATATATATATGTGTGTATATATATATACATATATATATGTGTGTATATATATATGTGTGTGTGTATATATATACATATGTATGTATATATATACACACACACATATATATATACACACATATATTGTGAGAATTACCAAAATGTGACACAGAGACACAAAGTGAGCAAATGCTTTTGGAAAAATGGTACCAATAAATTTACCTGATGCAGGGTTGCCACAAACCTCCAATTTGTAAAAAGCACAGTATTCACAGAGTGCAATTAAGCAAGGTATGCCTGTATTCAAAAGTGGACTTGAATTCATTGTAAGTGTATATTGCAAATTTTAGGGCAACCACTTTAAAGATTTTAAGAAGACGCATAAGTGACCAGGTGCACTGAATCACGCCTGTAATCCTGACACTTTAAGAAGTGGAGGGAGGAGGACTGCTTGAGCCCAGGAGTTCAAGACCAGTCTGGGCAACATAGCGAAACCCTGTCTCTACAAAAAATTTAAAAATTAGCCAGGCACAGTGGCATGCACCTATAATCTCAGCCATTTGGGAGGCTGGAGCAGGAGAATTACTTGAGCCCAGGAGTTTGAGGCTGAATTGAGCCATGATCACACCACGGCACTCCAGCCTGGGCTACAGAGTGAAACTCCACCTTAAAAAAAAAATGAAGTGGCATAATTGATATACTAAGAAAGAAGACTAAATGGAATCATATATTATAATATCATTCTATAATATATGATATATATATCATACATATCATTATATAACTATATCATAATAAAATGCTCCATTAATACCTCAAAAGTCAGAAGAAGTATGGAAGACAAAAATAGGAACAAATAGCAAGGGCAACAAATAGAAAATAGTCACAAATATCACAGATATTAATCCAATTATATTAATAATTATATTTAAGAGTCAGCTGTCTAAATACTCCAATTAAAAGACAGATTGCCAGAGTGGATCAAAAAATAAGACCCAGCTATATATTGTCTACAAGAAACTCTTTTAAGACATAGACACATATAGATTAAAAGTAAAGGGATGGAGAAAGATATACTATGCTAACACTAATCAAAAGATAGTAAGGGCTGGTTGGAGTGCAGTGCTATTTACAATTAATTGATCATAACTGGTTACAGATTTATTTGTTCTCTCTCTACTTCCATTGCTTCACTTGACTAGCTTTGAAAGAAAGAAAGGAGAGAGAAAGAAAGAAAGAGAGAAAGAAGGAGACAGAAAGAAAGAAAGAAAGAAAGAAAGAAAGAAAGAAAGAAAGAAAGAAAGAAAGAAAGAAAGAAAAAGAAAGAAAAAGAAAGAAGAAAGAAAGAAAGAGGAAGTGTGGATCTTGGATCGTGACATCAGCAAGATGGTGGAATAGAACTTTCCAGCACTTATCCCCTCATAGAAACATCTATTTGAACAACTCTCCATGCATGAAAATATCTTCATAAGAGCTAAGGAATTCAGTTGAGAGATTATGGCACTTGTGTGTAGCAGAGAATTACAAAAGGACCTACTGAAGAAAGTAGGAAGAACAGGTTCACATTTTCTGCATCACATCACCCCTCCAAGCCAGGCAACACGACATGGAGAGAGATATCCTCCAAGTGGGGGAAGGAAAGTAAAGTGAGTCCCAGACTTTGCCACAGGCCTGGCACCAGTGTTGCTCCAGTGAAACTCAGTGCCGGGCTGGTTCGCATAGCCCTAGGCTCCAAGCTGGTACCTGCAGACTAAGCCTCCAGGCCTGCCCAGTGGCACACTAAACCCCACAACTCCAGGCTCCAGGCCAGTCCCCACAGATATAGGCTCCAAGTCACCCAGAACCAGGCCAGTCCCTGCTGCCCCAGACTCCAGGCTAGCCCCCGTAACTTCATGCTCCAGCAAACCCAGGATACAAGCCGACCCTAGCAGACTCCAGCCCCTGATAACCCAGGCACTGGGGGTGAGCACCCCAATGTAAACTATGGACTTCAGGTAGTAATGATGTGTCAATGTAGATTCATCAGTTGTAACAAATGCACCACTGTGGTGCCGGATGTCCATAGTAGGGGAGGTTGTGTGTCTGTGGGGATGGGGAGCATATATGCTCTCTATACTTTCCACTCAATTTTGCTATGAACCTAAAACTGCTCTAAAAATAAAGATTATTAAATTAAGAAAACATCAGTGAGTAGGACTTATATGTGCTCATATGAAAACAAGATATTTATGTGTGTTTATATGAAAATACCTTCTATTATCTTATAGAATGTTTCCATCCATCTAAAAACATGTAGTGTATATTTGTAGAAAATTTCTAAAACCATACCTGTGAAATGATTCACAGTATTTGCACAATGGGGTCAGAGATAGAATATAGTCTAAGCTCCATGAGATACCCTTTTTTACTTTTTGCATTTCTAACATGCACATATATTAATTTCTAATAAGAAAATGTTTTTAAAAAGCAAGAAAAGAAGTAACTTGTGACAATTAGGGAAATGTGAATATAGACTATATATTAGATGATATTGAATTTAAACTCTCCTTAAAATTATGTGTATCCACCATGGAATACTACGCAGCCATAAAAAGGAATGATATAATTTCTTTTGTGGGAACATGGATAGAGCTAGAAGCCATTATCCTTAGCAAGCTAACGCAGTAACAGAAAACCAAATACCATATGTTCTCACTTAGAAGCGCTAGCTAAATGATGAGAACTTATGAATACAAAGAAGGGAACAATAGACACTGAGGCCTCCTTGAGGGTGGAGGGTGGGAGGAGGGAGAAGAGTAGAAAAAATAACTAATGGGTACGAAGCTTAATACCTGGGTAGTGAAATAATCTGTACAACAAACCCCCATGACACAAGTTTACCTTTATAACAAACCTGCACATATATCTCCAAACCTAAAGTAAAAGTTAAAAATAGATAAACGATAAATGAAAAAATTAAAATACAAAAAAGTTTATCAAGTAGAAAAATTGATGGAGCATATAAATATTTGATGGATCTAGGTGAAGAGTATACATGTATTCATTGTTTTCTTCTTTCAACTTTTCTATGGGTTTGAAAATTTACTTTTGAAACCAACCAAAAAGAAAACACACCTGTAATCTCAGGGTTGTAAAGTCTCTTGAAGTTCTAAACAACTTCTTCAATGTTTCTAATGAAGAATAGACTGTAGTATGAAAGTGGAAAGCCTCAGATGACCTCATTCACCCACATCAACTGATCTGTGCGACTGCTGCACATTATTTTGTAAAAACAAAACATTCACTGATGAAGGAAATAGATTATTAACTTTCAATTAAATGTGATAATAAAGGAAATTTGGTAATCATGTAAACACTGATTATCAAGCAAACAAAATAAACCAGAAAAATACAGGATATTTTCAGGAAATGCACTTGCCCAATTATCCCCATGACTTATTTTCATATCTCCAGTTTCAGTAGAAAAAATTATCTCCCTTCGCTTCTCCCAAATTCAAGCACTGAAAATCAGTGTAAAAGATGTCATGATATTTTAACATGTGATGAGCATTATTGTATAGTGTATGATAAAACATTTTTGTACATGATGTCTACATCTTGGAAATGTTAAATAGGTTTTCACATATAAGACTAATTTGTAAGTACATCAGAGGCATAGAGTTCATTACAATTTCATCATTATTTGTCAACCAGTTGAGTTATGAAGGAGAAAGGCAAGACACTATGCTTGACTGGTGCAGATATGCCATCCTAGCCAATTATATAGGATTTCTCTTAAGTCTAAGGCACTGAGAGCTCCTACTTCAGGATAGCAGCTGGAACAAAAATGTATAATACTACAACAGGCAGTAGTCACACTGCCAATTAGTTGCAGAGGTGGGACTTGAACTGTTTTCTCAAGTCACTCAAATAAAAGTGCTCAGAGAATACGTGTTTTATCCTCTAGGAATCAATGCATTTCCTTCTGCCTGCAGAAAGGAAACAAATGCCATCTGCATCATCTTTTAAACCATAATGTGTATCTCTTAGCAAAGGTAGGAGATAGGCTTTATTTTAAAATATCTAACTCCAATATCATTCCCATATGTGTTCCCACTGAATGATTCTAATAAATCATAGGGTTAAACAAATTATTCTGGACCAATTTTAACAAAGGTAGTAAATGTCTTCACTTAGATTACATATTTCTCAAGGGCAGGGACTATATCTTACACCTCTTGATGTCTCTCCTTCCAGCACAGTACCCTACAGATTTGATAAAAGAGATTACTAATGATGTTTAAAATAATGATAATGTTGATAATCACTTCCTGCAATGGAAATAAAGAGAACTGCTAAATCTAGCAACCCAACAGAATCTTGGGAAGACAATAGTTTTTTTTTTTTATAGTTTAAAAAAAAATTCCTCAAGAGTCTATTGTTTGAAGAGTTTAGCAAAGGTTATAAAATTTAATTAACTCAGAAAGAGTGAAGAATACTTGAGAAGATTTTATTTTCCCTTCATAATTGCAATCGATATGATAAAATTGTCCTCAAGCAGTCATTCCTGTCACATTAACATAAACAGTTAGTTTGAAGTCTCAAATGATATATTCCCCCATTGTCTCATGTTTCTTGACTGTTAAGGTTAATAGAAAGGGCCTACATTCATTAGAATAACATTGTACTAAAAATGTAATCTGACCCAATTAGTGAAAGAAGCTCTTGTCTGCTATACGTGGTAATTCCAGCTGTAGGCAGCAGAGGTAGTTGTTTTCACAGAAAACATGAGATACTAATTATTCATGTGAGTTTCTCTCCTAATTTTAATTTCAAATGTTAAAGTCTTTTATATTACTGATCTTTTGTATTACAATTCCTTTCTCTCTCTCTCTCCTTTTGCCCTTCCTTTAACAAATTATGTTTTGCTATACAGGTCAACACTGTTAATTACTTTTTGTTTACTCACTTTTTAACTCTCCAATCGAGTCCCCAATTACTATGACAAGCATAAATATCCCGGGGTGGACACTATTACAATTATACCACTTTATAAAATGACGGTTTCTTCTTGCTCCTGTAAGAAGATTACAAATTGAATGTTGAATAATCATGATGTAGAAAGCACTGTGGGAGGGTGGTATGGGAAAAATAAAGATGAACACATGTTTACCCCAGGATAAGAGGTTTAAACCAAGAGCTTGTAGATAAAGAATTCAAAACATTCACCTCTTAAAACTATTTAATTCCAAATCCTTTCATGTGACTATCTTAGTGCCATGGTGTTCTGAGATTAATCTTTAGTGTTCATGTTCAAAAGGACAAGCACCAAATATCCATGTTGACCTATTTGGTCCCTTTCTTCTCCCAACTAACATGGCTGCTAGACCAATTAGCTGTTTATTGCATAAACAGTGGGACTCGGGGTGAACTGCTTAACCACTCTCACCCTTAATGTCTCCAGTAGTAAAGAAAAATGAAAATAATCATATGAGTTTTGGAGGATTAGCGTGGTGACCCAATGAGATCTAGAACATGAAAGTATCGCTACTGTGCCTGGCATTTATAGGTGATAAATAAGTATGTGTTCTTTTCCTTTTTCTGAGCATCTCCCAGCAGCACATCTACTAACTGAAATATCTAGACATTCTAGGAATATCCAGACTTCACAAGGGGGTATAGCAAACAGAAGTGATAGTACTAGGCTGATGCCAATGATCATTGTGGCTGCTACTTTGCTGACTTCAAAGCTTATCTGTGAGATAATGTTTTTCTATTTAACTTATATCCCTTCCCCCGATCTGCTCCTCAACCCCTACTGCCACTCTGAGAATCCTAACACCCCAAGGTTCATTTCCCATCGAGTACCCTACTTTCATCAAGTTCAGCTGCTAAAAAATAGTTGGAGCTATCACATAGCAAAGCACACAAATGTTGATAAAGGAATAATTTAGCTGATACCCTGAGAGTAAAGGCAGAAATGACAATAGCTATTTAACATATTTCATTTTTCTCCTATGTAAAAATTGCAATTGATATGATAAAATTGTCCTCAAGCAGTCATTCCTGTCATATTAGCATGAACAGTTAGTTTGAAGTCTCAAATGATATATTCTCCCATTGTTTCATGTTTCTTGACTGTTAAGGTTAATAGAAAGGGCCTACACTCATTAGAATAAAATTCTACTAAAAATATAATCTGACTTTTAAATCAGATTATAAAAGTATAATCTGATTTTTATGAGAGAACAAGTGATTTCAAGTACTTTAATTATGGTAAAAATCATTTTAAGACATTGCTGAAGAGGCACGAGATGGTGATAGGATCCTATTAAACTAGGCCATTGATTGTTTTTATCATATCCATGATGAACTGTAACATTTTTACTTCACTGAAGTAGATATGAGTACGTGCTGTCTTCATATGTTTGAAACCCTAGGCAAATCAGTAAGAATAGTCCATTGTTTTTACCCTCTTTAAATAGAGGGACCAAATAAATAATTGAACCAAAAAGTGTTTCTGTTATACTGATCCTGCACTCGGTTAAAAATTAATATAGAAAAATCTCTGGAATTACAACACAAAAGCTATATTGAAGAAAGCCTATGTTTTACCTTGATTAAAGTAAAAGACTTCTACCAAAATTGAAGTAGCAAGTGCTAACATAACTATAACATTTTGGAATAGGCTTACCAAAAACATGCCTTCTGGGTCATTTTTATTCAGTGAATTTTTTTTTGTCTGACAAGATAGTGCAAATGTATGACCTGATTTTATTTTTGCTGTTGAACTCAAGAGAATACAATTAAACCTAACAATTGCTATTAGTTCAACAATACTAAAGAGCTAAACAGCTGAAGTGGTATTGATTAATTATTCATGAAAATGTAATCTTGATGATAATTTAACATTATTTGGTAAAGGGCTTAATTTGCTATCTAAAAATTATTATTTCCAATTAGAAAGTCTTACTCCAAATAATGTTGTAGTGTGCTATGTAGGAACAAAAAATTATTTTGAAATGGCTGGAGGCAAAAACTGAATAACTCTCTGAGCCCAGCAAGTCATAACATTTCAATATAATCTAATGAGTAGAGTGAATCAGTAATGCAGTATCATTGTCACCTGTTTTTTCTCTTCTTCCTGGCACTACAGCAAAGCACAAAGATTGGAATATTGAGCATTTCAGCAAAGAGCCAAGGTAATTTAGATTTTTATTGCTACATTTGGTCCTTGGCTTTAAACAAGCCAAAAAAGAACCCTCAGAAAAAGTAATTTACTAAATCATGGTACCAACCAAATCATGAACAACAAAACTGCAATGCTTGGCTTTCCTTGGGTTTTGTCTGTGTTGCTAAGATATTAGACAAGTCTGACTGACAAGCAGTATTTTGCAGAAAAGGAGTTGAGAATGCTCTCTTGGCAAGGCAGAGGTTGAGGTATAGAGACTAATGCTATCTTCTTATTTTGTAACTAAGATGACTTTGCTGGGCCTCTTGCCTTAATTGCCCTTGGGATGATTAACATTGGCTCCAAGCTCCCAGGATACAGACTAATCCATTTGGTGAGGCTCCTGGGAACTTGCTAGCCAGCTTAGATCAATGGCCAACAAAGATTTGATGATTCCTTAGAGGAGCCATCAATGAAATAAAATGTTAATCTTCAGGGTAAAATACACACACATACACACACCCAAGCACACACACACAATGAAATTTCCTTAAGAGAAGGAACCATGCCTTATTCATGTTTGCAGGATTGTAAAGATTAAATGGGTTGATGCATGCCAAAGAAACTTAGAATGGTACTTGGCAAAGGGTAATCAGTAAATATGTAGCAGTTGCTATTTTTGTTTATATCCACTGTGTTCAGTACAGTAACTGTTATATAATAGAAACCAATACACTTTAAATGACTTTTAAAGGAATATAGATTTATTATTTGTCTCCGCTTTGTTAGATGCCCATTGAAGAGAATTCAAATTTAACATTTCAACTAAAAAAAGAGTATATTATGTTTATAAATTTTGAAAACCACTGCCGCAGAGGATGGAGAGTCAGCAAAGACTTTAAAAAAGAGGATAATATGATTAGGGTTCTCTTTTTTTAGGTGGGACAGGGTCTCACTGTCACCCAGGCTACCATGCAGTGGTGCAATCATGGCTCACTGCGGTCTTGACCTCTGGGGCTCAAGCAATCCTCCCACCTCAGCCTCCTGAGTAGCTGAGTAGCTGGGACCACAGGCATGAGCCACTATGCCTGGCTAATTTTTTTTCTTAATTTTGTAGAGATGAGGTCTTGTTATGTTGCCCAGGCTGGTTTTGAACTCCTGGGCTCAAGTGATTCTCTTGTCTTGGCCTCCCAAAGTGCTGGGATTACAGGCATGAGCCACAGAGATGGGCCTCAGAATTTATTTTTAAAAGATATTTGAAACTATAGGTGACTTGGAAAAGTTAGACTTGAAGCAGAGAAACCAGAATGAGGAATATGACATCCAGATCTGAGGAAATAAGATCTTGAATTAAGGCAGTGGTAATGAGGATTAAAAAAAAAGATGTCAGACTAGTGAGATATATAGGATATGGAGGTTATAGGATTTAATGACCAATTCCAAGGTGAGAGTGAAGAAGTCACAGAGAATAAATCACCTGCCTCTGACTTGGGAAACAGAATAGAGAGTGACCCTTAACTAGAGTAGGTTATTCACAAAGCAGAGAAAGGTTGGTGAGAGAAAGAGTTAAACTTTAATTATGTTAAGTTAGAGGCACCATTGGGACATTCAGATAAAATGTCGCCGAGGCAGCAGGATATAATAATCTGAGGATCAGAACTGAAGTCTGAGATAGGGATAGAAATTTGGAAATCATTGGCAAAAAATGTGAGGTCATCCACGCTGATGAGATCAACCACAAAGAAGGATAGAATAAAGAGAGAAGAGGCTTAAGGAGTCGGCAGAGGGACGAGGAAAGGAGCTACAACCAACTTGTCAGCAGGGAAGAGGAGAATAAGGAGAGCAAGACCAACGGAGTTACCAGGGTAGTGTTCAAGAGAGAAGGAGAGAGATCAGTAGTAACAAATACTATAGAAGTCAAGTGAAACATGAAATGAAGGTGAAACTTACCCACTGGGCACAGTGTAGGAGCTTAATAATATTTGATAAATTGGATATATAAGCTACTACACACAAAGCGAATCATTGCTGATCTTGCCTCCAATCTACCTTCTTAATTATCTACACTAAACATTTTTTCCAAACCTTTTAGTCCCTTGAAGATAAAAAATACTTTGATTTAGTAACTTTCTCCAGAATACATTGGGCCTTCCTAACCCTCATGCTTTGTTGTATGCCATTCACCCTGGCTAAAATACAATTGATCTATGTCTCTACTTATACCAACCTACTGACCTCTCATACCTGGATCAAATCCCAACTTCCCCATTCAATCTTCCATGATTTTCCCAAACAGAAGTAATCATCACCTCCATAAAACTCCCAAAGGGGCCGTGCGCAGTGGCTCAAGCCTGTAATCCCAGCACTTTGGGAGGCCGAGGCGGGCGGAGCACGAGGTCAAGAGAGCAAGACCATCCTGGCCAAAATGATGAAACCCTGTCTCTACTAATAGTACAAAAATTAGCTGGGCATAGTGCGTGTGCCTGTAGTCCCAGTTACTCCAGAAGCTGAGGCAGGAGAATCACTTGAACCCGGGAGGCAGAGGTTGCTGTGAGCTGAGATTGCACCACTGCACTCCAGCCTGGTGACAAAGTGAGACTTTGTCTCCAAAAAAAAAAAAAAAAATACACACACACACACACACACACACAAAACTCCCAAAGGACCATTTTTTTAATCTATATCAGTAAATTATCAAGTTAATGTTTTTATTTATAACATTATCATATTCTATTTTTCTCTTGTTCCTTGAACAAAAATTTTTATCTTGTATTATAAATTAAATTTGTAGGTGTCTGTATCTTGCCTCCCATCTAGATGATAAATTCCTGGATAACAGGGATAAGACCTCATAATTTTCTCTGTTCCAAATATTTACTGAATGCCAAAAATGTGTGGAGCTCTAGTAGAGATACCAGGGATAGTATTGTAAATAAGACAGGCAACATCTTACCGTCATGGAGTTTATATTCTGCTGGATATACTTGAACTTATTATGTCCCTCAGCTCCTTCTCACTCACACTATCAGAACAATATACCTTACTGTTCTTGGGTTCATGAACCCCATGTCCTTTATAATATCCTTTATAAACATTTCCTAACCCTAGACTTCTAATATGACAGATGCTGAAGTGGAATAAGGGACGTCTAATTGAGTTATGAAGATCACTATAACATGTAGACTTTGGAGTCAGATTTTAGTTGAAATGTCAGATGTGCCATTTACTAGAAGGGTGACTGAAAACAATTTTTTTTGTTGGTTTTTGAGACAGGGTCTCACTCTGTCACCCAGGCTGAAGCACAGTGACACACTCAAAGCTTACTGCAGCCTTGAGTGAGGCTCAAGTGATCCTCCCACTTCAGCATCCCTAATAGCTGGGACTACAGGCGTGCACCAGCGCTCCTGGCTAATTTTTGTATTTTTTGTAGAGTCGGGGTTTCACCATATTGCCCAGGCTGGTCTTGAACTTCTGGGCTCAAGCAATCTGCCTGCCTCAGTACCCCAAAGTGCTTGGGATAACAAGCGTGAGCCACTATGCCCAGCCTGAACACAATTTTTAACTTTTTTGAGGTTCAGTTTTTTCATCATAAGAATTGTAATAATACCTATCATCCAGAATTACTGTGAAAGTCAAATGAAATAATTACATAGCTGCTAAGAATACATGTTAATTATGTTAAAAGTATCTTTAAAATTAAGAGGTCATTGCTCTGAAGAAGAAAGAGTAGTGAGGGGAGTCTAGCTCTACCAAATATTGAAACATTTTATAGTTACAGTAACCAAAATAATATAGTTCTAGAATATGAAAAGAAAAATATGAGTAAAGTAAACCAGAAAGCCTGGAAATAAGCCCCAATATATATGAAAACAGAGTATTGTCCTTAGTTGGAGAAAAAGGTCACACTCTGGTCTTCCTCTGGTTGTACCACTTTTGGCAGGACAAAGCGATATGCCCACCTGAAACCTGTCACCTCCCTTCACCTCACTTTGGTTACCCGACCTTTCATTGGCATTGCCTGACTCACTGTCCCAAGACCACTTCAAGGACTGTGTTAGACTTTCCCCTTCTCCATCCTCCTGAGAGTGGCCATGAAATCTTTATTGTACCCATAAGCCCCCTGATCAACTTAGAGAGTTCACCACTCTTTCCTCTTTGACGCTTTCTTCACTTGGCATCTGGCTCACCACTCTCTCTTGGTTTTTCACCTGACTCACTTACTTACTTGGTCTCCTTTCCTAGTTCCTCCTTATATCCCCAACATCTGAATTCCCAAGTACCTCAGGCTCAGTCTTCAGTCTTCTTCTGTCATTGCAGTCCATTACTAAATTATCTCATTCCATCACATGGTTTTAAATAACATCTATAAACTGACAACTTTCAAATTGATATTTCTAGCCCTGACACCTCCCTTGAAATCTTCTCTTATATATCCAGCTACCTATTTGATATCTCCATGTAAGTGTCTAAATAGGCATCTCAAATTTATGCCCAAACATTTACAAAACTAAACACTTTATTATCTACTACCTCAACCAACTTTTTTCCACAGCCTTTTCCCATGGTAGCAAATGACAAAATCTATTCTTCCCAGTTGCTCAGGCCAAAACCTCAGTCATTCTTGTGTCTTCTCCTTCCTTTGTGTTTCATGTCCAATCCATTAGCAAATCCAGTAGACCTTACTTACAACATTTGTCTGGAATTTGATCACTCCTCGCCCCACTGCCACTACTAATCAAATACAATTTGCCATCCTCTCTCACCTGGGTTACTCATCTGGATGAGCAAGTTTTATCTGTAAAGGGCCAGATAGTAAATATTTTAGGCTTTGCAGACTATAGAGTCTCTGTTGCAACCACTCAACTCTGTTCTTGCAGGCCTGAAGCAGCCACAGACATTACTTAAATGAATAGGTGTGGCTGTGTTCCAGTAAATCTTGATTTACAAAAACAGGCATTGGGCCAGATTTGGCCAGCAGGCCATAGTTTGCCAACTCCTGACCTGGATGACTGCACCGCCCCGTAACTAGTCTCCCTCTTTCTACCTTTCCTCCTAAAATTGAGACATGGGTGAAGGTGATAGCTTTGAATAAGAGGGAAGAAAGGAAAGATGAGTAAAAATATAGGTGAATTTAGTCTTCCCAGTTGCCTGAATACTCCCAGAGAAAGCACCAAGCGAGGCGACAAGCCACTGCCTGGACTCACAGTTGCCCCATAAATGGTAACAACCAAAACATGCTGACTCATCTTGACTACAACAAAGTCACCTATATTTTTACTCATCTTTCCTTTCTTCCCTCTTATTCAAAGCTATCACCTTCACCCGTGTCTCAAATGTCACAAGAGTGCATCATCAAGTAATGAAGATGGAGTATAATTGGGATAGACCTTACTGAAGAAGAAAGATTTGAACTGCACAGTGTTGCCAAGAGCCAGTTCCTACTGCCTAGAGTGAAAACACTTTTTCCGGCCTCCCCTTTCTCCAAAGGGCCAACAAAATTAAAATCTTTACAAAGAATTTGTATACATACACAATATAGTTGGGTCCTGAGCCCCTTTGAGACTGGCCCTTGAGCTGACCAAACTGTTCCTAACCCATTCCACCCGCCGTGTCCACCCTGGAGCTCACACTAGGGGGAAATTTCCCCAAAATCACTCCTAACACAAATACCTAACATTCAAAATCAGTGAACAGCTTTCAAATGGAGGTAATTCTCTTGTGAACAAAGTAGTATTTGAATTTAATCTTCCCAGTTGCCTGAATACTCCCAGAGAAAGCACCAAGCGAGGCGACAAGCCACTGCCTGGACTCACAGTTGCCCCATAAATGGTAACAACCAAAACATGCTGACTCATCTTGACTACAACATAACTCCTTAAAATACCATCTTCCCACACAACAAAGTTTTCACAATTAGAAGAGAGGTGGGACTATTTTAACATACAAATCCTATGTCTGTTTTTTCACTTAATAGCATGTGAAATACTTACCCTATTGTGGTGACAATAGCTCTTAGAGAAGCACAGCGTGTAGCCAGTAAAGATCTTTCTGAGGTGGTTTTCTTGAGGTTTAGGGGTTAAAAAACTATCACTTGTTAAAAAGTACATAAAGGATTTCCAGATGTAAATCATTTGTAAATTTATCTCAAGGGGTATTAGGAAATGAATAATGAAACCAGCACATACTATGTGCCTGGGAGGAAAACTTCAGGACAATAATTATCAAAATTATAATGAAAACCAAGTGGTAATTAGCCTCATTGGTTAAACTAATTAAGTGAGCAAAAAACACTTTCGGAAAATAAAATTTCAGATGTTTAATATTAAAGCATTTGTACTACAATTTCAGTATAGCTTTGAGAACATGTAAGTGCAATTTAGAGAGTCGTTCTCCGTATAATGGAGTGGTGGAAGCAGCAATAAATGATGTAAAAAGCACATTAAAGGCTACATGAATTCACAAGTCCATACTTTGTTTTAGTATGTCATCAGTGCTTGTGTTTAATGTCATATTTGAGTCTTCATTAGAGTGTCGCTCCTTTTGAATTCATGTGACTAAATATTACAGAGGTTTAGGCTGGTGTTAGCCCAGAATATTTTTGACCACCAAGTCATTGAAAACTGTGCTATTTATCGTTACCCCCAACACAAGGGGGGAAAAGTGCTGTATATTGGAATTATTTTGCACTTTAACAACCAAACTTTTCTAATGAAGACTCTATATCCATCCATCTACTATACATCCATTAATTTATTTGCTCATTTATCAATTTCCCGGATGCCCGCCTTTTCTTTCCATGGCAGTGTCCTAGGAGCTAGGGTTACAAGTAGCTTACAGTCTGGTTGGAGGAGTCATATTTGTAAATAGATAAGTGCCATTAATTGTTATAGCTTCTGCGTTAGGAGTACCTACAGGATTTGGTGGGGCCCAGGGCAGTAGCAGTGAATGGAGGAATGGACGAATGGACGAGCATGGGGAGGAAGCTCTGCAGAGGAGGAAGTGCTGGAGCTTTGTTCTTTTGTCTCCTTTATTCATTCTGTTCCCGCTTCCTACAACACCCTTCTCTCACTTCTGATTGGGCTAAACCTTGCTCAAAACTTTAAAAAGTGGTGTATAGCCTGTAACCCCTGCACTTTGGGAGGCTGAGGCGGGCAGATCACTTGAGGTCAGGAGTTCGAGACCAGCCTGGCCAACGTGGTGAAACCCTGTCTCTACTAAAAATACAAAAATTAGCTGGGTGTGGTGGTGCGTGCCTGTAATCCCAGCTACTCAGGAGGCTGAGGCAGGAGAATCACTTGAACCCAGGAGGCGGAGATTGCAGTGAGCTGAGATCACACCATTGCACTCCAGCCTGGGTGACAGAGCGAGACTCCGTCTCAAACATAATAATAATAATAATAAAAGGTGTACATATTTTCTTAACCAGTTATGTATGAATGCATCTTAATTATGTAAAATATTGAAATACAGAAGTATATAAATAGTGGAAGTCTTTCTTTACCCTGCTCCCGTTATTCTTCTACTTCGAGGTAGTACTTTTAACACTTTGTATGTGTGCAGAACTTTTTCTGTATATCTACCTGTGTTCATATATATATGCCTTTGTGTATTTATGTATATATATTCATATTAATTATATACAAACCATAAAATAAATACTGTTTTCAGTTTTTTATTTCACTTCACAGTTTATCATAGGGATTGTTTCATTACAGTTCTTCTATATCAAAATCCAGGAGTTGGAAATATCTTTTTTTTTTTTTAGCCAATTCCCTATGGATAAAAATTTAGAATTTTCTCCCAAATTTGCACTATTATAAATACTGAAATGAATACCTACAGACATATTTATGTACATGTGTATGTCTGTAGACTATATACCTGAGTGGAATTATTAAATTAAAATTATGATAAATGCTGTCACACTGTCCTCCAAAACCCATGTAGCGATATGTACTTCCACCAATTTGGTAGAAGAGTGCCTGTTTCTCTACACTTTTACCCGGTGAGAATGTTGTCAATTGTTGAACATTTTGATGGTCAGATAGTGGAAAATGTATTGTTTTAGTTTCTACTTCCCTTACTTCTGGTGAGATGAAACATCCTTCATACATTCGTTTGAAACTATCTTTTTTTTTTTTTTTTGAGAAACGGTCTTACTCTGTCACCCAGGCTGGAGTGCAGTGGCACGATCTTGGCTCACTGCAACCTCCACCTCCTGGGTTCAAGTGATTCTCCTGCCTCAGTCTCCCAAGTAGCTGGGATTACAGGTGTGTGCCACCACACCTGGCTAATTTTTGTATTTTTAGTAGAGACGGGGTTTAACCGTGTTGGCCAGCCTGGTCCCCAACTCCTGGCCCTTAGGTGATCTGCCTGCCTTGAGCTCCCAAAGGGCTGGGATTACAGGCATAAGCCACCACGCCCAGCCTAAAACTAAACTTAAAATATGAATTGATTGGTGGTTGGCAGAGGGAAAAATACAAGCAAAGACCTAGATCTGTTAATTGCACAGTGCCAGTGTGTTATAGGGGGACTGAAATTGCTGAATACAGGGGATGAGAGGGTGATTTCAAGACTAATGGGGATTAGAGAAATAGATAGGTGTCCCATAATAAAGGACTTATTGTACCAGTTGCTTGGACTTTACCCTGTAGATAATGGAGAGCTATTCAAGGATTTTAAAACAAGGCTGCAAAAAGGCCAGATTAGCTTTTGAAAAACTTCATCTTGCAGCTGTGAGAGAGCACAGAGACTGGACAAGAGGAGAGCACATTTGCAAGAATGGCAGTTCACTGAAGGAGGGCAGTGGTACTGGGTGTGTAAGGGGGAGGCTATGAGAGAGGGGAGGGAGACAGAAGCCACAGCACTGCTTGTAGAATGTCTGTGAGGAGTGGAGGATAGAAAGCCAATCTGAGAGTCAGTTTTCCATCTAGACAGTATTGGAGTGGATGGTTCTCCAGGAATCTCTCACTCTAGCAAATAATGTTACACAGAGGTTGCATTTAAACTAATTATGTTTAATTTTAGTGAGGTTTCTACAGAGATGAATATTTAAAAGAAAATCAGAAAAAAGTGCACATTTACTTAAGAGAAAGATACTGGTTAAAAATAGCTAGAAATAAGGCCGGGCATGGTGGCTCACGCCTGTAATACCAGCACTTTGGGAGGCCAAAGAGGGTGGATCACGAAGGTCAGGAGTTTGAAACCAGCCTGGCCAACATGGGGAAACCCCTCTCTACTAAAAAAATTAGGCAGATGTGGTGGCACATGCCTGTAATCCCAGCTACTCGGGAAGCTGAGGCAGGAGAATCACTCGAACCCAGAAAGTGGAGGTTGTGGTGAGTGGAGATCATGCCATTACACTCCAGCCTGGGTGACAGAGCAAGACTCCATCTAAAAAAAAAAGAAAAAAAAAAGCTAGAAATAAATGAATCTGCAAGGAAAAAATAATGGAAAAATGAGAAAAGAGAAAGATTTTTATTTATTTATTTATTTATTTTTTGAGATGGAGTCTTGCCCTGTCACCCAGGCTGGAGTGCAATGGCATGATCTCAGCTCACTGCAACCTCTGCCTCCTGGGTTCAAGTGATTCTCTTGCCTCAGCCTCCTGAGTAGCTGGGATTATAGGCGTGCACCACCATGCCCGGCTAATTTTTTTTTATCCTTAGCAGAGACGGGGTTTCACCACGTTGGCCAGGCTGGTCTCGAGCTCCTGACCTTGTGATCTGCCCGCCTTGGCCTCCCAAAGTGCTAGGATTACAGGCGTGAGCCGCCATGCCTGGCCTGAGAAAGATTTTTTAATGAGTAAAGAAAGAAAAGAGTAGAGGAGAATATAAAGAAAACTGAGGGTTTTTTTCTATTTATGTATTTATATTTCCTTTTGCATACATTTACATTATGTTTTGGAAATAATATATTGACAATACAGAATGTTAATTCATGGAAGACAGTAGATCCTGAACCATGTTTGATAAAGATCTCGAAGTGTCTACTGCTCATAAGAGTACTGTTCTTGAATAATAACACACCTATCTTGAGAACCTGAATTTAACCATGCAGCATGCTCTCAACCTCCTAATGTTACTTAATCTAGAAAGAAATCATTATGTCTATTTTATAGAATAGAGTCCTGAGGCTTGAAAATGGTTACTTGTACGTATTACACGTTAGATATTTGATTCTGTTAGTCACTTATTATTCATCCTTTCTTTGATTGCTGGTAATTTTCATGGGCGTTCTGAAATCCCCTAACTTGGCCCTAACTGGACCAAGTGTGCCCTCCTTGGAGTTTTTTTCTTAGACACAGGAATTATTGCTGCTATTTAAGTCTGCCTATGCTAATCTTTAGACAAATAATGATTTATCTTGGTCCATGGTACTTTTTATGCATGTCTGTAAAAAAGAGTTTTGGTTGAAACATCCTATGAAAAAACATGCTTTACTATTAATATCTTCATAAAGCTGCCATGGAATAAAAAAATATTAACATGGAAAGCATAATAGCGATGTTGTATATTTGTATTATTTTATTTTATAATTTTTATTGTTAGAAAGTTAGAAAATACAGAAAAGCACAAAGAAAAATAATAATTGCCATGTGCCTGTAGTCCCAGCTATTCAGGAAGAAGAGGCAGGAGGCTCACTTGAGCCAAGGAATTTCAGGCTGTAGTGTGCCATGGTAAAGCTTGTGATTAGCCACTGCACTCCAGTCTGGGCAACATAGTGAGACCCTGTCTCAAAAATCATCAATATCATCGTCATTATCATCCATATTCACACCATCTCAAACAAACCACTATTATATTGGCATATTTTTCACATTTTTAAAAGAAAAATTAGTTTATTGAATGACTTACAGGAATTCAAACAACAGAACTGCACAAAAATAAAAGTTTGAAAATCACCTCAAATCTACCACCCAGAAATGACCATGATTAGCTTTAGAATAATATACATTAGCTTTATACTGTGTATATATACACATTCTTCTAAGCATACATACAGATAGAAAGAATACCTTTATAAGCATGGGGTCATGCCATTTATATAAACATCTTAAAATTAAACTTACTTGAATTTAATAGAAGAGAAATTGAAGGAATGGCTGAATTTCAAATAAATATTCCTCTATCACCACAAGATACATTATTTCCTGAAGAATTCTAAATACTCCAAAATATGAAAAGACTGCATTGTTGCACTTTTTATAAAGCCACGTTTTGATTGTATGTATCATCAGTGACTCCTTACTTTGAAAGATAAAAGCATTAACATCCTCGCACTCCTACTCATCTCTCCATCCCCTTCCTCCCCTAGCTCAAAACATTTACCTGTTATTTTTATCTTCATAAATCTCATTATTTTCTGCAGGCACAGCTAACATATTGAAAAATCTTCTGCCTACTACCTCTGCATTCTCAATTATTTTTTATATGGATGTAGTTACTCCTGAAAAGTCCCTCTCCTCACTGTCAACTACTAACCTAAAACTGCCACCACAACCCAGTGTTGGCTGCTCAAGACTTTCTTCCCCCGCCCCTGTCTCTCTAATAAGGCCCATGAGAAAGGTAAATGGAAAAATACCTAGAGGATGAGCAACTCCATAATTTCACTTAGCTTGAAGGGAGAGGGAAAGAAGCTGTGAACACACAGGCATTAATAATTTTGACCCTGTTAAATTTTTATAACAGTACAATTTTCTGGAATACTAGATATGGACAATAGAACTCAAATGATGCAACTGGCTTCAGAGAACTTACTGAAGAAGTTGGGGCAGGAGGTCCAGGAAGAATAGGGTCAAAGGCAGGGAGTGATGAGAAGGGCATTCTGTCTCTAGTTCTGCAGTGCACAGCAGAGGGGCTGGGCCCAGGACTCCCACCACAGGGCCGTGCAGCCAGCCAACTCATCTCCCTGCTTCCTGCACGTTTAAAGAGAAAGCTCAGTACTCACTGCTAAGCATCTGGCTTGACAGCAGGGAACATTCAGTTAATGGTAGTTCAGAGGAATTGCTGTGTTTGCAGCTGTTTCTTCTTGATAAAATAATTGTTGTTTCAAATGGGAAATTATTATGTGGAATCAGAATCAAATGTAAAAGCACTGTCGTAGCACAGTTTGATTTACTGGTATATAAATAGGTTTTGGGAAAAGAAGGTATAACATGAAAAAGTATGATCATTGGCTGGGTGTGGTGACTTATGCCTGTAATCCCAGCACTGTGGGAGGCTGAGGTGGGTGGATCACTTGAGGTCAGGCGTTCAAGATCAGCCTGGCCAACATGGTAAAATCCCGTCTCTACTAAAAATACAAAAATTACCCAGGTGTGGTGGTGGGCGCCAGTGGCTCCAGCTAC
Source organism: Homo sapiens (assembly GCF_000001405.40). NCBI lineage: Eukaryota > Metazoa > Chordata > Mammalia > Primates > Hominidae > Homo > Homo sapiens. Next base: position 78,335,429 of record NC_000005.10, read on the forward strand.
TTGGGAGGCCGAGGCAGGAGAATTGCTTGATCTGGGGAGGCGGAGGTTGTGGTGAGCTGGGATTGCATCACTGCACTCCAGCCTGGGTGACAGAGTGATACTCTGTCTCAAAAAAAAAAAAAAAAAGGGAAAAGAAAGGAAAAGAAAAAGTATGATCATTATACATGGTGGATTAGCACTTTCCCAAAGATCCAAAGATAACAATGCCAGAGAGATGTGACATAGGACTGAAGCAGCGTGGTCACACATCAAATCAACAACTTCACATATTTTCTAACCCTGTTTCATGGAAGGCACACACACTCTTGAGAATGGTATATGGCAACCTGCTTTGCCCAGACTAAAAGCTCAGTCACTACTAGTAGGTACAGAAAAACTGTTAAAAACAATTATGTGTATTATTTTTAAACATTTCAAAAGTCTTGTGCCAAATGTCAAGCTGTGATTTACCTATAGTAACTATTAGTCGAAGAAATTAATGAATAAATTATTTTTGAATTAGTAGATTTTTTTTCCCTTTAACTCCGTAGTGCCCTCATTCTAGAAAGACATAATGCAACTTTTTTCTTAAAAGATCAGATAGTAAATATTTTTGGCTTGCAGGCTGTATGGTCTCTACTGAGACTACTCAGCTCTGGTGTTGTAGTGTGAAAGCAGACATAGACGATATGTGTACCAATGTGGATAGCTGTGTTCCAATAAAGCTGTATTTATAAAACAAGAGGCTGGGCTGGGCAGTCGGTTGCTGACTCTGGTTGGCTACACTCCCTGTTAGACATCTGGAGATCAGAGATTGTTGCTATGGCCTGTGAAAGCAATTCCTAGTCCTTAACAGGTTGTAAACTGGTGTTTATAATAATAATGTGTTCCCCTGGTAATAAAAACTTAAATTGACATCCCTGTTTTCTAGAAGACATAAATACTTATAAATTATCTTTGTTGAACAGAACAAGATTATTGGCCTTCTGTCTTTCCCTTGTGCCTGAAGGTAAAAGACAACGATTGTGTTACAGGTTTAGTTCTCTAGAAGCAAAGAGCAAGGCAGAGCTTTGGAAGCTAGATGTTTTATTAGGAATCAACACTTACGAAAAGTAAGGGAAGGGACCAGGTGTGGTGGCTCACACCTGTAATCCTAGCACTTTGGGAAGCCAAGGTGGGCTGATTGCCTGAGTCCAGGAGTTCGAGACCAGCCTGGGCAACATGATGAAACCCTGTCTCTACAAAAAAAAACAACAACAAAAATTAGCCATGTGTGGTAGTGGGCACCTGTAGTCCCAGCTATTTGACAGCCTGAGGTAGGAGGATCACTTGAACCTGGGAGGCAGAGGTTGCAGTGAACTGAGATTGTGCCACTGCACTTCATCTTGGGTGACAGAGCAAGACGGTGTCAAAAAAAAAAAAAAGAAGAGAAAGAAAGAAAGAAGGAAAGAAGACAGAGAGAGAGAAAGAAAGAAAGAAAAAGAGAAAGAAAGAAAGGAAAGAAAGAAAGAGAAAGAAAGAAGAAAGAAAGGAAGAAAGAAAGAAAAAGAAAGAAGAGAAAGGGAAGGGAAGGATGTGGGACTGGGTGAAAGGAGAAGTAGAGCTGCTATGCAGATTCGAAAAGCCTCATCTGATCTGGCACAGAATGTTGAGAGAATAGTATCAAGTGGCCAAGGCTTTATTACACCCTCACATAGTCATCAGATGCACACAGCCGTAGGAAGAGGAAGGTTTTGGGCAAAGCAGTTCTCTGGAAAAAGCTCATCACTAAAGACATCTGCTGACTGCCTGCCCATTGCCGGGCATCAAGTCCTTGAAGAGGCATCTGTGCAGGGAATCTTCGTATCTACCACAGAGAGCTAAATGTCTTAAGAAAACAAAAAGTCTGAAAGTGTGTCTTACATAAGTTAATACCAGTGATGGAGTAACTTGGAGAAAAACAGCCATATAGCCATTGAGCAGGTTAATTTCATCCTTTTCATTCTGTTTTCCCTTTTTGTATATAGAAATATTCCTCTTTTTTTGAGATGGAGTCTCACTCTGTCACCAGGCTGGAGTGCAGTGGCACGATCTTGGCTCACTGCAAGCTCCACCTCCCAGGTTCAAGCGATTCTCCTGCCTCAGTCTCTGACTAGCTGGGACTACAGGCATGCACCATCACGCCTAGGTAATTTTTGTATTTTTAGTAGAGACAGAGTTTCACCATGTTGGCCAGGATGGTTTCAATCTCTTGACCTCATGATTCACCCACCTCAGCCTCCCAAAGTGCTGGGATTACAGGCATGAGCCACCACGCCTGGCCCTCATTTTTAAAGAATAGTTTTGCTGGACATAGAATTCTTAGTCAACAGTCTTTTTTTTTTTTTTTTTTTGAAATGGAGTCTTGCACTATCATGCAGGTTGGAGTGCAGTGGTGCTGGAGTGCAATGGTGCGATCTTGGCTCACTGCAACCTCTACCTCCCAGGTTCAAGTGATTCTTGTGCCTCAGCCTCTCGGGTAGCTGGGATTACAGGTACCCGCAACCATGCCCAGCTAATTAGAGATGGGGTTTCACCATGTTGGCCAGGCTGGCCTTGAACTCCTGACCTCTAGTGATCCACCCACCCTTGGCCTCCCTAAGTGCTGGGATTACAGGCGTGAGCCACTGGAATTCTTGTTTGACAGTCTGTCTTTCAGCATCTTGAATCTGTCATCCCACTGCCTTCTGGCATCCATAGTTTCTGATGAGAAGTAAACTGTACATTATATTGAGTATTCCTTGTACTTGATGAGTCACTTTTTCCCTTGCTGCTTTCTAGTTTCTCTCTTTGTCTTTTGACAATTTGCCTATGATGTGTCTAGGTTTAGATCTCTTTGAGCTTATTCTACTTGGATTTTATTGCACTTCTTGGGTGTGTAGATTAACGTTTTTCAACAAATTTGGTTAGGTTTTTGTTATTTTTTGTATTTCTTTTTTTCTATCTTTTAAAGACTCTCATTAAGTGTAAGTTGGTATGTTTGATGGTGTCCATAGGTATCTCAGGATCTATTCATTTTACTTCCTTCTCTCTCTCTCTTTTTCATTCCTTAGACTGGGTAATCTCAATCGATTCATTTCTTCAATTCACTGATTAATTCTTCATTCCTCTACCAATTCAAATCTGTGTTGAGCCCATTGAGCATGAGTAATACATGGTATGTTATTTAAAAATCATATATGTACCATGTAAACAGTGAATAATTATCTTTTTCACACTGACACGAAGGTTTCCAAAAAAATTATATTGTAAGCCAAAAACAAAATATTGTAGAAGGTCTAATTTATATCAGCTACATTTTCAGATCTCAAAATGCACTAAATTTACCACTTTAAAATAAAAAAACACTCTTTTAAATAACTATTGGGTCAGAAAAAAAGAAGATTAAACTGGAAATTACGGATCATCTGAACATTAATGATAATAAAACACATGAAACTGTTCCTATGTTTAGAGGCCAATTTATAGATGCAAATGCTTTTATTATTTAAAAAATTAAAATCTAAGCATCGTCTTAAGAATGTGAAAAAAATTGCAAAATTAAAAAAATTAGGCCAGACAGGGTGGCTTATGCCTGTAATCCCAGCACTTTGAGCCCAGGAGTTCAAGCCCAGCCTGGACAGTATGGTAAAACCCCATCTCTACAAAAAATACAGAAAATTAGCCAGGCATGGTGGCACACACCTGTAGTCCCAACTACCTGGCAGGCTGAGGTGGGAGAATCACCTCAATCTTGAAAGTTGAGGCTGCAGTGAGCTGTGATCATACCATTGCACTCCAGCCTGGCCAAAGGAGTGAGACCCTGTCTCAAAAAAGAAAAACTTTAAGTAATAAAAGTTGTAGACCTAAATGAATTACAAAAGAGAAAACTAATCTATAAACCCCCAAAAGTGCTTTTTAAAAAATTATATTTTATGGTGTTGGTCTTGACAATGTTTCTTTATAATGACTAAAAAAATAGACATATTATGGTCCAAGAAGCTCTTTCATAGACAAACTGGACCACATTGAGGGCCTTACATAGTCTACACTACTATAATTGCTCTCCAAATATAATAGTGCTTAATTTTCAATAGTTTCCACTTAATAATATGTCTGCTTCATTTACACATATGTCGTTTTACTAATCTGTACAATATCAATGTGGCTGTATTTTCAGCCATCTCTATGGTGAAAGTGTGTTATGAGCATTTTTAAGCAGAATAAATTAAATAGAATATTGTTAGGAAAGAAGTATGTACTATTTGAAATAGAAAACATAAACATGTTCCTTACTATAACCAGGGTTTCTGGACTTTGGATTCTCCGTAGCACTAACTGACCTTCTGGACAACCAAGCCACTAGAGAATTCAGCCAACCGAGGCTCAGCAGGGACATAATCACACACCAGTGCAACTGGTGCCTCAGGGAAACTGTTGAAACTTGAAAACCGTGTGGGAAGGCGGTAAGCAGCTTTTGCATGCATAGAATTTGAAATTTGTGCTTGAATCTGGAGTCACCTTCCTCTTTTTCCTGAGTCTGGGTACTTTGGTGAACTTTTAAAATCATATTGCTTTAAGCAAGTACCTTGCCATTTTTCTTATGGACACACCAAATGGAAAGCAGATGTTTGTGATTGAGTTATTAAATTTTGTTTGACAAATAAATTGCATTATGTCTTTCTAGAATGAAGGCACTACAGAGTTAATGGGAAAAAAATCATTCTACTAATTCAAAAATAATTGTTTCTGAGAGATGAGTCCCTTTTTATTCAGTTATTTCCTCACAGGAAATCATGAGACTAGGACCAGGCCAGAGGGAACACGTAGGTCTAATTTCCTCCTCACTGCATACTGAAAGAAAGACTGAAATGAAACTGCCCTGGACCATGGCTGCTTACCACAGGCTGGATGGTTAATGTCTCACATATGATGCCATTTATAATTGAATGAGCCCAAGTTTGGGAAATGTACTGTCAACTACTGGGTTTACTTTGTATAGGTTATGGAGAACAAAGGATCCCTGGGAATGAAGGTGGGGAAATCTCAAAGAAAATGGTAGACCCATTGTCAATTTTTTGGAGGAAGAAATAAAGAAGGCCTTGAACTAGGAGAAGAGAGGACTTCATCCTCTCTCTTGGTTGGTGGTAGTGGGCCCTGACCGGGTAAGAAGAACATGATAAAGATTCATGACTGTGAAAGATAAGATGGCATTGGTCACTTGTGACATACTAAAGGCAAAAAAGAGAAATGGTTGAGGGGATCTCAGTGCAAGGCAATGGCTAATCGACTCTAGGACAAATATCTAAATTTCCATTTTATATTTTTTCTTTTGTATCTTTTAATTCCCCTTTAATATTTTCAAGTAAAATTTTAAGTCCTGCTGTCGATTGTTATCTAAGTTGTGTAGCTCTAAGGAATGGGCCTGTTTTCATAGCTAAAACAGAATCACGTAGGAGTGTGAGTTTCCCCCATTCTTCCCTCTCCCCTGAAGTCAACTTAATAGTAGTTGTCAGAAAATTGAGTGGGCATCATGGCTAAGTGGAGAGTATTTGTCATATGCCAGGCAATAGCTAAAGTGCAAGTGGATGTTATTGCCGATGTGAAACAGCCTCTCCATAATATTCCAAGGGGAGGAAATTGGTTAAGGGATGGGCAGATATTCTAATATTATAGGAGGGATTGGCTATCTGTCCAGTAGATATTTTAGTTAGAGTAAGTCAGTCACGTAGAAAGAGTCACTCATGCCAGCTAGAATAACTTGGCAATTAAATGGTAGTAGCTTGCAGTACTTTAGACTTATTAATGCCATAGAAAATTCATTTGAAGGAATAAATTACCCATGGTTGATAACTATAATAAAATTACAAGATCATTACCTTTTTGAAAATGTCTAATATTGAGAAAGAATATGACAAGAACAGAACATTGACTTTTGCTACACCAAAAGAAAACCACAATTAAAATGAATGCAGCCTGCTGCCCATATGACTTTTTCCTATAATGTCTTTGACAAGATTGGAGGGACTTGCTGGCCATCAAGACATGTAGACTAATGTTTAAATGTCAAAAGCAGATGTTGTTTGGAGTCTCCGTTTATGGATCAAAGGTACAAATTCCTCCTGTTTCCTAGGAAAATTCTAGAACACTCAAGATTGTTAATAATCCAGGGCTTTCTGTGATTTTTTTGGCATGTCAGGATTCCTATTATGTTGCTTAATACTCCTAAACACATGCTGAGCGGATTATTTGCTTACTACAATAGCACTGTGGGAAACAATTTGATTTACAAAGTACTGTAGTTCTTCAAAGGCATGTTTTAGAAACCTAATTAGAGATGGGCAGCAAAGAGGGGAGTGCAGATACTATATATATTATATATACACATAAAACGTATATAATATGTAAAATAAATTATATAATATTAAAATATGATATTATATATATTGTTCAGCATCAGCTTTGTCACAAAAATGTTGCAGTTCAATTACTCTTTGTATACATACAATATCTGCACATTTTGACAATTGCAGAGTGGTAGAATATTACTGCTTGTTTGCACGCAATTATGAATTTTACATGAGTCACAACAAATTATATGTAAATTGATGCTGTATGGCTATTTTAATGAGCTAGAACAGGGTTAGCAAACTATGGCCTGAGGACCAAATTTGGCCACATTTAAATTATCTATGTGCCTGGAGTTAGTCAAACTACAAAGTTTGAGGACACAGTCCCCAAGAGTGCTCCCACTTCCAAAGTTAACTGAAAGTTCGGGAGGTTCCAAAACCACCTTCAGGTTTGATAGTTTGCTAGAAGGATTCATAGAAGTCGCTGAAAGCTATTATACTTATGGTTACAGTTTATCACAGGGAAATAATGTGAATGAAAATTAGCCAAAGGAAGAGACAAAAAGGACACAGTCTGAGAAGGTTCCAAGTGTGAAAACTTTTATTGTCCTCTACCACTGACCAGCTGGCATTGATGTGTGACAATATGCATGGAGTATTGCCAACCAGGAAATCAGCTGAGCTTTGGTGTCCACAGTTTTTAGTTGGAGTTTCATTCTGTAGGCCTGATTGATTGATTGATTGATTGATTGCCTGAACTCAGTCTCCAGGTCTACTGATGCCTTGTGACACAAAGCCCCCACTCAAAGTCGCTTGGTTTGTCTTTCTGGCTTGGCCAGCTCTCACCTTAAACAAAGACAATCCTATTAGTTATGACATAGATGACCTTCCAGAAGCATTTTGTATCCATTGATTAAAAATAAATTAATCACAGATTTAATATAATTAATGCCACTACCAATGTTTAGCCCTATGACATTCAAGAGCAAATACTACTGGTAAGAACAAGGATGATATTTAGAGACTGTCCTTGGTAGGGTTGAATTTAAACCTCTAATTTTGTTTGTTTTGTTTTATTTTGGGAAAAGAGCCAGTAGTAATGGGCTTAGCATACCATCAAACAACTTTTTCTGAGGGCTTCCTTTCAGCAAGGCAATTGCCAGGCACACAGTTCTCCAATCTTTCTTATATCTGTTTCAGACCACAAGGGAGGAAAAAGGTGATTTACAAGCCAAGGCACAAAATTATTTCAGTCAAAACAGTTTATTCTAGATCCATAAAGCCAAGTTTTTCAACTCTAAGCCCCATGAAAATTGTTTTCTTTACATACCAATTAAGTCAAAACTAAGCCATATTCTTTCTCCTAAACTTATTTTTTAGCCATGAAAGTAATGAATGGTTAGCAAATAGTGGAAATTAGAGCAAAAACAAAAAAACAAAAACAACAAAAAAAACAAGAACCCAGCCCATTGTCTCATTTATCTTTTAATTTTAGCTTTTTAAAATGAAGCCATATCTCTACTCTTTACACTATTTATTGCACCTTTTTCCATTCATTATCATATTTGTTTTTTCATGTTATTACAGATTCTTTTAAAATATCATTTAAATGGTTATGTGATAGTCCATATATGAATATTGCATTATTGATTTAACCATTTGACTTTAGTTTTCTGTTTTTCTGAAATAATGCTTTTTGTTTTTTGTTGGGGTAATACATCAGAATGTCATTCCAAAATCTTTTTCTCAAATTGATGCAAGCTGGTAAGGTAATCCAGAACCTATCGTCTAACAGATGTCAGTTGCTTATATGACAAAACACATGCATTTACATATAAATGAAATTTAATTATCAAGTCAAATAAGCTTTTTTATTTATAGTTTTCTTTATCTTGACAAATACTAAGAAATATTTAATACTACACCTCTGTGATGGTTAATTTTAGATGTCAACTTGACTGGATTGAGGGATGCCTGGATGGCCGATGAAGCATTCTTTCTGGGTATGTCTATAGGGATTTTTTTTGGTAAGAGATTGGCATGTGAGTTGGTGAACTGAGTGGGGAAGATTCACCCTTAATATGAGCTAGAGGCCCAGATGGAACAAAAAGGTGAAAGGCAAATTCTCTCATTCTCTCTCTTTCTCTCTTGTGGTGTGGCAATACACTTCTCCTGCCCTTGGACATCAGAACTCTAGGTTCCTCAGCCTTTGGATGCTGGGACTTGCACCAGTGGCTTCCCAGGGCTTTTGGGCCTTTGGCCTTGGACTGAGAGTTATTCCTTCAGGTTCCTCAGTTCTCAGGTCTTCTGATTTGGACTGAGCCATGCTACTGGTTTCTCTGGTTCTCCAGCTTGCAGATGGACTATTGTGAGATGTCTAAGCCACCATAATTGTGTGAGCCAATTCTTGTAATAAACCCTCTCAACTATCTATCATCTATCTATCTATCTATCTATCTATCTATCTATCTATCTATCATCTATCTATCTATCTATTTATATTCCTTTTGGTTCTGTCTCTCTGGAGAACCTTAACTAATAGTCTCCTGTGTATGTTTAATGGAACCAACTTTCCAGAAACATTGCACTTGTGAAAGAAACAAAAAATCTGTGTTGTCTAGGGTCAGTGAAACTTGTCTTAGTCAGTATGATGTGGCTTGTGGTGGGCAGTCACATGGTTAGAGAATTAGAGGGTGCCCTCTATGAGTCTGCTACCCAGAAAGTATGAAGTATGTTTTTTTCCTTCTTTTTCATGTTTTAAAAAATTGATACACACTTTGGGAGGCCGAGGGGCAGGCAGATTGCCTGAGCCAGGAGTGCGAGACCAGCCTGGACAACATGGTGAAATCCTCTCTGTACAGAAAATATGAAAAATTACTCAGGCGTGGTGGTGCACACCTGTAATCCCAGCTACTCAGGAGGCTGAGGCACAAGAATCACTTGAACTTGGGAGGTGGAGGTTGCAGTGAGCCAAGATCGTGCCACTGCACTCCAGCCTGGGCAACACAGTGAGACTCTGTCTCTAAATTTAAAAAAAAAATTGATACATAATAATTGTACATAGTTATGGGGTACATGTGATATTTTGATACATGCATATAATGTATAATGATCAAATCAGGGTAACTAAGGTACCCATCTACCCATCACCTTAAACATGCATCATTTCTTTGTGCTGGGAACAGCACAAAGTTATTTTGAAATATACAATAAATTATTATTAACGATAGTCACTCTACTGTGCTATTTTATTTTTATTTTTATTTTTGAGACGGAGTTTCACTCTTGTCACCCAGGCTGGAGTGCAGTAGTACAATCTCGGCTCACGGCAACCTCCACCTCCGAGGTTCAAGCAATTCTCCTGCCTCAGCGTCCCAAGTAGTGGAATTACAGGCATCTGCCACCATACTTGGCTAATTTTTGTATTTTTAGTAGAGACGGGGTTTCACCAAGTTGGCCAGACTGGTCTCAAACTCCTGACCTCAGGTAATCCACCTGCCTCAGCCTCCCAAAGTGCTGGGATTACAGGCATGAGCTACCGCACTGTGCTATTTTAATCTCAGCTTTGCTTCCTAGCTGGTGGCCTGTACCCCTCCACCTTCTCCTCTTGATGTTACTACTTTTCTCTGTAGAATCCTTCTTGACCACCCTCTTCTTCCACCTAGAAGTGCTTAATGTTGCTCTTATTGCTGCTCAGCCTAACCCCTTCTCTCTGTTCTCCCAACATTGAGAGTTATTTATTCTCAAGTGAGGTATTTCTTCGCCCACATGGGGCAGAGCTATTTCTTCTCAGTTTTTCACGGGCTTCTAGTGATGATAGCTCTTTATTTAGCTTCCTCTCTATTAGGGCTTTTCTCTCCCTAGGAATTTGGCTCGAGTTTCTGAGGGCTGGACAGGAAGGCAATCTGAGTGATGCATTATCACTCTGCATTCAGAACTGCCCTCCCTCTCAGATCTCAGCCTCTGTCCACACACCAAGTCTGACTCTCCATCCTCTCCTCTGGGGCTGAACTCTTTCTCTATTAGGCACACTGCCTGTGAGGGGATGAGGGGTGAGTTTCTGTTCCCCAGTGGCTTCAGGGCTACAGCCTTCCTAGAGGCTGGCTGACAACATCTCTCACTGTCCCTCCTGAGATGGTGGTCGTTGGCCGTCTAAAAGTTGCACTCTGGTGAGGCTGTCTACAGGCTACCTTGACATGTTTAGACTTGTCTCAGTTCTCAACTTCTCAGCTTGAGCTAATGTTCTGGGACTCTCACTCCATTTATTTGGAAATTACTGAACTTGATTATTTTTGTGTTAATATTAATTTTTAAAATTTCACATCGTTAAATCTCCATTGAGTGATTTAATGTGATTAATTTCTTCAGAACCTTGCCAGACAAAATAAATGTTTTCTGCTCTTATTTTGTAATCTCTGATCTTCTGGTGTCCTTTATGGTGAAAAGGCCGTCACAAAGTAGGCAAAGGGAAAACAATTCTTTTGTAGTTGTATCTTTGTATACACAAGTTTTATTTTTCTTAAGAAATATCTTAAACTTTTATGTACTATGATAAAATATAGGATTATGGCAAAAATTTAGAGCATATGATAAAAACTGTGTTAACAGAGCAAATCATAAAAAGAGTTTAGAAAAAATGCTGTTAAGTGAGTGCAAATCTGATGTGAAAAAATTTAGTTTTATTCATTTTTTAATTATTTTTAATTTTTATTTTTAGATGGAATCTCGCTCTGTTGCCCAGGCTGGAGTGCAGTGGCGCAATCTCGGCTCACTGCAACCTCCACCTCTGGAGTTCAAGCGATTCTTGTACCTCAGCCTCCTGAGTAGCTGGGATTACAGGCATGTGCCACCACACCCAACTAATTTTTGTATTTTTAGTAGAGATGGGGTTTCAGCATGTTGGCCAGGCTGGTCTCGAATTCCTGACCTCAAGAGATCCGCCCACCTCGGCTTCCCAAACTGTTGGGATTGCAGGAGTGAGCCACCACGCCCCTCCAAATTTATTTAGTTTTAATTCCATCCTTTCATCCATCCACCCCTGCAGTCATTCAGCTTCTACCTTCTGTCAGATGCTGTGCTAGGTGTCAAGGATATGAAAATGATTCAGGTGTGGTGTGCGCTCCAGAGATATATATCATCTAAAGGGGGACAGAGATGTGTCAAGAGGTGTTGTAGAAACACCATTTGTGCCCCACATCACATTCCTTTGGTAACCTCTGACTTGGGCCACAGCTGCAGTAGACAGTAATAGTGCATAGTGATGGCTTTCCCTGAAGCTACTTGACTGCCGTGTGTGTGTGTGTGTGTGTGTGTGTGTGTGTGTGTGTGTGTGTGTGTTTAATTTACATTGCAGGGTGGGGGGAATCTGAACCAATGAGGACAAGAGTTGGTGGATAAATGCCCCTGGTTCCTCATGTTTCAAAGGCCAATTCTAAGAAACACTCTACATGGTTCCTCAGCAGATCCCCCTGGGACTGAGCCTCCCTCACCCCGCAGTTGTAACCCGCTTAACAATTCTGCTTTTATCGTCTTTCCCTGTTACCTGTCTCATTCTCCACTCTCTCTCACTCTGGCTTCCTGGGAACATCATCCAAATTAATGATTTGTACCCAAATCTCTTGTCCCTTGCACCTAAGGTCCTTCTTTTGGGCAGAACCCACTTACAGGATTACTACTACAAGAAATTTTTTTTTTTTGGAGGCAGAGTCTCGCTCTGTCACCCAGGCTGGAGTGCAGTGGCACGATCTCGGCTCACTGCCTCCCAGGTTCACGCCATTCTCCTGCCTCAGCCTCCTGAGTAGCTGGGACTACAGGCACCTGCCACCACACCTGGCTAATTTTTTTCTATTTTTTAGTAGAGACGGGGTTTCACTGTGTTAGCCAGGATGGTCTCGATCTCCTGACCTTGTGATCTGCCCGCCTTGGCCTCCCCAAGTGCTGGGATTACAGGAGTGAGCCACTGTGTCCGGCCTTTTTTTTTTTTTTTGAGACAGGGTCTCATCGCCAAGGCTGGAGTACAGTGGAGCAAACACAGCTCACTGCAACCTCCACCTCCAGGATGCAAGCAATCCTCCCACCTCAGCCTCACAAGTAGCTGGGAATATAGGCACAAGCCATCACGCACAGCTAATGTTTGTATTTTTTTTTATAGCGATGGGGTTTCACCATGTTGCCCAGGCTGGAAAATAATCTCTATAGATGATAAAGATATAAGCAGAGTTCTCTGATAATTAATTTTTGGGGTAAGAGTTGCCAGGAAAGACCATAGGCCAATTGCAGGAGCCAAAGAAAGGGAGAAATTTGAAATTGATCATTGAAAAATAAGCTCCTCCAATTTATTTAACTTTAGCTCAAGATGAGATATATATAGCCATGGGATAATATAGAGGAGGCTAATTTGCATATCTCATGTTATTCGGATTAGTTATATCTGCCTGAGGCCTTCTGGGCCTTCTAGAAGAGTCAGTGACAAGTTGGAGTTAATGCCCAGTCCTAGGACTAAGCAATTTTTAAAACAAAAAATAGGAACAGGTCTATGCTTTCACTTCTGAAACCATTTCTTGATCAGGGAGGATGCTTTTAAGCGGGAGAATGTCAAGGTGCCCCGGCTTGGCTTAGTGATAATGGTTGTGATGAGGGATGAAAGGACAGTTTGCTTGTGACACAGCATGGTGGTTTTTTACTGTCTTCTAACCAAGCTTCCAAGGGAACTTGTGCCAAATTACATGAGAGAAGGACTGAAAATTTAAAGGGAACATCAAAAGGGAAAGTTATCATTCATCAAAGCATTGTAAAAAACTAAAATAATAAAGACCTCCTTGTAGAAGACCAATTTTCTAGCAGAGCCCAATGCCTTGGCTAAAACCCCTGGAGAATATGAGGTGTGAACAGATCCACACTGGTGTTAATGGAGGGAACCATGTCTGCTCTCAGGTCCAGATCCTAAAACCATGCCAAGTGGCAGGCAGAACCATCAAGGTTCCTGAGGCCACAAATGGAGGGAAACCAACTGTGAAACCCCAGGGACTGGTCAGATGAAGGGAGGTGATGCAGTGGAGGTGGGCGAGAGAACTGGAGATTGTGAATATAATTATTCACATCTCTGTCACTGTTTCTCCCCAGTCATCTTGTAGTTGCACATTGGGGAAGCATGAGTTACAGTGGTGTGCTTAATAAGCAAACAAAATTGTGTCGCTTCTCTAAAAACAACAAAAACATGGAATTCTCTACTTGGGCAGAATAATAAAAGCCTACTATAGAATACAAAGACAAACAACATAAAACCCCAAATATGAGGCCTCTATTTTGCATAATAATTCTTAAAATAACCCTCATATTTACTTCACTTTTCCAAATTCCCATTGTTCATATTTGTAAAACGAAGATAAAGATACTTAACCTCCCAAAATTATGTTGTTATACAAGAAAATATCTGTTTCACCTCCAGCATTTCGGTGCCTGACATACGCCAGGGTGTTCAAGAAATTTCAGCTGTTTCTACTCTCTGTTCACATAAGGCAGGGAAGATAATAGCATTGTAAATAAACCTAATTTCTTTTTTTGAAAACTCTCAGTTTTAAAGTAGAAAGGGAGAACCAGGAAGTAACATTTCTTTCCTTAAACGCTTCATAATCAGATTTGGGGGTATTTCTTTGGGGAGATCAGAAAGTGGGTTTAGATTACCATGATTACTTTCTGCCTTACAGGAGTCCCTTGAAGATTTATGGCTAATAGGCAATTTAAGAATTGTAAACTGTCTTTACTTTTATGAGGACTTTTGTGAAGTTGCATAGACTTTAGGAATAGCAAGTATGATTATAAAATTTAAGGTTCATGAACAAAATAAAGTTCAGTTTTCTTAAAATGTACCCAGATAAAAATAAAAGTAGTCCTCTTTCTTAGTCTTCACATACATATAAAATTGAGTATTCAAAGTAGTCACAGGACTGTCATACTTATTTAAATTTACAGTGTCTTAAATATGATCACTGGTAAATGCCTCCTTAATATTTAGGCGTGTACGTATACAATCATATATACACACATATATGTAATAATGTCTATCTTGTAAAATGAGAATAATTTCACCATAAAATTGTTATGCAGATCATTCTAGGAAGTAAAAAGAGCTTTACAGTTAGTGCTATTTTGTGAATATTTGTGTCCCTTCCAAACACATATGCTGAAACCCAATTTCCAATGCAATAGTTTTAAGAGACGTCGATTTGGCCGGACACAGTGGCTCATTCCTGTAATCCCAGCACTTTGGGAGGCCAAGGTGGGCAGATTGCCTAAGTTTAGGAGTTCTCGACCAGCCTGGGCAACATGGTGAAACCCTGTCTCTACTAAAATACCAAAAATTAGCCAGGCGTGGTGGCGTGCGCTTATAGTTCCAGCTACTTGGGAGACTGAGGCAGGAGAATAGCTTGAACCCGGAAGGCGGAGATTGCAGTGAGCTGAGATGGTGCCATTGCACTCCAGCCAGGGTGACAGAGCGAGACTCCATCTCAATCAATCAATCAATCAATAAAAGAGATGTGGACTTCAAGAGGACTTTAAGAGGCAATGAGGTCATGAGGGCGGAGGTCTCATGAATGCAATTAGTGGCCTTAGAAAAGAGGCCTAAAGGAGCTTGTTCACCCCTTCCACCATATAAGAATGCAGCAAGAAAGTGCCATCTATGAAGCAGAGAGCAAGCCCTCACCAGATGCTAAGTGGGTTAGTGCCTTGATCTTGAACTTCGCACTCTCCAGAACTGTGAGAAATGCATTTATGCTTATGAACTACCCAGTCTAAGGTATTTTTTAATAGCAGCCTGAATGTGCCAAGAGAGTTAGTTTTTGCATTTCATTGACCCATACCATTTGAAATGCTTCCACGGTGTTTCTATGAAATCATCATTTAGAATTCAGAATTTCTGTCCTAGAGTTATTATCATAACTGCACAATTCTGTTTGTGTTGATTACCACAATGGTTGCTCTTGGCCAGGCACAGTGTCTCATACCTGTAATCCCATGCTTCGAGAGGCCCAGGTGGGAGCATTGCTTGAGGCTGAGAGCTCCAGACCAGCCAGGGCAACATAGAAAGACCCTATCTCTACAAAATTATTTTAAAAAGTTAGCCAAGCATGGTGGTGGGTGCCTGTAGTCCTAGCTACTTGGGAGACTGAGACAGAAGGATTAATTGAGTCCAGGAGTTTGAGGCCACAGTGAGCTATGATTGTGCCACTGCACTCCAGGCTGGGCAAGAGACTGAGACCCTGTCTCTAAAAAATAAATAAAATAGTTGCTCTTAATCTTATCTTTAAGCTTATTCTGGCTGAAGATTTTAAGTGGCAATCTCTTTTATAAGTGAAGATGCAATTATTTATTCAGCACCTAATATGAGTAGGATGCTGATATGGTTTGAATTTGTGTCCCTGCCCAAATCTCATGTTGAATTGTAATCCGTACTGTTGGAGGAGGCCTGGTGATAGGTAATTGGATCATGGGGGCTGACTTCCCTCTTTCTGTTCTTGTGATAGTGAGTGAGTTCTCACGAGTCCTGCTTGTTTAAAAGTGTGTAGCACCTCCCCTTCTTGCTCTGCCTCCTGCTCCAGCCATGTAGGACATGCCTGCTTCCCTTTCACCTTTCATCATGATTGTACGTTTCATGAGGCCTCCCAAATCATGGGCCAATTAAATCTCTTTTCCTTATAAGTTATCCAGTCTCAGGTAGTTCTTTATAGCAATGTGAGAACAAAGGAATACAGAAGCTATGCTAAAAAAATGAAATTTCTTCCTGCCTTCAGAAGCTCATATAATGGAGACAGAGAGACAGATACATTCATTCATTCATTCACAAATATTTATGGAGAGCTCACCATAATCACTGGCATGTAGTAATAACTTTATATTCATAGGAGATGGGTCTATTATGAATTCTATAACAAATTGTTTTACATACTATAGGGACAGGAGAGACAAATTTGGGTTATGGATATCTAGTAAGAATTTCTATAGGATGTATCATTTGAAATTGGCCACCAGGCATTGATGGGACTTTGACGTGGAAATTGAGGGACAGAAGGGCATTCTTGGTAGAGGAGACTATATGCATGTATAGGTAAACGGAGACTCAAAAATATATTTATTTTGTTATATCTATTGTGTTCCTGTGATATAGAATACTTTAATACAATGAATAATAAAGGAATGCCACTGTGTTCTAATTATTTGGGGGATACTCAGACCACTCAGTCTCTTGAACAACATATAATCACATGGGAAAGGGTGGGTTACTGTATACAGCTGGTTGGACTGGGCTTGGCTTAGGCGATGAGCTTGGAAGGCAGCCAGCTGGATAATGGGTGGTGGTGTGAATCTACGGCTTGCTAGTGGTCAACTCATTGAGTCGAAGATAACCGATAAATATACCAAAGCACCTGCGGAGAAAGGAGAGCACCTCTTCTCTTGCTACCTTTTCTCCTGACGTCTCTCCCACAGTAAATGTGAGATGGTGAAAGCGCTTCTATCTTGTGCTCTCTCATATATGTGCTTGTGCGCAAGCTTTTTGCCCCAATGGGTATGCTCTTTTGTCCTTTCCATGCTTCATGCTGATAGCAGTATCATCAGGCCTTCAAGGCCCGAGTCAAATCCTTCTTTTTCTCTGAAGTTTCCACAGCCCACTCCAGCCACAACCACCTCACTCCCCTCTGAATGCCTCTACTGTGCCTACCGCCTTTGCTCATCTTAAATGGCCTTTTTTGTACTTCTTAACCTTTTTTAAGTTATTCTTTAACTAATTTCTTGAGTTCTTAATTGTCCCTTAATCGTAATAGTTACCATTTATTGAGCATCCTCTAATCTAAGTCTCATAATTCTAGGAGGGGCTATTATTATCCCTATTTGATTCATTTATTCTTTCATTCATTCATTCAACAGTTTTGAGCCCCTATTCTTATGTCTTAGCCATTGAGATCTCTGTGATCAAAACTGACAAAAGTTCTTATCCTCAAGGAGCTTATATTCTACTGGGAGCAGAGTATGTCAAATGGTGCAAGGCATTTTAGAGAAAAATACAGCAGGGAAGGAGGAAGTGCTAGAGAGTAGAGGGCTAACATTTTTTAACGGGAGGTTAGGAAGGGCCTTACTGAGAAAGTAACAATTGAGCAAAGACTTGCAGGAGATGAGTGAATGTGTGAGCCATGCAGTCAAGAGGCGGGAACTGCACCCAGGCAGAGGAAACAAAAGGAAAAAAGCTCTGTGGTGGGAGCACGCCTGGGGGACACGTGAAGTGGTGAGGAGGCCGGGGGCCTGAAACAAGATAATGCGAAGGAGAGGAATAGGAAATAAAGTTAGAGTGGCAATAGGGGCTGGAATCCATAGGGACTTGCAAGGCCCAAGCTTTTATCCTGATACAGCTGGGAAACTATTAGAGGGCTTTGAGTGGATGAGGGCCATGTTCTCATTTACTTTTTTTTTTTTTTTTTTTTTTGAGGGGACAGAGTTTTGCTCTTGTTGCCCAGGCTGGAGCGCAATGGCATGATCTCGGCTCACCACAACCTCTGCCTCCCGGGTTCAAGTGATTCTCCTGCCTCAGCCTCCCAAGTAGTTGGGATTACAGTCAGGCATCACCACACTTGGCTAATTTTGTATTTTTAGTAGAGATGGGGTTTCTCCATGTTGGTCAGGCTGGTCTCGAACTCCCGACCTCAGGTGATCTGCCCACCTCAGCCTCCCAAAGTACTGGGATTACAGACGTGAGCCACCATGCCTGGCCTCACTTACATTTTAAAAGAATTAGTTTGGCACTGTGTGGAGAATAAATTGTAGGAGGACAAGGGTGGAGGCAGGGAGGCTAGTTAAGAGACTATGGCAGTGATCCAGGTGAGAGATGTTGATGGCTTGAATTAGCGTGGTAATGAAGGAGGTGAGAGGAACGTGAGGATTAGGGAGGATAAGCAATTTGCCTGAAGAGTTGCACAACCCAGAACGCAGCAGATCAGGAATCTGAACCCAGGCTGGCCTTCTTGCAAAGCCCCTGGTGCTTCTTTGTGCTTGTGTGATTTCATCAACTTGGTTAGAAGACAGGGAAAGGACTGAATGCAGGGTTGCTACTTGCTCGACCCTGAGGGTGAATGTCTCCTTAAAATTGGTGCCCTAGAAGCCTCTGTGGCCTCACCCTCATCCTGGTCCCAGGACTAAACCTCTATATTTCAGGTTTCTTCTAGGTCAGAACCCTACCCCAGAGATGTTCCATAGCAATTTGTGAATTGATTGGGAGGCAGCAGTGGAGTTGCCGTTGGGACCCAAGTACATATGCTGTGATAATGTGGGAGAACTGAGGGCATCCTGTGGAGACAGGCAGACTGCCTTGATCCCTCGAGGAAACCCACACTACTTGACTTTGTGCTGTTGGTGTAGCTCTACAGTCTTTAACTCCAAAATACCCTTAGTTCAGTCTGGTTCATTCAACAAATAAACAAGTTATAATTGTTTTACCAGCCACTGTGATAAGTACTGGGAATAATAAAAGCCAACAATCATAATAAAATAAAACATAATCTGTCCTTGAGGAATTCTCAGTTTAGAGCCATGACCACAATAAATAAATTTTAAGTGTGACACGCATGTACACACAACTGAAACAAAGGTTTTGTGCAGCTTCTGTTTATTGTGTGCCACGTACTTGGATATTTTCTGTTCTCTTTTAAAATGTGCTGGTCATAGCCTTCTAAATTGAGTTTATGACTGACTAGTGGGTTGCACTACAAGTCCTAAAATTTGAAAAAAAAGGAGAAGGGGAAGCAGATACATAAATAAATGCATGTAGAGAGCCAGTGGGGGAAAGGTATGGCTGAAAGCATAGACTGAGGCCATGTGAGGAAGGACCGTGAGTGATATGATACTGAATTTAGTGTTTCTCCTATAGCTGACAAGGAGATCATAAAGGTTTTTAGGCAAAGGAGTACTTAATAAAAACGTTTAAGAAGACAGCATTTGCAATGAGGGAAGAGTCATTCAAATAGTATTTTAGTAATGGAAGCAAAGATGATGTTAAGCCTCAAATGGAAGCTGCGGCATTTATTCATTCATCCACTAATTATTTGCCGCACCATGTCAGATGCTGGAGTGACAATGTTGAAAAACATACAAACCCTGCCTTCAAGGTGCTATGGCCAATTGGAATATATATGATGATGACATCAATTATATGACAGAGTAATACACATTCTGAGAGTATTGCAGAATTTGTGGAAGAGCAAGAGTGGAAAATCTGCTTTTTCCCTTTATTAATAGTAAACTTTGAATTCGAAGCCAAATACAGTTGGTTTGTATATTCCTTTTTAAAAAGAATACTGTTTCCATGCTATTTACATAGTTAAAGTTGGCCGTAACTGAGGGTCTTCACTCAGGACAAGTCAAATGACATTCACTTTCTTTTCATTAACACCCTTTGCATTTTTCCCTTGGTTCTGCTGCTTGGAAGTTTCCTGGCACACCAGGAAACTGAGTGTACGTCCCTTTTCTTTCTTCTACTTTCCACACCACAGTGGTGTGGACAGGTGGTCCCTGACTTGCAGTGGTTTGATTTATGATTTTTCGACTTTACAATGGGTTTATTGGGGGTATTAAATGCATTTTCACCTTACGATGGGGATTATCAGGGTATAGCCTCATTGTAAATCAAGAAGCATCTGTATTAGATTTTCTGTCTGCTGAAACAAATTACTACCAATTTAGCATCTTAATACAAAAATTTGGTTTTTTTCTTTTTTTAACAAAATAATCTGCACAATCAAGAAATTTATTTATTTATTTTACAACTCTGTAGGTCATAAGTTCAGCATGAATTTCACCAGTCTAAAATCAAAGTGTCAGCAAGGCTAGGTTCCTTTCTGGAGGCTCGAGGGAAAATCTATTTCCTTGTACATTGATCATTGGTAGAATGTAGTTCCTTGAGTCTGTAAGACTGAAATCTCTGTTTCCTTGGTGGCTGTCAGCTGAGGGTTCTTTCCAGCTTCAGAAGCCACTCACATGCCCTAGTTTAAGAACCCCTTCCTCAATCATCAAAGTCAGCAACTCTTCTGCTTTCCTCTTCCACTTTCAAGGACTCGTGATTACATTGGGCCTACTTGAATAATCCAGGATAATCCCCTCCTCTCAAGGTTCTTAACCTTAATTACACCTGCAAAGTCTCTTTTGCCATGTAAGGTAACATATTTACAGATTCTAGGGATTATAGCATGGACATCTTTGGGGGAGGGGAGGATTATTTGGCCTACCACACAATGCCTGCACCTCCTCTGTTATTGCCTGAAAATGTAGCCAGTGGCAGAATAGGGAGCCAGATAGGCTGGTGCTGGGGCGTCGAGGGTATCAGCAGACACAGCAGCAAATCTGGAGACTAGACCCACTGTAAGAGATGATGGATTTCAGTTCTAATCCATCAGTGAACCCAGAATCCAGTGAACCTTTTGAGGCAAGAAACGTAAATATCTAACTTGGCATTTTCCTAGCATTCCCCAGCTATAAGCTAGGCAGTTTAGAAAACAAGGAATTCAGACTCTAGACCCTGCTCAATAGGTTCACCAATTAAAAGTGTCAGTCTGAGGAGAAGCAGCATGATGATGATGGGAGGCACACTCTGAGGGGAAAAGAAACAGGGTTAGGGAGGAGTGAGCCACTGTCCCAGATTAATAGAACGTTAGAACTGTCCAAAGGATCTGAGATATCCTTTAGCCATGTTCTAGGCCTTTTAGGAAGTTTTCTGGAGCAGGCCTTACGCTTTATACCTGGTTTACTGCTTTATCCACAACATCACTGTTTTAGTTGCTCAAGAAATACTTGAATGATGTACTAGAGTAGAAACTCTGGTTAGAAAGGTGAGTTGATATGTTCAAGATCAAACGGTTGGTTTGCAGGAGAGAGGGCATAGACTGGTTTTGAGTCTTTGTTCTACCAAATTTAGGAGGTACCTTCCGTAAAATGAACTCCTGCACCAAATGAGGCTTCTTGTATAATTTCTCTCTACCTTGCACATAGCATTTCTTCCTTCTATATGAAATTATTCATATAGAATAATTCTATTCATTTAATAACCTATTTATTTAATGTCTAAAACATTAGTCAAGAGACCTGAGTTCTGTTCCCTGTTTCCCCATTCACTTCCTTGGTGTCTGAGACAAATTACTTAACCTGTCCAAACTCCAGTTTCTTCAATCATGAGAGAGGCTGAGGTTCCTTCTCAGCTCGCACATTCTATAATTCTAAATTTCATGGAGGCTAATGAATTAATAAGCTCCCTGCTATGGTTTGGGTATGGCTTTGGACCTGCAAAGTGTCATGTTGAAATATGAGTCCCAGTGCTGGAGTTGGGGCCTGGTGGGAGGTGTTTGGGCCATATGGATGAATTCCTCACAAATGGCTTGGTGCTATTCTCCTGAGAGTGAGTTCTCATCCTTGAGAACAGGTTGTTCAAAAGAACCGAGAGTCAGCTTCTCCCTTTCTCTCCCCTGATGCCCCATCTTGCACTGTAGCCATGTGATCTCTGCACGAAGTCTCCCCTTTGCCTTCTGCATGAGTGGAAGCAGCATAAGGCCCTCATCTGAAGCTGACAGCCTGCAGAACCATGAGTCAAATAATCCTCTTTTCTTCATACATTATCCAGCCTCCCGTATTCCTTTATAGCAACACAAACAGATTAAGACCCTCACCCATGGACCATATGTCTGCATGTCCTCATATCAGTGTTCCCAAAAGTGTGATCAGCCACCACCAAAGTCATCTCAGGTTGGCCAAGCATGGTGGCTCATGCCTGTAATCCCAGCACTTTGGGAGGCAGAGGTGGCCTGGATCATTTGAGGTCAGGAGTTCGAGACCAGCCTGGCAAACAAAGTGAAACCCTATCTCTACTAAAAATACAAAAATTAGCCGGGTGTGGTGGTGCATGCCTGTAATCCCAGCTACTCGGGAGGCTGAGGCAGGAGAATTGCTTAAACAAGGGAGGTGGAGGTTGTAGTGAGCCACGATTGTGCCACTGCACTCCAGCCTGGGTGACAGAGTAAGACTCGGTCTCAAAAAAAAAAAAAAAAAAAATCACCTGAGATCCTTTACATATGCTGATTTTTGCAGTTGTTAAGAATAATGAATCAGATATATGGTTTCCATTAGGCCATGCTTCCCTTTTCACTCTATAGGCATGCTACACATAAAAAGTGATAATATTTATGTGGCATACTAGGGGAAGAAACCTTAAGACTGTCTCTCTGACAATGCACATCTTGCTGAGAAATTCTGCCATACGTATTGAGAAAAACAGCTGCAGAAAAATATACATATGATCTAACTTTTTCAAGACAATGCCAAAGCTCAGTATTAGAGTGTATGCATATCTGCATGAATATGTATTGTTTTTATACAATTACATGTTATTTTATGTAAGTGCAGATATACACTATTACAAGAATATTTAAAGAAATGTACTAGGTTGTTAATGTAGGGGAAGAGAAGAGGGAATACACGGAATAAAAATTTTTGTAAGTGAAAAATTCAATATGTATGTCATGACTCCATTTATACATTTATGTAAAATAATGTATAGAGATGTAAAAAATAAAAAATGCAGATCCAGAGCCCCTACCTCAGATCCTTTCAAGCGTAATCTTAGCAATAGGAGGTATGGTAAGGTGGGTGTCTGCATCTTCAACAGGTATTCCAAATGATTCTATAACAGTAAAGTCTGTAAACCTTTGCATTAGGTGCAAATATCATTAGCTGTAAACAGAACATAGTTGGAAATTTCCATCCTGCAATGCGGGCTCAGCTGACCCTCATTGTCTTGGAACATAGTAGATGCATAATAAATAGTGCAGATTATTTTGAGTCATTTGGAGGACAGGTGGAGGGAGTGAGGGCAAAAGTGGTGAGAGAAGCAGATGAGCTGGGCAAGGACATGCTTGCTCAGGAGAAGGGAGGCAAAGCGTATAAGAACATACTGAGCCTCCTTGCCACTTTCGACGTTCAACCAATATTTGTTAGGCACTAAATATACATGCAGGACACTTTTCTGTATGTTGTTTCATTTAATTCTTAAATAATCCTTTACAGACTCAGAGAGGTGAAGAGAGTAGCACAGGTAGTATCAGAATTGGGATTCAAACCTGACACATACACTGAGCACTAAGTTAAAACCGGGCACTGGGCAGCTGCTGAGGATGCGATGGTGAGTACAACAGACTGCTTGCTCTTTTTGATATCTAGAATCGTACAGCTCTGCTGTGCTCATCCTTGTCTGTTGTCATTTACTAGTTGACATCTTCGTTGACTACCTAGAAGCAGCTGCTTCGACATCTATCCCAACCTGAATCCCGTCAAAGGGAGATTACAACAAATGTGCTTTTTGTCTATCATCTCTAGCTAGTGTTTCACAGTGGGGGGAGTATCATTTCCTGGGTGACTTTGCATAGAGCAAGCTCCCCAAAGGCCAAGGAATACTCAATCTAGATTCTTCCAATCCTCCGGTACCCACCAAGTCAAAAGAATTCTGGCTCCCTGTAGCTTCATCTAAGTGCTTTTCTGTTAGAGGAGAAAAGTGAGGAAAGCGATGCTCTTTCAATAAGTTCGGCAGGGTGGGGCAAGGAATGGTACAAATTGATTTTTTTTTTTTCTTGAGACAGAGTCTCGCTCTGTCTCCCAGGCTGGAGTGCAGTGGCCCGGTCTCGGCTCACTGCGACCTCCACCTCCCGGATTCAAGCGATTCTCCTGCCTTAGCCTCCAGAGTAGCTGGGACTACAGGCGTACGCCACCACTCCCGGCTAATTTCTGTATTTTTAGTAGAGACGGGGGTTTCACCATATTGGCCAGGCTGGTTTCGAACTCATGACCTTGTGATTCGCCCGCCTCGGCCTCCCAAAGTGTTGGGATTACAGGCGTAAGCCACCGCGCCCGGCCGGTACAAATTAATTTAACACATCTTTTGATAATCTCATCCTTGGTGTTGGAAAAGACGGGAAAATCCAAAAGTGTCTATTTTGTGCCCAAATGCTCAAGTTAATACTCGAGGGCCTTGATCTCTGGCCTCTTGCCATCCCTCTCCCCATTATTTCTGAAGAAGTAGCCATTTTGCAGATTCCGGAGGATGGGAGCCACGGCCGGCCCCTGGTACTGAATCTCATCTCCTTCTCAAGGCTCCTTGGATCAAGTTGGGACCGGCAGCGCCAAGGCTGCTCTCCGTGATTTAGCAGCAACCTAGAGTCAGAGAGACCGGAAGATGGGAGGCCGGGATTCTCAGGTGGGGTCAGGGGTATGCAAAAATCCTTAGCAGCGGCCGCGCCCCCGCCCCGGGGAGGTAATTTGCGGAGGGCGGTGCAGTAGCCTCTCCAGTGCCCGCGTCCCACGGTCTAACGGCACTGCTCCCGGGGTGCGCGGCCCACGACTCAGGCTGCCTCCCCCAACCTGACAAGTGTGCGTCCTTACCACAAAATGCCACCACTTCCCTAAGTGACGCTGGGCCCCGAGGACCTGATTTGAAATCGGTGTTCAGAAGACCGAGCCCGGCTGGACGCAGCTGGCCTCCGGCTGAGAGCGGAGGGGAAGGGTTCCATACTCTCCGAGGATCCCGCGGGCTCGTGGCGTGTGGAACGCTTTTCATCGCTTTCAGTTCCCGTTTCCTTCGCCCCGACTGCCTACTCGGTCGCAGCTAAAGCCCGGAGCGTGGGATCCGGGCCCGGAGGAACGGGATGGCGAACGCGAGCTGCGCCGCGGCCAGGAGCCCGCCGCACCGGGCATGCTCAGTGGCGCGGCCGGCTGGGTGGCCCGCGAGCTGCACCCGGATCTGCTCGGCGGCGGCGACGTGAGCGCGCAGGGGGGCGGCGGCCTCGCCTCGTCTCTCTCTCTGCGCCTGGGTCGGGTGGGTGACGCCGAGAGCCAGAGAGATGTCGGATTTCGACAGTAACCCGTTTGCCGACCCGGATCTCAACAATCCCTTCAAGGTGAGCTTCGGCCCCAGCATCTCCTGCCGCCGCGACGCGTCGTTGTTTGTGAAAACGGACGAGTTCCTTCGCGCCCACTGCGTCTGCCCCTCGGCTCCCCTTAGCAGCCCAGAGAGGGGCGCGGGGCCGCCGTCCTCCATTTGGGGTCGCGCCCCGGCCCCGTGTCACTCCTTTGGGTTTTGGGGCTTGGGGGTGGAACCTCCTCAGCTCGTGCCCGGTCGCCCTTCCACACGTCCCCGACTGGTGAGGGTCGTGTCTGCAGCCGGGACTGGGCCCGCGCGCCCGGAGGGGTCCTGGCCCGCCTCTCAGGAGAGAAAGCCGAGGGCAGGTAGAGTCGCCCCTTGCCAAGCAAGTGTGGCTGGCAGGGCCGGGAGTCGGCGGAGGGGGGCCCGCCCTGGGGTGGGGTTGTCATGGGGACCCGAGGTGGCGGCGGCGGAGAGCTGCGTGGGGTGATGGCAGAGGTGTGGAGGAGGAGAGAGGTGAGGGCACCGAGTATGCTGCAATTAAAAAAAAAAAGGTTATGTTTTTATTTTTTAAACTTGTGTTGCACCCAAATACCACCAGTGGCGCTGCCATCCCCCCTCTTTCTGTTAGGTTGAGGTTGAGGTTATTGATACCAAAGCAAAACTTAAAAATAAACATATCTGGAAAACAATAGTGCACGTGGACGACCTCTTCCCTACCCAGCTGCTTCTAGCAAGGTAAACGATGGGATATTTTCCAAGCTCCTAGTGCGTCACCGGTTCTCTGGGCTATGTGAGGATACCATTTCCTACTTGAGCTGCTTTTCTTCTTGGAGTCGACCTTATCAACCCCGGCTTCGGAAGGGCTTGGCACAGAATCCTGCAAAGGAAGGCGGCTGAGATATTCATCGTCTGCGTTTAAATGAATGCAACATCTAAATAACTCTCTCTTTGAAAGTATTCTGAATTTCCTAATGAGTGTAACTGTTAGCACGTGTAATTTGTTTCCAACTGTTGGTTGAAGTTGTTTCTCAATCCCCCCGGCCATGTGCAGTAGTAACTTTAATTTGCAGTCACACAGAATAAAACAGGAACTCTAATTTGTGGTCACACAAGTGTCACTTCTGGCTTGTTGAGTTTACATCTTTTTACTCCTGGTTTTATCTTTCATTAAGAATCCTGGAAGAGGAAAACTATTTCTGCTCTGATTATTAAATGCCTGATAATTCCAAGGAGGATTATTTTAATGAAATGACCCTGATTATTATTGACAACTCGACTCACTTTGTAGCAGTGTAGAATTAGACTCAGTCACTGTTTCATTGTCCCTAATGTCACTTAAAATTCAGTACAACTGGCCTGTACCTTTCAGTGACATGGTTGCATTTTAAGACTTTTTTTTTTTTCCTGGCAGTTTTGTTTCAATTAGTATTGGACTTGCTTCCATGTTGTGGAAAATCAGGTAGTTCTTAAATGGTAGACTTTCTAAAGAGACCGTTCATAAATTGTTAAATGGGTGTTATTTTAAAATATTTTGAAGATAAAACATCAAGAACCTTTTAGCCTTTCCTAATTCAGATAATTCACTGACGCTGTTTATTCAGCATCTGACGATTTGGCAGTGTATTTTCTACTTGGTCATTCCATTTCATGGTTCATTTCATATTAACTGGCTCTCTTGTTAGGGCAAAACATTGTCTTCATCTTAGCCCAGACTGTCCTTTTGTGACATCTGATATTGCCATGACACTTTTCCTCTTCTGACATTCATAAAGTTGCTGTAGTAATTCTAAACCCAGGAGTTGTTTTAAATATTCATTGTGGCATAACGTTATAAATCTTTTTTGTTCTTTTATAAGTGGATGTATCCAGGACAATGATTATTCAAGTTTGTAAAATGCATCAGGGACAGATCATTTAGGTCTAAAGTAGACTTGGTTGTACACATATTTCTGCTTATGATCTTTCTCTGTTTTTGGTGACTGTTATAGCACTGTCAGTGTATCTGACCCTTTATTTTTCCATTTATGTTCACCTGCCCCTCCTCCTCACAAAGTATAGTTTTATATCTATATTTTGTCTTTTTACTTCTGCTTATATTTATGTAAAAGTGATTTTTGAAATAACATTTCTGATACTCTACTTAAATCTGAAATGTTTCTAGAATCATTTGAGTTACTTTATGATCATTTTTCTTTTTTTACTTTTTTTTTTTTTTTGAGACGGAGTCTTGCACTGTTGCCCCGGCTGGAGTGCAATGGCGTGATCTCAACTCACCACAACCTCTGCCTCCCGTGTTCAAGTGATTCTCCTGCCTCAACCTCCCTAGTAGCTGGTATTACAGGTGCCCGCCACCACACCCGGCTAATTCTTTGTATTTTTAGTAGAGACAGGGTTTCATTGTATTGGCCAGGCTGGTCTTGAACTCCTGACCTCGTGATCCACCTGCCTCAGTCTCCCAAAGTGCTGGGATTACGGGCGGGAGCCACTGCGTTCAAGCAGATCGTTTTTCTTTCTTTCTTTCTTTCTTTTTTTTTTTGAGACGGAGTCTCCCTCTGTCGCCCAGGTTGGAGTGCAGTGGCGCGATCTCTGCTCACTGCAAGCGCTGCCTCCTGGGTTCACACCATTCTCCTGCCTCAGACTCCCAAGTAGCTGGGACTACAGGCGCCCGCCACCACCGGCTGATTTTTTGTATTTTTAGTAGAGACGGGGTTTCACCGTGTTAGCCAGGATGGTCTCGATCTCCTGACCTCGTGATCTACCCGCCTTGGCCTCCCAAAGTGCTGGGATTACAGGCGTGAACCACTGGGCCCGACCCATTTTTCAAATCTGTTTTTATTTGCAGTATTTGAAGATAAAGCTCTTATTTTCAAGTATATGATATTTCGCATTTGGTAACTATGCTAATTTCTTTTTCATTAAATCCTATTTGTTTTCCATTGCCTTTTTCATTTTTTAGCATTTCTTTTCCTTCACTTTTATGTTAGGAATACTTCTGCAAGCATCTTCGTTTGTGCCGTATCATGAAAGTAGTTTGAGTCTATTCTCCTTATATAATATAACCATAGTGGTTTACTTGATTTTATTGGTTCTTGTAAGGCTATTTGCTGGATTCAGTTCATTTTTTTTTGTTGAGCCCCTGCTTTATATTCTAGTGGTTTTCCTAGGCTTAGTGAATGGTTTTATGAAATTTGAATGGCTTTCATTGCGCATCAAGAAACTTGGAATAACTGGAAATCTGTAGTGATCGAAAAGAAAATAGGTGATTAATTATATAGAAGTTTCTGAGGATCCACTCTTGAGCTGTTAAAATGGGGTTTTAAAGCTATAGAGGGAAAAATATTTTCTGTATAGTCAACATGTAATTATTGAAGAATTGCTGTATGTCCTTTGTTTTCTGTTGAGTTTATTCATTCAACAAATACTGAAGAAGTGTCTCTGTCCTTATGGCTATTAGTCTAACAGTGAGACAAATATGCTTGGAAAATGAATGAAAGGGGAGAGTTTAATAACCAGCAGAGGTCAGCAATATAGGCTCTTACAAGTCAGCATAAGAGTGTATGGTTAAGTGCCGGAACAAGTGCAGTTTGTTCATAAAAGGAAGAAATTAGTAAGTGGTCAGAAAATTTTCATGCTTTATGCTTTTGCATATTAACATGATAATTGATTGAATAAGATAGTTCATTATGGAAATAACATTTAAATTAATTTTTAAAATATGAAGAGAATTAGAATTTCACAGCTGGGGGGGCAAATTCTTAAAATATATTCAGTCAGATCTCATAGATTAAAAAACAAAGCCCACAGAGGCACACTTGCTCATTGTCTTGTGCCCATGTGTAGGTAGTGTAGAATTGGCATTAGAACTTAGGTCTCCTGATTTCTAGTCCATTACTGGTGACACTGTATGTGCTCCCTGGTTGCATTTTGATACCAAAATTCTTGTTTTGTATTTGGAGGTTAGAGTTGAGGGGAGGCAGCAGAGGATAGGATTAAAAAATTTTGGCTCAAGAATTTGAAAAGATCTGGGCTTGATCCTGGCTTTGACACTAACTGGTTGTGAGACCTTGGAAAGTTACTTAACCTCTTTCAGACTCAGTTTACTCATCGCGTGTTCTCACTCATAGGTGGGAATTGAATAATGAGAACACTTGGACACAGGGTGGGGAACATCACACACCGGGGTCTGTCATGGGGTGGGGGGAGGGGAGAAGGATAGGAGATATACCTAATGTAAATGACGAGTTAATGGGTGCAGCACACCAACATGGCACATGTATACATATGTAACCTGTACGTTGTGCACATGTACCCTAGAAGTATTAAAAAAGAAAGACTCAGTTTACTATTTTGTAAAATAGGGTAATAGTACATTCTCTATAGGATTGTAAATAGGATTAGATGAACATACATTTAGCATATAGTAAGAGCTTAATGTATAGTGGTTTTAATTAGGTACTAATATTTAGTATTAATAGTAATTTAAGAAATTCTGTTTAATGGCCAGGCGCAGTGGCTCACGCCTGTAATCCCAGCACTTTGGGAGGCTGAGGCGGGCGAATCACGAGGTCAGGAGTTCGAGACCAGCCTGGCCAACATGGTGAAACCCCGTCTCTACCAAAAACACAAAAAATTAGCTTGGCGTGGTGGCGGGCACCTGTAATCCCAGCTACTTGGGAGGCTGAGGCAGGAGAATTGCTTGAACCTGGGAGGTGGAGGTTGCAGTGAGCTGAGATGGCACCACTGCACTCCAGCCTGGGCGACAGTGCGAGACTCATCTCAAAAAAAAAAAAAAAAAAAAAAAAAAGTTCTGTTTAATAATCTCTATATGCTTAGCTATGAATTTAGTGAAATTTATGTTACTTTTGGATCTTCTGGAGTGCTGGTAGTAGCTGTTTGACTGATCATAGTCAAGGAATCAAAGCTAAAAATAATTAAGTGCTTTGCCTACATCAACCTGCTAGACTAGACCAAGGTTGTCTGAATTCTGGTGCTTTTTCACAACACGTAGTTCCTCCCTAATAAAATATCTCCATGTTAAAATTGAGCATAGTGTCCATTTTGTTTTGGCCTCAAAAATTAATTTTAGTCTATTGAAATTTTTTTTAGAAATGGCCTAAAATTCAGCATTCTCACTTATGTTATCTTTTAAGTTACAGTAATCTGGTGGCATTGTAAGAGTTGAAATTTAAAATTGAAAATGACCCATAATTCAAGTGTGTTATTCATTTGTCTTAGTCTGTTTGGGCTGCTGTAACAAAGTATAGTACCTCACAGTGGGTAATTTATAAACAACAGAAATTTATTGCCCAGAACTCTGGAGGCTAGGAAGTCCAAGATCAAGGTCCCAGCAGATTCAGTGTATGGTGAGTCCTTTTCCTCATTGATGGCATCTTCTTTGTGTCCTCACATGGCAGAAGGGGATGGCAGCTCTTTGGGGCCCTTTTCTTTTCTTTTCTTTTTTTTTTTTGAGACGGAGTCTTGCTCTGTCGCCCAGGCTGGAGTGCAGGGGTGCCATCTCGGCTCACTGCAACCTCCATCTCCTGGGTTCAAGCGATTCCCCTACCTCAGCCTCCCGAGTAGCTGGGATTATAGGTGCATGCCACCATGCCCAGCTAATTTTTGTATTTTTAGTAGAGACGGAGTTTCACTATGTTGGCCAGGCTGGCCTTGAACTCTTGGCCTCAAGTGATCCACCTGCCTCAGCCTTCCAGAGTGCTGGGATTACAGGTGTATGCCACCACACTTGGCCTCTGGGTCCTTTTTTTAATAGGGATATTAATCCCATTCTTGAGAGCAGAGCCCTGCTGACCTAGTCACCTCACAAAGTCTTCACCTTCTGATACCATCACGTTGGTGATAGGTTTCAGCATGTGATTTTTAAGGAAACAAACGTTCAGACCTTAGTTTTCATTTTGTAACATCAAGAATGTTATCCATCTTATTTCATTTACCTTGACAATGATACTTACAAGTTGATTTCACTCCTCCCTTATCTGTTTAAAATTTTGAGGCTGAGCTTGATAGCTCATGCTTGTAATCCCAGTGCTTTGGGAAGCCAAGGCAGGAGGATTGCTTGAACCCAAGAGTTTGAGACCAGCCTGGGCAACATAGTGAGACTTCCATCTCTACTAAAATTTAAAAGTTAGCTGGGTGTGGTGGTGCACACCTGTAATCTAAGCTACTTGGGAGGCTGAGGCGGGAGGGTGACAGAGTGAGACCCTGTCTCAAAAAAAAAAAAAAAAACCCAAAAAACAAACAAAAAAAAGATATAAAATTTTGAGTTTGGAGATTGGATAGCACTAGGAAAGTATTCTGAGGATTTCCTTTGTGATTGTCACATTTTGAAAACTGTCTTTTAACATTAATCTGGAACATAGTGGTTGCAGTTTGTGGGCCTGTGTTATTTTACGTTCATGTCAACTGCATGAATTCCTGCTCATTTTTCCTCATGTTAATGTTTTTAAAAAGCACATATTGAGCTGCTGTTATATTTCATCAACTTAAGATGCCATCCTTTGTAAGATGCACCATTATCTTATTTACCACTGTCTCACTTATCTGTTGCTATGTAACAATCCCAAAATATAATGGCTTAAAATAACAATTATTTGCTCACGATTCTGTTAATTGCGCTAGACTTAGCTGGGCAGGTTTTTTCTTTTTTTTAATGTTCTTTTCTGGAGTCACTAAAGTGGCTTCAGTCACCTGGTTTATGGTTTCAGATATCCTTACTCAAGTGCCTGCTGGTTACCTGGAGATGTCAGTGGGCACAGCAATTAGCTGTCTTTCATGTAGCCTCTCTACTAGTAATAAATGGGCTTTGTGCATAGTAGCAGCAGTGCTCCCAGAGGGCAAGAGCTGAATCTACAAGGCTTCTTGAATCATATGCTACTTCTGCTGTATTCTGTTGGTCAAAACAAGGCACAAGTTCAGCCTAGATTTTAAAAGGAGTGGCAAGCAATAGGCTCCACTTCTTGACTGGAGACAGACCTATGATCTGAAGATACACCTAGTATAAAATGGCGAGGTAGTCGTAGGATAACTTCACTAGACACTCCCATTCAAATAGGGAAAGAGTGGGAGGCGTGTAGCACCTGCTGATGCATAGCAGTTCTGAAATCTAGCCAGGCACGTGTTGTTAGGGTCCCCTACATTGGGGACAATGAATGTTTCTTGATTAGGGCCCAGTTCTGCTACCTCGTATTGGTTCCTTCACCTGTTATTTTCTTCTGCTTTTGGCTCCACCCTCTGAGAGGTCCTTTATTTATTTTTTTCTATAAGAATGAGCCCTTTTGGCAGCTGAGTAGCATTTTTGGCCTGCTTCTTGCCCATTGAAAATTGGGAGCCCAGAAGTTTCTATTAATTTTGAACTGTTTCTTTAGTCCAGGCTGTCACAACTCTCTTAACAGTTTCTTTTTAATCTTACCAGAGTTCAAACCATGCCTTAAAAACCACATTTGTCATTCTTTTTGAGACAATCTTCATTTAGGGTGAAGTGTCCGTTGCCATGGTCGGTATTCTTCAGATGTTTAGAAAACTTTTGTCTAGGTTGAGCATCTCATATGGCCAGGGGAAGGCTGCTGCCATAGGAGGCTGCTGTGCCACGTGACAAAACTAAGATTTGAACACAGTTTTATTTTGGCCCTGTAGCTTTACAGTCATATGAGATGATGGTGATTATGAAAATTTCGAAAGTAAACTGTTCTTGTGCTGATATTACCAAAAGTTTTTTTTGGACTATGATTAATATTTAATAGTGATAAATGCAGATCCAAATAATTTATTGGTTATTTCCTTAATATGAACCACCAGTGTGATATAGTTGCTGAAAAATATATATTGGCTTAGTGAAATTAGTGATCAGTTCCTTAAAATTAATAATCCTATAGTATTCTGTTCTGGTCTAATAGCTGGGTATTCTTCTCAATTGCAAGTGCATATTTAAAGAGTGGTTTGAAAATACTAGGATATGCCCAAAGAGGACAGTCAGAATGGTCATGGGACTGGAATCAAGTTCTAGGAAGAACAATTTAAGTTTCAATTACTCAGTGGATTTAGTCTACAGAGGGCTAAAGGGAAATAGGAGAGCTCCCATCAGATACTTAAAGTGTTCTTAGGTAAGTGAATAAACTTGTTATTTGTTGCTTTAGAAAAAGAATCTAAGGTTAACTGGCAAAGTTTACTTGAAGGTAAAGGTAAATTTTGTCCAAACAGACTTTTAAAAATCTGCTACCATGGCCTGACAATGCTCTTTTGGTAGGGCATTCTCCAGCACTTGCAGAAATTCAAGCAGAAGTTGGATAACCTACAGAGATGCCTAATTTCAATATTGTAATGTCTCAGGGAATAGGGAGACCCAAGGAGAGGGACAGAGAATGGGAACAACTGGTTGGTGGAATAGTCAGGACACACAATTTTTTTTTTTTTTTTGAGACAGGGTCTCTCTCTGTCTCCAAGGCTGGAGTGCAGTGGCGTGATCTCGGCTCACTGCAACCTCCACCACGCAGGTTCAAGCGATTTTCCTGCCTTAGCCTCCCGAGTAGCTGGGACTATAGGCGTGCACCGCCACACCTGGTTACTTTTTGTATTTTTAGTAGAGACGGGGTTTCACCATGTTGGCCAGGCTGGTCTCCAACTCCTGACCTCAGGTGATCTGCCTGCCTTGGCCTCCCAAAGTGCTGGGATTACAAGCGTGAGTCATCGTGCCCGGCCAGGACACATAACATTTATCAAGTAAGTTTGCAGTGTTATGGGCATGGTTTGTGGCACCCCAAGACAATTACAGTAGTAACATCAAGTATCACTGATCACAGATCACCATAGCAGACATAATGATAATGAAAAAGTTTGCAATATTGCGAATACTACCGTAGTGTGACGCTAGAGATGTGAAGTGAGCACATGCTGTTGGGAAAATGGTGCTGCGAGACTTGCTTGATGCAGGGTTGCCACAAACCTTCAATTTATTTTTTTAAAAAAGGCAATATCTGTGAAGTACAGTGAAACTAGGTATTCCTGCATTTTCTCTGTTCTAATATATCGACCATATTGGATATTGGAATTAAGTATGATCAGTTCAGCTAGAGAGGATGCTTTATGTTCAGAGACCAGCTATGCTCTGAGCCTCAGCTTCTGCTGAGGGAGCAGCCCTCATGGTAGCTTACACATTTGTGATCATGTCCTCTAGGGTGTGACTTTTGCCACCCTGGCCTCAGCTGACTGATCTTAACAAAGGTACTTGTCCAAAGCAGTGGAATAGCAGTTATCTCACTAGGCTTTTGAAGGCCATTTTCAAGAATTCCTGTCCTTCATTAGAGGTGTTTTTTAACTAGAAGGGATGTGCCATGTCATGAAGAATTTCAATCTCTGTGAAACCTGGCGTTCTTCTTTCTGTATATATCTTTAAAATATTCTCCTGCTCCCAGCATTTGGGGTGACCTGAGTGAGTCTGTCTGTTTCAACCAGAATTGCTAAACCGTAAGTGTAAAGTAACATTTTCTTGCCAAAAGGGTGATAGAGTTAAGCCTGTATTTAGACCTACAGTTTTTGGTGGTGTAGTGGAGTAATATACTTGCAAATATTGTAAGATGTTTTTAAATCACAAGGGAGAATTTTCCAACTTTCAGTGGGTGTGGGATATAAAAGGTGACATGGAGTTTGGTTAGATTTAACCTTGTAACAAGTCTCTGAGTTGTTCCTACTGAGGCAGTCTGTAATGTCCTGCAGCGTTTGACTTCATATGTGTAGACTGGTGTGGAAAACCCTGTTCTCCTTTCTGTGCAGAAGGCTTGCAGATCTATACCCAGAGAGCAATCCAGTAATCCCCTTCTCCTTGGCATTTGGCTTTGGGTGCTTTTCAGAATTAGTAATGTTTCTTTATCCATTGCTGGACACCTAAGTTGTTTCTGTTTTTTGTCTATTACAGATAATGTGTCTATAAACATTCCTGTACAAGTGTTCTGTTTGATCACCTGTTTTAAATTCTTTTGGGGATATATACCTACAAGTGGAATTGCCTAGTCATATGGTAACTCTGTTTAATCATGGAGGAGCTTCCAGACCCTTTTCCAAAGTGGCTGTACCATTTTATATTCCTGCTAGCAGTGTATGGGTATGTAGATTTCTCTACATCTTTGTTAACACTTGCTATTACCTGTTTTTTATTCTAGTCATCCTAGTGGGGGTGAAGTGGTATCTTGTGGTTTTGATTTGCAGTCTGCTGATAACTAATGATGTTGAGAATCTTCTCATTTGCTTATTGACATTTGCATATTTTCTTTGATGTCTGTTCAGATCCTTTGGCTATTCTTAGATTGGGTTATTTGTCTTTTTTATTATTGAGTTATAAGAGTTTTTATATATCCTGGATACATACCTTTATCAGGTATGTGATTTGTGACTTTTTTTCCCATTTTCTGGGTTGTCTTTTTACTTTCTTGATAACATCTTTTGAAGCACAAAAGCTTTTAATTGTGTTAAGTTCAAATTACCTATTTTTTGTTGTTGGTGTTTTAGTGTCACATCTAAGAATCCTTTGCCAAATCTGAGGTAAAGAAGGTTTATCCCTATGTTTTCTTCAAAGAGTTTTATAGTTTTAGCTGTTGAATTTAGGTCTATGATTCATTTTGAGTTAATTTTTGTATTTGGTATGACGTAAGGTCAACTTTATTGTTTTGCATGTGGTTATAATGGTTGTTCCAGCACCATTTGTTGAAAAGATTGTTCAGTCCCCATTGAATGATCTTGGCACACTTGTCAAAAATCTCAGTATTCTTAATCTGTGTTCTTGCAAAGGAGATGAAATATTTTATCTGAAAAAGCCCTCATATTTCATGCAAAAATGCCTTGCAAATACCTGGTAGTCACCAGGTTTTCTGAGTATATATTAACTTGTCCGGCTTCTAAAATTGCCAGAGCTACTTTTGCAACTGCTTCTAAGTCTTTGCATACTTTAATGCTTAAAAACAAATTTAATAGCAGGTTTTACACTTGGTTTTAGAATGTAATTATGAACACATTGTCAGTATTACCAACTTGATATGTTTCCTTTTTTAAAAAATAAATGCTTCCTTAAAAGAAATACTTCCATTTATTTTACAGAATACAGTTGAATTAAATAATACATTTTTGCATTTAAGCAGAAACACTGGAACCCCTTAAACTCTTAAAGCAAAGGATATGCGTATAGTGTAAAGCGTTATGCATTTTGAGTATTGCTGAAATCAAATTAGGAAGGAGGGATTTGTGATAGTTATACATTGATAATTATAACTTGATTGATAGTAGAAGAAAACACAAAACATTTGAATGCAAATAATTTAGTATATATAGCTATTAAAGATGTTTGCTTCTCAAACACAGTGAAAACAATGCATAGTGTAGAAGCATTCTGTACGTAACAAATACTTTAAGTTCTCACTTTCTTCAAGAGAAATAAGCTGTGGCTGTGTTATATACATGCTAACGGCAGCCATTTAATCTGTGGAAATCCTCTAATGGTGGTTAGAATTCTTATATGATAATTTGGGATATATGGAGAGCACTGTCAAGTGAAAGTGGTAGGTAATGGGAAAAGAGCATCAGGAGTATTGGCCAGTCATGGCCAGGAGTTGGTAAACTAGGTGTAATTTTACCACCATTTGGCACTTTTTCTTATAAACAAATTCTAAATGGTGGTTAAGCTTCCCAGGCCAGTGCTTACAATTGTAGTATGTAGCACCAAACCCAAGCATTCTCTACAGTAATGTACCCAAAGAGGGGGAAGGTTCATTTGTGATATCAGGGATTCATCCCCTGCTAGCCTACCATGACATTGAAAAGTAATCATAACCTTAAAAACTAATAGCTCAGATATTAAAAAAAAAAATTAGATGTCTTTTTCAAAAATCTCCAAGCAAGTGCACAACTCTCCAACATTTGTATGAAACCTACATCACAAGGTGATTTGTCATAACAATAAAAGGAGTTCTTCTTACTGTTATCCTCACTTCAAGTCATGATATATAATAGCTTCTAAAATCCCTGAGCTTGGTAAGGCAACTAGTAATTTGCATGTCTTGTTTTTGTTTCTATTTATGTTAATACCAAAAAGTTTGAAAGTTAATAAAAAATCAGAGCCTGCTTTAGAAAATACAGGCAACTTGGGGTAAAATAAATAATAATTACATGTTGCAACAAAAGATAATCTTGCATTATTATTTATTTTCTTTATCTGTTATTTAAAAAGATTCCCATCTTTTTTTCTGATTCAAAAGGAAAACTCCTGGAACTATTAATATAAGAAACATAACAACAACAATAACTAAATACTGAAGTTAGAAAAATTAATTTGCCTGTGGTCACCTAGCTAGGAGGTAGAGAAGCAAACCTTAAGCAGTGTGGTTCCAGAGCCCACCTTCTTACCTTCTCCCCTCTGCTAGTGGAATACAAACCTCTGCAAATTTCACTTACTCCTTCTTCTTATCTCCCTGACACCAGGCTAAGAACACAGAAATGTTTGCCTGCAGTATGTATAGTTTATAGAACTTTATCTTATGAACTGAACTCTAAGTGGTGGTGAAGTTCCCCTGAGATTCAGCTATAAACATTTCCATTAAAAATGTTTATATTAAATAGAAAAAGCATGTATTACTACTTTCAAGCTTTGGGAATACATTAATTTGCATTTTTGCAATATGCTACTTACCTTAGGCTTGCTACATCCAATATAAAACCACAGAGACTGACTAACTCAACCTAAAACAAGCATCCCTAGCTGTAGGAAAGTTGCTATGTAGGAAAGTTGCCACATGGGGATAAAATTACACCTCTATTTTTTAAATCTTTCTTAAGGATTTACTATCCATGTAAGACATGTTTATATTCTCTAAATGTTCAGTTCTTTGCCCTACTGATTGCTTTAAGACGTAATTTGGTTTCTTGCCACTGCTCTATCTTTAGGCATATTATCTTTTTTTGACTATAGTTCAGTCAGAACATGTTTTCATGTAGTTCCTATAGCTCAGATATGGTACTACAAAATAGAGTGTGAAATTTGGACTAGCAGGACTGCCTTTACCTCTATGGTATCTGATAACATTTGGTATCTAATTCTTTTGCCAGTGGACCATCTAATTTCTGTTATTTTGGTTAGTGAGTTTGAGTGGACCTAATGGTATAATTTGAAAAACAAACAAAACATATTCTCAGTCTTTATCAACCATTATATTTAAAATGGAGAGCTTGCCAGTTTAATAGGTCTTTATGGTTATTTAAAATTTTATATAATTACTGTGACTGCATTGGAGATTAAAGTGGACCAAACTCAATTGTCTCCAAGAGATTATCATCATTGAAGATGGAGTAAGAGTAGGTTATTTAGTAACGTATATGAAACTCCCAAAAATCAGATGCTGTGATAGTCACTTGGGATACAAGATAAAGAGAATTTTCTGATGTCAAATAATCCACACTTTAGTTGGGAGATATAATGTGTGATAAATGCTTTGATGCTAACAAAACAAGAATAACATGTTCTTCATATTGCAGAAACAGAACTTCCTGAGAAGATGAGGCCTGAACTATCTTAGAGCCTCAGTTCCCCTAAATGCAGAATCTGAGGCAGAAGGCATATGTGTTGTTATACTTCACTTCTCTCATTTTATAGGTAGGGAAATTCGGACACAGAAGTTAATTTTTCTAAGTTTACTCAGGAGTGACAGGACTTGGAATAAAATTGTTTCATGGAATTGCTTCAATAAGGGTAAGGATAATGTGAGAAATAATTTCTCATAGCAATTGCTTAAAAGTGCTGCTGGCAATATAAAATGAAACAAAAAAAGGACCAGACCTCTCAATGTCATTTTGGCTGTAAGCTAAGAAACTAGAATTTCTTGTTTTCTATATTATTTAGGTTCATTACATTTATTATTAATTATCTGCAGGAAATTTTTACCAAATTATATTCACAAATTATGTTTGTTTCCAAAGAAATCTTTCTCTAGAATCTATAGAGTGTACTCGATAATCAAACAGATGCCTACTTAGGAGGTAAGTTGGCTTGGGCATGATTGCTTTAGTTAAGTTTCTAATTTACTAAGGACTGATTTGGGTCTATAAACATAAGTGAGTTTCTTTTAGATTTGAGTAAGACTGTTACGACCCTTGCCATGATATGAATTTTT
This sequence comes from Homo sapiens, assembly GCF_000001405.40. Lineage (NCBI taxonomy): Eukaryota > Metazoa > Chordata > Mammalia > Primates > Hominidae > Homo > Homo sapiens. The sequence continues at coordinate 78,374,857 of NC_000005.10, forward strand.
CAAAATCATGATTTATTGAATAATTCCTAGTGATTATTAAGCACGTATCACAGTTATAAAAGTTTCGCTAAATACACTTGTCTTAGAGTCTTGTTGAGAGATTTTTAATGGCTTTTCCTAGCTCCTTTTTAAAAAAAGTGGGGCATTTAGAAACTGTAGTACTCTTCCAGGTGAGTGAATTTGTTAGTATTTATTAAATTCATATGATTATAGTAACTCTGAGAATTATGGAGTAGGGGAAAAATTGAACTCAGGGGAGGGCCTCTCAGCTTGGGGCATTTCTTGTTTAATCAAATTGTCTAGTGTAAGTGTATAGTCTTGACTGAACCAAGCAGAGCTATTGAAGAGTATTTTAATTACATTTTATAGAGCAGCACAATATTTATTCTTTTTCTTCTGAGGAAATATAGTTTTGAACATAAATTTCTTTATTGCATTTTCTTCCAACAACTTGGTCTTTGGATTTAGATTTGGATTTGAATCCTGACCATGTCACTTATTATATGACTTTGGGCAAATTACTAAAACATCTCTAAGTCAGTATTCTCAGCAGTGAAAGAAAAGATACAGAACCCAAGTCATAAAGCTCTTCTGAGGATTACATGAAATAATTAAGAGTCTGGTATCATGCTAACCTAGATGAATTTTCTTTCTCTCTTTGAATCTGTAGCCTTCAATTTCCCATTGGCTTCCTTGATAGAACTATAAATGTGCATTTTCTTATAAATGTTTAATATATTCAAAATAATACCTTATATCTCATGAAAAAGTGTGAAGGAACTAATGGTGAAAATCTGCTACTGTGTTATATAAAAATACTGGACTGGAAAGATTCTAATCATGTCTCTTGTCATCCTTTGTAATTTTGAAAAACTTAGAGGAAATTTAAGTCTAGTTTGTCATATTTCTTTTTGCTAACATAATTGAATTTGTCCAAATGGACAAAAGTGAAATTATTCTATGAGCCAGTCTTGAATAAGTTGTAGTGCCTGGATCAGTACTGTCCAATAGAAATATAATTTCTGCCGCATATGCAATTTAAAATTTTCTAGTAGCCATATTAGAAAAAAAGGAAAAACCAAGTGAACTTAATTGTAATACATTTTATTTTACTCCATATAAAGAATCTTATTTCAACACCTAATCAATATAAATGTTGCAGGAAGTCAGGGACCCCGACTGTTCATACACCCCCTCCCCTTTTGAAATCCTTAATAAAAACCTGCTGGTTTTGAGGCTCAGGGGGGCATCACGGTCCTACCGATATGTGATGTCATCCCTGGTGGCCCAGCTGTTAAATTCCTCTCTTTATACTGTCTCTCTTTATTTCTAGCCGGCCGACACTTATGAAAAATAGAACTTACGTTGAAATATTGGGGGTGGGTTCCCCCGATATATAAAAATTAGAGATATTTTACATTGTTTTGCTAAATCTTTGAAATTGAAAATCTAATGTATTTTATACTTTTAGCACATCTCAATTGGACTACATTTTAAGAGCTACATGTGGCTGGTGGCTACCATATTTACAGGTAGCACAGGTGTATAGCACATCTATAAAATGCATTACTACAACAGTAGATGGCTTTTGCACACTGTAGGATGTGTGTGATAAACGAATGTCATTTATTATTGCCGGTCTAAAGTTTGTCTCCAGTTCTTAGCAGTCACTTAATGGTGAGAATTTACCTGTCATTGCAATCTGTTCAATAAATGATTTCGCCAGTTTTCATTGCCCATTCCCAAGTATTTAAAAATTTCAAAGGCCTCAAATATATCTACTTCACATTAATTATATCTGTAGGAATGACATGAAAAGGTTTGTATTTTGAAAAGCTGATTCTGGCTTATTATGAAGAATAGATTGGCATGGGGTCGGAGGATAGGGAGGGAAGACCAGTAAGGAGTTCATTGCCATTGACACATGAGAAATACTGGCAGATTGATCTCTGGGGTGGAGGAGGGATTTTTTTGTTTGTTTGTTTTTTGTTTTGCTTGTGTGCATTTTAAAGATGATCAAGACTTGAAATGTGAGGTATCTTGCTGGGAAGAAGCAGTTGAACATATGAGAGAAAAGGATAATTGACAGGGTGATCCTAAGAAAAGTTAGGAGGAGATTAAGCTTAGATATGAAGAAGATTTTCCCCCCTACCTTGGGGGAAAGGCTTCCTCCTTGCTTTTCCTTCCCTCCTCTTTTTTGCTTCCCTTTTCCTTTTTTTCCCCTAACCTCTAGACAATGTGGGAGGTAAGGAAAAAAAAAGCTGAGGCCCTTCTGATGATCTGCAGGACATTGTGAAAACTTCTGTAACACAAAGTCATTTCTCACCAGTTAAAATAACAGTAACCATATTTATTGGCTCTGTTTTTGCTTTGGTGACTCATTGGCAACTCTAGTAATTGCTGTTCCCCTCAGATGCTTTACCTGCTGCTCTCTGCTCCCTTTTCTGGCCACCTTCCTATAACTTAGCTTCTGTTTGTCACTCTTTCTACCATGGCTGTTGTCAGCTTCTACTGCTGCTGTTATAGTTCCCAATTTTATGTCTCATATTCAGTCTCCTCAAAAATGGGAATAGGATTGGATTGATTAGCAGTTAGTCAGTACCGAGTTGCTTCTGTTGGGCCTGCCAGGTTTCCTCGTGTCCAATTCTAAAGATAGTTGCCTTTGGCACAGAGGCCAGTTTCTTATTCTTAGTTATGTAGCCAAGTTAATAGGGTCACGTGACACAAAGATTGGGCAAAGAACTGCTTCTGGTTGCTTTCCTTAGAACATATTTTAAGGAAACACAGGTGGGTATTTTTTGTCCTATTCATTACCTAATATTTGCTATACTTTTTACAATTCTCAGTTAGCCATAGGTGGAGAGCTTTTTTGCTTGATCCTTAACTTACTGTTGGTGGTAATGATGATAGCAGCCTCACCTGTCACTTATTTGAGTCTTTCCCATGTGTGGAAACTATATTAAGCACTTTACATGTAGTAACTCATGAATTATATGATACATTTTACTGATGAAAAAACTGAGGTACAGTGAAATACGAAGTGACTTGTTCAAAGTTTATAGCTTCTTAGTAATGGAACTGGAATTTGAATACAGGCAGCCAGCAATCCGTAGCATAACATTTCTGAACTATGGGTGACCATTGTGATTATCAAATTTCCCCTTAATTTTGAAGATGAGAAAATCGAGAGAGTTTGAGTGACTTGCCTGATGTCACAGTATTGGTCGTTACCAGGTGCTCAGTTTCTGATTCCTAGACTAGTGCTTTTTTCTGCTACAGAACAAGTACCCAGGACATAGAAGGTTTTGGATACTAATCATGAAACCCAAGCCTGTGTTAGCAGATATCATAGTAAGTGTATATATAATGTATAGCTGTACAATAATCATCCATGTAGATTTTTATGTTATTAGACTACTATTTAGCTTAAAAATGACATATGTACAGAGAGAAATAAACAGGAGACTGAGCTTGATTAGTTATATAAGTTGATTGAGTCAATCTCCTTATTTCCAGCAGGTGAAAGCACTGTCTCCCAGGTTGCATCTTTCAGGTTATGTGTGGCAGTGATTAAGAAATATCCAATACAATGCATGGTGTAGGAGAGCATTTGGAATACAGTGAAGGTTCATTCCTCTGGAGAATTTGGTAGAGAAACCTAGTATTGAAGATATAAACTAATTGTGCTAGATGTAAACTTTTATTCTCTTGTTTGGAAAAACATTTGTTTTCATATCCATATTGATATTTTAGTGAAATATGAAGTAAACACTGTGAAGTAACACTGTAAAGTTAAGTGGCATTACTAGAGTATTGACAGAGTAGCCTTGGCTTAACTAATGATGTAAAGATATAACTCTAATGTCTATGCATAGTCAGATCCACATGATATTTAAATTAAACTCTGAAGAATATCTTTACTTGCTACTTAGAAGTTAATAAAATACAGAAGCCAAGTATGATCCTCTAAGTCAACAAAATAAGACTATCTGAGAATCTTTTCCTTATTAGAAATATAAATTCTCAGGCATCATCCCAGACCTACTGAATCAGAAACAAGGTACGTTCAGAGTGACGCTCAGCAATCTGGATTTTACAAGCCCTCCAGGTGACCGCAATGCGTGCTGAAGTTTGAGAACCACAGCCAAAGAAGAAACCAAATTATCAGTTGAAATAATTTTATTTTGATTATGTTGGAGAAGAAGAATAACATTTTCCTGCCACAGTTTTGGAATTATTAATAAGGAATTAGGAATTGGAAAGTCCTAGTTTAATTTTTGTCTCAGACATGCACTAATTGATCTTAAGGAAGTTTCCTGACCTTGTTTAAGGCCACAGCTTCTTTCTCTGAAAAATAGAATGATACAGTCTACCAGGAAAGATCATAGCAAAGATTGGAAATAAAAGTAAATGTAAAAGTAAATGCTGAATACTTAGTAGGCGTCAATATCATTTATCGTTACTTAATTCTTTTTCAGTTTTGTTGTCTTCTCCCAGGTTAGAGACTATGGCTTCCTCAACACTACAGTTGCTAAAGCTAATTTGAAACATTAATTATGTAATAATTCAGAGATATCAGTTCTTTACCTTCCTAAATCTAGTGTCATTCTTGGTATATTGTGTACATGCTTTAATGCTTTGTCATCTAATACTGCATTAGGAGAGTGAACTCAGTTCACTTGAGAAAATGATTTTATCAAATTGCCTGTTAACTTCTAGCCAGGATTAAATTTCTAGAATCTAGAAGGAAACAAGTGCACTTTAGTCACTGTAGTTGAAAGTAGAAAATTGGAAGAATGATTTTAGTCTCTTTGGAACTAAGTTATACCTTATTTATTTATTGGCTTTTAAAAGTATTTAAGGTGAATTTTAGCACACTCAAGATAATTAGATGTGTGTATTTGTAAAGTGAGAGTTGGACTCGTACTTCTGTGGCACTGAGAGAATGACGTTGATAGCGTGAATGTTGGCTAAGCAGGATTCATCTTTCTGATCCTACATTCTATCTCCCTCCTTTTTTCTTTTTGAGTTAATTTTGTTTTGTAATTACGAAAACATTTCATGGTTCCAAAGTAGAGGCTATAAAACAATGTAAAATTAAGTCTAGCTTCGAAGTCTATCATTTTTATTAGTTTTTGGATTACTCTTCCTTTTAAAAAACATAAACACACATTCATTTTTATCTGCCTTTTGCACCAAAGCTTAACATTTGTTTACACTCCTCTGCACCTTGCTTTTTTCACTCAGCCCATAGCACTTTTATATCTCCTTATACCATTTTACAACTGCATAATGATACTCAGCTGCATAGTACTTTATCATGTAGATTGTCATGGTTTATTCAGTCATCTTCTATTTATATATATTTAGGTTGCTTCCAGTCGATTAATTAGTGTGATGCTTCCATGTGGTTACAAATAGAATTTTGCTGATATTTCTTTGGAGTAGGTTCCTAGAAGTGAGACTGTGGGTCAAAGGATAAATGCAGATGTTATTTTGCTAGGTATTGCCAACTTGCCCTCCATAAAGGTTGTAACAGTCTTTATTCCCATTAGCAATGCATGAGAATGCCTGCTTCCTTACAGCTTTGTCAGTAGAGTATGTCAGACTTTTAGATTTTTTGCTAATTTGATAGGTGAGAAATGATTAAATCAGTGTAGTCTTAATGAGTGTTTCTTTTATGAATGAGATTAAACATCTTTTTATTTACACTTTTTGAACTATCTTTATGCTTATTTTTTTTCAAGAAGTATTTATTGGTTACTACTGCTGCTATTATCTTGAAGAATTACTCTTTGGGTATTTCCCCACAGAGGTGGTAATAATACTCGTTGAAGAAACAGAATATCACCAGGCATGTATGATTAAGAAGAAAAAAAGATCACTGATCACAGATCACCACAACAGATATAGTAAAAACATTTGAAGGCCGGGAGCGGTGGCTCATGCTTGTAATCCCAGCACTTTGGGAGGCCGAGGCAGGTGGATCACTTGAGGCCAGGAGTTCAAGGCCAGCCTGGCCAACATGGTGAAACCCTGTCTCTACTAAAAATACAAAAATTAGCCAGGCATGGTGACACATGCTTGTAATCCCAGCTACTTGGGAGACTGAGGCAGGAGAATCACTTGAATGGGGGAGGTGGAGGTTGTGGTGAGCTGAGATCGTGCTACGGCACTTCAGCAGCCTGGGCAACAGCAAGACTCCGTCTCAAAAAAAAAAAACTGTTTCTTGTTTCAAAGAGTTCACAGTCTAATTGGGGGAAGAAAAGGCTTGCATGAAGATTATCATCGTTCAGGGAAATCGATGTTGATGGAGCTCTCATAAGTGCTGTGGGAACATTGAGCGTGGAGTGGAGAGACTTGGGTAGAGGGAAGGTATCAGAAAGATCATTGCTTAGCATATGAGGTAATATTTAGACTGAGCCTGTAAGGAAGAGGAAGAGATTGCTAGGCTGACCCTGCTGGGAAAACTATTCTAACTAGAGGAAGCAACGCAAAGGAAGAGTATAACTGATATTTGAGGACTCACTGGTTACTGGTTTTGTAGATGATGGTGAGGGTAGGCATTGAGACTACAGCTGGACCATCTGGATTTGATGAAAGTGCTTGTTGATCCTAAACTCACTTCTAAATTAGGTTAACTTTAGCAATGCTAAGTTGAAAATTTTGATTAAAATGACATCTTTCTATTTTCTCAATTTTCTCACTGACACATGCCTTCTCTCTTGATAATCTTCTTGCTGCTTACACTTTTGGGTAAATTTTGGAGGGGAACCCTGGGAAAGTAAGTGGAGTGATTTCATTCCCTCTTTCCCATTTTACTGTTGAGCAAGACTAAAGCCTTTATGTTTTGTCTGTGTCATACTTTTAATTTATCCTTACTACTTGCTTTATGCCAAATTTGAGGCTCCTTATTCAGTAGGTTGTTTCATTTGGTTAAGGGAGAAAGATGTTTCTCATATGAATTTATAAGGCTGGAAAAATAGGCAGGCTAGATGGTTAGAAGCCTTGTATCTCATTTTAAGGAATTTGTGTTTTGTTTTATAGTTTGTGTAGAGCCTCTAAAAATCTGAAATGGATAAAGGACAGAGGAAAGAGGTTGGAGGAAGGGAATGGCAAGAATAGCTTTGCATTTTTGAGAGGTAAAGAATGGCTGTGTTGAGGAAGGTGAATTGGAGAAGGTACATGTAGACTAAAGAGCAAAAGTCTCCAGACCAGCAGAAGCAGTATCACCTGAGAACCTTTTAGAAATACAGGTTTTCAGACCCCACCCCAGACCTACTGAATGAGAAATTCTGGGGGTTGGGTGCAACACTCTGTGTCTTATTTGATTTTGATGCATACTAAAGTTTGAGACTAGAAATTCGAAGGTTAGCCTACATGACAGTTTGGAAAATGCTTTTCATGTGAATTATGTAGTTGACTTTTGTTGATGTTCATTATGCTGAGATGTTCATTATAAATGCTTTTCACATGAATTACATAGTTGATTTTGTTGAGATATTCATTATATGTATATACTTTATACACACACATACATATACTACAATTTTGTGATTCAGGTTTTTAAAAAATTTCAGTAGGTTTTTGGGGAACAGGTGGTGTTTGGTTACATGAATAAGTTTCTCACTGGTGATTTCTGAGATTTTGGTGCACCTGTCACCCGAGCAGTGTACACTGCACCCATTATGTAGTCTTTTATCCGTCACCCAACTCCCACCCTTTCCCATGAGTCCCTGAAGTTCATTGTATCATTCTTATGCCTTTGTGTCCTCATAACTTAACTCCCACTTGTGAGAACATACAATGTTTGGTTTTCCAGTCCTCAGTTACTTCACTTAGAATAATATCTCCAATTCCATCCAGGTTGCTGCAAATGCCACTATTTCATTCCTTTTCATGGCTGAGTAGTATTCCATGGTGTGTGTGTGTGTGTGTGTGTGTGTGTGTGTGTGTGTGTGTGCGCCACATTTTCTGTATCCACTCGTTGATTGATATGAATTTAGGCTGGTTCCATATTTTTGCAATTGCAAATTGTGCTGCTATAAACATGCCTGTGCAAATATCTTTTTCATATAATGACTTCTTTTCCTTTGGATTGATATCCAGGAGTGGGATTGCTGGATCAAATGGTAGATCTGCTTTTAGTTCTTTAAGGAATTTCCACCCTGTTTTCCATAGTGTTTGTACTAGTTTACATTTTCACCAACAGTGTAAAAGTGTTCCCTTTTTACCACATCCACACAAATATCTATTATTTTTTGATTATGGCTGTTTTTGCAGGAGTAAGTTGGTATCACATTGTGGTTTTGCTTTGCATTTCCCTGATAATGAGTGATGTTGAGCATTTTTCATATGTTTATGGGCCATTTGTACATCTTCTTTTAATAATTGTCTATTCATGTCCTTAGCCCACTTTTTGATGGGATTGTTTTTTTCATGCTGATTTGTTTGAGTTCCTTGTAGACTCTGGGTATTAGTCCTTTGTCAAATGTATAGATTGTGAAGATTTTCTCCTACCCTATGTGTTGTCTGTTTGCTGATTATTTCTTTTGCTGTGCACAAGCTTTTTAGTTTAATTAAGTCCCATCTATTATCCTTTTTTGTTGTTGTGTTTGCTTTTGGGTTCTTGGTCATAAAGTCTTTCCTTAAGCCAGTGTCAAGAAAGATTTTTCCAATGTTATGTTCTAGAAATTTTATGGTTTCAGGTCTTAGATTTAGGTCTTTGATCCATCTTGAGTTGATTTTTGTATAAGGTGAGAGATGAGGATCCGGTTTCATTCTTCTACATGTGGCTTGCCAATGATCCCAGCACCATTTGTTGAATAGGGTGTCCTTTCTCCACATTATGTTTTTGTTTGCATTATGGAAGATCAGCTGACGGTAAGTATTTGGGTTTATTTCTGGGTTCTCTATTCCATTCCATTGGTCTGTGTGCCTGTTTTTATACCAGTACCATGATCTTTTGGTGACTATGGCCTTATGGTATAGTTTGAAGTCTGGTAATGTAATGCCTCCAGTTTTGTCCTTTTTACTTAGTCTTGCTTTGGCTATGTGGGCTCCTTTTTGGTTCCATATGAATTTCAGGATTGTTTTTCTAGTTCTGTGAAGAATGATGATGGTATTTTGATGTTAATTGCATTGAATTTGTAGATTGCTTTTGGCAGTATGGTCATTTTCACAATATTGATTCTACCCATCCATGAGCATGGGATGTGTTTTCATTTGTTTGTGTCATCTATGATTTCTTTCAGCAGTGTTCTGTACTTTTCCTTGTAGAGGTCTTTCACCTCTTTGGTTAGGTATATTCCCAAGTTTTTTTTCTTTTTTTTTTTTTGCAGCTATTTTAAAAGGGGTGGAGTTCTTGATTTGATTCTTAGATTGGTTGCTTTTGGTATATAGTATGGCTGCTGATTTGTGTACATTAATGTTGTACACAAATGTTTTAGTTTCCTGAAACTTTGCTGAATTCATTTACCAGTTCTAGGAGCTTTTTGGATGAATCTTGAGGGTTTTCTAGGTATATGATCATGTCATCAGCAAACAGCAATAGTTTGACTTCCTCTTTACCAATTTGGATGCCCTTTGTTTCTTTTTCTTGTCTAATTCCTCTGGCTAGGACTTCCAGTACGGTGTAGAATAGAAGTGGTGAAAGTGGGCATCCTTGTCTTGTTCCAGTTCCTAAGGGCAATGCTTTCAAGTTTTCCCCGTTCAGTGTAATGTTGGCTGTAGGTTTGTCATAGATGGCTTTTATTACCTTAAGGTATGTCCCTTTTATGCCGATTTTGCTGAGGCTTTTTCACAAAGGGATACTGGATTTTGTCAAATGCTTTTTTTTGTCTATTGAGATGATCAGGTAATTCTTGTTTTTAATTCTGTTTATGTGGTGTATCACATTTATTGACTTGTGGATGTTAAGCCATGCCTGCATCCCTCTTATGAAACCACTTGATTATGGTGGATTATCTTTTTGATATGCTGTTGAATTTGGTTAACTAGTATTTGGTTGAGGATTTTTGCATCTCTGTTCATCAGGGATATTGGCCTGTAGTTTTCTTTTTTTGTTATGTCCTTTCCTGGTTTTGGTATTAGGGTGATACTGGCTTCATAGAATGATTTAGGGGGGGATTCCCTCTCTGTTTTTCGGAATAGTGCCAATAGGATTGATACCAATTCTTCATTGAATGTCTGATGGAATTCAGCTGTGAATCCATCTGGCCATGGACTTTTTTTTGTTGGTAACTTTTTAATTACCATTTCAGTCTCACTGCTTGTTACTGGTCTGTTCAGAGTTTGTATTTCTTCCTGGCTTATTCTACAAGGGTTGTATATTTCCAGGAATTTATCTGTCTCCTCTGGGTTTTCTAGTTTATTTGTGTAATGGTGTTTGTAGTAGCCTTGAATGATCTTTGTATTTCTGTGGTATTGGTTGTAATGTCTCTTGTTTCATTTCTAATTATGCTTATTTGGATCTTTTCTCTTTTTTTCTTGGTTAATATTGCTAATGGTCTATCAGTTTTATTTCTCATTTCAAAGAACCAGCTTTTTGATTCTTTTATCTTTTGTATTTGTTTGTTTCTATTTCATTTAGTTCTGCTCTGATCTTGGTTACTTCTTTTCTTCTTCTGGGTTTGGGTTTGGTTTGTTCTTGTTTCTCTAGTTCCTTGAGGTGTGACCTTAGATTGTCTATTTGTGCTGTTTCAGACTTTTTGATGTAAGCATTTAATACTATGAACTTTCCTTTTAGCACCACTTTTGCCATTTCCCAGCGGTTTTGATAGGTTATGTCACTATTATTGTTCAGTTCAAATAATTTTTTAATTTCCATCTTGATGTTAATGTTGACCCAGTCATCATTCAGGAGCAGGTTATTTAATTTCCATGTATTTTTATGGTTTTAAGGGTTCCTTTTGGAGTTGATTTCCAATTTTATTCCACTGTGGTCTGAAAGAGTACTTGATGTAATTTTGATTTCCTTATATTTGTTGAGACTTTTTTTGTCCCTATGATGTGGTCTATCTTGGGGAATGTTCCATGTGCTGATGAAGAGAATGTATGCTTGTATGTTCTGCAGTTGTTGGGTAGAATATTCTGTAAATATTTGTTAAGTCTGGTTGTCCTAGGGTATAGTTTAAATCCATTGTTTCTTTGTTGACTTTTTGTCTTGATGACCTGTCTAGTGCTGTCAGTAGAGTATTGAAGTCCCCCACTATTATTGTGTTGCTGTCTATCTCATTTCTTAGGTCTAGTAGTACTTGTTTTATAAATTTGGGACCTCCAGTGTTAGGTGCATATGTATTTAGGATTTTGATATATTCCTGTTGGACTATTCCTTTTATCATCATATGATGTCCCTCTTTGTCTTTTTTAAGTGCTGTTGCTTTAAAGTTTGTTTTGTCTGATATAAAAATAACTACTCTTGCTTGCTTTTGGTGTCCATTTGCATAGAATATCTTTTTCTAGGCCTTTACCTTAAGTTTATGTGAGTACTTATGTGTCAGGTGAGTCTCTTGAAGACAGCAGATAGTTGGTAAATTCTTATCCATTCTGCCATTCTGTATCCTTTAAGTGGAGCATTTAAGCCATTTACAATCAACGTTATTATTGAGATGTGAGGTACTGTTCTATTCATTGTGCTATTTGTTGCCTGAATACCTTTTCTTTTTTCTTTTTTTTTTCATTGTATTGTTTTATAGGGCCTGTGAGATTTATGCTTTAAGGAGATTCCATTTTAGTGTATTTTGAGGATTTGTTTCAATATTTAGAGCTCGTTTTCATAGTTTTTGTAGTGCTGGCTTTGTAGTGGCAAATTCTCTCAGCATTTCTTTGTTGGAAAAAAGTATGTATCCTTCATTTATAAAGCTTAGTTTTGCTGGATACAGAATTCTTGGCTGATAATTGTTTTCTTTAAGGAGATTAAAGGTAGGACCTCAGCTCTTCTAGCCTGTAGGATTTCTGCTGAGAAATCTGTTAATCTGATAGATTTTTCTTTATAGGTTACCTGATGCTTTTGCCTCACAGCTCTTTAGATTCTTTCCTTTGTCTTGACTTTAGATAACCTGATGACTATGTGCCTAGGTGATGATCTTTTTATGATGAATTTCTCAGGTGTTTTTTGAGATTCTTGTGTTTAGATGTCTAGATCTCTAGCAAGGCCGGGGAAGTTTTCCTCAATTATTCTTTCAAATATGTTTTCCAAACTTTTAGATTTCTCTTCTTCCTCGAGAACAATTATTCTTAGGTTTGGTTGTTAAACATAATCCCAAACTTGTTGGAGACTTTTTTCATTTTTTAAAACTCTTTTTTTCTTTGTCTTTGTTGGATTGGGTTAATTCGAAAGCCTTGTGTTTGAGCTCTGAAGTTCTTTCTTCTACTAGCTCGATTTTATTGCTGAGACTTTCCAGTACATTTTTCATTTCTCTAAGTGTGTCCTTGGTTTCCAGAAGTTGCGATTGTTTTTTATTTATGCTATTTCACTGAAAATTTTTCCATTCATATCCTGTATCTTTTTTTTTTTTTTTTAATTTCTTTAAGTTGGCCTTTACCTTTCTCTGGTGCCTCCTTGATCGGCTTAAAAGTTGACCTTCTGAATTTTTTTTCTGGAAGTTTAGAGGTTTTGTCTTGGTTTGGATCCATTGCTGGTGAGCTAGTGTGATCTTTTCGGGGTGTTAACCTTGTTTTGTCATATTACTGGAATTGTTTTTTTTGTTTCTTCTTATTTGGGTAGACTATATCAGAGGGAAGATCTGGAACTCAAGGGCTGCTGTTCAGTTTCTTTTGTCCCACGGGGTGCTCCCTTGATGTGGTGCTCCTCCCTTTCCTGTACGGATGGGGCTTCCTGAGAGCTGAACTACAGTGATTGTTATTTCTCTTCTGGATCAAGCCACCCAGTGGAGCTACTGGGCTCTGGGCTGTTACTGGGGACTGTCTGCAAAGAGTCCTGTGATGTGATCCATCTTCAGGTCTGTCAGCCATGGATACCAACACCTGTTCCCGTGGAGGTAGCAGCAGAGTGAAGTGGATATTTTTAAGTACGCTGGTTTTGTGTTGGTTGGCCTCCAGCCAGGAGGTGGCACTTTTAAGAGCACATTAGCTGCAGTAGTAGGAGGAGGATCAGGCGGTGGCAGGACCATAGAGCTCCCAAGAGATTATGTCCTTTGTCTTCGGCGTTCCTCGGCTGTCCCAGGAACCTGCAGCAGCAATCCACCTTCTTCAAAGGGTCTGTGGATTCTCTCGGATTTCCTGGTATGTTCCTGCATAGTTTTTGGAGCAAGAGGTTCACGATGTAGGTCTCCACGTGCTGCTCTGTCCATTAAGTGGGAGCTGCAAGTTAGTATTGCCTCCTATCTGCCATTTTCCCTCTCACTGTGTGATTTGGTTATTTTCATGAAAGCCTACTATTAAAAGATTTGAAAAATTGGAATGGTGTGATCATGTATTATACTTGGAAAAGGGAAGACAGTCTATGATCATGTGGTGAAATAAACTACAGTAGAGATATTGGAGTAGAATAAAACAAGAGTTACTTAATATTGAATGCTCTAGATGTTGGCTGTATGACATTGATTTGTAATGCAGTATGAAATCTTCAGTGGGACAAACTGAAGCTGTTATAAAAAGGGGGAACGTGAACTCTTTGTCGAGGCCAAAGGAAATGATGGTGGGTCTACCTGAGATGCTTTTGTGTAGTCAGTTCCACACAGCTATTAAGAGGTGGTCTACTTTTTATCTTGATGTAATAGCTTGCAGCTGATTTGAATCTAACTCAGTTTTTGTTTTCCTTTGAGAATGTGAAGGTTGTATGGGTTTAAATTTCACCATTGTTGAAATGAGACAGTAAATCTGAGAGCCTTCTTTTATTTTCCTCTGTTAGCCTTGCTGCATGACCACAAGTATAGATAAAGCAAATGGTATGTAAATATCAAAATTATTTTTTAAAGGATAAGTAATCTTTTTTTTCTCCTTTGAATTTTATTCTAGGATCCATCAGTTACACAAGTGACAAGAAATGTTCCACCAGGACTTGATGAATATAATCCATTCTCGGATTCTAGAACAGTAAGATTATTCTTGCTTTTAAATGTTTAAATTGAAATTCAGTAGGAATTCTATTTTAACTATGATTTCTTTTTTAGTGGATTGCTTACACTTAAATAAAACAAATTGTTAATGTTTTATTTAGTATTCAGCAAACTTGGATTTTTTTAATATGTAGAAATATTAGTAGTAATTGAAGATTACCATGATGATCCTAGTGAAATACTTCAAATTTTCTTTTATGTTTTACAGATTAAATCACAATAATCTTTCTAAAATGTAAACTTTTCCACATTACTTGAAATACTAGGAATTAGAGAAATATTTCTTGGTATACATGTTGTCTGCCTGATAATGTGGGGTGATTTTTTTTTACGTGGAAACTGTGTAGAACTGTACCATGAATGTTTGTATGATTGTCATTTGAATTAGATTATTCTGAATAGTACTAGCCTTCTGTTCTGGCAGAGTAGAACCTCTGGAACTTTACCCAGACTAGGAAAGCATATTTTTCCCCTCAAAATTTAGTATTTTTTTCTTTTAAAAATTTATTTATTGTAGAGACAGTGTCTTCTATGTTCCCCAGGCTGGTCTTGAACTCCTGGTCTCAATCCATCCTCCCACCTCAGCCTCCCAAAGTGCTGCAACTACAGATGTGAGCCGTGGCGCCTGGCCTCAAAATTTAGTTTTGATTTATAAAATGTACAAGTATGAAAAAAATCCTCATAAAACAGTGTTTTGCTACTCTAGATGTATATGAGAAGCATCTAGGGGACTTTATTACACTACCCCTTATGGCCCTCATCTCTTAGAGTTAGGGCAATTTTTTTTTTAAAGTTCTTTTGATGATTTTATTGTGACCTAGATTTGAAAACTGTTGAGGTAGATTCTGTTGAGACTATCTCCAGAATTTCTGTGGCAAATAATTTCATCTCCTGTATTTGGGTCTGCCTCCAATACTTTTGTTACCTTGCCCTGTGCATCTCTTCTATTTGGCTGTTCCTGAGTTGTGTCCTTTAGTAAGCTGCTAATAGTAAGTAAACTGTTTCCATGAGTTCTGAGAGCGCTTCTAGAAAATTATCAAATCCAAGGAGAGGGTCATGGAAACCCCCAGTTTATAGAAAGTTAGTCAGTATGGGCGGCAATCTGTGACTTGTGACTGGTGACTTGGGACTTGTGACTGGTGTCTGAAATGAGCCCTTAACCTGTGGGATCTGTGATAGTCCAGGTAGGTAGTATCAGAATTGAACTGAGTTGTAGGACATCTAGATGGTGTCCAAAGAGTTGGGGAATTGGTTGGTGTTGGGGGAAAAAACCCCACACATTTGGTATCAATAGTATTGTTGGTAAAAACAGTCCAAAAGTAAAAGCATTAAAATAAGAATGAACTTTTAAATTTCTCTTTATTTCAAAGCCCTCATTTAACAGCCTTTGCTTATATGTAGCAAATTAATTCCAGGTTGGGATCACTAAAGTGCTCTTTGAGCATGTAAATTACAGGTTAAAACATGTGAAATGGCCAATAAGCTGACCAGTTTTGATATATAAAAATGGTGGTTTCATATGATTCAACCTTATAATGAATTAGTGCTGTGAATATGTGAGAGTGCAATTTGGTAGTAGTTGTTGAAGGGAAAAAAAGAAGAGCTGGCAAATTATATTCCACTGTATGTAGTTCTTTTAACTTGATTTCTAGGAGGTGGAGATGGGAACAAGACCATTTTTAAACTTTGTCGATAAAGAATGAAAAGAGATTTTTTTTTCTTTTTTTTTTTTTTATTGATCATTCTTGGGTGTTTCTCACAGAGGGGGATTTGGCAGGGTCATAGGACAATAGTGGAGGGAAGGTCAGCAGATAAACAAGTGAACAAAGGTCTCTGGTTTTCCTAGGCAGAGGACCCTGCGGCCTTCCGCAGTGTTTGTGTCCCTGGGTGCTTGAGATTAGGGAGTGGTGATGACTCTTAACGAGCATGCTGCCTTCAAGCATCTGTTTAACAAAGCACATCTTGCACCGCCCTTAATCCATTTAACCCTGAGTGGACACAGCACATGTTTCAGAGAGCACAGGGTTGGGGGTAAGGTCACAGATCAACAGGATCCCAAGGCAGAAGAATTTTTCTTAGTACAGAACAAAATGAAAAGTCTCCCATGTCTACTTCTTTCTACACAGACATGGCAACCATCCGATTTCTCAATCTTTTCCCCACCTTTCCCCCCTTTCCACTCCACAAAACCGCCATTGTCATCATGGCCCGTTCTCAATGAGCTGTTGGGTACACCTCCCAGACGGGGTGGTGGCCGGGCAGAGGGGCTCCTCACTTCCCAGTAGGGGCGGCCGGGCAGAGGCGCCCCTCACCTCCCGGACGGGGCAGCTGGCCGGGCGGGGGGCTGACCCCCCCACCTCCCTCCCGGACGGGGCGGCTGGCCGGGCAGAGGGGCTCCTCACTTCCCAGTAGGGGCGGCCGGGCAGAGGCGCCCCTCACCTCCCGGACGGGGCGGCTGGCCTGGCGGGGGGCTGACCCCCCCACCTCCCTCCCGGACAGGGCGGCTGGCCTGGCGGGGGCTGACCCCCACCTCCCTCCCGGATGGGGTGGCTGCAGGGCGGAGACGCTCCTCACTTCCCAGACGGGGTGGCTGCCGGGCGGAGGGGCTCTTCACTTCTCAGACGATGGGTGGCCAGGCAGAGACGCTCCTCACTTCCCACACGGGGTGGCGGCCGGGCAGAGGCTGCACTCCCGGCACTTTGGGAGGCCAAGGCAGGCGGCTGGGAGGTGGAGGTTGTAGCGAGCCGAGATCACGCCACCGCACTCCAGCCTGGGCGCCATTGAGCACTGAGTGAACCAGACTCTGTCTGCAATCCCGGCACCTCAGAAGGCCGAGGCTGGCGGATCACTTGCGGTTAGGAGCTGGAGACCAGCCTGGCCAACACAGCAAAACCCCGTCTCCACCAAAAAAATACAAAAACTGGTCAGGCGTGGCGGCGCGCGCCTGCAATCGCAGGCACTCGGCAGGCTGAGGCAGGAGAATCAGGCAGGGAGGTTGCAGTGAGCCGAGATGGCAGCAGTACAGTCCAGCTTCGGCTTGGCATCAGAGGGAGACCGTGGAAAGAGAGGGAGAGGGAGAGGGAGAGAGAGGGAGAGGGAGACCGTGGAAAGAGAGGGAGAGGGAGACCGTGGAAAGAGAGGGAGAGGGAGAGGGAGAGCGAAAAGAGATTTTTATATAAATGTTTGCAAAACTTTACTAGCAAGAAATATGTTTAGCATTTTTATATAGTAGCAGCTTTAGATTACTCTTATCAGTTGTAGTATTCTTCATCAAGCTGTCTACTTTGTGCCATGTGCTTTGCCTGTATTATCTTATTGAATTCTCATAATATTCAAAATTGATATTTTAAATTTCCGTTTTACTAATAAAGATCTGAGACACAGGTCAGCTAGCAAGTAAGTGGCAGAACTGGCTTATTAACTCGTGTTATCTGTAAAGCTTTTGCCTTTTTCATTTTGCTAGTGCTATCTTTGGAGATAGTTGCTTAAGAAATAGAAAAAATAGTCCTGGTCTTTGAAAGATTTCTCACCTAATTGGTGTAATTAAAAATTACACAGACACAAAGAAGATATATCCAGAACAAATAAAACAAAATATAAATCATGATTGTAAATGTTGAGACTTTATAGTTACAAAAAGATTTTCTGAAAGTGAATAGTCTTGAGCAAGGAGCTAGGCAATAGTGAGAAGCCAATTTACAATGAAACACTTCCCTTAGATTTGATGAACAGTGATATGGTGTCAGAACCAGGAAAATTCTTATGATAATTGGGTGCATTTTCCTCTGCACTGTTAACATGATGGAAAACACAGTTTAAATATTAAATATTCCTTTGTTTATTATATAATGTGATTTCAGAAATTTGTCCATTTTTGTGGCTGTGATTATTTTCCAAAGAGATTAGGTGTAGTTAGATAATTGATTTAAGTGGTATATTAGCATTAGACCTTGGTCCTGTTTTAGTTAATTGGTGGTATTCGTATTTTTATCATAGGACAGTGTTTGTGAAACTGAAGCTTCTTGATTCTTGTATCAGGATATGGTGAGCTACTTGAGGTCAAGAAGGAAGATCTTCTAGCAGAATGCCTGAGTGTGTAATCTTGCTAAGATTTAGAAAGTTCCTGCCCTGTTCTTCTTTTTATTAAAATTGTTTTCTTCTGTACTTAATTTTTCTGTTTGAATGGAAACCTTAAGTTATTTAAGGAAGGCTACAGTATGGAAATCTTGAGTAATTATATACATATATATATATTTAGAGATAGGGTCTCACTCTGTTGCCCAGGCTGAAGTGCAGTGGCACAGTCGTTGCTCATTGCAGCCCCAAACTCCTGAGCTCAAGCGATACTCCTGCCTCAGCTTTTCAAGTAGCTAGGACTACAGGTATACTCTACCACATGTGGCTAATTATTTTCTGTAGAGAAGAGGTCTTGGTAAGTTGCCTAGGCTGGTCTCAAACTCCTGGCCTCAAGTGATCCTCCTGCCTTGGCCACCCAAAGTGCTGGGATTTTAGGTGTGAGCTACAGTGCTTGGCCTGCATAATTTTATAACTTATATATTCACCATTTTACACATTCAGAGAAAGGAGTTGTAACAAGACACTTTATAATATAGACTAAGTCATTTTATTGACAGTGTCATGAAAGCCTCTTGAGCACTTAAATGTGGCTAGTCTGAATTGAGATGTACTATAAAAATGGAAGATAGTCTTGAGTTATGAAATAATTTTTTTTGTTTGAATTCAAAATGCATTTTTCTACTGAAATTATGTTGTGCATGGTAGGTAGGTTTTCTGGCCTACCCTCTAAAATCTAATGCATAAATAGAGAAATTATCCTTAAGAATTGATGTATGTTTATGGGGAATGTTTTTCTTTTCAATTAAGTAACAGTTGAAAATGCCTATTGCTGCTTGATTCTCACTAGTTTTGGCCACTGGTGAGGGCATTTGTGGCTTTAGACAGAATTTTTTTTGGTGGGTATTGAAGGTAAGGGATAGGGACACCTGTGTGTGGGAGAAGTGCAGCACTGCTGACAAATCCTTAGAGACATTTCTTGGGGCCTAGTTTACTGTCATGTTTCTTTTCGTTAGGGATTGTCTGCCTGGTTCTTTTTCTGTTTCGCTAGTTGATGCCATATATGATTTCTGTCACATAGAGCAGAGAGAAGAACCACAAGAGAAAATTCCAGGTACTGACAGTGTGAGGGGGTATGCCCAGATGGTCATCTCTGACCATAAAGGGACATGGATAATTGGTTTATGTAAGGAAGTACTGCCTCTAACATAATTCAGGACATGAAGTAGACTGAGTCTAAAGAGGACCTGCATTTTAACCTAGGCCCTGTCACTAAGCAGTTGGTAACTTTAGGCAAACCATATAACCTCTTCGAAAATCTTTTTTTTATATATATATATATTACAATGAAGGCAGGGAGGAAAATGTTGAGTTAAATAATTTTATCTTTTTATAGACACAGGTTCTTGCTTTGTTGCCCAGGCTGGTCTCAAACTCCTGGACTCAAGAGATCCTCCTGTGTTGTCCTCCCAAAATGGATTACAGGCATGAACCACCATGCCTAGCTGAGTTAAATAATTTAGTATTAGTATCTCTTGAAAATTAGGACTAAAGCATCTAGCTGCAGGGGCTGACTGGATATAATTGTACATAGTAGTTTACTCATCTTTAATACTGCCAAAGCATTCTGTATAGTTTAACACCTGTCTTTATTTTCTCTCGCTGTGCACTTCTTTTTTCTTTCTCTTTGCCTTCTGCTTCTCACTGTTTTGTATTCTTGGAGCTCATTATCTGTCCCTTCTGGAACCTCTTTGTTTCCAGTCTCATTTAATGATACTGTTGACTTACATCCTAGTATCGTTGGCTAGAAATACCCGATTTGTCTTTGGCGCTAACAGCTTCTTTTCCTACATCTAATCAGTTGCCACATCCTGTCACTTATACCTGCTGGAGATATTACCTGTCTGTTCTTTTCATTCTTTCTTACCTGTCCTAAGTCAGGCACTCATGTGAAATAATAGAATGACCTATCTAGTTATCTACTTCCAGCCTTCCTCTTCAAATCGCTTTTTATACTGTGACTGGACTTATTTTCCTAAAGCAGAGGTCAGATTAGGTCATCTACCTTCCTTAGAAATGATTATGCATTACCTACTCAGTAGTTTGGCATGTGAGACCATCCACGGTTTGACTTCAGACTTTTTGTTTTTATTTTAATTTTTTTCGTAGACCATTTTTTTAGGCTTTCAGAACAATTGAGCAGAAAGTACAGAGTACCAGTTTATTTTCTCCAGACTGTCTTTTTACTCTTATCTTCTAATGTGCCATTTGCTCTAGCCAAAGTCTAATTAACTCATGAACCCCCGACCCTATTGAGACTGACTCCCCATTGTATAGAGTCAAGAGAGACTGTGGGTGATCATAAGGCTTGGCTTCTCTAGGTATGTTTATCCCCTTCAATGGATCCAGATGAATACTTCACACTGGATATATTCATTTTCTGTTGCTGTGTAACAAATTACCATAAACTTAGCTGTGGCTCAGGAGTTCAGATACAGCATTACTTACTGGGTCCTTTGCTCAGGGTCTTACAAGGCTGTGGTCAAGCTGTTGTCTTGGCTGCATTCTCATCTAGAGGTTTAATTGGGGAAGAATCTGCTTCCAGGCTTATATAGATTGCTGGCAGAATTTATATCCTGGTGGTCGTATGACTGAGGGTCCTAGCTTTTTGCTGGCTATCAGCTGGAGGCCAACCATTGATTGTAGATGCTGTCCACAGCCTCCAGAGGCTGTATAGTTTCTTGCCCCCTGGGCCTCTCCAACATGGCCACCTATTTTGGCAAGCCTTCAGAGAATCTTACTCCAGTCTGCGAAGAGGGAGTTTATATAATGTAACGTAATCAAAGGAGTGACATTCCATCATTTTTACCATATTCTCTTGGTTAGAAGCATGTCACAAGTGCTGTATGCACTCAAGGGAAGGGCATTATTAAAAAGATGTGAACATCAAGAGGTAAGAATCCTTAGGGTACACTTTAGAGTCTACCTGCCACACTGGGAATAAGATATGGTATATTAGGACTAAGTGTGTTTCCATCTGTCTCTTTATCCCCATTTAAAAGGGTCAAAGTAGAACCCCCAGAATACCTATCCCTCCCTATCCTTGAAACATAGAGGATTTTTAGAGTGACAGAACTACTCTATATGATACTATAATGATGGATACATGTCATTATACATTTGTCCAAACCCATAGAATGTACAACACCAAGAGTGAACCCTAATGTAAACTGTGGATTTGGGTGATGATGATGTGTCAGTGAAGGTTCATAAGTTGTTACAAATGTCCACTCTGGTGGGAGATATTGATAATGGGGGAGACTGTGCATGTGTTGGGACAGGGATATATGGAAAATCTCTGTACCTTCCTTTCCATCTTGCTGTGAACCTAAAACTGCATTAGAAAAATAAAGTTAAAAAGTTAGTGAAGCAGGAAACCAAAAACTGACCAGGTTCAGTTCAGTTTTTGACATGTTGGATTTGCAATTTCCAAGACATCCAGATAGACATGTTTAGTAAGCAGTTGATTGTATGAATCTGGTGTTCATCAGAGAGGTCTGGGCTGGAAGATATACATGTGGGAATCATTGGCCCTTAGATGGTATTTAAAGGTATAAGACTGGATTTAATCATCAATTGAGTGAACATGTATTGCAGAGAAGCAAGACCTAAACTCCTGGTGCACTCGAATATTGGAGGTGGAAGGGCAGGAGGAGAAAAGAAATAAAGGAGACTGAGAAGAAACAACTTAGTGTTCTGAAAGCCAAGTGAAGAAAGTGTTTCAATAATGAGATAGTGATAAACTATCAATGCTGATGATAGAGCAAATAAAATTAAGACAGAAAATTTATCATTGAATTTAACAATGTAGAAGTCATTAGCTATCTTGAATAGTGTAGTTTTGGTTGAGTGTTGGGAGCAAATGCCTTACTAAAGTATCTTTAAGAAGAAAGAACTGGGAAAAGCGCAAATAGACAACTCTTCATAGGATTTTTGCAGCAGTGGAGAGCAGAGAGTTTTTTTTAGGGAAGAGGATGAGAGAAATGGGGGCTGGAAAGGGAAAGGAGGTTAAGATAAAGTTTTGTTATAGTTACAGTAATCAAGACAATATGGTACTGGCATAGACATGCAAATCAGTGGAATAGAACTGACAGCCCAGAAATAAACACTTAAATTTATGATCAACTGATTTTTGACAAGAGTGTCAGGATAATCCAATGGGAAAGAATAATCTTTTCAGTAAATGGTGCTGGAATAACTGGATGTCCACATACAGTAGAATGAAGTTGGACTCCTACCTCATCCCATACATAAAAATTAACTCAATCATAGACCTAAAGGTAAGCACTAAAACTATACAACTCTTAGAAGAAGACATAAGAGTAAATCTTCATGACCTTTAGTTAGGCCATGGTTTCTTAGATGTGACACTAAAAATACAAACAACAAAAGAGAAAACAGGCAATTTGGACATCAAAATTTAAAACTTTTTGTCCAAGAGCACTATCAAGAGAGTGAAAAGACAGCTCACAGAATGGGAAAATGTTTGCAGATCACATATTTGATAAAAGACTTGTATCCAGAATATATATTAAATTATTACAGTTCAATATTAAAAAGACAACCAGGCTGGGTGTGGTGGCTCATGTTTGTAATCCCAGCACCTTGGGAAGCTGAGGTGGATGGATCATTTGAGGTCAGGAGTTCAAGACCAGCCTGACCAACATGGCAAAACCCCATCTCTACCAAAAATACACAAATTGACCAGGAGTGGTGAGTCCACATGGACTCAGATGTTTCTCCTTAGAAGATAAATGGCCAATAAGCAGGTGAAAAAATGTTCAACATTGTTAGCTGTCAAGATGCAAATGAAAACCACAAGGAGGATACCACTTCACATCCATTAGGATATCTATAATCAAAGAGTCAGGCAATAGCGAGTATTGGCAAGGATGTGGAGAATTGGAACCTTCACACACTGCTGATGGGAATGTAAAATGGTGCAGCTGCTTTGGAAAACAGTTTGCTAGCTCTAGACATTTGTTAAACGTGGAGTTACCATATGACCCTGTAATTCCACTCTTGGGTACATACCCAAAAGAAGTGAAAACATATGTCCACATCAAAACCAGTACACAAATGCAACCCAAAATTGGAAATAGCCTATGTTCCTATCAACTGATGAATGGATAAATAAAACCTAGCATAAAAATAAATGAAGTAGTTACTACAACATAGTTGAACCTTGAAAACATTATGCCTTCACCATTATCAAACAATTGGTGAATCTATATTGACACACCATAATCACCCAAAGTCTATAGTTTATCCTAGGGTTCACCTCTTTTTTTTTTTTTTTTTTTTTTTTTTTGAGACAGGGTCTCACTTTGTTGCCCAGGCTTCAGTGCAGTGGCATGAATGTAGCTTACTGTGACCTCAAACTCCTGGGCTCAAGCAATCTTCCCACCTTGGCCTCCCAAAATGCTAGGATTACAGGCATAAGTCACTGTTTCTGGCCCAAGGTTCACTATTTTTTTTTTTTTTTTTTTTTTTTTTTTGAGACAGAGTCTTGCTCTGTCGCCCAGGCTGGAGTGCGATCTTGGCTCACTGCAACCTCCACCTCCTGGGTTCAAGTGATTCTCCTGCCTCAGCCTCCTGAGTAGCTGGGATTACAGGTTTGCGCCACCACACCCGCCTACTTTTTTGTATTTTTAGTAGAGACGGGGTTTCACCATGTTGGCCAGGCTGGTCTCAAACTCCTAGCTTCAGGTGATCCCCCTGCCTCAACCTCCCAAAGTGTTGGGATTACAGGCGTGAGCCACCGCGCATGGCCCCAGCGTTCATTCTTGATGTTGTACATTCTGTGGGTTTGGACAAATGTGTAATGACCTATATCCATTATTATAACATCATACCGAATAGTTTCATTGCCTTGAAAATCCTCTGTGCTGTACTTATTCATCTCTTTGCCCCTTCCCAGACCTTGGCAACCACTAATCTTTTTACTGTCTCCATAGTTTTGCCTTTTCTACAGTGTCATATAGTTGGAATCATACATAATGTAGCCTTTCAGATTGGCTTTTTTCACTTAGTAGTATGCATAATAAGGTTCCTCTGTCTTTTCATGGCTTATTAGCTCATTTCATTTTAATGCTGAATAACATACTATTGTCTGGATGTACCACAGTTTATTTAGCCATCCACAAACTCAAGGACATCTTAATTACTACCAAATTTTGGCAGTGATGAATAGAGCTGCTATAAATAACTGTATGTGGGTTTTTTGTATGGATGTAAGTTTTCAGTTCCTTTGGATAAATACCAAGGAATAGACTGACTGGACCATATGGTAACAGTATGTTTAGTTTTGTAAGAAACTGCCAAACTATCTTTCAAAGTCTGTACTATTTTGCACTCCAACCAGCAATGAATGAGAGTTTCTGTTGCTCTACATCCTCTCCAACATTTGGTGTTATCAGTGTTTTGGATTTTGGCCATCTTAATTGGTGTGTAGTGGTGTCATTGTTTTAGTTTGCATTTCCCTGATGACATATGATGTGGAGCACCTTTTTATGTGCTCACTTGCCATCTTTGTATCTTCTTTTATGAAGTTTCTGTTAAGGTCTTCTGTCCATTTCTTAATTGGTTTGTTATTGTTGAATTTTAAGGGTTCTTGTATCTTTTGGATAACGGTTCTTTATCAGATGAGAATATTTTCTCCCAGTCTGTGGTTTCTGTTCTCATTCTCTTGACATTGTCTTTTGCAGAGTGTTAATTTTAAGGAAGTCCAGCTTTTCAATTATTTCTTTCAGGGATCATGCCATTGTTGTTCTATCTAAAAAGTCATCACCATACCCAAGGTCAATTAAGTTTTCTCCTGTGTTATCTTCGAGGAGTTTTATTGTTTTGCATTTTATATTTAGGCCTATGATCCATTTTTAAATATTTGTTTGTTTATTTTAGTGACAGGGTTTTGCTGTGTTGCTCAGGCTGGTCTTGAACTCTTAAGCTCAAGGAATTCTGCCTTGGCCTCCCTAGTAGCTGGGACTATAGGCATATGCTTGGCTTCTGTGATCCATTTTGAATTAATTTTGCTCTAGCACCATTTGTTGAAAAGACTGTTCCATTGTACTGCCTTTGCTCAGTTGTCAAAGATCAGTTGACTGTAGTTATGTGGGTCTATTTTTGGGCTCTCCATTCTGTCCTGTTGGTCTGTTTTTCTAATCTTTTGTCAATACTATACTGTATGGATTACTGTTACTTTATAGTAAGTGAACTCTAGTAGTGTCAATCTTCCAACTTTATTCTTCTCTTTCCATATTGTGTTGACTGTTTTGGGTTTTTTGCCTTTCCACATAAACTTCAACATTAGTTTGTCAGTGTCCACAAAATAACTTGCTGGGATTTTGATTGGGATTGCGTTGAATCTGTAGATCAAGTTGGGAAAACCTGACATCTTAACAGTGTTGAGTCTTCCTATCCATGATCATGGAATATCTTTTATTCTTCTTTGATTTCTTTCATCAGTTTTGTAGTTTTTCACATATAGAATGTATACATATTTCATTAGATTTATGCCTGTTTTACTTTGGGAGATGTTTATATAAATGGTATGGGTTTAATTTGAAATTCGACTTGTTCATTGCTGTTACATATGAAAGTGATTGACTTTTGTATATTAACTTTGTGTTGTGCAACCTTAGTATAATCATTTATTAGTTCTAGGAGGTTTTTGTCAGTACCATTGAATTTTCCATGTTGATGATCTTGTTATCTGTGAACAAAGACAGTCTTATTTGTTTCTTCTTAATCTTCATACCTTTTTTTTGGGTCTTATTACATTAGTTAGGACTTCTAGTACAATGTTGAAAAGGAGTGGTGAGAGGGGACATCCTTGCCTTTTTCCTGATCTTAGCTGGAAAGCTTCTAGTTTCTCACCAATAAGTTGATGTTAGCATTGGGCTTTTTGTAGGTGTTCTTTATCAAATTGAGGAAGTTCCCCTCTATTCCTAGTTTGCTGAATGGTTTTATTATGCATGTGTGTTGGATTTTGTGAAATGCTTTTTCTGTATCTACTGATATGGTCATATGATTTTTCTTTTTTAGCCTATTGATGTAATGAATTACATTAATTGAATTTTGAATGTTGAACCAGCCTAGGATACCTGGAGAAAATCCCACTTGGTTTTGTATGTGATTCGTTTCATATATGGTTGGATTCAATCTGCTGATATTTTGTTGGAGATTTTTGCATCCATGTTCATCAGAGAATATTGATCTATAGTTTTTTTGTAGTGTCTTTGGTTTGATATGAGGGTATTTCTAGCCTCATAGGATGAGTTAGGAAGTCTTTCTTTTGCTTCTTTCCTCCGATTGAGACTGTATGGAATTAGTAAAATTTCTACCTTAAATGATTGGTAGAATTCACCAGTGGATCCGTCTGGGCCTGTTACCTTCTGTTTTGGAAGGTTATTACTTATTGAGGCAATATCTTTAATAAATAGAGGCCTATTTAGATAGCTTGTTTCTTCTTCTGTGAGTTGTCACAAATTGCATTTTCCGAGGCATTGGTCCATTTCTTGTAGGTTATCAGATTTGTGGGCATAGAGTTATTTATAGTATGTCTTGGTTATCATTTTAATGTCTATGGGACCTTAGTGGATGTCTCTTCCTTCATTTCTGATATTAGTAATTTGTGTCCTCCCTTTTGTTCCTCCTTAGGGAGCCTGGCTAGAGGCTTATTGAGTTTATCGATCTTTTGAAAAAGCCAGGTTTTCATTTTGTTGATTTTTTTCTATTGATTTTCTGTTTTTAATTTCGTTGACTTGTGCTCTTATTTCTTTCCTTCTGCTTATTTTGGATTTAATTTGCTCTTCTTTTTCTAATTTCCTAACATGGAAACTTGGAGTATGGATTTTAGATCTTTCTTATCAAATATATGCACTCAATGCTATACATTTTCCTCTAAGCCCTGCTTTCACAGCATCCCACAAATTTTGATAAGATGTACATTTTTTTTTCCACTTAGCTCAAAATACTTTAAAATTTCTCTTGAGATTTCTTCTCTGACTTGTGTTATTTAGAAGTATCTTTTTTAATCTTCACATATTTTGGGATGTTTCAGTTTTCTTCTTGTTATTGATTTCTCATTTAATTCCCTTGTTTGAGAGTAAATACTATATTTGTTTTTTTTTTTTTAATTTGTTAAGGTGTTTTTTATGTTACAGAATGTCTTCTGTCTTGGTGAGTGTTCCATGTGAACTTGAGAAGAATGTGTTTCTGCTGTTGGATGAAGTGGTTGATAGGTGTTAATTATATCCAATCAACGGATGGTATTGTTGAATTCAGCTATGTTCTTAATGATTTCTTGCCTGCTAGATCGGTCCGTTTCTGATTTGAGGGGTGTTTGAGTCTACAACTATAATAGTAGTTTCATCTGTTTCTCCTTGCAGTTCCATTAGTTTTTGCCTCTTGTAGTTTGATGCTCTGTCATTAGGTGGATGTACATTAAGGAATGCTATGTCTTGGAGAATTGACCCATGTGTCATTATTTAATGCCCTTCTTTATCTCTAATAACTTTCTTTGCTTTGAGTCTGCTTTTTCTGAAATTTTTTATCAGTGTTAGCATGGTATATTTTTCTGTTTACTTCTAATCCATATGTTTATTTATATTTAAAGTGGGTTTCTTATAGACAACATATAGTTGGGTCTTGTTTTTTGATCATCTCATAATCTTTTAATTAGTGCCTTGAGACCGTTGATGTTCAAAGTGATTATTGATTTAGTTGGGTTAATATATATCATATTGATTGCTGTTTTCTGTTTGTTGCCCTTGTTCTTTTTGTCTTCTACTCTTGGTGGTTTGTTTTGTTTTATTTTGAGACTGTTTCACTCTGTCACCCAGGCTGGAGTGCAGTGGCTCAATCCCCGATCTCAGCTCACTGCAACCTCCGCCTTCCAGGTTCAAGCTGTTTCAGCCTTCTGAGTAGCTGCGATTACAGGCACCTGCCATCACACCTGGCTAATTTTTGTATTTTTCGTAGAGGCAGGGTTTCACCATGTTGGCCATGCTGGTCTCAAACTCCTGGCCTCAAGTGATCTGCCTGCCTCGGCCTCCCAAAGTGCTGGGATTACAGGCATGAGCCATTGTGCCCAGCCCTCTTGGTGAGTTTAATAGAACATTTTATATGATTATAATTTATCTCCTTCCTGGTTGCCCTAGAGTTTGCAATATACATTTATAACAAATCCAGACCTACATACAAATAACTATACTGTTTCACAGGTAGTGTGAGTGCCTTATAATAAGAATATGATTCCTCCCTCCCATCTTTGTATCATTGCTGTCATTCATTTCGCTGATATATAAGCATATATAAACATATATATGTATATATATACACACACAAGATATTTGCAGAAGAACCCATAATTGAATACATTGTTGCTGTTATTATTTTGAACCAACTGTTTTCTCTTAGACCATTTGAGAATAAGAAAAATAAGACGTGGTGTCTCATGCATGTAATCAGCTTTGGGAGGCCAAGGTGGGAGGATTGCCTGAGGCCAGGGATTCAAAACCAGCCTAGGCAATGTAGTGAGATCACATTGAGATCCTGTCTCTACAAAACAAAACAAAACAAAACAAAGAACAAAAATTAGCCAGGCATCAGCCTGGTGCAGTGGCTCACGCCTTTAATCCCAGCGTTTTGGGAGGCTGAGGCGGGCGAATCACTTGAGGTCAGGAGTTTGATACCAGCCTGGCCAACATGGTGAAACCCTGTCTCTACCAAAAATACAAAATTAGCTGGGTGTGGTGGCATGCGCCTGTAGTCCCAGCTACTTGGGAGGCTGAGGCAGGAGAATTGTTTGAACCCAGGAGGCGGAGGCTGCAGTGAGCCAAGATCGTGCCTAGGGGACAGAGTGAGACTCTGTCTCAAAAAAAAAAAAAAAAAAAAAAAAAAAAAAGGGATGGTGGGCATGCCTGTTGTCCTAGCTACTCAGGAGGCAGAAGGATTGCTTGAGCTCAGGAGTTTGAGGCTACAATTTGCTGTGATCATGCTACTGCACTCCAACCTGAGTGACAAAGTGAGACCCTGTCTCAAAAAAAAAAAAAAAAAAGGGTTTTAAACTTCGTCTATTTCTTGTATGCTCATGCTTGCTTTATGTGGATCCAAGTTTCTGACCTATATTATTCTCATTCTCTCTACAGAACTTACATATATTTAAAAATATTTAATATTTCACTGCAGCCTTGACCTCCCAGGTGGATGGGACTACAGGCATGTGCCACCAAGGCTAATTTTTTTATTTTTTTAGAGACGGGGTCTCACTATATTGCCCAGCCTGGTCTCAAACGCCTGGGCTCAAACAGTCCTCTTGCCTCAGCCTCCCAAAGTGTCGGGATTATAGGTGTGAGCCACTGTGCCCAGCCTTACAGGTTTTTTTTTTTTTTTTTTTTGCTAGGCTGACATGATGTACTGGGTAAAAGGAATTGCTGTAATTAGGTCTTTAGTTGTGTGGTGGCAAGGTGTTCAGAAGCACTCTATAGTCCTGTGATTAGGTCTCAGTCTTTTATTGAGTCTATGGACTTCACAAATGTTTCGAAGTTGTTTTCTTCTTTCTTAGGTGGGACAGAATGGCTAGAGTTGGCTGCAGTTGGGTATTTCCCTTCCCCCAGGTGAGTTAGGCTCTGATAAGCCCCAACAGGTTAGGCACTGGTTAAATAGTTTCTCCTGAGGGGAGGCCTTGTTAAGAACAGAGTGCTCTGGTGTTTTTCAAAAATGGTTCTTCCCCACTCCACTTGTTAGAAGAAGGAGGGGATTTTTTTCTCCATGTACTATGAGTTGAGTTCCTGGAGATAAAACAAAAGTGCGAGGGGACTCACCACATGAATGGGTTCCCCTGTAGATTTTAACTCTCAGTGTTGTCTATGCTGAGCCTCCAACAATTTCTTAATTACAGTTAAGGTTTTTCTACCCCAGTAATGGTTCTTGCAGTGGTTTCTGCTAGAGAGCTTTTGCTCTGGCAAATTGTTACTCCTTGTATTGACCTATTTCTGCAGTCATGGGTCAGCAATTTGCCCTGTGTCCTCACATCTCTTAACGATCCAGAATGAATTACTGATTTTTTAGTTTGTTCATCTTTTCACTTGTTGTTAGGGTGGAGTGGTAAATTCTAAACTCCTTATACATGAAACTGGAAACTGAAAGTCCCCTTTACTTGCTTTAATTTTTTTCAGAGTAAAAACCATGAGTCTTTAAAATAGCCTTTAATCTGATCCCTAATATTCTTTGTTCTTCATCTTGTCGCACCCTCTCCCTGTGTATTCCTGTCTAGCACGCTGATTCCTCACATATTCCATGCATTCTCCTGACTTTGCACTGGTTGTCACCTCTGCTTAAAATGGTCTTCCCCCCAGGTAGATAATCTGCAAGACTTACTTTCTCACCTCCTTGAAGTCTTTGTTCAAATATTGACTTCCCCAATCACCTTTATAAACTTATTCTGTCAGCCTGTACTCATGACCTCTTCACTCTGGTCTTTTTGTTGTTGTCCCGTAAAATGATTGCCTTTTAAGATGCTCTAGAATGTATTTGTTCAATATGTGTATTGTTTATCTTCTGTTGCTGGAATGTAGCTTTATGGGAGTAGGGGTGTTTGCCTATTTTGTTCATTAATGTATCCCAATTCCTGTATATGTTTGTGGCCCATTGTAGTTGACCAATGAATGTTTGATGAATGTATGAATGAATGGATATGGTCACATTTGTTCTTTTATGTTCCTTTATCTATTTGAAAACTCCCATACTGGTATATTTCTTCTTTCCTATTACACACGTCCTTCCCCAGACAATTATCCTAATCTTCAAAAACCTTATTTTAAAGTGATTAGTCTAATAAAGTTATGTCTGTTTGTCCTGATTCTGAGATTAGTATGTGTAAACTTTCAGCACTCTTAATAACAAGGGAATCTGTGTTAAGCATAGCCACAGTCATTTCTTTGCTGAATCAACGGCTGTTAAAGTGAGTGAAAGCTGCAGAAAGTTTCAGGATCCTTTTGGCAGTTTAAGTGAAAGAAATAAAACAGTGTTTTATAGAAGCTGTAAACTTTGTTGCCTTAGAGGGGAGTTCTCAAATTTTAAGGTGTCTAAGAATCACCATGGGGAGTTTGTTAAAAATGGTAGTTTGTTAAAAGTACAAATTCTCTCTTCTAATCCCTAAGGTTCTGAATCAATAGGTTCATAGAAGGGCCCAGAGTTTGCATTTTCAGTAAGTACCTGGGGTTTCTGATACGGGATGTCTGTGAATATAAATTAAGTAACATTCTTTTAGACCCTACATACACTTTGGCTGTTTTTTGGTTTAGAGATGGAAGAGAAAGAGCTGGAGAAAGCAAGAAGAAATTTCTGGAATAGGTGTTTAGAATATGGAAGAAAACCTGGAAGGAGAAAATATATTTGCTTATGCATGACAAAGACAACTCATGAACTTCCTGTGCCTTGAAGAGACCTTGGGTAGTCGTTTATTTAAAATGAATCACCCTTGGAATTTCCAGTGCAGAGAGCTTACTATATTATAGAGCAGTCCATCCACTATTGTATAATCATGATTATTATAATGTTCTTAATTCTCTTGAGCCAATATATTTTTCTATAATTTTTATCTGTTTGTCCTAGCCAAACTGAAGAGGCAAATGTAGTAAGGTAATTCGTGTTAAAATATAAAATAATTATAACCCTTATTTTTCTAAGAGATATTTAAGCATGTAGTCTATTCCCAGTTTGTTAAATTTCATCCATCCATGGGATGAGGATATACAGCCTTGCTCTGCCAGACTTTGTTTTTGATTCTGCCTCCGGGGTCAGTTCTCTCATTCTCTTCCAGGTCTGTTCCAGTTTTGTTCTTTGTCTCCAACTCTGCACACTCTGCTTTTCTCAGTACTTCAAGTTTTTCCCAGGTACAGCCAAAGTAGTGGCAGACACAGTTCTAGGTTTGTCAGGAGAGGAGCTTACTGTAGTACATTTGGTTGCAGTAGAGTATTTTCTTTTTCCCTGCCAATAGGTTGGCTTTCCTTCTGTATTTGGAGTTTTGGTCCATGTAAAATGAAGATGATATACTATGGAGTGCCCAGTGAGATAGAGAGGTCTTCCTTTTTGCATCTCAAATTTTTCTTCTCCTGTCATTTTTTTCTTGTTGTTATCCCTAAAGTAGAAGTTCTGTTAGTGAGGGTCTATTGGTAGTACTTTTTTCAGTATTTATTGTTATTATTTCATCTTGGTTCTCAAACAGCTGATCTGACTGGTTTTAGAGTTCTGCATTATCAGTTATTTTCTCTCAGCCATTTAGCACATTATACTTGAGCTTGCATTGTTGCTGTTGAGAAGCTAGCTCAGTCTTAGGATCTTAGGTGAAAGGATACACAGTGGTTTATAGGTGACCTTCCTTTGTGTGGGAATTATCCTTTTTTTTTTCTTGCAGTTTTTAAGGTTTGCTCTTTCATTGTGATGTATCTGAGTGTTACTATTTTTAAAATTTGGCTTGTGTTTTAGGGTTTTGAATCTGAGAATTAGTGTCTTCATATACTGTTTAAACATTGACTCTCCCTTATCCTGTTTTTTTTTTTTTCCCCTCTGGACCTCTTAATTGTATGTTAGACCTTCTCAATCATCATGTCTTATAATTTCTCATATTTACATTTTTTGGATCTCTGTGCTGTGTCATTAGATTCACTTCCATTCCTTTATTATTTCATCTTTGTGTAGTTTGCTGTTCAACTTGTCTATTAAATTTATAATTTAAAAGTCATTATTATAGTTTTCATTTCTAGAATTTCATTTAAGAAGCTGGCCAATTCTGATAGTCTCTTGTTAGTCAAACTTGTATTACCCTCTTAATTCTTTATTAAACACACCTGTTTTGTATCTGATAATTCAAATATATTCAGGTCTTATTTTGTAATTTGCTATTTCTGTGGACCCTTGTGGTTTGTTTCCTCATAGATTTAAATCATAAGCCAAAGTTACTTGGAACTTTATCTGTGTTAATTTCTTGAAGCCTGGTGTATTAGTCAGTTCTCATGCTGCTAATAAAGACATACCCGAGACCAGGTAATTTATAAAGAAAAAGAGTTTTAATGGACTTGCAGTTCTACATGGCTGAGGAGGCCTCACAATCATGGTGGGAGGTGAAGGACAAGCAAAGGCACGTGTTACCTGGTGGCAGGCAAGAGAGCATGTGTAGGGGAAGTCCCCTTTATAAAACCATCAGGTATCATGAGATTTATTCACTGTCATGAGAACAGCATAGGAAAGACCCACCCCCATGATTCAGTTACCTCCCACCAGGCCCCTCCCATGACACGTGGGAATTATGGGAGCTGCAATTCAAGATGAGATTTGGGTGGGGACACAGCCAAACCCATGTCACCTGGTTTTAATGTTTGTTCCTCTACTTTTGCCAAATGCCTGAGGCCACTACCAGCCTGAGATCCTTTTCACTGAAAATTGGATGTTGGATTATCTTGTCCATGTGGGTAGTGGAATTCTGACCTGAGATCTGCAAGTTGGTAGGTTTTTGGTTTTTGTTTTGTTTTGTTTTGTTTTGGAGACAGGATCTTGCTCTGTTGCCTAGGCTGGAGTGTAGTGGCATGATCTTGGCTCGTTACAACCTGCCTCCTGGGCTCAAGCTATCCTTCTGCCTCAGCCTCCTAAGTAACTGGGACTCCAGGCATGTGCCACCACACTTGGTAAATTTTTAAATTTTGGTGTAGAGCTGAGGTCTCACTATATTGCCCAGGCTGGTCTCAATCTCCTGGCCTTGAGTGATCCTTCCACCTCAGCCTCCCAAAGTGCTGAGATTACAGGTGTGAGCCACCATGCCTGGCCATTGGTAGGTTTATGACTGGGAATTCTCAGGGAAGATTTCCCTTTTTTCCTCCCTTCTACATCCAGAATTAAGGACAAGACATGGAGGTATTCCCATCATTTATTTTTCTTCTGTGAAATTGCTTTTTTCTTACTCATCCACTGAAACGGTCATTTTTTAGAGACTCCTGGCTTTATGCAGGGATCTTGTCAATCCCTTACCATCCTTGTACCAGCTCCAAAGCTTTGTCTCTAGTTTACTAGTGCAGATGGATCACTAGTAATTTGGTGAATGGTTTGGTATCAAGGCTGTTCTTTCTTTGGATTTAGTAGTTCCTGCTTTCTTGCCTCCCAGGATTTCTTGTTGCGTTAGTTGTGTATTTACAATATTATTTAAATAAAATTTGGTCTAGTATTTTAGGTATTATGTACTAGAAGGGGATCTCTACATATGGGTGATCTGCTATGTTTTAAGAAGTGAAAGTCTTGAGTGGCTTGTTTTATATTTATATATATATAGATAGAGACAGAGACACATATAGATACACACACACACACACACACACACACGCATACACGCTCATCTGTCCCAGAGTGAAAAGTTGGAAATGAACTGGGAACCATCATCACAATAGGTATTTAGTAGTGATGAAAAGAGGTCGTCCTCCAGAATTCTACTTGGCTTGAGTTGGCTAATCCACTATGTTGTGGCTGAAGAAAATACTGGGTCTTTAACATCTACAGATGTGAAGAAATTATCAGGATAATAGCTATTAGATTTATATCAGTGCTATTAGAGATTTGTGGCTCTCCAACATTTCTCATCATTGCTATACTGCAAGCAACTATGGCCTTAAATATATCGCATTACCAGCTCTAACCCTACCTTCATCCTTATCTACTAGTTTATTATACTTAATACTTCCTTGGTTATTTAAAGTAATACAGCATTTATAGCAAGGTTTCAGCTGGGTACATTCTTGGGTAATTTCTTCTGTGTTTTTCCTGAAATATGCTGCTGCCAGGCTAACTTTGCCAGACATTTTATTAGTATTTGGTCATTGTTTTATTGTTGCTGCTTATTACACCAAGAAGACAGGGCTTTGGGGCGATGCTTTTGGTTTTTTGCTGGGGGAAGATCTTTATTACTGATCAAGATAGCAGTTCTAAATGCCATGTGAACTTGGGACAATATATGTGAGAATTATATCTCACTTAAGGTGCCGGGAACTCTTTTTCTTTTTTTTTTTTTTCCAACTTTTTAAGTTCTGGGGTACATGTGCAGGATGTGTAGGTTTGTTACATAGGCAAACGTGTGCCATGGTGGTTTGTTGCACAGATCAACCCATCACCTAAGTATTAAACCCAGCATTCACTAACTATTCTTCCTGATGCTCTCCCTTTGCCCACCCCTAATCCCCATCCCCATCTCCCGACAGGCCCCAGTGTGTGTTTTTCCCCACCATGTGTCCATGTGTTCTCAATGTTCAGTTCCCACTTATGAGTGGGAACATGCTGTTTGGTTTTCTGTTCCTGCATTAGTTTGCTGAGGAGGCTGGCTTCCAGCTTCATCGATATCCCTGCTAAGGACATGATCACATTCCTTTTTATGGCTGCATGGTATTCCATGGTGTATATGTACCACATTTTCTTTATCCAGTCTATGATTGATGGGCATTTAGATTGATTCCATGTCTTTGCTATTGTGAATAGTGCTGCAGTAAACATAGGTGTGCATGTGTCTTTGTAGTAGAATGATTTATATTCCTTTGGGTATTTACACAGTAATGGGATTGCTGGGTCAAATCGTATTTCTGCCTCTAGATCTTTGAGGAACCACCACACTGTCTTCCACAGTGGTTGAACTAATTGACACTCACACCAACAGTATAAAAGCATTACTTTTTCTCCATAACCTCGCCAGCATCTGTTGTTTTCTGACTTTTTAATAGTTACCATTCTGACTGGTGTGAGACGGTATCTCATTGTGGTTTTGATTTGCATTTTTCTAATGATCAGTGATGTTGAGCTTTTTTTTCATATGTTGGCCCCATGAATGTCTTCTTTTGACAAGTGTCTGTTCATGTCCTTTGCCTGCTTTTTAATGGCATTTTTTTCTTGTAAATAAGTTTAAGTTCCTTATAGACTCTGGTTATTAGACTTTTGTCAGATGGATAGATTGCAAAAATTTTCTCCCGTTTTGTAGGTTTTCTGTTCACTCTGCTGATAGTTTGTTTTGCTGTGCAGAAGCTCTTTAGTTTAATTAGATCTCATTTGTCAATTTTTGCTTTTGTTGCATTGCTTTTGTAGTTTTTGTCATGAAATCTTTGCCCGTGCCTACACCCTGAATGGTATTGCCTAGGTTTTCTTCTACAGTTTTTATAGTTTTGGGTTTTACATTTAAAGGACCATACTTTTCTAATTGGAGAAGTTAGCATTGATTAGCCTTAGTTTTTCTGCCCATTAATAAGAGATACTGGGTGTGGGGGAACAAGCATTTGGAAAAGAGAATTTGTGATTATTTTAGTGACAAAAGATTGTAATGGAGATTTTAAAAATACAAGAAAATGCTCTTAATCCCACTGCCCAGAAATAATCCCTATTAACATTTTGATATATTTTCATCTTATTTTAAAATAGGAAGTTCGTGTCATGTTGTATATACAGCTTTGTTTCATAACTTTTTTTAATCACTTATTTGTCCAAGCTTCCTCATCTTATTGCACTCTTTTAGAACTTTTAAATAGCTGTATTGTATACTTTCCTATAGCTGTATCAGTTTAACCATTTCTTCTGTTGTGTTGGACATTTGGGGTTTTGCTTTTGTAAATAAAGCTGTAGTGAGCATTCTTGGCATACATACATTTGCAAATATCTTGGATTATTTCCATAGGATATTTTTAAAGACCAGATATTCATAGTACATAGGGTATAAATACTTCTATGGCTCTTGAAACATAATGCCAAATTGTGCTCCAGGATTGCTACATGTACTAGTGTATAATCCCACTTTTCAGTGTGTGAGAATATCTATTTTACCACATCTTTCTCAAAATGTGGTAATCCTATGATAATCATTTTAAAAATAATTATGTAAAATGTGCATTTCTTTGATTACTAATGAGGTTGAAATTTTTTGTATGTTTATTTTTCTTTTGTATTTTGTAAGCTGCCTGTTCAGAGTTTTTAAAAATGCAGTTTTTTTCAGTAACATGTTTATCTGATAATTTTGTATTGATTTGTACCTAGTGAAATGTATTAACTAATTGTTGTATATGTTGCTTATTATTTAGATTTTGCCATCTAATCTTGATTATGAATGCTTTATATCATCAAATTTCTAAATTTTTATGTGGTCAAATATATTACCTTTTCATTATGATTTCTTTCCCCTCATCTTTTCTGAATGTTTAGAATGACTTTTCTTCACGCCAAGAGCAGATAATGCCCTATAGTCTATAGAGTGTATTTTAGTGTCTTTATAGTTGTTTTTTGTCTTGTTTTGTTTTTTTTTTAACATTCAATTTTTAATCCATTTGGAATTCTTTTGAGATACAGGGATTTTGTTTTTCCTCCCCCAATTTAAATAATTCTCCCAACAGCATTTGCTGACAACCTTTTGTATTTCCATTGACTTGAAATGCTATCTTGATCAGTGCTTTAATTTTCATATGCACCACCATTGTGTATATTGTGTAAATTCCAATTTTGGTATTGTCAGAGTTTGTTTTTCTATCTCATGGTTTTGAAATGATATATGATTGTTTTTGCACTTCTTGATTACTAGTGCTGTTACACCTCTTTTCACATGTTTATTGACCTCTTTCTATTGCTTGTTCAGATCTTTTGCTAGTTTTTCGATTAGTTTGTATTTTCATGGATTTGTAACAATTCTTTATATATTCTGGGTAGCAATTTTCTGTTATATGCATTACAACTATCTTTTCCTAGTCCATGATTTGACTTTTTACTTTTTGTAAATTTCAGTGTAATTAAATTCGTCAATTTTGTGTGGTGTGTGTTTTCCATTCTTAATTTGACAGATACTTACTGAGCATCTACTGTTTCAGGGACTATTTTGGGTACTTGGGATAGGTCATAAACAAAATACACAGTATTTCTAGAGTTCATATTCTAGAAGCTCAAGAAATATTCATAAAAATATTCACATGTATTTTTCCCTGAAAGTGTTTAAGTTTTGCTTTTTCAGTTTTAGATCATGAATTTACCTCGAATTAATCTTTGTATATGATGCGAAGTAAGAAATGTTTTTTTTTCCTATATGAGTAACCAGTTATCCAGGCACCGTTTATTGATTAACACATTGTTTCTTCACTGTTTTGTAGTGACACCTCTGTTAGATATCAAGTTTCTGCATTTGTGTGGGTTTGTTTCTGTGTCTGTTTTGTTTATTGGTACACTTCTCTGTCCTTGCATCTGTATTACACTCTTAATTACTGTGGTTCTATAATAAGCCTTGATATCATAGGTCTTCCTACTTTGTTTTTCTTCAAAATGGTTTGACCTGTTTTTAGTTCCTGCCTTTTTTTTTTTTTTGAGATAGACTCTCACTCTGTAGCCCAAGTTGGAGTGCAGTGGCATAATCTGGGCTCACTGCAACCTCTGCCTCCCAGGCTCAAGCGATTCTCATGCCTCAGCCTCTCCAGTAGCTGGGACTACAGGTGCACACCACCATGCCTGTCTAATTTTTTGTATTTTAGTAGAGACGAGGTTTCACCATGTTGCCCAGGGTGGTCTCGAACTCCTGAGCTCAGGCGATCTGCCCACCTTGGCCTCCCAAAGTGCTGGGATTACAAGTGTGAGCCTCTGCACCCAGCCGGTTCTTGCCTTTTGTATATGCATTTTAGAATCAGCTGAACTACAGTTATATCTTTGGTTATGCGTGGCTTCCTTTTCAGGGCTGCTGTTAGCTGTGTCAGAGTAAAATCCTGCTATATATTGGTGGTGTCTTCTGGTTTTAATAGTTCTTAAGATCCTTGAACGTCCTTGTGCAGCTTCTTTCTTTTTTATATTTTTCTTATTTATGACCTCCCCCTTCCCTCCCTCTTCTCTTTCTTTCCTTTCTTCTTTTCTTTTCTGTTACTGTTTTTGCTTCTATTGTTCTTTTCATGTTCCCATCCTTGTTTTTTGTTTTTTTCTTATGGTCATTCTAAAGAGTACTTTAAAAATATATTTTTATTAAAGTAGTATATGGTGCATGTGTCGAGGGAAGCAAATAATACAGAGGCATATAAAACAACAGGTGCAAGTCCGTCTGATATCAGGTGGCCGAGACTTCCCAGATATTTTATGGGGGCATGTATAAATCTGTGTCTGTTGAAAAAAAGGTCATATACAGACTGTTCTGTAGCTTGCTTTATTTTTTAATTTAATTTTTATTTTATTATTATTATTATTTTTTGAGATGGAGTCTTGCTCTGTCTCCCAGGCTGGAGTGCAGTGGTGCGATCTTAGCTCACTGCAACCTCCGCCTCCCGGGTTCAAGCGATTCTTCTGCCTCAGCCTCCCAAGTAGCTGGGACTGCAGGCGCCCGCCGCCACACCTGGCTAATTTTTGTATTTTTAGGAGAGATGGGGTTTCACCATATTGGCCAGGCTGGTCTCGAACTCCTGACTTTGTGATCCACTTGCCTCGGCCTCCCAAAGTACTGGGATCACAAGCATAGGACACTGCGCCCGGCCAGCTTGCTTTATTTTATTTAGTATTTTAAAAGACATTCTTCTATCGCTAATTTATTCTCATGGCTGCATTGTATGTATATACAGTAATTTAACCAATCCCCCATTGATGGACTTGTAGATGTCTACTTCCTGATCTTGCAGCTTTCAGACACTACTGATCCTCACTGGCAAAGTGGAAGTTGGGTAATTTATTTTCTCTCTCCTTACGCCTTCCCTTTTACTCTTTTAAATTTAGTGGGGTTCTACCAAGAACTTTCCTGTATACTCTTCAGAGCACTGGCATGTAGCTTTCTCAAGAGGGAAGAGTTGGCAGTAAACCTTGGTGTAGTTCTTTTGTCTGGTTCTATCTGTATTTTACTATTAAACTCAAAAGTTCTTTTTTTTTTTTTTTGAGATGGAGTCTTGCTCTGTTGCCCAGGCTGGAGTGCAGTGGTACAGTCTTGGCTCACTGCAGCCTCCACCTCCCCGGTTCAAGTGATTCTCCTGCCTCAGCCTCCCAAGTAGCTGGGATTACAGGTGCCCGCCACCACACCCGGCTAATTTTTGTATTTTTAGTAGAGACGGGGTTTCACCATATTGGCCAGGCTGGTCTTGAACTCCTGACTTAGGTGATCTACACGCCTTGGCCTCCCAAAGTGCTGGGATTACAGGCATGAGCCACCATGCCTGGCCTCTATTAACATACGGTATCCTGGAGGAGAGTGTTTGTCATATAGTGTTATAAGTAGCAGTCTGATTGTAGAGTTGAAAAATGAATGAGTTGGAGAAAATGGAGATGGAGAATTTAAGCAGCTCTTTGCCACACACTTGACTATGAGAGAGCAGGGAATGAAGAGATGCAGATTTTGGGATTTTTCATTTTATTGGTGTTATACTTTTTGAAAGAAGTTAAAGTTGGATCTCTGTGTTACATAATTTTCCTTCTCTTAATCCTCCTAGCCTCCACCAGGCGGTGTGAAGATGCCTAATGTACCCAATACACAACCAGCAATAATGAAACCAACAGAGGAACATCCAGCTTATACACAGATTGCAAAGGTTAGTTCATGTTAGTTGTATAAATTCATATTGGCCATTATAATATCAATAACATTTGCTTTCAGAGCAAAATAAATCTTTATATGGTTACATTTCTGTTGCTTAATTTTTAACTCACTTTCAAGTCTGGATTTGCTGTCTTGTCACCCTTCAAATACTCATTCCTCTTTTTGTCAGCTTATACCATTTGCTTTATTCCATTATTAGGAATTATTGAATTTATGTATCATCTCAGTGGATAAATTTTTATTGCCTTTGGTCCCACTTTTTAATGCACACTACCATTAAGGTAAAAATGATGGAATAATAGATATTATTGGGAGAGCGTTGCAATGGTAAAATAACAGTGTTAGGAGGTAGAAGATGGCAAAAATCTGAGAAGAAAGGAGATTAATAAGATGCCTGATAGCATGTAAGGGCAAATTGAGTTATAAAGAATTTCTTAATCACATCTTTTGACCTCATTCTCCTATAACATTTAAGATATTAGAAAATATTCTTGCATTGGTGGCCTTATATATCATTTAATCTGATTAATAGGAGCCAATTCAGTTGCCCTTTTTTCTATTGTTCATTTTCCTCAACTGTTCCCATTGCCTCTGTTCTTCACTCATTTAGGCATAGAGGTCATCTTAATTTCATTTTCCAGATTACCTAAAGATTGTGACTACTTTTACTAAGAGAAGTTTTCCTCTCCTAATGGACCCAACATTCCCACTGAGAGTTTCTGGAACCCAAAGACCAAATGGACCAAATATCCTCATAATATTTTCTGTAACTATGATCTTCAGTAAATTCCTGTACTTTGGAAGTGTGTTTGAATTAGGTTTCTCTCATAGTAGAGAAGTAGGAGTTAGCATATAAATGTTAAAGTATTTTATACTTCTGACAGTCTATTCACATATTGATATTTTTTATTTAGGAACATGCATTGGCCCAAGCTGAACTTCTTAAGCGCCAGGAAGAACTAGAAAGAAAAGCCGCAGAATTAGATCGTCGGGAACGAGAAATGCAAAACCTCAGTCAACATGGTAGTATCCAAAGAAATTTGAAATAAAAATAACTTTTAAATACTTTACATTATGTCTATACTAGCTCCTAGGTCATTTGGCCTGTGGATAAAACCCTACCCTGTTTTCCTGTTCTAACAAGGAGATCAGACACAGCAGATTGCCTGTTTGATACTCTGTAGCCTTCTAATCTTGGCTGATTTGCATAGTCTTTTGTTGATAGCTTAGAACAGTGTTAGCCTCATCACACAGAAAATGAATGTGAATATGATAATTTTTGCTTACTCTGAGGCCAGGAGCCTTTGATTCTGCAGTTAGGCCCTCCTTGGTTCTGTGGACTCTTTATGAGTACATTTGCATGTACCCTACATTTGACTTTTACCTGATTTATTCAGGTTAATTTCAGATTATCTGCCCCAGTCCTCGCAAGTATTTTGTCAAATCATGTTAGAAAAATTGGAAGCCTAAGGTATTCATATGATGCCAAAGAAATAAGTGGTGAATTGTTGCAGTGAATTCTATTAAGTTTGTGCCTGCCAAAGCACTTCAAAGGAGTCTCTTAGGGAAAGCTAGCAGTCTCTGAGTAAGAAGAGATAAAAGAGCTAGATAAGTCATTGTTAGGATGTCTGGGATAGTGATGCAATGCAAAGCTAGAACAATAACAATATACAGAACTATTTCTTTTTAACTTAGAATGTGTAAGTCTAGGGCCTCATGAGAACACATTTATCCTGGGTCATTTTCTTGCTTGCAGCATCAGAGGTAGCATCTATAGAAGGAGAAACTAAAAGTTGAACTGGGACCAATGTTTCTGAAGTACCTGTAACTAAAATCCATCCTATTTCTTTAGCACTGGCAAATACAAACTATTTCTATGAGAGTTATGTTAGTAAAGACAGTAACAAAGAGTAGGAAATTAACAATTAGACTGCAGTATGTTAGCACATTTTAGTACTTTTCCCCTCTTAACTCATACTTAAATCATCAATACAATCCTGTGAGGGGTGATAGAGTTTTTATTCTCATTTTACAGATATGGAAACTAAGGCTCGGAGGAGAGAGTAAGTTGCCCAAGGCGACCTTGCCAGTAAGTGGCTAGCCACTTCTGGTTCCAGAGCCTCTCTTCTTTACGAGTATTCACTGCCGCTTCTCAAATAGTATGAGATTGGTATGAGAAATGAACTATATGAAATTTGAATAGTATGATAAATGGAACACAGGAGACTCATTGGGGAGAATCAGAAATAGGTTATTGTTCTTTCTATAAAAATTACCCTGGTCTGGGAAAAGTAGGTAAAATTGAATTTTTAAAAACTGTGGGATATAACATCTAAAATCGGGAAATGGCCTTAGGTGCTGTTTTTACCCGCTATTTTCATGTTTTGACTTCTTTATTTTAATTTTTTATTTCCCCCACCATTTCTCAAGTCTTATTTTTAATCTGGTTTCTTTATGTAGACACATTTTTTTCCCTTTACAGTTTGAATTTGTTTTTCTCTGCATTTTTAAAGGTTCTATAATTCTTCAGCTTCCTTATCATGACTGTTTCATGTTTTCTTTGTTGTAGGGTTTTCGTACATGTATCTTTTGGATATTATTTTTTCCCAGATTTTGAGTATTCTAAATTTGATTCTTTGGTATTGGTTTAATCTTGGACTTAACAGAAAACTTGAAAAAATTAGAAGCTAGTCTTTCTCCACTTGAGATAGGAATTATAACAGAATTATATTTGAAGATTTAAGATGCTGAGGAGAAAATTGAAGTTTAAAAACTGGATGGCCCTTTCATGCCAGCCAGACTCTTTGGACTGTGAAATAAATCTGTTTTAGGGTAGAAGCACTGGATATGTGCTTTCTTTTTGTTTCTTGTTTTTTCTGTACATAAATGGTTCCTGCTAAACATGGTATGATATGACACTGGAAAATTATTTTACTATCTAATGTGCTCTAAGGTGATGATATTCTGAGAAAATTTTTTAAAAATCTAAAGCTTGTCTTTCAGAGTTCTAGGAATACAAAGATATAGTTCTACAGTTTTTCTGAACTTTTGTTAACATAATAGAGTTTTTCTTTATTATGAAACAAAAAATAATATCACATTTGTTATAATATAAATAACCTTTTCTTTTTCTAAAAAAAATTTACAGGTAGAAAAAATAATTGGCCACCTCTTCCTAGCAATTTTCCTGTCGGACCTTGTTTCTATCAGGATTTTTCTGTAGACATTCCTGTAGAATTCCAAAAGACAGTAAAGCTTATGTACTACTTGTGGATGTGTGAGTATACAACAATTTACATCTTTGCTTAGAATTTGTATTTTTGTTGTCAAAATCCGCATTTTTATTTCAAGGATAGTATAGCAAACCAGTCTTCTTTTTCTATAGATAAAGCTTAATAATCATGATTTCAGAGTGAAACATATCCTATTTAGGTACTTCAGAATTGTACTATATGTGACAATGTAAGTCCTTGGCTGAGAAAAACTTGTATGTTGAGAACTGGCATTCTTTTGAGGAAAAGACAACTTCTCTGTCATGTGGGTAAAATTTTATAAGATTCTTTTTCCTTGAAAGATGTTATCTAGACATGATTTGCTTGGAAAAAATAGTGCATACTAATTTTATGCAGAGGAAGGCCATTTAAAAGAATTCTGTTAAATGTAGGCGTTTTAGCTATTTTTAAAAGGGCATAAAATTATTACATAAACTAAGTGTTCTTTTTATAGCTTTGAGTACAGTTTACTTTTTGTTTTCAATTGCGATACTTTTATTATTGAAAGTGCTTAATTAATACAGGACATTTTGTTGAACGGAACATTAGAATATACGTTTGGGGCTCTGATGCTTACATCACTTTGAGTATAATAAC
Source organism: Homo sapiens (assembly GCF_000001405.40). Taxonomy (NCBI): domain Eukaryota; kingdom Metazoa; phylum Chordata; class Mammalia; order Primates; family Hominidae; genus Homo; species Homo sapiens. Next base: position 78,419,496 of record NC_000005.10, read on the forward strand.
TCATGGAATACTGAAACAAAATGTCAAGCCGTTAACAGTTTTACTCTGTGTGCACAGACCTCCCACTTACTCTCTGTTTCATTTTTATTCCAAACAGTAGTCTCAGCCTCATTTTGATACCCTGTCAGAAGGGGAGGTAGCTATTGAGGGTTCTCACATGCACAACATCTGGGTTAATGGATAATTTGTAGGGTACATTCTTGATGGAGGAAATTTACTTGTTTTTACTTTATGATTAATGAGACTACCACCCTTCCCTTAATGGATGAGATAATTTTCCTTAAAATCTTTTAGGAGCATTCTTCATGTATGTCAAGTTGTTTTGGAATGTGAGAAGTGTTTCCTAATGGATAGTCTATTTTTAACTCTTCATTAGTATTTTTCGAGATATTCTTGATCTAATATCTTTTGCTGAATCCTCAGTGTCAGTAGTATATATTTTTAATATTAAATGTCTGATTCCATATATGTACATGCTAACCAACTCTTATTTAATCAATATAATATATGCATTTATATTTTATATATGTTTATTTTTTTAAATGGGCAGAAATTGTCCTAGCATTTTATTTTATTTTGAGACAGAGTCTTGCTTTGTTGCCTAGGCTGGAGTGCAATGGCACGATCTTGGTTCACTGCAACCTCCGCTTCCCGGGTTCAAGTGATTCTCGTGCCTCAGCCTCCTGAGTAGCTGGGACTACAGGCACATGCCATCACGCCTGGCTAATTTTTGTATTTTCATCTATACTTGGAATAATTTTCATGAACTTTAAAGTGTAATTATACATATATTTTATCTTTCTTTCAGTGGATTAGGAAATAACCTAATTTGAAAATTGAAATTTAAGTTAGAATGTTCTTAAGGTCTAAAACTTTTTAAGGCAGCTGGATGCTATTTAATGCTGCAGAGTAATAATTTTCTATTTCACAATCTTCAATTCTGTTTTTAAGATCTTAACACAACCACCCTTATTTTGAGGCCAAGGGTTTTGAGTAAATTTATTATGAGCAAGCATTCCTGAGAGTTAAAAATCCTAATGGGACTAGAGTAATGAGTGAGAGTGTCTCTTTTGTGATAGAATTGAATGGGATTTTAAAGTGGGAAAAGCTCCTGCATTTCTATGGCTGAAAAATTGAAGCTTACAGAGGTTGAGTGATTGGCTTAATATTAGATGACTACAACCTAAGTGACTTCATCTGGAGCTCTTTTTAAAAAAAAACAAAAAACAAAACTCTAGAGCTTGTTTACTTATCTGGTGGGTTAGGTAAGAGCAAATTTAGGCATCCCAGAATGTGTGTGTGTATCCTGTTTCATTAATTATTAACTTATTTGATTTGTAAAGAAATCTTAAAGTTTGAGATTTAAAAAACTAGATCCAATAGGTTTTCCCAGTTGTTAATTTTAATTCAAGTAATTTGTTGGCATATTTTTATTGATTTGATAATTTACATTAAACATCATTTTAGCTTATATAAGAATGTACTTACTATAATAAATTCAGCCTGTGAATAAATTTTTAAAAAATCCTTTGAAACAGTTATTAATTACAATGGGTCAAAGTAGTTCTTTAGGATCATGGTATAGTTAGATGTTACTCAGATTTTTTGTTTTTGGTCTGTCAGGGAAAGCAATTATTAACAGCATATGATGAATTTGTCAACATCTATTTGTGTTAACCAAAAGAAAAGCCTGCCACAGTAGCTAAAATGTATCATGTTGTGTGGGGGAGTGAGGAGGGGACTTAATAAATTTAATCCTCTACCAAAACGCAAGTTTTTTTCAGGATTTTACAAATGGACAGCTCTATGAAGTTGAATGAACAATCCTTATACATTGACTATATAGTCACTAGAAATTGCTACTGTATTAGTATTTTTAGTCCAGTGTTTAGTCTGCAGCCCCATTCTGTAAAGATATGGTTTTTCCTCCTAAGTCCTGGGTCTTTTCCTGGCAGACACTGCTTTTCTTCTTGGGCTTCAGATCAAGAGACATCACGTTTCCTTTTCGGGAAGAAGCCCTTAAGGTAGTGCGCCTCTGGTTTAGCTACATCATTGCCTGTGAGGAGGAGAGGGCCAACAGAATTTTTGCCAAACAGTACATGTATTAAGACTCGCTTTCCTGTGTATACTCTGTTTTCAAATCAAATATGTAAGATACAACAGTGTTTTGAAAAATATAAATGGAAACATGGAGTAGAATACATTTGCTCTTAGGAAGTATTTTTTTATTTACAATTTTTTGTTGGATGAATTCATAAATTGAATGTAAATCTTTCTTTTTCTATTTTGTTTTCTGATTCCACAGTCCATGCAGTAACACTGTTTCTAAATATCTTCGGATGCTTGGCTTGGTTTTGTGTTGATTCTGCAAGAGCGGTTGATTTTGGATTGAGTATCCTGTGGTTCTTGCTTTTTACTCCTTGTTCATTTGTCTGTTGGTACAGACCACTTTATGGAGCTTTCAGGTAAAATGTGTGTACTTTAAAATACACTCTTTAAAACCTGTGAAGTAAATAATTCGTAGTATACATTAAAGGGAAAATTGATGCATTTTCATTAAAAAATTCTTGTATTGTTGTGTAACATACCTTCAGGAAAGTTCAATATAGCATGCCTGTGTATTCATTGGATTTTGTAAGTCATAAAATTCCATTTTTTTCTCCCATTTGATAAAAGACCAAACATGAAAATTGATGGAAAAATAAGAACAGTCTTAGAAGTTAATATTTATAAAATATTCTCTTCCATATGTTATACTTCAAGGAAAATTTTGCTGTTTGCCCACCCCACCTCCCAAATCAAAATCCCAATTGGTGCTTATGGTTTTTTTTTTTTTAAATTAACCTAAGTAAGGTAAATATACATGCAATATTTAAAATGAGCCATTTGCACCTAGCAACTTGGATTATTTTCTTTATAAATCCATTTTAGGTTTTTTCAAAGGCAGCACCATTTTAAAAACGATTTATGCTACTAGGTTAAGTATAATGCTTTACATAGTATATTTTAATCAGTGGTTAGGGTTAACATTTCCTTAGCGCATGTTCTGTGGGATATTAATAGGTGCTGGGGGAGAAAAAAAGAGCTCATAAGCTTAGTAAATTTGGGAACAGCTGGATAATAAGGTTAAGCAAGTTTCTTCATTTCAGGATTTCTTACACTCTTTAAGTACCTAGTATGATTTGTGCCTTATGACTTGACCATGCAACCATTATTTTTCTGTGGAGTACTTTGTTGGACTATTGCTTTAAGAAGTATTGGGAAATACTGATTGAAATGATAGTCCTATATGGGTTCATATATTTAATAGTTTTTTTAAACTCATTTTTATTTGAGTAAATTCTTGTGAATAACCATTTCAACTCTCGTGAATAAGGGGTAACATTACTAGGATATATGCGTGTGTTGTTTAAAGGATATATTAGGGAAATTAGAGGCCCACATTTAAGTGTTCAGTATGTTTTGCCATTGCAACCTAAAATCTCTTTAGTTAACCAGAATGTGTAACACACGCGCGCGCGCACACACACACACACACACACACACACACACACACAGAGTTAGAAACCCAGATCTGTAAACAGATGAGGGAAAAACAGAAGAGAACAGGAGATGGGAGAACATTAGGGAATTTGGAGAGAAAATGTATCAGACAATGAAGAAGTAAATTATTACTTAGAAATGGCATAAAGAGAAGAAATGATGAGAGGAGGAGTGAAGGGAAGAAATGATGGGAGAAGGGAAAGGAGAAAAGAACCTTTGGATACATTGAAATATGGGAGATTGGTTGCCAAGGAACGGGGAGAGCTTCTCCTGTAGAGATGGGTTGGAGAGGAATGAAAGGAACATAGTTACTCCTTGCATGATCTGAGTTATTGCTGTTATTTTCTTCGTTATCTAAGCATGGCTCACAAGGCTTTTTCTGTTTTTTGTTAGTTTGTTTTGTTTTGTTTTTTTTGGACATCTAACCTCTGCCTAATGACCTCCATCACATTACCAATATGTTATCGATCTGTGATGATGCTGGCTGGTGGGAGTGAGGATATCTTTATGAAACTTTTCAAAAAAGTGACCTGAGACTAGGGAATTTGGATTTTAAACCTTCTGTTACTTATGTAGCCAAAATAAATGACTAAAAGCCAGCTTTGTGCCTTTTATTTCCTGAAGTCACTTGGTATCTTTTTTTTTTCCCCCATTTTGGCAGTTGAAATAAAAATGCTTGGTGGAACATTTTTACTTGTGGCATTATTGATCCCTAGGCTGAGTTTTTAGCTGCATCTCAGTCTTTTAGAGTATATACAAATATATTAATAATCTGGTTTTCACTGTGCAGAGTAGAAATGAGAGGAATACTTTTTTTTTTTTTGAGATGGAGTTTTGCTCTTGTTGCCCAGGCTGGAGTGCAATGGCTTGATCTCGGTTCACTGCAACCTCTGCCTCCTGGGTTCAAGCAGTTCTCCTGCCTCAGCCTCTCAGGTAGCTGGGATTACAGGCATGCACCACCATGCCTGGCTAATTTTGTATTTTTAGTAGAGACAGGGTTTAACCATTTTGGTCAGGCTGGTCTCGAACTGCTGACCTCAGGTGATCCGCCCACCTTGGCCTCTGCCCACCTCGGCCTCTGCCCACCTCGGCCTCCCAAAGTGCTGGGATTACAGACATGAGCCACTGCGCCCAGCCTCGAGAGGAATACTTTTTATGGGGAAAGTTGAATTAAAGTATTTATAATCATTAATATACCTTCCTGTTATGTATCTTTGGCATTTCCTTATATTGATATATTTACAGGACTTTGTTCTCCGTAAGGTAAACTCATTGTAAAAATCTCAAGGAAAATTATATAGTGAAGTTTCAAATGTATGTGTTTTTAAAAGTTAAGTTTATTAGGTATCAGGATTAAACATGAAGTTGTCATTTTGTTATTTATGTAGTTTACAAAGATTGTAACTTGGGGCTGGGCATGGTGGCTCATGCCTGTAATCCCAGCACTTTGGGAGGCAGAGGCTGGCGGATCACATGAGGTCAGGCGTTTGAGAACAGCCTGGCCAACATGGTGAAACTCCATCTCTACTAAAAATACAAAAAATTAGCTGAGTATCGTGGCATGTTTCTGTAATCCCAGCTCGAGGCAGGAGAATCGCCTGAACCCGGGAGGCAGAGGTTGCAGTGAGCCAAGATCGTGCTACTGCACTCCAGCCTGGGCGACAGAGTGAGATCCTGCCTCAAAAAAAAAGAAGAAAAACAACAAAAAAACCCCAACTTGGTCCTGAATTTTGTACTTCCACAAATCACTAGGCATTATGCAAATACATCAAAATATTAGGTAATTATTAACAAGGCAGCATTATTGTTGAATGTTGTTGAGTAACTATTAGAAACAGACTGAGAAAGAGTATTTGCATAATGCTTAGTGATCTTGGCTTCCCCACTTAAAAAGCTGTGCGGTTCTGAGCACATGCAGTAAAACTCAGAGCCTCAGTTTGTTAGGTTTAAATGAGGGATATTTGTAGAGTTGAAAGAAGGATTAGAGATAATGTATGCAAGTTTTGCATTATAGATGGTGAATAAATGGTAGCTGTAATTAATTTTTAACTTTTTTTGGACCCTCTTAGATTTTATCATTTACATTTTATGATCTATAAGTGAACTGTGATTTCTTATAGATTATATTTTACAGAGCCATTATTTGTAGCTTTGAAGACAATTTTCAAAGTAGTACTTTCTCCCACTTTTTAATTATGATGTATTTAATGCATACCAAAGAATACCTGAAACACAAGTTAAAAGGCATAATAATGAGTCATCTATGAACTGTGAGCCCACTGGTCAATTTAAGAAATGGAACATTATCAATACCGCTGAAGCACTGGTATGTTTCCATTTCCCTGCTCCATAGGTAACCATTAGGTTGAATTTTGATAATTTTTGCTCATTCTCTAGCATAATTTTAGTTTTTCATATATATTTGTACTCCCAAACCTTTTTTTAGCTTGTAGAGAATATTTTTAAAAGTATTTTAATATTTATAAAAGTGATACATCTTTGTATACAGGTTATTTTATATGCAGTTTTAAGTAGCTGTGCAAATACTTTTTTGGTAAAATAAAGACCTGTTTTAATCCTTTTCTACCAACAGTTCTTGCCGCTGACTTATGTGGGCATTTACCTTTATATTTTAAATAATGATCATATACTGCCATTCCTTGATTTTGTTTAAGTAGCTTTATTAGGATATATTGTATATACTATAAAATTCACCCACTCTTATGGGAAAATTCAATGATTTATTTTATTTTATTTTACTTTAAGTTTTGGGATACATGCGCAGAATGTGCAGGTCTATTACATAGGTGTACGTGTGCCATGGTGGTTTGCTGCACCTATCAACCCATCATCCAGGTTTTAAGCCCCGCGTGCATTAGGTATTTGTCCTAATGCCCTCCCTCCCCTTGCCCCCCACCCCTGACAGGCCCTGGTTTGTGATGTTCCCCTTCCTGTGTCCATGTCTTCTCATTGTTCAACTCCCACTTAGAGTGAGAACATGAGGTGTTTGGTTTTCTGTTCCTGTGTTAGTCTGCTGAGAATGATGGCTTCCAGATTCCTCCATGTCCCTGCAAAGGACATGAACTCATTTCTTTTTTATGGCTACATAGTATTCCATGGTGTATATGTGCCACATTTTCTTTATCCAATCTATCACTGATGGGCATTTGGGTTGGTTCCAAGTCTTTGCTGTTGTGAATAGTGCTGCAATAAACATATGTTTGCATGTGTCTTTATGGCAGAATGATTTATATTCCTTTGGGTACATACCCAGTAATGAGATTGCTGATCAAATGGTATTTCTGGTTCTAGATCCTTGAGGAATTGCCACACTGTCTTCCACAATGGTTGAACTAATTTACACTCCCAACAGTGTAAAAGCGTTCCTATTTCTCCATGGCCTTGCCAGCATCTGTTTCCTGATCTTTTAATAATCACCATTTTAACTGGCATGAGATTGTATCTCATTGTGGTTTTAATTTGCGTTTCTCTAATGACCAGTGATGATGAGCTTTTTTTCATGTTGGCTGCATAAATGTCTTTTGAAAAGTGTCTGTTCATATCTTTTGCCCAATTCAATGATTTTTAAGTAAATTAATAGAGTTGTGCAATCATTACCACAATCAGTTTTAGAACTTTTCCATCCTTCCCAAAATTTCCCTGGATTCATTTGCACACAATTCTCATTCCTTTCCCCTAGCTCCAGGAAACCACTGATCTGTTGCCTGTGTCTAAAAATTTCTCTTTTCTGAGCATTTCATGTAAATGGAATCATAGAACATCTAGTCTTTTGCTGTTTTCTTTTACTTAGAATAACGTTTTTGAGGTTTATTCGGGCTGCAGAATGTGTTAGTAATTCATTTCTCTTTAATTGTTAAATGGTATTCCATTGTATTGTTACATCACATTTTATTTATGCATTCACCAGTTAATGGATATTTGGCTCTTTTCAACTTTTGGCTTTTTGGATAATACCATGAATATGCATGTGTCTTAGTTCATATTTGTTGCTCTAAAGGAACACCTGAGGCTGGGTAATTTATAAAGAAAAGAGATTTATTTGGCTCGTGGTTCTGCAGAGTGTACAAGAACAATGGTGCCAGCATTTGCTTCTAGTGAGGACCTCAGATTGCTTCTCCTTATGGTGGAAAGCAAACGGGAGCAGATGTGAGTAGAGATCATGTGGTGAGAATGAAGAAGCCAGTTGGGGGAGAGGTGCCATGCTCTTTTTAATAGCCAGCTCTTTTGGAAACTAATGGAGAACTTATTCCTTATCATGAGTACTGCACCAGGCCATTCATGAGGGATCATGAGGGATCGATCATTCATGAGTGATACCCTCATAACACAAACACCTCCTGCTAGGCCCCACCTCCAACATTGGGAATCAGATTTCAGTGTGAGGTTTGGGGGATCAAAAATCCAAACTGTAACAGCGTGTACAAGTCTGTCTATGGCCATATATTCATTTCTCTTGAATATATTTTTAAGAGTTACCATAACAATATTCCTAGGAGTAGCCTTACTGGGATGAAACTTTTTTTTTAAAACGTGTCTAAATTTTTAAGAAACTGCCAAACTGTTTTCTAAAGTGGGTGTACCATTTCACATTCCCATCAGCAACGTCTGAGGGTTCTAGTTTCTCTGCATCCTCACTAACTCTCATCTTTTGTCTTTTGATTATTGCCATTTTAGTGGGTATGTAGTAGTATCTTGTGGCTTTAATTTGCATTTCCCTAGTTACTGATGAAGTTTGAGCACCTTTTTATTTGCTTATTAGACGTGTGTCTTTTTTGGTGAAATGTTTGTTCAAGTTTATTGTCTATTTTAAAAATTCTGTTGTTGACTTCTTACTATTAAGTTTATTTTTAAAATATATTTTGTTGTAAGAGTTCTGTATTGGAGATATAAGTTGTTTTGTTTTGTTGTTTAACAGTTTGCAGATATTTTATCCCAGTGTGTGGCTTCTTAGTGGTGCCTTAAGAAGCACAAAAACATTCAATTTTAAGAGTCTAATTTAACTATTTTTTTGGTCTTGTCTGGTTAGTATCATGTCTAAGATCCTTTTGCATAACCCATGGCCATAAAGATTTTCTCTTATATTTTCTCCTAGAAGTTTGTGGTTTATCTCTTGTGTTTAGGTGTATAATACATTTTGAGTTAATTTTTGTTTTTTGTGTATGAAGGTTATTGGTCTTTATTTGTGTAAGGGTCTAAATGCATCTTTTTGCTGTGGATATCCAAATATTCCTCCACTACTTGTTAGAAAGACTATATTTTGTAAATTATCTTTTTGTACTTCTGTTGAAAAATCACTTGTCCATATATGGAGAGGTCTATTTTTGGACTTTTCCCATTGAATTGTTTGGACACTTTTCTTGCAAATCCATTGACCAGTGATGTAGGATTTATTTTTGGACTCAGTTCTGATCTATTGAACTATGTGCCTATCTTTATACCAATATGCCTTTCTTGACTAATGTTAATGTTGCTTTATAGTTAGTCAGTCTTTCGACTTTCTTCTTTTTCAGAATTGTTTTGGCTATTCAGAGTCCTTTGCATTTCATTTAAATTTTGGACTCAGCCTGTTTCTACAAAAAATAAAAAATAAAAATAAAAACCCTGCTGTGATTTTGATAGGGATTGAGTTAACACTGTAAGCCAGTTTGGGGAGAATTAATACCCTGACAGCATTGATTTTGTGAATATGGATTTCTCTCCATTTATTTATATTTTTATAATTTCTCTCAGCCATGTTCTTCAGTTTTAATTGCACAAATCTTATACTTCTGTTGTTAAATTTGTTACTAAGTATTTTATCCTTTTTATGTTATTTTAGGTGGAATTATTTTAATTTCCTCTTTGGATTGTTTGTTGCTAGTAGTTAGAAATAAAGTTGTCTTTCATATATTGATCTTGTATCATTCTACCTTGCTAACCTCCTTCACTAATTCTAGTAGTTTGTGTGTGTGCATGTGCTGGTGCACATGCATGCTCAAGATTCCTTGGGATTCCATATATATTATGATAATGTCTTCTGCAAATAAAAATGTTTGCTTATTCCTTCCAAAGTAGTTATCTTTAATCAATCCACCTTCCTTTTTTCCTCCTTTTGCTTTATTAAACTGGCTACAGCTTCTAGGATAGTGAGAATAGAAGTAGGAGGAGTAACATCCATGCCTTATTCCCAATTTTAAGAGAAAGCATTCACCATTAAGGATGATATTGACTGTAGATTTTTTTTTTTTTGTAGATGCCCTTTGTTGGTCTCAGGAACCTCTCTTGTGTTTCCAGTTTGTTGAGTTGGTTTTTTTTTTTTTTTTTAATTTTTTTTTATCATTAATGGTGTTGGATTTTTCCAGATGCTTTTCTGTTGCCATGATCTGTGGAGATAATCATGTGATCTTTGTCCACTTACTCTGTTAATATGGTGAGTTACATTGATTGACTTTTGTAAACCAACCCTGCATTTCTGGCATACTTTCCATTTGGTCATTTTGAGTTCCTTCTGGGAGTTGCAATGAGGGTGCTGATTTTTATGATTTGCCCTACCTTGGTTGAAATACGTTTCCAAGAGAGTTGCAGGGAATGAGAGCAGTTCTAGGCAAGAATGCCACAGACTCATGCTGTTCTTACCAGAGTTCAGTAGTTTCCATGAATAGATGTTTCTCAGTTTGTTATGTTGTGTGCCTTTGGACAGAATACTGAAATGGTTATTTTTGAGTTTGATCCATATTTATTGTATTTTGAGAAGCGGATTTGTTGACTTCCTCATTCTGTCATGCTGGAAGTGAATTTCCATTTCTTGATTTTTAAGTTTTAGTTGTCTTGTACTCATTTGCTGCTATGGAGAATAAAGCTTCAGCTTTTCTAAAGCTTATGTTGCCCCTTTTCCCCAACACACATGCATCTTTTCTCCCCACAGTCCTTCTGTTACATGTAACAATGATTTTAGGTTAGACTAGTATTTGGAGTTCTTTATTTATTACTATGTAAATAGTATTTACAGTATTTATTTATAAATACAGTATTTATTTATAAATACAGTATTTATTTATAAATACAGTATTTATTTATAAATACAGTATTTATTTATAAATACAGTATTTATTTATAAATACAGTATTTATTTATAAATACAGTATTTATTTATAAATACAGTATTTATTTATAAATACAGTATTTATTTATAAATACAGTATTTATTTATAAATACAGTATTTATTTATAAATAAATAGTATTTATTACTATGTAAATAGTATTTACAGCTGCACTTTCTAGTATATCGTGATTATATTTTGTTTTTTGTACAGCTGTATTGCTACAGTAAATGCCTTATTTTGATCTGTTGCTTTATTTTACACACATACACACTCCTTCCTTCCCTTCTGATTCTTTCCATATTTTCTGGCAAGATTGAAAAACTATGGTTCATCCTTTCTGTTTATATAACCAGAAAAAGAGATTTTTTTTTCCCAAAGCGAAGTCTCAAACTCTTCATGAGGAAAGGTAATATTCTTTATATAACTACAAGAAGAACCTAGTGCTTATCAGATTCTCTTACGTTTATATATAAATATATACTGTTTTAGAGTCTACAAATCATGTTCAGTACTTTGTATTATTTAGTCTTTATGGTCTTTTGGGCAAATTATTAGGAACTGAGGTTTTAACCCAGATCTTCAGACTAGAAGCTTAGGATGTTATGTTCCTACTTTATTATATTTACATTATCATTTAGTTTGCAGTGAATCCAGGTACATCAGTGATTTCCACACAGTAAGTTAACTGACTTTGGAATATTTAGTAACAATGTTTATTTCTTGACTAGCTCTTTAACTAGTGTAGTTAGTATTTGTTACAAAGTTCTCTGCCCACTGAGTGTTGAGAATGTGGAGAAGATAAATAGCTTGTTAACTTTGTATGCAGCTTATTTCCTAATAGCTTTTCTGAGTATGATCTAAGGACTCTTGGGGCCTTCCTTTCAGAGAGCTTAGGTTCCTCCCTTTTCTAACCATATACATATGTGAAGCAGATTTCTTCATTTTCAACCAAAACAACGTATTGTATAACAGATTGAGTGCAGATACAGATATAAGAAACCATATAGATATAACATTGCTAGGAATTTTAAAACTCTAAAATTAACACTCCTGCATGCACTTGAAAGAATATATAGCCTGCTCTTGTTGGGTAAAATGTTCTAAAATGCTTCAAAATATTCAAAATGCTTTTGTACTTTTTTTTTTTTTTAGCATTTTGTAAAATGTTCAAAATGCTTTTGCAGACGCAACTATAGGTTGCCAACCAAAAAAGCTACTTTATATATGAAGTTGACAAGTCTATATATTAAGTTGACAGTCTCTTTTAATTAATGTGCTTATGCCATTTATATTTAATATAATTACTTATCTGCTTGGATTAAAATCTGTCATTTTACCATCTATTTTCTGTTTATTCCAACTATTCTTTGTTTCTTTTCCTTTCTTTTTGCCTTTTTTTTTTTTTTTTGGATCAGTTGAGTATCTGTTAATGACTGTCTTCTCCCCTATTTCTTCATTATTTATATCTCTTAAAACTGTTTTTTAGTGATGCCCTAATTTTTACAATATATGTCTCTAATCATAGTCTCTGTATTCAAATAATATTATTCTGCTTCATATGTACTGTAAGGATCTCCCAGCAGAGTACTCTCAGTTCCCCCTTCCCAACCTTTATACAGTTTTAAAATGTATTTTATTTTTATATATGCTAGAAACACACAGTACATTACCTTTAAAGAATTTTTTTAATTTGAATGGGTACATAGGAGGTGTGTATATTTATAGGATATATGAGATATTTTGATACAGGCATGCATTGTGTAATAATTACACTATGGAAAAAGGGGTAGTCATCCCCTCAAGCATTTATCCTTTGTGTTACAAACAATTTAGTTATACTCTTTTAGTTATTTTAAAATCTACAATTATTTTGACAATAGTCACCCTGTCGTGCTATCAAATACTAAGTTACTCATTCTTTCTAATAATTTTTTTGTATTCATTAACCATCTCTACCTCTCCGGTGCCCTGGCTTCTGCCTACTACCCTTCCTGGCCTCTGGTCACCATCCTTCTTCTATCTCTATGTGTCACTACTTTTGCTTTAGATTTTAATTTTAATTTGCTTTTAATTTTAAAAGAATTAAATATAAGGAAAAATGAATTTTACATTGGCCTTTATTAATACCATTTCAGCACTTTTCATTTGTGTGTGTGGGTGTATATGTGGAGATCCATGTTTTTGTATCATATCATAATCTTTTTGCCAGAAAATTTTTCTTTAATATTTTTGGTAGAACAGGTCTGCTAATAATCAGTTCTCTGATTTTTGTCTGAAAAAGTCTTCATTTTTTGTTCATCTTTGAAAGATATTATCAATAAGTATAATATGGGTTCACAGGTATTTTTATTGTTTTTACTTTCTTTCGTACTTTAAACACATCATTTTCATCCGTTCTGGCTTGCAAAGATTCTGGCTAGAAGTCCACTATAATTCTTATCCTTATTTTTCTGTATTTAGTGTGTCTTGTTTTCTCTGGCTGTCTTTAATATTTTTTCTGTATTTCTTGTTTTGGGGTGTTTGAATATGATGTGTTAAAGTACGTGTGTGCAATGTGTGTTATGTATATGTGTGTGTTTCTGTTTATCCTTAGTGTTGTCTAATGTTCTTGGATCTCTGGTTTTGAGTCTTCATTAATTTTGGAAAATTCTCAGTCATTCACTGTCTCTTTACATATTTCTTTTGTAACTTCTTTATCGTCGCTTTCTGTAATTTTTATTACATATGTGTTAGAATTTTTGATATTGCCCCATGTCTCTTAGATGTTCTATTCTTTATTTCCATTCTTTTTTACTTTTGCATTTCAGTATATATAATTTCTATTTTCAGTTTCACTGATTCTCTCCCACCCTCAGTTTTGCTGAGTATATTGGTGAGCTTCTCAAAGGTACTCTTCATCTCTGTTATGATATTTTTCATTTCTACCATATCCATTTGGTAATTTCCTATATCTTATATATATGCTAAGATGCCCCATCTCCTCATGCATGTTGGCCACCTTTTTGACTAGAGTCTAAGAACATATTAGTCAATTATTTTAAATTTTTTGTCTGATAATGCCAACACCTGAGTTATATGTGAATATGGTTTTCTTGATTGCTTTGTCTCTACATACTTGACAGTGTGTCTTTTTTTTCTTGTTTCTTTTTATGCCTCATAATTTCTTGTTAAAAACTAGACATCTTTTGAAGACGGTAGAGACTGAAATAAATAGGTTTTGTGCCTTAAGTGGGAGGTGAGATGGGATAGCAAATCCCATCCTCCTCAGGGCACAGCTGAAGACCCACTGGACATGGCTTTTCTGTTGTGCTAGGCTTTTAGTGTATGGATGGTGTGCTGCTGTGGTGGGGGCAGGTGTCAGGTAATTCAGTCAGAAATTGATCTGGGTTTGGGTTTTTGCTCACCATGACTGCCCTCAGTACCTCAGAGACTTCAAATTACTTTGGTGTTACCTTATGTTTAGAGTGAGTCCTGCTTTTCCAGAAGCTTTTTCTTGGTGTTTGCTCCATTAGCTTCGGGTTTCCCCTTTGTGCCTGCCCCTCAGAGAGGGCTTCTCTTCGCACACTCTTCCCCCAGGAGTAGAGTGCTGTTACTTGTTACTTTATACTTGGAGCATGGTGGGCATGTTGGGGAGTTAGGGGTGGAGGATATTCTTGTTCTGGTTCAGCCTCAGCCTTAGGCAGCCTGTGTCTCTGGAGTGGAGAGATCTGCCCTTCTCAGTGATCCTGCCCCACCACCATCTCTAAGGTCTCTGTAATAGATATATTCCTGTCCCACCTCCAGGGTTAGAGGATTTTTTTTCCTGTGCCCTTTCCCCAGCTGCAGTGGGTCTTTAGCTGTGCCCTGAGGAAAATGGGCTTTGCTATCCCATTTTACCTCCCACATAAAGCTTTTGTTTGGAAGAGTTAAAGGGGAGTTTTGGTGGCTGCTCTTTGCCTCCCCAAGACCTGTACCCTGAATGAGGCCAGCCTCCTGTCTTTCTTCTGAGCACCTGGTGAGATCTGTGGAGAAGAGCCTGTGAGTGAGTGATGATACCCATGTAGCTTTGGCTCCTGGGGGTTCTGTACTCTCTCTAACCAACCTTTCATCTTAGAGCAATGCATCACAAGCTTTAGCTGAATTCCTTTTTGCTTGTCTGTTCCAGGTAAACAAGTGCTAGTCTTTTATCTCTCTTTGAGTTATTTTTGGGGTTGTTTGCCCTTTGATGGGTGTTAAGCTGTGATTTTGCAAATGAATGTTTGTTATGAGAGTTAGAAACAGTGGTCTTTTCCACTTTTCTACGTCCTAAGCTGAAGCCTTCCCCTACTACATCTGAGAGATATAGGAAAGTTCCTTCTTAGACACAGATACATTTACTTGGTGGTCCTCCTCTTCCTCCTCCCTCTCCTCCCTTCCTTCCTTCTTTCTTCCTTCCTTTTCCTCCTCCTTCTTCAGAAGTTTTAAAAGCACTTTAGTTTTTCTTTTTACAATCTATAAGGTTTTTAAAAAATTTTTTAACATTTTGTTTTTACATCTATGAGTTTTCTTTTTAAAGGTAAACCTGTTTGTGAAGATAATCCTCTTGTGCTATATGGCATCATTTGCACTTCAGAGTAAATCACTACTGTCAGATATCTCCTTCTGAAAAACTGTGATGCAGAAGGAAGTGTTAGCTTCCAGTTTGAAAATCCCTGTTACTGTTACAGTATTTGAGGTTTATAATAAGTATAAAAATAACATAAGAGGAATGAGATTACCTTTTTAAAAATACTTTTTGATGAATCATTTCTGGATTCTGGATTCTGTGTGTATTCTATTAGCTGGATATTTTGTACACATCTGATTTTTAAAAGGAAATATGGATAAATGGTAGCATTATTCTAGAACAGCAACAGTAGGTATGTCAGAAACATGTATGGTGTATCTAAGAGTAGTTTAGAGGTAGAACAGAGCAGGATGAAACATGTTTACTTATTTCATACATATGTAAATATAAGTTATATATAGTGTTGACTTAAATCATGAGATCTATAAATATAGAAAAGGAGAGCTTTATTTCTTACAGAGGATTACAGCCTGCAGGCTTATTAACATGACCTACAATATGAAGGTTTTTTTTAATTTTTTATTATACTTTAAGTTCTAGGGTACAAGTGCACAACGTGCAGGTTTGATACATAAGTATACATGTGCCATGTTGGTTTGCTGCACCCATCAACTCATCATTTACATTAGGTATTTCTCCTAATGCTATCCCTCCTCCAGCCCCCAACCCCTCATTGTGTGATGTTCCCCGCCCTGCGTCCAAGGGTTCTCATTGTTCAGTTCCCACCTATGAGTGAGAACATGCAGTGTTTGGTTTTCTGTCCTTGCGATAGTTTGCTCAGAATGATAGTTTCCAGCTTCATCCATGTCCCCGCAAAGGACATGAACTCATCCTCTTTTATGGCTGCATAGTATTCCATGGTGTATATGTGCCACATTTTCTTAATCTAGTCTATCATTGATGGACATTTGGGTTTGTTCCAAGTCTTTGCTATTGTGAATAGTGCCGGAGTAAACATACGTGTGCTTGTGTCTTTATAGTAGCATGATTTGTAATCCTTTGGGTATATAGCCAGTAATGGGATGGCTGGGTCAAATGGTATTTCTACTTCTAGATCCTTGAGGAATTGCCACACTGTCTTCCACAATGGTTGAACTAATTTACATTCCCATCAACAGTGTAAAAGCTTTCTTATTTCTCCACATCCTCTCCAGCATCTGTTGTTTCCTGACTTTTGAATGATTGCCATTCTAACTGGCGTGAGATGGTATCTCATTGTGGTTTTGATTTGCATTTCTCTGATGACCAGTGATGATGAGCATTTTTTCATGTATCTTTTGGCTGCATAAATGTCTTCTTTTGAAAAGTGTCTGTCCATATCCTTTGCCCACTTTTTGATGGGGTTGTTTTTTCCTTGTAAATTTGTTTTGAGACTTTTGTAGATTCTGGATATTAGCCCTTTGTCAGATGGGTAAATTGCAAAAATTTTCTCCCATTCTGTAAGTTGCCTGGTGACTCCGATGGTAGTTTCTTTTGCCATGCAGAAGCTCTTTAGTTTAATTAGATCCCATTTGTCTATTTTGGCTTTTGTTGCTACTGCTTTTGGTGTTTTAGTCATGAAATCCTTGCCCATGCCTATGTCCTGAATGGTATTGCCTAGGTTTTCTTCTAGGGTTTTTATAATTTTAGGTCTAACATTTAAGTCTTTAATCCATCTTGAATTAATTTTTGTATAAGGTATAAGGAAGGGATCCGGTTTCAGCTTTCTACATCTGGCTAGCCAGTTTTCCCAGCACCATTTATTAAATAGGGAATCCTTTCCCCATTTCTTGTTTTTGTCAGGTTTGTCAAAGATCAGATGGTTGGATATGTGTGGTGTTATTTCTGAGGCCTCTGTTCTGTTCCATTGGTCTAAATATCTCTTTTGGTATCAGTACCATGCTGTTTGGTTACTGTAGCCTTGTAGTATAGTTTGAACTCAGGTAGTGTGATGCCTCCAGCTTTGTTCTTTTTGCTTAGGATTGTCTTGGCAATGCAGGCTCTTTTTTGGTTCCATATGAACTTTACCGTAGTTTTTTTCCAATTCTGTGAAGAAAGTCACTGGTAGCTTGATGGGGATGGCATTGAATGTATAAATTACCTTGGGCAGTATGGCCATTTTCACGATATTGATTCTTCCTATACATGGGCATGGAATATTCTTCCATTTGTTTGTGCCCTCTTTTATTTCGTTGAGCAGTGGTTTGTAGTTCTCCTTGAAGGGGTCCTTCACATCCCTTGTAAGTTGGATTCCTAGGTATTTTATTCTCTTTGTAGCAGTTGTGAATGGGAGTTCACTCACAATTTGGCTCTCTGTTTGTTATTGGTGTATAGGAATGCTTGTGATTTTTGCACATTGATTTTGTATCCTGAGACTTTGCTGAAGTTGCTTATCAGCTTAAGGAGATTTTGGGCTGAGATGATGGGGTTTTCTAAATATACAATCATGTCATCTGCAAAATTTGACTTCCTCTTTTCCTAATTGAATACCCGTTATTTCTTTCTCTTGCCTGATTGCCCTGGCCAGAACTTCCAACACTATGTTGAATAGGAGTGGTGAGAGAGGGCATCCTTGTCTTGTGCCGGTTTTCAAAGGGAATGCTTCCAGTTTTTGTCCATTCAGTATGATATTGGCTGTGGGTTTGTCATAAATAGCTTTTATTATTTTGAGATATGTCCCATCAATACCTAGTTTATTGAGAGTTTTTAGCGTGAAGCGCTGTTGAATTTTGTCAAAGGCCTTTTCTGCATCTATTGAGATAATCATGTGGTTTTTGTCTTTGGTTCTGTTTATGTGATGGATTATGTTTATTGATTTGCGCATGTTGAACCAGCCTTGCATCCCAGGGATGAAGCCCACTTGATCATGGTGGATAAGCTTTTTGATGTGCTGCTGGATTCAGTTTGTCAGTATGTTACTGAGGATTTTTGCATCGATGTTCATCAGGGATATTGGTCTAAAATTCTCTTTTTTTGTGTGTATCTCTGCCAGGCTTTGGTGTCAGGATGATGCTGGCCTCATAAAATGAGTTAGGGAGGATTTCCTGTTTTTCTATTGTTTGGAATAGTTTCAGAAGGAATGGTACCAGCTCCTCTTTGTACCTCTGATAGAATTCGGCTGTGAATCCGTCTGGTCCTGGACTTTATTTGGTTGGTAGGCTATTAATTATTGCCTCAATTTCAGAGCCTGTTATTGGTCTATTCAGAGATTGAACTTCTTCCTGGTTTAGTCTTGGGAGGGTGTATGTATCCAGTAATTTATCTGTTTTTTCTAGATTTTCCAGTTTATTTGTGTAGAGGTGTTCATAGTATTCTCTGATGGTAGTTTGTATGTCTGTAGGATCGGTGGTGATACCCCTTTATCATTTTTTATTGCATCTATTTGATTCTTCTCTCTTTTCTTCTTTATCAGTCTTGCTAGCAGTCTGTCAATTTTGTAGATCTTTTCAAAAAACCAGCTCCTGGATTCATTGATTTTTTGAAGGGTTTTTTATGTCTCTATCTCCTTCAGTTCTGCTCTGATCTTAGTTATTTCTTGCTTTCTGCTAGCTTTTGAATGTGTTTGCTCTTGCTTCTCTAGTTCTTTTAATTGTGGTGATAGGGTGTCTATTTTAGATCTTTCCTGCTTTCTCTTGTGAGCATTTAGCGCTATAAATTTCCCTCTACACACTGCTTTAAATGTGTCCTAGGGATTCTGGTACGTTGTGTCTTTGTTCTCATTGGTTTCAAAGAACATTTTTATTTCTGCCTTCATTTCGTTTTTTACCCCATAGTCATTCAGGAGCAGGTTGTTCAGTTTCCATGTAGTTGAGCGGTTTTGAGTGAGATTCTTAATCCTGAGTTCCAGTTTGATTGCATTGTGGTCTGAGAGACAGTTTGTTGTGATTTCTGTTCTTTTACATTTGCTGAGGAGTGCTTTACTTCCAATTCTGTGGTCAATTTTAGAATATGTGCAATGTAGTGCTGAGAAGAATGTATATTCTGTTGATTTTGGGTGGACAGTTCTGTAGGTGTCTATCAGGTCCGCTTGGTGCAGAGCTGAGTTCAAGTCCTGGATATCCTTGTTAACCTTCTGTCTTGTTGATCTGTCTAATGTTGACAGTGGGGTGTTAAAGTCTCCCATTATTATTGTGTGGGAGTCTAAGTCTCTTTGTAGGTCTCTAAGGACTTGCTTTATGAATCTGGGTGCTCCTGGATTGAGTGCATATATATTTAGGATAGTTAGCTCTTCTTGTTGAATTGATCTGTTTACCATTATGTAACAGCCTTCTTTCTCTCTTTTGATCTTTGTTGATCTGAAGTCTATTTTATCAGAGACTAGGATTGCAACCCCTGCTTCTTTTTGCTTTCCATTTGCTTGGTAGATCTTCCTCCATCCCTTTATTTTGAGCCTATGTGTGTCTCTGCAGGTGAGATGGGTCTCCTGAATACAGCACCCTGATGGGTTTTGAATCTTTATCCAATTTGCCAGTCTGTGTCTTTCAACTGGGGCATTTAGCCCATTTACATTTAGGGTTAATATTGTTATGTGTGAATTTGATCCTGTCATTATGATGTTCGCTGGTTATTTTGCCTGTTAATTGATGCAGTTTCTTCCTAGCATCGATGGCCTTTACAATTTGGCATGTTTTTGCAGTGGCTGGTACTGGTTGTTTTTTTCCATGTTTAGTGCTTCCTTCAGGAGCTCTTGTAAGGCAGGCCTAGTGATGACAAAATCTCTCAGCATTTGCTTGTCTGTAAAGTATTTTATTTCTCCTTCACTTATGAAGCTTAGTTTGGCTGGATATGAAATTCTGGGTTGAAAATTGTTTTCTTTAAGAATATTGAATATTGGCCCCTACTCTCTTCTGGCTTGTAGGGTTTTTGCCGAGAGATCTGCTGTTAGTCTGATGGGCTTACCTTTGTGAGTAACCTGACCTTTCTCTCTGGCTGCCCTTTACATTTTTTCCTTCATTTCAGCCTTGGTGAATCTGACAATAATGTGTCTTGGAGTTGCTCTTCTCAGGTAGTATCTGTGTGGCGTTCTCTGTATTTCATGAATTTGAATGTTGACCTGCCTTGGTAGGTTGGGGAAGTTTTCCTGGATAATATCCTTTAGAGTGTTATACAACTTGGTTCCATTTTCCCCGTCACTTTCAGGTACACCAATGAGACATAGATTTGGTCTTTTCACATAGTCCCATGTTTCTTGGAGGCTTTGTTGATTTCTTTTTACTCTTTTTTCTCCAACACTTCATTTCATTCATTTGATCTTCAATCACTGATACCCTTTCTTCCACTTGATCGAATTGGCTACTGAAGCTTTTGCATGAATCACATAGTTCTCGTGCCGTGGTTTTCAGCTCCATCAGGTCCTTTTAAGGTCTTCTCTATGCTGTTTATTCTAGTTAGCCATTCGTCTAATCCTTTTTCAAGGTTTTTAGCTTCGTGATGGGTTTGAACATCCTCCTTTAGCTCGGAGAAGTTTGTTATTACGGATCGTCTGAAGCCTTCTTCTCTCAACTCGTCAAAGTCATTCTCCGTTCAGCTTTGTTCCCTTGCTGGTGAGGAGCTGTGTTCCTTTTCAGGAGAAGGGGCGCTCTGATTTTTAGAATTTTCAGCTTTTCTGCTTTGGTTTCTCCCCATCTTTGTGGTTTTATCTACCTTTGGTCTTTGATGATGGTGATGTATAGATGGGATTTTGTTGTGGATGTCCTTTCTGTTTGTTAGTTTTCCTTTTAACAGTCAGGACTGTCAGCTGCAGGTCTGTTGGAGTTTGCTGGAGGTCCACTCCAGACTGTTTGCCTTGGTATCACCAGCGGAGGCTGCAGAACATCAAATATTGCAGAACGGCTAATGTTGCTGCCTGATCCTTCCTCTGGAAGCTTCGTCTCAGAGGTGCACCTGGCCGTATGAGGTGTCTGTTGGCCCCTACTGGGAGGTGCCTCCCAGTTAGGCTACTCTGGGGTCAGGGACCCACTTGAGGAGGCAGTCCGTCCGTCCTCAGATCTCAAACTCCATGCTAGGACAACCACTACTCTCTTCAAAGCTGTCAGACAGGGACATTGAAGTCTGCAGAAGTTTCTGCTGCCTTTTGTTCAGCTATGCCCTGCCCCCAGAGGTGGAGTCTACGGAGGCAGGCAGGCCTCCTTGAGTTGTGGTGGGCTCCACCCAGTTCGAGCTTCCCAGCAGCTTTCTTTACCTACTCAAGCCTCAGCAGTGGTGGACGCCCCTCTCCCAGCCTTGCTGCCACCTTGCAGTTCGATCTCAGACTGCTGTGCTAGTAGTGAGCAAGGCTCTGTGGGCGTGGGACCCTCCGAGCCAGGCACAGGATATAATCTCCTGGTGTGCCGTTTGCTAAGACCATTGGAAAAGCACAGTGTTAGGGTGGAAGTGTCCCGATTTTCCAGGTACCATCTTTCATGGCTTCCCTTGGCTAGGAAAGGGAATTCCCTGACCCCTTTCACTTCCCAGGTGAGGTGACACCCTGCCCTGCTTCGGCTCACCCTCCGTGGGTGGCACCCACTGTCCAACCAGTCCCAGTGAGATGAACCAGGTACATCAGTTGGAAATGCAGAAATCATCTGTCTTTTGTGTCGATCATGCTGGGAGCTGCAGACCAGAGCTGTTCCTATTTGGCCGTCTTCAAACGGATCACTATAAAGTTTTGATAGTTGATTTAGGGTTTGAAGTTATGTTAACACTTTATTGAAGAGTTTAGGGGGGAAAATGATGTTTCAAAGTATATGATTAAAATAGTTAGGAAATTTCAAGTGTAAGAGTGATAGGACCATCAAGAGAATTAATATTAAACTTTTCAAGTGGTATTAGTAAAAAGCTGGCTGGGTCAGGGCACGCTGGCCCATGCCTGTAATCCCAGCACTTTGGGAGGCCGAGGCAGGCGGATTACCTGATGTCAGGAGTTTGAATCCAGCCTGACCAATGTGGCAAAACCCCGTCTCTACTAAAATTACAAACAAAACAAAACAAAAATTAGCCAGGCATGGTGGCACGTGCCTGTAATGCCAGCTGTTTGGGAGGCTGAGGCAAGAGAATTGCCTGAACCTGGGAGGCGGAGTGAGCCAAGATCAGTGAGCCAAGATTGAGCCACTGCACTCCAGCCTGGGCAACAGAGTGAGGCTCTGTCTCAAAGCAAAAAGGTGACTGGGTGTGGTGGCTCATGTGTATAATCCCAGCATTTTGGGAGGCCAAGAGGAGAGGATTGCTTGAGCTTGGTGCTCGAGACCAGGCTGGGCAACATGGTGAAACCTGATCTCTACAAAAAGTACAAATATTAGTCGGTTGTCATGGCATGTGCCTGTAGTCCCAGCTACTCGGGAGGCTGAGGTGGGAGGATTGATTGAGCCCAAGAGGTTGAGGCTGCAGTGAGCTGTGATCATGCTGCTGCACTCTAGACTGGGTGACATAGTAAGACCTTGTCTCAAAAAAAGAAGGAAAAAAGCATGATAAATAGTTTCATGATGTGGTATTCTAGATGTTTGAAAACTCAAACTTGTACTGTTTAGTATTCTCTGTTCAGATAGGTATCATGGAGGCTTATTTGCAGAAAAATGTTTGAGTTTTTTGTTTGTTTGTTTGTTTTGAGACAGAGTCTTTCTCTGTTGCCCAAGCTAGGGTGCCGTGGCTCTATCTCTGCTCACTGCAACCTCAGCCTCCTGGGTTCAAGCAGTTCTCCTGTCTCAGCCTCCTGAGTAGGTGTCCACAACCATGCCTGGTTAATTTTTGTATTTTTAGTAGAGACAGAGTTTCACCATGTTGGCCAGGCTGGTCTCGAACTCCTGACCTCAGGTGATCTGCCTCCCTCTGCCTCACAAAGTGCTGGGATTACAGGTGTGAGCCACCGCGCCCGGCTGAGTTTTGTTTTATAAGAGCATAGCCTATGTAATAGCTTGGAAACAGTCCATTTGTGACCTAGGACCTAATCAATGTTGATTTCCGTTTTCCTTTTATTTAATTTTTTTGTTCAAAGGTAATTTGAAAATGGTTATCTACTGGCTGATTTTGTCTGTTTAAGCTTTCTACATTGAGTATCAATTCAAATGTGAGATTTTAGTTGTTATATTCTCCTATATATAAGAAACACTGCATTGAGCATTTGGGGTTATTATACTTTAGCTAGTGGTGTTCTATTCCTTGATAATTAAATTTCTTGGAGATGATGGAATTGAAATATTATCTTAGAGGTAGTTTTATCACTTGGTTAAGAATTTTAGCTTAAGGCTGGGTGCCATGGCTCATGCCTGTAATCCCAGCACTTTGGGAGGCCAAGGCAGCCGGATCATGAGGTCAGGAGTTCGAGACCATCTTGGCTAACACGGTGAATCCCTGTCTTTACTAAAAATACAAAAACAAAAATATTAGCTGGGTGTGGTGGTGGGTGCCTGTAGTCCCAGCTATGCGTGAGGCTGAGGCAGGAGAATGGCATGAACCCTGGAGGCAGAGCTTGCAGTGAGCTGAGATCGTACCACTGCACTCCAGCCTGGGCAACAGAGCTAGACTCTGTCTCAAAAAAAAAAAAAAAAAAAAAAAAAGAATTTTACCTTAATAGATGCACAGATAAGTAGCAGCATTTCTGTTACCAGCTATGTATTTGGATTATTTGACCTCTCTAAATCTGTTTGCTTATCCGTAAAATGGAGTCAATATTAGTGTGCCTCACGTGGGTGTTGTAAGGTTTGAATGGGCAATACATGTGTTTGACATAGTGCTTGGCAAATAATGTTCAAAAAATATTAGCTATTATTAAGTCTGTTAAGTATAGAGGATTCAGAGTTTGCACCAAGGTTGTGGTCTAGGTTTGATATTGTTCAGGTTTAAAACTTCATGTAATGTGAGCTTTTTCATTGACCCCTGTGCTTTTGACAAAGCATAGGTGGGAAGAAGAGAGTTCAGAGTCTCTTTCATTCCAGTCCTGTGCTTTTTTAGCCAGACTAGTGAGTGGTTTTGCTTTTTTTTTTTTTTTTTTTTTTTTGAGATAGGATCTCATTCTGTCACCCAGGCTGGAATACAGTAGCACAACCATTGTTCATTGCTGCTTTATTTTCCAGGCTCAAATGATCCTCCTGCCTCAGCCTCCCAAATAGGCAGGACTACAGGCATGTGCCACTACACCTAATTTTTCTTATTTTTAATAGAGATGAGGTCTTACTGTATTGCCCCACGCTGGTCTTGAACTCCTGAGCTCAAGCGAACCTCCCACCTTGGCTCCTAAAGTTCTAGGATTACAAGCGTCAACCATTGTGCCCAGCTCTTAATAGATTTTAAGAGATAGACTCTATTATAAATTTAGAATTTTCGAATCTTCTTCCAAAAAAACACATATGCAAATTTTTTTTGCACTGTTGTGGTAAGGGGCAGTTCATAGTGCTGCCTTTCAAGCCTACTAATAGACTCCCTATTCTGGAGAAAGAATTCATTTCAGCATAAAGTTACTAAAGAGGGAATATGGGGCTGGTTTAGACAGTTTTGGAGCCCCCAAATAAGACAAGAAAAGCACCTGTACTTCTTAGGTTTCTGTGTTAGTCCATTTTCATATTGCTATGAAGAAATGCTCAAGACTGGTTAATTTATAAAGAAAAAGATGTTTAATGGACTCACAGTTCCACATGGCTGGGGAGGCCTCACAATCATGGCAGAAGGGGAAGGAGGAGCAAAGGTATGTCTTACATGGTGGCAGGCAAGAGAGTGTGTGCAGGGGAACTGCCCTTTATAAAACCATGCAGTCTTGTGAGACTTACTCACTTTCATGAGAACAGCACAGGAAAACCTGCCCCCATGATTCAGTTACTTGCCACCAGGTCCCTCCCATGACATGTGAGGATTCTGGAAGCTACAATTCAAGATGAGATTTGAGTGGGGACACAGCCAAATTCTATCAGTTTCTTTTTATTCTAATGCCTGTACACCATCAATAATTTCTTGTATTACTTGATTCTAGTAGTCTTGATTGTTAGCAACCATGTTCCAGAAATTTTCAGTATCTTATCAATAGCCTAATGCCACTTCTGTGAGCAGGACATTACTTCTGTGAGCAAAACAGTTTATTTTGATACAGTATTACATGAGTGTAATACAGGTATCAACAAGTAATGTTTATCAGTTGCTTTCTGTGTGCCTATGCATTCCCAGCTAAGCACTTTACCTGCAGTATTTTATTTATATAAAAGCATGTTCCACTGTTACCCCCATTTTGCAAATGGAAAATCTCAGGCTTAATACTTTGCCCAAAGTTACACAACTTTAAGTGGGAGAGTCTGGATTCAAACCCAAATCTGTAAATTCATGTTCTCTTATCTGCTATGTTGAGTTGCCAGAGTTAAATACATTTAGTGGTGTGCTTTAGTTAACTTGTGTCCCCCCATCTTAGCCCTTGAAATAATGAAATACTTTGTCTTTTCCCATCCCAGCAAATGGTAGTTGTAATTAATATCTCTGGTATTGATTTGGCATGTGAAATAAACTTTACAAGATCAAATAAGCTTATTTTCTGAGATTTATTATCATACTTCAGGGAAGAACTTTTCTATTAAAATTGTGCTGCAGCTTGACTGTGGAAGACATTAAACCAAAAACTACTTGCTTATTTGAAATTCAGTTTTCCAGTAGGCTTTGATCTGAAAGAGCCAGGATGGCAAGTAGTAGAGAGCTTTTATTTATGTGTTCTGATGAGAAAATACATTACTTAGGTGGATTTATTATGAATAAATATCCATGATACCGTAAATACTTTATCGTAAACTGAGGCAGATTACAATTTAATTCACATAGGTTAAATCAATGTATAGTGTTTTTATTTTTAAATCTATATTTCTGTTCTTTGGTTTAAAATGGCTATGTTCAAGCTGATTTAAACAGTCTGCTTTCTGGTCTCTTCCTGCACGCAAGACCCACCTTCTGAATGCCAATAGAAGTTCTTCTTCCCCTGATGATGTATTTTTTTTTTTCCTGGACCTTTTCTGATTCTGGCTAAGGTACAGCTCTCCTGGGTGTCTTCTGGCTATTCCAGAGCTCCTCAGCTTTTCCTTGCCCTTCCCTCAAGCATCTGAAAGGAACTTGATATTCACGTGATGATTGTATTGCTTCATTTTGTTTTGAATTTGACTGATTTTGCATTTGCAGTAATTTGGACAGCTCAGGTAAAGGAAGATTTGTGCTCTCTTGGAGATAAGAGTCTAGGTAGTTAAGTAAGTGCTGGGATATGGAGTTTATGTCTTAGAGAACTTTGAAGTGTTTTAAAATAATTATTCGTATTAACGGTCAGTGTGCAATGAAATGAATTTTATTGTCTCCTTATTCAGAAATAGAAAAGTTGGTAAAATGAAATAAATACAATCTTTGAGAATGATATTTAACCTGCTTAATATCTTTTATTTAGCTTTATTTAAAATAAAACTAGACAAAAGTAAACTTTGAGGTTTTCATTTGATCAGTTTTGTACACTAACTGTGCATTTGTGTGTACTAACTGTACATACAGAAAGAGGAAGGTGGACTAGTTTTAACATACCTCCATTTGTATTTGAAAGCAATATTTTAGAAATAGTTTTTGAGTAGGACTTCTTAATTTTTAAAACATATTCAGTATCTTCTAATAGATTTCTTAACTAGAAATTACAGTTAGGCAGTTTCAGCTTCTAGAATGTGTCTAAGAATTTGGAACAAGGTAATGGACATAGCTGTTGTGAAGGCTGTAGACATTATTCAGCCCCTTTTTAGAGCACATACTTTATATATTTATAATGTAAAATATTTTAATAGTCTGGTTTCTTGGCACACAAAATAGTAAAAACTCTAAGTGAAAAAAATATAATATTAAGTTATATTCTTCATTCTTTGCCAGAGGGACAGGGAAATAGAAATATACTTTAGAAGTGTCTGTTTCAAAATAGTAAAAGAAAAATTAGTATTAAAAGTGATGTGTTCTATAGTATCCCTGGAGATATGAGTCATACATAGGATTTCTATTCAGTATTATAAAAATAGCATTTTATATTGTAGATTTTGATATTGGTTATTTTTCATTAATAATTTTTTCTCAGCTGTATGGTCATTAATACCAGCTTTGGTGTAATATAGTACTGCTGCAATAAGATGTGGAACCATTTAGTTTAAATCTGACTGACATAGAAAACATTATTAATGAACCATTAAAATTTGCTCTTTTGTGACTCAGGGGAAATGGCTGATTCTAGAGTAGGGGTCTCCAACCCCTGGGCTGTGGGCTTGTACTGGCCAGTGACCTGTTAGAAACTGGGCCACACAGCAGGAAGTGAGCACCAGCTAGCGAGCATTACCACCTGAGCTCTGCCTCCTGTCACATCAACAGTGGCATTAGATTCTCATAGGAGCACAAACCCTATTGTGAACTGCGTGTGCAAAGGATCTAGGTTGCATGCTCCTTATGAGAATCTAATACCTGATGATCTGAGATAGTTTGATCCTGAAACCATCCCACCCCACCATACGTAGAAAAATTGTCTTCCACGAAACAGGTCCCTGGTGCCAAAAAGGTTGGGGACCACTGCTTTAATGTATTCATGTTAACTCATTGCCATGTTTTATACTGGTTGTAGAAATGTAAAAACCTTAAAATAGTCAAGACAACTTTGAAAAAGAACAATAAAGTTGATGGACTAACACCACCTAATTTGAAGACTTACTAGAAAACTTCAAAATAGTATAATATTGACAAAAAGGTAGACAAATAGAAGAGTGGGAGAGAATGGCAAGCCCAGAAATAAACCCAGCCATAGACAGACTACTAATTTTGAGAAAGGTACAAAGGGAACGTAATGCAGAAAGGACAGTCTTTTTAAGAAATGCTGCTAGAACAATTGGATAACCATATGCAAAAAAGAACTTCATACTTGATATGATATTTTAAAAAATTAACTCAAAAAAGAACATAGACTTGAATGTAAAACTGAAAATAGAAAACTCCTAGAAAAAAACAGGAAAAAAAAAATCTTTGCATTCTTGGCTTTGGCAGATTTCTCAGAAACAACAGTAAAATCAAGATATATAAAAGAACAAGCGTGAATACACTGGAGTTCGTAAAAAGGCAAAACTCCTTTTCAAAAGAAACTTTCTTCTTCTTCTTCCTCCTCCCTCCTCCCCCTCTCCCTCCCCTCCCTTCTTTCCCCTCCCTCCTCCCCTGCCCCCCTTCCCCTACCCCTTCCTCCCCCTTCTCCCTCCTCCCTCTTCTCCCTCCTGCCTCCTTCCCCCTTCCTCCCTCCTTCCCCCTCTTTCCCTGTCCTCCCTCTCCTCCCCTCCTCCCCCGTCCTCTCCTCCTCCCTCCTCTCCTCCTCCCCTCTCCTTCCCCCTCCTCCCCTTCTCCCCGTTCCCCCTCCTCTCCCCCTCCCCCTCCCTCCTCCTTTCCCCCTCCCCCTTCCCCCTACTCCACTACTGCTACTACTACTTCTTCCTCTTCTTCCTCCTCTTCTTCTTCCTCCTTCTCCTCCTCCTCCTCTTCCTCTTCCCTTTTGTTTTTTTTTGTTTTTTTTTAAAATAAAGATGGGTGTGTCACCATGTTGCCCAGGCTCATGTCAAACTCCTAGCCTCAAGCAGTCCTCTTGCCTCAATGTCTAAATAGCTGAGATTACAGGTGTGAACCATTACACCAGCTCCCAAAAGACACTCTTAAGAGAATGAAAAGACAAGCAACAGACGGAGGGAAAATCTTTGTCAAGGATATATCTGAAAGAGGACTTGTATTTCTAGAATATAGTTTTAAAAACTCTCACAACTCAACGATAAAGGAAAAAGCAATCTAATTACAACATCAGAAAAATATTTTAATTAGTTCATGAAAGAAGATCTATATATGACAAAAAGCACATAAAAAGATGCTCAACAACATTACTTATTAGGAAGATGCAAATTAAAACCATGTAAGATATTACTGTACAGCTATTACAATAGCTAGAATTAAAAAGACTGTAACAAGTGTTAATGAGATGTGGAGGAGCTGGAATACTCATGTACTGCCAGTGGGGATGAAAAGTAGAACAACCAGGCTGGGCACAGTGGCTCATGCCTGTAATCCCAGCACTTTGGGAGGCCGAGGCGGGCAGATCACCTGAGGTTGGGAGTTCGAGACCAACCTGACCAACGTGGAGAAACCCCCTCTCTACTAAAAATGCAAAATTAGCTGGGCATGGTGGCCCATGCCTGTAATCCCAACTACTCGGGAGGCTGAGACAGGAGAATCGCTTGAACCTGGGAGGCAGAGGTTGTGGTGAGCCAAGATTGCGCCATTGCACTCCAACTTGGGCAAGAAGAGCAAAACTCCGTCTCAAAAAAAAAAAAGAAAATGTAAATAAAAATAGAACAACCTGTTTGTAAAACAGTTTGGCAGTTTCTTAAAAAGTTAAACGTATACCTATGATATGTTCCAGCCTTCCCACTTGTAGGTATTTACCTAAGAGAAAAAGGAAATATATGTTCATGGGAAGACTTGTACATGACTATTAATAATAGCTTTATTATGAATAATAACAATAATAACTTTATTTATAATAATAAAAAACTAGAAACAACCTAACTGTCCCAACAGTGAATGAATAAACTGTGGTATATTTACACAGTGGAATACTACTCAGCAATGAAAAGGAATGAACTTTTGATACATGCCACAAAACTGGGTGAATCTCAGAATAGCTGTGCTGAGTAAAATAAGCCAGACAAGGAAAAAAGACTACATAATATATGATCCCATTTATATAAAATTCTATAAAATAGTCAAACTATGGTAACAGAAAAACAGTGGGTAGGGTGGGGCTACCAAGGGGCTCAAGGAAACTTTGGGGATATGCTCATCATAGTGATTGGGGAATCAAGTATATAAATATGTCAAAAATTATTAAAGCGATATTTTAAATATTTGCAATTCATTGTGTGTTGATTGTAATTCTATGATGCTGTTTAATAAAAGAAGAAAACGAGTAAGTTTTTTTGTCAAGAGGGATTGTGGTGCAGTTGGAAATTGAAAGTTTGTCCTTGTGAGGTTAGAATAACGATATCTAGTGTTAGCATGACGAGTTCACATAAGTTATTACAATGTTGTTAACTTGAGGCCTCAGGTGGTTGCCACTTTTTTTTGTTTGTGCTTTTAAGGTTTGAATGTCATTCTGCAGGTAAATGTAAAGATAATGAGAAAAATGACGTTTTTCCCCTTCTTTCTCTCCCCCTAACCCCCTTTTTTCTTTCTTTCTTTTTTTTTTTCAAAGGAGTGACAGTTCATTTAGATTCTTTGTATTCTTCTTCGTCTATATTTGTCAGTTTGCTGTACATGTACTCCAAGCTGCAGGATTTCATAACTGGGGCAATTGGTAAGTTTTTTTTTTTACTAGTTTTCAGCTTTAATCTAATATTGTAATATAATTTTTGGCTTCCTAATCTAGTTAACACAGATAAACCAGATTAGAAAAATTAAATAAAAAGCAAAAATTGTTTTAAAAATACAATTTTAAAATGTCATAAGGCATAAACTTTGGACAAACCTGTGTCTTTGAAGATTATGTTCCCATCTATAAAAACAGCACATTTTTTCTAGTTTAAATAAAACATGTATGTAAGGGCGCTAAGAGGAAGACTGCAAAAGAGACTGAGGTGGTCAGAGAGATAGAGGGACCAAGGAATGTGGAAGGGACAGGAAAGAGCTTCAGGGATTCTAAGGAAAAGGGATACCTATTATGTATAAAGCCCTATTTTAGGTATACAAACAGATATATTTTTATATACGAATATACATGGACACTTGTCTTTGAAAGGTAGAATAACTGCACACACGTTATATACATATATCTTTAAACAATCGAATCATTCTCATGGCTCATTCAGTGGGGGACCTCAGAAATGGAGACTATCTGGACCCAGGCTAGGAGGTAATAGCAGATTTAGGTCTCTCTTTACATTCTGATGCAAACATTCCTTGAGTGAAATGGTGGGTGGAAGAGTACACATCTCTAAAATTATCTGTTCCTCTCTTCTTTCTTTTATACTGACTTGCATTCAGCTGTATTCTTACATGTCAGAAGAATGTGTGATGCAACTTTGTTCCACTGTGTACATTAAACCAAAATTGAAATTAGCATTTAATTAGAATGTGTTGAGGACTTACATTTAGTATTCTGCTACTGAAGTGGAGAAGTGATTGGCAGACAACTCCTGGCAGTTCTGCAGAGCTCCTAATGGGCATAAATACATGCAGAAAATTTATATAGATATTTAAAATCAGTTCTCAGATAAAGTAGTTTTTATTATTATTTTAAATAGTGTCTAGTTTTTGGTATTTTAGGGAAAGGAAATGTTTTAAATGTTTAATTAAAAATATACTGCTTACTTTAACAGCACGAGGTTTTTTTAATTCTCGTGAAAGTGAGGTAATTTCTTTCGCTTTTTAGCACAGACATAGGGAAAATGCTAAAATTGAGCATAACAGCATGTATGTGACTAAATAGCGTAAAAAGAGTCTGCTAATGAGGGTGCATACAGAATTGACCTGTTTTAAGATAGACCCTCATGTAGTTCAGATTTTTTAGGTTAAACTTTTTACTTTTAGGTAATCATAGATTCACATACAATCATAATAAATAACACAGAAATCTCAGGTACCCTTTATCCTGTTTCACCCAATGGTAATAATCTTGTAGAACTATAGTAAAATATAAATACCAAGATCTTGACATTGATAGTAAAGATAAAGCACATTTTCATCACCAGAGGATTCCTCATGTTGCTTTTTCATAGCCACTCTCAAAACTCCCCTTTTCCCACTCCTTAACCCCTGGCAATCACTAATGTGTTCTTCATTTTTGTTGTTTTGTCATTTCAAGAAGGTTATAGATGTGGAATCATAGTCTACAACCTTTGGCTTTTTTCCCCTCAGTGTTATTTTCTGGAGATTTATCCAGGTTGTTATGTTTATCTGTAGTTTATTCTAATTTGATTGATTGATTGATTGATTGATTGAGACAGAGTCTCGCCCTATCACCCAGGCTGGAGTGCCGTGGCATGATCTCAGCTCACTGCCTCCACCTCCTCGGTTCAAGTGATTCTCATGCCTCAGCCTCCCGAGTAGCTGGGATTACAGGCGCCTGCCACCCAGCCCAGCTAATTTTTCTATTTTTAGTAGAGACAGGATTTCGCCATGTTGCCCAGGCAGGTCTTGAAGTCCTGGCCTCGTGTGATCTGCCCGCCTCAGCCTTCCATAATACTGGGATTACAAGCGTGAGCTACCATGTCTGGCCTCCTTTTTATTTTTGAGTAGTATTCTATGATATGGATGTATCACAGGTTATTTAACTGTTCACCAGTTGAAGGGCATCAGTATTGTGTCCAGTTTTGGACTATTACAAATAAAGCTGCCATGAAATTTGTGAATAGATTTTTGTGTGAACATAATTTTCATTTCTCTGGGATAAATGCCCAAGAGTGTAATTATTGGATTATATGGATGTTGCACATTTAGTTTTCTTTTCTTTTTTTTTTTATTATACTTTAAGTTTTAGGGTACATGTGCACATTGTGCAGGTTAGTTACATATGTATACATGTGCCATGCTGGTGCGCTGCACCCACTAACTCGTCATCTAGCATTAGGTATATCTCCCAATGCTATCCCTCCCCCCTCCCTCCCCCCACCCCACGACAGTCCCCAGAGTGTGATATTCCCCTTCCTGTGTCCATGTGATCTCATTGTTCAATTCCCACCTATGAGTGAGAATATGCGGTGTTTGGTTTTTTGTTCTTGCGATAGTTTACTGAGAATGATGATTTCCAATTTCATCCATGTCCCTACAAAGGACATGAACTCATCATTTTTTATGGCTGCATAGTATTCCATGGTGTATATGTGCCACATTTTCTTAATCCAGTCTATCATTGTTGGACATTTGGGTTGGTTCCAAGTCTTTGCCATTGTGAATAATGCTGCAATAAACATACGTGTGCATGTGTCTTTATAGCAGCATGATTTATAGTCCTTTGGGTATATACCAGTAATGGGATGGCTGGGTCAAATGGTATTTCTAGTTCTAGATCCCTGAGGAATCGCCACACTGACTTCCACAATGGTTGAACTAGTTTACAGTCCCACCAACAGTGTAAAAGTGTTCCTATTTCTCCACATCCTCTCCAGCACCTGTTGTTTCCTGACTTTTTAATGATCGCCATTCTAACTGGTGTGAGATGATATCTCATTGTGGTTTTGATTTGCATTTCTCTGATGGCCACTGATGAGCATTTTTTCATGTGTTTTTTGGCTGCATAAATGTCTTCTTTTGAGAAGTGTCTGTTCATGTCCTTCGCCCACTTTTTGATGGGGTTGTTTGTTTTTTTCTTGTAAATTTGTTTGAGTTCATTGTAGATTCTGGATATTAGCCCTTTGTCAGACGAGTAGGTTGCGAAAATTTTCTCCCATTTTGTAGGTTGCCTGTTCACTGTGATGGTAGTTTCTTTTGCTGTGCAGAAGCTCTTTAGTTTAATTAGATCCCATTTGTCAATTTTGGCTTTTGTTGCCATTGCTTTTGGTGTTTTGGACATGAAGTCCTTGCCCATGCCTATGTCCTGAATGGTAATGCCCAGGTTTTCTTCTAGGGTTTTTATGGTTTTAGGTCTAACGTTTAAGTCTTTAATCCATCTTGAATTGATTTTTGTATAAGGTGTAAGGAAGGGATCCAGTTTCAGCTTTCTACATATGGCTAGCCAGTTTTCCCAGCACCATTTATTAAACAGGGAATCCTTTCCCCATTGCTTGTTTTTCTCAGGTTTGTCAAAGATCAGATAGTTGTAGATGTGTGGCGTTATTTCTGAGGGCTCTGTTCTGTTCCATTGATCTATATCTCTGTTTTGGTACCAGTACCATGCTGTTTTGGTTACTGTAGCCTTGTAGTATAGTTTGAAGTCAGGTAGTGTGATGCCTCCAGCTTTGTTCTTTTGGCTTAGGATAGCCTTGGCGATGCGGGCTCTTTTTTGGTTCCATATGAACTTTAAAGTAGTTTTTTCCAGTTCTGTGAAGAAAGTCATTGGTAGCTTTATGGCGATGGCATTGAATCTGTAAATTACCTTGGGCAGTATGGCCATTTTCACGATATTGATTCTTCCTACCCATGAGCATGGAATGTTCTTCCATTTGTTTGTATCCTCTTTTATTTCCTTGAGCAGTGGTTTGTAGTTCTCCTTGAAGAGGTCCTTCACATCCCTTGTAAGTTGGATTCCTGGGTATTTTATTCTCTTTGAAGCAATTGTGAATGGGAGTTCACTCATGATTTGGCTCTCTGTCTGTTATTGGTGTATAAGAATGCTTGTGATTTTTGCACATTGATTTTGTATCCTGAGACTTTGCTGAAGTTGCTTCTCAGCTTAAGGAGATTTTGGGCTGAGACAGTGGGGTTTTCTAGATATACAATCATGTCGTCTGCAAACAGGGACAATTTGACTTCCTCTTTTCCTAATTGAATGCCCTTTATTTCCTTCTCCTGCCTAATTGCCCTGGCCAGAACTTCCAACACTATGTTGAATAGGAGTGGTGAGAGAGGGCATCCCTGTCTTGTGCCAGTTTTCAAAGGGAATGCTTCCAGTTCTTACCCATTCAGTATGATATTGGCTGTGGGGTTGTCATAGATAGCTCTTATTATTTTGAAATACGTCCCATCAATACCTAATTTATTGAGAGTTTTTAGCATGAAGTGTTGTTGAATTTTGTCAAAGGCTTTTTCTGCATCTATTGAGATAATCATGTGGTTTTTGTCTTTGGCTCTGTTTATATGCTGGATTACATTTATTGATTTGCATATATTGAACCAGCCTTGCATCCCAGGGATGAAGCCCACTTGATCATGGTGGATAAGCTTTTTGATGTGCTGCTGGATTCGTTTTGCCAGTATTTTATTGAGGATTTTTGCGTCAATGTTCATCAAGGATATTGGTCTAAAATTCTCTTTTTTGGTTGTGTCTCTGCCAGGCTTTGGTATCAGAATGATGCTGGCCTCATAAAATGACTTAGGGAGGATTCCCTCTTTTTCTATTGATTGGAATAGTTTCAGAAGGAATGGTACCAGTTCCTCCTTGTACCTCTGATCGAATTCGGCTGTGAATCCATCTGGTCCTGGACTCTTTTTGGTTGGTAAAATATTGATTATTGCCACAATTTCAGATCCTGTTATTGGTCTATTCAGAGATTCAACTTCTTCCTGGTTTAGTCTTGGGAGAGTGTATGTGTCGAGGAATTTATCCATTTCTTCTAGATTTTCTAGTTGATTTGCGTAGAGGTGTTTGTAGTATTCTCTGATGGTAGTTTGTATTTCTGTGGGATCAGTGGTGATATCCCCTTTATCATTTTTTATTGTGTCTATTTGATTCTTCTCTCTTTTTTTCTTTATTAGTCTTGCTAGTGGTCTATCAATTTTGTTGATCCTTTCAAAAAACCAGCTCCTGGATTCATTAATTTTTTGAAGGGTTTTTTGTGTCTCTATTTCCTTCAGTTCTGCTCTGATTTTAGTTATTTCTTGCCTTCTGCTAGCTTTTGAACGTGTTTGCCCTTGCTTTTCTAGTTCTTTTAATTGTGATGTTAGGGTGTCAATTTTGGATCTTTCCTGCTTTCTCTTGTGGGCATTTAGTGCTATAAATTTCCCTCTACACACTGCTTTGAATGCATCCCAGAGATTCTGGTATGCTGTGTCTTTGTTCTCATTGGTTTCAAAGAACATCTTTATTTCTGCCTTCATTTCGTTATGTATCCAGTAGTCATTCAGGAGCAGGTTGTTCAGTTTCCATGTAGTTGAGTGGTTTTGAGTGAGATTCTTAATCCTGAGTTCTAGTTTGATTGCACTGTGGTCTGAGAGATAGTTTGTTATAATTTCTATTCTTTTACATTTGCTGAGGAGAGCTTTACTTCCAAGTATGTGGTCAATTTTGGAATAGGTGTGGTGTGGTGCTGAAAAAAATGTATATTCTGTTGATTTGGGGTGGAGAGTTCTGTAGATGTCTATTAGGTCTGCTTGGTGCAGAGCTGAGTTCAATTCCTGGGTATCCTTATTGACTTTCTGTCTTGTTGATCTGTCTAATGTTGACAGTGGGGTGTTAAAGTCTCCCATTATTAATGTGTGGGAGTCTAAGTCTCTTTGTAGGTCACTCAGGACTTGCTTTATGAATCTGGGTGCTCCTGTATTGGGTGCATATATATTTAGGATAGTTAGCTCTTCTTGTTGAATTGATCCCTTTACCATTATGTAATGGCCTTCTTTGTCTCTTTTGATCTTTGTTGGTTTAAAGTCTGTTTTATCAGAGAGTAGGATTGCAACCCCTGCCTTTTTTTGTTTTCCATTTGCTTGGTAGATCTTCCTCCATCCTTTTATTTTGAGCCTATGTGTGTCTCTGCACATGAGATGGGTTTCCTGAATACAGCACACTGATGGGTCTTGACTCTTTATCCAATTTGCCAGTCTGTGTCTTTTAATTGGAGCATTTAGTCCATTTACATTTAAAGTTAATATTGTTATGTGTGAATTTGATCCTGTCATTATGATGTTAGCTGGTGATTTTGCTCGTTAGTTGATGCAGTTTCTTCCTAGTCTCGATGGTCTTTACATTTTGGCATGATTTTGCAGCGGCTGGTACCGGTTGTTCTTTTCCATGTTTAGCGTTTCCTTCAGGAACTCTTTTAGGGCAGGCCTGGTGGTGACAAAATCTCTCAGCATTTGCTTGTTTGTAAAGTATTTTATTTCTCCTTCACTTATGAAGTTTAGTTTGGCTGGATATGAAATTCTGGGTTGAAAATTCTTTTCTTTAAGAATGTTGAATATTGGCCCCCACTCTCTTCTGGCTTGTAGGGTTTCTGCCGACAGATCTGCTGTTAGTCTGATGGGCTTCCCTTTGAGGGTAACCCGACCTTTCTCTCTGGCTGCCCTTAACATTTTTTCCTTCATTTCAACTTTGGTGAATCTGACAATAATGTGTCTTGGAGTTGCTCTTCTTGAGGAGTATCTTTGTGGTGGTCTCTGTATTTCCTGAATCTGAGCGTTGGCCTGCCTTGCTAGATTGGGGAAGTTCTCCTGGATAATATCCTGCAGAGTGTTTTCCAACTTGGTTCCATTCTCCCCATCACTTTCAGGTACACCAATCAGACGTAGATTAGGTCTTTTCACATAGTCCCATATTTCTTGGAGGCTTTGCTCATTTCTTTTTATTCTTTTTTCTCTAAACTTCCCTTCTTGCTTCATTTCATTCATTTCATCTTCCATTGCTGATACCCTTTCTTCCAGTTGATCGCATGGGCTCCTGAGGCTTCTGCATTCTTCACGTAGTTCTCGAGCCTTGGTTTTCAGCTCCATCAGCTCCTTTAAGCACTTCTCTGTATTGGTTATTCTAGTTATGCATTCTTCTAAATTTTTTTCAAAGTTTTCAACTTCTTTGCCTTTGGTTTGAATGTCCTCCCGTAGCTCAGAGTAATTTGATCGTCTGAAGCCTTCTTCTCTCAACTCGTCAAAGTCATTCTCCATCCAGCTTTGTTCCGTTGCTGGTGAGGAACTGCGTTCCTTTGGTAGAGGAGAGGCGCTCTGCGTTTTAGAGTTTCCAGTTTTTCTGTTCTGTTTTTTCCCCGTCTTTGTGGTTTTATCTACTTTTGGTCTTTGATGATGGTGATGTACAGATGGGTTTTTGGTGTGGATGTCCTTTCTGTTTGTTAGTTTTCCTTCTAACAGACAGGACCCTCAGCTGCAGGTCTGTTGGAATACCCTGTCGTGTAAGGTGTCAGTGTGCCCCTGCTGGGGGGTGCCTCCCAGTTAGGCTGCTCGGGGGTCAGGGGTCAGGGACCCAGTTGAGGAGGCAGTCTGCCCGTTCTCAGATCTCCAGCTGCGTGCTGGGAGAACCACTGCTCTCTTCAAAGCTGTCAGACAGGGACATTTAAGTCTGCAGAGGTTACTGCTGACTTTTTGTTTGTCTGTGCCCTGCCCCCAGAGGTGGAGCCTTCAGAGGCAGGCAGTCCTCCTTGAGCTGTGGTGGGCTCCACCCAGTTCGAGCTTCCCGGCTGCTTTGTTTACCTAAGCAAGCCTGGGCAATGGTGGGCGCCCCTCCCCCAGCCTCGCTGCCGCCTTGCAGTTTGATCTCAGATTGCTGTGCTAGCAATCAGCGAGACTCCGTGGGCGTAGGACCCTCCGAGCCAGGTGCAGGATATAATCTCGTGGTGCGCCATTTTTTAAGCCGGTCCGAAAGGCGCAATATTCGGGTGGGAGTGACCCGATTTTCCAGGTGCGTCTGTCACCCCTTTCTTTGACTCGGAAAGGGAACTCCCTGACCTCTTGCGCTTCCCAAGTGAGGCAATGCCTCGCCCTGCTTCGGCTTGTGCACGGTGCGCGCACCCACTGACCTGTGCCCACTGTCTGGCACTCCCTAGTGAGATGAACCTGGTACCTCAGATGGAAATGCAGAAATCACCCGTCTTCTGCGTCGCTCTCGCTGGGAGCTGTAGACCGGAGCTGTTCCTATTCGGCCATCTTGGCTCCTCTCCGCATGTTTAGTTTTCTAAAGAAACAGACAAACTGTTCTCTAGAATGCTTGTGCTATTTTACACTCCCACCAACAATTATGAGCAATTTAGTCTCCACTTCCTCACCAGCATTTAGTGGTTATTACTTTTTATTTTAGCCATCCTAATAGGTGTGTAGTGATATCTCATTGTGGTTTTGAACATCTTTTCATGTGCTTATTTGTCGTCTTTATGTCCTCTTAGTAAAATGTCTCTGCATGTCTTTTATCCATTTTCTTAATTTTTGTATTCTGTTGAGCTTTGAAAGTTATGTATATTCTAGATGTGAATCCTTTGTTGGATATATGGTTTATAAATATCTTCTTTCATAATTCAGCAGAATTGAAAATAAACATTTAAAAAAATGTAATAATAGGCCAGGTGCAGTGGCTCACGCTATAATCCCAGTTTGGGAGGCCGAGTCAGGTGGATCACGAGGTCAGGAGTTCGAGACCAGTCTGACCAACATGGTGAAACCCCGTCTCTACTAAAGATACAAAAAGTAGCCAGGCGTGGTGGCACGCACCTGTAATCCCAGCTACTCAGGAGGCTGAGGTAGGAGAATCGCTTGAACCCAGGAGGCGGAGATTACAATGAGCCGAGATCATGCCACTATACTGCAGCCTGGGCAACAGAGCGAGCTTCTGTCTCAAAAAAAAGAGTAATAATAAATTCAAAACTCATAAGCTTAAAAAATGTACAGCTTAAAAAATGTACAGTCTGGAATTAAACACTTGAGACTCTGGAGTTTGGTTTGCTTTTGAATTTAGACTATGCCATTTATAAGCTGTGTGACCTCGGGCAGATTACTGAATGTCTCAGTTCCTCATTTGTCAAATGGGGATTTAAAACAGCATCTATCCTATTGGGTGGGTTGTGAGAATTAAATGCACTAATACACATAAAGAACTTGAATATTGCCTGGCTGATAAGTGTTGAATATGTGTTAGATATTATGCTATTTTTAAAAAGTTTACATCAACTTTTGCCTAATTACACTTTTTATTACTTTTTAGTGGTTGGATTTCATCCCTTACTGGTCTCAACCAAAATATTCCTGTTGGAATCATGATGATAATCATAGCAGCACTTTTCACAGCATCAGCAGTCATCTCACTAGTTATGTTCAAAAAAGTAAGTGAAATTTTATGTCTAAATTTTTATAGTGAACGTGATGTAAAGTTCTCATTTTCCTATTTTGCTATAATTTGGTGTAACCTGAAGCCATTTTATCGTTATTGTATGAGTTTGCTCTCTGAGGATTACTTTTTACAATTAAAAGTTATGCATAAGTACATTTTAGAAAATTGCATCACATTTTAAACTTCAGTAAAAAGGGAATATTTTAAAATCATTTTAACTGAAGGCTTTCATGAGTTAAAGAGTCAGCCTCATTTTTAAAATTTGGATTTTTAAATATACTCTAAATTTCTTTTTTTTGATATGAAGGATATTAGCCTGTTAATAAATAGAAGTAAAATTATTATGTGATATGTACATTTTATTCATATATATCTCTTAGGTTTTTGTTTTGTTTTTTAATTTTTTATTATAAATTCAGAGGGAACATGTGCAGGTTTGTTACATGGTTATGTTGCATAATGCTGGGGTTTGGGCTTCTATTGAACCCATCACCCAAATAGTGAACATAGTACCCGATAGTTTTTCAAGCTTTGCTCTTCTCCCTCCCTCCCTTTTGGGTCCCCGGTGTCTGTTTCCATCTTTATGTCTGTGTGAACCCTTTGTTTAGCTCCCACTTCTAAGTGAGAACATGCAGTATTTGATTTTCTGTTAGTGTGTTAATTCACTTAGGATAATGGCGTGCAGCTGCATCTATGTTGCTACGAAGGACATAATTTCATTTTTTAGGTGGTGTAGTATTTCGTGATGTATATGTATCACATTTTCTTTATTCAGTCTACTATTGATGGACGCTTAGGTTGATTCTGTGACTTTGCTATTGTGACTAGTGCTGCAATAAGCATATGAGTGCAGGTGTCTTTTTGATAAAATGATTTCTTTTCCTTTGGTTAGATACCCAGTATAGGGTGATTGCTGGGTTGAATGGAAGGTCTATTTTTACTTCTTTGAGAAATCTCCATACTGTTTTCCACAGAAGTAGAACAAATTTATATTCCCGTCAACGGTATATAAGCATTCCATTTTCTCTGCATCCTTGCCAACATCTGTTGTTTTTTGAGTTTTTAATAATAGCCATTTTGACTGGTGTGAGATGGGAATTATTGTGGTTTTGATTTGCATTTCTCTGATTGGTGATGTTGAGTTTTCTTCCATTTGTTGGCTGCTTGTATGTCTTCATTCAAGAAGTGTCTGTTGATATCCTTTGCCTACTTTTTAATGGGGTTTTTTTTTTCTTGTTGATTTGTTTAAGTCCTTTATACATTCTGGATATTAGTCCTTTGTCAGATGCATAGTTTGCACATATTTTCTCCCATCCTGTAGATTGTCTCTTTACTCTGTTTATTCTCTCTTTCTTTCTTTTGGTTTCTTTTCTCCTTCCTTCCTTCCTTCCTTCCTTCCTTCCTTCCTTCCTTCCTTCCTTCCTTCCTTCCTTCCTCCCTTCCTTCCTTCCTTTCTTGTCTTTCCTCTATCTGTCTCTCTTTCTGTCTTCCTGTCTCTTTTGTGAAAGAGAGTCTCACTCTGTCACCCAGGCTGGAGTGCAGTGGCTCAATCTCAGCTCATTGCAATCTCCACCTCCCGTGTTCACACAATTTTCCTGTCTCAGCCTCTTGAGTAGCTAGGATTACAGGTGTGCACCAGCATGCCTGGCTAATTTTTATATGTTTAGTAGAGATGGAGTTTGACCATGTTGGCCAGCCTGGCCTTGAACTCCAGACCTCAAATGATCAGCCCTCACAAAGTACTGGGATTACAGGCATGAGCCACCACGCCCAGCCTGTTTAGTGTTTCTTTTGCTATGCAGAAGCTCTTTAAGTCCCATTTGTCAATTTTTGTTTGTGTTCCATTTGCTATTGAGGTCTTAGTAGTAAATTCTTTGTCTAGGCCAATGTCTAGAAGAGTATTTCCTAGATTTTCTTCTAGGATTTTTGTAGTTTGAGGTTTTACATTTAAGTCTTCAATCCATCTTGAGTTAATTTTTGTATGTGGTGAGAAGTAGGGGTCAATTTTATTCTTCTGCATGTGGCTAGCCAGTTTACCCAGCACCATTTATTGAATAGGGTGTCCTTTCCCCATTGTTCATTATTGTCAGCTTTGTTAAAGATCAGTTGGTTGTAGGTGTGTGGCATTATTTCTGGGTTCTCTGTTCGATTGGTCTGTTTTTGTACTGGTTACCATGCTGCTTGCTTACCATAGTCTTTTTTCTTTTTTGAGACAGAATCTTGCTCTGACGCCCAGGCTGGAGTGCAGTGGCACAATCTCGGCTCACTGCACCCTCAGCCTCCCCAGGTTCAAGTGATTCTCATGCCTCAGACAGCCAAGTAGTTGGGACTAACAAGCGTGAACCACCATGCCTGGCTGATTTTTGTATTTTTAGCAGAGACGGGATTTCACCATGTTGGCCAGGTTGGTCTCTAACTCCTGGCCTCAAGTGATCCGCCCGCCTCAGCCTCCCAAAGTGCTGGGATTACAGGTGTGAGCCACTGTGCACTATAGTTTGAAGTCAGGCAATATGATGCCTCTGGCTTTGTTCTTTTTGCTTAGGATTGCTTTAGCTATTCAGACTCTTTTTGGTTCCATATGAATTTTAGAATTGTATTTTCTACTTCTGTGAAAAATGATGTTGGTAATTTGATAGGATTGTATTGAATCTATATATTGCTTTGGACAGTATGGTCATTGTAACAATATTGATTCTTCTAATCCATGAATGTGGATGTTTTTCCATTTCTTTGTGTCATGTGTGATTTCTTTCATCAGTGATTTGCAATTCTTCTTATGGAGTTCTTTCACCTTCTTAGTTAAATGTATTCTGGATGTGTGTAGGAGTGTGTGTGTGTGTGTGTGTGTGTGTGTGTGTCTATTGTAAATGGGATTGGGTTCTTTATTTGGTTCTCAGCTTGAACGTTGTTGGTGTTTAGAAATGCTACTGATTTTTGTATGTTGATTTTGTATCTTGAAACTTTTTGTTGGTTTTTTGAGACAGAATCTCACTCTGTTGCCCAGGCTGGAGTGCAGTGGTGTGATCTTGGCTCACGGCAGCCTCTACCTCCTGGGTTCAAGCAATTCTCATGTTTTAGCCTCCTGAGTAGTCGGGATTACAGATGTGG
This sequence comes from Homo sapiens, assembly GCF_000001405.40. NCBI lineage: Eukaryota > Metazoa > Chordata > Mammalia > Primates > Hominidae > Homo > Homo sapiens. The sequence continues at coordinate 78,462,479 of NC_000005.10, forward strand.
CACCTGGCTAATTTTTTTTGTATTTTTAGTAGAGATGATTTCGCCATGTTGGCCAGTCTGGTCTGTAACTCCTGACCTCAAGTGATCTACTTGCCTTGGCCTCCCAAAGTTCGGGATTACAGGTGTGAGCCACCACACCCAGTCTGTATCTTGAAACTTTACTCAAGTTAGTTATCAGGTTTAGGAGTCATTTAGGATTTGTAACTGCCCAGTTGTTTTAGCTACACTTCTTCCTGTAGAATTCCCATGTCTGTTTTCACAGCTTTAAAAAAAAAATCATTACATAGAGGAAGGTAAATTAGTGTTTTTATTTGTTTATTTAAAGTTTTATTTTGTCTTGGATATATGTAATTTTGATATATTTTATATGTATTCAAACATGATATTGAGACCTTGGGAATAACACCTATGTTTTAAATGAAAAAGACTTTTTGATAGGTCTCACTTTAAAGAAAATAAGTCCTTATAATTTTTTTTACCATTTCATTACTTGAGACTATGTATGAGGAATGCATAGAAATAATTTTACCTTATATTTAAAACCACTTTTACTCTTTCAGTACTTTACTCAGACATTTGTCTTTTATCCTTCTCAAAACCCTACGAAGGTTAGACTGTGTCCGTTCTTCCATATTTTCTCTATTTGAAATTTTTAACTTCTCTTCTGCACCAAACACACATACCATTGACACTCAGCTCTCTAATGTTACTAAATCCCTTTTCCAGTTTTCCTCCTCCTTAACCTCTGTAGCTTTCTACACCACAGATGGCTCCTCTGCTAAGACTTTGCAATGATGTTCTAATTCTCTTGACTCTCTGGCTATTCTTTCTCCTCCATTTCTTCATCCAGTTCATAAATTAAGGTCTTAAATGTAATCGGCTCTTTGTGCTATGCAGTCATTTTCTTTGGGAATTTCATCTTCCCTTATTATTTCAGTTTCTTCTCTACCTAGATGACCTAGAATCTTGGAATTGGAAAAGATAATGCATTGCATAAACCTTTAGTTGCATCTTCAATTGGTCATTTTCATCTCCAGTTGTTGATTGATGTCATCTTCTCACAGTAATGCCTCATAAACTCTTCAGTTTCTTAGTGATAGATGTTCCTTTTGAACGTTCTGAGTAATATTCAAGAAGCATTTATTAAGACCACATATTGTATAGATTCCATTATTGTGAAATGTATAAAATGGGCAAATATATAGAGACAGAAAATGTATTACAGCTTGCCTGTGGCTTATGGGTGGGGTGGGGAGTGAGGGTAATGAAAGTATTCTAAAATTAGGTTGTGTAGATATTATAGTCACAACTCTATGAATATACTAAAAATCATTGAATTGTACACTTTAAAGGGTAAAATGCATAGTATACAGATTTTATCTTAATGAAGCTTTTTTTTTTGAAGAAACACTTATTGAATACCTACTAATGAGATGGCACTAAGCACTTTATGTAATTCCATTGAACATTTTTGTCAGTGCTGTGATTGCTTCTGTCAGTGCTTCCATTACTTCTTTTTTGAGACAGAATCTGTCTGTCGCCAGGCTGGAGTGCAGTGGCGCGATCTTGGCTCACTGCAGCCTCCGCCTCCCGGGTTCAAGCGATTCTCCTGACTCAGCCTCCCAAGTAGCTGGGACTACAGGCATGCGCCACCACACTCAGCTATTTTTTTTTTTCTTTTTTTGAGATAGAGTCTTGCTCTGTCACCAGGCTGGAGTGTGATGGCGTGATCTCTGCTCACTGCAGCCTCCAACTCCCTGGTTCAAGCAGTTCTCCTGCCTCAGCCTCCTGAGTAGCTGGGATTACAGGCATGTGCCACCATGCCTGGCTAATTTTTGTATTTTTAGTAGAGACAGGGTTTCACCATGTTGGCCAGGATGCTCTTGATCTCCTGACCTCGTGTTCTGCCTACTGGGATTACAGGCATGAGCCACCACGCACAGCCACTTCCATTACTTTTTAATTCACTTTCTTAGATACCTTTTTAGTATCTTTTCCATTTCCAACCTCAGCTAATCCAGAAATTCTTTTTACAGGTTACTTATATTCCCTCATCCTTCTCGCAGTCCATTTAATATATAATTCCTATATTAACCTTAAAAAAACCCCAACAAATTGGCACTCTGCAGATTTTTGACGTGGATCTGGGATTGGGAACGGCATTTTGGTGGCAGTGCGAAGAAGGGCTACATTCAGAAACACCAGCATTGCTAAGGTTGTAAAAACACACTACATGCCATAAAGCCATCAAATGGGCCTTAATAACCTAATGATGAAATCACTTTTATTTTGCTCAGCCATACTCTGGGCCCTATGCAGAACACTTCACCAGTATTATGCCATTTTGTCCTCTCGGAGAATCACAGATTGGGATTATAGTGGTGGTGGGAAGAAGGGCTAATGGTGACGTCTCACAGCTCCATGATTCACACTTTCTATTCTTGTCAGACTGTACTGCTCGGTTTCTTCAAATACATCATGTACATTCCTTTGTTCCAGATTTTGTTTATATGATGTTTTTTAATCCGTGCATTAATTCGTCTTCTCTGCTATTTGAAGACCTACTAGTATTCTTTCAAGACCCAGCTCCGATCTTGCTGTGTCTCCCAGAATGTTTTTTGTTGCCTTGTATCTTAGGGACCATGTCATTCTCTGTTTTCTTGGGGAAACTTAACTGTCTATATTGCTTACTGTGGCACCTGGGCATAAGCCAGTTTTTATGCCTTATGGTGCATGTATTCTGGGTACGCAGCTGTTAAGCACCCCCCGCGTGAACAAGTCTTTTAGCATTGGAATTAGATGAGAAGAGCAAGAGTTTTGCTTTGGAACCATACAACTCAGGTTGAAATTTTGACAGCTTCACTTACAGCTCTGTGACCTGAGACAGACTTCTGTAACCACTCAGGTTTGGTGTCCTCAACTGTACTCCAAGCTGCGTGAGAGTGGAGACCTGTTCTGTATGCTTTCAGGTTGTAATTCTCACATCTGGAACAGTGACATGCAGTGATTGGCATGTGATAGGCACTCAGATATTTGTTGAATAAAAGAAGGAATGGGAAGAGTAACCACTTTCATAGGGTTGGTGTGAGGATTAAATGAAACAGTGAATGTAAACTGCATAGAATAGGGCCTTCTCAGTTAATAGTTTTCCTTTCTGATCTTGACCTTTTTATCATTTTATATTCAGGGTCTGGTTTAGTGTCTACTTTTGTTTAGTAGATGCCTTTATCAGTCAGCATGCTATCAGAAACAGAAAGAATGAAAAGGTTAATTGCGGGGAATTGGCTGGTGAGGTCAGTCTGATATCAAGAGGGCAGGCCGGAACTCTCAGGCAGAAGTTGAAACTCTGGTCCACAAGTGGGATTTCTTCTTCCTCAGAGGAACTCCAGTTGTGTTCTTAAGGCCTTTCAACAGATTGGATGGGGCATACCCAGATAATCTAGAACACTCTTCTTAAAGTCAACTGAAGGCAGATGCCGATTACATCTACAAGATACCTTCACAGCGGCACCTAGGTTAGTGTTTGATTGAATAATTGGAGACTGCGGCCTAGCCAAATTAACATGTAACACTGACCATCACAGCACCATTCTTTGGAGAATTCCTTTATTATTTCACATGTATTATTGAGGGTGTTTTATAGAAGTAGAAATGTAATACATTTTGAGTATAGTAGAGGGTTTTGTGGTGTGTGGCAGTTTTCACTCATTTGTTAAACAGCTGTTATTGAGCATATATTACGTGCCAGGCACTGGGCTGTGCATGAGCTCAGAGAGATCACCTGTTGGTGAGGAAGAGAAATAAATTGGTGGGCCCCCCAATTCAGTTATTTAATGGCCATGATAGAGGTAAGTATAGGGAGCAGAGGGACACCTATCAGGTTTTGGAGGTCTTTTTAAGTATTGCCTCAGCTGAGATATAATGATGGCTGCTCATCATTATAGTTATCTAAGCAAAAGAATAAGGGACAGGGAAGAGGATAAGAGGGATAAGGAGGTACCAGAGAGTGGGGATACCACGTTCACATCTAGTTGTAGGAAATAACATGGCAAATTCAGGGAATTAAATGTAGCTCAGAATGGATGGGAGATAAAACATGGTGTGTGAGCTGGGGCTAGGAGAATTGTAGGTTGTTGGTATTGGAAGATGAAATTGAACACGTAAGTATAGTTTTATCCTACAGGGTCTTGTTAAGAAGTTTAAATCTTCTCCAAAAAGTGGTAGTGAGCCATAGAAGAGTTTTAAGGAGGAGAGTAATTGAATTGATTAGATTTGAATTTTAGAAGCATTTATTCTGAAATACATTTGGGATTTGCGGGGCCGAGCAGTCGTACTTGGAAACACTTAGGAGACGGGCTAGGAAGCTGATTAGTAATGATGGTGGCCTGAACTGAGGAAATGTGAAGAAAATGTAGTCAAGAGAAAACGAGCAGGTAAGGATTAATCCAACTGGGCCTGGAAGTAGGGGACAAGATAAGACTCAAGGATGACACCCAGGTTTTTAGATGATGGACCATTCAAGAAGAGAGTACAAGAAAAATGGTTTGGGGATCAAGATGTTTTCCACGTTGACCTTGAATTTGGGGAGTTTAAATTAACTGGTGGGGCATTAAAATATAAATATTGAGTAGGCTTTTGTATATATGAGTTAGGAGCAAGGGAAGAACTTTAGGCTGGATTTCTAGACTGGAAAGTATTGACTTGTTGAAGTAAATGAAGCCTAGAAAGTGTATGGAGTCAGAAGAGGGCTTTGGGGAGAATACTCACAACAATTAAGACTCTGCTGTGGGTGAAGTATAAAGGGAACTTTAACCATCACTGGCAGTGGTTGAGGAATGTGTGGCACAGATGATCAATAGAGCCAGGGTGTGGAGGAAGTGTTTATTCTGTAGCTGTTCTATAATGAACTACTCTGTGCACACTCTGAATACTTTGACCAGCAGTTTTTTTCCTTTCCATTTTCCAGGTATACAGTTTTTCAGGATCCACCACACAAAGGAAAAGTTATAGAATGGTGCTCATATGCCAGGCATTGAAAAGAAATATGACTTTCTCGAATAAAAGTATTGATATGGATATCATGCAGCATACTCTAATATTTTGTTGTTGTTGTTGTTTTTACCTCATAGTTAAAGAAGTTACCAGAACTTCTGTTTATATGTGTTCACAAGTTCCTAAACTTCTCTGGGTCTCAGATTCTTTATCTGTGAAATAAGGAGTTTAGATGAGATGATTTTCTGTATGATTTTATGAAGTACGATAGGGATACTATAAGCTAAAATATAATTTGCACCAGCTTTCATATTTTAATAGCAGGCATTTCTCTTGCTGTAATAGAAATTAAGATCCAATTTTAAAAACCTAATTTTTCCTTTTTAATTTTCTGTTTCACACTTGGTCAAAACTGGCAGTTTAATGACAAAAAATCCTTTGCAGGTATGTAGCAGTATTTATAACCACTAGGGGTCATGCTTTTCAAGAACAGTTAATGCCCTCTAACCGTAATCTGTGCACGGTTTTGACTCTAGAATTGTTGGGTTTTATTAAGCTGTTCTTCTCTTAAGGTAAATGTGCTCTGTCCTATATATTTATCCTAATTGAAGTGAATAGGATTTTGGTAATTTCGTTGGCTTTCTGTTGTCTTGCATAACTGAAGTGGGTCATCATTGGTGCTGCAGGGCCCAGTATGAGATTGTGCTGTTTGTTTCCCCCACAGTGTTGTTTTATACTCCACATTTCAAATATTGAAAGAATATATGTCTCCTATACATCTGCATGGAGAAGGGTCTAGTTTAGTCCTTATCTTTCACAAATAGATTTCTTGTTTTCTTTCAGATTATTTCCAAATGGTGTTTTTACAAAAGCTCCTCTTTCTATTAGAACTATCAGAAAGAATTGAGTAATGGTTTTGGGCCAAGCAGGGAGTTGTTATAAATGTGTCAAATAACAGTAAATGAATGCATCACAGGAGACTATGGATCAGGGAATCCAAAACTTTTCCCTTCTGTTAATTGGTATGGCTAGAATAACTTAATATGGAAGTAATTAATAGATGATATATCATTTGTATTCCTTTTGGGACCTGATTTTGAATGATTATCACTTCCATGAAATTTGTTCATAGACTGTCATGTTCACATTAAGTAGTTTTTAATAGTGAATTTTTTGCATTTTGAAAGAATTTTAGAAAAAAGTTATTTTACCTCTTTAAAAAACAAGTTTTCTGAAGTGTTTCAAATCTTGTTTATTTACTACAGTATATATTCTGCAGATACTCATTTTTGTGGGAGCGCTGAATTGGGTCTATGATAGAGAACACTGTGATTAAGTCTCATTAGTTGGTGTTTTATGGTAAATGCTTTGTGAAGATATCCTATTATATATAAAGTGATAGTTTTCTTAGGTGAAAAGTGACTCTTACAGTTATCCCTCTATATGCAGGGGATTGGTTTCAGAACCCACACATCCATATACCAAATCTATGCATACTCAAGTCTTGGAGTCAGCCCTGCAGAACCCATGTATACAAAAAGCCTTCTGTGTACTTGGGTTTTACATCCCATGAATACTGTATTTTCTATGTGAGTTTGGTTGGAAAAAAATCACATATTATAAGTGGACCTGCCCAGTTCAAGGATTATCATCTATACTTTCTTGAAAATATTGTTATCATTCACCTCTCCCCCTTGTCTCTTCCACTTTGTAACTTTATTTATGACCTAGGATAGAAAGCTGATAATTCCACTGTACTATTTTTCTATAGTCACAAATAGGCATGCTACTTCTCTCTCAGAACCATTCAGCACTGTCGTCTTTGCTGACTAGGAATCAATTCTGGATGGTTCACATTGTCTATTAAAATAGTCATCCAGTTACTTGTCACCTTCTTCTAAGGGACACAGATAGAGTAATACTTTTGAATTCCTAGAAAAAAATGGCACTCTTGAGCAGATTGTTTATATTCTGTCCTCGGCTGATACTCTTAGTATATTCACCAAAAAAAAAAAAACTTTACCCCCAATTTTAATTTTGTTACCTTTTTCAATAAGTACTAAGCTAGCTACTTAATAGATCCCAAATCTAGGTTACTATAACTAAATTATTATTATCTTAGGCATCTTCAAATTTGGTAGATTTCGTAGATTGGTGAGTATTTATAATGCTGTTCATGTGGCACTTTCATCTAAGTCATCTTTATATGCATATTTTTATCAGCTTTATTGAAATATAATTCACATACAATTCACCCATTTAAAATATACGGTTTAGACTGTGCATGGTGGTTCACACCTGTAATTCTAGCACTTTGGGAGGGTTTGGGGGGCCGAGGCAAGAAGATGACTTGAGGCGAGGAGTTTGAGATCAGCCTGGGCAACATAATGAGACTACCCTCCAACCCCTTACAAGACATTAAAAAAAAAAAAAAAAAAAAAACAAAAAAAAAAAAAAAAAAACAACAACACAGCCCAGGCATGGTGGTGTGAGTTTATTGTCCTAGCTGTTGGAGAGACTGAGGTGGGAGGATCACTTGAACCCAGGAGTTTGAGGCTGCAGTGAGCTATGATTGCATACCACTACACTCCAGCCTGGGCTACTGAGTGAGACCTTGTCTCTAAAAAATACAAAATAATTTAAAAAAACCTAAAGTATACAATTTAATGGCTTTTGGTGTATTGTATTTGTTTTAATTGTGGCAAAATATGTATAACATAAACTTTGACATTTTAATTACATTTAGGTATACAATTCAGTGGCATCAATTACATTCACAGTGTTGTACAACCATTACTAATGTCTATTTCCAGAACTTTGCATCACCCCAAACAGAAACTCTAATCATTAAGCAATAATTTTATTCCTCCCTATTCTCAGCCTCTGGCAGCCTCTAATTTGCTATGAATTGCCTATTTTAGATATTTCATATAAATGGAGTTATACAATATTTTCCTTTTGTACTTGGCTTCTTTCATTACCATAATGTTTTCAAGGTTCATCCGTGTTGCAGCATGTATCAGAAATGCATTCATTTTTAAGACTGAATAATATTCCATTGTATCTGTATACTACATTGTTTATCTGTTGATGGGCATTTGAGATTTTCCCACCTTTTGGCTATTGTGAATAGTGCTGCCGTGAACATTGGTGTACAGTTATCTGTTTGAGTCTTTGCTTTTACCTCTCTTGTGTACATATATACCCAATGTGGAATTCCTATGTAGTCTTATAGTAATTCTATGTTTAGGTTTTTGAGGCACCTCCAAACTCTTTTCTGGAAGGACTGTATCATTTTACATTCCCACCAGCACTTTCTCTACATCCTTGCCAACACTTGTGATTTTCCGTTTTTCTCATTCCAGCCATCCTAGCAGGTGTGAAGTAGTTGTATACTTTAAAAACATTTAACCTCTGAGGTGACTGCAAACTAAGCATTTTACTTTGTAACACAGGTATAGTCTCCTTAAGCCATATTGCACTTATTTGGTACCTTCTAAAAATTATTATTAATGAGGACAATTTTGGAACATTTAATCCTCAGCAGGTAGTAATAATAATTATTCAGTGGCTTCTACTGCAGATTACTAAGCTGTGTCTTTTAGGGGGTGTAACAATGAGTAGAATTAGTTCTTGCCCTTAGGCAAGTAAAAGCATGTAGGATATAATACAAAATGGACAGAAACCCTGTAAAAGAAAAAGTACATACATGCTCCCCAAAATGTACAAAGGATTGGCGGTACTCTCAATAGGGAAAGCCATAGCTAGTTCAGGCACAAAATGGCAGACAGAGCATTATTTGAGATAGTGCTTAAAGGGTGCGTGAGATTTCGACATGGTGAAACTAGACTGGCAATTCAAGGGGTTACAAAAGGGATATCTGACCCATCTGTGGGCAGGAGGGTTCATAGAGGGTTTCCAGAAATTTCAAACTGAAAATATTAGGCTTAGACGTCCATACTTTTTTAAAAACTCAAAACAAGAATTTAAAAAATATATTTAAAAAACTCATTTGTTTTTATTTTCCCAGCTTTTATAAAAGTTGAAATAATTTTGGCATGACAGGGATCTTAATAAAAGCACAGTTTCTTGAAATGGTATTCTATATGTTTTAATGAAGACATATGTTTGGGTTATTTAAATAAAGTGCCATTATTCTTTACTTCCCACACGATACAGTTTTTCTGTGTCATATACCACCACAGCATGTATTGTCTCTGAAGCTGCATTAAGGAGGCAGGACTCCTTTATGGAGCCGCATCTACATTTTGGCTGTGACACTTCGGCAGATACTTAAAAATTAATTTAACTTATGTTAGTGTAACTCATTTATATACATTCTGATTTGATCTTTAGGAAAACTCAGAGGAGCAGATAGTGTAACAAATATTCTTTTTTTATGGGAAGCAGACTTGAAGTTTTGAGTGGTGGCCAGCCAGCTAGAAAGTAGTGGAATTAGTATATACCAAATTTAATGCCTTTTCTGTGATTTTCCTAGAACTAAATATTATTTTAGGAGTAATGCAGTTCTCATAAGTAGAAAAGATAGTATTTAAGTTGTTTAATTTTTTTTTTGAATTCTCTAGGCTATTCTGCATTTATGGAATTTTCCACTAGGTAATATGCATTCAGGTCACATACACAGTGAGATTTTCTAAAGTGACAGTACAGATAAAAAGGCTGTGCAACTTGGTGATAATTGTGCTCCATTTAAGCAACCATCAACTGGTGCATTTTTTTAAAGATAAATTAGATTTTATCAAAATTGAAATATTTTTTCTTTTTGATACTTTATGTTCTGGGATACATGTGCAGAACATGCAGGTTTGTTATGGGTATACATGTGCCATGGTGGTTTGCTGCACCCATCAACCCATTATCTACATTAGGTATTTCTCCTAACGCTATGCCTCCCCTTGCCCCCCACCCCCAAGTTGTGTAATTTTTTAAAAAAAATTATAGTACTTGGTGTCAAAACCTTGTCCCTGATATCAGCAGTATGAATTATTAATAGATACCATCTGAAACCCTGGAGGGAAGTAATAAGCTTTTAAAGATGTTCATCCTGATGATTAGCCTGTCATCTTTCATGGGGCCCTGAAATCAAGAATCCACCCTTTTTCACATGGATATAATGGATTTAATACAGTATTTAGCATTATGCACTGTATATATATGTGGTCTTTTCCCTCTAGGTGGCTCTCTGGGTCTATATAGATACAAACTATTGAGAAATGTGGCTATTCCTACCTTTATTTTGCTTCTGTGTTCTGTGGGACTGTGAATTACATTTTAGTAAACTGTGAAGCCCATGAACACATAGTATCAGCTGCTCAATTTAGTGCAAGTTTGAAAAAGGAAATAATAAAGCAAATAAGAATTAACATTTATTTATTACATGCTCACAAACTTGGGGGAAGAGGGGAAGAGACAGACAAGTGAATCCAATTGCATTGCTCTGGTTTGGTCTAGTAAGTAAAGAAGGTTGATAAGATTTCTATAATACACTTCATTTTCTAGGATCCAGTCATTTGTACTCACTTTGAGATAAGTGTCTGGAACATAGGAGTAGTGATTTATCTATATCTTTAATTTTCCATAGAAAACTTGGTTTTAAAAGGGAATAAAAATAATTACTTTTATACTTAATGATAGTGCTAAGGTACTAGGGGAAAGGAATCTTTGGATTTACCAGTATATGTATTTGTCAGTGCTCTTTTTCTTCCTGACCATTTGACACTTTGATCTGTAGTAATATGGCGTTTGCTTTTACCACTGTATCAGAAGCACTCAGGGCTGTGTGGGTTATTTTTGTCTTGTACCGTGATAGATTTTCATGCATTAACTTGCTTTCTTGATAGTTTTTCTGACAGCTTTTCATGTGTTAACATGCTTTCTTCTCTTGGCATCAGTGAGAAGTATCTGTATCTGGTTCTTCCCTTTCCTCTCCCAGTCATTCTTTCTTCTTGTGGATGCCTCTTAAATAGTGTCTTTTTAAAACAATTTCAAGTTTTATTTTAGATTCAGGGGATACATGTGCAGGTTTGTTACAAGGGTATATTATGTGATACTGAGGTTTGGGGGACAGTTGAGCCTGTCATCCAGGTAGTGAGCATAGTACCCAATTGGTAGTTTTTCAACTCTTCTCCCCCTCCCACCTTCCCCTATCTTTTAAGTCCCCAATATCTATCGTTGCCATCTTTATGTCCATGTATACCCAATGTTTAGCTCCCACTTAAAAGTGAGAACATGTGATATTTGGTTTTCTGTTTCTGCATTAATTAGGTTATATACTTGATTTTATTCTCTTTCTACTCTGGGTTCTCCATAGACAGTTTCATAAATGCCAAGGTTTCAGCTATCATTTATATGTTGTTTTAGTCCCTTTGGGCTGCTATAACAAAAATACCATAGATTGGGTAGCTTAAACAACAGATAATGATTTCTCATAGTTCTAGAGGCTGAGAAGTCCAAGATAAGAAAGACACTGACAAATTCAGTATCTCAGGGGGGCCAACTTCCTGGTTCATAGACAGTTTCTGTGTCCTTTTGTGATGGAAGGTTGTCAGAGAGATCTCTGGAGTCTCTTTAAAAAAAAAAAAAAGTTCTTTTTGGAGACGTATATTGCCCAGGTTGGAGTGGAAGGCTGGGACCATAGGTGTGTGCCACCACACTGGGCCTTGGGGGTCTCTTTTATAAGGGCATTTATTCCATTAATGCAAGCTTCACCTTCATGGCAAAATCACCCCCGAAAAGGCCTGCCTGCTAATACCATCATATTGGTGGTTGGGATTTTAACATAAGAATTTTGGGGGGAACACAAACATTCAGTCCATAACATATGCCGTTGGTTTCCAAGTCCATGTCTTTAGCCCATTCCTCTCCCAAGCTTTGAACCAAACCTTTACCTGCCTGCTGTGGCAGGCCTAGAGTAGGTTGTCAGTAGAGTTGGAATGAATGAACAAATGTTTAGAACTTATCATCTGCCTTCTCCCCAAACCAGCCTATCCTCTCTTTTCTCTGTCTTCTTGAAACTACTTTCCCAAATGCAAGCTTGCTTTGAGAATCTTTGACTCATTCTTTTTCTTACCTCACAGTTACCAGTTCCTATCCAGGTTTGGAAAAAATACTGACTTGGATGCATTGGCCCTTCCCTAAGCCTGCTTTGATTGCATTCCAGTCAAGCTTCTAATTTAGATCCAGTCACAGTGCAGTGTAATTACCAGTATCTTTCTGTCCCCACTCTGCGAAGTTTGTGGGCATATAATTAATAAATGTTTGTTATTTCCTTCTTCAAATTTGTGTTAAAATAAGTGGCTGATGTTATGTATTGATGGACTCATAGTTTAATTATGCAGGTTTTAAGACATATACTGATAGAAAATTTTTGAACCCTACTCCTGAAAATAAATTCCAAGATTTGAGTGATTAATCAGTATGGAGAAACAATTCCCAGAAGTGTTTCTTTGTGCATTCTTTAGGACTTGACCATACACAAAAAGTTAAATTGTATACAGAGTGCATAGCGGCAATATGTTGAAGGACATAAGTAGTGCTTGGTACATTAAATGATAAAATGATCTCATTTGATTATAACAGGGCCTGTGGTGTATATGTAGATAAAATGGAAATAGATAAGGTACTGTTCTCTCTGAATAGTCTGGGGTAATAAATTAATGTATTGTTTCTTGTTATTATGTTTAAACCATTTCATTGTAATGCTGTAATAATTTCACTTGACTAATTGGGTGCAGAGGAAAATACAACTTTTTGAAGTTGGCTAAGAAGTTCTTTATTTTTGGTTTAAATTAGCATAATTATCTCTTCTGCTTGGAGAAGAAAAGGAAAACCTATATTAAGAAAATGTTTAAATACAATTATTGTGTGTCAGTTTGGTGGCTAATATTCTTGATCTTAGGAATCATGACTACAATCTAGTATTTTTATGTTTGATTAATGTTGAGATTAAGAGCTGCTGGAAATGAATGCGTAGGTTGCTACTTACCTTCTCCCACTTTTTTGTGCCTCTGTAGGTACATGGACTATATCGCACAACAGGTGCTAGTTTTGAGAAGGCCCAACAGGAGTTTGCAACAGGTGTGATGTCCAACAAAACTGTCCAGACCGCAGCTGCAAATGCAGCTTCAACTGCAGCATCTAGTGCAGCTCAGAATGCTTTCAAGGGTAACCAGATTTAAGAATCTTCAAACAATACACTGTTACCTTTTGACTGTACCTTTTTCTCCAGTTACTGTATTCTACAAATATTTTTATGTTCAAAACACACAGTACAGACAGCATGGATATTTCCTGTTCACTTGTGCATGGGCTAAAACCAGGAAAACTTCCTTGTCTTATTACTTTACCTAATAGTTTCTTAATATTTCAGTGCCCCTTGCAGAAAAAATATTACATGCTAAATAAATATTCTCCATATTTTTGGGGGATGACATTCAGTGAATTATTTCAGTGGTGACCCACTGAAAATTAATAATGGTACTTATGATTAAAAACGCATTTAATACTAACTGCAGTAGTTCTTTCAAGAATCTTTAGAGATAAGGATTGCACATTGGAAAAGTAAACCATGTTTCATTCCTTTTTCCCTATTTATATTGAAAGAAATAGGCCAGCAGAGACTTAGGGATTTTAAATTGGCTTGCTTTTTAGCTGTTTCAGTCACCAGTGAAGAGCCTATGTGCATTTTGTAGTAGATAATGTAAAATTTGTCATCTTTTTCTTTTCTTTTTTTTAGAATAGCTGATATTTTGATAACAATCTCTAATTTGCATGGGCACCACATTTCTTATATTAAAAGAATTAGTGTTTTGGCTTCTGTACTGCTTATGGTTGTAGGATTCAGGGGTTAATGGAATCACAGAAATGATATTCTGCAAGAATTTCTTTTAAATAAAAAGTTTGGGGGTGCAATATAAGAAGTTTATATAATATGCAGTACATTATCCAAAAGAGAAGGTAGTTAATGCAGTAGAAAGTAGTGGTAATAATTCCTTTTTAAAAAAATTTCGGTAGTCATATAGTAACATTTTGCTATATGAAAACTTTGGTATATTCTGTGGTTACAACTAAGATTGTGTCTGGCAGCTCTTTTTTGGGGATGTGTGTGTGTGATTTTTAACAGAGGTATTAAAGGCTAGCCTAACTGTTGTCTAAAAAGATTGTACAGTATTTAAGGGATTTTCCTTTTAGCTTTTCATCTCCAGTGGCATTAAACATAAAAAGACCCTGGCATTTTTTCACATACTTGAATCCCTAAATGCACCTGTCTTTCACTTTTTGAGACAGACTGAATATATCTAAAATTTCCAGCAATAAAAAAAAAAGCATTTAACTTGCACCAAGCAAGAAAATATAAATACAGTTAACTGCATTAAGATAATCACGTTAAAATTGTTACTATGCAGCACAGAACTTCATTCTTATAGTATTCTTGGGTTCAACCTTTGAATCAATTTTACCACTGATTAAATAAATGACTCAAAGACATCTGTAAGTCATGCTGCTGTGTTTTGAAAGTCTTTAACTAAATTAAGATTGCAGAATGATAGTGATTATTCAATTAGATTTTAAGTAAGGATTGTGATATTAGAGGCTGGAAATCCTTATTTTTTAAAAAATCAGATAGGCATAAATAGTTAAATCACTTTCATTCTCCCCAAACCTGTAGTTACAGAAAAAGTTTTATGCTAGAGGTGGGATGCCAAGTTTTCACTATCCATGAAGCAGCGCTGCATGTCACTAGGTAACACAGATCCATCCAGATGGTGTTTACATTTGATTTATTTGGGATCTTATTGACATCAGGTATACTTGGAAGACATTTCTTTTATTCTTCAGCGTATGAATTTAAAGCTATTTTTTGTAAATATTTCTAATCAGCGATAATTTCTACCTATGTTCTCAACCAACTTAGCCAGTTTGTTTTTCAGAGCCTGTAGTCTTATTGGAAATCTATTTTATCAGTGTGCTTTATTGAGTGTGGATTTTGCATACATTCAAAACATTAACCACAAAATACAGCAAGTGCACCTATATTCACCATTAACTTATATCCCAAGTCCATTTTTTCCTGTACACTACAAACAAAAGATATATTAGAGACTTTTGAAAAATGCTGAAATACTTTGCTTCAGAATTGGAATGTTTATATTATGTAGAAATCTTCAAAGGTAGCATTATTAAATAGCAAAGAATAATTAGAACCCACATATCTTTTTTTGTGTGGATGGGGAAAATGTTTTAAAATCCAGTTATTTAATATGAGTTTGAGAGAGAAAATTGTTTTTTAAAAATATATGTGCATTGAAATGATGGCAATGCTTATAGTATGATCAAGTATGAAAGGAACTTTAAATTCTTATATTTACTTTTCTCTCAGTAAATTGTTAAATTTTCACTCAGCAAAAGATTGGCATTTGTTAAGTGTTCTATATTTAGTACTAAAATCACAGTCATGAAATCATAGTCATAAAATGGTCTTCACACAGCAGTCATCCGTGTCATTTATCATTTTGTAATATTAAATTATGGCAATTTTATTTCAAACTAAAGTTTGAACACCGGAAAGTCATTACTCAGTGATTTGTAATTTGGGACTTGGATTATTTATCTAGAGATGTTTGTATATTTTGTCAGTAACTAATACTGCGCTGCCATCATGGTGACTGTCATGGTTCTACAGAAATGCCCTCCATGTGTCCCTCTAATGTTGCATGTTTCAGTGGGTTGGAAGTTTTGTATATTTATTGTATTAACACAGAGTGTCATAAAATAAAATGCTGTTTACTGGATGTTTGTTTGTATAATTTTGAACACTATAATAGCAATTCAGAGACAGACATTGTTAAAGGTTTGATGTATATAGAAATTCCATGTTTGATTTTTTAAAATATGTGTATAAGTCTGTCATGTGCTAAACAAAATAATATGAAAGACCTAGTTAAAAATTCTAACCAATGTAAAATGACCATTTTTCTGTTGCATTAGACCTTTACAGGTAATGGAACATGAGCTTCACCCATATTAAATATTTTGGCCCCTTTAAGGTCAAAATACAGATCATCTAGAAGTTAGATTCAAAATGGAAAACCTATTCATGGCTCAGATTTTTCATTGTGGGTTAAAAATGGGTGTCTCTGTACTAGTATTGTATTTATTCAATTGAACTTGTATTCTGATTTCTATCCTTGCTACCTATTGCTGTTTTATGTACTGATGAAAGTACCTATTTGTGTATATTGGATTTTTCACTTGGTTAGCTAAAGAAGATGTAAAAATATCTAAAATAATGTTCATGGTGAATCTTATTTTGAGAAATACATGTTAAAAAAGGAACAGTATTCTTTATTTTCTGGGTGTTATATTTAAAAAAGCAAGTTTGGATTTTTACACCTAATTTACTAGGAAAATATTTTATTCTGTAATTCATGTTAAGATTATGTATGGTTTGCATTTTAAGGGGATTTATGTTAGGTTAATTAGTTGTTTCTGTAAATCATTTGTAATAGCATAGTGCTTTTTACTCATTGCTGTATCTTTTTCTGAAAACACTGTTGTTAACATCTAATTCAGTATCCTTATTGGTACAAATCTGTGTTTGGCATGACTGTTTATATACAGAATTTGTTACATTTTGAGCATTTTTTCCCCTGCTTATGTATACCTTAGAGTTACCATGGCTGTCATATACCATTTCACTATATCTCCTTTCAGTTTTTCCTTAAGGAAAATGTTTAGAGGAATTTGTTCATTTCATGTGATTAAGCCCTTTAGAGATGAAATAAGATTGGTTAATTTTAAAAAAATTGAGGATGGTTAAAAAATAGAAAACACCTTACTTTGATACATTTTAAAGTACAATAGTATACATTTATTTAGAGTAGACTAATGTGTTTAAAACATGAGTTGTTTTAAATACTTTTTTATTGAGCTAAAAAGTTTTATCTCACATATTAAGTATTACAGAAAGTGAAGTATTTTGGCTAGAATTTTAGGGCATATTTTATAAAGCAGCATGCCTGTAATATTGGTGGGTATTTTTAAACTTTAGGACTTTATCACAGTATGTAGAGAGCTAGAAATAAATCTAGAAACTTTCTAAGCCAGGTATTGCCACTAACCTGTCTTATATAAGCAGATACCTCTTATTTGAAGATTGTAGGAAAATAGAGAAAGACTGTTCTCCAGTTTTCTCACCCCCGCTGTGGGTTTTATATTTACAATTTAACTTTGGGGTTTGGGTAAGACAAACATTTAATGTATAGGATTTTGGCCAGGTGTGGTGGCTCACGCCTGTAATCCCAGCACTTTGGGAGGCCAAGGTGGGCGGATCACGAGGTCAGGAGATCGAAACCATCCTGGCTAACATGGTGAAACCCCATCTCTACTAAAAATACAAAAAAAAAATTAGCTGAGCATGGTGGCGGGCGCCTGTAGTCCCAGCTACTTGGGAGGCTGAGGCAGGAGAATGACGTGAACCTGGGAGGCGGAGCTTGCAGTGAGCCGAGATCTCTCCACTGCACTCCAGCCTGGGCGACAGAGCGAGACTCCATCTCAAGAAAAAAAAAAAAGAATTTTCATTAGTGCTGGCCGTGTTTCAAATGGCAAGGGAACATGGGAACTATCATGTGGCAATGTAGTGAGTGTTAAACTTTGTGTTTGTCCAAATCCTGATTTATTTTTCAGTTCATATCTTTCTGGGCTTGACATGGCTGATGGTGTAGCTGAAACCCTCCTAACACTAAAAGCCATTTAATCTTTTCTGTAATAGGAGCAGAAAATAGTTAATCATCCACCTAGTAATATAAGATTACTGTGAATATTATCTTCTATACATTAAAACAGTTCTAGTTTGTAGAATAATACCATACAAGTTTTATTTTTAAATTCTAGTTATTTTCAGTGCTTACTTAAATGTAATTCTAGAATTCCTCCACAACTTTTAATATTTTGTATGCCAGTGATTCTCAAGATAAATCATGATTGTAGTAGTTGTTACTGTTGGCAGTTTGTAGTAGTATTCAGGTATTTTGGGGATGGGGGAAAACACCAAAAATCAGTGTCTTTTATCTGGTGATCACTGTGGTATCTACAGTATTCTAGTCTCCTGCACAAAAACTGAACCCACTGGGCCTATGCATCCCTCACACTTTTTTTCTAGTATAAAAGCAATACATAATGTGTTGTAGAACAATTAAAAATTCAGAAAGTGATACATGAGAAAATAAAAATAAATCCTTAATTCTGTCATCTTGGGGTACCTCTGCTAATATTTTATTGTCTTCCATTCTTTTTCTATGCATATGTGTTTTGTTTAGTTAAGAGATATAAGCAATATGGATTTTTAAAAACCTTATTTTCCCCTCACTTAGCTTTATGTCATAATGGCGCAATAGTTTAGTTTTTTAAATTAACTTTTTTAATTTATAAAATTAATGTATATTTCAGTATAAATTATAGAAAATATAAGCAAAAGAAATAACCAAAATTCTCATAATTTTACATCCATGAATAACTTCTATTAAAATCTGGTTTATATCTTTCTATTTTTCTAGGAAGACAACTTCCTAATATTAAAAATGAGATGACCCCGTACATCCTTGTACATCCTTTAGGGATGTCTACCTACTCCTCAAAAGCCCCACTTCTTTGGGTCCTTAAAGTCCACATTGGTACTGGATGTCATCTGGCCATAGTGGACTCATTCCTGGCTTATCAGTTTTTTATTCTGAATGTAGATATGTCTAGAACTCTACTGTTCCAGAATTGGAACATAAGAGGTAGCCATTTTCTGCCATGAGGAAGGAATCACCAAGAAAGCTGGTCTGCAATGAAAATGAAGAATGAAACAGACATAACAGGAGATGTAAAATGAATGACATAGAAAAGATCTTAGTGGCTTTCCTTTTCCTTTATGGAGCCCTACTTCTCACCCTTATCCCATTATCCTCATAATCTTACCGCTTTTTCTCCCTCAACTATCTTGAATTGGTTTCTTATTACTTTTAACTGGAGGATCTTAACACAACAGTTTATCTTATTTCAGTTATGATATAAATATGTATTGAAGATTTTAATATCTCTGAATATATTTCTGTAACATTTAGTATAGCTATATAGCTAACATCATATGTATGTATCATAAAGTCTTGTTATTCCTTTAGGTTCTGATTTTCAGGGTTTTAAAGTTATAAATAATTTATCAAGGAATATATTGTTGCTAAATTTGGGGACTCGGGCTTTTGTTTTTTCTTTAGGACAGATTGCTGAGTTAAAGGGTATTATGCATAGTTTTTAAAGCACCTTTCATGTGCTTTGCCAAGTTGCTCTCCAGAAAAATTTTATCCATATGTAACTCCATCAGCAATGTACGGAAAGGCCTCTTTCTTCACATCCTTGGCCAGCATTGGATGTTCCTTTTCTAAAAAGTCTTTTATCCCAATAGATTTTGACAAATCAGGTTTCTTTTCTGAGCATTCTGGTTTCACATGGCTTATGTGCTCACCCAATGCTACCGGTTTGTTTGTTTGTTTTTGTTTTTGCTAAATAGGAGTAACTGAGTACCCTGCATCCACTGAGAAATCTTCTGCTTCCTGAAAGCTCTAAGGTAAAGATAATTAGCTGAATGCTCTGTTATAACAGGATGGAAAAAGAAATGGTGGCCTCAGGTAGCCAATCCACTGAGTCTCTCCAGGTAAAATTACACTGGTTTCGACAAGTTATGTTACCTTTCATAGAATGTAATTTTAAAATGATATTAGTCTGGGTGGGTAGTATTTTCTTAGTTTTTTTCTAATAATAGCTTATTGTGGGCTTAATTATATACCAGTGTTCTGTACTAAATGCTTTATATACATCACTTAATTTTCATACCAAACTTGTGATATAATTTCTGTTGTTGGCTCTGTTTTTGTAGAGTTCTAGGAAATTACCCCAAGGTCACTCAGTGAGTGGTGGTGGTGAAGGGCTGGAGAGGGATGATGAGAACAGGCAGGTCCCCTGACTCCTGCCAAGCGTGGCTGCCCCACCATGCCGCCTCGTTCCAGTTGTCTTCCCTTTCATCCTTCCACATTTCCAGTCATTCATGTCCATCCTTTAGGGACAACAGATACTAGAAAAAAAATCAACAAAAAAAATTTTTACATATATTTTTGAAGTCTCCAGACCAAATGCTAACACCTGCCACCTAAAGGTGAGTACCTGCTGCCCATTCTTCAGCAGTGTAAATTTACTAAAGGGTCTTTGGCGTTTGTGTGTTTGGAGAAACTTTAGTCGAGGACAAATCCTTATTATTAGGTTAAATATGCTTCTTATGTGATTATAATAGTTGCTTACCCTGAATGAGAGATTATTTATACTAAGAAAACAATAAAAACTGTCAAAGCCTATCATTTATTTTCCCACTGTCACATACTTAATGAATTTCTTGTGTCTGTTTTCAGGATTGAGCTAAATCATGATTGATAAATTGAGACATATGGTGTCATCTTCAAAATTATGAAAAATCACTAGGTGTTTTCTCTGAAAGGGAGGAAGAAGCAGTGTTTTCATCAGTTGTGATGGTGAGGCCCTTTTGGAGTTTTATTTGGAAGTTATTCTAAGTGTTTACAATGTAGAGATATTGCCCAGGAGTTTGCATTGGCTGCCTTCCCACCTTGTGCATTCCAGGTAGAAGGAAACAACATAGCAGTTTGAGTGAGTTGCCTTTGGTGTCAAACATGTATCTGAGCTTTGGCTTTTCCGCTTATTAGCTTTCTAACCTGGGATACATTATTTAACCTCAGTTATTTAAGTGACAGTTATCTGTAAAACAATAGTAACAGTTTCTATCTCATAGGATTTTGATGAATAAATGAATTTTATGAAGTATTTAGCATAGTATCTGCCCATAGAAGTTGCACAATAACTAAGGACACTTACCATCTCTCAGGTGTATTGATGACTCCCAAATCTCTCTCTCTCCTTAGTATAGTCCTAGCTGCACACAGGACTTCTACATTGGCAGCCTAAGCTGAACCTCCTCACCTTCATTGTCCCTGCTTCTTCTGGAGTCTTCATCTTGGTGATCACATCACCTTCCACTCAGTGTCTACGCTAAATACCTGGCTGTCATCCTAGACTCTTTCCTCTCCTTCCTCTCCACTTCTGATCAGTCACCTGCCCATTCTTTTTCCCTAACATAGAATTCATCCCATTGACTGTCCTTTACCATCACTGCCTTAATTCAGGCTTTCGTCTCTTGTGAATAAAATCATAGTGGTTTCCCCTAAACATAGGCATTTGGACTGCCTACCTGTAGGTGTTCAATTTTTCAGGATGTTTGGCTAGAAAAAGCTAAAAAGCTGCTAATAGCAATGTGTTACTTGATTGACTTTTCTTTCCCATGTGGTTTTGGTTTCACTACTTCCTCTTTTTGTGTGCTTTTATCTGTGTCCTGTGTACCTTAGTAAAATTGGCAGTTCTTGTCTGCAAGACTTATCTTGCACAACTGTTCAGGGTAAGGAGAGGAAGTTGCAAGGAAGAAGATAGTAGTAGGGGGAGCAGTGGGATGGCTCTGCCAAATGACTCAGCTGCTAGTGAGGGCCTCTGAAATAAAGTTATTGGTTCTTACTGCTTTGAAGAGTAAAGTTTGCTTTGATACCCTACCCTTCATTGTTTGAGAGTTGAAAAAGATTGTTTGAAACTACTGAAATAATATCCACATAAAATATCCACGTTAGTAAGGACCGTTGTAAGTGGTTGTTTGGTTAAGCAAAAACTTTAAGGGGGTGTAGGTGTAATTTGAATGCAGCATGTTCCAGAAAGATCAGTGTGGAAAGTGGACCTAGTAGCAGAATTGCTAGATAACAACTAAGGATGGGAAGCGGGGGAAGCACATGGGAGGATTCCCCAGCTTCTGCTAAAATTCAACCAGGGTCCATTCTCTGTGTGGATTAACTTTTGGGGAATACAATAACAGCTGAAAAAGCAATGGAAATTTTCTAATTTTTCTTGGGTTATTCAAATCATGATTATTTGGAAAACTGTGTGTGGTTTTTTTAAACTGATATGGGTAACTTTGTCAGCTTTTATTAGAAACCAAAACATGAATCTAATTTCAACTGTCATAGGCCCTAGATCAGGGGAAGAAACTGCCTTTTTTTGGTATGAAATAATAAATGCTTCATGGGATACAGAGAGTTGAGAGTTGAGAAGGGCATTTAGTGTCATTCTTGAGTTTATAAATTAGAATTCCACCTCTTCTGGATGAGGGTTTATATGGCCAGGATTACCTTCAGGAAACATGGATGTGGAATGGCACCGTATCATTGGCTTTTATTTTTAGGGATGTTGTTGGAAGAGGAGGATGTGTCTTTCAGTTAACTTTTCCCCTTGTCATTGTTACATATTTATGTTTGAAAATCCCTTTTTAATACTTCGGAGCATTTTCATATTTCATAGCTTTACTTTAAAATATATGTTTACAATACTTGAGATGTTTTTTCCTATTTACAATTGTGTTGATGCTTCTTCAAGGAAGAAATACATACTTGACGTTAAAGAAAGATAGCCCAGGGTAGGGACATATATGTTACTAGTGAATGGGATAGTTTAAAATACCTGAATATCTTTTTTCCATTCATCAATATTACATGTAAGTTAGTGTTTAAAATAAATGTTGACTGATTGATAGGTATTTTCTTGATCAGATTATACACATCATATTGAAGCCAGTATACTCAGACTTGAAAGAATAAGAATGAATTGCAAAATCTGGTTTAATTAAGATCTGGGGAGGGGAGCACATAGTGAAAATACATATGCACAGGAACCAAATCAATGCTAGACAATGTATTAGTTTACAATATAATAGGATAACTACAAGTTTGAAGGCTCAAATTGAGTCCATCAGCTGTAAATACAATTTTATATTTGGCTCAAGTGGCTGTTGAATATCAAGTGGTGCCGAGTCCCTCCAGAGCACCTACTGACCCCCTCAGCCTTGGAAGGAGTTTCACCACAGTCTCAGAAGAAATCCCAGTCGTGCCTTTAACTCTTTTGGCCCTTGGGAGTCATTGCAACCCCAATACAAATGCCGGCCCAGGGATTTCCAGTGGCCACAAGTTATTGCACAGAGAGGTCTGTTCTAAGCCAGACTCTTACAGCTAAGGAGGTGTGAGATTAGCCCTTAAATACTGGTCTAGCATTAGCATGGTCTATAAAAGCATGTTAAGAAATAGCTCCTCAGTGATTATGTACCAGCTACTAGTTATCCTACTAAGAGAAAAGGCAACATGGCAGCTTCACATTTCACATGAAAGACTAGCATTAACTGGGCCTGGCGTGCGGGCTTAACTTTGACATAACACTAGCGATTATTTTAGACCCAGGAAAAAATGATTTCATACCAGTCTTTTCTTCACATAAGATTTGTGTAGCATTAAAATTATGGGTTACTGAATAAGCCATGAAGGCAAAAATGTGGAACTCTCCTTGCCAAAACAGAAACAAACATCCCTGTTTTGACTCCTGTCCAGTTTCCAAAACAAAACAACAAAACATACATACACCTTTGTTATTGCACATCTTTCACACAAACTTGTGTATGTATAATATACATATATATTTTTAAATATGCTACACATAAAAAAAGACTATGGCACTTTACAGAATATATGTTTAACAAAGATCATTACACCACAGATGTTTGAAAACTATACAAAAACCCTTATACAATTAATGCAACATTGTTTGAATTATTAGCACACAGGTTTAAAGAATCCACAGAATCCAAGGCAAATATTTCTGCCTCAGAGTTCATTGAGAAGCGCAGCCCATCCCATCCCGTCATGAGACTTTCTTTAAGCCAATTTCAGGCAAAATAAATAAGACTTTCCTGGTAGTAATAATGGTCCTATTTATTAGAAAAATAAGTGTGAGCCAACAATCTATTTTTAACATTTCTTTCTAGCATATTCCTCATACCCAGTGGTTTTTAAACAGCTGTGTGGAAGAGCATGGTTTAGACTAGCATGATTTTAGATGGTCCTTTCATCCCAAGCCTGGCTAATGGATTCAAGGTTTAAAAGTCCCAACATTACCTTTTTACTATTTACTAAGTCAGTGTTTAGGTAGTTTTTAGTGGTTTGGGGTTCTGTGTGTGTGCATGCCTGTGCTTTTGTCTTCTGTTGCATTCAGATTAATAACATAAACACTATCGAGTGAGTTTATTATGGCCAAGAAGTCACACTCCCTTGTGACTGTTCCCAGGTTGATCTAGAGGTACACTGCCACCTTAGCCAAAGAGCAGGTGATGGACATGCTCGGAGGATCCTGTGAGCTTAGGACTTAACTTGTAAGGACACTGAGATTGTAAACCTAGTGTCAGAAAATGGTTTCTCTATCCAAGAAAGAAAGAAAAGTGAGTCTTCTGATAAGTTTATGGAAAAATTTTGTGTTTTTCATCAAGGTTTGAGACTTGGTTAGAACATTATAAATGTACACACAGAGACAGAAGCTTTGTCCAGTGGCTCCTCCAGCCTCTTTCTGTGTGGTGTTAGAGATATGGTTAAGGTTTCCTAGGCTGCTATGAAGATACCCGTTTTTTTCTTCACCAAAATCACAGGATTTACATCTCACTCACTTTGAATTTTGGTTCAGGAATGGGAAACTCATTAAGGCTAGTTCCACACCTCCCACCCCTTTTGCCCTTAGCCCTTAATCTGTGAGAAGATGGTTTCTCATATAGGCCAAACACCAGAATGTAGTAAAACTGCGGTTGTCCCATTCCATCTCTGTATAATTATCTGTTCTGCACCAAGATACGGTGCTTTAGACTCAGACAGCTTTAACATGATTCACTCAGGGCAAGGTTGCAAACTCTGAAGTCAGGGTTGTATAGCTGGTAGCACAATACCTTGTCCACAGAAGGTACTTTTTCAAAACAAAGTCCTCAAGTGAGCAGATTAATGAACCCAAATACCTACACTTTTTCTCCTTCCAGAAATCTGGCAGTTCCATCTCACTTTCTTAAAGTGCTAAGGAGTGTTTCTGTATCATGATACAATTTTGAAGCTCCCATAATGTCAGAGTAGCTTGTTTCTGTGCTGCTCTGGTCATTCTGAGATACTATCTTCCTGAATCAGTGATATTGGTAATTTATGGAAAGTAGATTAAAAACCCCTGAATCCTTATTCATAGTGGTATTTGATTCTTTTTGTAAACAGGTGTAGGCAGTGCTGTGACCTTGATCTAGCGCCTCTTTTTGAATTAACTTTGTCCTCTGTGCTTTCCTGGAATTAAGGTCTTGGCTGCAGTTCTTCAGTTGCAGCAATTTAATGTTATCTCAGTCTGCTTTCAGGATCAACACCAGTAACTACAAAAACTTAACTCCCATAACTAGCTTCTTTTTGTTGTAGAATGCCATTCTGCTACTGTCGGGATTGGAAATAGAGCTGACTACAGCATGGTCACCAAACTGGGAGTAAAGGTCTCCCCCCAAGTGCCGAGATTCTGGCAGGTCCTCCCAGTGAACATCTGCATAAGCCACAGCTAGCTTGGAGACCTCAGTCCCTGGAAGGAGGAAACAGTGAGGTTTCCTTTCGCAGTCAAAGCACAATCCTAACCTTAGAAGAAAAACATGTGATCTCCAGAAGAAGAGGAGACTGGGCCAGAACTGGTGCTAGCCTGGCTGCTGGGAAGAAGAAAAAATACGTCTTCACTAGCAAGATTTCATATTTTTGTTCTCATATGATTGTATAGGTCCTTATTGTTTCTTTACTCAAATTTCTAAAATCTCTGGAGTGACAGTTCAGTTGATCCACCTTACCCTAGGATTCAGCCTAGAATAAGTTCCACAGCATGACTCCACGCCATCCCTGCTGACCCCTTTGGTCAGCTAAGCAAAAGACAGTGTCTTGCTGTGCCCTTTAGCACACATCCTGTCCCCAGTAAGTTTATAGTTTTCTGTTCGTTGGAGACAACTTGAAAGAACAGAGGAAAACAAGAACTCCAACCCAAAACCCCATTCTGAGGCAGAGATGCTCACAAGCAAGCAGTGTTGGAGCAGAAACAGCCTGCAGATCTGGCGGACGGTCTCTTCCGTTACCAGAGAAACTGCTGCCCTAATGATTTAGATTATTATCCTTCATTGAACCTGGGGGAGATGGAGTCTGACAGAACTTGGCAACTCCAGGTCTAGGATTATATACTATTTTCATGTTCCATTCCTTATAATGTGCACTGCAGACCGCATGTCCAGTAACTTTGCGTAGCTGGATGTGGCCTCTCATTGGTCCTGTTTAAGCCTCGGGCCGTGGAACGTGGCTTTGGTAGGTAAAGGTTAGTTCTCCACTTGACTCAAATGATGAAACTGTGGACTGTTTCACAAGATTACTCAAGGGAGAAAATGGCATTGTCTCTTCCAAACTAAAGGAGGCAGATCAGATTTTTCCCCTCTTCAATTTCTTCCTGTACTTTGTCACTAGAGGTTGCAATTTCTGCTTGTGCAGAGAAGACAGCACAGATGAAAGTGAGGACTGTGCCCCCAATGGCGGTATAAAAGGCCCAGCCCAAGGAGCAGTCTCCAGGTTTGTAGGCAGATGCATAATGTCCACAGTAGTCTATGGCCTTCTGGCAACCCCAGCCAGCAGGGTAGAGTATCAAACCGAGGATAAGGAATAGACCTGCAGAACAAAAGAGAAAACAGATTAGAAAATCCCCATGGTGCTACAACTGTCCAGATCTGTTGTAATTGTTACTTGATTTGCTTGCTTTGGGCAAGGGCATCTATTCTGCAATAGAAAGTGTTGGGACTGTTTCATGCAAACTAATCTGACCTGATCAAGAAGTATCACATTATTAGAAATATTTTCAGCCACTTTTTTACATGTTGGAATGTGAATCCACTAAAAATTTCTCTTCTAGAAAAGCAAATTGGTACTTTTCTTCTTCTTAAGACAGAGTCTCAATCTGTTGCCCAGGCAGGAGTGCAGTGGTGCAGTTGTAGCTCACTGCACTTGAACTCCTGGGCTCAAGCTATCCTCCTGTCTCAGCCTCCCAAGTAGCTCGGATTACAGGCACACACCACCACACCTGGCTAAGTTTTTAAGTAGAGATGAGGTCTTGCTATGTTGCCCAGGCTGGTCTCAAACTCCTAAGCTCAAGTGATCCTCCCACCTCGGCCTCCACCACGAGTGGCCAACTTGTTACTATGTATTCCCACAGGGCTTTTGGTGCACTGAGCATTTCTCTTTTGGTCTAAGGCAGATGTTGGTAAACTAAGGCCCTCAAGCCAAATGTTAACTTTATAAGTAAAGTTTTATTGGAACACAGCTGTGGCCATTCATTTTTGGATGCCTACGACTGCTTTGCTATGGTCTGCAAAATCTAAAATGTTTACTCTAAAATGTTTACTGTCTGGCTTTCTGCAGAAAGAGTTTGCCAACTCCTGGTCTAAGGAAATTCACACAGAACCATCTGATGTCAACCTGATTAAATGCAAGAGCAAGGGCCACGAGGGAGACCAGGTCTTTACCTGATTGTTAGTGCTTTAAGTAAGCCAGATGTTTCTGTATTTATATACACATTTACAAACAAATTGCAAACTTTGTAAGGACTTTCTGTCTGCGTACTTTTAAGAGAGTGGACACTAATAAGCTTTACTTCCATTTTGCTGACCCTACTACCTTGTCATTTTAAACACCTATTTTCCTGTTCTTCACAGCATTACTGCTCACTATATAACCAGAATGCATCACTTGAGTTATTTTTCCTGCCTAGTCCCACCAGAGCTAGGACTAGGGTGAGCCACAAAAGGAGTCGCTTGCTGACCTTCAGGTATCAGCCCTGTGCCTGCAGTGGGTGCCTCACCCTGGCTGCCAGTCACATGACAGTAGCTCCTCCCAAAAAAGCCAGAGGCCTGAAATGACAAAGGCAACCTAGGCCCCCCCAGATTTTACCCAGCAAAACTTTAAAACTTTCTTGGTAACAGATCTTCTTTAGGCCAGGTGCAGTGGCTCACACCTGAAATCCCAGCACTTTGGGAGGCTGAGGTGGGTGGATCACGAGGTCAAGAGAGTGAGACCATCCTGGCCAACATGGTGAAACCCCGTCTAACTAAAAATACAAAAATTAGCTGGGCGTGGTGGCACACCTGTAGTCCCGGCTACTGGGAAGGCTGAGGCAGAAGAATCGCTTGAACCCGGGAGGTGGAGGTTGCAGTGAGCCAAGATTGGGCCACTGCACTCCAGCCTGGCAAAAGAGTGAGACTCCCTCTCAAAAAAAAAAAAAAAAAAGCAAGATACTGCAAGAGGAGGAGGAGGGCAAAAACATTTTCTCTGAAAAATTCAACCTATGTAATCAAGAATGCTGTATCATAATCAAAGTTCCCACTTTTTAGATACTGGGGAATATCAATTCTATCCTGGTGAATTAATCTTGGCATCTTGGCTCTGAGTTCTGTTTCTTTACCTACCTTAACTGAAATTCTCTGGGTTTACCCCACCAAAGCTTCTAAGTCATTTACAGCAACTTCCCCGCAAAGAAAACATGACTGACTTTATGGCAGTATGAGGCGTGAAGGAAGATTGGGGACAGTGTTTCAACTTACACATCACAACTTTCACAGTGGTCTTCATCCTGTGATGGTGTCCAGCTTGGCATGTCACTACCAGGGCATTTTGGGATTTCAGTGTCTCCACCCCATCCCATTGTTCTTCTCAGATGGCCTCAAGGGACTTTGTAGCAGGGGTGGAGTAGAGGGAATCAATTCAGATGCTCATTGTTTGAAGAGGGGTGATTCACAAGGAAGTCTTTCTAACCCCACGGCCCTCTCTATAGATCTGAATGGTGGGAACCTGGGAGGCAATGAGTTGTAGCAAGGAAATGTGATTGGTGCTGGGAAGAGCAAGTGAAGCTGGAGAGAGGCTGTTAGAAATGACCAGCAGCCAGTTCCCCCAAGGCTAAGGCAGCCAGTGCAGACTCTTGGTCGTCTAGAATATGGAAGGTCCTGAACCACAGCAATGAAAGGGTAGAAATCAAGTAGCAGAAAAGACCCCATAGTCTAGTGTGAGGACAGGAGGCTAGAACACAAACCAGAAATATGGTGGACCACAGCAGAGACTCACCAAATTAAGAGGTGATTCTGTTAATAGTTAAGAGCTCTGACTTTAGAGTTTGAATCCAGGCTCCGCCCTGTATGAGCTGAGTGACCGACATACGATTCCTCACCTGTAAAATGGACTAATCCATCACTCATAGGTGGCTGTGAATTGTGAAGTCTGTTCTACCATCGTAACAAAAACTGGAAACAGATGATGAGCCTGAACACAGGTCAAAAGCCCTCGGCAGGCCCCTCTCACACAGAAGCAGATCAGCTCATTGTTAAGGGCATATTTTGAGAAGTATAATAATTTGGGGAGAGAGGAGATCCCCAGGCTACATTCAGTACTCTTGAAAAAATATTCTCCATCTGAACAGAGGTTTGTTCAGCTGAGATCTTAAATGATTTAACCAATTCTTAAATATTTCTAAGGCCTATGATAAACCCCAATTAATCTTGTCTGCATCCCACTTTGTTCCCTATGAAGCCTCCCCACAAGGTATGATGGGGATGTTAATAGTCTTCTCCCTCCAGGTCCTAAGGTGCCACTCTGGTGTACCCTCCATGGGCCTTCTGTACAATCTCCCCCAGCCCGGCACGCAAAGGCACTTTGGGTGTGCTGTAGCCTCTGCCCTAAAGCTCTGAGTGTAGGCCTGAGGTGAGGCAGCATTAGCTGCTCTTCCCTTTAAAAGACCAAAGTGTTCATATTTTTTGTTCCAATTCAACATTAACTGCACATTGCACTTGTATTATATGTGCACTTTAATATATTAGGGACAGAAGACAAAGCATGGAGTTTGCTGTCACATACCAGCTCTGCCACCTTGTGTCAGGCTCTGCCTAGTTTGTAAGGCACAAAAAATACCTTAATTTGGCTGTCTTGGGTTCTCTGGGGAAGCAGGCAGGTTTTACATCACTTAATACAATCCTTATTTTTGATAGCAATCAGGCTCCTTTCCACAGCGTGCTGAGCCCAGCCAGGAGCATTAATTGCCCTGAGGCGCTCCCTTTTCTAATGGCTCAGGTGTGACTGCTGAGGGGCTTCAGGCCATCTTCAAATCTTGTGGCTGCTCCTGGCTCAGTTTGTGAATAAGTAAAGCAGGGAGACTCTTGCTGTTGTTTAAGTCACATAAGAGTGCCATGCTTGTGAGCCTGTGGAAAGCTTCAGCTTGAATATTTATAAGCCCACAGGAAAGTCCATGTGACAGAGTAATACAAAGCGGGTGAGGTATATCTGCCCTGTGGGTGTGAAGTGTGCCAACCACACGCTGCAACCTGGGCAGCCAGCCCCGACAAGCACAAGAGCGCCTTAACCCAGGGCTCCGTGGGGCAGTGGAGGAAGTCACCACTGTCCACTCTGCCCTGACTGGCGGGCCTCTGCTCCCAGTGCCCATCACAGTTATCATTAACATAGCCGAGGCCATGGAATAGGGTTTGAATCCAGGCTCTGCCCTCTATGATCCCTCACCTGTAAAATGGACTAATGTCTAAGAGAAAACTGGGCCTTCAGGTAAGCAAAAATAAATTTTTTTAAAAAATCTTATTTATCATTTCTTTGGGTATGTAGATAAAGCCTCTTCTACCAAAGGAATCCCAGCAAGATCAGTGACTTGGGTGTCCCTCTGTGGTGAATGCCACACGTAGTCCTCCCCTCACGAGGTCCACAGTGGGAAGCAAAGCTACCTGTCTGAGCCCAGCCTGGCCCTGGTTCTCCACTGCTCTCAGGCTGAAGCAGCTTCAGAGCAGCCTGGGCAGGAGTTCCTGGGCCCTGACAAGCATCCCTCAGGCACAGACTTCATCCTAGCAGTCACAAGAAACTGTCAGTAGTTGATAATGTTTACCTACAAGAATTGTCATTTCATACGACTCAACCTACCATTTGATGATTATCCATCTCCATCCTTGACTTTATGCTCCATGAGGGCAGGGATTTTTGTGTATTTAGTTTACTGCTCTAATGCCTGTGCTTAGAATGATGCTGGGCACACAGCAGGACCTTAATAAAAATTTACTGACAGTGCAGTTTGCTTTGTAATAAAATATTTCTAAACCATAGTGCCCATGGAGGAAATCAGTAAAATAACTGAGATACCAGTCAATAAGAATGAAATGTGTCAGCAAGAAAGAAAATAGAGACCTTTGGGTGATTGATGTATCCTGTTCTAGGCCGGTGAGCCCTGGGTTTTAAAAGCAATCTTGTGCCCTGAATTCCAAATGGGCTT
Source organism: Homo sapiens (assembly GCF_000001405.40). Classification (NCBI taxonomy): domain Eukaryota; kingdom Metazoa; phylum Chordata; class Mammalia; order Primates; family Hominidae; genus Homo; species Homo sapiens. The sequence continues at coordinate 78,493,793 of NC_000005.10, forward strand.
GATACTAATAAAACAATTAAAATCAATAACTTCTTCAATGGGCATATGAGACAAAGGCAAGAGAATACAGTAACAGATACGAAGTTTGCTGGAGACTTGGAATGGTTTTTCTGATACTCAATTTGGAGTACACTCAGGGACTATCAGCTTGGTCATAGGTTACGTCCAGAGGCCAAATGGAAGGTAAAGGATGCTTTGGACTGGGTTTCACATGACGGCTGAGCCAGAAAATGGTCTGTCTGCTCTCCCTTTGCAGCTATTAAAAAAGCAGTTCCTGAAGTGAGGCCACCCTCTCTGGTAGTCTCTGGGGCCCTGCCATCACCTTGCCTCACTGCACTGTTGTTTTGGGGGTGTGTTTGTGTGTTGTGAAGGGCAATGGAAGAAGGAAGGGACTAGGGCTGTGGGCATTTATTTTCTTCTGCCTGGCATCTCTACCTGATTCATGACTGGGTCGCAGCAAGCCCAGCTGGGAGGAAGAAGAAATGGGGGGGAGAATGACACTGGCCAGCCACCAAAGACAACGCAGCCACCATGGAAAGAAGCCATAGGTCACCTGGAGGGCTGCTCACCTCTGCGATGGCTCAACTTGACAGAATGGTGCCCTAGAAGGTAACAATTTTCATAACCTTAAAAGACTCCAACATCCTCATCCCCGTGTTCTAACAGCCTCATTGTACCAAGGAGGTTAGAAGACGTTAGCATCTGCTGGCAATGGGGGGATCACATGATTCAACCTTATCTGTAGAGGAAAAAAACAAATGAAAAGCTGATGGTCAGTCACTTGGACTGCCCAACAGGTGCCACCTCCAGCTGGAGACAGAGCCTTGACAACCTCACCGATGGTCATGGTATTGTATTGGGATAGCTGGTGCTCGCCCTCCCAATCAGCTGGGCACCAGCCATCCCAGCGCAGCACCTGCCACACCCCACTGCCATTTTCATATTTTCCTCACAGAAGTTTTATCTACCCGTGCAAGAATCTTCAGAGTTTCTTTGGGGAATCTAAATACGTGGTTTGCATTTAACAGAAATAATCAGACTGGGCTCCGTGAGGGCAGAGGCTACACAGAGGAACACAGTTTTATCACTGTGTTCCCAATGCAAACGTAGGAAACACACCAGGAAAAGCCAAGTCACAGTCCTGATTTCCTAGCAACATTTTGCACTGAGTGTGATCAGACCAGTCACAAATTTATGTCTTAGGTAAATTTTTAAAATACTGCCCTGGAATCAAATAATGGGATATCAAATACTTTTAATCAAATCCCTTAGGTGGGAAGAAAAGCATTTCCATAGTCCTGCCAGTCCCCCAGTTTGGGGAAGGCTAGATGTTGCTGCATACAGTGAGTATTTCACTGGGTCTGAAGGTGACCATGTCAGTCTCACAGTGAGGGATGCTAGGAATGGAGGAGCCAACTCTGAACCACAGCATTTCAGTTTGTGAAGAAGTGGGATAAGGCTCCATGGTTATTTCACAGCCTTTCCCTGACCAACCCACCCTCTCCACATCAGTCATGATTACTACCCTCCTTCACCACCTGCTGGCCAATGGATGGGACTCAAGGTTTCTTGTCTTTGTGGGTCACCAACCATTTGTACAGAAAAAGGCCTTTGTTCCTGCCTGAAAAGGGAGCACTACAGGCTGGCTCTTGTTCCACAGAGTAACTGTCTGAAGAAGTGAGTCTTTAGACACCACACTCCCACTTCCCCGTCACACAGGCTTCCAGACTAAATATTAAAGACTAGACCTCAGCTTGCAAAGGAAATTCTAAGAACAGAAACAAAAGAAGGTCACCTGTTACCACTACCAGCAATCTGTGGAGAGGCCACCACTGAGAGGGCCAACACTCAGCACCTTTACTAAGTCGAAATCAAACAGCTTATTCCACAGCTATGAAATATCGGAACGTCTCTGGAGAGAGTTCACAGCAGACAATTGACAGCAGATGTAAAGTACCTCTGATCAACGTGGGCCCCACTTGGGAAGTTCCCAAGCGTGTCCACGGAGTGCATGCCATATGCTTGCCTTCACAGACCATTTATGGATGGCCATGGCTGGGTTATAGGAGTGGGATGCTGTAGGGTTTCAGAGGCTGGTGATAGTCAACAATCTGGTCACACTACACACATCACCATTCCTCGAACAGGGGCCTGTTATTCACAGTGACCCCCTTGGACGCTCACGCATCTGGGCATTCTCTCCCTCATTCCAATGCAAATGTTGCCTCCCCGGGAAATGTTTGTCACCACTTCCTGCCACAGGGTTATTCTCGTTGTGTTCCCACCTCCAACGTACATCCCTCTTGAGCTCTTTCTCACTTTTAAAAATTTATTCAATAGCTGTTTACTGAGGGCATTACTCTCAACCCTGATGATACAACAGTATCCTAGTGGGACTCAGCCTCTTGAAGCAGAAAAGCTTTGGTATCTCCCACACCCAGCACACTTCGTGACACTTTTTAGGAACTTGGTTATAGGTTAATTAGAATCGATACGAATTCTAATGAGACATTGCAACTTTGCCTTAACATTCACTGATAAACCTGCTAGGTGTGTCACACAACTAGGTCAAGAGTTCATATTCTGTCTGTCTTTGAAATAGCTGGCCATTGGCCCTTTTAGGAACATAGCAGCCCATCTAACTATTAAACATCAATTTCTCTTATAACATTTTTCTGAAAAAATAAAAAACAAATCCCTCTAGTGTTTTGTGTTGGTCTGCCCTGTGACTCAGAGGGCTGTGGATCTAGCTAAGTCTGAGCCCCAGCCCTTGTTGACCCAGCACAGCTCACTACAGCATAATGCCCAAGGGCTGCCCTGCCACTAAGTTGCTTCCTGTGTTCCATATGACACAGCTTAGACAGCATTCCAGGCTTTTCAGTGGGGACAGCTTCACAAAGTACTGATGGTACTAGAATAAAGGAAAACTCTGACAGGACAGTTATTCTCATATGAATTTAAGATCATCAGCCAGTGCTCTGCCTCCAGATGGGAAGCCTCACTGGCTTTTCCTTCTTGGTGTTCTTTGCTGCTCCCCCTTTACCTTTCCAGTCTAAACACAAGGGTGCCCAGGGCTCACTCCTTGGTCCTCTTCCCTATCTATATTCCCCTCCTGATCACAGCTGGCCCCATGGCTTTAAGTACTACCCCAAGCTGAGTTTTCATTTCCAGTTTTGAACTCCAGATGTGCATATCCAGCTGTCTACTTGGCCTCTAGCAAGGCACTTGAAAATTATGTCCAAACCAGGACTCTTGATTTCCATTCCCCACTCAAAACCTGTTCTTCACCTTGTCCACCTGATCTCAACAAATGGGAGTTCAATTCTTAGACATGTGCAGGCCAGAGACCTTGCTATCATCTTTGACTCCTTTCTCAGAAATCCCAATTTACTCTATCGGCAAAGCCTGTGGGCCTTCATTCTAGCTGTTCCCTTTGCCTGGAATGTTTTCTCCTGATACCCACATGGCTAACTCCTCTATCTCCTTTAAGGCTGTGGTTAATTAAATCTCTTCTTTTCAATAAATCCTACCCTAACTATCTTCAACATTCCCTCTCACTATTCCAGCATACCCCGGCCTCTCTCACCCGGGCTACACCTTCTCCTGGCTCCTCTACCCTACTGCACACTACCTTTTAACATACTATATAGTTTACTTATCTTATTTATTGTCTACCCCCGCCAGCTTGAATGTAAACTCCATGAGGACAGGGAACTTTATGCAGTTTGTTCTTTGTGTCCCAACTGCCTAGAACAAGGTCTGACATGTAACAGGTGCTTAGTAAATATTCACTGATTTGAATGGATGAATGAAAAGATAAGGTGATGTGATTATATTACATTTTTAAACAAAGCCATTGTAGAAAGTTCTTGACAAGTTTTTGAAATGGTTGGAGGAAAAGCTTCAGTTTGCAATTCTGGCCAACAGAACGCCAGCTACACAGTTACTACTGAAACACATGTGCAGACCAAACCACAGGACTGGTCTTTTGCATAACTGCCTGCACTGAAAACCTTCCTGGCTACAGAAAATACCTGGTTGTTAGGAAATCACACAGAAAAAAGTAGTCAGTTGATTAAATGTAATACACTTTCAGGTATCTAGACACCAGCCTGAGTCTAGGCTCAGATCTCTGAAATTGTTTCCAGCTTGGCCTGGCTGCAGCAAGGACAGCTGCCAAGACAGGCCGCGGCTGACCTGTGAGAGCTGGCCAGGCACTGGCCAGGAGAGGAGCAGCACGCGGGAGAAGGACGGGAAAGGACAGGTGAGAGAAGACAAAGGATACGTGGGGGAATGAGGTGAGCCACGACCACTTGTGAAAGAGGCAGGGTGGTAAATATTAGCAGTGTGAGCCTGGAGAACGGAAAACACCACTGCGAAGGTACCAGCACTATGGGCAGAGGATGCAGAACTGTTCTGCAGCCCAGGAAAACGCCCACTCCTCTTGGCAGCATCGCAGATCAACCTCTCAGGGTGGGGGTGTGTTTTTCTGTTTCCAGTAGATGTTTAGAAGTCAGGCCATCTGTCTCAGTCAAGTGTACAACAACTGGTGACTGAGTAATAAGCAGCATCTCTGTGTGTGGTTAATGCTCATCTGTGTGCTTCCCTCTGTTTTCTACGTTTTTAATCTTTCCCCAAGTCATCTTCCATGCTGATAGTCAGAAGTCATTCTGGCAGCCCCTAGCAGCTATTTGTAGGCCACCAACTGTTGCTAGGTGGAGATATTTTCTCTTTTACAATATCCTAAGGCAAACTGTCAGACAGTCTGAAGACTGTGCTTTGAGGAGGGCACATGTATCAGACCACATCCAGTTCCCTCGCCACTGAATTTGCCATTAAGATATTCTCTTCCCAAAGACCACAGTGTGAACCTGCAGACTTCCCATGTGCAGGGACTCTGGAGACACTCTGCAGTACTGATCCTTACTCACCAAGACAAGAGACACCCTACTTCAGAAGAAAGAGACATACATGATACAATTTAGAATGAATGTCTTGGGTAAAAATAATAAAAAGTGGATAACCATCTATCTGGAAAACTATCCTGTAAAAAACAGAAGTCTTACTGTGACATAGATGCACTTGTCCCATTATAAAACAGCACTGGTTCCAAGACAGACTGGAGGCCTGAACTACGATTCCACTGGAAACGTGTTGATAGTGGTAAAGAGTGTTCCTATTCCTCAGTTTCTATGTCTCCAGCCCTATCCCCATCTACACTCAGTGCCTCTTATGCAGTCCTCTACACATAATGGCAGTGTTGACCAGCTTCACATGCCATTTCTGATGCCCATTTCCTTTCCAAGCATCACTTCTTTGGAAGAACCTTCTGGAAAGGTCTTCTATAGTAAAAATGATAGACTCTAAAGATGAAATGGAGATGAAACTATAAACACCCTCCCCCAAATTTATAATATACATTCACAATGGATACTTTAGTTGGAAGTTTGTAAAGATGATTAGAACCCTTTAATAATCATGAAGATAACTTACACTAACAATGGGAGCATTTCATGCTTGTTGAGCACTCTGTGCTAGGCACTGGTTAAGCACTTTAAATATAACTCATGCAGTCCTGATAGCAATCCTATGAGGCTGATACTACTAATATCATTTGACATATGAGGAAACTGAGGCACGGAAGGGCTAAGTAGGGTTACACAGTTAATCAACGGCAGGACAGGGACTCAAATTAGAGAATCTGGCTCCAGAGTCCACTTCCTGAGCCTTATCCTAGACTGCTGTTTTACTGCAGACCAGAGACTAACTTCCAAGACAAAAACATTTGTCCAGCTGAAGAGGAGAGACTGATATGCATTCAAAAGCTTGCTTAGTTATATCTACAAGGATTAGAGAGCAGGTGATAAGGAACTGTTATCAAGTGAGAAACCACAGGAGTGCCGTGAGGGGTTATGGAGAGTGGAAGACTGCACCAAAATAAAGGTAGCCTATTGTCAAGCAGGTTGACTTGCTAATCCTATTGCAAAACAACAGCAAGATAAAGAAATTCCATCTCCACTCTCTTCCATTTGATCTGAGTGTCACCAACCTTACTGAAGCATTAGATGCCACTTTGGAATGGCTGCCCTTGGTCCGACCAACTTCTAGAAAGAAGCCTAATGAACAGGTCAGAACAATTTAAGGCTCACTATGATGTGAACCTTGTACAGAATGTGGAACACCTGTGTGAGCAGAAAACTGCAAACAGCACCAAACCCACTGGACCAAAAGGAAAAAAAAAAAAAGGCAGTATAATCAACTGACGACTTAGTTTTTGCTCAGATCTTCTATGCTTGGGAACCATTTGAAATTACAGATCCATCCAGAAAAATAATGCCATCCACAAAATCACCCATAAAAAAACACATCCAAGAAAGCCATCTGTAGCCAATTAGACAAAATTGGGCAATGAGCATCTCAGTCCCAAATCTCTCCTCCAATAGGTCAGGCCACTGTTCAGCCATCTCACCTCCCAAGCAGCCTTTCTCAATTCATAGAGCTAGATGATCTTTGTCTTTCCTGATTGCCTCCTACCCCTGAATCCTTGCACCACTATCCGTGATCCAGTGGGTGTTAGTTAAACCCATGTCATTGAGGGATCTGCTTATTCCTATGTCTGCATGCAGGGGAAGCTGCTCATAATCTCAGGCATCTGGCTCTCGTGAAATCTTGCTTAGAACAACTGTAAACACCGAGGGTTGGGGGGAGGCAAGATCTCTTCCTTCCACCCAGGAAGAGTTCTGGTTCTGTACCCTACAAGCCCAAATGAAATTAGCAAAGGTATTCAATCCTGCTTGTCTTCCCCAGATGCCAGATGGGCTGCTATCTTCAGTACCAAAACTTCAGTTAGCCACTCAGAGTCTGAATAAATAAAAGTAATATAACAAAGTAGGAGTTATAACATGAATCAAGAATTTTTGCCCAATAATGATCACTTTTGGTTAATCTATACCTTTGCCCATTAAGGTTCTCCAATGAAAACTTTTTCAAAGTCCAAGCAGAATTTGGTTTCAGTGATGACCAGTTCTGAAGTGATTCTTCAGATGATGGCTCATCAGTTACTTATGCCATAACTGTCTAGGAGGGCCGGGTCTATATCAGAATTGAGACTTAATGGCATTCGTTAAATTCCAACACCTATAAATTTACAGCTGGGGCTAGAAGAGACTAATCAGTGGTTCCACAGATATGTGCCTGTCAGCGAACATACATTTACTGAGCATCTACTATGTACGTAGTGGGTTCCATTCTGAACACTAGAGGTATAACTGAAAAGACACGTCACACCCTTGTGGGACTTCCTTATATTCTAAAACAGTGGTTCCTACACTTTCTGGACTTTACAGTCCAGAAAGATTGTTGGGAGGGCAACATTTTTTATTTTGCTAATAAAGACACTGAAAATAGCCTTTATTATCTCCTCTCATCATTTCATAAAAGAATATTTTAATACAAGAAGGGTGAAGGATGTAATTGGAAAATAAATGACATTTCTTTGAAGTGAATACATCGGCTTGATGAAATGTTACCACACTTACTAAACTTCCTTGATTTTGCCGTGAAATGGGAGAAGCCTTAGCACAGAGTGGACCAGCACTCGTTCAAAGGAAGCAACTTCTGGCTGAGGGCCCTTCTGCGGGGTAAGAGATGGGGGAGTGTAGAGGGTACCTGCGTTAAGATGCGGACCCCTTTCTAAGAAGCCTATTTATTTACTGTGCAAGTATCAAGATACATGGTAAGGAGGCTCTGAGTCTCTTTGGAGTCTAGGTCCAAACTTAAGTTAGAAGAGATGAGGTCTCACTGTGTTGTCGAGGCTAGCATGCAGTTGCTATTCACAGACGTGATCATATTGCACTACAGTCCCAAACTCAAGTGATCCTCCTGCCCGTGTAGCTGGGACCACAGGCATGAGCCTACATGGCTTACTCCATCTCATTTTAAAGTTTCAAGAGTTCGTGGACAAGCTAAACCAGGCTTAACGTCGACATTTAGTAACTCATTTAGCTCCAGGGGCCAGATCAGGAACTAGAAGTCAAAGGGTTTCCTGGCAATAAAAGAGTTTTTGTGAATGACTACAGCATCTTTGAGAGCAGGTATCTACATGTTATTTTAGTACATGATCAATAATTTTAGAAGCTTTAACCAGTAAGATTTCAGAGACAAGCAAGAGAAAAAGGGAAGGAACTGGTTATTTTCAAGTGTCAATTAAAAAAAAAAGAAGCTTGCATTAATGCTTTTGCTGTTTCCCCAGAGAAATCTAGTAAGATATCCATTTTCTACTAAAAATACTCCCATGATATTATAGTTGGCAAGAAAAACACTCTCCAGGGTGGAGACAAGATGACAGATGAACATAAATAGCATTCTTTAGAAGACAATCAGAGCATAGTTGTCATAAAAAGATCTTACAACCAAGGTCCCCAAAGGAAGTTTCTGTTATAATTACTTGAAATTAATGGCCATCAGTTAAAAATTGTCTGATGCCCTTAGGATATGTGGAGAAACAATCTAGAAGAAAGATGCAGTTTCTCCATTGTTGAAGCCTCCCTCTTTCTCAGCAGTAATTCCTGTTTAAAAGCAAATTACTTCTGCTAGCAGTTTTTAAAGCCTTAACTCTAGAACGTTGAAATACATCTCAACAGACTAACCTAGCCAGATGATTCCTTCCCATCAGTTAGTGATGAAGCCTTACTTCACATTCGGGGTGAGAAGCTGTTTGTTAACTGGCTTACATGCAACTGAAAGAACTTTATGAAATACGTTCTCCATAAGTTATTCATCAGACAGGCAGGATCACGAAAGACAGAGCTCCTGCTCGACTATAACCAAAATACATTGATAATTCAAAGTAAGTTACCAAAATAAACTGCAAAATGTAATGTGTAACAAGGTAAAAGGCACTTTTAAAAAACATAGTTACTAAAGCTATGGAATTTCTAGGACAAGTAAATTTCTTGCCTGCTGAGGTCTTTGGGTGCAGATAATGTTAAATAATTCCTACTACAGCAAACCAGGTGCTGTCTTTTCAACACTACGTCCCTGAACGTGGCCTCTGTCACTCTGAACACACAGCCACTCTGCATTTTGAGTTGAAATTACTTAAGAGTTGTGGACACGTATTTGTACTGATTCTTAAAGCATTTTAATATTGGCTTCATTTTCTCCGCATGTGTAGTTTTAGATTTAATATGTAATGGTGGCTGTCTTTAAAAGAAAAAAGTTGCTGGCCATTTAATAAAGCTACTGGGAAGACCATCTACATAAATGAGCTCATAAATGTGGCTGACCGCGCTGTAGGACAGTTCTTCATAGAAGATGCAGATTATTTTTGAAGTGGCTTTATAGCTTAAAAGAATACCACCTTTGCATTAAGCCCCTACAACAGAGTGCCAGAACTGCTCATGTAAATATTCAGGGCCATGCTTAAATGATTATTTGTTAATGTAATTTGAATATAGATCATCCATGGCTCTGTGATAATTTATGTCGACAATTAAGTAGTTGCCATGGCAAACCACTTTTGCATTTTATTTGCATATCAACTGCTATATCAGAATTTTAAGAGAGTTTGCCATTTCCTTCCAGACTTTCCAACTCATTCTTTAAAAACAGGTCCCCGTCTTGGCCAGGTGCGGTGGCTCTGCCTGTAATCCCAGCACTCTGGGAGGCCGAGGCAGGTGGATCACCTGAGGTCAGGAGTACGAGACCAGCCTGGCCAACGTGGTGAAACCCCGTCTCTACTAAAAATACCAAAAATTAGCCAGGCATAGTGGCAGGTGCCTGTAATCCCAGCTACTCAGGAGGCTGAGACAAGAGAATCACTTGAACCTGGGAGGCAGAGGTTGCAGTGAGCCAAAATCGAGCCATTGCACTCCAGCCTGGGCAATAAGAGCGAAACTCCATCTCAAAAACAAACAAACAAACACAGGTCCCCATCTCTAGAGATACTAAATTAATACCTGCTTGGTCCACTTGCTTTTCAGCAGTCATTTTTTTATTTATGATATGGTTGAATTCTTCATTCCCTTTATATATTATTTATTTTATATTTCTTTTGCTTCTCTATGGTACAGTTTGTGAAATGATGACTCTCTAATACAGCCTGGAAGCAGAACTCAGCAAGTTGTAGACCTGCGTCTACAGGTCTCTGCACATAGTAGGCATCCAATACAAGTGCCTAGGACTGAAATTGAATTCTGACCTACCTTCTCATAACATGTCTGCATTTTTTTTACTTTTTACCAAGGGACTACTAAAGGCTGATGAATTAGGAAATGTGTCCTATCAGTGGTATTTTAAAACTGATTCAGACACGGAACTGTTGGACCTGACTTCTGGTGGAGCATCATCTGTCTGGACAGCCAGAAACCAAGAGCCTCCCTTTGGCAGCCAGAAGTCCTCAGGGCCTTGTGCTCACCAGGAACAAAAGGAAGGGCTGTTCCCTCTACTCTCCCCATGCCTCTTTGAGGGTGTTCTGAAGGTGGGCAACCAAGGTCACACCACCCCAGAGAAAGCCCGGTGACTTTTTCAGGAGAAAAATTCTGAGGCAGGGCTCCATGTGTGCCAGGCATCTCCGTCCATCTCCCTATGCTTCCCAAGCCCCTGTTCTGATTTCTCTCCTCTCAGTGGCTGACCTTGTCTTTTGGGCCTGAGAGTGAATGAGTAGGGCATGAGATCAGTCATGGGGTTGGGCTATGGTCATAACCTTGATGCTTAAGGTGATTTTTTACCCTGTGTAAAAAGCAGTAAGAATACCAAATCCTGGAGAGTGATCAGCTGCATTTCGTATGCCCACCCATACTTCCATGCATCAGATTTATGACAAAAGCAATTATATAAGCAGCAAAGGCAAAACCCCCACGTGTCTGTCTCTGCTTTTCCTTTTATTGCTTTTTTTCATGTTGTCCTCTTTCACCCTCAATCATTGCTCACTTCCAAGAAGGCTGAGCCTGCATACACCAGGCCCTTCACCGCCACTGCCAGCGCCATTCCCACGACCACACACCCTTCACCCCAGCCCTGCAGAGGCAGGGTTCAGCCCCAGGGCAATCTATCTGGTCAGACTGGTGGGGCAGCTTGCTAAGGCTGTCCTGCTGGACTGAGACCCATGCAGGCAGAGGGCTGGAGGGAGTAGAGTGTGAGAGCCAGCCCAGCATAAAGGGAAGACTGGAAGATAGCAGGCAGCTGGCCGGTGGCTCATGCTTATGGCAGTCCCTGTGGAATAGGCCCAGCCAGCACAAGTGAGCCAAATCCTGAGCTCAGTTTAATGGCTTCGGTCCCAAACCTGAGTCACTGGGGATTCCATGGACTTCTAAGAGAGCCCTACACGCATTTCCAAAAACAAACTGCTTGATGTTGTCATGGAAAACCTGGATCTTTGCATTCTATGGTTTCACGATGGATTACATCCAGGTCACAACCTAAGGAAGACAGCTGGCAAAAAGCCAACCCTGCTGGCTGATCACCCGGCTTTTGTAATGAATCCCAGAGGGATGCAAACTGATGTGTGTTGCTGCCTCTGCCAAGTCCTTGGACAAGTTCTCACCTCATGAAGACTAATCAACCTGTGATTTACTCCGCCAGGAGAATCTCAGAAGCCACCTGCAATCAACACTCAACGGCTAGAAGCTGCCTCCAGAAAGAGAAGGAATGGAAAATGTGTGTGTCAGGGGAAGGGGAGGGGGAGGAAGGAGCTCTGTTTTCTTGTCAATTTGACTGCTCTCTCCTGCCTTTTAAAAAAATGATCTGAGGACACCCCTGGTTACACCAAAGCCACAGGACTGCTGTGCACCCTGAGCTCCAACACAGGCAGGCTCTTAAGGACAGGGAAGGCCCCTACACACTGTATTTGTGTTTGATTGGAACAGAGTAAGGTCAATTCTAAAAGCTACAAGATATCCCTGTTCCGTAGAATGCAACAAATCCGGGAAACAAATAATATACTAAAACTTGCCAAGAAAGCAGAAATACTTTGATAATGATTCTATAGCTACCATTTATTATTTACTGTGTGTTAAGCACTATGCTTAAGCCTTTCTCATATATTATCTAACTTAATCCTCAGAACAGTCCTGAGGTATAAACCTATTGTTATGCCCATTTTACAAGTGAGAAAACTATGGTTCAGAAAAGTGAGGCAAATTGGTCCGTGTTTCACAGGCACATTCAGGTGAGGCCTGAACCCTCATTACTGAGTGAGTGCTGAATGTCAAGGACATGTGCACAGTATTTAGAAAGTATCAGCCGGGTGTCCACCTAATGGTGCCCTGAAGGCAGATCCTGCTATCTGGATTCACATAACAGGCAATGATTATATTTCATTACTGCTTAAGTTAGCCCAGAGTTTGGGATTTCCATTGAAGTAGCAGATTCTTTCACACCCAGTTTCTAAACTCAGAATATCAAGATTTTGATTATTTATGCTGTGTTTTTTTATAGACAGTGAAGGCTACACAAGCCTGTGGCCTATTTATATCTTAAAATTAGGTGTAGCAAAAGAATATGCTTACGATCATTTCTCATCCAGTCACATTTTTGCCAAAATGTAAGTTGTAAGAACAAACACAGCCTGAGTGTATTTCTAAAGAATCCTTTTGTTGCTCTGGCAACAGCCTCCTTTCTCACCATTTGTTTCAGTGTTGAAGAGATCCAGGGCTGAGGGAGAGGGGGCATAGGGAGAGAAAAGGCAGATGCTCCCAGCTGCAGCAAGTCCTTGCTGAGGCTGGGGCTGACCAGAGGCTATCACAGATTGGCCAACGGGAGAAAGCAAGCCAGCCCTTTCAGATGCCAGTATGGCAATGTCCTCAGCCACAGATTCAAGAACCACAGCTGCCCTTTACATTGGCTTGATGTGCATGATGAGACCTCCAATAGGGGAGAAAGTGCCCACTGAATCATGAGAAGGATAGCTCAGTCCCTCTTTTTTATGATTTTTTCTCTGAGGGGTGATGCTAGGCTGGAAGGAGAAAAGAAACCAGTTCTTTCCTGTATTTCAGCACTTAGTCTTAGATCAGTGGCTCCTAGACAGCAGTCAAACTATGCAGGAATCTCTGCCTTGTGCCAATTTAAAATTCTGAGTAATTTCAGAATTTTTGAGATGCTGCATAAGTAACAGGGGTAGGGAGGAAGTTAAAGCTTCCAGACTGGAAAGAGGCAGAAGATCAGCACCAGCCCTCAGCAGTGCTCCCACTTCTTTCTCCTCAACCTTCCTCCAAGAGACCTTGTGCAGAGAGAAAAGTCAGAAAAAACTCACTGGAGGCCAGGATCAGTGGCTCACACCTGTAATCCCAGCACTTTGGGAGGCGGAGGCAGGTGATCACTTGAGGTCAGGAGTTTGAGACCAGCCTGGCCAACATGATGAAATTCTGTCAATACTAAAAATACAAAAATTAGCCAGGCATGGTGGCAGGTGCCTGTCATCCCAGGTACTTGGGAGGCTGAGGCAGGAGAATCGCTTGAAACTGGGAGGTGGAGGTTGCAGTGAGCCAAGTTCCTGCCATTGCATTCCAAGCTGGGCAACAGAATGAGAATCTGTCTTAAAAAAAAAAAAGAAAAGAAAAAGAAAAAGAAAACTCACTGGAGTGTTCAAATAATACCTGAGAGCCATACTAATCTTTGTGCAATAATGAACACCTTGCCATTAATGTGATGCACACCAGAGTACCAAAATATGTTGGACTAATCCACACTCAGACATGGAATTCACTCAACTAACGCCTTATTATAAACTGCATGTAAACAGTCTTGAAGGATACCTATGCTTTGCTTCTGAATGACTGCCAAAGATAGGTTTAGTGTTATGGCCCAAGATGTCCCACCCCTTCCAGTAAATGGCCACTGGTTTGCTCGAAGGTAGTTAGATCACCATCAAGTTCCTCAGGATAAGAAGCACTCCTACATGACAAACCAGGAGTCTCATCTACATACCAGCAAATCAATAAAGCCCATAATAAAGGCATGAAATCATCAAGGATGTGCAAATACAACAGAGCGAGGGAAAACTAAACAGAAATCCTACTCTCTGGTCAACCAGGGCTCTTCAACAGGATTAATAATTAGTGTGTGCTGGCTTCCCTTGAGCTACATGTTTGACTCTTCAAAAGCCTTCAGTAATACTTCCCTGCAAAAGTTTTAAGATATACACATGCATACACACACACACACACACACACACACACACACACATGCCCCTGAGGCACCGTGTGTCCAAGGAGAATAAAGCAGGGATATTTCTCTGACAAGAAAATGATGAATCAATCTTGAAACCCACCTTTAATATTTCTGGGTGGTGAGATGCCAAGCTGAAGGGGAGAGTCATCTTCAGAAGTGAGTCAAAAGGGGACAAGGAGCTTCACAGAATCAAACTCTAAGCCTAAAAAGTCCAAAGGAAGGTCACATTTTCCAATCTCCCTATTTTTCAGAAGGAGAACACTGAGACCCGGGGTGGTACATTTATCTCAAGTGAAACTGCTAATGAGGAGCAATGCTGAAATACAGAATCCTGGTCTCCCAAATTCCATGAGTGCCTGAGTCACTTGTGGTGTGGCTGATCCTGGCAGATGTAGAGATGAGGGACCTGAGACTTGTCCCTTTGGGCCAGAAAGTTTAAAGGGCCTGGTGTCTGGATGGTGTATTCCCCCATGAAAGCAAATCAGAACTAAGGAGCAGGCCCTCTGTCATTTCTCTTGGCCCATTACTCCCCATCCCCCACCTCCACCCTACACAGGGGCCTCCTAAGATCTGAGGAACAGTAAACTTTATCTTATCGGCTGTTTGGGAAAAAACTGTCATTTGATCTGTTTATTTGGAAGCCAGCCCTGCTGAGCTCAAGAGTTTGCTATGAGGCCAGCTAGAGTGAATTCGTTTGGGGGCTGCTGCTTTACAGCCCTGGACATATGGCTCAATGCATAGCTTTATTTTGAAGAATCCTGTGCACACAGCTCTAGAATTTGCTGAGGGATGAATCACCTGTGCCCTTCATTTAGTGTTGTAGGTGGGTAACTTTGTCCTGTTAGAGTCTAGATTAATGTCTTGGTTAAAAAGTAAGCACTTGTTTTCTGAATATCAAAGCAAGAGTCTACTCTACTTCTTTGGGGATGTATTCAAACTCAGCCATGTGTTTTTGTGTGTGAATTTCTGTCACCCAGAACAAGAACCTTGAATCAAACCTAGACAGATTGTTACCCCATTGGTTCAGGACTCACCTTTCAAACCCATGCGGGGAAGCCTACGAAAATACTGGTAGCAGTGGATGCTTTCCTGCAGCTCACAACCTTCTCCCTGGGACCACTGTAAAGAGCTCATGCTTTTACTTTCCACCCATTTCTAATAAGCTCGTTAGTGAGAAATTCCCAGAAAATGGAAGAGTTCGCTTGCATTTTCTGATCTGAATGCACAGAACATTCTGTCAGGCTCTAGGAGACAGACAATTTAAACCAGAACATCACTAAACACAGAGCAGCTGATACTAATTCCTTCCCAGCCCGTGTCTTTCCCACCCAAGCTGAAATCATCTGGGGGCTGGAGCTGAGAGTGGATGCGGAAAGCAGGCTTGCTGCTTCTTAATGAGCGCCCCCGCTTACATTCCTCTTAGCATAAAGTGCTTGCTGCAGGTGGGACTCACGCTCTCCATAATTCCTCAGGGAGTTGCACTGAAGTGGAGAGCATGCTTTTAATTTAATGGGAAAAACAAAAAGCAGGAGTAGTTACTCAAACTAAAACCAACAGCTTAGACCCCGAGGAAATAAGCAATGAGGAGGACCACGTAAGACCAGAGAACAAGCCTGTCTTCCTGTGGGGTAAGACAGGGGAAAGAGACCCATGCGAGCAGCACACAAACGTCGCCTAGAACGGAAGGGGCAAAGGAAACCTGAATAGACAGAAAGTGGTCTTCTCCAAAACTAGCAGGAAGCGAATGCCCAGTACCAGAGTGCGCTGCACCGGCAGCTCTCCATCCCTCCATCCCACCGTGCCCGGGGTCCTGCCTTCTTACCTGCAATTCCTTGCAACAGCCCACAGACATTGAAGATGCTTTTCTTCATGATGCTCTGTACACACATGGTGAAGACGGACACCAAGGCCACCATGCAGAGAATAAAGATTCCCACAGCCAGGAAAATAGCTGTGGCCTGCCAGAAGCCGCTGGCGATCTCGCCGAAGCTCTCGGCGTAGGGCCCGCACAGCGTGTCCCGCTGGAAGTGCTGCACCCCTGGGTTCCGGATGCAGCGGGCGTAGATGCCCAGGGTGGGGTGGTAGGGCTCCGGGGAGCCCCCGCCCGGGCCCGCCGGCTCCACGCCGCCGCGGCTCCTCGCTTTCCCGATCAGCCAGTCTGCACTCATGAAGGCAATGAGCTCGGCAAAAGCCACCACAATACTCAGCAAGGTCCAGAGCATCGAGCGACAGGTGACAATGACATGACACATATTGATGTTCCGGGCGAAGAAAGAGTCAGGAGTCCACGGAGTTAATCAAAACAAGAAAGTCGGTGGGGAAGGAGGCTCGGGCGGCCCGGGAAGGAAGTCGCAGCTGCAGTCATTCACTCCCGCCGCCGGCCGCGTTCATGCTGGGGACAGCGCTCCCGGACCCAGAGCACCGCCTGCGGCCTCACCTAGGGGAGAGGGAGGGCGGTTAGCAGCGCCGCCAGGCCCCGCCCCGCCTTCCCGCCGCGCAGCGACACCGTCCAAGTCCGGCCCGTGCCCGCAGAACCCTGCCAGCAAGCCCCGGGCCTGGCTAGCATGCCAGGCGGTTGTTGCACTGGCTGCGTTTGTTTCAAGTTCTTCCTGACCTCACTGCACTTAGAACTCTATGTGGCAGTTAACCTTATCTCTAGGGAGCACCATGGAAGGAGGCGGCCAGTGCCAGGTCCTGCTCCCAACCCAGGGGGCACTGTCCTGGTTGCTGCTGCACTTTTAGGACAGGGCTCCCGCTCCCTCATCTTTTACTGGAAAAAGTCAAACAGCACAGGGATCCAGAGAGGAGGAGGCAAGACTGGCAATCAACTCTATTAGTGGATGTTTTGTTTTGTTTTTAAGTTTGCAAGACTTTTTGCCTGCTGTTTTGGTACTAGGTGAGCTAAGTTTTGAGAAACTTGGACCAAGCGCTTTTGCTTAACAGTAGAGAGTAGCAACACCCCGCTTTTATTTCCTCGAAATTAAATTACTAGCAGAGACATAAGTGTGTTTGCTTCATAGGTAAATAGGAAAGAATCACATGTAAAAGAATAAACAAAACATTGCTCCCATACCTATACTTTATCCATTTTTCACAGGGTGATTTTTAGACAAAATAATTTACACTAATTAAAACTCAGAGGGGAAAAAAAAAAAACCTTAAGAGTTCATGACTTACTTGGGGAAATTATTTTTAAAAGACATTAATGACCGTTAACTAAGCATCATTACAACTGAGTGGACTTGTTGACAACAGAACCTTGTCTATGAAGAATGCATCCCTTGAATTGTCCCAATTCATCCCATGTGCCTCTGCCTAAGCTTCGATTCACCCCAGGTCGGGAACTCAACATGCCCATTGTTTCTCATTTCACAGAGGCCTCATTCTGTCTCCACGGAGGAATGACTTCATTACCAGAAGACATTGCTCCAGTGGCTCAAGCCTTCTTCAGAGGAGTCTGGACCCTGAAATGGGGGCCAGCAGGGCTGGTTTGCAGCCCCATTTTCTGCCCCATTCCAAGGCCAGGAACAATCACATAGCTCACATCTGGGCACATGGCCCTGCTCTGAATGATTAGATCTCATTAACCGAGGTCAAATCAACTCCATGAGAACTGCAAAGAGCCCCCTGGCATGTTGGGAGTGGGGTGAGGCAGGGAGTTATCGAAGAGGAAGAGAAGCGGAGAAATAAGGAAGCCCAGTGTCAAAGCTTAAAATGCCCGTTTCTACACCCTGCACCAGCTGTCTGCCTGCTGGCTGACTTCCTAGTGAGCATGTGACTCTACCCATCCCTTGAAACATGATGTATTTTAAAATCCTCATATCATGGTAGTTGCTATACAAGATGCTATTTTGGGGACACAGCTAGTGCACTACTAGGAACATATGCACTTAATTGTCAGGGTGTGTGTGCGTGTGTCACAGCGCTGTGCCAAGCACTGGGTAAGGGAAGGGAGTCCATCAGGTATGGGTTCCAAAGCCAGCTCCAGCACTGACCATATGGATGCCTAACTTCTCAGAGCTCCCTCGTCTGAGCCGGTAAGGGTAGCCTACCTCACCAGATTGTTGCAAGGAATGAACAAGAACCTACTGAAGCACCCAGCACAGTGCCTGGCAGAGTAAGTGCTCAACAAATATCAACTCCCTGCCCTCCGAAGCTTTTCCTGTAACATAGATGACACCGTTCAGACAACTATTGATCCAACTGAGGTGCCCAGCAGATTACAGAAACCTGGCCACTGCACACAGAAAACATTAAGCACAGGCTACTTAGAGATGGACGAAGTCATTCATGTCTAAACTTACCTTGCAGCCTTCAAGGGCAGAGTCCTGGTCTTCCTGTTTCCCCACTACCTAACTCAGCTGGTGTTTTTATATTGGATATACCTTCTGGCTGAATGCTAATTTATCTCCACAAGCTGGATAATTTATATCCAACTGGTGGAGATAAATTAGCATTCAGCCAGAAGGTATATCCTACTCCGACTCACTCATTCTCAGCTCCCTCCTCCAGATAGTACCAAACAGAAAGCCTTTTGAGAAAAAAGTTACTAAGGGCTTTAGAGGAGATTGTTTGTAATGAAAATGATCATTCTAAAAGAGAACAAGAAAATGAGCCACAAGGACTCCCAGGAGGCCCTGAGAGCCTGCACGTACCCATCAGGCTCACAAATACTTTGGGCCCACAGGTGGCAAGCCCAGCCTGTTGAGAGCTATAAAGCCTTCCCATTTGATTAGAAAACCATTTTACTGTTATGCACAATCTCTTTCCCATCCCTTTTCTCTGTTAAATGTAATTTTTCTTTTCTTTTTTTTTTTTTTTTAGATGGGGTCTCACTGTGTCACCCAGGCTGGAGTGCAGTGGCATGATCTCGGCTCACTGCAACCTCTCTGCCTCCCCTCTCCTGCCTCAGCATCCAGAGCAGCTGGGATTACAAGCACACACGACCATGCCTGGCTAAATTTTTGTATTTTTAGTAGAGATGGGGTTTCAGCATGTTGGCCAGGCTGGTCTCAAACTCATGACCTCAGGTGATCACCCACCTTGGCCTCCCAAAGTGCTAGGATTATAGGCGTGTGCAACCACCCCTGCCTGAATGTAATTTTTCAATGAGAACATTCATATTTGTCCTCTTGCAGAACTGCAGGGCTCCTACAACCTCTCGGGTGACTTGTATCTTAATGACTACTCGAGTGTCCACTGCCCTGGCCAGCAAGCTCTACTCAGAGTAAGGAATGCAATTAGTTTGCAGCTTCTGAAGAAAAAGGCTGTAAAAGTTCAGGACAGGAGAAGATGGGACATCTGGGCTTAGCAAAATGCCTGAGAACAATTTGAAGGCAGGATTACTTAAGGACCCACATGCTTAAGTAAAAATAATATAGTTCCCTCTCCTTTATGCTAAAACATTTCCTCATTCACTGCACCAAATTCTCACACCCATACAAGATTGGCTGGGATAAGGGCTTCATTCTTCTGTTTTCAATAGGGGGATAAGATGCTCTGTTCTCCCTAGTAAGTTTGCTAACTGCTACTATCAGAGGAACAGTGGTGATACGCAAGGCTGACTAAAATCGAGGCTTCCTGGGGGTGGTGATATGGTTTAGCTGTGTCCGCACCCAAATCTCATCTTGAATTGTAGCTCCCATAATTCTCACGTGTTATGGGAAGGGCCCGGTGGAAGATAATTGAATCATGGGGGCGGATCCCCCATACTGTTCTCATGGTAGTGAATAAGTCTCACAAGATCTGGTGGTTTTATAAGGGGAACCTCTTTCACTTAGTTCTCATTCTCTCTTGTCTGCCACCATGTAAGACATGCCTTTCACCTTCAGCCATGTTTGTGAGGCCTCCCCAGTCATGCAGAACTGTGAGTTCATTAAACCTCTTTTTCTTTATAAATTACCCAGTCTCACGTATGTCTTTATCAGCAGTGTAAAAACGGACTAACAGAGGCTGCAAGCAAAGTTCTCAGGGTGGCAGGACAAGGGACCATCTGGAAGTGCAGCAGGGGGCTTCTGCAGTGGTTTGTGCTCTGTCCCAGTTTGGCTAGGTGCACTGAAAGGCAGGTACCTGCTGAGACATCTGTATCAAAGGGGAAAGAGATCCTCATGACAGAACCTTATTAACCACAGGGATACGAGGCACAGCCCTCTTCGGCCTGGCATCCGTTGCTATTAACCATAATGCCTGCTTCCACAAAGCCCATTTCATAAACTAGGCCCTCGCTGCCATTCTACCTAAAAGACTTCTTCTCTACGGGCCACTAAATACGTTTCCCCTCGACAACACCTGACCTTACTATCACATCCCAGGTGATTGTGGATCATCTAGACAGCCCTCTGATGTTCAGAAAATGATGACTGGCACAACGGTGTGCAAAGTAAAGCCTCTTCACTTAAAAAAAAAAAAAAGACAAATGAGAATCCTGCAGAAACCTACATTAATACCAGAGAATAGGGAGCAAAGAGGAGTTTCAAAATGGCTGGTCTGTGGGAGTCAGTCCTATGTACAGATTCTTCCCAGAGCCCTAATTTGAAAAGGTAGAGTGAAGGTCCTCAGTAGAGCTGAGCCGGGGTTTGTCACTTAGATCCCGGATCTGTCTTTGGCAGCTTCCTGCTGTCAGCAGGGAAGAAAGTGTATGTGAAGCCAGAACCACCCAGTGCCCGCCGGCTGGATCACCCGGACAGAAACTCAGGAGCAAAGTTCACATCTACCTGGAAAGAATGAGGGAAACCTGAAGGATGTCAATCAAGGTTGCATCAAAAAGCTCTCACTCCCCACCCTGATGGGAACAGCACACCCAAAGAATGATGCCAGGACAAACAATGTTTTGAAGAACACTACCTTGCTTACTCACCCTGGTTCTGTTTTTCAACTTTTTTATGAACGTTTTCAAACATAAAGTTGGCAAGAACAGACAATGATCACCCACATACCCAACACCCAGATTCAACATTTGTTAACATTTTCCCGTATTTGTTCCATCAATTTATAGCATACACACTCACACATTTTCTGAACTATCTGAAAATGAGTTGCAGATGTTCTGACACTTCACCCCTAAATACTTTAGCATACACCTCCTAAAAATAAGAACATTTTCCTATATAACCACAACAAGATTAGCACACCCAAGAGAATGGACAATAATCCCCTTATATCCAAAGCCTAGTTCCTACTCAAATTTCCCTACCCCTGCCCTGTTTTTAATAGCTGTTTTCTTAAAACCATGACTCAATCACAGCTCATGCATTGCATTTGATTAGGTTCTTTTAGTCAAGAATAGTCTTCCCACCCAACCTATTCCACCCCATCCCAATTATTTTCCCCGACATTGACTATTTGAAGATACTGGGCTAGTTGTCCTACAAAATACTTGACAATCTGGATTTGTCGATTTCCTCATGATTTCATTTCAACTTGTTCTCTATCCTCTATTTCAGAGAAACTGGAAGTTACATCTAAAGGCTAGACTGGTAGATGCTTGGCCGATCTCTGTTTTCACTCTTGCAATCTCCCTCAGACACATGAATCCCACAAGGGTCAGCAATATGGCCTCCATCCCCGTTTCTTCTGCAAGGATGGGAGGATTAAGAGAATTAGAATGTATGTGCTTTTGCCTTCCAAGAGTTGGAAAGACCCTCCAGAGTGTTGCTTCTTAAAGTGTGGGTTCCTGGACCATCTCCCAGAGGAGAATGACAGCTACCTGTTTTAAAAAGTACATTCCTGGTCCCCAACCAACCACTGAATCAAACTTTTTGGATGGTGCCAGAATCTGCATTTCTAACAAGTTCCTAGGAGAGCCTTTCACAGAAAGGCCACTGTGAGGCAGCGTGGAAAAGGTCAGTTCCTTGGTATTGGGGAGGGGAGGCTGAAGGGCAGAGGCAGGAGGAATGTGGCCTGGCTCAGTCAGGACAGACCCAGCAGCCAGACCACCTGTCCCCTGCACAGCTCATGATGCCTCCCAGGTCACAGGGCCCAGTGACTGTAGGGAAACCAGCTGTTCTCCCAGCTCATCTGTTGTCTGATAATCCTCGTACAGCATGAAACGATCTGCCCAAACATTCAGGTCCTTCTCTTCAGAAGACAAAAGGAGCCTTAAGAACTGGAAGGATAGTGTTGGCACAAAAAGTACAGGACTTTGCATGACTTAAAAAAAAATGTACCAAAGGAGGTTTTGAAACTCTCATTCTGGCCACCCCGTAAAACACATTCACTACAGAAATACAGACATCTTGATTATATTTAAGAGGACCCAAATGCACTAACAATTCTATTATTCTTTAGGGTACGTCTAAACATGCTCAAGACCTCCTGCTTTTGCCAATTTCCTTGGCTCAACTTCTGATCGACTCCTCTTCTCCATCCCATCTCTGACTTCTGGGAAAACTCTGAAGCTATGGTTCCCAATTAGGGGCAATTCTGTCCCCACACCAACTTTGCAGGGGACGTTTGGCAATGTCTGAAGGCATTTGGGGCTGTCACAGCTGTGGGGGTAGGGGTGTGTGCTACTGGTATCTGGTGGACAGGGGCGCTGTCAAACAAAAATTACCTGGCCCCAAATGTCAGTATCGTCAATGTTGAGAAACCCTGCTCTGGGGGCTTCTCACAGAGGGCAATTTTGAATGTATAGGAGCAACTTGAGATGATTTTTAAGATCTATTTTTAAAAGGTCTATTCTGATGCGTATGTCTATAATCTGCGCATTCATGATATTTACTAAATTAAATATATTTTTAGTTGTTTTTCTCCATTTTTAAAAAAGGCCATGCTAGTTTGGATGTCCAAGATGACAGGATGATAGGGACTGGGGCCCCCGAAGCCAGGGCAGACTGACTCAGAACCTTGTGCCCTTGAGCCTGTCTTTCCTGGGGTCCTGGGTGGTCTCTGCATCACACGCTAAAGTTAACTTCTGTTTTCATAAATCTCTATTCTGCGAATGGCAAAATGGGGCTCCCCATTCATTACTGTTACCTTTCTTCACCTACACCTGAGGGGCCTGGACATGGGTTCAGAAAACTGCATGGTTGGCCACACAGGCTTCTGCTTCTCTCAAACTCCTCTCCTCCAGAGTTGGGCTGGTCACTCAGGAGGTACTCAGGTGGCCTTGGCCACCCCAAATCTCAGGGAATCTCAAGGACCCTACAAGGTAGACCTATAAGATTTTCAGGCATTCTGATTCTTACCTGACCCCTCTTAAACATGCTTCTTTTCCCCTTGAAACTGTTGACATTCTCAGCTGCCTCGCAGCCCCTCCCTCCAAACACACCTGAACAAGTCTCTTTTTCTCTGGGCATGGGATCCCCCACTGAGCTCTTTTGACCCCCATGCTCACTGCCAAGTTTGTTGTTTAATACACCCATCCTGGCCAGTCATAGGTTTCTTTCTTGATGCCAACTCCAACTCCTCCTGTATCCAATTAATCTACCTCTGGCCACTCATTTCTAGAGGCCATTTTCACCCTCCCATCCTGAGGCATCTGTATTAGTCTGTTCTCATGCTGCTAATAAAGACATACCCGAAACTGGGTAATTTATAAAGGAAAGAGGTTTAATGGACTCACAGTTCCACATGGCTGGGGAGACCTCACAATCATGGAAGAAGGTGAATGAGGAGCAAAGGTACACCTTACATGGCAGCAGGCAAGGAAGCATGTGCAGGGGAACTGCCCTTTATAAAACCATCAGATCTCGTGAGACTACTGACTATCATGAGAACAGCATGGGAAAAACTCGCCCCCATGATTCAATTACCTCCCATTGGGTCCCTCCCATGACATGTGGGGATTATGGGAGCTACAATTCAAATGAGATTTGGGTGGGGACACAGCCAAACCATACCAGCATCTATAGCCAGAGACGGAAGGTCCACTTGTCTGGTCCTATTTTCTAAATGATTCCTTCTCTTCTAAAGCCCACTTGCGTATTTTATGTTTGTTTTCCCTCTATTTCTACAAATGTCCTCATCTAAAAGCTCTTTAGGGGGCAAGTCTTTCTTTGTGTGTCTGTCCGACAGGCAGGAGGGGCTGAATAAACCAACCTCTAAGGTAGACATTAAAATCTGATGTAGCCCAGATGCCATAAGCCGGGGCCATATGCCTATGCCTGTACAGACCATAGGGTCAAAAGCATTTTCAGTTTTACATGAAATTAAAACTTGAATTTCAGGAGTTGCCTTTTAATGCCACTGCTTTATAGGAATTTTAAATGAAAGGTGTTTCTCAAGTTTATAATGAATTCTGTGATACTGGGCAAAATATAAGTCTTAAAGTGAACCTCTTGTGTCTTCTCAGGATAATAAGAGAGTTTTAACTAAGAAAAGTAACAGGCTGGGTACAGTGGCTCACACCTATAATCCCAACACTTTGGGAGGCCGAGGCGGGCAGATCACCTGCGGTCAGGGATCAAGGTACGCAGCGTTTTCCAACTTTCCCTAGTGAGAATGCCACATTCAAAACTGTAGAAAGGTTTATACTTTCTCCATTTATTAACTAGAGGAAATCCCCAAATATTTAGGATTCATATTACGCTTTGAAAACAGATGGGCTTCAGTGCAGCTTCCAAAGGGATGCACACTCCTCAGGGGAACGTGAGCTCCACGCGCAGCTGCCAGTAGCCATAGGTACTTTTGAATACAGAACGATCCTTCAACTCTGGGCAGCAGCCTGGCCTGCAGGACTGAGCCGGTGTAATGACTCAGGAATGTGCCAGCTGGGAGGAGGTGGCCCAGTGAGTGTTCCTCGCTGCAGCCTAGATGAAGTCACTGCACGCTCAAAGTTCAAGATGGTCACAGAAAAACCCCTTTTTAAAAAGTCTGAACTCTTGTACTTGTTCATATGATCCAGTGTCCTCTTTCTGGGAAGAGGGACTTATTATTGTAGCTTCTAACAATAGTGAGGCATAGTAAACAGAGATAAAGTTCAGCTGGATGTCCCAGAAGCAGTGAGGAAACCAGGCCACTTAAAAACAAAGCAAAAGGCTGAGGCAGAAATGGCTTTAGGTTCATTTCTATAAGAGATGCTTCCCAACTCCCTGTTCCCCAGGTGCTCACCTGTATGGGCTGCTAAGCAACGTGGACAGGGGAAGTCTGTCCCATTCTATGCCCAGTGCTATGGACTCCCAGGAGCTCCAGCTACCTTGCTCCCCAACATGAGCCAGGCTGGAGAAGATGACCACTGAGAACCCACACAGCCCTCCGTAAGAGAGAGACGCGAGGCAAGAGAGCCTGGGGGAATCCACAGAAGAAAAACTAGACTGGATTTTGGTTAGGTGATAAAAAGGAGCATGTCCCTGGGGTGCTGACAGATACTTCTTTGAGGTGGTTAGGACAGACCTCATCACAGTAAACCATTTCTCACAGCCCTGATCACTGCAGAGCAGTTCCTTTTCTCTGTACCCTACAAGTGGGTGGCTGATAATTCTGGGTTCCAGTATAACATGGCAACAGCCAGAATCTGCCTCTGGGGCGGGATCTGTCAGGCTTCAGGAAGGGTACACAGGACAAAACCCCTCACCTCCACCCGTCCAGGGCAATGAGCTCATCCAGAAAGGCACCATGTAAGAATGATTCAGTCTGGAGGCAGACACTTAATCTGAACCCTGGTCCTCAGTAGTGACCTTAGGTGAAATTGGGCCCGTGTTCCTCAGTTCCTGTGTCCGTAAAATGGAGTAATAGCCTACCGCATAGGGATGTTGTGAGGATCAATTAAGTTAAAGTAAGTATCAAGCTTAGAACAGCACTTAGCACATGGCCAGCACTCCATCCATGTGGACTATGCCCCTGCAACAGGATCCAGCCTCCCCGTCCCTTGACCCGGCATAAATGCGACCACTTCTGGCTTTGTGTCTCAGGCACTCCTTTTGCCACTTAGATCTTCCGGTTCTGGAGCCCATCTGGCATGTAGGTAATTAGCCTTTCCTTCAAATACTAATTTCCCCATGTAAAAGGAGTTGTGTGGTGGAAAGGATGTAACACAGAGCTGGAACTGCTTCAATGCTATAAACCACGCTCTAGCATTAACTAGCTCTGTGTCTTTGGGCAATAAACGTCACCTCTCTAAGGACAGTTTCCTCATCTCTAAAGTGGGGGTAAGGAAAGTCGCTGCCACGCTTTTTGGGTGGAACACAAAAACTGTGCACGGAGAGCCAGGTATAATCGTAGGTACCAAGACATAGTAGGAATCATTACTATTACCATCATATAGGTCAACATTTATGTTTCTGCCGCTTATCTCCCCAAGGCCACAAAAGCACCTTCTATTATCATCCTCACTCTCTGTAGAAGGAAATTTGTCCAATGGCAAAGTCATAGGCAAGGGAAAAAGACCCACTAGGCAGGCAGGCAGGAAAACACGGGTCCCGACCCAGGCTCTCGGCTAATGGATGTGTGACCTCGCACAGCTCCACTGCCTACTCTGGCTTCAATGTCTCAGGCCCAAAGTGAAGGCGCTGGACTTGCAGATCACCACTGTCACTTTCAGCTCCAAAAGTCAGTCACTTCAAGCATATGACCACCTCTTCTACCTTCTCCCAGACTAGAGGCTCCTTCTAGAGCAGATGGCTCCATAGGACCTGCTCCTCTGGAGAGGGAGGTCTCTGGTTGGAAGGGAGACGGGGAGACCCCACAGGTTACCAGGAATGGCAACGGACAGCCGTGGCTGATGGAGAGCTGAGCAGCCATGGCCAGGGCACACCCGTGGGCACTACACAATGGCCCTGGCCAAGGGTGGGAGCTGGCCTGGCTCCCTCTTCTGCTCATATGTTTTTTTTCCTGGGGTGGGAGAACCTAACTCTGACTTCTACTCTTGGGAAAACGGTAGAGCATTTCCCACTACGGTCTTTCGGCTAACTGCTAACTGCTACAAATGAGGCCCCCCTGCCCCGGGCCGCAGAGATGGACCCTGCCATTAAAGGACCCTTACTCAGTTCTGAAAAATCACTGACCGTTCCTTTCTTATATACTTTTCCTTCCTGTTTCAGACAACTAAAATGCTTGGAATCACGAACAATTTGATAGCTGTATGCCGAAAGACATGGCAGAATACAAAGTCTTAACCGTTTTTAAAAGGATTTCTATTTTGCTTTCTTATATATGTCAAGAAAGGTGCCAACTGATTAACACATACATATCAATTGGAATTCTAAAGCTGAAAAGCCAGCACTATGGGAGACTCCTTTTTAAGTGACTTAGCTTCAGGCAAGAGTCAGAAGTCATATCCCTTTCATTTCAAAACATAAACTGTATGAAACAGTCCTATAAAATTAACGTGTGCTATTTATCCTCCATTCCTCAGTAAATTATTAAAATCAAGCAGTACAATTCTCTCATCAGTTATAAATGGCCCTAGAAGGCAGATTTACATCTATCCAGGGGCAATTTCTGATGAGTATTTTTATTAATGATCTAATAAAATGTCTTGTTTTGTTATCAACTAAATGATTCAAATGATGTTTTAAAATCTAATACTCCAACCCAATAGTCTGGTGATTAAGCTACTGAGATGACATTAATTTAAAGTGATTTGCAATTTTATTTGGCATTATCAACAACACCATGGATAGATTTAAATTTTTTTAAAAAAATTTTGCCTCCCATGCTGTTAAAGGCAATATTTTATAAGGTTCAGTAAAACTGAGCTGATTAGCATGATAATCACCAATAGCAAAGGTCAGGGGTGAGAGGTTCTGATAAGATAAATTACTTGGCAGTCAGCCACGCACATCCTAAATTGACAGGTGGGCTGAAAGCTTGGGTTGTGAGAATAAAGCTATGTCAACAACAAGAATGACCCAAACACGTCCACTTTCACTCCTCCTAATTTCCTGACTTTTGCTCCAATCTGCCATTTAGCAGAGATGGGCATTCATAAAAGGAAGTGCTGAACCATCTCAGGCCTTTGTGATATGGGCAGGAATGAAAATGCAGACCTTCTACGGCTGGCTATGCGGAGGAGAGCAATAACCCTATGCTGTGTGCAGATACGACCCCTACTCCCACCCCAGGAAACCAAGGGCCCAGGCTCTTAACAGACCTGATGGATTTCTGAGGTAATAGGTAAAGCTGCATCAATTCTGCAAAAATAATTTTTCCCAGAACCCAGAATATTTGCTTTTTCCTCTCTTCTCACCAAAACTCATGCTTCTTGAAAATAATACTCATTAAACATCAGCTAAAACTAAAGCACTTAAAAAGGAGTCACATTGGCCAGGCATGTTGGCTCACAGCTGTAATCTAGGGAGGCCCAGGCGGGTGGATCACCTGAGCTCAGGAGTTTGAGACCAGCCTGACCAACATGGCAAAACCCTGTCTCTACTAAAAAAAACAAAAATTTAGCCAGGCATGGTGGCGGGCACCTGTAGTCTCAGCTACTCAGGAGGCTGAGGCATGAGAATCACTTAAACCCAGGAGGCTGAGGTTGCAGTGAGCCGAGATCACGCATTGCGCTTCAGCCTGGGTGACAGAGTGAGACTCTTGTCTCAAAATAAAAAAAAAATTTTAAAAAGGAGTCTCTCACATTGCTGACCTCCCAAACCAAAGAATTCACGTTAATATACGTTTGCTGACACTTGTTTATCACTGTGATTACTAACAGCCAACTTTTATTGAACCAAGCACTGAAGTTCTAAAGTGGTAAGGCAATTCAGACACCTCTAGAACCAACCCTTGTTCACAACCAATTGTCCAAGGTTGAAGTACTGGACAATGGGGGTGGAGAGGGAAGGCAGGGAAGGAGACCTGAAGATACTCTTACTGCCCTCCGGAAACTTATTAACACTGGAATCAGGAAATACACAGATATAATAAAGACCTGAGCCACTGAAGACCATAACTAGGTCATTGAGAACTCAGTGCCCTGATGTGGGTAGGGCAGGACTGAGGGGTGAGAATCTTGAGAAAACCAAGATAAGGTTTTATCAGGGATATGATATCTGGGAAGTAAACAGACGGTTAATTCAAATGGGAGAGTTGTAGCTGAGGGGGGAGAAAAGGTTGACGTTTTTCTGCATCTGTTGTATAACCCCAGATGGTCGCATAAAAACACTTCTTAATAGAAGTCAAGAAGGGTGGACCATGCTGACACTGCTTATGTTCTCAGCAAGACAGAAGTGGCTGATAACCCTTTTCTGGCGTGTGCACGTGTGTGTGTCTGTGGTGTGTGTGTGTGTGTGTGTGTGTGTATTTCTGCAAGTAAAAATGGAAAATGAAGGGGCGAGTGATTTTTTAACCCAGGCATATCTGCTAGCTATATAGTATGATGAATTTCAAACAGAAGAATTAAAACTCACCTTATGTTCTCACAGCCCCTCGTACCCATTCGAATTCACTTTTTAACTCACAGGATTATTTGTGAACTTTTTATAATGGTTTACGAGGAACTAGAATGACCCTTAACTACTTTAAATATGTTAGGCACTCAGGAGACTTGGGAGCTCTCAGTGTACAGAAAGCCTGGGGTAGGATGGAGCTCCCCCACAGTGAGGGGGTAGAAGAAGGCGGGAGGACCAGAATGTACCCTGGGGATGCTATCTGCCTGAGACAGGCAAAGGGGGGAAATCTGCCAAAGAGACAGAGGACAAGAGACAACCTGCCACAGAGATAACCTGCCAAGGGCGAAGAATGAGGGGGGATGGTCCTAGAAGGCAAGGGCGAGGACAGAATGAGGGTGGCAATGGCCCACAGGGGCCAGTGGACGTCATTGACAGTCACAGCCTGAGAAACAAACATTTCCCCCTAAAAAGAAGTAATGAGTCCAGCAGGAACTGAAGTCAGTCTTGCCGTGGCCCGAGATACACTTCAAAATGTTGCGCGCTGCAGTTTCACTAGATTCTCAATTTCTCAACCCCAAACATTTAATTAAAAGAAAAAAGTCCCAAGCAGTACTTTATCTGAGGAGTCATTACAATAAACAGGCAGTTAGTACAAGGTCAAGATAAGGAAGAATGTGAACAATACAATGGTGTAGATGCTGTGGAGGGGCTGGGCAGGGGGCTGAGGGAAGGAAACGAGCCGGACAATGCACAGATGTCTATGTTTTCGCTGCCAGGAGTTCAGACAAACAGGAAGACCTTAAACTTCTCCAACTGGGAACACTCGGTTTTGCCTGATGAGCAGAGGGGCTGAGCACATGACTAGAACACAGAAACAGAAGGTTGTCATTAAGGCTACAAGACTCGCTCCACACAGAACCCACACCCAGCCTCCTTCTCAGGAAAACCCGGGCCTTGCTCACCTTGCGCCCAGGTTATGCTCCTCGGCCTCACAGCCTTTTCCCTTGGGCTGCTCAGTGAGGTTTTCGGGCACACTCACTCATGGGACCCAATAAGCCCAAGACACCAAGTTTCACAATTTTAGAATTTCCTACTGACATCTAGCAGAGAATTTATGTGTATACAGCTTCTAAGTGGGAACCAAAGAAAAAATGTCTGGCGTAATTATTCAAATGTCATGCTCTGTTCCAACAATAATATCACAATGGAGGTATAAGAATTGTTAGATATCCGGCCAGGCGCAGTGGCTCATGCCTGTAAACCTAGCACTTTGGGAGGCCAGGGCAGGCGGATCACTTGAGCCCAGGAGTTCAAGATCAGCCTGGACAAAATGGTGAAACCCCACCTCCACTAAAAATACAAAAATTAGCCAGGTGTGGTGGCGGGCGCCTGTAGCCCCAGCTGCTCAGGAGGCTGAGGCACAAGAATCGCTTGAACCCAGAAGGCAGAGTTTGCAGTGAGCCAAGATTGCACCACTGCACTCCAGTCTGGGGGACAGAATGTGACCCTGTTCTCAAAAAAAAAAAAAAAAAAAAATTGTTAGACATCCTCAGAATCTCAAAAGTTAGGAATCTCATGAAATGTTTTCTCTTTGGAAACAGTTACATATTTTTCTCCCTGTTGAGTATTTTTTAAATGTTTGAAACTATGCAAACAATAAATATTTCTTGAAATAATTAAAACTTCAGAACATTGTGTGGATATTTAATACTTGGTACTCCTTGAGTATTAAAGGTAAATGTTTCTAGATATAACAGGGTTTCTCAACTTCAGTACTTCTAACACTTGGGGCTGAATAATTCTTTGTTGCAGGGGCTGGTCCTATAAATTGAAGGATGGTTAGCAGCATTCCTAGCTTCTTCCCACTATATGCCAGTAGCGCGCTCTCAGTCGTGGCCAAAAACAATGTCTTTAGACACTGCTGAATGTTCCCAGGGGACAATCCTGCTCCAGAAGGTACTGCTGTGGTTTAGACCCAGGGACTGAGATGAGCGTCAAATGCTGACTATAGGACACACTGGCAGAATAAAGCAGGGCAATCACTAATCTCCCTATGCCTCAATTTCCCCAGCTATAAAATGAGGATATCTTATAGGGTAGAGATGAAGACTAAATGAGAGAATACATGTAAAGTGCTTTGCATAAAGCACTGTAATGCACAGAGTAAGCATTCAGTAAATGGTAGCAATGATAATGGTTAAAGAAAAGTCACAGATCCATAACCTTGGAAAAATGAATTGAGCAGGTCATTCATGGGGTCATTAATAAGAACGAATGCCCACACAGCTCACATCTAAGCAGTCTGTACAGGGCACAAAGGCTAGTGTGTTAGAAACACACGGCCACTTATTAACACTCACCTTGATAAAAATCAAGTTGTTTTCATCCCTTGGAGGATAAAGTGGGGAGTAAAGAGAATAAAGAGAAAAGAGATGAAATGCGAAAACGGATACAGACTAAGGAGAAATATCCTGACACAAAGAGGAAAAGGTAAAAGTGTGCACCTTCTAAAAACTGCTTGAAGACACAAGTTAAAATAAACATGCTGCGTTTGGGAATAGGATACCACAGTGAGAGCTGGTGAGTATCTAAATAGCTGAAAATGGCCACTGCAAGGTGCAGAGGACAGTTGTGATGGAGCTAAGAAGAAAAGTAATATGGCTCAACACCAAGGAAGTAGGAAAGTGTGAGCACGGTAGATAGAGCCTCCTCTCTGGTCAAGAGCTGCCTTCCAGCTTCTTCCTATCTGAGCCTGCTGAAGAAGGCAGCAGAGCCACCCCAGCCTCCCCAAGTCCAGTGCCAGGGGCTTCAAACCTGGGTCTCTCCCACTAGCTGTTCCCCGGCCCCTCAGTAGGAAACTGAACAAAGCCCCGCTCTCTGCCTCTTCTGCTGGCCTCTGTAGCCCTGGCCCCCGCCACCACTCTACAGAGCACTCCATTTTCTTGCCTCCCCACTCCTCCCCACACTCCAAGTTTGTGTGTCACATACAGGCTGGGTGTGGACGGACTCACTGGAACACAAATACTGTGAGTCAATCAGCACTCAAATCTCCTTGGGTTTAGAAATAGTCAGTGACTTTTTCCGGTAGCTGAAGTCTGAAATAAGCTGTTAAAAACAATCATCTTGACTTTCTATCTGACTCATAGCGAATGCAACATTAAATTGAAAACACCTCCTAATTAGCCACTCAGAAATACAACCAAGTCTTTGTGAGACAAAGCCTGGCAATATTTACTGAAATACTGTCTTTGCGGTCTTCTTCTGAACCCATGTTATACTTACATCCCAGTGATATGCAGTTATCTATTCTGTCATTCAAATGCACCAGATCGTTCCTTCCTCATCAAAGTAAATTAAATAACCCAGAATAGCAGTGGGCTTGTGCCTAGTGCTTAAGGCTGCACACTTTAACATTCAACAATGTGCCCCAACCATCTGTAATCTTCTGAGCCCAAGTTGGGTCCACACAAAAACCCAGTGGAGGCGAGTGATTTTTTACCATGATATGCTATTATTATGTTATTGTCAATTGAATGCACTTCAAAAACCAAATGAAGAAGACAAGACAGACCTCCATTCTTTCCTGAAGGCTACACAGCACCCTCCATGTGACCCCAACATCCAATCAAAGACATCACCATGGCGTCGCTTTCCCGGGGAATTTTCACAAGATAAAAACATCCATAGCCCAGCTTGGAAAAGAAAACTATTTGATGCCAATGTGGAAGGACCCAATAGGTAGTTGAGGTTAGAAATTTGAATAACAGGCAACAAATACAGAGTTGACTTAAAATACCCTAAACTATTCTGAGAAACTCCAGAAGGTTGAATGTTAAATTCGCTTTGTCAGAATTAATTTGGGAAATATTTGGTCCTGCTTGAAGGAGAACTCCAGTTCCCCGGCCAGCATTTTGTCAAGTCACCATTTCCATTGCTGGCTCATGTCAGTGAGCAGTGTGAGTGACTAAGTGTTCCTCTCCTGCCTCAGCTGGGAAGATTAACATGGGGCCAAACGCCTTGGAGACAGGAAAACAAACGAACCCAGTTACTATGTTTTTAACTCAGTTCTGTCTGGAAATCAGGAAGCAAGACTCTGAAGATCAAGCTTCGGGAAAGCTCTTAATGCTGATGAGGAGTTTTTTTTTTTTTTTTTTTTTTTCCAAAAGTTCAAATGAGAAGTCACTGAGAGCCTAGAAGTAAAGAAGGCTAATAAATGACAACCGCACTTGCAGATTGCCCCCTGGGTGGTACAGTCAACAGCCACTGCTCAGAATGACTTTTAACTCAAAAGGATCAGAAATTTGGACCAGCCTCCCATCTCGTTATTTCACCAGACCCTTTTGTGTTCACGAACTTTGTATATAAAGTCCTCTGACTGGAAACAGATCTAGAAGGCCAGTTTCACTGCACTTCTAATGAAGTCAAGGGACGAAGGATTTCAGATTTTACTTCACAAAGAAAAAAAAAAGATTGTGAAATTTTCAACTTGTAATATTACAACAGTTTCTAGTCCCAGCAAAAGACAGACTAAACAACATCATTCAGCTGGGAAAATTAGCTACCCATCTTGGTCCCCACCCTACCCCAAGCTTTATTTATTCAGATACATGGCATTTACTGAACTGCCTGGATAAGAACATGAAGTCAGCAACACCTCTCGTTCTGAATCCTGAGGAGTGTAAGCGATTAAGAGTAACATCCAATGGTCATTGATCTCTACTGTTTATTTCTCGTTTCTCAGTTCTGATAACCCTCCTTGATTTTCTGAACCTGGAGCTGCCAGCTATTTTCCATCTCTGAACCACCACTATCTGTCTAAAATTGGATCTCTCTTTGGCTTAACTGTGCTCCCAGTAACATAAAACAATACTGAAATGCTTAAACCAATGCATTTCTTGTGGGCACTTAGTCACAGAACTGTACCTGCTATGGGCTTCCAAGTTCTATTGTTCTAACTCAACTCTGCTGACACACTCTCCATTTTATGCTCTAAGACTCCTTTATCGCAGGGGTCCCCAACCCCCAGGCCACAAACCAGTACCGGTCTGTGGCCTGTTAGGAACTGGGCTGCACAGCAGGAGGTGAGTGGTGGCAAGCCAGAATTACCACCTGAGCTCTGCCTCTTGTCATATCAACAGTGGCATTAGATTCTCATAGGAGCACAAACCCTATTGTGAACTGTGTGTGCAAAGGATCTAGGTTGCATGCTCCTTATGAGAATCTAATACCTGATGATCTGAGATAGTTTCATCCTGAAACCATCCCACCCCATCATACATAGAAAAATTGTCTTCCACGAAACAGGTCCCTGGTGCCAAAAAGGTTGGGGACCGTTGCTCTATTGTATTCATGTTAACTCATTACCATGTTTGTACACTGGTTATAGAATGTGTTTCTGCAGCAATAACTAACAATGATGGTGCCATTTAGAGGCCCTACCAAAGCAGCAGGCACAGTTATGTATGTGTACCCACTAAATGCACCACCCCTTAACTCCCTCACAGCTGTCAGGTAGGTGCTATTATGTTTCACAAATAGGAAACTGAGGCAATGGCCATTTAAGTGTATCAATAAATATAGAGCATTCCCTTCAACACCCAAGACAGTCACAAGCATCCACATTCAAAAGATGTTAATAAATACCAACAACCAAGATACGTCTATTTTAACCAGCCTAATGCTAACAGATAAAAACAGCTTGTTTTTTGAAAGCCAAATGTTAATTGGCAGAGCCCTGTCAAAGGCAAGTATTTTCATACTTTAAAACTTTTCCCAGGTATGGTAGCTCATGCCTGTAATCCCACCACTTTGAGAGGCTGAGACGGGAGGACTGCTTGAGGCCAGGCGTTCAACAGCCTGGGCAACATAACAAGACCACGTCTCTGAAAAAAAAAAAAAGAAAAATTTAATTAGCCAGACATGGTGGCATGCGCCTGTAGTCCCAGCTACACAGGAGGCTGAGGTGGGAGGATCACTTGAGCCCAGGGGTTCAAGGCTGCAGTGAGCGATGATTGTGCCACTACACTCCAGCCTGAGCAACAGAGTGAGGACCTATTTCTAAATAAATAATAAGAATTAAAAGTTTGCGCAGACCAACACCTGGAATCCTGTAGCAACTGCCTTCATAAGAACTGAAAAGGACTCTTACTGATGACCTCGCTTTACTGTCACAGTATTCCTGTGAAAGGTTGAAAAGCAGAGAGAAAGTATAACACTTTTCCCTGAAGCATGAAGCCACACATTGCCCCTGGAAAGCATTTTGCAGCCTAGCAGTAACAGGGGGTTGGTGCAGGATGGAGCCAGGCCACGCAGCAAGGCTGGCATGTAGCATACGGGAAGCGGAGCTTGCAGTGAGCCGAGATTGCGCCACTGCAGTCCGCAGTCCGGCCTGGGCGACAGAGCGAGACTCCGTCTCAAAAAAAAAAAAGAAAATGCTCACAGCTTTAAGAACAGAAAGCATTACATGACGAGACAGATGAAAGAATTTGTGAAACAAATCACTGAATTTTTGCAATATTAGAGAGTCTCAAGGAAGGAAATCATCTGACAGACTGAATCATAAATTTGTGCAATGCAAGAATTTATAAAAGCATCAGGGTGTGAATCATACCCACAAAATGTTTTTTAATATCTTTGCAAAAATCAGGCTCATGAATGTACCAACTCTTCCAACAGCACTTGTCTTTTTATTTCAGGTATTAACTGATTTACAACTTATTTTAAAAATTACAATAAAATCTACCTGCAAGACCAAATTTGTGGAAACTGGAAGAAGGGAGAGAAAATAAACTAGTTCCCAGAACAGAAGATTGGGCAAATGCCATTTTGCCCATGCCAAGTTAAGCCATAAGATCCATCAGGCACATTATTTTTAGTAAATTACTCAAGGACATTCCAATTCATAGCTAAACATCATCAGTAAAATTTTTTCAAAATTGCAAATAATTTTTTTAAATTTTTAATTTTTTAATTTAAAAAATGAGTTTCTCTGAAATACCAAGTGACTGTTAAAAATAATGAAAAAATTCTAACCCATGTCTCTAATAATCAAATTATACCATTAGTATTTAAAAACAGAAAATTAACCATTTTTGGTTTCACATATACATGTGGCTTTAGTCTACTGTTTCTCTAATACTTCTTGTAGAAGCATAACCACTAAGAAGGTTCACATGAAATCAGGCTGAACCATAAACAGTCATCCCAAGAGATTTGTCTACACACGGAACAGGGTGCTGGGGAGTGAGTTCTCCCTAGATATGATGTATTTATTCATTTATTCCCTTCCTCAAAGCGTCCATCATGGAGTGAGGTCATTTGCCCTGAGTTCTACAGCAACTGATAAGGCCTTGTGAGTCAGTGGTTCTTCCCAGAAGTTCCATGCTCCATGGCTGCTGACTCTGTACCTATTGGGTCAGGCCTTATTAATCACTTTTATAACATGGAACCCAAACTGATCATAAGACTCTGACCACACAGACTCATCCTTGGTCACCAACAACACCTGTACCTGCCAGAGAATTCCATATGCAAATATGAAGATATGACTGCCCATTTATTCTAGAAGGATTAGGATTGTTTCTTATCAGGTATTGGGTGGCAGAAAGAATGCCCCATAGCCCCTGCCTTGACAACGGTGTCCCTTCAACTACAAGTTTACTCATTTCATCACCAGCAATGCAAGGATTTGAGTAAGCAGAGGGTAACATTTCTTTGGCAGAGACTGCTAGGTTCCTACCCAATACCCATTCTCCCCTTCTTCATTAACAGAACCTATGGCCAGGCCTGGCATAGAGTAGGACTCAGCAGAGGCACAAAATTTAAGGGGGTGCAAAATGGTTTAATCATGATAAATAATATTTTATTATACAATATTCTTAAAATCAAAATTTAAAAATTCACAATGAGCCGGGCATGGTGGCTCACGCCTATAATCCCAGCACTTTGGGAGGCTGAGGCAGGCGGATCACCTGAGGTCGGGAGTTCGAGACCAGCCTGATCAACATGGAGAAACCCCGTCTCTACTTAAAATACAAAATTAGCCGGGCATGGTGGTGCATGCCAGTAATCCCAGCTACTGGGGAGGCTGAGGCAGGAGAATCGCTTGAATCCACGAGGCAGAGGTTGTGGTGAGCACAGATCGTGCCACTGCACTCACTCCAGGCTGGGCAACAAGAGCAAAACTCCATCTCAAAAAAAAAAAAAAAAAAAATTCACAATGAACAAAACATCAATTTTTAAAATAAAGATAGCATCAGCATTCCTTTCTTTTTGCCTCAGGTTCCACTATGGCACTGCTATACTGAAATAAAACATTCTTTACCTTGACGATTGAGTTTCTTGGTGCCCCCTTAAATTATGCACCAAAGGTGAATGTCTTACTCACCCCACCTCAGTCCTGGCCCTGAATAAAACCCTACTTGATGGGGTAGCAATGGGCCCGGCTCAAAAGCCTACATTTCTCAACCTCCTCTGCAGATACAGTGGCCAATGAGATGGGGATGGACTTCTGTGAAAGCTCTTAAAAGGGATCTGACTCAGCTTCTTTCTTGAGACAGGGTCTCGATCTGTCTCTCAAGCTGGAGCACAAGTGGTATGATCTCGGCTCACTGCAACCTCTGCCTCCTGGGCTCAAGCGATCCTCCTACCTCAGCCTCCTGTGTAGCTGGGAGTACAAGCAGCACCACCATGCCCGGCTAATTTTTTTTTTTTTTTGAGACAGAGTCTCACTCTGTCACCCAGGCTGGAGTACAGTGGCACAATCTTGGCTCACTGCAACCTCCACCTCTCAGGTTCAAGTGATTCTCCTGCCTCAGCCTCCTGAGTAACTGGAATTACAGGCACGTGCCACCACACCCAGCTAATTTTGTATTTTTAGTAGAAATGGGGTTTCACCATGTTGGCCAGGCTGGTCTCGGATTCCTGACCTCAAATGATCCACCCGGCTCAGCCTCCCAAAGTGCTGGGATTACAGGTGTGAGCCACTGCGCCCAGCCTAATTTTTGTATTTTTAGTAGAGATGGGGTTTTGCCATGTTGCCCAAGCTCATCTCGAACTCCTGGGCTCAAGCGATCCACCTGCCTTGGCCTCCTAAAGTCCTGGGACTACAGACATGAGCCATTGCACCTAACCCTGACTCAGCTTTGACCTTGGCTTTTCTCCTGCTAAGAGATGTGGCCATAAAGCCTCCTGTGGTCATCCTACAGCCATGGGGGACTTAGGGAATGAAAGTCCTGTGCTATTGATGATGAAGCAGAAAGACAGAAAGAGCCTGGGGCCCTGATGACATCATGAAGCTAACACCGTAGTCCACCTGCTTCGGGATCTCTTCTGTTACCTGGAAACAACAAAACTTTTAATTTGTTTAAAGCACCATCATTAGGTTTCAGTTAATAACTGATACATGCAGTTCTTCACTGAGATACTATGAATCCTTTTTTAAAAAACTGAATAATAAAACCATCACCGTCATTTAAATGGGGCTGTTCTAGAGAAATGCCACCGAGATGCCACTTTTTCCATCTTATTAACCAAAACACCAGCCTTTTCACCCTGACAATTCTAGGGTCAGTTTACTATTACCATGATCATTTCACTTGCCTTTCAAGTAATGTCAGAGGCAAAAATCAGGGAGGGGCAGGGATTAGAAATGTTTTCCCCAATGGTGAGCCAGGCTGACAGCACGTGGGCCTGCTGCACGTGGACAAAGGGACACACCGAGTGAGGCCCGTGGTGCCAACAACCCTGTCGTGCTGCAGACTGGGCGGTGGCCACTGACTTCAGGGACCATCTCTTGTCCTCTCTCCTCTCCCTCTCTGAGTCCACTCACAGCCTTACCGATGTGGCCGAGTAGACCAAACCCTCTGCCTCCTCAGGATGCTAAGGATTTACTGCTCTACGGGGGTGAAAACTAATTCCTTAGGTCCAGGTCAGTGCCGTCAGCTTTTCACAAACCAAGATTCCAGAAGATATCTCCCCCATTCCTGATACTGCTCCCAATAAAAGAGAAACATCACTATATGAAGATAGAGGCTGAGGAGCACTGAACATTGAGCCTTCACCGTAAGATGTTTTTAAAGAAATGAAGCTCTGTTCTATCTATTAGGTATGAGAGTAATGCCAACCATATGAACAAAGTGCTGCCTGGTGAAATTCCTTAGAAGACTTATGACAAATGCATATGAGAAGAAATGGTAATAAACAAGTATTAGTTTGTAAAAGTCCTGTTCACGCTGTGAGAGTAGGGGATGGGCGGTGTAGGATGCTATGGAAAAGGTAAGTATAAGCACAGCTCTTCTATCACCTTGAATGAAAGACAGAGGGAAAAACGCCCTCTATGGCTAGAACAATGTCAGTGCTTGAACTAAAGGTTTATAATCTGGTCAGAGCACCCTTTTAAGCAGAAGAAAAGCAAGCATCATTTACATTTCTGCCTGCTTGTAGGGGCTAAGTCATAAGCCATGTGCCAAAACCTCATCTGCAGGATCAGCTCTGAAAAGAGAAAAAGAACTCTGCCAAGCATTTATCAACACCTGAAATTGTTGCTTTTCATTCCCAGAACTGAAGCTGTTTTATTGAATTTTTTAAACCTGAGGTCCACCACTCCCCTCCAAATCTACAGGCCCTGCCTCGGGTTTTAAACCATTGCTCTAAGAAAGAAAAAAGATGCCAGAGATGCTATTAGTACAACAGAGGAGTGGAGGCCTGAGCCCTCCTGCAGCCCAGCAGAGATGCCAAATGCTCCAGGGAGGAGCTTCGTGCGACCTTCCCGGACCACTCAGGAGAGCAGGGCTCCACAGGAAGGCCCAGCAAGGAGACACATCCAATCACCGATGCTGGGGCAGGGAGAGGAGGGATATGACAACAACAAGGCTGGACCCACTGCCCCAGGAGGGTACATGTCGGAGGCTCTCAGGGGTCCAGAGACCTGGCTGTACAGTCCCCTGGAGTCCCTCCTGGAGGGACAGCAGAGGGGGCTCTCAGGAGCCGTAGGTCGAGAGAACAGGAGAGGCGGCCCCTGGGCCTGGGCCCCGCAGTGTGCTCCACAGAGAGGACAGGAAGCACAGGCCTCCTGGGAATCACCATGACGCCGAGAGGGAGAAATGGCCGGGAGTCCAGGGAGCTGCTCTGCCTCCAGCCGTGTGTCCTCGAGCAGGCTGCACTGCTCTTCCAGGGCCGTAGCAGGCTCCCCCACAAAGGACAGGGCTGTGAGCAAGGGAGCGGCTGCAGGACCCTCACAGCACCCGTGTCTATGACTCCCCCATTCCGCGGCCTCCACCGCCCTCCCCAGCGCTGACTCACTCTGGTGCCTTGTGACTGCTGGGTTTTCTTTTCCTGACTCAAAGCAAAATAGGAACAGAACAGTGGAACTCCAGACGTAGGGCCCATCTTCCCTCCTTCCCATGTCACTGAAGCGGCTCCAGGTCCTTGAGGGAAGCAATGGCTTTAGCTTTGGCTTCCAGTCCGTCACCGAAGGCCCAGGGCCTTCTCAGCCCAAACAGGCAGTGTTTTGTCAGGAGGCCCCATCAACAGCAAATGGTGCCATGAAATCACAGCAAGCTCCTCCACTTCCAGCCACCTTGCCGTCCTGGCAAAACTCCCCGGACCTGCCAACATGTGTGGGAGCGGGTAGAGGCAGGGGCAAGGCCTGGGGAGAAACACTGCCAAAGTCACACGGCCGCCTCAACTTCAGCTTTGCAGATCTTAGAATATTATTTTTTGCCCTCTACTGTAAGTTGACGGCAAAAACTTAAAAGCTTTAATGGCATTTTGTCATAAGCTGAACAAGTTTGTTGGAATGTACGGAAAAAACCCAACGACTTCTTAGGAGGAGAGAAAGCCCATTTTCTAGTGTTCTAGAACTGGTTCCATTACATTTTCTTCCTCTGAATCCCACAAGAGGAAATGAGGCTTCATCTGAACCCCAAGCCACGCCACAGGGTCAGACATCAAGGAGTGGTGTCGCCAGAGCAGGCCATTTGCCGAGGGGCTGCACGGACAGTCCTGAACTGGCACTACGCTGAGCGCCCACGTAGGCAGGG
This sequence comes from Homo sapiens, assembly GCF_000001405.40. Lineage (NCBI taxonomy): Eukaryota > Metazoa > Chordata > Mammalia > Primates > Hominidae > Homo > Homo sapiens. The sequence goes on from NC_000005.10 coordinate 78,535,269, forward strand.
TCCTGGCCTTCCACCCACCTCCTCCCTGAGCAAATCAGGGAGGACAGACACAGACACTGACAGACAGACCCCCCTCAGATTCCCCAGATCTGGAGCTGCCTCCCTTCCCATCTCACCCCCTGCTGCCTGCCTCATCTCTCAGTGCCTCCCAAAGGGAAGAGGGGATTGTCCACGATGGCTAGTGTGAGGGGAGGAATAAAGGAGAGCAAAGACGACCTAGGACCCCCTCTCCCACCAGAGCCACACAAAGCCAGAGCAGCCAGGGGACACTAAAGGGGCCAGGAGAGAGAAGGCCCCTCCCTCACCGTCAGCCCCCAGCGCTGTCTCCTCCCAAGCCTGCTCCACCTGCTAGCTCAGCTCCCACCCCAATGCTGATGCTGCAGTAGGTGGGTGAGGCTGAGACCCACTCCCCACCAAGCCTGTGGCTGGGGGCGCCTCTGGAGCTCCTATCTAGCCCCGACACTGCCGCATGGCTGTAGCTTCCTTACGGCAGGGGGAACACCTTGGGGAAGGGCAGGCTGTGGCTCCTCCCAGACCTGACCTCAACATTTCACATGACAACAGGTGCCGGACTCTGACACGAACTCATAACAATCTATAGGTTAGTATCAAAATCACAAGTGGGAGCCCCCCAGTCTCAGAGTTCTGAGCATCAGAATAACTGTTTATGCCCTACGGGGACCTAGGCATTCTCCATGGGGACATGGGAGTCACATGGCGTGTGGGACACCTGTGCAGAGGTATTCCTGGCCTTTCTTCTATGAAGACCACCAGTCACAGCTTCCATACCAAAGCTAACTAACGCTTATCAGGAGCCCATATCAAGAACAGGCCAATGCAAGAGAGTCTCAAAAAGGCCCCAGTGGCTGAACGTGATCCCATGGAGAGTGGGGGGATCAGAAACAGCTAATGGGATGCAGAACTCATTTCGGGGCTGGGGAGGGGAGGATGCCGTACCAAGTGGGGCTTGGCCGTGGCACTGTAAATGGCTGTTGCCCCTACTGTCCAGATGCAAGCAGTCGGCCGGGCGCCCAGAAAAAAGACCCATCCAGAGGAAAGCCCTCCAAGAAAATAGGCGAGTGTCACTTACTCTTTGCCTCTGGGATAAATCTCAACAACTCATAGAACCAACACAAGTTCTGGCCTTTTTCTCTCCCAAACATGGCCTTGTCTAATTTGTTCTCCAAGAGACCACAGAGCCCAGTAAGAACTCTGGCCTCTCAGGGAATGGTTTTATTCTTCCCCAAAGGGAAAAACTACCTACATCCTCATGAAAATTTTAAATGACCAAAATGATTTTTACCTCACAGTTTCCACATCTGGGCCATTCTTCTGCCCTTAGAATTCTCGTAAAGCCTATTCCATTATTTTAGGACAGTCTCAGTTATTCATCAGCTAGCTCAGGGCTGTGTTTTTCTGAATTAAGTCATTATGTCTATTATACAATGTTCAGATTCTACCCAGCCATATGCATTTTTACCAGTAAAATCACAATATACAACACTTGTAATCTTGTCCTTATATAAGTGCCACCACCACCATGCAGCAAAAACGTTATAGGATGACAATATGACAAGAAACAGCTGTCAAACACTGGCTTTTTTCCAGCTTCAGCCAAATTCAACAAAAATTGAGCAGGGTAACTTCCTTGTGTGTCCGCCTTCAGTCTTCCTTAAAGCCCTGAAGATCACAGAAGCGCTCCAGCCCCTTGCTCCTCTAAGTGTGCTCCCTGGACCAGCAGCGTTGGTGGCACCTAGGAGCTTGTGAGAACTGTGGAAGTTCAGACCCCAACCCAGACCCACTGAATCGGAATCTGCATTTCACATTCACAGGCACATTAAAGTTTAAGAAGCGCTGCTCTACGACTGTCCTCTTCCCACTCATTCCCTACACACATGCTCTGGCCCCAGATCTGAGATCCACCTCTGCTCCCTGGAGGCCACTGAAGCTTTCTCCGAGGGGCCCAGCTGCCATAGCAACATCACTCTGGCTGGCATTCCACCCACCTGGCTGCACCCTGGCCCCATCAGCTGCCTCCCTTGACCTGCCAAGGTGATGTTTGTCCCAGATGGTTAGAAATGTGCAAGGCTTCTTGCCCCCCAAAAATGGTTATTCGTGGGAAAAAAAAGATCTATTTTTAGGTGTCAATTGCCAGCCCATCCTGGCTCACCCAGTCTCTCTCCTCCCGCTTTGCCCAATTAGAAAGATTATATTGTTTCCTGGCATACAATTCCAAGGGCATTGGACACAGGCAAGGGACCTGGAGAAGAGATCCAAGAACAGCTCTTAGTGAATGGAAACAAGATGATTTCTGCTCAAAGCAATTTCCTCAGCACCCACTCTTTCCTCCCACACGGACCCCACGTTAAAGAGGCGCCAAGGCCACATGGAAGTAACAGAACACTAACATGTGCAAGACATATTTTTCACCCTCAAAATGTAACGGAAAGAAGGGAGAGCTAATCAGTTAACTCTCCCTTTATCCCACCCAAGTTGAAAGCTTGATATTCTAATCCCAACTTCCCAGATGATAGAGGTATACATCCAAGTTTATCTTAAGTGGAAGAGTGTGCATTAAAAGGATATAAAATGCGAAAGCTTCTCATCTAGCTCAAATTCTGACTTTTAGGGGAAACCTGGAAATGGCCATAAACGCATGATTTACCTATCTTGGGGCGCTACAGGGATGGGGAATGTGTGAGGCCATTTCCCTTTTCTTTGCTCACAGTAGATGGCACTACTTCATCACAGTACTTTCCCCCACTCAGCCTAGAGGCTGCCTTAGAATCTTCTCAATAGAGCCCCTAGTCCTGCGGCATCTCAGCCATCTGCAACTCCTGAATCAGGATCTATGTTTTAACAAGATCCCCAGGTGATTCACAGGCACACGAAAGCTTATGAAAGGCTGATGTGGGCTGCAGTCACCTGATGTAGATTGACAAAGTGAGACACACTTGCTGCTCCTAGTCTGTTATTCTGGGGGTTCCAACGTTCATGTCTCAATTTCTACTCCTACTTCTCCAAAGATTTCAAACTGAAGCCTTATATACAACAGGTGGCTCATTAAACATTTTTTTAAATTAATAGCAAACATTCAAAGATTGGAGAATAAATGTAAAATTGCCAGGTTCTTTGCTTTTCTAGGGGGAAAAATCTCAGTGCATCTATCAATACTGGGCCCACATGTCAACGTGACAACAGGTGATTAGAGGTAAGAAGTGGCTGCTCTGTTAGACACAACACAGTATTCTAGTTTGTCCCAGTCTCCAATACTTCATATTGCCTCACACCATCCTGTCTTACTCATTCCTGCTATCTACCTGAATGTGTGACTATACCACAGGAGAGACTACAGTTGTGTCCAAAATCAACAACAACAACACCTGCCCATGACACCATCACCTGCATCTGCTTATTCTTTCCACTGACTCTGAAGGTGAGAAGCCACACCTGCACGGGCACAGTTTCACTTTCTCCATATGATCCCTGTGTGGGGACAGGAGCACCCACAGTATAAGCTGCCCCTTCATATAGTCCCATTGTCTTTGAGATGCACAGGTTGCCTCAGGTCTGCAGCCACACACCACGTATCCTTTGTACTGTCCAGTGACCTAGCACCAACCACACACCAGAAAGCATAATCCTTAAGAGCATGAGCCATAGTCTGCAACCTACTTCAAATTCCTAGCTCTGCTCTCCAATGGCGACATAATGACCCTAGGCAAGGCACTTGACACCTGCTATGGTTTGAATGATGATTCCCACCAAAATTCATGCTGAAATCCCCCACAAAATGGTATTAAGAGGTGTGGCCTTTGGGAGGTAATTAAGTCATGAGAGTCCCACCCTCACGGATGGGATCAGCATCCTTCCAAAAGGGCTTGGGGTTGAAGGGAGTGCCTGTGTACCCTTCTGCCCTCGGCCACGTGAAGACACAACAGCAAGGTGCCATCTTGGAAGCGGATAGCAGCCCTCACCCGACACCACTGCTGGCACCTTGGTCTTGGACCTCCCAGACTCCAGAACTGTGAGAAATAAATGTCTGTTCTTTAAAATTACCCAGACTGAGGTATTTTTTTATAGCAGGAACTAAGTGAATTAAGTGAACGAAGTGAACCCCTCAAGACAACCCTTGAAGCCTGTTTCCTTATCTGTGAAGTCGGAGGTGGCACTTAGCTTACTATTTCACTGACTTACTCTGAGAAATAAAAGATGGTAAAGTGCTTAGCATACGGTATATCGTATGCACTCAGTTAAGGTGGTTACTGCTATTATTACACATGGTGCTCAACAGGTGTTTGTTAACTGACTTTTCCATCATCTCAGACTATCCCACCTTGTACTGAAACTGAGGACTTCCAAACCCCCCACACCATCACCCAGGGATGGGAATGAGGCTCTGCAGTCTGTGGGGTCTCCGGACAGGCTGCCCACATCAGCATCTGAGTTGGTGGGATGCAGTCCTAAAACCACATAGCCTGCTAAGCCACACTGGGCATTTTTCTTGCCCCACTAACAACTTCTACATGAACCAGGCAAGACTTTTGCTTTTTTTTTTTTTTTTTTAAGTTAGCATTTTCATTTGCTTCCCTTCAAAGTTATTAAGATATATTTTTAAATTCCATTCTGGCCACACAAATCTCTCCCTTCTCTGATCTCCCACTGTGCTTGGTTAGGACCACACAGTCGAGCATTTAATGTTCTCTCAATATTTCATATAGGCTGTATGAGTCTCTACAAGAATTCTAAATGGCCTCCAGAGGTGACTGGCAGAGTGTGTTACCAATGGAAGTTTTTAGAAGTGCACACACGTACACAATTTTTCTTTCAGGCAAAACAGACTTTTTTTGCACTAGCAAAGTGCTAAGCAATGTAATCAACAAAATACATACTATGCCCATCAATACCCACTGCCTGTACGCTAAGAGACATGTTTTATGTTAACTGAACTACGAAATGGAACTCTTCCAGTTTTCTTTGGTATAATAAATGAAAAAGGACTGAATTGGGTCACTGTCTTGTTTGTTTGTTTCCTTAAAAAGGGACTGGAGATGATGTCTGTCTGGGCTGCAGCATTTTATCTGCCAATGCTGCAAAACTGATGGAAAAAACATGATGTATCTTTCCAAAAACAATGGTTTCATGCAAGTTCCTCCTTTCGGTTCCAAAATATCAGTCACTGATTGCAACAGGCCTCAGATCCTGGCCTCAGCCATCCTTTTTAGGAACCACCATAGCCTCCCATTCATGGCCTTCAGAACACATAGGGCCACCAGCAGGAACTGGCAGAGAGGGGCCCCACACTGGTGATGGTAGGTCTCTGAGATGGGAGGCCGGAGAGATGCGTGGGAGAATTCCTGGCACCTGTGGTCCAAGGCATTTATTCAAGCATCCTGTCACTGCTGCCTCTCTGTAACCAGCTTTGACTTGTTGGAACAACTACCAATGTCACTGCATTAACCACAGCCCTGGACAACAGCTCCTCCTCCTTGGGGCAGACAATGGCTTATTGAAGCGGCTCTCTGGGGCTGGTTTGGAATGAGCTGCTTGTCTGAATGAAAACAGCCCTGCTGAGCAACCCCTAACTTGCTATGGGGACACGGGGGGTTTTCATCCCACATTCTTGGCCTTTAACAACCAGGAAGCCCCAATGTCTGTGACTTACCTGTGTCCTTCACGAGTGGACAATGCTGACCTCTAGCAGTGCCAAAAGGAATTATGGAAGCGTTTTAAGCACAGCCTGAGGTCTCCATGAGGGAAAATGGCATTAATATGAGCATTAAGAACAAAGGAACAGAAAATCCTTTACCTCCCACTTAGAAGATAACTTGTCCCTTAATTAACTGCTTGATGTATCACCATTGAGTCAGCAGCCCCACGTCCCCAGCCATCCATCACCGCCACTTCACCCCAGACTCTAAATCCTCCGCCTTGAAAGAAGTCTAAGAAGACCTCCACTAGCCCGAGTGAAGCTGGGGGAGGTAAGACATTTGGGCAACTAGAGGGAGGGGGCGAAGGTGGGGACAGCATCTTCTAAGTAGTCACTGACAGCAAAATAGGAACTCACTGACCAAGGCCCCATGGTCTTAGGAGTGTTTCCTCTGAAGTTTCCTGCCCACTCCTGAATTACCCAAAGCGCAGCCCTGGGATGTGGGAGCCACTGAAGAGATTACAGAGTTCATATTTCAAACCGCACAGCCCACTTGCTAAAGCCGTTTCACATTTACTCTGGTGTGGAAAACGCAAAGTCAGTCCCCGGCCCAGTTCACTCTGTCAGGAGCTCATGACTGAGCTGGTCACAAAGATTTTGGGGAAGGAGGTGGGGGTCCCTTTCATAAACTCTTGCAGTGAGGTGTGTGACCAGCCTGCCACCTGATAAATCAGTTACTAAAACAGATCTCAGCCTTCCGGTGACTGGGGATCCAATAACACTCAAGAGGGGGAAGAACATAAAACATAAATCCATAAAATACTGTGCTGCAAAAGCCACACAAAAGAGAACTTTCAGTTCAGACTTGCATGGCAGGAAAATGGTCATAAGTAAAGCAGCCTTGGAGTGCCTGCGACCTGATTAGGAGGAGGGCAGCCGCTAGCTTGTGCCCACCTAGCCTGAAGATGGTAGAAGCCAGAACCACAGTGGTTAAGTTACATTTTTTTTATAAAAAGCATCTCACTTTAAAAAATATCTTTCTATGGTGGAAATAATGTTAGAATACCTAGAGTTTGAATTATGACAAGGGTCCATTTCAAAAGGGAAGCCATTTGCAACTGTAGAATCCTTAAATTACAGGAATTTAATAGCTCTGCGACCCTTTGGATTTGTTTTAAAAGACCACTGTCATTAAGCTTTTTTTTTTTTTAATGTCATTAAGCTTTTGTCCAACTCCTTCCACATCCTTCAAAAATAAATTCTCCAGCACTATGTGCCAGCTCTGATCTCCAGCAGGCCTCACATCACCCCAGGGCTGGCTTTCCCCAGTGGGGTCCCTTGAGAGGCTCCAGTTTCTGAATGGGAAATGCTGCTGTGACCACACCAGTAGGCCAATCAAAGAAGCCCACTCTTACAGAGCTGCCACATCCAAGCGCCCTTGTCCCTTTGTCCCCTTTGTCGAATCCACAAGCAAAGGCTGCTTGTAAATGGCTTCCTGGGACTTCCAGGAATCACCCTAGTGGGCTTCTCCAGCTCTGCTGCTCTGCTTGCATCCCGGGGGCTGGGAGGCTCTGACAGAGCTGAGCCTTCCCCCTGATCTGGGCAGTTCCAGCCAAATGGATTTCCTGCTGAAGCCCACCTCCACGCCGTGCTCATGCCACCTCTTCCACCCTCATCTCCACATGCACACCTCTCGCCTGCCCTTCAAGAGACAGCTCAAGGCCACCTCTTCCAGGGAAGCCTTGCCTTTCAGACTGCTTCTCCCACTGAAAGGGGTCTGGTCTCTATCTGGGCCACTTTGATGGTATAGGTACTCTCTACAGCCTGGTGGACTTCAGAGGACACCTTTGCTCCCTTACTAGACAGTGCACATGCACCCTGAGGTCCAAATCCTCAGGACTCACCTTCACATCCCCTACAGGGCCTCACACTCAGTGAATGCTCCTTAAGTGCCAATGGTGATATGGAAGGTAGAAAGAAATTACTTAGGCAGATAGTGAGGGTAAAAGAGTCCTCTTTTAACAAAACGCAGCCCAAGAAATTATTTTTTCCTAACAAAGAGCAGCCTGAAAAATCGAGCTGCAAGCAAAGACAGGCAAGCTGGAAGCTTGCATGGGGGAATGCCAGCAGCTGTGTTAAAGGAATAGGCAGCATGGTGCAGGCCAGGCAGAGAACCTACCTGCATAATAAAAGATGGTGGGGGGCTACCAGAAATTTGCACCCTATGCAAATGGCACACCTGGTCCAACCAATCTTTTGTGCCCTATGTAAACCAGACACCACCTCCTCACCCGGCATCTATAAAACCCTTTGCATTTCACCGCAGATCGGCAACCTGTTTGGGACCCCTCTCTCTGCAACAGAGACAGCCATTCTCTTTCTTCTGCCTTTTAAATTTCTCCTCCTAACCTCATTCCTTGTGTGTCCACGTCCTTGATTTCCTCAGTGAGACAACGAACTTCAGGTATCACCCCAGACAACGAGGCTGCTTCAGTGGGAATCTCCCTGGGGCTCTGTCCCTACAAGCAGGGGCACAGCATGCATCCACAGAGCTCTCTGGGCTCCAGGTGGGCCTCCACCTGGCCATTCTCCCTCACTGCCCCTCTGAGAGAGTGCGGCACAGTAGGAGAGCCAAGCCCTCAGCCTTGTCCCTGAGAGAATCCTCAGACCCCAGGCCTGGCCTTCTGGCTGCAGGGATGAGGTCAGGAGCCAGCAAAGCCCAGGGCAGCCCCACTAGGGCTGCAGGTCCCAGAAATCCCCAGGATACAGGGGACCAAGGTGAGGCTGAAGAGCGACCCTTTCCTCAGCAAGTCAAGTCACCTTCAGGAACACACAGCTGGAGGACTAAGGGAGACAGGTGAGATGTGTGTATAGTGACAAGGACAAAATAGGAAGATTAGAGCAAGACATCATGCCATTGCTGCACGTGAACTAAAGGCAGAGAAGATGACTTGGGACGGGAGGTGGAGGGGAGAGTCTGACTTTGCCTTTGATTGTCTCTTGCAATTCCAGGTGGAGATAGCAGAGACTCAGAATGGTGGAAGTCAATCTACCTCCAGTGGCAGATATGCCCAGGTGAGAGGGGCAGGCTGGCAAGCACTCTTCCCTGGCTCTAGTGAAGGGCACTGAGGGAGTGCTGAGGACAATCACTGACCACCCACCAGTGCCAGGACAGCAATGGCTTGACCTGCCCATTCAGAGTCCCTTGTTATGGCAGCTTCCCACGTGGCTGTCTTCCAGATATAGTTTGTCCTCTTACTTGAAGCCCCCAACCTGTGAGAACTTCAACACCCCAGCTGCTGTAGACAGTAAACTCCAAGAGGGGATCATGTGTCTCTCCCACAGGCAACACTGCATCCTTGCACAGGCATCTGGCACACAGAGCAGGTCTGCAATAAATATCTATTGCACGACACCTCAGAGGGTAAAGCAGAGCTCAGGTCTTTGGTTTTGCATCATTACAGGTAGCACATTTTGAACACAATATACAAAAGCAAATCGGCTTCAGCACTCCTGAATTGACATAGTAGGGGACAGGGGTAGACATAAAAAAAAATCTCTAAATGAAAACTAATAGTGGCTTTCTTATAGGGCTACCATTTTTACAGTAAAACTTTAGCTGGGAAAACCTCTGTTGTGATTTTTGTTAATAGGATGTATATGTAGCAGTTGTCTGAATCTTCAAGTAGCTGATCTGTGCGGATGCAGTGACGGAGCCACAGCTTGCTGACCGCAGCAGTTTTAAAGTGACTCATCAGCAAGGTCAGGCCACCTTGGTGGGAAACTGGGGCCAAAGGCAGAAAAGTGTGCCAGGAAGTCCCAGGCCATCTTCTTACACACACACACACACACGTATACACACACACACCCCAAAACAGAAAAAAAAATCCAGCTGAAATGAACGTTCCAGCCTGCATTTAACTCCATTTTAGTCTGCTTTTCAGTAACCAGGACAGCGACAAGCTTTTCTTTCTTGTCTTTTCTTTTTTTAAAAGAAAAAATTCCCTAACCAAAATATGGAATTCATCTGCATTGTAATCCCAAGTGGAGAGTGCACGCATTTCCTCTGGATCGTGCATCACTCACTCCCACTCTCTCTCATTTCTCATGGACAATGAATGGAAACACTCCCTTGTAGGAATTTCAACCGCCACTTTGAGACAGATGTTTTGGAAACCACTGACAAGCTGCTTGTCACTGTGAGGCGGATCATACACTTTCACAGCCATTTGGTCCAAAACCACGCAGAGAGCGCTTCTTCACGTCCAGCTCCAATACGATCTGCAGGGTATTAGATGGCTGATACTTAGCCACTTCTTCATGTCCCCCTTACCCAACACATTCCCCATCAGGAGGCAACACCGAAGGCTCTATCTCAGCAAAGTCACCATTGTCTGCTATAGAATCAAGAGTAGGATTTCTCTGTGAAGATCCAGCATGGTCCAAGCCTTCAATGAAAACACTACTTTCAGGAAGAGAGTTAGGCACTTGGGAAAGAAAATGAACATTTTTAAGCCACCAAGGTACTGTTCATAAATGTCTGCTAGGCAAATGGGGACCTCATGGCTTGAAAGAGTTATTATTCAATACTTCCCAAGCACCCACATAAGTTCATGTTTCTCCCTGAGGGCCTCACTTGCTCCATGAGACGAACTCACTACAGCGTTCATCTTGTTTAAAAAGACTTGGTGTGATGCGTGGAGGCCGATCATTCGAGCCACCTGGATGTGCTGTGAAATAGTTTCTCAAGCAGTCCCAGCTTTTCCAAATGCACCTATCAAAACAAACCTAAGTGCCTGTTAAATTCACTCTTTAGGAGACCTACTTTGTTCCAACAGAGTCAACTGACCGAAGATAACTTTCTGCAGAATCTAAGACACTCGCCTGAACAATCTTATTGGCCAGAATAAAGAATAAGACACTGGTTCATATACATTTGGAAGGGTATGAAGTCAGTCAAGGGCAGACCCTCAAAAAGACTCATCCTTACTTCTCAGTCTTTAGCTAAGGCCATGATACAGAGGCTGAAATGAAGAAACTAAGATACAATCTGAGAAAAATACCCAAACTTTAAAACTTAAAACCTGTGCAAAAGTTGCTCTCCTATACCTTGGTCATGTTACTTACTGAGTTCTAATTTCTACGGTACCACTAAAAACTCTGGAGTGACCGTCTGTGAGCCATTAAACCCAAGCACAAACGCACACTTTCAGGGCTGTACATGTCTGCGTAGTTTTTGCACACATTGTTAAGATTATACTGCTGGCTTATTTTCTCTATATTCTCTTTTCTACGATAAAGATCATTTACATGCAACATTAAATTTCAACTTTATATGGGGCAATTTTTGAGTGGATTGATCATAAAGCCGCATCTCTGGCAGGAAAGACACTTTTCAAAGTAGCCGTTCTGAGGCACTCCACTCACTAAAACCATGAGAGGGACACGGCAGCAGTGTATGCAAGGGCATCGGCTCTAGCCAAGAGGGCCTATCCCCACCCCCACTACTTTATCCTTGGGCAAACCACTCAACCTCAAGACTCAGCTTCCCCATGCATGAAACAGGGATAATAATAGAACCTACATTTTGTAGGATGAGCAATGCATCCTAGAAACAGTGATCAACAAATGGAAAGCTCTCCATAAATGATATTTTTTATCACATGATTCTCAGTAACCTCGACTCCAGGACTTGCTGGTGCTTACTTAGAACACCACAATCTGGCAGAATCACCTGCACATATGACTAGAACTGGCCTCCTGTCTCCTTGCTACTTAGAGGTCACAGTCTGCGTCTTCTGTGTATATTGACTACGAGTTTCTTGATGACATAGTGGTCACACAGAAACATCTATTTGTTTAGTGCTTTGCTTTTGGCTGCTTCCAAATGTCTGTGGATTGATCGATGCAGATCCCAGAAATGTAATCATTAGTTGCCTGGCTAAAGAGGTTTCTCTCTGTTTGTTTTTATTAGAAGTCAGTCCTCTGAACCTGTGGTTTGCAAACTTTCTTTTTGAGCATGAAACACTGTTTACAGAATCTGACAAACAACCCCAGTTCTGCATAGGAAACAGATGAAAGCAGAACTGTACTGGTAAAAAAAAAAAAAAAGTAGGGGGTTGAGGAGGGTCCCCTTGGCCCCCATCACCTCCAGGTAGCTCCTAAAATGTCCCTAGAAAGTGGAACACTCTGTGGAACAGGCTCAGAAGGGCGCTGATCTAAACCATCCTTCCAATTTCCATCTTATGGCCTAGAAATGCCACTCAGCCCGAACCCTAAGAGGCTCACCGGGGCACTCCTGCTCCTCATCTCACGGCTGCATCAGTAACAACAGAGGCAGAGCCCACAAACCACGATCTTGTGCTTCCTAAATGTTCCCAACATGGCTGTGGGCTGGGCAGACACACAAACCCTTCCTTTCTTTGTTTTACTGACTACACATTGAGTTACATCAACTCCCCAAAAGCAATGTCCTAGGACCACAGTGTTTACATGGCTGTGCCAGCCAGCACACATGACGTCTGATATCATTACTCTGGGCTTCTGGAGGAGCCATAGTGCATTTACACTTCTTTATACTCACTGAGCAGTGGCATGGAAACCAAGGTCAATCCAATCTATCAAAACCTCACCAAAATTTTAAAATAATTTGCAATGAAAATGCCTTTCTCATGGTGGAATACACAGTCCTTCCAATGTCTGTGAAGTACCAGCACAGTTTCCACACGTATGAAATATTAACAGGGACAAAAAAAAAATTGAGAAATTCAGAGGAGGGGATCAGGATAACAAAGCAGCTGGAGAAAGTCATTGCTTCAGAAAGCACCAGGACTAGGAAGCAGGCCCCGCCTCCTCGGTTTAACTGCCGCTCAGCGGAAGCATGACGTAGGTCTCACTGTGGGAACCCAGAGGTACAGGGGGCCTGTTCAGGGTGGTCTGAGGGAGACTGGCCAGGAGGGTTGGGGCTGGAGCCAACCAACAAAATATCCCAACCCATCGTGAAGAAAATATTTCCTCCTCAGGAAAGGCCGCTACATCTCCCCAGGGAATGGCTGGAAGACTCCCAGCCTGAGTCATTCGGAAACAGATTTACAAAGCACTCGGGAGGATCCCGAGGGAATGATCAGGCCGAGACGGAGGAAGAGCCTTCATGACCAAGTGGGTCTTTTCCAGCTCCAGCTCCCATGACTGCAAGGTCCTTCTGGTTCTTCCCAACTCACTCTGGCCAGCACGGCTGTAGCATGACTGTCACGATCCTTGGCTCTGAGTGTTTTAAGGCCTGGATGTGGCGATGCAGAGGCCTCCCAGCTACGGTACATAAGCTACAGTCTGCACTTCCACGTAAAGAGCTCCACCCGGCCTTGGGGCATGGAGAAGGTAGTGGATGTTGTATCCAAGGAGCTGGTGCTGGCCCAGGCCCAGTCCCAAGCACTTGCCTGTCCAGCCTCCGTGGGGAGCGCCCACCAGCAGCCCTCTCACATTTCTGCATCTCACCAAAGGCCTGCTGAAAACAGGCCCCCTGTGACATCTGCTAATCAGATTTGCCCCTGGAGCCAGTAATAATTAAACTTGGTCTATGAAAGGAACACTGGAAAGGTCTCCCATCCCACAGCTGGTCAGCAAACAGAGCAGAAGGGCCGTATCTACAGCCATGTCTGTGTAAATCTTATTCAGCTGTCAGAATGAGCCCTAAGTGACACTGGTCACCCTCACAGGTAGCTGTCAGCCCTTGGAAAGCTGTTGCTGGGGGCAGCTATGAGGGCTAGAACTTCTCCCTCAGCTCCCCTCACCTTTCCTAGGCAGCACTGGCAGACTTATGCTGGATCACGCACCCTGGGATTAAATGCCATTTTCTGTGCTGTTCCTCATGTGCCAAACATATTATGTGCTTGTTAACTATTCACCTGATTCAGGTTTCTGGAAAACTCCTATCCAGAAATTTAGATTTAAACCAGAAAAGCCTCCTAGAAAGTATCAGATTAGATAAGAAAATTGTATTTTTCTGTCTTATATCAGCATTTCTATTGGGTGATACTGCTTATGTTGGTTGTATCTGTTAACTATTGTTGAGTAACAAAGTGCCTTAACATTTCATAGCTTAAAATACCTGATTATTTCTCACAATCCCAGGGTTCGGCTGGCTGTTCCTCTGCTGGTTTCTCCTGGGCTGGCTCACGATGGCTTTCAGCTAGTCAGCTGCGCAGGAAGGCCCACAAAGGCTTCCTTCACGTGTCTGGTCATGAATGCTGCCTGCCAACAGGGGAACCTTGGCTCTCCTCTGCAGGCCCCTTATCCTTCTGGGGCGAGACTGGCTTACTTACACAGAGGTCTCAGAGCAGAGTTCCAAGAAGGTGAAAGTGGAAGTAGTCAGACCCTTTGAGGCTGAGACTCTAGAACTTACACAATACTTCTGCCACATTTCAGCCATGAAGGGAAGTCAGAAGGCCAGCCCAGACCCAAGGGGCAGGGAAATAAGACTCCAGTTATTAATGGCAGAGTGAAAAAGAATGTGCAACCATTTTTAACCTACCACATGTCAGCATCTCCCCAACTGGGTCAGAGTTATAGGAGTTCTGGGGCAGGGCCATAGGTACTCTGAGATCAAAGCAATCCCAGGACAGACACTGAGTCCTGTATCCCCTTGAAGAGCCACAACACACATTGGCATGCTGAAGACTCTGAGTAGCCCTCCAATAACAATAAATTCTGCTCGATTTTCTTTCATCAGGAGTAAGTTTATAGAGGCGGAGGAAGACCACTTTCCTGTAACACGATTTTGGAAAGTCTGGTCATGAGTTCTGGATTTTTAGAACAGTTCCAGTTGAATATATTTTGTCTTGCTGCCTTAATACATGTCCCATAAATGTTGCATCCATGTCTAAAATACCTTCCAATATGTGGAAGTAGCACACAATATGGTAATTCCTGAGTGGGGGTTATGACTCTAAAGGTCACCACAGTGCAGCTCTCCAGTAATTAGACATTAAGAAACTTCCACTCAAAATCATCTTGATCCTTGAAAAACTTTCCTAGAAGTTATATGCAAAAAACTGGGGGTTGTTTTCTTCAGGTACAGTATTTCTGAGCATTGACAGAAGTCTTGATTCCTACAGAACAAATGTTACAATTCACTCTGAATAAATTCCACGTTTGAAATTCAATAACAATAAATAATATAACCCATAGTGGATCAGGAGGCCAAGCTTGCACACAGGCTACTGGACCACTAGCAAACCACGCTACTTCTTACCTGCCTGTTGGCCACCAATCTGGAGCCTCCCATACAATTTTCTACTCCTTTGAAAAGAAAAGGCTCATCCATCTTCACAACCAGGTTCTCCACTTTCAACAGCCATGGCACGGAAGACATTGAACTAATACTCTAGTCATGAGAACATGATGATCCCAATAGTGGGTGAAGATTCATGAGAGGAGGGCAAACTCAAACCAAGGATTCAGGCCGTTATGAAGAGAGCTCTCACAAGACCAAGAACAGTCAAGAGCAGTCTCAATTCAGGGCCCAAACTCCAAAATAGTCCCTATGCATGGAGAGGGAGAGCGCCGGAATGCAGTGAAGGCACAGGGAGACACTGGATGCTGAACACAAGACTGAAAAAGGATCCTCTTTACTTCTGTTTTATTTATTTTTATTTATTTATTTATTTATTTTGAGATGGATTCTCACTCTGTTGCCCAAGCTGGAGTGCAGTGGCATGATCTCGGCTCACTGCAATCTCCGCCTCCCGGGTTCAAGAAATTCTCTTGCCTCAGCCCCCTGAATGGCTGGGATTACAGGTTCCCACCACCAGGCTCGGCTAATTTTTGTATTTTTGGTAGACACGAGGTTTTGCCATGTTGGCCAGGCTGGTCTGGAACTCCTCATCTCAAGTGATCTGCCCATCTCAGCCTCCCAAAGTGCTGGGATTACAGGCGTCAGTCACCGTGCCCAGCCATACTTCTGTATTTATTCTCATATTGGACAGAATGTCTGACAAAGGGAATAGAGAGAATTTATTTTTATCTTGCTGCTGAAACAGCTTCTTAGAATTAGTGATTCTTACCTCATTCACTAAACAATGGTGATTCACCAAAAGACAGAGCAGTCAGTGGCCAATTTACTAACTTGGACTCAAAACATCCTACCATTCCTTCTTGGGTGTCAAATATTTTTAAACCCTTTTCTTACATTGTAAAATCATCAGGGAAACATCTCCTGGAAGCCTAACTGCAATTTCAAAGGATGGAATAAAAGTGAATCTAGAGGAACGGGGAATTCCGTGGGAAAAAACACCTCATAAATGATAAAAGAGGAAGTAGAAATTTCTAAGGAATTGTGAGTGCATTGGTCTAAGAAATAAACAAGGTAACTTCTTGGAAGAGTTCCATAGCAAAGTCATTTGGGGAGCCTTTTTGAGAATGGCTGAACGTCAAATCTTATGGGCAATTTTGAATTTAAAGAGCCAAGAGATCAGTCAGTCCAAGACTTGGTGAGTTGGTAATTGGGCCTACTGTCCTGGGGGTTCCTAGGTTTGTATCTGGGGGCCACTTCAGCTCCTGGTCCTAATTCACCCTGAGAAATGGCTCCAGGCCCTGGACACCACCTTGAGCTGTCTTTCCCTCTAACAAGGTAGCTATTCAATCAGAAATAAAAGACTGTTGGGGCTCAGAAAACAACACCCCAAAACGAAGCCCTAGCAGCAGCCTTAGAAACATGAAGTTATTCTCTTTCTCCTGTCCTCCTATGTCTCAGTCCCAGTCTCCTGAGGCAGGCCACAAAAACTAGAATCCCACTTCCCCAAGGTGGGTTATAGAAGCCAGAACCCCCTTTCCCAAAAGCCAGCCATGAAACCTAAAAATATTCTATGTAAAAACTGGCCTTAAAGAAATTTTCTGATCTACCTTTTTTGACTGTAGGTCCTAAGACCCTCATTGCAGAGAGGGTACTGCCCCACACCCAGAAGAAAGGAATGCATGCCCAGAGAGGCCAAGAGGAATCTAGACAGGCTAGGTTTCCCCACTCAAGCTATTAGCATTAGATCATACCCTCTTGTCAAATCATATATCTACATGCCTGTTCATACTCTGTTGAACCTATGCACAAAAATGGGCAATTTCCCCTGTATCTTTGGGTCTTCATTCTGAAGGCACTCGTGTATACGTGTTTAATAAATTTGTATGCCTTTCCTCCTATTAATCAATCTGCCTCATGTCAGTGATTTTTTTTTTTTTTTTTGAGACAGAGTCTCGCTCTGTTGCCCAGGCTGGAGTGCAGTGGCGCGATCTTGGTTCACTGCAAGCTCCGCCTCCCAGGTTCATGCCATTCTCCTGCCTCAGCCTCCTGAGTAGCTGGGACTACAGGTGCCCACCACCATGCCCGGCTAATTTTGTGTATTTTTAGTAGAGACAGGGTTTCACCGTGTTAACCAGGATGGCCTCGATCTCCTGACCTCGTGATCCACCTGCCTCGGCCTCCCAAAGTGCTGGGATTGCAGGCGTGAGCCACCGCGCCTGGCCATGTCAGTGATATTTTTAGCTAACCTTTGGGGGCCAAGGGCCCCGGCCTCTACAAGACAAAGACAACTAAAGGGATTTAGCTGCTTAACGTAATAAGGGGGAAACCTGATGCCAACTTATTCCTTTGTTTCCTTTCTCAATCCATGTACTGAAGGATTCTAAGAGCAGGTATGCTCCTCTGGCACGGCCAAAGGCACCAGCACACTAATGCTATGAGAGAACTACTGCAGGGGGGAAAGAATTAGGGAAAAATAAGCATGATCAATTCTGTGTACTATTAAATCTAGCTAGATGCAGGGGATGTAGCACATTTGGGACTTGTTGGAATGATAGAAAATATATGGCAAATAAACAATAAATATTTCAGGTATAATATTGTCCAAGTGCATAAAGCGTGTCAATTTCTCCTTCAACAAAGCGTCACGGGCTATACAGAATCGCCAACCAGCCATGTAGCACAAATTGTTGGTTTCGCTATCCAAACGCCACACCTTTGGGACTTGGAACCCCACAGAAGTTCTGCAGGCTCCATTAATCATCCTGCACCTAAGTTGTTCCTACGATGGCAGGATGTTTGGTGGAAATCTGGATGTGAGTCAACAGAAATGGGTTCGCCACAAATGGTGCATGCCTTTGGACATTCGTGTGGAAGAAATGGTAAAAGCAGGGACAAAGCTTTCAGAACTTTCACAAGGTGACCTCTCCTGCCTACCTTCACAACTTCGCCACCTCATATATCTGTCACCCCAAACCACTCACTACTTCCTGACCACACTCTGCACTTCCGCATCTCCTTGCCTTTGCCCACACTCGTCTCTGCCAGGACTGCCATTCCCCTCTTTCATCCCTTGGCAAAAGCTAGTCATTTTCAAGGCCCAATTGAGAAGTCATGGCTCCAGCATGCCTTCTCCAGCTGGCAGAATTGTTCCCTCCTCTGTCCCCAATATAATTGGTTGACCACAGCAGCAGTGACTTCTCTGCTTGTCCTCTCATGGCTGGGTTGGGGGCCTTTAAGGACAAGGACACTTTGGTACTGTTGCTCTAGCATCACACAATAGCTCTAAGTGATTAAATATCTGTAGTGTCCAGATCATATCCCCTCACCCACTACATGACAAGAATGGAAGAGCTGATAGGGTATTAGGATATATTTTCCAGGTTGTATCAACAAGGATTCCGCATTAATAAAATAGGAATAGAAAACACACAGCGCAGAAGGATTCTTCAGGTCCACTGACAGCACTGATTCCACCTTCTTTCCTTCCCCAGGAATTTCCCCAAGTAATGAAGGTAGCTCTGCTCAGACTTGGCTGGCCACAGACTTCCGTCAGATTTTTGTTTTCTTCCAGATCTGACTACATGGAAAAAATACCGTAATTTCCTTGTGGACCTAGTTATAATTCTGTAGGCTGATTAGCTCTGAGGAAATTTCAACCCTACAAGGAGCCCTGACAATTCAGTTGTCCCATTTGTGATTATAATGGTTTGTCAGTGTTTGTTGTTGAGGCACAATATGTCATTTGGGGAGCAACATTTAGACACCTCTCCAAGATTCTCCCTGCGTTCCCCATTTCAGGATCAGTGGTATCAAATTCTTACCTCTTTTACATTTACTCCAGCATTGATCAGGCGCTGATCTATTTTAAGTACATTCCACTGGAAATCTCTGCATGTGCTTCCTTCCTGACCACTGAAGTGTCTCGCTTAGACAGACTTGTCTATCAGTGTTGAAAACTTACGACAGTGCAAGGGGCAGACACTGTGCGCGCCTGCTGCACCTCAAGCCCCCGTTCCTGCACACGCTTACAGCGAGCACCCAGGACTTCCACCTGAGGGCTCTCTTTTGGCCCCACAAGGAGTTGGCCCTTAAGTGCTGGTCTCAGAAGTGGTTAGTTAACGACAGAGAGGAGTTGGAGAGGACATATCCCAGATCTTGCTGGCCCAGCTGGGATAATTCTGATGGAAGTCTCATAGAATTCACTAGAGATGGAGCCTCAGGTGCCCACAGCAGCAATGCCATCTCTTTATTGGCTCTCTTCTCCTATTTCACACCCCTATTCCCTTAACAACGTTTTCCAGGTTTACCTCCCAAGTCACCTACTTGCACTTGAATCCCTGCTGCAGAATCTGCTTTTGGGGAACCCAACCTAAGAAAAGTACCAGACTAAAGCCACTTGATACAGATAAGGGAAGGCAGACCCAAGGGCAGCCCCATCATCAGGTATAGGAAAGATTTTCAGCAAATAAAACACTGCCATGGCTTATTCGTGCTGAGGAAACTTTCCGTGTCACAGCCATAAGGAGCCTGACAGCCTCAGGAAGTGAACTGAGCTGTCTCAGATCTTGGGGAATTGTGTGTCATATGTGTTCTAAAAACGGATTGGATTTCAGGGGCCATTTCCAACTTCCATGGTATTAAATTTCCTTTTATTCTTCCCAGCACCATATTTCCAATAAGCCCTAAAAAAACTTACCCCTGGGGAAGGATATTTTGCTATATTAATAAAGTCTTTGAATCCTTAGGAGACAAATCATCATATTTTCATCTCAAAAATATTAATTTTACTCCCTTAAAGAATCTTATGAAAATATTTGTATTTCTTGCCTGAGTTCCCTGGGAGGTAAGCTGAAAAACTAGCTAATAAAGGATAATTCCAATGTAACCAAAAAAATGCATATTGAAATATGGAAATAATTAAGGTCCCAAGAAAACATCAAGTCTTCAAATCAAAGCCCTTTAACTAGAAAGTATTGTCCAGGGACTCACATGAATACTATACATTAGACAGTATTCTAGGCATGTTTTGATTTAAACCAAGCAAGGAGGTAAAAACTTAATTTCTATAAATGGTAAATTAATAGGTGAGAATTCACTCCATACAGAGAATTTAAAATAGATTCCATTAAAGTAGCATACTCTGCAAAATATCAACTTTCATTTGTTTTAGAGAAATCTAGTTTATCCATTGTGTAAGACTATTTCTAATTGGGAAAACAGACATTCACTCATTCTGGAAGTGAAGCCTGGACTAAGAAAGGAGGAACATGGAAGGAGGAAGGAGGACAGACAGGAATTCATAAAACCAATGGGATGTGGGCAGAGGGGGAAAGAGGTATTTCTGGTAGATGGGGTAAAAGGTCTTTCTACTGGAAGTGGGGACCCAGGCCACAGGGCCAGTCAAGAGAGAAGGAGAGTTTCACTTGGGGGCATGCTAAATTAAAAATGTCAGTGGGACACCAGGGGAAGACCCCAACAGGCAGCTGGCTGGATGGGTCTGCACCTGGAGGAGAGGGTCTGGCCTGCAAGTAGCAGCTGAAGCCACAGAGTGGGCTGGAAAAGCCAGAGGATGCGAAAAGGTAAGGGAGAAAAGGGGACCAAAGATGACCCAGAGACCTTGATGAAGGGGCAGGCAAAAGAAGTCAGCCAGGTAGACTGAGAAGAAACATCAGGAGAGGAGAAGCAGGTGAGAAGCACTTCATGGGGTCCATGAGCCAACATGTTCTGTTTCTTCCTCTTCTTCTGACAATAGAAGTTATACCCTGTCTGCCCTGAACAGGCAGAGTGGAATCAAAAGTACCAGGGCAGGATGAGGGTGACAATGAGGGGCTCATGAGGTGTGGGTGAGGTGGGACAGGGGCACCCACTGGGCAGGGCTAACTTTCCAGATGGGGGCAGTCACAACCAAGAAGCCACATGAGAACTTTGAGCTGTGTTCTCTTTGATACTTCCACACCTGACTTCCCCTCAAACGTAGGACACTTTTGTGTGAGTTAACAATTACAGAGCATACAATACATGTAAAATTATGCATTCCAATAAACTTTTCTAGGAAAATGGGCCAAGGTCATAAATGTCACTATTATCATAAATGAGAGTTTCACCTAAAGGACAAACATGAACAAACAATTCAGAAAAGACAAACTTCAAACAACTATTCTATTTAGGAAAACATTAGATGTGGTCAATAATAAAAACAGTAACAAAATGAGATGCCATTCTCACCTCACAAACTAGCAAAGACTTAAGAACTGATAACTCATTCCTGATTAGGGGGACATACAATGGGTGCTCTCTTATACTGCCAATGAGGGCCCAACTTTCCTGGAAATATTTTTTATAACTAAATAATAATATCCATAAAAGGATATTCAAGGTTGATATTTAATGGTTTAAAAAAATCAGAACTCAAATGTCAAAATTAGAAAGCAGGTTAAAATGGTTTAAGATATACATCATAAGACAGAATACTGAAGATTTCTTTAAAAAAGGAACTTATAATGACATGAGGAAATATTTATAATATTAAACAAAAAAGTAACAAAATAAAGTTATATACAGAGTAAGAACTCAGTTATGTAAAGAAAAGAATGTACAAAAAGGGATACTCTTAGGAACTTGGACAGTAGATTACCAGTGGTGACCCCTAAGGGAACTGATTTTTTCCCTGCATGCTTATACATTTCTGTATGAACTTGGGTGATTTTGATAACTGGGGGGACAGGTCACACATAAACAGCTTCTGGCAATCCTTTTTTTTTTTTATACTTTAAGTTCTAGGGTACATGTGCACAACATGCAGGTTTGTTACATATGTAGACATGTGTCTGGCAATCCTAGTCCAGCCATAATAATATATATGTAAGGGCTGTTGCTTGGCTTCAAGAGTATACCAGTGTTCAAGGTCACCAGAGAAGACTGAATGTGACCTTTGGGCAGGTGAAAAACCACCTTTGCTTTAAGATGTGCAGATGATGTAAATATGCAAGCATACAACACAGAATACCACAGCACTGAAAGAAAGGTATAGCTTCTAGGGGTTTGCCCCAATGACTTTCTCTGCAACCATTCTTTTACCAAAATGCCTGCCAGTTTCCAGATGAATAGACTTAATATACCTGATGTGGGACATAATGGCCCAAAACTGGTGACCCTGACCTTGAATGAGAAGTCCATGAAAGCACTTGACCACCACCCTGCACTGTATCTTTCCAATCCACAGTCACTCCATGAATGCTAGGAGAAAAATGGATCGGACTTCAACTGAATCACAGATGTAGTCTGAGAATGAAGCAAGGAGGCAGAATGTGGTGGCAAGGCAGCCAGAGGAGACCAGCTCTTTCAGACCAGTCACATTAGATTCCTAACATGACCCTGAGTCAAAGTTGCCTTCATTACGTGAAAGAGATGTAAATTAACAACAGGAAGTGTCCACCTCCTAACACCACTTGGCCACAGTTATAGAACAATTTGGATCAAAATCAGGTACGTTTCCAAGTTCATTCGGACTTGCCAAATAGCCTTAAAAGCTTTTCACAGATTGTTCTGGGATGGTAACATAAGGTACAGAGATGAGGCCAACCCCATTTTTAGAGGCTGCCTGCTACCTTGGCTCTGTAACATGTGCCAAGTGGCTGGCCTGTGGCTCTGGGGATGCCAGTGCGAGGGGTGTCTAGAAGGACAGGACCATTGTATGACTAACGGTTCCACCCAGCATCAGAGCATGAAAGAAAGCAAAGATTACAAAAACTTTATTGCAATTTGAATTGAATTAATCCAAGAGAATAGAGATTAAATCAATATTTAATTCAGTAGAGGTCAGTTTCAGTTAGGGAGTCATGATGACGTTTCAAAGAGCAGACACGGTATTTACAGGGGCAGCATCTCAGAACTTCAGGGATACGCTATTGCCTTCTTTAGTGGCAAGCAGGGTTTGCTGTGGTTTGGCATGGGAAATTATTTTAAATAAGAATACTAAATAAAAATATATACAGCTATTATTTACCTATGTTAACAAGCTTCATATAAAAGCATACATTCGTTATACAGGGATGATAAGGGGACACCCCTACACGATCCCAGTGTACGCTCATTCATCTGAGTTCAATTAAACCACCTTCCTTTCTGGGAGCAATTTTTAAAACTGGATTGTTAAAATAAAAAAGCTTTCTCAGGAAGGATCAGGAGGATTCTTCATGCAGATGGAATGACAACAGGAGTACCAACTGGAACCAAATCTACCTGCTGGGAGATTTGCATATAGCCTTTTTCATGGACTTCCACTGATCACAACAAAACTATACATTTTTCTTTTCAGAGACAGGTCTTGCTATGTGGCCCAGGCTGGTCTCAAACTCCTGGGCTCAAGCAATCCTCCCACCTCAGCCTCCTGAATACTGGGATTACAGGTGCATGTCTGTGCCAGGCTTATACATTTATTACGGGAGATCCAAAACATCCCTGTGGACTAATCTGATTGGATAGAGGACCAGAATTCTTTGTGCAATAATCCATCAGACAGAAGGCCAGAATCTACCGGAACATGGGCACTCCGGTCACATCAACACTGAGAAGAGATCTTTTCCACCGAGGGAAAACATGCATTCTTCTTAAACCTCCAGGCTTCACCTCCTCTCCCCAGAGCAGATGACTTTTTTTCCCACTGCTCAAAAGAACTGAGCCACAACATAAGAATTCTCTTAAGGCCTATTCCCTGTATTTTCAGCTTACCTATGGCAGTGCACCTCCTGTGCCACAGAGAGCTGCCCTGTTCCTGTCCAAAGCTAACTCCCTGGGTACCTGCCTCCATGAGGCTATGTTTCATCAGTCGGCTGCAGCCCTGCCCACCCTACTCTCCCAAACTTCCCTTTTAGTCCTCATCATTTCTTGCCAGTGATGCCTTCCTATCTGCTTTCCTGGCCTCTGGTCAGCTGCTCCAGTGGTGCCTTCTTAATGTTCAACTTTACTTTTTGGCTTAAAAGAAATTTTGTGGCTTCCCAAATTATATTATTTTGTGGCCATACTCCCAAATACTTACAAAGTGGATGTTATAGTTAAGCCCCCATTCACTCTTCAATTTGACCAACATTTACTGAGCAAATATATGTATCAGGCACTGTGCTGGATAGTCTATAATGTCAGACATTGCACTGGGCATCGAGGATATACTACAAAACTCACACCTGCCCTTGTGAAGTTTATAGTCCATCAAGGGAAGCAACTTTTCATAGAAAGAGAATACCCCTGCTGGAGAGAAGCCCCAGAAGTCTTCTGTGGGATACGACTAGTTAGAAGTCTCATCAGAAAAAAGATACATTGTCAACATGCAAGTAACAAAATTAGAAAATGACAAAAAGAACTACATCCATTTTGTCTTCACTGCATTTAATTACTCTGATTTGTTTTGTTAAATCTTGAATATCACTGTCGATTTCTACTTTACCATTTTTCCCCTCCCAGGACCCTATATTTGGTCCAATTTACCATCGAGTAAAGGGAGAAGGTTGTTACACTTTCTCTTAATAAATGCTTCCTATACCTATTGACTGCTTCCAAATCGATGGTATAAATGTATCCTATACTCTAATATTGGAATTTAAGAAGATCAGTATCATAACAATTAAACTGTGCAAGGAAAAGCCACCTTTCTTCAGCTAAAGATTCTTCAAAAAATTTGATAATGGTTTCTATTTAATATAGAAGTATCAATCCTGCTTAATTCCTAGACAGAGCTTTTAACTGTACCACCCATCTGCTCAGTCTGGAAAAATACAACAATGGCGATGTATTTGCTGTGGTTATTACACGAAAGAATACAGGCATCACAGACTGAGTACACACAATCAAAGAATTTTAACAAGAAAAGCGGCCAGTGTCGATTGGCACCAACTACAGAGGAACAGAATGACAGAGAATAGCTATCCTCACCACCATCACCTCATAAGGGATGTGGCCTATCCTCAAACCCAGACAAGTATGATTCTGAATCAAACACTCTACCCACTGCCTCTCAGAATGCACATAAGTGCCACTAGGGCATCAATGTGAAACAAACATACTGATAACCTTACTTATATTACCTTCTCATGTTTCCTACAACTGCTGCCGAAAACTAAGCATCTAGCCAGCAATCATGCCCTTGGCAATATATCTCCATATTTCTGGTACCATGGTAAGAAGACAGTGCTGAATCACCATGGGTAATTAAAAGTCATTTTGTCCTAGATGACTGTTCCTAAACTGATCTCCCGGGGCATAGCAGTATGTGACACCAGGAACATGGCACCTGCAACAAATGTCAAAGTCAACAATCATGAAGGAGGGGGATCATTTAGCTGAAAACACTGGTTTCATATCCTAGGGAGTGGTTGTGAGGGGAAGGCTCTGAGGGCTCCCCTTGACAGCTTCATGAGGCAGTGGAGGCCAAAGGACTGCAAGGAAAGTAAAAACAGACCTTAAGCTGTATTACACAAGGCTTACGTAACTTGTTTGCTATGCATTTTTTCTTTTTTTCCTCCCAATTCTGAATATTTAAAACATTTCTCAAACCTGTTAATTGTCAGACTATGAACAAAACCTTAAAAAAAGAAAAAACCCACTTTCATAATCTTCAAAAACTAATAAGGAAAATAGTATTTTACTTGATAAATTAGAAACTATCCAATTTTATGGTACTCTAGAACAGCACTGTGCAATAAAAATATTACTGTAAGCCATGTGTATTAATTAAAATTTTTAGTAGCAACATTAAAAAGCATAAACTAATTTTAATAAATTTCATATAACTCAAAATATCTAAAACATTATTTTGACATGTGATCAGCATAAAAATTATTAATGGAATTTGTACATTCTTCTTTCTAATACTTAACACTTCAAAATCTTGTGTATTTTGCACTCATTGCACATTTCAATTAAGGCTCAAAATTTCCATCAGGAATAATTGATCTGGTTTAAAATTTATAAAATTTACAGTAGAAAAAGTAGAATCACATATGAAAGTTGTTCCAAACATACTTAAACATTTTCCAAAAACTGAATTAACTCTCAGTTCTAAATTTTAAAGTAAGTAGAAAGAAAACTTCAGTACCTCAGTCGCACTAGTCATATGTCAAGTGCTCAGCAGCCACACGGGGAGATGCTAACGGGGAGACTACCGTATCGGATGGTGCAGGTATAGCGCTTTCACTTTGCCCCTTCGGCTAGAATTCCCCTAGATGGGAAGAGACCTGTCCCCAGTTCACTTGTGAAGAGAACCCAGGAAGACCAACTCCCAGTGCTGCGTTCGCCCATGAGGGAGTCCCACCTTGTGGGGTCATCCTCAGTTTATTCAGATCATCTTCCCTGGTCCAAACTTGCATAACATGATAAAACGCAGCTCAACAAGACACGGTTCAAACATGAGGGGTTTTAAAACTGTGGATATTTTTTCATGTCTGATTCTCGGCTTCCCTTCTTATGTCCTAGTGAATTTACGAGCATGTTTACTGAGATTCATTAGGTGCTAGTTCTGTATGCCCCAGTCTTCAAACAGTACATCATTTACTCTCAGAGAAATCAGGTGAGATAGGTGAGAACGAGACAGGGTGACAGTCATTTGCTCGAGGACATTCACCTAATTATAAGTGGTTAGAGCAGGGATTTAATCCCAGAGAGTCTGGATTATTAAAAAGCATGCCTAGTAGAGGCCCCTTATGCTAATCACCCACCCTAAATTCACACTTTTCAAAGCCTTCTCACAATTCTCATGGAATAGACAGGCAAAACTGAGCAGGTATTACCCTTGCCACTTTGCCAGTGAGGCACAGGTGGTAAGAGATTCCCCCAAAGAGGCACAGAAAGAGCCTGGCAGAGCAACCCCTCAGACTCCACATGCTGTGCTCTTTCCATGATACCCAGTGCCAGGGAACAGGCAGAGGAACACCTGCTGTTTACTACGTATCACACGCATTCCCATCTTTTTGTTGGTCAATCTTCCCACCACTTTGGGAAGAAAGGATTATCCATGAGTAGAGATGAGAATTCCACATGGTAATGAAAAGTGCCCTAGGTCACAGAGCCTGCTGGTACCACAGCCAGGGTCCCAATCCAGGTCTGTGTCCACAGAGACGGAACCTCTGCCAAGGACCACCTGACATGAAGGCTCACCCCAGACTGCAACTGTGCTCTTTGCTCAAAACAAACCTTCCACCAAGTTCATATAATGCGACTGACTACATAACAGAAAGCAAGATCACCAACATGGCGAAACCCAGTCTCTGCTAAAAATACAAAAATTAGCTGGGCATGGTGGCAGATGCCTGTAATCCCAGCTACTTGGGAGGCTGAGGCAGAAGAACTACTTGAACTGGGGAGGCGGAGGCTGCAGTGAGCCAAGATCATGTCACTGCACTCCAGCCTGAGTGACAGAGTGAGATTCCACCTCAAAAAAAAAAAAAAAAGAAAGAAAGCAGGATCAGATTGCTCTACAATTCAGACACAATTAACTCAGAATGTCTGTTCTTGTGTTTGTCTGACTTGATAAAGTGTTACTGTATTTCTATGGGATGAATTCACAACTTTAAAAAAAAGACAGAGAAGGCTGGTTTTATTAGGTTAAGTATTCAGAGAGGGGCATTTCAAGGGAACACACCACCTGGATCCTGAAGGCTTTGGCAGAATGAAATTGGCTTTTCCCCAGAGCAGGATTAAACAGGCCAGTCTGGCAGTGACCAGGGTGACAACCCACAAAGGGGGGACTAAGCCATTACTGGGAAACACATGAGAAGTGTAGGGCCTCTTCACTCGGGTTTTCACATGCAGCTCCTTAAATAACAGGTAAAATGAAAATCGCTCCTGCTTCCACTCAGGCAGACAGTGCCTGGGAGTAGAAATAAATGCCCCTCCCCGGCACAGGCCTGCCTCCAATGAGAATATCTACAGTTGTAGAACTCTATGAGCACAAACCAGACCTCACTATCAACCCCAGTGTCATCTAGCTGACAAGCATCTGAAATTTTGCATCTGAACAGCACATGGCAGTACTATTAGCCAAACTTTAAACAGGTTTATGAGCAACTGGTTCAGAAAATCACATGTAATAAGTTCTTTAATTTCAACATACAGGCAAAGGTATATATTTTTATTAATAATCTTTATTAATAGAAAATTAATTTCTCCCACCTCCACTAAATAAATACGGAGTAGATAAAGATTATCAGTTTGGGCCGACCATGGTGACTCACGCCTGTAATCCTAGCACTTTGGGAGGCTGAGGTGGGCAGAGCACTTGAGGTCAGGAGTTCAAGACCAGCCTGGCCAACATGGTGAAACCCCGTCTCTACTAAAAATACAAAAATTAGCCAGGTGTAGTTGTGCATGTCTGTAGTCCCAGTTACTCTACTCAGGAGGCTGAGCCAGGAGAATCGCTTGAACCCAGGAGGTGGAGGTTACAGTGAGCTGAGATCACACCACTGCACTCCAGCCTGGGTGATAGAGCCAGACTCCACTTCAAAAAAAAAAAAAAAAAGATTATCAGTTTGATAAGGTGCCAATGATTAGCCTGCTCAGGACACCATCTGTCTCAGGTCAGCCCTGGCATTCCTATGAGAAGGAATTCTGCTCAAATAATTTCGTAACACACAAGTATTTACAATTCCTGTTTAACAACAACAACAAAAACCTCAAGCTTCCTAACCTAAGCAGTAGAAGTTGTTAGAACAACTTAACATTTGAGGAGTCACCAGTTCATTTCATAACATAAGAGCAATTTTTCCTTCCCTAGAATCTGCAAGCTAAAAGACTTTTCTACAAATGAGACGGTATCTGTGAAAATGCTGTGTGCAAATCCCTTCAACATGGCAGACCCTCCTGGAAAGGGTGTCAGTCAGTCCCAAATCCATACCTTGAGCTGGCTTCTTTGGGCTGAGCCGAACCTCCAGTTTATAATAAGACCTGAGAGGACCTGGCTGAATAGGCTTCTCCCTTGGGAGAAGCAGGGCTGGATCAAAGTCTTTTGGGACAATTATTTGACTATGTACTGCCTTGATTTTCTTAAATGTGTACTGTACAAGATTACTCAACCTCTATTATCGTCACTAATATTTTCAAAAAGTGACCTTTATAAATTAGAACCTGTAGAATTAATCATAAATCACCTATTAGTCAACTGTTTTTAACTTTTATTCCCACAAGCCTTCCATATGAGCTATCACTGAGTAATAAAATTGGGTATTTTTAATCGGCTATCTCTACTTTCTCTGAGAGAAATGATAAAAATGATGAAATGGTCCACAGAGAAGCTCGAAAGGAAAGACAAATTCAGCTATGCCTATTATAAAGAGCTCTGAAACTTGGGTATGAATGGTGACAAACAAAGCATGTCAGAATTGAAGTGTGGCAATTATAGCATTAAATTCAATATCATTTAAGAAACTTCACAGGGTTGTTTATAACATTTATGTATGCTGATCCAAGTGATGTTTCTAGCCTTTAAAAAATTAGTGCTGACCACACAGGGTTCAAAAGTTTGAAACACTGCATCTTTTTCAAGAAGTTGCCATTCGCTGGAAAATTGTTTCCAAATAATCACCAACAATAAGGTCATGTGATTTCATTTACTTACCTATTTATATCTGTAGGAATGCTGGGAAGTCTTAATGAACAACTTCAGAAAAATGCCACCTGGAAAAACAAATTGAACAAAGAGTTAGATTTTAAAAACACATACACACAAAGAAGACTTAGCATGCAATTTTATATCTCATTAAAATATGTGACGATTCAAATATTGGTCCCCAGGCAGCACACAGCTCAACTTGCATTAGAACACGGCCACTCCCCCCAGGAACACCGACACACGAACACAGGGTCCAAACCACTGATGAACCAGAAAAAGTAAAAGGCCAGGGGGGAATGTCCAGCTTGTGAACATGTACCTAATTACATCGTTTCCTTTCCCCTCACAAGGGGACCAACTTAAAAATACAACTTGTGTCCGGGAGGACACTTTATGAATGACCATAAAAAGGCTCAAAAATCCAGAAACAAATTAAGAAATAAAATACAAAATTGTGACTGAAAAAACTATCCTAGCAGCACTTTATATCCTTTTCAGTTACGCTGGTTAATGTTCTAAAGCTAAATTCACAAAGATGTCAAGACTGGGAAAGTGGAAAAAGGGCCATTTTTAGAAAAACCCTAACATAGTAAAAAGAAAAGTTGAAAAGTAAGAACTTATTAATGATTAGTTTATTTAGAAATCAAGGATTCCTTTTGGTGGTCTCAAAGTCTTTAGGGAACCTTTAGAAAATTATAAGCCTACTAATACATTCACAAAACAGAGAATCCTCAAATATCTCTTCAGCATTGCTTTGAAATATTAAACATAAATGGAACAAATTTCTAACATAAAATGTCACAATTACCATTTGTTGAAAATCTGTCATGCACCTGGGACTGTTATAGGAATATATTACAACCTTTCTAGACAAAGATACCCATTAACAGATGGGGAAACTGATGTTAAAAGAAGTAGAGAACCTTCCTCAATACCATAGGATCCAGGGTTTCCAAACACGCCTTTTTCCTCCTATCAGATAATCTTGCTCTTAAAAGAATCTCTTCCACTCTACAAAGCCTATTCATCACCTCCCCTGATAGAAACCACATATTCCTTAATGCAAACTCTAAAAGAAATTGGCTAGCAGATGACTAGCCAGTTAGCTTTTTCTTTTTGCACATTTAAAAGTAATTTCTTCATTTAAAAATGATTAGGCTTATGTTATTTAGGACTATAAGGTAACACTGTATACGAGTAAATATTTAGAAAAAAAGCATTTTGAGTTCATGAGATATTAAAAATGTAATTGGGGTGTATAAATATGTAATTCCACATAAGGTAAATTAAACAGAAAATATTCAACAGCCTCAATTCCACTGATAAGCAAGAAAACAAGAAGTCCACATGCTTATTTTCTATAATCAAATTTTCAAATACAGCCATGGGCTAACAATCAAAATCTGTAATATCAAGCTACGAATGTCCACACTTATATGCAGGTAAGTAGCTTAATATCAGCAGCACCAGTGTTAATCCAAAGTGTACCTGAGGTTGAAAAGCCAACAGTGGCACAAAGGCCACTATCTAAAAACGTCATTTTAGTTTAGTAATAAACTTGAAGATACTGGACAACAGTCATTGGGTTTCACTTTAATAAAAATATACAAAAGAATTCTGAATTCATAAAGTCCTTTGTTATAACAGTTAAGGAAACTAAGACTTTTTTTTTTTTGAGACAGAGTCTCCCTCTGTCACCCAGGCTGAAGTACAATGGCACGATCTTGGCTCACTGCAACCTCCACCTCCTGGGCGATTCTCTTGCCTCAGCCTCCTGAGTAGCTGGGATTACAGGCATGTGCCACCACCTCCAGCTAATTTTTGTATTTTTAGTAGAGACAGGGTTTCAGCATGTTGGCCAGGCTGGTCTTGAACTCCTGACCTCAAGTGATCCACCCGCCCCGGCCTCCCAAAGTGCTGGGATTACAGGCGTGAGCCACTGCGCCCGGCGAAACGATGACTTTTTAAAAATGGTTCTTTGTTAACTTAATTACTTGCTAAATTCTAAACATTTCCCACAATTTTATTTTACCCTTTAGGGGAAGTCATGATCAGTATTTTTATCTGGAAATGGCTTCTGCGAAATATGCCACTAGGATTATTATGAATGGGTCTGTTATAAATGGAGTTCTTGATCAACATTTCCTTATTTCTAAAAGCTAAATGAGTCACAACAAAATGAGTCACTTCAACCTTGGTACTGTTCAAAATTCAAAGATAACATTTTTTAAAATCTCCTTTTTTTACATATAAACCAAGCAAAGCTCTGGACAGTTAAGACAGTCAAGACCCTAACAGTAACGGAAAAGGCAGAATTGTATCCCAGTTCCCACCTAAAGCTTTCCAAATTCACACTGACAGTAAAAAGCATTTTCTAGAATCAATTAATTTGACCCAAAGCTTTGAAAATAACAGTCATTTAGGAATAGGTTCTTAGTATCATGATTAAGCTTTTCTGACAAAGAAGTAATATCTTGTGAAACCACCAGAGTAGTCAGGAAGATAAAAACATGCCAGTTCTGTTCTGGGTTTGGTTAGTTTACAGGGTGTGATTTTCATTTTTTTTTTAAATATGCTATTTCGAAAATACAGTATACTAAAAATATACTAAGTCACAGAACCTTCAAACATTCACCTAAAAAGTTAATATATCAGGACTGTCAGGCATTGTTCTATGTATTAGAACAGTGTCTTTATTTCTAGTTTTCATCTTGGCATCTGTTTTTTAGAAACATTGGTCTGTTACTACTTAAAGTTTATGAAGTAATAAGAGACTAATGTTTCTGAAAAACAATTTTTGTGAATTAACTCATTTGCTTTCACAAAACCCCTGAGGTAGCTACCAGTATTATCCCATTTTAAGGATGAGGAAGCAGGCAAAAAGAAACTTAACCTTACCAAAAGTTACATGGCTTGCAAGAAGTGGTGTTAATATTCAAATCCGTATACATGATCACATTTTATCCTAACAACTATATAATGCAAGCAGGAGAGAAAATTTTGGCCGCATTTTAACTATGAGGGAAACAAATTCCTGAGGAATAAGGGCTGGCTTCCTCAAAGGCACACAGCTAGTCAGTAACAGGGGTCAAGAACTGCTAGGGGCACCTACTGCTAAGGCTGTACTGCTTTTTCATTTGTTCATTTTTGTCTTGGATACTATAATCAACGTGTAAAACTCAGTGTAAAGAGTGTGTTTCCTCTAATCACTGAGAAGACACTTCAGGATCCTCTCATGGGATGTGCTGATGACAAGAACATCAATTAGAGCACATACAATGGTATTCTCACGCTGCCAGGTCACCTTTTTTCCATTTTCCTAAATGCAAATATGGGTTTTTATTCACTTACTGGTTGTTAAACACATGGGTTCATGTAAATATTGGTCTTTATCTGTATATATGTATATTATTAATCTGCTTGGCCACTTACAGTGCAATCAAAGTAGGCACTGTTTATTCCAACAAACATTGTAAATAAAATTAAAACTACCGTGTTTTTGCACATTAAGGAGTTAAAAAGTCTTCGCTTCCCATTCATCTCCATTTGGGCTGCATGCCCTTCTGTTACACTTCCGGATGTCAGGAGAAACAATAGCTGCCTTTAGTGCCACACAGAGAACACGGCCCCCACGTGATGGGCACCAGCACTTATTTATTGAATTGAATTGCCAAAAACAGGAAGCAGAGTTGTAAGACCCCTTTTATCAGTTACAGATTGCTAAGACTTGAAGTGCACTGATTTGAATTGTTTCATGTTACTCTGTAAAACTAGAACCAAGGAGTGAAAATTACCTTGGAAATGACAGGGGTGAATTTCAGCTGAATGAAGAAAGAACTGTGTAATAAACAGAGTTGACCCGAGGTGGTCCAGGTTGCCTCTGGGGTGGGTTAAGAAACAGTAAGTCAGGATCACAGAGGCCACAGAGGGGGAAAGTCTCAGCAACTGTCCTCTCACAATCCTTCCCTGAGACCTGAGGTCTATGCCCATCCACAGCAAGAATGGGAGCTTCATGGCAGAGCACTGTGTATCACAGGACACTCTGCAATTCATTTTCTCATTTTATAGGCACTATTACTAAAAGGGGGCCGGAGTGTGGGTGGGGAGAGACATCTTTACTATCCCCATTTTATAAACCAAGAATTTGAGCCACTTAAGCTAAATCACACCATTAGTAAATGACAGAATACGGCCTTCAATCTAGGACTTCTGACCCCCCAGGCAGGCCAGTGTATTTCCAGCTAGGCAATACTGCAACAACCAACGTAAGATGCCTGCAACCATCATTCTTATTAAGTATTATCTCCTCATATTAAGAACAGGGGCAAGGATGGGCCCCAAAGACTTGAAGCACCGAGGCAAATACCAAAGCAAGATTAGCTAAAACAAAAATACAGTAAGAGCTCTGCTACTTTCACAAAACCATCCCTTCTACCTGACTAGGAAGAGCTCATTATATTTTCAGTAGACACACTCTCTAAGGCTTTATTTACATGAGTCAACTAAAGGAATAATTGTCCAAATCCTACTTTACTGTGCTCTACTGATACAACAAATGCTCGAGGAAGTCTGTCCACATTTTAAGGGGAGTCTGTGGCCACATACTATGCACAAAGAGCACTCCCCATTTCTGCAGCCAAAGCATTAATCGTTGCTCCAGAACTAGGCTGGTGTAACTTTTTTTTTAAAGTCTGAAATGCATTCTCTGACAACAGGTCCAGGACTACCTCACAATTGTGTCTGACAACAGGAGTTTAACAGAACTGGGTCAGCCATTGAAGGATTGCTGAACCTTGCAAGATTTTCAAGGAAAGACATGAGAGTGTCGAGTTTCATGAACCGTCTACCAAGCACAGAAAGTGGCAGCTTGCCAAAGGCTGGACTGTGTTAAACGCATGTGAGACGCTGGGAACCTGAACCCCAACAACGCCGGCCCTGCCACTCAACCACAGTGGTGAAAGACTGAGGTTCAAGTTTCCAAAGACCTCGCGGACTCTAAGCCAAACGTTGCTAATCAGGAAAAATTCCTTCTCTTAAGGAAGGAGAAACTCCTTGATTCAAACATTATCCCATCAACGTAAAGCTGTTAGAGAGTATGTTTTTAAATATCTAGGTACAACAGAATAGCCTATAACGTGCCAGCCACAAGTCATATTCAATTATACTGCTTTTTAACATGCCAGGTGTGCATATCAAAACACTGCTATTGTTATTCCCACACTGCTGGGACCATGTTCATTCACATAATTCTTACCTCTTCCCCAATATTTAGTTATAAATCTATGGGACAACAAGGTCCTTGAGAACAAAACTAATTCTAGCTTACTCCTCTCAATATCTCTTGCACTCAACATAGGGCATGACATAGAGTAGACAATTCATAAATGTTTACTGAATAAACAAAAGGATCATTGCCCTATGAACATTCCCTACAGATAGTAGTTAGAAAAGTCAGGCTATGTAGAAGAAAGAAATACTGGGTTAACGAGAGTGGAGAAAATCATCAGGCAAACATGACAGCAGGAATTCCGGCATGAGAAGAAAGCGCAGGAGGCAAGGAGGAATCGCAGGCAGCAATGGAGCACAGAGTAGCAGTGATGCTGTCCAAGGCAGGGGGGATCCTCCAGTGGGTGTGTTTCCAAAACACCAGTGTCTGGACCCACCTCTGTGAACTCCTTCTATTGTAGGGTAGCCCTAGACTATGAGTGATGAAGGAGAGTGACAGGGGAGCAAATGTGTATAGGCAATTCTGAGAAACCCTCCTCCAGATGACAATTACTCAACTGTCTTGCTTTTAACCTTGAATATATATATACGTATATATATAGTATATATATATATACGTATATATATATATACGTATGATCATTTTGCAAGACAGAAACTACTGTGAATAGTGTTGAGCACGAGCAATGTGCAAACCTCATCAAATATCCTACTTGTTCCAGAATAGGTTATTTAAGATCCACAGACACAGGGCATTACAGGCAGACAGGTGAGTGCAGCACACTTGGGGAATAGGCCAGGCAAACAGGTGGCCGCAGTGAATAACTTGGGCTGTAAGTGCTGACAAGCGCTTTCTGTGCCTGACAGTTCTTAGTGGTCTGCATTCCAAATCTAGGCATAAGCTTTAAGTAATAACAGACCAATGTTTCTGAAAAGCAGATGCCAAGATTAAAACTAGAAGACAAGACACAGAGTAAGGGAGATGTAGGGAAGGAACACTCTCATGGAGGCATCTGGAAAGAGAAGGTGGAAAAGCCTCCGGTTCCTTCTCGCATCTTTCCTTTTCCAAAGGCAGCACTCAAAATCAGGTAAATGGAAATTGTCCTCTTAAAACACACCCACCCCCAGCTCATCTGTCCTGGAGTTTGCTGCACACTGCCCATCACAGGTCATGGTGCTGTGCTCCTCTCCTTTTTTTGGCCTGTGTGGACCCTGAACTCGATGCTGCATTCTGCAAACCTCAGATTTGAGGCCCAGGGCATCTGCCTCTGTAACTATTTTGCCTCTATATCCTTCCCAACTCCATGCATGAAACTCTGCTCAAGACCCAACTTCAGTGTCATCTTCCACGCAGCCTTCTCTGAACCCACCCTCGCCTCTGCCCTCTCCGTGCCACCCTTCTCTGAGCTCACGCAGCTCAGAGAGTGGTAGGGGTCACATCCACCATACTAATAATTATTCGCTTGTCTAACTCCCTGTTTCAAGTCCATCCACTCATCTCATGGCTCACATTTACAAACTGTGGCTTGGGGTGACATCCAAAAATGACCAAAACAGTCCTTGACTGGGAAGGACTAACAGAGGGTGAGGCAGGCCCCCCCAAATCACAGATATTCATACTCATCCCTTGCTTCATTCAAATCTCCATGCAAATGTTATCTCCTTCCCTGACCACCCTTGCTAAAAGTGCAACACACCCCTCTGTGCCTCCAGCACTGCCTGTCCACAGCTCTCACCACTGCCTGGAGCCCATCATATGGATGGATAAGGTGGATATACAGAGACAGAAATGTCTAGCTAGGTAAGTACAGAAATAGATCTGAATTTTTAAGTTAGTTGTCTATCCACTAGGATGTAAGCTCCCTGCAGACAAGGCTTTTAATCAGTTTTGGTCTGTGATATGTAGATCCCTAACACCAGTAATAGTGCCTGAGAAATAACGCACTCTCTCAGTAAATATCAGTTGATGAATACACGCGTGGGCAGATGATAATGTCTTGACCAAATGCTGGGGGGAAAGGAGATCAGACGAGATAGGGAGGACATTTTGCTCTGTTGAAGCTTTTAAGGTTTGAAGTACCTAGCTGGGCAACCAGGTAGGGGGGATTCCAGTAGCACAGGCAATATAGTTTGGAAAACTGCAAACATATAGGAGGTGACTGAAGTCACCTATGAAGTTTCCTATGACTGAAGTCATATGAAAGAGTGAGATTACCCCCAGAAAAGCATGTGAAGTAATTAAGGAAAGAGCTGGCTACTATACAGTAAAAAGAAAAAATAGCATCTACCTCAGAGGTATGTATGTATTAAAAGAGTTAGGGCATGTGAAATATCTGAGCTATCTCTTCAAAGCTTAGCCAAATAATTCTACAAAGTACATTTTATATACATATATATATATGTATGTATGTGTATATATATGTATGTGTATATACATGTGTATATATATGTGTATATATATGTGTGTATATATATATATACACACACATATATATATATACACACACATATATATATACTAACTAAATATATGAGGACATTGTAAGACTGTGAAAGACCACTTTCAGTGCCAAATGACAAGTATTTGGGTACAGCATGGACCTAAAAATTGAACATTTACACCAGGCTGTGTTTTTCTTTTTTAGGGCTAGGAGTTACTCAAGAGTTGTTCAGAGTTTAACAGATATACTATTTAACAGATACGGAGTTTAATAGATAATCCTGCATTATCTACAGCAGCAGTCCCCAACCTTTTTGCCACCAGGGACCTGTTTCCTGGAATACAATTTTTCTGTGGGCAATGGGTAAGGGAGAGATGGTTTCGGGATGAAACTGTTCCACCTTAGATCATCAGGCATTAGATTCTCATAAGGAGCATACAACTTAGATTCCTCGCACGCACGGTTCACAATAGGGTTTGTGCTCCTATGAGAATCTAATGCTGCTGCTGAGCTGACAGAAGGTGGAGCTCAGGCCGTAATGCTCGCTCGCCTGGTCCTGCTGTGCAGCTTGGGTCCCAAAAAGGCTTGGGCACCCAAGACCTACAGTGTGAAATAACACTGCATTGCTTCTCATTATCTAGTGGGGAAGAGAAAACAGGCAGGAACTCAATTTCCTGGAACGGGGAGTACAAGGAAAAAACTCATTTCTACAAGATCCATGAACAGAATTGTCTACCATGGTGGGTGCAAGCACTATCGTGACAGCCTTAAACCCAATCCATGAGGAGAAAAACTTCTTGGCACAGACTAAAAAGTAGTGACAAATGTGGCATTTGAGCTAAACTGAAAGGATGACTTAAATGTAAAGGTCCAATTTTAAGATAGGAAAAAATACTGGTTGGCTTAGGTGGTTAGCTTTTAAGTTTGCAACTAACTATAGCTTAGCTAAAAATAACCACCCCAAGTGAATGGCAGGGAAACAAGCGTCACTACAGCTGCCCCACTTAGAAGAGTTGGTCAGGGAAGTTGAGGCCAACACACTCAACCGCTGAAACAGCAGGGAAGGGCATGTTGGAGGTATCTCTGCAGAGGGGGTCTCTCAACAGAGGGACCTGTAAGTTTCACTGGTTAGGCAGAGGAGGAAGTGAGCAGAGCTCCTGCACAGCCTGTCTCTGCTTTCATCTTTTTTCCCCCCATGTTAGAATTTGACTTAAAATTTTGAAGAAAGCACTCACTGTTGAAACAAACACTTTGGAAGCCATTGCCCTGGACCCAAATAATTCTGGGGGAAAAATAAATCACAAGTTTTAAAATTCTAATTTTTATGTCCATTTTTAAATTGATTCAAGATTATCTTGATGGCTACCATGGGGGTAGGTTTGTGCATAGATTAAGAAGTGTGTAAGTTTTAGAATTCTGTAATGTTTGAATTTTGTATAATAGGAATGAACACTTGTCTCATCAAAAGTGCCTAACTAAGATCGTTTACTTCAAACTACTTGTGTTTCCTATATTTTATAGGAAACAAATTGTAACTAAATCCAATAGAAGCAAATACCCAAAACAGAAGAAAATTTCTCTTTTAATGCCAGCTCTTCTCCCAATTCCCAAAGAGGAGGAGAGTACGCTCACGATGAGAACTATGAAGCATTATTTACATAATGTCTGTTCTAACTTAGAGGAGGAAGTTTTGTCTTCAGA
This sequence comes from Homo sapiens, assembly GCF_000001405.40. Taxonomy (NCBI): domain Eukaryota; kingdom Metazoa; phylum Chordata; class Mammalia; order Primates; family Hominidae; genus Homo; species Homo sapiens. The sequence goes on from NC_000005.10 coordinate 78,574,175, forward strand.
CTGAAGAGGCCCACTAACAGTGGGCGTGAAGATACTGGTCCGTGGGGAGTATTTCACATTTCCCTTTAGCTGTTAAAGACGTGGGGAGGGTGCCCTCTGTACACCAGGCCCAGCCCTCCAGCAGCAGGGCAAAGGCCCAGCTTGGCCCCAGGAGGAGAGGCTGAGCTGGGATATCCTTCCATGCCCTCTAACCCTTCCCTGTGACCCATGGCACACATGTGAGAGCCAGTTGGTTGGGGTTAAAAGTACAGTCTGGCCAGAGGGCCCAGCTCAGCTAACTGGCCCACATACCAACTGAACCCTGACCCTGGCCTCACCATCTCCATTCTCTAACCAAATGTGTTAATTGGCTGCAGATTCTTGAACTATGTCTCAGATGCATTTCCCAACTAAGAACAACAAAAAAGTGATGGGACATAATTTTGTCTAGTAAGGGAAAACGGTTTTAACCAAACCACTGCTGATCAGCAAATTCAACAATCAGTGGTAAACAACCACCTACAATTGATTGAAGTCCTTTTCCCCACAAGATTTTTCTGTGCTAACAGGTTGCAGATGGCTCGCTGAAACCTTCAGAAAACACTGTCCTCAGAGGCAATTCTGCTGATGCATGTTTTGGTTCCTGAGCTTTCGCTTACATGAAGTGAAGGCTATTCATGCTAAAGCAGGGTGATTCTTCCTCTCTCCAGACCTGTTCTTGCTGAGCGTCACCAAACACCTCACCACCTCAGTCTCTCTGTGTGACTCAGAACTGCTGGCTGTCAGAGCAGGAAGGACCTCAGAGAGACTCTGGCCCAAAGTCATCATTTCATAAAAGAATCGAGAGACGTAAAGTGACCAAAGGTCTTGGTGGCAGAGCTAGGGACCGCTAAACAGACACTGCTTCCTAATCCTGTGTTCTTGCCAGTGGATTATAAAACAGGCTGCTCAGCTGTGCCTCAGGGACCACGTGGCAAGAAGGAGGCTGCAGGCAACCCCCACAGGGCAGCAGCTCTTGATCTGTTTCCTATATTAGGGTTAAACACAAGATTTCATTTGAAAGAAAGGGTTTTGCTGTAAATAAACAAACACCTTGAAAACCACCACATGGAGGGCCAGGCACAGTGGCCCTCCCATGTAATCCCAGCACTTTGGGAGGCCGAGGTGCGTGGATCACAAGGTCAGGAGATCGAGACCATCCTGGCTAATATGGTGAAACCCCGTCTCTACTAAAAATACAAAAAAATTAGCCGGGCGTGGTGGCACGCACCTGTAGTCCCAGCTACTCGGGAGGCTGAGGCAGGAGAATCACTTGAACCTGGGAGGCGGAGGTTGCAGTGAGCCAAGATTGCGCCACTGCACTCCAGCCTGGTGACAGAGCGAGACTCCATCTCAAAAAAAGAAAAAAAGAAAAACCCACATGGCAAAACTAACTCCACAAAATGTCAAAAGAGAGAAATAACTAAAAACATAGGTTTTATTTTAATGAATGTGTCTTTTTAAAATGGAACAAGCAAAGAAAACAGCACTAAAACAAAATGTTATAGCTTAAGAGTTCTCTCCTTTATTTTTCCCTGACCAGGAAAATAACACACACACTACAAAAGACAAAGAGAAGAAAAACAAAGGGAAGATAGTGTAATTTAGTTTCTAGGTCTCTGGAAAAGTCTTCATCCTGCACAGACTGGACAATTTCAAGAAGTAGAGTCGCAGAGGTCATTTAATCTTCTAATTTAAATTTGTAAAACTTTCTTTTTGGAGACAGGGTCTTGCTCTGTCACCTATGCTGGAGCGCAGTGGCCTGGTGCAATCTTACAGGGATGAGCCACTGTGCCCAGCCAAAATATGTAAGATAAATCTGGCCGGGCGCAGTGGCTCACGCCTGTAATCCCAGCACTTTGGGAGGCCGAGGCGGGTGGATCACGAGGTCAGGATATCGAGACCATCCTGGCTAACACGGTGAAACCCCGTCTCCACTAAAAAAACAAAAAATTCTCCGGGCGTGGTGGTGGGTGCCTGTAGTCCCAGCTACTCCGGAGGCTGAGGCAGGAGAATGGCGTGAGCCCGGGAGGCGGAGCTTGCAGTGAGCCGAGATCGCGCCACTGCACTCCAGCCTGGGCAACAGAGCGAGACTCCATCTCAAAAAAAAAAAAAAGATAAATTTTTACTCAAAAAAGAATGAATGAAAGAAATTAGAGTCTTCATAAATTACCCACGAAAAAGTAAATAAATACGTAAAGGTAAGTCTCCCAATTTTACCTTTTGCTCTCCTGTCCGCTGAGCACCTTTATCAGCCTTAAATTTCTCCCATTCCTAAAAAAACAAGTCCTCCCCACAGGTGCTCATGAACCATGAGCTGTGTCTCTTTAAGGGCAGTGGAGGGAGGGAAACTGGTTTGCCACTATGCTGTAGGCGTCTGAACTGGATACAATTTGCAGGAGAAGAGAAGGCCCCAGGGACACTGGAAATTCAACAAGTCACCAAGAACTATGTTCACTGTGGTTTGACATTCCACTAATAACCTTTTCTTTGACTTTTCAATTCTTTGTCATTCTAGGCTCCCACTGGAGCCAGATGAATTTAAAATCTTCTGACAATCTTTTTTTGTTTGTTTGTTTCTTAACTTTTACTTTAGGTTCAGGGGTACATAGGCAGATTTGTTATATAGATACCAACAGTCTTCTTAACTTTTTAAAGTGAAATAGCTTCCAGTGACATTGAACCAAGCAATCTTTTAGCATTTTATAGATCATTTAAAGCCAGCAAACTTGATCATTGGCAATGCAATAGTTCTTTACAGGAAGTACCCACAAGCTAAGTGCAGTTCTTTAGAGATTTTGTTAATAGGTTCAGTCCAGTCAGCTCTGTCTATGCCAAGTGTCCTCTCAGTGCCATCCTCTGAAAAGATCAAATGTTTTCTAAAAGGATAACCCCTCTTACTTCCTCCCTCCCACTCATTCCTAAATTTCCACAAGCAACAATATCATACAGTGCAAATGAGAGACGCAGGCCTTCCAGGCACAGGGAAGTCAAAACATTTTAAGAAGTCACAGGATAAGGTAACAAAGGACTGATCGTCCTGATGCCCTAACTGTATATGAATATCAACATGAGTTGTTTCATAAACTTGGAACACTGCAAAAGGCCATCTTGGTCAGCCTCCAAGCAGACTTACTTAAGTGACCTAATTTTTATGTTCTACTTCTGAGGATCTCCAGGACAGAAATTCCACAATCTCCCATTGGTATCTTGACTTGTGATTTTATTTCCTTCAGAGTCAAAGGGGGCTGTTTCTCTCAACATTTTTTTTAAGTTAAATAAGAGCTCAACTCACATAAAAGGTGCCATTTAAACGCTGAAACTGGCAACTGGAACAACACAAAAGTGAACGACCAAGAACTAGGCTATCTGCCGTACACGGGTCCATTTGCCTGGCTCACTACGGACAGTCATACTGCACTCTCCCCAAGCTGAGTCCATTCAAGACTCAAGCTCACAGCCTTAAGAAATGACTCCACAGCTCCTAAAAGGAGAGTAGCTTACATACAATGAAGAAATATTTCCTAGTCACTGGAGAAAATCTTTCCCAGGCCTTCCACACTTTCTAAACGAGAAAAAGACAATTTTGTTTTTCTGATGTCCTTTGAGCTTTTTTTTTTTTAGACTCCCCTAAGCAATATCATATTCAGTTTTCTTAAATTTTTTTAAAAGTGAACTTTCCACTGAGCTACACTCCTTGAAACAAGTCTTCCAGAGATTTTTGCCCTTGGCCTCCTGGAATTTTTCAATGAAACTCGAAAGAGATGTTTACCTGACCCCAAATGTTATCCTAATGAAAACTCTGTTTTTAATTCTTTGAACTCTTCTCTTTCTCTTTCCTTGTCATGCCCTCTGGGAAAGAAAGACAAGTACAGATGTTGGCTTGATCTCAACTGGCAAACACCAGGATAACTGAGTTCTAATCATTTCTTAGGAACTTGGACAGAATCACAAAGGTATTAATTATGCTCCCTCTTCTGGCATGGTCCTCTGTACTTCACTTGCTTAGAGGATCAATGTAAAGATAGGAAATGCCAGCACATTATCTTTTTGACAAAAACAAGATGCTCATCACAGGAAGAATAAAAGGAGTATTACAGGATTTTCAAAAGCAATGAGGGAGCTGAAAGAAATATAACCTCAGGGGCTGGGAAGAGGAGGAGTGAGAACCACTTTTTGCCAGTTAAAGGATCTAAATGAGGCTGGGTCCAGGCTCTCTCTCACAGGGGGGTTTTGGGGAGTTTTGGAATTGGGAAACTACAATCAGGGTTTAGTTAATTTCCTTCTCTTGCAAGACGGAAGGTTCTGGTACAGAGGTTTTGGCAATTCCATTTCAAATAGCCACATTTACCCCTGTTTAGGAAGGGCTTAGGCTGTTTTTCTTGCATATGTGCACACACACACACACACACACACACACACACACACAGAGACAGGTCATATGTATTTCAAGGGCTTCTTATCTCAAGAGAGCCTCTGCCTAGAGACATGTACTTTACCAAGAAATCAATGGGTGAAATGAATGACTTGACTTTGCTGTCAGTTTTCTCTGGGAAATGTCTTCCAGGAATCATCTATGTACAAGGTTTTTGACAACATTCCACTCTACTCCATCTCTAACTCTAGGTTCTCAGTAGAATGTTTGTTCCCAGCTACCTGTCTTGTAACAAAGTACAATGGCCACGTGATCTATCAGCAACGTAGGTGAGCAATGTGGGGGCTCAGAGACGCCAACCAAGTCTTGCTCCCTGCTCCTAGAAGTTACAATCCAGTGGCAGAGAGAGCATCTATTCACCAAGAGCTGTGGTTGAGGTAGGCCCTTCTGGGGAGGTACATTCCGTCTAACAGGGATTATTAACTTGAACCCAGTATCAAGGGGTAGGTTATTTCCTCCACCTTTTAGAATCTGACTCTGCAAAAGAAACAGATGAAAATTGTCCTTAAGCAAAGCAAAACACCCTCACATGACCTACAATAAGGTGACCCAAGTTTAGTGATTTTGCTATTGTTAAAGTCTGGCCATTTCTCTATACTGGGAGTGGAGAGGGAGGGGGAGCAGGAGAGGGTGGAGGAGGAGGAGGATTTTCTGTTACTGCTAAGATTCTTAGTGCTCGCAAGGTTTTTTTTTTGTTGTTGTTGTTGTTTTTCATTTATTTATTATTATTATACTTTAAGTTTTAGGGTACATGTGCACAATGTGCAGGTTAGTTACATATGTATACATGTGCCATGCTGGTGCGCTGCACCCACTAACTCGTCATCTAGCATTAGGTACATCTCCCAGTGCTAACCCTCCCCCCTTCCCCGACCCCACAACAGGCCCCAGAGTGTGATGTTCCCCTTCCTGTGTCCATGTGTTCTCATTGTTCAATTCCCACCTATGAGTGAGAATATGCGGTGTTTGGTTTTTTGTTCTTGCGATAGTTTACTGAGAATGATGATTTCCAATTTCATCCATGTCCCTACAAAGGACATGAACTCATCATTTTTTATGGCTGCATAGTATTCCATGGTGTATATGTGCCACATTTTCTTAATCCAGTCTTATCATTGTTGGACATTTGGGTTGGTTCCAAGTCTTTGCTATTGTGAATAATGCCGCAATAAACATACGTGTGCATGTGTCTTTATAGCAGCATGATTTATAGTCTTTTGGGTATATACCCAGTAATGGGATGGCTGGGTCAAATGGTGTTTCTAGTCTAGTTCTAGATCCTTGAGGAATCGCCACACTGACTTCCACAATGTTTGAACTAGTTTACAGTCCCACCAACAGTGTAAAAGTGTTCCTATTTCTCCACATCCTCTCCAGCACCTGTTGTTTCCTAACTTTTTAATGACTGCCATTCTAACTGGTATGAGATGGTATCTCATTGTGGTTTTGATTTGCATTTCTCTGATGGCCAGTGATGGTGAGCATTTTTTCATGTGTTTTTTGGCTGCATAAATGTCTTCTTTTGAGAAGTGTCTGTTCATGTCCTTCACCCACTTTTTGATGGGGTTGTTTGTTTTTTTCTTGTAAATTTGAGTTCATTGTAGATTTTGGATATTAGCCCTTTGTCAGATGAGTAGGTTGCAAAAATTTTCTCCCATTTTGTAGGTTGCCTGTTCACACTGATGGTAATTTCTTTTGCCGTGCAGAAGCTCTTTAGTTTAATTAGATCCCATTTGTCAATTCTGGCTTTTGTTGCCATTGCTTTTGGTGTTTTAGACATGAAGTCCTTGCCCATGCCTATGTCCTGAATGGTAATGCCTAGGTTTTCTTCTAGGGTTTTTACGGTTTTAGGTCTAACGTTTAAGTCTTTAATTCATCTTGAATTGATTTTTGTATAAGGTGTAAGGAAGGGATCCAGTTTCAGCTTTCTACATATGGCTAGCCAGTTTTCCCAGCACCATTTATTAAATAGGGAATCCTTTCCCCATTGCTTGTTTTTCTCAGGTTTGTCAAAGATCAGATAGTTGGAGATATGCGGCGTTCTTTCTGAGGGCTCTGTTCTGTTCCATCGGTCTATTATCTCTGTTTTGGTACCAGTACCATGCTGTTTTGGTTACTGTAGCCTTGTAGTATAGTTTGAAGTCAGGTAGTGTGATGCCTCCAGCTTTGTTCTTTTGGCTTAGGATTGACTTAGCGATGCGGGCTCTTTTTTGGTTCCATATGAACTTTAAAGTAGTTTTTTCCAATTCTGTGAAGAAAGTCATTGGTAGCTTGATGGGGATGGCATTGAATCTACAAATTACCTTGGGCAGTATGGCCATTTTCACGATATTGATTCTTCCTACCCGTGAGCATAGAATGTTCTTCCATTTGTTTGTATCCTCTTTTATTTCCTTGAGCAGTGGTTTGTAGTTCTCCTTGAAGAGGTCCTTCCCATCCCTTTTAAGTTGGATTCCTAGGTATTTTATTCTCTTTGAAGCAATTGTGAATGGGAGTTCACTCATGATTTGGCTCTCTGTTTGTCTGTTGTTGGTGTATAAGAATGCTTGTGATTTTTGTACATTGATTGACGATGGGGTTTTCTAGATATACAATCATGTCATCTGCAAACAGGGACAATTTGACTTCCTCTTTTCCTAATTGAATACCCTTTATTTCCTTCCCCTGCCTAATTGCCCTGGCCAGAACTTCCAACACTATATTGAATAGGAGTGGTGAGAGAGGGCATCCCTGTCTTGTGCCAGTTTTCAAAGGGAATGCTTCCAGTTCTTACACATTCAGTATGATATTGGCTGTGGGTTTGTCATAGATAGCTCTTATTATTTTGAGATACGTCCCATCAATACCTAATTTATTGAGAGTTTTTAGCATGAAGTTGTTGAATTTTGTCAAAGGCCTTTTCTGCATCTACTGAGATAATCATGTGGTTTTTGTCTTTGGTTCTGTTTATATGCTGGATTACATTTATTGATTTGCGTATATTGAACCAGCCTTGCATCCCAGGGATGAAGCCCACTTGATCATGGTGGATAAGCTTTTTGATGTGCTGTTGGATTCGGTTTCCCAGTATTTTATTGAGGATTTTTGCATCAATGTTCATCAAGGATATTGGTCTAAAATTCTCTTTTTTGGTTGTGCCTCTACCCGGCTTTGGTATCAGGATGATGCTGGCCTCATAAAATGAGTTAGGGAGGATTCCCTGTTTTTCTATTGATTGGAATAGTTTCAGAAGGAGTGGTACCAGTTCCTCCTTGTACCTCTGGTAGAATTCGGCTGTGAATCCATCTGGTCCTGTACTATTTTTGGTTGGTAAGCTATTGATTATTGCCACAATTTCAGATCCTGTTATTGGTCTATTCAGAGATTCAACTTCTTCATGGTTTAGTCTTGGGAGAGTGTATGTGTCAAGGAATTTATCCATTACTTCTAGATTTTCTGGTTTATTTGCGTAGAGATGTTTGTAGTATTCTCTGATGGTAGTTTGTATTTCTGTGGGATCAGTGGTGATACCCCTTTATCATTTTTTATTGCATCTATTTGATTCTTCTCTCTTTTTTTATTAGTCTTGCTAGCAGTTTATCAATTTTGTTGATCCTTTCAAAAAACCAGCTCCTGGATTCATTAATTTTTTGAAGGTTTTTTTGTGTCTCTATTTCCTTCAGTTCTGCTCTGATTTTAGTTATTTCTTGCCTTCTGCTAGCTTTTGAATGTGTTTGCTCTTGCTTTTCTAGTTCTTTTAATTGTGATGTTAGGGTGTCAATTTTGGATCTTTCCTGCTTTCTCTTGTGGGCATTTAGTGCTATAAATTTCCCTCTACACACTGCTTTGAATGCGTCCCAGAGATTCTGGTATGTTGTGTCTTTGTTCTCGTTGGTTTCAAAGAACATCTTTATTTGTGCCTTCATTTCGTTATGTACCCAGTAGTCATTCAGGAGCAGGTTGTTCAGTTTCCATGTAGTTGAGCGGTTTTGAGTGAGATTCTTAATCCTGAGTTCTAGTTTGATTGCACTGTGGTCTGAGAGACAGTTTGTTATAATTCCTGTTCTTTTACAGTTGCTGAGGAGAGCTTTACTTCCAAGTATGTGGTCAATTTTGGAATAGGTATGGTGTGGTGCTGAAAAAAATGTATATTCTGTTGATTTGGGGTGTAGAGCTCTGTAGATGTCTATTATGTCTGCTTGGTGCAGAGCTGAGTTCAATTCCTGGGTATCCTTGTTGACTTTCTGTCTCGTTGATCTGTCCAATGTTGACAGTGGGCTGTTGAAGTCTCCCATTATTAATGTGTGGGAGTCTAAGTGTCTTTGTAGGTCACTCAGGACTTGCTTTATGAATCTGGGTGCTCCTGTATTGGGTGCATATATATTTAGGACAGTTAGCTCTTCTTGTTGAATTTATCCCTTTAGCATTATGTAATGGCCTTGTCTCTTTTGATCTTTGTTGCTTTAAAGTCTGTTTTATCAGAGACTAGGATTGCAACCCCTGCCTTTTTTTGTTTTCCATTTGCTTGGTAGATCTTCCTCCATCCTTTTATTTTGAGCCTATGTGTGTCTCTGCACATGAGATGGGTTTCCTGAATACAGCACACTGATGGGTCTTGACTCTTTATCCAATTTGCCAGTCTGTGTCTTTTAATTGGAGCATTTAGTCCATTTACATTTAAAGTTAATATTGTTATGTGTGAATTTGATCCTGTCATTAAGATGCTAGCTGGTGATTTTGCTCGTTAGTTGATGCAGTTTCTTCCTAGTCTCGATGGTCTTTACATTTTGGCATGATTTTGCAGCGGCTGGTACTGGTTGTTCCTTTCCATGTTTAGCGCTTCCTTCAGGAGCTCTTTTAGGGCAGGCCTGGTGGTGACAAAATCTCTCAGCATTTGCTTGTCTGTAAAGTATTTTATTTCTCCTTCACTTATGAAGCTTAATTTGGCTGGATATGAAATTCTGGGTTGAAAATTCTTTTCTTTAAGAATGTTGAATATTGGCCCCCACTCTCTTCTGGCTTGTAGGGTTTCTGCCAAGAGATCTGCTGTTAGTCTGATGGGCTTCCCTTTGAGGGTAACCCAACCTTTCTCTCTGGCTGCCCTTAACATTTTTTCCTTCATTTCAACTTTGGTGAATCTGACAATTATGTGTCTTGGAGTTGCTCTTCTCGAGGAGTATCTTTGTGGCGTTCTCTGTATTTCCTGAATCTGAATGTTGGCCTGCCTTGCTAGATTGGGGAAGTTCTCCTGGATAATATCCTGCAGAGTGTTTTCCAACTTGGTTCCATTCTCCCCATCACTTTCAGGTACACCAATCAGACGTAGATTTGGTCTTTTCACATAGTCCCATATTTATTGGAGGCTTTGTTCATTTCTTTTTATTCTTTTTTCTCTAAACTTCCCTTCTCACTTCATTTCATTTATTTCATCTTCCATCGCTGATACCCTTTCTTCCAGTTGATCGCATCGGCTCCTGAGGCTTCTGCATTCTTCACGTAGTTCTCGAGCCTTGGTTTTCAGCTCCATCAGCTCCTTTAAGCACTTCTCTGTATTGGTTATTCTAGTTATACATTCTTCTAAATTTTTTTCAAAGTTTTCAACTTCTTTGCCTTTGGTTTGAATGTCCTCCCGTAGCTCGGAGTAATTTGATCATCTGAAGCCTTCTTCTCTCAGCTCGTCAAAGTCATTCTCCATCCAGCTTTGTTCCGTTGCTGGTGAGGAACTGCATTCCTTTGGAGGAGGAGAGGCGCCCTGCTTTTTAGAGTTTCCAGTTTTTCTGCTCTGTTTTTTCCCCATCTTTGTGGTTTTATCTACTTTTGGTCTTTGATGATGGTGATGTACAGATGGGTTTTTGGTGTGGATGTCCTTTCTGTTTGTGAGTTTTCCTTCTAACAGACAGGACCCTCAGCTGCAGGTCTGTTGGAGTACCGGGCCGTGTGAGGTGTCAGTCTGCCCCTGCTGGGGGGGTGCCTCCCAGTTAGGATGCTCGGGGGTCAGGGGTCAGGGACCCACTTGAGGAGGCAGTCTGCCCGTTCTCAGATCTCCAGCTGCATGCTGGGAAAACCACTGCTCTCTTCAAAGCTGTCAGACAGGGACATTTAAGTCTGCAGAGGTTATTGCTGTCTTTTTGTTTGTCTGTGCCCTGCCCCCAGAGGTGGAGCCTATAAAGACAGGCAGGCCTCCTTGAGCTGTGGTGGGCTCCACCCTGTTGGAGCTTCCTGGCTGCTCTGTTTACCTAAGCAAGCCTGGGCAATGGCGGGCACCCCTCCCCCAGCCTCGCTGCCGCCTTGCAGTTTGATCTCTGACTGCTGTGCTAGCAATCAACGAGACTCCGTGGGCGTAGGAACCTCTGAGCCAGGTGCGGGATATAATCTCCTGGTGCGCTGTGTTTTTTTTTTTTTTTTTTTTTTTTTTTTTGAGACGGAGTCTCGCTCTGTCGCCCAGGCTGGAGTGCAGTGGCGGGATCTCGGCTCATTGCAAGCTCCACCTCCCGGGTTCACGCCATTCTCCTGCCTCAGCCTCCCAAGTAGCTGGGACTACAGGTGCCCGCCACTACGCCCGGCTAATTTTTTGTATTTTTAGTAGAGACGGGGTTTCACCGTTTTTAGCCGGGATGGTCTCGATATCCTGACCTCGTGATCCGCCCGCCTCGGCCTCCCAAAGTGCTGGGATTACAGGCGTGAGCCACCGCGCCCGGCCTGGTGCGCTGTTTTTTAAGCCCGTTGGAAAAGCGCAGTATTCAGGTGGGAGTGACCCGATTTTCCAGGTGCCGTCTGTCACCCCTTTCTTTGACTAGGAAAGGGAACTCCCTGACTCCTTGAGCTTCCCGAGTGAGGCAATGCCTCGCCCTGCTTCGGCTCACGCACAGTGTGTGCACCCACTGACCTGCGCCCACTGTCTGGCACTCCCTAGTGAGATGAACCCGGTACCTCAGATGGAAATGCAGAAATCACCCGTCTTCTGCGTCGCTCATGCTGGGAGCTGCATACTGGAGTTGTTCCTATTCAGCCATCTTGGCTCCTCCTCCCGCTCTCAAGGTTTTAGTTGAGAGCACTAAAACAACCTCCACCTCCTCCTCCTCCTCATCATCATCATCACCATCATCACGTATTGAATGAGCCCTGGCTATATGCCGGGCACTGTGCTAGGCACTTAATAGCATTTGTCTTCATGAAAAACTCACAACAATTTTATGAGATAGGCTATTAACCTCATTTTACAGATGGGGAGACTGGGTTGGGGTTGGGGTTGGGGATGGGATGCATAAAGGAGCCTGCCCGAGGTCCTGCCACTAACAAGCAACACAAGCCGTTCACGTACTACCTCCCAGTGGCCTAAAAGGTCATGGAACATCAGAGCTTAATGTGGAAGGAGTAATAAGGTCATTTTTTAAATACATGGTTCACGTCTCTAAAGGGCTTGAGGATGAGGAACAGCACCAACCTTGAAGTTCAAATTCTTGGGTTTAAGTAGCAGCTTCATCATGTGCCATTTGGAAATGTAATGAACTAATCAAGAGACACTGCTTAGCAGAGCCCAGCTCCCATGGGTGGTAACTGTCCACTTTCCTCTCTCTTCCCTCGGGCAAGTTACTCAAACCTCAAAGAACTTTTTTCCTCATCCGAAACATGGGAGTCAACAAAATGCACCTCACCAGGCTGCTGTGAGGATTACGTGAGATGATTTCACAGTGATCAAACAGGACACACGTACTGCCTGTTGCCATTCTTTCATGCTGCCCCATTTGATTTTCATGTTGTCTCATTTGTGGAGGAATGCTATCCCATCTGGCTTTCCAGAAGACTGGGTAGAATATAGGAACAGTCATGTCCTCATTTCATAACTGCAGTAAGTGAAGCCCAGGCGCACTGAGTCATCACACAGCTGGTATACCACAGGCTTCTTATCCTCGGCTTCCTCTGCCCTTTGTCTCAGGCACACAAAACCTCAACACTCTCAGGCAACAGAGTCTGTAACGAAGACCACCACTTGGCATGGTTTCAGTGTCCTAACAGTGATTCTACGCAAGGCTGACACACAATCCTGCTCCACCCACTCAGGTAGGAGATTCCACATTCAAATAAAACAACAGCAAAAACTTCCCGGTTTTTATAGGGGGGAAAAAAAAGCCAATCCCTAAATTATGCCCCACTATTCAACTTTGGCTCCTTTGTTTTTTAATACAGTATAAGTTATATTTTCTAGCAATTATTATTTGAGAAGTTCTAGAAAGGAGCATTTCCACACAACAAAAACTAGAATATTCTTTTTATATATACCAACACTTGGAATAGTCTTTTTAATTCTTTTTGCTGCCTAATGAATACTTATTGGATTTTTAAACTCAGTAAGCTACTTCTTTATTTGAGGTGTGGAGAAACTCAGCAGCTGCTGCTTCAGTAGCATACAACTGTTAAATTATTACAACTACTTCTATTCCTTCCATTTTCTTCCTTCATTATTAGTAATAAAATGAAGGTATTTCTTATAGTCAGTCATCTAAAGTCCTTGCCATATGAATTGTAGAAAAACAGAAACCAAACGAGGCAAGTCTAAATACCTTGAACTTTGCTAGCAATATTAAGTTAAAATGTCTGTTGCAAAGCCAATTAAAGTTGGTCCCAAAGACTCACATTTTCCAGTCTGCTGGCATGGTTGATGCTTGTTGGCAAAGATGCCGAATAGAGTCTTCTTACTAAATAGGACAAATGATGACAATGGTAGACACTGCAAGCTAACCATTATGGAAGAATTTCACCACTTTAAAGGGTCTGCAGGCCACGAAGAAATGATACAGCAGAAAAAGACCACCAGAAAATGCTGACATCTCTGAGCCCTGCTTTTTGACTCTGCATCCCACACCTCCTGGACAAAGTGGGAGACTTAGGCTTGAATCCTAAATACTCTATGCCCACATGTAAGCCATTATGGATAACTGTGCTTGAAACTTAATTCCACATCTGCTCTTCTGCAGCCTTTGGAAATCTTATGAATTTCTCTGACAATTGTTTGCAAAGGCCATAATCACAGGCATCTGTAACTGGATCCCCAGCTACAGGACAAAACACCACATAATCCTAAGAGGCTTTCAGTCAAATCTTACTTGGTTTCTTGTGTCTTTTGCTGTCTTTAAAATTGCACTAAGCCTTCAATTTACAGAAAGCGCCGATTAGCATTGGTCTGAAGGTGGCCCAAGCCCTCTTTATCGTCCCTACCACACAGCCAGTGCAAATCCTTATCATCTCCCTTCTGGCTGTGGCCTCCCTGGCCCACCTTCAGAAAGAAGCCTTATGGCTCTGGAGGAAGCAATCTGAGCTAAGGGCAAGTGAGGTCCCAGGGCCAGTTCATGTTCTCTGCCCCTCCCTCCGGTGGTTCCAGAATCGCAGGAGACATGAGGATGTACCCTGGTTCCAAGTGGCCAAGAAAATAGATGCATTGGTACTTTTCCAGTTCTTTCACTTGAGTCACTCAGAAGCTGGATCTATCTTTTCTAATTCTAGCTGGCCAACAGCCTGACAGAGACCTTAAGCAACAAAACTAACTTCCTGTGTCTGTTCCATATTGTTTTTTAATTTGTTTAAGAGACAGCATCTGGCTTTGTGGCCTAGGCTGGAGTGCAGTGGTGCAATCATAGCTCACTGCTGCCTGCAACTCCTGGGATCAAGTGATCTTCCTGCCTCAGCCTCCCGAGTGATTACGAATACAGGTGCATGACACAGCACCCAGCTTATATCTTAAAAAATTTAACAGCAAACATTTCTTTAAAAAAATTTCTGAACTCTTCTATCTTTCATTCTATAAACACTCACAAGAGTCAAGTGGAAAAAGTTCTTGTACCAACAAGGCCACATATTGATTTAGTAACCTTGGGCAAATAACACCTCCATCTGGGTACCTTAGTTTTCTAATCTAATGTCTAGCCATCTCCTATTTTTTTTAATGAGAAACAAAGTTAACAATGTACATAGAAGTGTTCTTCAAAGGATGAAGCTCTGTAAATAATCTAAGATATCATTACTGCTGTTATCCTCTTCAAAAGCTCCATGCTGATGTTTAAGAGCTCTGAGGCCAGCCAGGCAGGGTTGATAAAAGTTACTTAACCTCTCTAGCCTCAATTTTCTCATCTGCAAAGTGGAGATAAAATAACAGTCCCTGACACTGTTAGTGTGAGGAAGGAATAAGTAACTGCAAAGAGAGCACTTAAAACAGTGCCTGACTCAATAAATGGTACCTAATGTAAGTTACTCTCCTTATTCATAGTGAATCCTGTGTTCTTGTTTCATCAGCCCCTTTCAAAATAACTTACCTTTTTCAAGCCATTCTGTTTCAATGTGCTAAGAAAAGGGGAGGGACTAATATATATTGTTACATATCTCATTTAATCCTGCCAACCATAATGTGTGGCAGGTTTTATTATCCCCTTTTTCCATGAAGTTCAGAAAGGTCAAGTGGCTGTCAGGTGGCAGCCAGGATTCAAAGTCAGGCCTGGATGACCCAGACTGTGCTTTCCATTGCATCCAGTTGCCATTGAGATACAAAGTGGGAGAATAATAAAGGCATTTCTAAAAAAAATTAGAAGTTGGCCAGGCGCAGTGGCTCACGCCTGTAATCCCAGCACTTTGGGAGGCTGAGGCAGGTGGATCACGAGGTCAGGAGATCGAGACCATCCTGGCTAACACAGTGAAACCCCATTTCTACTCAAAATAAAAACAAATTAGCTGGGCATGGTGGCACGCGCCTGTAATTCCAGCTACTCGGGAGGCTAAGGAGGAGAATCGCTTGAACCCGGGAGGCAGAGGCTGCAATGAGCCGAGATCGCACCACTGCACTCCAGTCTGGCAACAGGGTTAACTCCATCTCAAAAAAAAAAAAAAAATTAGAAGTCATCTAATTTATATAGGAAGTGTGATTCAAAGTCATTGCAAAAAAACAGCATTAGATTTGGACTTAAGCTGTGAGGACAGTTCAAATGGTGTCTACTCTTGCCCGCCTTTCCCTGTCCCTCCTCAACCTGCACCCGCATGAATAGGTGAGCAGAGATGTCTGCTACAGGGCCAGCCTTGTGCACTTCTCTACAGCACTCACCACCCAGCAGCATACGTGCTGGTTCATGTCTGCCTCCTCCAGCAGACCATGGGTTGGCTCCTTGAGGACGGCCACTATGTCTGGTTCACCTCATATGCTCAAGGCCTCGCCTGATGCCCAGTCCAGAGCAGGACACAACACAGTTAACTGAATAAATGCATGAATGGTGGCCATCCAGATAGTCCCTGATGCACCAAGGATTGGTTCATTTGACAATTATTGTAAGTTAAAAGGGGCCCAAAATTAAACCTAGCCCCTGCAGGTGGTCATCTCAGAATATGACCTGTGTCACATGTAAGACCACCTCTTGTAAACGGCATTTCATTAGTCTATGTAATTAGATATCCATATAACTAAAATATATTTATATCATTATGAAACTTGCCTGCTACGAAATGCTCTTGCATCATTATACAAACACCCACACTTTCACACACATGGCTCTACTAGAGCTCGTTCCTCATGATAGCTCTTTTTCATCCCTTTTGGTCCAGGAAGACCTAGCCAGGAACAACAACAACAACAACAACAACAAACGGGCAACAGTGTTAGAGGTATGTTGTAATGAAAAGCTACTTTCAGGTCATTATCTTTCCGCCTTGACAAGTATCTGGCAAGAGAGCAGATACAAACATAAGCAAAATGAAATCAAGGTCTTTATACTGTACCTAGAACTTTAAAGTCACTTTACCTTGCCTCTTCATTTTTTCTAACTATATTGAAATCATTTTTCCTTCTGATTTCACATATTTTTTTAACAACTAATAAATACTATAAGTAAAGTTTGTACCAAAGATAGTGTGGTGGGATGTTATTCAATTTTTTTTTCCAGTTTAGAACTGGGTCTTCCTCCTGAGAAGAATCACAGAGGCATACAATTCTCTCTTAAAATTTAAGTGTAAAATTGTTGGACAATTTATTTTTTGAAACATCTATGATGTTACTCTTGGATTTAATAAAAGTCAATGTACTCATGCTACGAAGGGCCTTTTACCCAGAATACATTTATATTTCACTAAACAGTCATACGAAACCTAGAAATAGTTGTATCATCCATGCTGGAACATTTAGTCTTACCAAAATAATGTAGAACAGCGTAAAGTCATAATACGTCTCTAGAAGATGTTCTCTAAATGGATAATGCAGATCATGTTTTTTGTTACCACTGGTTTATAGCTAAGAATGTTTCCTAGTCTCTCAAAGGCCTCCGATTCTATTTAGGGATCTTTGACCCTTTATACCTGGGGGTTTGTGACATTTCTGAGAAAATCAAACTGTTTACCAGTAAAAATTAGACAAATATTTCTGAGCCAAATATTTCTATTTTTTTGCCATAAAAAGTTAGCCAAATATTTAACCTAGTGACAAAATGAATGCACTAATTTGTGGTGGAAGAGGGAAATCTGACTTCCTACTTTTGTAAAATCTCCTCAGGCTTAGTCCCTATCTATACAGAAAGAAACTCCCAGGAAGTAAAACGCTAATGACTTGGTGTGTACATGTAAGTTTACAGAAAAAAATGAAGACGAGGGCCTAACCCCCTAATGACCAATGTTTGTTCCCATGACCAAACAACAAATGAAATTCAAAGAACGGGGGAAGCAGTTGACCTCAAGTGCCCTGCAACATTTTTCCCTTTGCAGCTTTTGAAACCGTTTAGTTTCTTTATCTTTATTAGGACATTTTCCTCATCAAATTAATGAGTCACTAAACAAAAGGCTTACTAAAATGTTTACCTCTGAGAATAAACTATCTGGTAAGACTCTAGGAGAAAAGACGAGTCATAATTTGCCATTGCTTTTCAATGAAATCATCTGGGAAAAGCAAGGCAGAAAGTGGGGGTAGGAAGAGAGGATGACAACATAAAATTCAAAGCAAATCCCGAGGCCAACTCTGAGAAAATGTTTGTGATCCTTTGTGTCCTGTAATCCTTGACATTGTCGCGTCTACCCTCCTGCCTTTATGGAACACTTTCTTTCTGACAATTATTAAATAAGACATTCTTGTGGAACACTTAGCTTTGTTAAAACCAACTCTGGTACAAGGGAAAGGAGGGGAGGAGAAGCCAGGAGACCTTGTGCCATGGGGGCTGCAGAAACAGAAAGGAAGCTTACTAGTTGAGGCAGCAAGAGCAAACACAAGGCACATGTAGAACACGGATAGGAGAAAAATAAAGGGCAGCACATATAATCACCAGGTTTTCTTATTGTTCTTTCTGGGCACACACAACTGGCATGAACATGTGGTTGACAGGTCTGAGAACTGATTCCTAGAGACAGAGCTGGCGCAGGAGGGCTGGGAAGTGGGCACTATCTGCTCCATCTGGAGAGTGTCTGAAAGACGTGGTTCCCTTCAACTCATTTTCATTTGATGGTCTTTTCCCAGTGCTCAAGAGCACAGTCTTCAATTAACAGGCAGTACAATAGTCCTTTAACAAGCAACATGGACCTACAATGAGGGGTCAAAGAGAAGTCAAATGCGTGGCAACAGAACTCCAGCCAGGAAATTCTGGAAGACTTCAGAAGTACTCAGACACGGCAAGGCATTCTCTCCCAAACGCTCAGGAAGGACAGAGAGCACCTCTCTCAAAGGAGTGCGGGATGGATGCCTCAGATTTCAGAGGTAGCCTCTGCAGATCCACAGCAAATTCTACTGAGGGAATTCTTTCCTCTAGAAGACGCTCTAAGAGTAACAAAAAGTAAGAGCTAATTTGGGTTTGTCTCCTGTGTGGTTTCTACTTCTCAGTGCAAACTGCATAAATTCTCTGCCCAGTGCGGGAAGCAGGGTGCTTTTTCCTTCTCTCTCCACCAAAGTTTCACAATTATGTACGAGACTGGCCCTTCTTGAGCATCTTTTGCTTTCTTCACTTCCACTTTCATCTACATTAAGTTCTGCCTGATTACTCTTCAACTTAGTGAAAAATTCAGATACACACACACACACACACATTACTCTTCAACTTAGTGAAAAATTCAGATACACACACACACACACACACACACACATTACTCTTCAACTTAGTGAAAAATTCAGATACACACACACACACACACACACACACATTACTCTTCAACTTAGTGAAAAATTCAGATACACACACACACACACACAATCAGCTGAATTACTCCTGGCCATCCAGATTACTCTTTCTGAATTTTAAAAATTATTCAGAATGAGGAGTTATTGTTTCTTGGGTACAGAGTTTCAGTTTTGCAAGATAAAAGAGTTCTGGAGCTGGTGGTGATGGTTGCACAACAGTGTGAAAACATTCAATACTATGAACTGTATGCTTGAAATGTACATTTTATGTTATGTGTATTTTATCACAATTAAAAACAAAAGCCAACAGGTGCTCCCATGCCTGGTTTTGGCAACTCGCGCATAATCTCTGTCCCCGGTGTCTGGTTGGAAGCAGTCACTACACAGCAGTTCCAGGACACTACCGGGTGCTGACATTCACGGGGGGCGAAAGGAGATGCCAGCTGCTGCTCACAGTGAGTGCTTTTCCCGGGGAGCAGACACAGTATCTGCATCAGACACTCCT
Source organism: Homo sapiens (assembly GCF_000001405.40). NCBI lineage: Eukaryota > Metazoa > Chordata > Mammalia > Primates > Hominidae > Homo > Homo sapiens. The sequence continues at coordinate 78,593,237 of NC_000005.10, forward strand.
GATTCACTTCTCATCCCCATGGGAATCAGGAGAAAGATTTCACAGCCCTCAAGTAAGACATCTAGGTTCCTGGAATTAAGGAAAAGAAGAGCTAAAGTCAAGAGTGCAAGGTCCTGAGATCCCTGGTGACATCTTTCCACCTCTTGTTTTCGATTGAGGAAGACAGCCTGGGGACTTAAAGGCCCCAGCTGTCTCTCCCGAGCACCTCTCCCTTCACACTCCAAAAACAGTATCATTTTCATGACAAAAAGCTCTTTTAAAAAATGCTCCATAAGGTCCTCACAGACCTGGTCCCTGTCTCCAGAAGGTCATGGTTTATGATATACCATTGTGACCATGCTAGTTGAAACATATGGGTAACAGGTGAGCGTACTAAATCAATATTTGAACAAGCAATGATGTATTTATAGTACATCTGGTAGTGGTCAAGGATACACTCTTTGGGAGAAGAGGCAACCTGAGAAGTAACCAGACCAGAGACTGGAAGGACCAAGTGTGTGTGGAAGAACCTGAGAGCTCCATACACAGCCTAGAGGAGCAAGGCTGGACCAATTGTCTATGAAGGCCTCACTCACAAACCAGACGGCATGACTGTCCCCAGTCCTTCCCTACTCTGAAACCTATCCACAAGCTGACCCAGGGAACCCTGCTTGATGAGGCAAGAAGGAGGGGGGATGGAGAGGATATCTCATTCCTATTCGTCTTCAAGGTAACACACACAAAAATAGCAAACTCTTGCATACTGCTTGTTATGAACACTCTTCCAATAACTCGTAGATAGGAACTCATTTAAGCCTCACCAGCCCAGGTACTATTTTATGCACTGACAGAGAAACCAAGATAGAAAAAGGTTAAGGAGCTTGCCCAAGGTTTCAGAGCTAGTTAAGTATGGGGGCCAGACAGTTATCCTGGCTCTTAGCCTTTATGCAATCCTGCTTCTCTAAAACAATGGCTATTTCTGTAACACTAGACAAGAAGAGAGGCTTAAAGACATTCGGCCCTATGTAGCATGTTAACTCTGTTCCCCTATTTTTAGGGGGAGAGGCAGCATAGCTTTGTATAGACATCCTCCGACTCAACTTGGGCAGGATGTCAGCTAACTGTGTGGCCTTGGACACATTAATTAACTATTAGCTATTCACTGTATCTGTAATATACGCTGTCTAATGTATCTGTAAGGGTTAAATCAAGTTTCTAGCACATACATAATAGATAGAAGCTATTATTCACCCAGGTGAAAGCTCTAAAAACAAGCAGCTGACACACAGCCACCATCTAACAAATTAATCAAAATCCTGTAATAAAGTAATAGTGGCTATAAGCTTAAACTGGCACACAGCAGTCAGTTCATAGCCAGAGCCCTACAAATCATGAACAGTTCCTTCACTACACTGTTTGGGTAGGGATTCTATAATTTTTCCTAAGTGTTCCCCTGGGATAAGAACCAAGACACAAGAAAGAGAAAAGGGACAAACTTACAAGTTAGCAGAATGTTTTACTTGAAAACACAGTGCAAAAGTTGAAGGTAAAAAAACTTGACATTTTATAATAGTCTTTGTTTGATTCTAGAAAGCCAAACAGTCCCTAATTACTAAATCACATATAGAATGGACATAGCCGCCAACGACCAAAGAAAGAATATAAATTGCATGTCACATCTCAACTTCAGAGAGAAACCATCTGATGTGGCTAGCCTTCTGAGTGGGTGCTAGCACTGTGTTCTTTCCTTGCTCTTAGAATAGAGTCTGGGGACCAGCCTGGCTGGCCTAGCTATCTCTCAGGGACCAGATAGCAAACTTTGTACCCTGTGTGTTTCGAATTCACACTCAAGAATGTGAAAATAATCAGCTATGCCATCTCAACATGCACTGATGAACAGTTTTCAGGACTGCTTCAAACCAGGAACTAAGGTAAAATAACAAGTTAGACAAGCCATGTGCAGACATCCCGCCTCCAGTCAGGACGTGGGGATTCTCCTTCCTGGAGACAGACTATATTTTTACAACAGGCTTTTCTATTTTCCTTACAGATTGCTTCAACTATAACAGCACAAACCAAACATCTGAAATAATGAGTCATACTGGCTTGAATCCGAAGCACCAGGTCAAATGCAGTTTAAGCCACGTCAGTGCTTAAAGGCAACCCTCATGTGGTGAGTGGACAGATTTCTGCCACCAGAAATCTATAAGCCCTTTCCACCTAGGTGAACAATGTCTCAGTGTGGGAGGCAAGACAAGTGTTTCTAGCTGTTCAGGACCAGGCTAGGAGAATCTTCTTTCTTCCTTTCCTTTTTTTAGACAGGGTCTCACTCTGTCACCCAAGGTAAGTGCAGCAGCGTGACCACTGCTTACTGCAGCCTTGAACTCCTGGGGTCAAGCAATTCTCCCGCCTCAGCCTCCGGAACAGCTGGGACTACAGGCTTAAGCCACTACACGTGGCTAATTTTTTAAAATTTTTTTTGTAAAGGCAGGGTCTCACTATGTTGACCAGGCCTGTCTTGAACTCCTGGCCTCAAGCAATCCTCCTGCCTTTGCCTCCCAAAGTGCTGAAATTATAGGTGTGAGCCACTGCAGCACCCAGCTGTTCCTTCTTTCTTAAATTGCCTCTCTTTGGAGGGGATTCCTGATGAGGAAAAAACAAAAAAGAAACTCAAAAACTTACAGCATTTTTTCCTATAAGCATTCTGGTAAAGGGGAGTCCAAGAGAAAGGAGGTTTAAATGAACAATAATGGTATTAAGTAGCATTACAAATATTATTTGTGGATTTAAGTTAAATTTGTTCTTGATTCTATGAAATATGAAAGTCAAAACATTCTTTCATCAGTTAAAAAAAGCAGCCCTCTCTGCAGCTGTTCTAGACCGAAGATGACAAAGTTTATAATAAATTATAAGCAACCCTCATGACATCTAAATTATACATTTATTTTCCTCCTTCACAATATCATTATAATGTCTCCAATTAAAGCCCGACAAATTTTGGAAATTGAATTGAAAAGATATACAGTTACAAGAACTTCTCAAGAAAGATGCAAGGAGAAAGGGTCCTCATCCCAAAAGATTGGACTTGCAGGAAACACAAGCTCACATCATCCTACAGAAGGTAAGCAGCTGCCTAGAGGACGACCTTTCTGATAAAAGAGTAAAGCATGCAGGCATGAACGAATCAATGAACATTTGAATGAAATAGCCCTGGGATCACAAAGTTCCAAGAATATTTTTCATGAGTCTCACAGTGCCCAGTTTTCCTTTAACATAAGTCTGTCTTACCTTTTCTAAGACATACCTAATGTGATAAAGAGAAACCTAGTAAAAATGATTGACCTTCCTTGGCAATCTTTGTGACTCTTACCTATTCATTCCAACTCTGCTTAGGGATAAAAGTGTCACGTGCCTGTCTGAAATTGTCTCCTATAGCCATGTCTGAATTATCCAAAAGTCAGGACACCTCCCCGCCATGGTCCCAGAACCCAGCTAGGAACCCAGAAAAGCAATCTACCAAGGAAATGCTGCCCAAAGCCCAGCAAGCCACATTCTGATGCTGGTAGGTTGTCAGTCATAAGCAAAAATCCAGAAAATACAAATCTTCCTTTGATAATAATATTGACAGTTTCTTCTGCTCCCAAATTTTTGCCTTCTTCCCATTAAACAACAAAAATTAAGTGATCTAGGTTGCCCATGTTGCACAGTCTATACATTCATATGAAACAAAAATTTAACCTCATAAAAAGAAATTCAATTACTATTGACTAAACTGCAAAGTAATATTTAACACACCAAACAATAATTTTGTAAGCAAAGCAAATTGCTAAACCTGGTTCTCAGCCATTGTTTCCATATCACAGTCACCTGTGGGACTCAGGAAAATCACTGATGATCAGCACCACCCTAGGAGAGTAAGGTCTGGTGGGGCTGGGGTGCAGTGGAAACAGCCCACGAGCGAGGCGCCAAGAGAGCAGCAGTCTAATCCCAGCTAGACTTTGCACTTCCTGTGTGGCCTCTGGGACATCACATCTCTTCCCTGTGTTTCCTCACAGGGAGCTCTAAAATGGGGGCATTGTATGAAAAGATAATCTAAGTCTCTTCCAGTTTTTTTCAATTTTCTCCCAACCCCAGAGTTTTTTCCACTTAGGAAACTAACACAAGTTTTTCTAATTTTTTCCCAAACCTAGTGTTTTTTCCACTTAGGAAACTTAAAGGTCTCTTTGTGTGGGACAGAAGCAAGAAAAAATGAAGACAAATATACCAAAGTGTGTCTCAGAGTAGAATGATTCAACATGACGTAAGAGTTTGTGTGGGAGAGTGGTGAACTGACGTAGCAGATTATGGAAGACTGTGAACAAGCAGCTTGGAAAGTCAGGAAACTCTAAGACCCAATTCTTCAATTCTTCCTTCTTTGTTTTTCTTTTTAAGATACAGAACAAAAGAAAAGTTGGGAGGAAAGAGAAATGAAGTAACAAATAAGTCAGTAGTATTCAATGAACACTTACCAAATGTGCATGATGGTATGTTACAGGAATAAGAAAGAATTTAAGTGAAGAACAACATGGTCCCTGAACTCAAGCTATTTGTGATGGAATTCAGTGCATCATATGCACTGAATTAGTATCTTCATATGCATTGGTATCACTGGGCAAGCTTGTTAGAAAATACAGACACCTGGGTCCACACCCCTCTTCCCAAACATTATAAATCCATTTCCAGGATGCAGAGCCAGAAATGTTTTTGTTGCTCACCAAAACTTGACAACCACAAACTAAATAACAATGGAATCCAACTTTTGAATAATGCAGTTAATACAAAGACCCCTTAAGGCAACCCTGACTTAGTCATAGATAGCAAATATAGGTTAAGGCCTGGGTTCCCACCCCATGTGTCAAGATGATCTGGAGAGCCACAGCAAACTCACAGGAGCATGAAGGGATACTACAGTTTTTTAAGGAAAGCATGGTGAAGTGTGGGAATTATACAAACTACTAGTTCAAGTTAATTCACAAAATGCATTACATTCCTTTTGATGACATCATCTCTTTGTGAAACTGGTTTTTGCAATTACTATGATAATAAGCCAAGCACATTTGAACATCAATGTGGAACAGGAAACCAAGGTGGGAATGTCAAATCTGACTCCTAGGCTTGCGAAGCCATGAGGTATCCAACAAAGAAACACAGCTCACTAGTAAATGAAGGTGGTTATTCAAGAACAAAGTAAGTTCTAAAATCTTATAAAAAGAAAAGCATATTTTCTTTCAATTTATACATACTACTTTTTCAAATGGCCATTAAGTTGTTAGAACAGAAGTACCTATTAGGTGGTTTGTATGTAACTCTTAAACAAAACTGTTAAGTACTTACTTTGAAAAAATTAACTAGACACTTAGAGGACCAAGAACAGAGAAAGTTTGGGATCTTCTGGGTCAAGACAACCTTACAATGGGATTCTTTTTATAGCATAAAAATTTAATTCACTCCAACAAAATAGATCTCATGTTTCCTTCTGATAGAGAAAGCATTCTAGAGGCATTCCAGAATGCTGCTTTTCAAAGTATTCTCAAATGAGAACAATGACAATCATGAATATGTCTATCCACTGATTGGTCAATAACTGCATGAATTATTTTCTTCCATGTTATATTTCAAATAGCATTCCAAAGTAAAAATGTATAGATATATTATCTTGTTTTCATAGGAAGCATTATTATACCTGTACAACACCTTCAAATTTACTTCACAAAATTTGAACATACGGTAATTTCAGTAACAGCCTTCTTAGACAATCCAAGTCCAGTTATCCCTAGCATTCAAGCACTGGTCACAGGAAGTGCTGCGCTCACTGCACTTGTTGGTCTGCCTATGTCCCCAGCCAGTCCTACTCATCTCCAGCCCTTGCTTGGCTCAGCCGTACTGTTTTATCACACTGCGTCATTCCCCTACCCTCCCAAGTGTTATGGATAAAGTTTTATTTTCTCAATTAATGTAAATTGTACTTTGTTAGAGACGACCATGATTACTAGATATAAAAACTTCCCAAGATTGAAAGCGAAGAATAAACCCTTTTTTTGGGCGGGGAGCACAGGGGGTTGCGGACAGAGTTTTGCTCTTGTTGCCCAGGCTGGAGTGCAGTGGCTCAATCTCGGCTCACTGCAACCTCTGCCTTCCAAGTTCAAGCAGTTCTCCTGCCTCAGCCTCTCAAGTAGCTGGGATTACAAGTGTCCGCCATCATGCCCGGCTAATTTTTTGTATTTTTTTTTTTTTTTAGTAGAGACAGGGTTTCACCATGTTGGCCAGGCTGGCCTCGAACTCCTGACCTCAGGTGATCCACCTCGGCCTCCCAAAGTGCTGGGATTACAGGCATGAGCCACTACACCCAGCCCCTACTTCTACCAGGTAGAGCATTATTAATGGAGAGACTATCATGCCTACACACAGATTCTGCTTGCCAGTTCAACAATTAAGTGAATAAAAAACATAAAGGCTTGCTGCCTAGCCCATGAGATCTTGTCTAGTTGTGACTTAGTACAGATAATGGCAGACAATGGGAGACAGCCTTCAGCATGTACAACTGCTTCAACCATTCTGAATGCTTCCCATCCCTTAAAATCTGAGATTTTTCAAACTATTCCCCAAATTATTGGTAGTTTCTGGAGTTCTCTTTACATAGTACCTGAAAAGACAAATTTTTGAAGTGACGATTCAGAGTCAAATCTCTGACTACAAGAAAATTTTAAGTGATCAGGAAAATCTTGTAACTTTATAGCAACTAACCTCTCACTCAGATTAATAATGAACATGCAATATACCCTTCAGAAAGAGCTACTTCCCAAGAAAGCCGGGGAGATCAAACAACAGCTTATTCATGGTGAAAATTATTTTGAAAGACTAAAGTTGATAGCATTCCACCTACTAAGTTCCTGAATAGTTCTAAAAATTTCAGGATGAGGTTCTTCAAGATAAGCCTTTCAAGTAAAAAATTTACAAATATATTGTTGTCAAGCGAGCAAACTAGATACCAATTCTAACAAAAGCTCTGTTATTTCATGTTATTCTCCCCATAGATGGCCACACCAAAGTTTCAAAGTAAGAGTTTATCAGTAAGCTCTTCAGTTTGGGGTTACAGGTGATTAAAAAAAAAATTAAAATTACAGCCTGGCTCAAAAGACAATTCCTCCACTTTCTGAGTTTCAAATATCAAATCATAAAACTTTCAGCAAGAGGCCATGTGCAGTGGCTCACACCTGTAATCCCAGCACTTTGGGAGGCTGAGGCAGGTGGATAACCTGAGGTCAGGAGTTCAAGACCAGCCTGACCAACATGGAGAAACCCTGTCTCTACTAAAAATACAAAATTAGCCAGGCATGGTGGCACATCCCTGTAATCCCAGCTACTCAGGAGGTTGAGACAGGAGAATCACTTGAACCCGGGAGGTGGAGGCTGCGGTGAGCCAAGATCATGCCATTGCACTGCAGCCTGGGCAACAAGAGCGAAACTCCGTCTCAAAATAAATAAATAAAGCTTTCAGAGAAATAAATGACAAGCAGACAATATACTTAACGTCCTCAGAGAGATACTACTAACAAAATAGTATGAAGGAAGTTGGTAACTAAAGTCAAAGGTTCTGGCTGAGAAAACACTTTCCACAATGGAACATAAATAGCAGATGACCAGGACAATGTTTTATTTTGGCCTGTGTCTGAACTCAAATTAGCTGTTTAAAAAAAAGTTAACTGAAACTCCAAAAACACTAGAAAGTAAAAGAAAATCGGATTTAAATCTGCCCAACACTTGACCAGCATGTGTGCCATTTGCTCCAACCCCACATCAGAGTGACCCTGCAGGCCCTGGGGGTACTCAAGTCCAAAAGATCAAGTAACAACAGGCAGGGAAGCCTCAGAGGAAAAACTGTGAAAACACAATAAAGTAGAACAATTCCTACCATTTGGCCTAGTGATGAAAGGAGAAATGAGGTGTCACTGAGGATGATAAATATTTGGACCCTTGACTTCTCTGTGAGGATAAAGTAACAGAACAAACATCTTTTCTCGAAGGGATGATTTGGTGTGCCTTGAGATTTACTAAGCTGAGATGATTCAGCCATGTTCACAGTTGAGAAGGCAGGTCCCAGAGCAGACAGTACCAAGAATGTACAGACATGGCCCACTCACTGAATTCCTCTGTCCAGGGGAAGTTCTCACTAGCAATGTGAATTATTCTCATGTTTGTATGTAATTAATATTGATGGTGAAGGGTCCCTGTAAGTTAGGCAGCCTCCCCCAAAAGGAACTGTTTTTATTCTTTAAGAACAAACTAATAACGAGTAAATCTAATAAGACTATAAACCATGTCTGTGTAGCAAATTTATACCACCAGTGAATTCAACAGCACTAGAAGGGAAAGAAATCATTCCAGCTTCTCACGCACTGTCTCTAGGGTGGGCTGAACACAGGATAAAATCCTCTACCTTGGCTGCATTCTCATTAGGCCATCTGCAAACGTGCTGCAGAAAGAAGAGAAGCCAGAGGACTTGGAGGGTGGAGAGGCTGGGGGGAATGCTCCTGCTCTAACTTTCAGTCTCTTCATGGGAAAGTCATTTCCCTCAGAGCCTGTGTTCATCCTGCACTGGAAACACAGCTGTGGTCACCACATCCCTAGTTAAACACTGCTCCACAATCATAAATACTGCTGCTGTCAGTAGGAAGGAGTCAATGGGTGTGGGGAAGTTTCCCTTAAAATAAAAAAATTAAAGACTTTTAAAAAACTGTATTAATGTGGAAAAAATACGCAGACACAACTTTAGACTTCCCCCTACTCCTCTCAAAAAAACTCATGAAATATGGTACTACTTTGAAAAGAAGTTCCACTGAAATTTCCAGAAAAGGCAGAGTATACTTATCTGATGTATACTCTGGAGAGAGAATGACAAATCATTAACCTGAAAGTGTACACAAGGTTAAAGGAGATGATGATGGCAATGAAGAAAGGAAAAAAGAAAAAAAAATAAGGCCCAATGATGTTGACAACTTCTTTGACTTTTTGAAATTAGCTGTTTGTAAAATAGAAAGATTTCTGTTAATGTCACAGAAACATGAAAGATGCAGTATTTGCAAAACCGAAACAACTTAAAATTCTTATCCACCAGCTTCACTAAAGGCATTTTATTAAGCTAAGGAATACAGGATTGAAAGAAACATATCCTTCTCAAATTTTCCATTCTTTCACCCGAACAAAAAAGTATGGCACCAGAAAAGAATGGTATAAGGTTACCACATAGACATGATTGATTTAGATTTAGTCTTCATTTGTTTGTTCTTTAAGAACAAACACCTCCCATAGGGGAGTGAGTCTGACTCACAGGGACCCTTCACCATCAACATCAATTCGTATAGAAATCTGAGAACTTATCCTGGGCAGATAAGTTCTGGAATTCAGTGAATACACCCAACAGGACACCTAGAGCCCAAGGCCTTGGGGAAACAACCTGCCAATGCTGCCTGCAACCCAGCCCAGAGGTCTACACCACTTGCCCTGGTCAGAACCAATCATGGCAGCTCTCATTTATTGAGCCTTATGAGCCGGGCCCATGCAATTAATCACTTCATAGCAATTATCTTATTTAAACCTTACTACCACCCACAATGAGGTAGGGTTTTGTTTTGTTTTGTTTTGTTTTGTTTTGTTTGAGACGGAGTCTTGCTCTGTCACCAGGCTAGAGTGCAGTGGTGCGATCTCAGCTCACTGCAACCTTCGCCTCCTGGGTTCAAGCCATTCTCCTGCCTCAGCCTCCTGAATAGCTGGGACTACAGGCGCGTGCCACCACACCCAGCTAATTTTTGTATTTTTTTTAGCTGAAACGGGGTTTCACCATGTTGGCCAGGATGGTCTCGATCTGCTGACCTCGTGATCCACCTGCCTCGGCCTCCCAAAGTGCTGGGATTACAGGCATGAGCCACCATACCTAGCCGAGGTAGGTATTATATGCATTTTAGCAAGATGGAAACTGAGGCTCCGCAGGGTTAAGTAACTGACTTGGATGTCACAACCTGTGCTCTTAACCACTACACTGAATTTTCTCATTTATTGATTAGCCTACAGCAAGCAAAGTCTCAATTCAGATATCTGAAAACTGTTATCCCCCATCAGTAAAAAGGGTTTAAACCTCCAAGTCGATTCTTTTTTCCTTCCAGTTGTTTTGTTCTTTCTCATTATATGTCCTCAGAGGGCTCTTGAAACAAATGGGAACTAGCAACATGGAATGAGAGCTACGAATGAGTCCATACCCTTTACCAGAAACTTCTCTTTGGAGAAATATATCCGCAGGAATGGACCCCAAGAGAGGGGGAAAAGCAATCTACTTAAAGATGTTTGCTGGCCGGGCATGGTGGCCCATGCCTATATTCCCAGCACTTTGAGAGGCTGAGATGAGAGGATGGCTTGAGCCCAAGAGTTCAAGACCAGCTTGGGAAACAAGCAAGACCCTATTCTACTAAAAAATTTTTTTCAGTTAAAAAAATTTTTAAAAAAACACACAGATGTTTGCAGCATTATTTATGCCAGCTTCAAACTGGAAAGACCTCAAATACCCTAATTTGGGGTTAGCTAAGTACACTATGACACATACAATGATGAAATACTAAATGAGCTATTCAAAATGAAGCAGAATGTGGGCCAGGTGCAGTGGCTTACATCTGTAATCCCAACATTTTGGGAGGCTGAGGCAGAAGGATTGCTTGAAGCCAGGAGTTTGAGGCCAGCCTGGGCAACACGGCAAGACCCTACCTGCCTGGGCAACATAGCAAGATCCTATCTCTAAAAAATTAATTAATTTAAAATGAGTAGAATGCAGTTAGTGCAGATACATGGAATGTAAAATTATAATAACACTAAATATTTTAAAGCAATACTATATACCCACCACTTAAAACCATAAAATGGTCCCACATAGATATAATATCAGAAGCAAAGTCAGGCCGGGCATGGTGGCTCATGCCTGTAATCCCAGCACTTTGGGAGGCCGAGGCAGGCGGATCACCTGAGGTCAGAAGTTCGACACCAGCCTGGCCAACATGGCGAAACCCCATCTCTACTAAAAATACAAAATTGGCTGGGCGTGGTGGTGGGCGCCTGTAATCCCAGCTACTCGGGAGGCTGAGGCAGGAGAATGGCTTGAACCCGGGAGGCGGAGGTTGCAGCGAGCTGAGATCATGCCACTGCACTCCTGTGCTCCAGCCTGGGTGACAGAGCAAGATCCCGTCTCAAAAAACAAAAAAAGAAGAACCAAAATCAGAAATGTAAATGAGAATTCAATCTGCTATAGTCTCTTTTTTCTAGTTGTGAAACTAATAAAGAAGCCCAAACTGTATGAAAAGTTCAAACAGAGAATAATAATAGATTGCTATGTGATCCAAGAAACTTGTATTCATGACAACACTACATGCAAACCCTGATAACTGAAATTCATTTTCTTAATTTTTGTTATTACTGTACCTGTCTGCACTGTAGCTTCTTGACGGCTGGCTTTAAAATAAAGTTGACAGTATCTCTGGGGAAAGTAACAAGGTACAAAGTTCTACATCAGTGCTGCTCAGAAAACATTCCTTTAATCCTTTTGTTTATTCTATTCCCTGCATTTATGAACTCTCTAAATCCCTTCTACTTAAACCACAGCACTAAAGCACTAGGATTAAAGACGTGGTGAATTTTCTAACAGAATGTACTTAACTTTATGTCTGGGCAATGTATTTGCACAGTTTCACACTTTAGTGATTTGCTGAATGAACCTGTACAACATAATGTGCCTGAAAAACTCATCTTTCAAAATTGTTTTATCAGAAAATATGACAGGAGATTTCCATTACTTCCCATAAGAAAAGGCTGTCCAGCCCCACTGCAGACTGAGTGTGTGTTACTGGGCTTCGAAAGCCAAGTGCAGAAGCCATGGCTTGGCTTGGGTTTTCGTTATATTTCAAACATTATTAAGGAGGCCATTTTAATGAAAAGTGTTACAATTAATTGTTACCTCCTTTGAGTGGCTAAAATCAGACATTCTATAGGACACCCAGGCAATCAACGCAACTTCAAAAGCTGGTGGGCATCAGGATCAAGACCAGCACTGATGCACTGCCTGGACTCTGAGCAGGGTGACTTGTGTCTGGGAAATACATGGCCCTGACAGGGGCATCAGGGGATCTGTTTCATTGGCGACTCCTCTGTGCCACCATAGGCTGACAATCACCCCTTCCAGCCTCTTTCAAAATACACATCAGGATTTTTAGGGTCTTTTATGTCATTATTACCAACCCCATGACCATGTTACCACCTTGAACTGGATAGAATGTACACAGGTCACCTTACAACATAGGCTTCTAAGATAAGTGAAATCAAAGATAAGGCAGTACCTTTACACTTCTACCTTAAAGTGTCAATTTTAATTAAATAATTCTTACTGAGCCACTTTCTCCTTTGGTCTATCACAAAATTTCACTCAAGCATGAAGACACAACAACCTGCAGATTATTTTTGGATTAATCATCTCTCCATCTTAAAATTCCCCAGAATTTAATATAATCCAAAGATGAATCATCTCTTCATAGTACTGTCAGCAGACAATATTAATCATCTTACATTTACAATCTGGTGTGAGGTTCTTCCAAAGCTTTCACACACATGCTATTTAACCCTCACGATCCCCATATAAAGTGAAATTGCTTTCGTCAGCCACACTCAATAACACATTTTACAAAATTAACTTCTCTAATATGAGGACTGATGAAACAATAACAAAATTAAACAGGTGTCACCTACAAAAATTCTGTGCTCCTATGCAGAGCTCAATTTGATTCAACTGATACTCACCAAGTGCCCACTCTGCCTTAGGCAACGTGCTCCTGGGTCAGGTTTCTTGAGGGGAACAAAACTTAACAAAATAACCTTATGCCAGTCCCTAAACATTTGTTTTTTAAAAACTGGTCCATGAAATCCAAAAGTCTAGGGCCTCTATATTTGAAATTTTGTATTGCACCTTTACTTTCCCAATGCCTAAGCGACCATCTGGTTTCAGATGAGCATCTCTAGAAGCAGCCTTCACTTTTTTATGCCACCAGGGATTAGGCAGTGAGTTACTGTGCTCAGTGCTATTTAATGTACAAGACAGAAATTTATTAAATGGCAATGAAGTAGTAATTACTAAACAGTTCCCTAGTGGCTCAAAAAGTCGGTAATTAAATACCACTTAAGACTGAGAGTTATTAAAAGGCACTAATGGAACAGTTTATTAAACAGTACCTTAGTGTCCTCAAAGGGTCATTTCCATACAACTCTCCATGATCAGACAGTCTCTGGGGAAATCCAGCTGTTTGCCGAGGGTGGGCGGGGGTGAAATGTGAATTATCACATAGTAGCCAACTCCAGCCAGAAACCCTGGCATTTGGCTGGACAGCTGAGCAAGAATGTATTTGTTTTATTTTTTTGACAGTCTTGCTCTGTCGCCCAGGCTGGAGTGCAATGGCGTGATCTTGGTTCACTGCAACCTCCACCTCCCAGGTTCAAGCAATTCTCCTGCCTCAGCCTCACAAGTAGCTGGGATTACATGTGCCAACCACCACGCTCAGCTACTTTTTAAATATTTTTAGTAGAGACGGGGTTTCACCATGTTGGCCAGGCTGGTCTTGAACTCCTGACCTCAAGTGATCCACCCGCCTTGGCCTCCCAAAGTACTAGGATTACAGGCATGAGCCATACACAGGCAAGCCATCCCCCCTTGCAAGTCCCTGGCATTCTGATTTGCCTTGCAGCCTAAGTGCTGGGTGTAACAAGACAACATCCCCAACATGGTCCATCACAGTCTGTCTCTTTTACTAATCACATCCCAAGATGTAGTGTATCTTCTTTTTTTATTTTTCACATGGAGTTTCCCTCCTGTTGCCCAGGCTGGAGTGTAATGGCATGATCTCAGCTCACTGCAACCTCTCTGCCTCCCAGGTTCAAGCAATTCTCCTGCCTCAGCCTCCCAAGTAGCTGGGATTACAGGCACCCGCCACCACCTCCGGCTAATTTTTGTATTCTTAGTAGAGACGGGGTTTCACCATGTTGGCCAGGCTGGTCTTGAACTCCTGACCTCAAGTGATCCACCCCCTTCGGCCTCCCAAAGTGCTGGGATTACAGGCATGAGCCACCACGCCCAGCCAATGTAGTGTATCTTCTACCATAGGTTTGTATTTCGCCATTCTGACATGAATAAAAGACATTTAAAAATAAGTTATGATCTAATTACAAACAAAATTTGCCATATTTCCTCTGAGAACCTCCTCCTAAATGTCTTTTTTGTGCATCTTAGTTACCCCCATCCAGTTGGTTCCACCTCTCATTCCTGTTTTATCCTAGACTAGCCTCTTCACTAGCTGGCTCTTCCCTGTAGTTACTGACCCCAATCTTTCCAATCAAAAGTCAGCATGAAAAGTCCATCTCCTCTAGAAGGCTTTACCTGATAAGACAAGACACTGAAAAATCTTTCAAATACGGCTTCAATTTCCAAGTAAGTTTACAAAGAAAAGTGGTAGGTTTTTTTTCCCCTAAGCCGAAGGTACCTATGCATCTTGCTTGTTGTTGCAATAGTCTGAACATGCAAAGTCTATCTTTGGTAGATCTATGTAATGCCCAAAGGGAGCACAAAGTGAATGTTAAATATGAAATCACTCTAGGCAGTAAAAGAACACACACTAAAAAGCTTTTTAAGAAGATATGTGATATCCTTACCATTAGATGAACTCAAGAAAGTGTAAAAGAAAGATAAGCAATTAAACAATGAACTGGTAAAAAGTTTCAGGTGACACCAGGGGATGGACAAATGAGATCAAGGAGATAAAGTTCAAAGAGGTGGAACAACAGGTCATTAATCACATGGATCTGGGAAAACCCTCACAGACTGAAAGGAGCAGAGAAAACATTCTAAAAGGAACCAGAGATGGTCATGAAAGCAGTGCTTCCTTAGCAGGAATGCCAGAATACTCACCTGAAGATTATACCTTCAAATAAGAATTATTTTTTAAAATGCTTATCAAATTACAAAACAGTATTTGCTACTTTCACTGACAAAAGCTCTCTTTAGCAAAGTTTTAGGAGCAATATGAAAATATGGAACATAACAGATTGCCCAAAATGGAGACTAATAAAGGGCACTGTTTTACTTACACAACCTCCATGTGACAATTATTTAAAATACAAGTCAAGCAAAGACATAACTGCATTCTAGAATAATATATGGGGAAATACAATCAGGCTATACAGTTTTGGTTTTTAACTACTGAAGCTTCAACATTCATCATTAAACTTCTCCCTAATTAGCGATCTAAATTCTATTTGCAAAAAAAAAAAAAAAGTGCCTAAAAACTCTCAGGTATTTAGTGACTTAAAATACATTAGAGAGGCTGGGCACGGTGGCTCACGCCTGTAATCCCAGCACTTTGGGAGGCCGAGGGAGGTGGATCATGAGGTCAGGAGTTCAAGACCATCCTGGCTAACATGGTGAAACCCCATCTCTACAAAAAATACAAAAAATTAGCCGGGCGCGGTGGCGGGCGCCTGTGGTCCCAGCTACTCGGGAGGCTGAAGCAGGAGAATAGCATGAACCCGGGAGGTGGAGCTTGCAGTGAGCCAAGACTGAGCCACTGCACTCCAGCCTAGGCGACAGAGCAAGACTCCATCTCAAAAAAAAAAAAAAAATACATTAGAGAATAACATTAAAGTCAGCAAGAGACTTTCCTTCTTTATGGGATAATAAAAAATGGCATGACCTTTCTGCAAGAGTTTGTCAACCTGCATGAATATCCAAAATGTTTATACTCTGACTCAGGAGTTTTAATCCACTTACTATCATATAATTAGACAAGTGTAGTACAAAGATGTTTAATGGAGCATTATTCACAACTGGAGAAAAATCCATCTATAAGAGATTGTGGCCAGGTACAGTGGTTCATGCCTATAATCCCAACAGTTTGGGCAGATCACCTGAGGTCAGGAGTTCTAGACCAGCCTGCCCAACATGGTGAAACCCTGTCCCTACTAAAAATACAAAAATTAGCTGGGTGTGGTGGCACAGGCCTGTAATCCCAGCTATTTGGGAGGCTGAGGCAGGAGAATCACTGGAACCCGGGAGGCAGAGGTTAAGGTGAGCCGAGATCGAGCCACTGCACTTTAGCCTGGGAAACAGAGCGAGACTCAGTCTCAAAAAAAAAAAAAAAAAAAAAAAAAAGAGAGAGAGCTTGCTTAAGTAAATTACAGCACATCTATACAATGGAATATTCTTCAGATATTAAAAATGAGGTGTCTCTAAACTCATGCCACATAAAGACTACCACAATCCATTGTGAAGAAAAGAAAACAGTGTTTTCTGATATGATCTCATACCTAAGGTTCTGAGGGTGTATATGTACATGATGATCATCAAAATATGGGCAACAACAATTTCTAGAAAATGGGTATTTGACATGGTTTGCAATTACTTGTACTTTTACCTATTCTTTGAATTTTCTACAATAAGCACTTTCTCTTTTGGACAGAAAAGAAACCAGAAAATTAAGCTCCTTTTATTTTGAAAGAAAAAAAGTCATTGGTGTACCTAAAAAAAAAAAAAAATTCTTTTTGTGGACAGAATAATAGCCATCCTTTATTTATAGGATGAAAATTCTCTGTCATACATCAGAAGCTCCGAATGGAAACAGCCTGACCTTCAGGCTGCTGAAACTCCTGCCCTGGGCAGCAGCTCCCAGCATTAATGGGAATCACCTACCTAAACCTGCCGGGGGATCAGAGTCACCTACCTAGCCTGCCAGGGGACTAGAGTCACTTACCTAGCCTGCCAGGAGATGAGCTGGGCATAGCTAGCTCCAGTCAGACCCCACTCAAGTCACCCCACCCCAGGCAGACCACCAGCCTCCCAGTCAGCAATGCTGACACCCACGCCACACTGTAGGAAAAGAGCCCTTGGGTGGACTCTGGGTCCCACCAAGGGCAGGCAGGAATGCAGGGTCCTCATTCAGGAACCGCCAGCTGGACCTTCTGCATTCAGCACATGTTCCTGTCTGAGAAGGAAAGGGCTACTAAACGGAAACGTCTTCACGAAAAGGTCTGGGAGAAGAGAAAAGATCCAGATGCCTTGGGCTTGTTCCACTTTTCCATAGATGGAGCCACTGGGCCCCCAGGAGAGACTCGGTCCATGGAGATGAGTAAGCCAAATACTGGCAAGATTCCACTCGGAAGCCAAGGGCCTGCTGGGGACCCAGAACTGTGGTGTGCATGGGAGGATGGCCTGGTGAGCAGGAGAGGCCAGAAGGCCCTCTTCATGGGCTTCAAAAACCCAGGACACCAGCACATACGATATGAAGCAAAAAGCCTACGAATCCAAACAAACTCCAGGGAAAAGTGTGCCATCAGTAGTCCCGCTGGTACAGACTCTCCTCAAAATCCAGCCTCTAACAATGAAAGCAGCTAAGAAGAGTTACACTAGCTGTTGCTGTCCCCTCTCCCTCCCACGCTTGCTCCCTCCCTCCCACACCCTCCACCTTCCTCTCCTGTGCATTACTGAATCATTGCTGATCCATTTGAAAAATGGCCACATGCATGGACTGAACCAATATTCTGACACATATCATGTGGCAAAGAGGAGATGTCATTAGACCATAAGCAAAAAAAAAAAAGCATTGCACGGGCATTAACACAACATTTAAGTGTCCTCCTCAAGGAGCCACAGGCACAGGGAGTGGTGCAGCTCTGATTCAGTTAGGCTTTCACTGCTTTGTTACTGAGAAGGGAAAAAAAAAGTTCATTAACTGCTATAAGCAGACAGACAAAGGAGGTATAAATTCTTCTTCTAAGACAATTTTGTTTGGTCTTTAAAACCAAACAAAACATGATATAAGTGTCCACTAAGCAAGGGCTAAGAGTCCTTGCCCTGCTGTGGGAGAGCTGACAGCAGGCTGAGCTCAGTGCAGCACGCGTCCCCAGGCAGAGCACAGGCTGCTGTGAACTGTGGCCCAACTGCAGGGCCAGTCCAGGGCAGGGCAAGACCAGTGTGGGCTGAGGGGCAGGAGAAAGGCTCTCAAAGGAGAACTCCACCTGGGCTTTGAACTCTGTCCATTGTCAGCTTCTGCACTCCAGCAGGGCTCAGTGTCATCTTCTGACCCTGGCCTATGAGGTTTCTGGGCTCCCTGCTCAGTAATTCACATTCCAGAGCTTAAGGAGAGGATGCTGAGCTCAGCCCCTGGCCCCAGGAAGTCCCGCCAGAATCCTGGGGAAAAAGACTGGGAAGTCCCTCCGGAGAAGCCTGAGGGCTGAGGATCAGAAAGGCTTCAGGGCTGGGGCAGAAGGAGCCCAGAGGCAATTACTAAGGGGGATGGTGAAGCAGGCAGGACCAGATGACACCAGCCTAGGGAGTCTGGGAGGAATGTGGATTTTATCCTACCTGTGACAGGAGAAGACTGAAGATTTTAAGCAAGGGAGTGAAAGTGGTCTAATTTGCCACCTAATTTACATTTTTAAGAATTCTGAAAGCTGCTGTGTGTATCGCAGATCATGTAGGAGCACAAACTTTTTTTACAGAAAATCTATCGTTAAAACTCAGAATATACGGAGGCCACAAAGGGAGAAGTCTTTCTAATTCCATTTTCCCACATGTGATACAGACGAGTTCTGAGAACGCATGCACACATGGTAGGAGCTTCATGAGTTAAAAAGCCACAGTGCATTTTAAGACAGTCCTTTCTAGACAGTGTATTTCTCTCCGAAACAACGAAACAACTATTTTTATTTATTTGTTTCTTCTCCCAAAAGACAAAAGAGAATAGGAAGAGAGAAACAAAATATTACTTTATAGAAAAGGATTATGACATTCCATTACACATTAATTTGGTTAGCTGTTGGCTGACAATGGAGCATTTTTCCTACTATCTCCTACTTACTATTCAAACTGACTTTGTGAAGACTTCTCCCATCCGATTAAAGAGGGTTTTTTAATCTAGTTGAAAATTTTAATGAAAATATAAAAATCATCCTGATCTTTGCATAAATTTCCCTTTAAAAATTAAAAATAGGAAAATAGCCATTAAAACAAATCAGTAGTAGCAGAGTAGGATTTGCATCTTTCAGAACTGGAATGCCATTGTATAGTCATTCCTCCAGAACTCTGAAAATATGACTACTATTTATCCACAGCCTTCCCTAGGCACTTAAAGTGCTTTACAAATATCATCCTCAAAATAACCCCATAAAGAGAGGAGAGTTTGCTATAAAAGTTCATTGGGCATGAAAACTTGGCTCAGTTATTCAACAGCTTGATCCAAAAGCAATTATTAAAACTAATTTTTAACAGCAACAAAAATAATTTGGCTGAAAGAGTAAACTAATAAGCAGTCAACTACCTACCCATGGCACACTTCCTCTACATAAAGGCTGCCTTTCCTTGCCCCAATCCCCAGAATCACTTCTATGAAACCAGCTCCAGTAAACAGCGACAACCCAGAGGCCTGGTGCCAGGCGCAGTCTTCAAAGAGCTGGACTCCCTTTTACAGCAGCACTTAATCCTGCATTTAAAGTGCCCTTAAGGCTGGCACCAAATGAGCTGGGGAGACAGTGATTTCCTAATGAATTAAGGCTGAGCCAAGCTTCATAATGCATTAATGATGGTCCCCTAATAGTTTGAAGGTAGAGATTCATCCAGCCTCACCTCCCCACCCAGCTCTTCCACGTGCATAGCTGGTGATCTTGAAGTTCTCCTGGTAGACAAAGCACCAAGAAGATGGGTGGTTCCATGGAGCAGGCAGCTGTACACAGAAGCTAGTGCAAAGAATGCCAATAAGCCCTTTTCCAGGTGCCTCCTGAGGGGCAGGGGCAAGGCCAAGGAATGAGGCCAAGGCCACAGAATATACTGCTTAGAGGTCAACTTCCCTTATCAGCTTTCTACCTCTGTTGTGGGCTTGCTTCTCTCAAGACATAGGTAAGTTTCTTGGATGAGAAACAAATGCAGCTGGTTCTATAAGATCATGGCAAACTTGGAACATGCACTCATTTTTCTTGGTTCATAAATCCAGACTTATCCCACATACCTTAGAGGCAACCAGAAGTGACCAGGCAAGGAGATCGTCCCAGCCTTTTCACAGCATTGTATGGTGAGAAAAGGATTCACATCCCTGCTTTGCCACCGACTAGTAGAGTGCATTATTAACACAAGTCACTTTGCATCATTTACACAAGTCACTTATACTGAGCTTCTATTGCCTCATCTGTAAAACAGGTCTAATACCCCATAAGGTGGTTGTGAAGATTAAATGTATTAATGAATGGGCAGTGTCTGGAATAAAATAGATGCTAATTATCACTTTCTCCTGTTTGCATGAGGTCAACCTCCTCCTATTATCTGTAACTTTCACTGTTTATTACTCTCAGGTTCAAATTTTTAAATCCATTTGAAATGGACTATCCATGTCTATTTCATACTAAAAGAAAAGCCAGCCAGGATGATGATTTAAAACAGGCTTTCAATCAAGCAGAGCTGCAGTCCAAAATCCAGCTCTACCACTTACTTGGTTGTATGATCTTAGTAAAGTTGTTGAACTTCTGACTCAGATTCATCAGGTACAAAAAGGGAGAAGGGGGTTAATATCTCCAACAAAGGACTGATTATATGAAGGATAATGGGGAGGAATAAACAGCTATCTCTGTAAGAGAGCCCTGGTCAACATACTCCCTGGGGCTTAGGACACCCTAAGCAAATGCCACTTCATCACAATACTGTCTTGTCTTGGTCACCAGAGTACCCTACGGCAGCTGATGAACAGGCCCCTAGAAATAATGCCTGCTCACTGATGTTAAATTTGGCGCCGATGCTATGAGAAACACGAGTTAATGAAAGGGTTTAGCTCCAAGTTTTAAAAAGCTTCATGGGTGAAATATGGCTAGACAGTCTTTGCCCTGAATCTGATGTGGTCACCCTCAGCGTCCAGGGGCAGCCTGGCCTGATCTGCCTGGGCATTTATAGCTGGCCCCTTAGCAAGCAAGGTCCAACAGACAAATGCTACTAGAACAACTCTATCCACCTTCTCTGGCTTGGGAGTCTCCTTTTATTTCCACTAGGTCCCCAAAGGGTGGGAGATGGCAAGAAAGCTTGTTCTTTACCTGTACAATGAGCCTCTGGGTAAAGCTCACTCATTTTAAGAAAAAATAATCTACTTCTAAGCTCCACCTCTGGAATTAGAAAAGCAGTGTTAAATCAAACTGATACAAGTGGTTCTCACAGTTATCTGGCACATAAACCTACTGTTTCTATTACTACATGCCAGACTCTACCCATTTTATTGTTAAGTCTTTAGGAAACATTCTAAAATCATTTTGTTACATTTGAACTTAAACTTATGGTGGAACCCATATTGACTCTGCAAATATAAAAATAAGAGCATCAATACAGCTCATGTTTAGAAAAAGAAAAAAGGACTAAAAAATTTAGAAAAAAAAGTGACTTCGGACCCTTTCAAATTATATTTTACCAAAAAGAAGTAACTACTGAACACTTCAAACATGGCAGGTTCTGTTATAACCCAGTTGATCTTCACAAAAACCTATGAGATAACACTGGCTCCAATTTACAGATGAGGAACTGAAGCAAAGAAACTTCAAGTAACTTCCCAAAGATCACCTAGCTGGTAATTGTTAGGGCTGATTCCAAACCCAGGCAGTCTGGCTCCAAAGCCTGGGCTTTTTACTACTCTACTAGCTTGTTTTATCTTAGCCACATTTTAAAATCAAAGTTCAAGACTCTCTCCACCATAAACTGCAGAAGAGACTTTGACTTCCACCTACAATGGGGGCAGTATCAACATTTCAGGAGTTGATGTCTGTACAAGCATTTAGGATCCCTGGTCTCTATTCCCTGACAGCCTTTGGGCAAACCAATCCCCCTCCCACAGCCAAAAGCCTCTGGTGTGTGGAGTGTGGGGAAGGGAGAGAGGAGACGGGAGAAGCGAGAGTCCTGTCCCAGTTGAGAACCATCACGGTAAACAGAAGACGAAATCAAAAGGCAGCAAGAAAATTTATGCAAGAAATACCTGTTTATCAAGCAAAGGAAGATGAAAAAAAGGAAGGAGAGACACTGGGAAGATACATAACAGCATAACATATTTCTTCCCTCTTCCTACATCAAATCACATAATCTTAAACTGGTAATTAGACTAAAAACAATCCAAATTTTTAAAAAGTCATCAAGGCTCAATAGCTAACAGAAAACTGTTTTCTAAAAACAAATCCATATATGGTAGGCATTCTTCATCTGCTCTTTCATAAACTCTAAGCACAAGATTTCCAATTAACTTATGACCTGCCAGACATCTACAAACCTAGCCTCTTGATAGAAGCATCGTGAGAAGCCCTTTCCCTTATTCAGCCTAATCTAAAAGAACTCAGATTGTCCCAAAATACAAAACAAAATTTGATTCAAAACCTCATGCTGGGACTAGTAAGAACCTATACTATCATAAGGGAGCCACTCATTTGGCTCCATAAGTATAAATGACTAAGAAGGTCAAACTGAGGGATACACAAAAAATACAACACCCACACTCCTTCCTCAGCCTGTCCTCTCTTTTCGACCATCTGATAAGGGCAATGTTCTGGAAAGCAGTCACAGGTGACTCACCCAGATGACTCCACAGAAGAGAGGTTACCTTTGCAAAGCTGGTGCTAGGTAGGTTCTCAGGACCAGGAATGCTTACCTAACAGTTGCACTCTCTTCTGCAACTTGCTCACCCACACTCCTCCCTCTTGTCCTCCTTCCTTCTGCCCTCTGTTCTTCTCCTCCCCATCCTCCCATTCCCTTGGCAATCCAACCTCTTTTCCCAGGTTTTTGTTGTTGTTGTTGTTTTGGGGGTTTTTTTTTGAGATGAAGTCTCACTCTGTCACCCAGGCTGAAGTGCAGTGGCGCAATCTCGGCTCACTGCAAGCTCCGCCTTCGGGTTCACGCCATTCTTCTGCCTCAACCTCCTGAGTAGCTGGGACTACTGGTGCCCGCCACCTCACCCGGCTAATTTTTTTGTATTTTTAGTAGAGACGGGGTTTCACCGTGTTAGCCAGGATGATCTCGATCTGCTGACCTTGTGATCCAGCCGCCTCGCCCTCCCAAAGTGCTGGGATTACAGGCATGAACCACCGCGTCCATCCTCTTCCCAGGTTTTCTTCTTGACCACCCCGACTATGGATTGCTTCGGAAGACATTTTACATAAAAGTCACGAAAGAGGTTACAGTAAGAATTCCAAGGCAGTCATATCCAGATTTCAGAATACTATGCCAATAAATGCTCACCTCCCCTAATCCTTGCTCAGTGTGCTGATGTGTCCCAGAGGAGAAGGAAAAGGATGCTAGAAGGGATTTAGGAAGTCTAAGGACATGCAATTGTCACTGGCAGCCCTTCAGAGCCTTTGCTAGGAGAGAACTATTGCTCTCCTTGCAACACCTCAGTCAACAGTTCCTGATATGAGTCTGACTCTTCTCAATGACCCCAGCATTAACAGTGACACGCCTGATGTCCACAGCCCTGACAACCTGGACTGGTTTGCATTTCGGCAGAGATCTGCAAAAAGACAGCTTATCCAGCCCACCTGCCCTAATTAAGGAGAAAGATCCCTGCATATGGTTTGTTAATTCTGACTTTCTTGAAGCAAACCCTAGCTTCTGGAAGAACTCATAAGGTAGGCCTCAAAATCTGAAGTGTCACAAGTCCCTTTTAATGACAGTAATTATGACACTTCTAGAGTTTCTCTTTTTTTTTTCTTTTTTTTTGAGATGGAGTTTTACTCTTGTTGCCCAGGCTGGAGTGCAGTGGCTCAATCTCCGCTCACTACAACCTCCGCCTCCCAGGTTCAGGCGATTCTCCTGCCTCAGCCTCCTGAGTAGCTGGGATTACAGGTGCGTGTCACCACGCCCAGATAATTTTTTGTATTTTTAGTAGAGACGGGGTTTCATCATGTTGGCCAG
This sequence comes from Homo sapiens, assembly GCF_000001405.40. Classification (NCBI taxonomy): domain Eukaryota; kingdom Metazoa; phylum Chordata; class Mammalia; order Primates; family Hominidae; genus Homo; species Homo sapiens. The sequence goes on from NC_000005.10 coordinate 78,617,241, forward strand.
GCTGGTCTCAAACTCCTGACCTTAGGTGATCCACCCACCTCGGACTCCCAAAGTGCAGGGATTACAGGCATGAGCCACCATGCCCAGCCTAGAGTTCCTTAAAAGGAACAGGAACTCCACACTTATGTGAAAGCTATTCGTTTTCTCTAAGAAAGAGGTAAGTTTGAATAATTATTTATTTTTCCACTCTCACCAGCTCAGCCTAATGGATAGTTTGTTCTACCTGCTTGTAGGCACACAGACATCCATCTGTGCACCCATGGGTGCAATTTTTCAACCTATACTTTAACACTGTTCACCTCCAGGAGACACACTTTTTAGGGTGCTTCCCTAAAAGGTGCTTCCAACCCCAGGGCTGGATTTAGGACAAGCCGATCTCATCTTGAAAGAATAACTGCAAAGCTCTTTCAAGCTGTGAACTTCAGGGAGGATCCACAGAGTTGCCTTAGAGTATGAGAGCAATAATTTAGGAGAGGGCGCCGGATGAAGGCAGGACTCTGACCCTACTCTCCAGATTAAACAGAACAACTCCACTTTTTAAAAAATAGTTGTCATAAGCAATATTTATTAAAATTAAAATATTTGTTAATAGTTTGATAGACTATGCCAAAGAGGCATTAAAGTCTGCAGAGTGGGGCAAAACTTATTCCCAGGCATCATGACCCTTAAAAAAATTCAGGGGCTGGGCGCGGTGGCTCACACCTGTAATCCCAGCACTTTGGGAGGCCAAGACAGGTGGATCATTTGAGTTCGGAAGTTTGAGACCAGCCTGGCCAACATGGTGAGACCCCATCTCTACTAAAAAATACAAAAATTAGCCAGGCTTGGTGGCAGGCGCCTGTAATTCCAGCTACTTGGGAGGCTGAAGGAGAATCAATTGAACCCGGGAGGCAGAGGTTGCAGTGAGCCAAGATCGCACCACTGCACTCCAGCCTGGGTGTCAGAGCAAGACATTGTCTCAAAAAAGAAAAAAAAAAATTATTCAGGAAGACCAACGAACTGTCTCTCAAGAAGCTTCCGTAGTAAGTTTTTATAAGAGCACCAGATGAAGAGGTTGATTTTATTTTTTAGGGGTCATCTGAAACAAGTTTTAATGGTGTCTCACATTTTGTGGGTCAAGAATTTGGGCAAGGAGCAGCTGGGAGGTGCTTCTGTTCCATGTGGCAATGGCAGAGGTCGGTCACAGGCAGCATTCGGCCGGTGGACGGGCTGGTCTAGAGGCTTGGTTTGCATGTCAGTGGGGATAGCTGGAAGGCTGGGTCCAGATAAGAACATCCACTGAAGCGCCCAGATATGGCCTCTCCTGCCATGATGGCCTTAGGGGAGTTGGACTTACGAAGCGGAGCTCAGGGCTTGAAGAGCAGTGTTCCTTCCAACAAGACAGGAACTGCATGGCTTTCTGTGACTGGCCCTAGAAGTCAGTCCGGTGACACGTACTTTCGTCATCTCTATTGGTCAGGGCATTGACAAGTCCACCCAGATTCAAGGAGAGGGACCCTGTTTTAAAATCCAAAACTTTTCCAGCCATACCGTATATAAATTCAAACACTCTAAAGGTAACATGCACTGAGACTTGAACATACACATTGAAAAAGGCCTGCTTCGGGACTCGGAGCCTGAGAAGAAAGAACCAGAATGCCTGCCTTTCAGAAAATCGGTCAAAACCAGACGGGACACAGCAGAATGGTATTATACAGACTTGGAGTTTAGAAATAGGCCATGAGCCCCACTATCACCAAAAAAATATCTGAACTGACAAGGCCAAGATTTGTGTCAATAGACCAATCACTTTTCTTTTTTTTTGAGGCAAGGTCTGGCTCTGTCACCCAGGTTGGAGTGCAGTGGTGCAATCTCAGCTTACTGCAACCTCTGCCTCCTGGGCTCAAACGACCCTCCCACCTCAGTCTCCCAAGTAGCTGGGACTAGAAGTGTGTGCCACCACACCTGGCTAATTCTTGTATTTTTTTGTTATTAATGGGGTTTCTCCATGTTGCCCAGGCTGGTCTAAAACTCCAGGCCTCAAGGAATTCACTCACCTTGGCCTCCCAAAGTGCTGGGATTACAGGAGTGAGCCATGGTGCTGGCCCCAATCACTTTTCTTTATAGGGCTTTGGCCCTTAGAAATTTCTAGAAGATATTTCAATGAGGCTGCTCTCTCTTGAGGAGCAAATCTAATGCTTTCATCATCTCCAACTCATCCTTTAGAGTTTACAGTTTACACTCGCTATGCCTCAGAGTTTTTATTTATATATATATATATTTATTTTATTATTATTATACTTTAAGTTTTAGGGTACATGTGCACAATGTGCAGGTTTGTTACATATGTATACATGTGCCATGCTGGTGTGCTGCACCCATTAACTCGTCATTTAGCATTAGGTATATCTCCTAATGCTATCCCTCCCCCCTCCCCCCACCCCACAACAGGCCCCAGAGTGTAATGATCCCCTTCCTGTGTCCGTCCATGTGTTCTCATTGTTCAATTCCCACCTATGAGTGAGAACATGCGGTGTTTGGTTTTTTGTCCTTGCAATAGTTTACTGAGAATGATGATTTCCAATTTCATCCATGTCCCTACAAAGGACATGAACTCATCATTTTTTATGGCTGCATAGTATTCCATGGTGTATATGTGCCACATTTTCTTAATCCAGTCTATCATTGTTGGACATTTGGGTTGGTTCCAAGTCTTTGCTATTGTGAATAGTGCCGCAATAAACATACGTGTGCATGTGTCTTTATAGCAGCATGATTTATAGTCCTTTGGGTATATACCCAGTAATGGGATGGCTGGGTCAAATGGTATTTCTAGTTCTAGATCCCTGAGGAATCGCCACACTGACTTCCACAATGGTTGAACTAGTTTACAGTCCCACCAACAGTGTAAAAGTGTTCCTATTTCTCCACATCCTCTCCAGCACCTGTTGTTTCCTGACTTTTTAATGATTGCCATTCTAACTGGTGTGAGATGGTATCTCATTGTGGTTTTGATTTGCATTTCTCTGATGGCCAGTGATGGTGAGCATTTTTTCATGTGTTTTTTGGCTGCATAAATGTCTTATTTTGAGAAGTGTCTGTTCATGTCCTTCGCCCATTTTTTGGTGGGGTTGTTTGTTTTTTTCTCGTAAATTTGTTTGAGTTCTTTTTATTTTTTTAAATTTATTCAATCATAGAAAGGCGACGATGATCTATGAATGATGATCTACAATGATCAACAAGGACCTCAAACAGTGATCATCTAAGGGAGCAACAGATTGAAAAGCACCTCCCATCAGTCTCACGCCAAGGCAATGGTTCTCAACCCAGACAATTCTGCCCTCTTCCACACCTCCAGAGCACATTTATTTGGTAAGGTCTAGAGACACTTTTCATGGTCACGAATGGGGAAGCAAGGTTCTACTGGCATCTAGTCAGCAGAGGCCAGGGACACCGCTAGGCATCCACTATAGGAAGCACAGGACAACAGAGCACCCACAATGCCACATGATCAGCGCAGAACGCTATGAGCACCGAGGCTGAGAAACCCTGTGCTGGGGCGCCCGCTCTAATGGAGCCGACTGCCAAGCAGCTCCAAACTATTCTCAATGTGATTTCTCTCTATTTTCGGACCATGTGTGTACAGTTTAATTTTTATGAGTTAAATGCACATATGCCGTGGCTCCAGTGAAATATCTCATTTTTAAAAAGAGTTCTCCTACTAAAAGAAAATCATCATTCTCAAACTCCTTTTTTTTTTTTTTTGGAGATGGAGTCTTGCTCTGTCACCCAGGCTGGAGTGTAGTGGCTCGATCTCGGCTCACTGCAACCTCTGCCTCCCAGGTAAAACCATCATTCTCATTATGACACCATCCTTTAACTGAATCCTTAGGAGTCACTTTTAATTTAGAATCCCCAATCTCATCAATCATAATAAAAACAAACAGAAAACAAACCTTAAAGGATTCAGTATTCAGTGGTTCCCAAATGCTCTGGTCCTCCGTTTCTTAAGATAATGAGCTGAAATGTTTATGCATGGATGCAGGCAAACCCCAAGTTAGAGAGTAACAGCCACTCTTTCAGTGCTGTCGTCTGGCAGAGGGAGAACAGCAGCAGCAATGACACAGACAGGGTGTAATCTGAGCAAACACACTCTAGACCTCTCCACCCATTCCTAAGTCAGCACAGATGCCTGCCTGCATCTCGGTGGAGTTACTTTCTTCCTTGCAGTAATACTCTCTCTCACACACCCTGCTCTGTTTGTGGCAGTCATGCTTTGGTTAACACTTACAAATCAAAAGCTGTCAAGCTACCAGACAGAAAACACCATTTAGAAACTGTTGGGTTCACCTTTGGAAAACTCCTGATAGTCATTTTTATTGGGTCTCTTCCACCACAAATTTGTAAAGCTATTTCCCATTTCTAAACATTAATTGCTACTTTCCTCTTAAAACGTGGTTTCAATGACACCAATACATGGCAAGTAAAACCACAATTCCCTCAGTGAAATAAATTACTGCATTGCTGGGTTGGTGCAAACTGCAGTGCAGAACTGTTAGCAGGTCAGGCCTGTTAATGGTGTGTGATACATTGCTATTCTCTCAGGACAAACATAAATACATTTTACACAATTTTTTGGCTTTGCCTTCCCCTTTCCCCCTAAGCTGTTGGTCCAGGAAGTAGAATCTAACTGCCCCACAAAGCAGCTGGCCACCAAGAATGGTCCTCACTAGTCAGTGTTCCTCCCGAGAAACACATACTCTCTAAGAAATCTGACCACAGGGCTCATTTAATTTTTTAAATGACTATTAATTTTAACTCATCTCAAAATACACACTCTAGAAGTCCCTTGATTCTAAAAGCATAGGAAGCCCCGGTAAATGCCAGTTTCCAGCACCTGTCTGCTATGGAGAAGAGCAAACATGACACAGGAGCTCCAGGACACTCAGGAGCAGGCTTCAAAAGCGACAGGGTGGCACCAGCACTTACATGCACTACATGCCTAAAACAACATCAGCTACCTAAACGCTCTGAGCACCTTGGCTGAGGGGCAACAATTAGGGAGAAACTTTCAGAAGGCACTGGATTACTCAAAGCAGACTCCCTCCTATTACGATAGCAGCGCCAATGACTACTTACTAAATTCCAGGTATGCCTTACATAGGTTCCCTCATTTAATCCTCCCAACAATTTTATGAAGTAGGCATGATTATCCCCATCTTGCAGATGAGAAGACTAAGCCCTGGAGAGAAGAATAATTTGCCTGAGGTCATAGAGCCTGGGAATGGGGAGCAGGGCCTGGACCCTGAGCCTGCCTGACTCTTAAGGCTGGGGCTTCCCACCACACACCACACATTCTGCCCAGAATTCAGTCCTTCCTTACTGTGGCAAAATGCAGCTGGGAGGGGCTGTCTCCCAAGCATTCTCTTCCTCCAAGGAACCTGACAAGTCTCTCTAATGTTTCTTAACTGGTAAAATATTTAAAGGGGCTGCATTATCACCAAACAAAATCTAACCTTGTGTATTTAATCATTAACATTTTTAGGCTACAGAAAAGGCATGCTCTTTAGATTCAGGGTGAGCTGGGCTGCTTGTGAGGTACAACTGGGATCCAGAAAAGACCAGAAGATACAGACTGAGACACCACTGAGGCCTGCCTAGCTGGAGGAAGAACTTGGAGACCCTTAACGGGGTCAGGCCTTGTAAAGAAGGGGGATGAAACTGGGGTGATGATTGGGGATCTTATCTAGGCTGTGGGAAAACAGCATGTGTAATAGGGGAGGAAATCATCTAGAGGAAAATAGAGAAGATACAAATGGAAGAAAAGATGGAACACATCAAGATTTCTCTGACTTGCATTGTAAAAATGGAAGCAAATTCTTACAAAATAACCACAAACTTTGATTCTTATACTTCCACTCCATATAAAACTGTACTTAAGTGATTTAGACCTTATTCAGGGAGTCATTAACAAATGCATGTATACTATTTGACTTTGCAGGAAGAAAACCACGAATATGAACCAATCTTCTTGCTTATTAACATTAATTTTTATAGCGGATTGGAATCTTACGAATACAGAACTCCATCACATTATTTTCATTTTATAGCAAGTTGAAACCCCATTAATACAGAATTCCATCATGTTTCAGCATTTAATTTTGTAAACATGAACACTATTGTTTAGTCTCCATTAACTTTCTTTCTGCCACTATGGTTATAGACCCCCATAGATTGCTTTAAAAAGAGAAAGAAAGAGAGAGAGAACTATTGCATTGAAACTATGTCACATGCAATAAGTATACAAATAAGCAAAAGGTGTGCCTTCATCCACAGGCAATGCTGAAACTCTTCTGCACTAAAGAGTGTGCATTCTAAAATACCCTCCATAAATGCTTAAGGCTCATAGCTGGGGAAGGTGGGCACTCCCACCTCACTTTTGTTTATACTTTCAAGAATCCTGAAGAGAATAATCAAGTTTTCCCCACATGTAAATGAATGAATGAAACTAGATTTTCCAAATAAGCCATTTTTTATTAACACATATGTATTCTTAATTTGTTTCTAATTTGCATGGCTTTGCACACAGTATATTTTGGGTTCAAGTAAACATTTACCATTTGCTCCAAAGCACTACGCTAGCACCACACAACAGGACAAGCTCATAGATAACTATATCAGTGCCAAAAAACAGCCCCCATGAGAAGTTCAAACACCAGACTATAAGGACACTACCACCAAATCACTTCCTAAAGGCCTGGTTTTCCCCAGAATAACAAAGTAACGATTAATGCCACTGTGCAAGATGAAATACACTCTTTTCATTCAAGCTCTAATAGCCTAGACAACAGTCATTCTTCTTGCTGCTTTGGCAACTGGCTCAACTCATTGCTGGCCTGCAGAGAGCCTGCCAGCTTTAGATCAATAAGTCCTGTGATCTTTAATACAGAACAGAAGCCACAACCCAACTGATTCTTTCTGTAGTCATCAATCAGGGTTTGACTCCAGCTTATCTCTTGACCCACCGGGAGATGGGCTGTCTGCCACACATCCCCTGGAGAGAAATGAGAAGGGTTGTATAAAGCAGGCACCGGCAGAAGTCAGGGAAACCAGTGAAAGGGATTTCCAGGAGGAACTGTGTTCTCTGTCCCAGAGGAGGCACACAAATTCCACCCAAAAATGGTCAGCTGTCAAGGATTCCAGAGGAAGCACACTCTCCCCTAGATAGCAGGCCAAGTGGTAAAGCCTGAAGGTCAATTTCAAGAGACACATCCTCAGCCAGGCTGGGAGGAGGGCCCAGAGTGGGCAGATGAAACCTAGCAAGCAGCAAGCAATAAAGTCTCCGCAGATCAGAGTTTGCGAATTTAAATAACATTTCTTGATTTTGCAAATTCTCTTTAGCAACTTTTAATCTTGAATTAACCTCCTATAACTATTCTAAATTTTAAAACTCCCTTGTAATTGTAAATCTCTTCTTGTTTGTGAATTAACTAAGAAGTTAAATAAGACAGATAAACAAACAGCAATGCTTTGAGTTACCAGCCTAGAAGTGGCTGTGTGGCTTACCATCCTGGTTTTCTTTTCTTTTTTTTTTTTTCTTTTTGAGATGGAGTTTCGCTCGTCACCCAGGCTGGAGTACAGTGGCGCAATCTCGGCTCACTGCAACCTCGTCTCCTGGGTTCAAGCGATTCTCCTGCCTCAGCCTCCCAAGTAGCTGGGATTACAGGTGCCTGCCACCACGCCCAGCTAATTATTGTATTTTTAGTAGAGATGGGGTTTCACCATGCTGGCCAGGACTACCCTGGTTTTCTAAGTGCAGCCCACTGTAAGACCTGGTTTCCTTGGTTGGGGCCCATGGCAACAGAGTTGCAATTCTCCAAATGGAGTTGGACAGTGGCAGAGACCCTGTGTGCAGGACTTCATCCTACTCCTGTTGCTACAGTGACCAAACGTGACCTTCCAGTCACACCTGCAGCATTCTATACGTACACACACACACACACACACACACACCCCTCTACAAACAGAGGGTAAGTCTGATGAGCTCCAAGTCACACATCCCTCTGAAAAGGCGGGGACTGGGCTGCAAAACGAGGGTAGGCTCCTAGCTGCTGGTAAGGAAAGGGGCAACTTCAAGCCTATTTTTTCCACAGTCATCTTGATTCTTCTGGGGAAGCTGAGCTATTGGGGCCATCGTCCAACTTCAGAGGGCACCACTCACACACAATCCAATGTGAAAGGAGCCCCATCTGCTGAGCAAAGTGGCAGTCCTGCCTCCTACCCACCCCCAAACCTGAACAAGCCTGTCTTCACCACCAACTTTAAGGAGCCAGTTTGATTTTGCTACATCTCCATTTTCTAACCTATATATAATCTCAAGATAGCCTCAACTACATACAAGTTATTTGGCAACACTTCTACAGACTTTTCTGCCTACAAATATCTCAGAGAGAGCACTGGATTAGGAGTCGGAAGTCGTATCTTCATTTATGTCATTCATTCACCAAACAAATGCATGTTTAAGTACCTAATACAATGCAGGCACCAAAGGTATGAAGGTGAACAAACAAGACAGACAAGAGCCCCTGGCCTCACGGGGCTTTAGCCAAGTTATTCAGTGTCCTAAACTGAAATTAAGGGGCTTAGACAAGAAGCTCTGTGAAGTCTCTCCCAGCTTTCCTATTCTCCACTCTCTGCATTGGCGCCAAGAGGGGACTGAAGCATTCTGGAATGTTCCGCCTCCCTGAACAGATGCTATTTTAACTCCACTTACATATAGACATATAGGTCGGGTTGCGGCCAGGTGACTTCTCTCCATTCTGCCAACCATAAACTACACATTTTCATCCCAGAGTTATTAAACTAACCGGTGCCCTAGTCCAGAAGGCCCACTGGCATGCACATCTCAGGCTCCATGGCACAGGGACCCTCATAGCCCCATTCCTTCCAATGAGGAAATCTGGTTCCTTCAGATCCAAACTAAAGAAAAACAGGAGCAGGGCTGCCAAGCCTTCCTCACATGCTGCCTGGGTTTGTTTATTTCTTCTTCATCAACTCACATCATTTCTGACACTGCACTTCAACATCCTGAACACAGCCAGGGAAAAAAGCTTTTAAGAGGCACTGAAGTGCAGCCAACTTCTGATTAGCCACAGTCCTGAAGGAAAGGAGCAGCACGTGGCCAAAGCAAGAGGACTCTTGCATCCGCGTAGAGAAGGGCAAAGATTCACGTACAGGATACGGAGAAGCCTTAAGCGATCAAGTGCACATTCTTCCCTCTCCACGCCCCACCCCCAGCAATTCCCTTCAGACATTTCAGGAGAACCCCTGGCTGGAGTCTTGCCTTCTGGGAGTTTCTGAGGGCACCGCATCCAACTGAAAGGGAGGTGTCCGCAGTCTCCATCATCAACTGGCAGGGGAAAATACCAGCTCCTGAATCAATGGGGGGAACAGATTTGTATAAGCACGATACGAACCTAAGCTATGATTAAATGTACTTAACAGTGGGTAGGGTCTTCATGAGCACAACTCAAGAGAAGTTTTTTTTTTCTTCAGAGCTAAGTTGAAATACAGTAAGCAGGCCTGGCGCGGTGGTTCACGCCTGTAATCTCAGCACTTTGGGAGGCCGAGACAGAAAGATCACCCGACGTCAGGAGTTCGAGACCAGCCTGGCCAACATGGTGAAACCCCATCTCTACTAAAAATACAAAAATTGGCCGGGCATGGTGGTACGCGCCTGTAATCCCAGCGACTCAGGTGGCCGAGGCAGGAGAACTGCTTGAACCCGGGAGGCAGAGGTTGCAGTGAGCCGAGATCGCACCACTGCACTCCAGCCTGGGCAACGAGAGCGAAACTCCATTTCAAAAAAACAACAACAACAAAAAACAAATATAGTAAGCAGAAATGTATGCAGTAGAGAGGGAGAAGCTGAGGACAAGAAAGCCATCAGACATGAGACAGTAAGGGTGTGAATGAAGACGGACATGGGAAAGGCTGAGCCCCAGCAAGACTCCTGACGAGGCAGTGGATGCCTTGTCCTTTCAGATGATATGCACAGGCCCTCGAAGTTAACCAGCAACTGCCTAGGGCTGTGTCAGACACTCTAAAAGCCCTTTCTATCCTCCCCTCTCCAGCCTCCCTCACTTTCCCTGTCTCCCCTGGTCACTTTGCTTCCCTCCCCACAGAAAGAAACCAAGCTGCTTTTGGGGAATGGTGCCAGCTGGTGGCTAGTACAAAGAACTGTTTCTCACCACTACTTCTCTCTCCTTTCTCTTAAAGAAACCTTTATTGCTCTCCTCCTCATCCTTTTTCCTCTGTTTCTACTAATTTTGATCACAGAAAGCTTAATTTCAAAGTTAGAATCCAGATTCCCCACTTCCCTACAAGGAGACCTCGGGCAAGTCACAGGACCTCTCTTTGCCTCACTCCCTCTCTGCAAACATGAACAGAAATACCTGCCTACTCAGCAGGGCATTTATGAAGCCCTCGATAGCTACTTCCACTCTGAACAGAACTGCATTCACCTGACAGAAGGCACAGCTCTGACTGACTCTCTGCTAACTCTACCATGTGCTTTGACACTCCGAATAATGCTCAACTCAAAGGAATTTGTCCGATGACCACTATGCTGCAAATAAAACAAGTCAACAGCAGAGGACCCACAAGCCTTCCTCAGAAGCAAAAGACTAAGTCCCAACTCTGCAGGAGCTCATTTCTCTGGTGGATTTCTTCATTTTCAGATGGAATGCCATGTTCCTGAGTAGCTGGCTGAGTCCTACATCAGGACTTATAGCAACTAACCTCTCACTGTGGCAGGAGACACCATCTGTTCCTGACCACAGTGCCCTGAAGGGTTACTGTGCCTCCCGGCCCCTCCCTTGGCACACTGGATATCGAGCTCTCGTTTTACCAGGAGAGACGTGGACAGGCCCTGTGTGGCTCTGCTGATCCCAAAATGCCATCTTGCTGTGATAAAGACCTCAAAAGGGCTAATGAAATTATCTCCTCTGCCTTTTATTCCTCAGTAACAACCACAAAATTAGATAAAATGACCCCCTGCTCCTCTAATTTAAGGCCTACTTTATTACCTTCTACCCCAATTCTCTCTCTTTTAAACGGATATGAGACCCTGAACACCCACAGGCCAATGGGATTAGTAATTGCTGGCTTCTTCCTCCTGGCCTGTTCTCCAGAGAGAATGTCTCCTTCCCCCAGGGTGGGGTCACAATCAGTTCAATCTTCATGCTTCAGAGACATCCCCTTTGAACAAGATCAGATGTTTCCCCACCCCTCCCTGGTGCTCCGCTCAAAGGAGCAGCAGCCCCTTCTCACTCAGAGTATTGGCGTCAACTCAGCCAGAAAGGCAATGGCAAAAAGAAGGAGGTCAGCATGGTTAACTGTCCACCAGGCTAAAACACAGGCCCACTCAAACCAGCACCTTGGGAGGGCTGGTCACCCCCATAAAATGTTAAGTGCACTTTGAACCCGGGAACAAGGAGAATGAGAACTATTTTCCCCAGCCTGCTGGGCTGCAAGGAGAGCTTCAGCTGTTTGTTTTCTTTTTCAAATTGTGGCCATAAAGGGAAGAAGGACTTCTCTGCAGTCATGTCAAGTAAGTAGATGAAATGCAGGCGAGGTGAGCCCTGAAGCTTGGCCATTAGGAAATAAAGTCAGGAAAGATAAGCATCAATGGAGGAGGTCTGAAGGGAGCCAACCAAGTCTTCCCCAGATTTGAAGAAGAAACCTGAGAAAACAGGATTTCAGAAGCCTGAGACATTGCTCAATATAAGAATGATTTATAGGGAAAAGGGGGAAAAGGAATCATAGAACGCAGAATATTTACTCTTTAACATTAAAAAAGATGGATGAGGACTTTTTTCAGTCTTTTGCCTATTTGGAAATATTACTCCTATTAACTACTTATCCAAAGGACTTCCTTCTTAAAAAGGCCCATAGTGTTAAGAAGATGCTAAGGAACAGGAAACAGTCATTTCTTAACTGAAAGGGGACATGATAATGATAAAACAATACCTCCTATCTTTTTGTAAGGGAAAAAGTCTAAGATATTCAATTTAAAATCAACTTTTCCTGGAAACAAGTACCTGTACGTTTTCCTGAAATCAACAACAAAACCCCTACAGTAGGTAAGACAAACTGGTCACCCAATCACAGCTGACAAGCTACCTAGTCCAAGTAAATGGTGGTTCCTAAATTATGCATTGATTGTGCTCTGGAAATGGAATAGAGCAAACTCTTCCCAGAGATGTCAATATATGCATGCAGCTTTGCAATGAAACTTGAAAGGCTGTTTCAGAGACTTTGCTTCCTCTTTAAGGAACTACAACTAAAGATAAAGGCTTCACCTGAAAAACAAAAATCCACAAAGGCTGAGGGAGGATGTGCCATGTATTAATCTTTGTACTAATACCTGGTTCCCAGGCATTTCAGCAATAAAGGAAACTGCGATGCAGAGCCCAGTATGCTAATGTCACTGGAGTCCCAGATCAGGAGACAAGCTGCTGTGTCTGCTAGTTGCCTTTGCTCTGATTTCTCCCAAATGTCAACCCTGGACACAAGGGGCCCATGTTGGACAGTGTCTTTGGATCAAGGCCAATCTATAAAAGCAGCTGTATTAAAAATACACACACACCCTGACATACAAATTCAACTGATAAGGCTCTAGCAGTCCCATCTTCAGAAATAGTAAACATTTCACTGAATGAAAACGCAGTACCTTATTAACAAGTCCAAAACACGTATGACAAGTTCAGAAGCTTTAAGGAGATTCAGGAACTAAACCACTTCTTGGACTACTTGGGGTAGTCAAGATTCAACTAGCGACCTCTGTGAAGTGAGCCTGAACACACACCTCGTGAGCCCCTACATGGAGCCGGGCAGCTCAATAACTTGAGGGTTTGACCTACTTCATCATGGTTGCTGCTTTTCCTAACATGATCAGAACTGCATTGTAAAACAAGAGGGGGTCTGAGGATCAGATATCTCCTAGAAGCTCGGTAAACTGCAGCTCACTAGGAAGTGGCCGGCACTCTCCCTGCATGGGGCAGTGTGGAGACCAGACTCCCCACAAATGCCCTGCGGCAGCTTCTTCAGGGATGGTGTGACACAAACATTCAGTAACATCTCAAGTTCCAAAGACTGCTAAAACCCATGCATATTTTAACATCTGGGCTTTTTCATTTCAATGTATTTTCTTAGCTTATTTTTCAAGTATGATAGACGAACTGATTCCATGGAGACTAGACATTCTTGGGCAAAGCTGAAATCCTCCTTCTATCGAACCCCTGGGAAACTTGAAGACCATGAAGAGGGTCAGCTGGGAGTCAAGGTTCCTTTACTGCCTTGTCTTTCATTCAATTCTCCTTCAGGAAGCTGTACAGCTGGGACTCAGCACCAAGCAGAAGAAACCACGGGGAAGTGACTACTTTTACATGGCACTTACTGTCTGGGAACCTCTACTAGGTTGTGGAAAGCACACACAGAAACCAGAAGACAAATTCTTTTGCTTTAGTGCTGCAAACACCCAGGATGGCAACTGGAAGGCTGAACAATGTGTAGTGTTAACGCAAAAGCAGAATAAGGCGGGGGCAAAACCTCAAGACCACATTCTCCTAGTGACAGTAGTCTGGCTAGATTTAAGTGCCACCCCAGGCATCAGAGAATTCAGCCACCCGGCAGCTCCTGAAAGGACTCAACTCTCATTTTGGCTCCAACATTCAGGTGATCCACTGCCCTGAGGGTTTCTACTCCCAACCCACGGGATAATGCGAGATCAACTCAAGCCAATCCGGGTACCTCTCAAAGCACCCAACTTACTAAGAAGAGTAAGGAAAACTGAAGTGCACTGATTTAAAAGTGTCGTATCAAAATGATTTAAACCTAAACTGTGTTCTAAAACAAATGCTCAAGCCACTGAGGCATATTTTAATCTCCTTCAGGTTGCCCATTGGGAAAGTCTACTGTTTGTTCCCTATTGCCTTTACGTTTAGATAATGCTCAATCCTATGGTGGTCTGCATGCCAATGGCAGGGTTGCCTGGGGCTTCCAGGGTCTAGTTGACAACTCTGTGTCTCTCCAAGGGAAGCCAAGGGGTCTGGCTGCTCATGGCCACAGGTTGCCATTTAGTGCATTACTGCTCTGTGACCTAGCATAACTTACGCTACTTGGGATGAACGTTCTTCCACTTATTGAAAATCTGCTCCATGCCAGAAACCATGCTAGGTGGGAGATGGTACCAAAAGGAACTCACAGACAAGAGGAAAAAGATGTGCACAAACAAGTACGTAAAGCTCACCATGACAAGTCCAATGTGTTGTGTGAGCACAGAGAAGTGGCCATTCATTTTGCTGCGAAGCAAAAAAAGGTTACACTCTGAAAAGCCTCTCATTCAGACAGTTGATAAACAGGTGAAATTTGGGGCCAGGTGTGGTGGGTTATGCCTGTAATCCCAGCACTTTGGGAGGCCAACGCAGGCGGATCACTTGAGGTCAGGAGTTCAAGACCAGCTTGGCCAATATGGCGAAACCTTGTCTCTACTAAAGATACAAAAATTAGCTGTGTGTGGTGGCACATGCATGTAGTCCCAGCTACTCAGGAGGCTGAGGCAGGAGAATGGCTTGATCCTGGGAGATGGAGGTTGCAGTGAGCCAAGATCACGCCACTGCACTCCAGCCTGGCCTACAGAGCAAGACTCCATCTCAAAAAAAAAAAAAAAGAAAAAAGAAAAAAAGAAATTTGGGCTGGATCTTAAAGGAGGAAAAGGAATTCTAAAGCACTGACCTAAACAGAAGAGAAAAGGGTGTTGAAACAAAGGAAAGAGGGCTGAGTAATGAGAAAGCCAGCCATGCCCAGGAGCAAGCCAGCAAGGTAAACATCTTTATCAGGCCACTCACAACAGCCACAGGGACCAATTTACACCTTTCTTAGAGAAGATGCTGCCCCACATTTAAGGATTTTCTTTCTATTGAATGAGAACATCGGGTGGTTATCAGAGTGCATTGTCATATCTAGGTATAAGGACAACCCACCTGGCTGTGAGCAGTCCCAGGTCCCTCGCTTGCATGAGGTGCTTCTTAACAAAATGCAGAAACCATAGGCCAGCTGTCAACTCAAGAGTCTGATTCCCAACTCACCTGAAAAACAATTGGAAAAAGTCATTTTTATTATTAACGGGAGTAGCCAGTCTTTCGATGGTTCCAACAGAAACCTGCAGTCTATGGCTAAGCTCTTTGGTCTCAGAGCAGAAAACAAGTCTAGTGTTACCTGGCCAAGGGGCTGGATCAAACAGACCTAGGTGACAATGCTAGTTTACAACTCAGTGACAGGGTAACTGCAGCCAGGTAGCTAACCTACCTGTGCTTCAGTTTCCTCCCCTGCAGTACCTACCTCAGAATGATTAGGAAGGTCTTCTATATGCCAGGTACCTTCTATATGCCTGGAAATGCCTGCATAAACATGTGATGGGTTCCCTGCCCTCAGGGAGCTTACAGTCCACAAAGAAAAATAAATAGGTCGCATTCACGACTTTGATGCAGCTGATAGGAGCTGAAGGGAGGAAAATACAAGGGTATATATGAGCCTTTGCAGAGGCACCAGCTGATTTCAGAGGCATCAAAGGAAGCTCCTCAGAGCAAGTGAGGGCTAAAATGAGGAGGTGGCCAAACTAGAGGGCAAGCAAAGAGCATGCCAGGCAAAAGGAACAGCAAGACGGGGGGGTCCTGGAAGCAAGGACACAGTTCACAAAAGAAAGAAGTTGGTGCCCACTGAAGCATTTCAGGTCACAAGAGGCCTTCTTGCAGCTGCTTTAGGAGAGTTTCGACTGGACCTTAAGGCTAATGCAAGCTCTGACACAGGAGAGGAGACTGTGATGGTTCAGACAGCTTTCAGCAACACCAGAGAGGAGAATAAACTGGAAGGAGGCAACGACACCCCATCTTAGCTGCCCCAAATGCCACATCCTGGTCGGTTGTGAGAGGACAGAAAGACAACCCTCATGGTCAGAAGTGAAGCTGAGCTCCCTCCAGCATCTCCAGTGAACCACTGCTTCTGAAGCCCAGGTTCCTCCAGCATGAGGTGGTTCCTGCCAGGCAGACACCAGCTCAGTGCCACTGCCTCAGGGGCAGAGTCTGCCTGCCTCAACACACCCCCACCAAATGCCTGGGTGGCACCGTGTAGTGCAGCAGCATCACCTGGGAACGTGTCAGAAACACAAAGTCTCCACCATCCCAGACCTAGGGACTCAGAATCTCTGGGGTGGGACCCACATTCAGTGTTTTCACAAGTCCTCTGGGTGACGGTGATGCTTGCTAAGGGCAAGTCCTGGGGGACAGAGTACAGAGATGGCCCAGCCTGCTAACCCAGCAGCAATTCTGTGCTCAAGGCCTCACACTCCATAGTGCTTTGAAGCCCATTTCTGTTGTAAAAAATACACAAAGCTGGTTTTTACGCATGGCACCATTCCTAGTCCTGTGGACCAATGGGGTAGGGGACTGAGCCACCTTCAGGGTAGGGAGGTGGAGATGGGAGTGCAGGCAAGGCCCTTCCTCTTCTCCTGGGCCCTCATCTGTTTTAGGACAGGCAAAGGGAACTCGAGCTTCAAGGAAAGAGAATGCATGCTTCTCCTTTTAGACATTTCTCCTCCCACCTAGATACAGAATCTGACCACTCCATAAATGAAACAGTGAGGTCGCCCTGGAAGGCTCCATGTGGTTTTATTAGAGGGTCAAGTTTCTTCCTGGAGAGTGAAATGAACTCTGTGGTTACAAAGACACCAAGGCCCAGGAGCCATAAAGTAATTCAGGATTCAGAAGAGCCCAGTTTATCTGCCTCTTTCTTTGAATATCTATCTTCTCCTTACCAAAAGAAAAAAGATTACCCCTCCCCCCAAAAAAAGCATATTTCTGTAAACAGCAGACAAGTTCTCACATTCTTGTTTGTGTTTTTATAGCTCTTGCTTTCTTTACAAAAGGGGTTAGGGGGCGGTGGGGAGGCCAAAGCATCAAAATAGCACTCAGGTCATGAAGGGAGATGATGCTCCACTCAGTTCCCAGGGCCTGCCCCCAACACCAATGCCACCGTGAGGGTGGCTGTGCTGCAGGAACTCACAGGAAGTCATGCGTGGTATGGGGGCAGTGAGGACACTGTATTCTCAGTGCACCTCAAGTAGTGCTGCAGAAAACCCAACTGCCACCCCAGGTTTGGGCAGCACACTGTGTTTGCATGCTGCAGCTCTCTGGCTTCCCCACCTGCCCCTGTGCCTATGGTCCCACGCCTCCAAAGGCCTTCCATGGCCAAACACACCGCCACACCTGCTAGCCCTCAACGATCATGGCTCTTCCACCTGTCTCTCCCCACTAGACTGTGAGCTTTCCAAGGGGTGTAATAAGCATGTGTTGAATAAATGACTGAATACATAGCCATATGGACTCACCTGGAATAAGAGTTTCAGGCCTGCATTCCATCCCCTCACCCTTTCCAATCCAAAGAGGCAAAATGATTTGCCCAAGGCCGCAGAGCAAGCTAACAGCAAAGGAAGGTCAGGGAGGCAGAACAGACAGTTCTTATCAATTTCTGCCTTTCACAGGCTGTGTTCCCATCTTTCCTGAGTACCATGCCCCCTTGAGGACAAAGACATTTTATTTGTGATAAGAATGGAATCATTTTTTGTGTGTTTCATTTCAAGAACATGGAGGAACATCTTATGAATCTTAGAATGTGGGGCACTAAGCCCAATCTAGGGACACCAGGGGAAGAAGAGTCGGGAAATGGCTGTGAGCCGTGGAGTGGGTCAGTTCTTCACAGACATTCCCAGAGTTCTGGTCCCTCGGGAGTGCTTCTGTGTAAGTCCTCTGTCGGTTCTGGTTTACTCCGACAGCAGAGACAAGAGAATCTCCCAACCCATCCCCACTCTGTTCTCAAAACATACTCCACCACTTACACAAGCTTTGGCTTTGGCAGCAGAATGCCCAAGTTCAGTTTCTTTTTGCCAGCCAGAGGCTGAGAACTCTGCAAATGTAATGACTCTTTTCAGATACGACAGAGAAAGCATGCACTAATGCACATTACCTAGGTGGCATGCAATCTCAGGAGAGTCAAGCCCTTCTCTTCAAGTCCTCTGGGAAAGACGCCCCCAACACTCCCACCGCCCCCTCTTCCCCCAGGGAAAAGGGATGGTTTCTGCCGCTGGCCAAGCTCACCTGCTAAGCAGGTACAGAAAATGGATCATTTTCCAAGTCTTGGATTTAGCTTCTCTCTCACAACCAAACTGACTTTAAAAAACAAAACCGGCCAGGCACAGTGGCTTACGCCTGTAATTCCAGCACTTTGGGAGGCCCAGGCGGGCGGACCACGAGGTCAGGAGATCGAGACCATCCTGGCTAACACGGTGAAACCCCGTCTCTACTAAAAAATACAAAAAATTAGCCGGGTGTGGTGGTGGGCGCCTGTAGTCCCAGCTACTTGGGAGGCTGAGGCAGGAGAATGGTGTGAACCCGGGAGGCAGAGCTTGCAGTGAGCCGAGATCGCGCCACTGCACTCCAGCCTGGGTGACAGAGCGAGACTCCGTCTCAAAAACAAACAAACAAACAAACAACAACAAAAAACAACCAACCAACCAAAACAATCCTAGGTACAATTATGGTGTTTAGTCTTAGTTTTCATATATAGATCACCTGGCTTTTCATTACAACTAGTATGTGAAATGGCCACATTAGAAGTGTGCCAAATGCATCGTAAATTATATTAAAGTTCCCATCACACACACAGACACACACACACACACACACGCGCACACAAACACCAATTAAATGAATGGGAACAAGTTCTGCCTAGTGCCCTCCCAGGCATCCTGTGCTCTTCTTGAGCTGCCTGGACACCTGGTGCCTGAGGCTGCCGTCTGTGGCCCTGCCTCCTGCTCTGCCCTCCTTGAAGAGTGCCCCACACTCCACCCTATCAGAATCCACTCTTGCATACTCTGATCCTGAGAAGCATTCTATTAAGTTATTCCTGTTAACGTATAAATCACAAATGCATTGCCTGTCCTCTGTGTGCTTACACGTCTAATAAGAGGCTTAAAGGGAAACACTTCACCCAATTTCTCTAATGGTAGAATTGTAAGTACAACAGTAAGTGAATTCCACCTTTCGGGTAAGGAGCTACTTCTATATCCAGCTGATCCCCCCACACTGACCATTTCCTACTTCATTGGTTTCATAAGCTGACTTTGCCCCTAAGGTAAGGCTGAGATGGATCCTGCATCTTTAGGAATAGAGGTTAATTTTCATACAATTGTGGAAGGGCAAACTCCTTAACCTTCCAATTCACCTGGATCAGAATCAAGCTGGTCTGTGGAGGATGGGGCCCCTTCTTCATCCATTTCTGGTCATCCATTACTTAACAACGCTCATTATCTCCAGTGTCTGAACCAAAGTAGGAAAGAGTGGGAAAATCACTATCGAGACATTCTTAAAGACTTCTCTACAGAGGCCCAAAGCTTATGTAGTCCAGTATCTTTGAGCACTTAATAATCAGTGTCTGTAAAACCTTCCTAAAAATAAAGGCTTCACAGAACTGACTTCTTACACCATTAACAAAGGCCTCTCTGATTTGGCTCCATCCAAGATAAGAGCCTCTCTGTAAAAGCAAAAGCATGTATTAAGATAAAAAGTGAAGTGGATCCAATGGGACAGAAGACAGCCCTTCACAAGCAAGTATCTAGGAGGCCAAGAAATAAACAGGCAAGGGTGTCCCTCAGACATGGCCAATATCACAAGCTCAGACAGACAGGTTTCTAAACTGATACTCCTCTAAATTGGTTTTTCTAGAGCCTTCCTGATCATAAGAACCACCTAGAAGCTTTGTTTAAAAGACACAGATTCCCAGGACCCACTCCAGACCTATGAAGCCAAAACCCCGGGTAGGGTCTGGTCACATATGTCTAGCTAGCACCTTAGCAGAGTGTCAGGCAAGTTTCAGAAATAATGCTCCAAATGAAACAATAGGCAACCTTTTAAAAGCTTTGTAATCGCATAACCTTGAAGTTATAGGGTATGTGGGAAAATGCAGGTTTAATGGAAGGAAGTTAGAGCCTTCCTAATCTAGTTAAACTTATGGAATATAACCAACATGTAATGAGGAAATCATTTTAACTAGCTTGGGGGGAGGGGGGGAAGCCTTCCCCTATACCTTTACCATATCTCAACTGGAAGAGCTCATAACCTCCCTGCCCTAAAGGATTAAAGGCATCCCTGCACAGTGGCTCCCAACAGCTATTAAAGGCCCAAATGGAAGTGCCAGGGCTGAGGGCTCGCAGTCTCATCCTGATAGAGGCCAGCCCTAAGTAGCAGGTGACCAACTTCAAGTCAGACCTCACAGGCCCTCCTGGCATGCACGGTTCAGCCCTGACATTTCTCAGCCGCCAGATGCCTATTCCATAGTCTCTTTCATGCTCCAGTTTAATGTGAGGCCTTGCTATTCAAAGTGAGCTCCACGGGAGTAGCAGGGGAAGCATCACGGAGAGAGCTTGTTAGAGATACAGAATCCTAGGCCCTACCCAGCCCTGCTGTATCAGAGTCTGTATTTTAACAGGATTCCAGCCAATTCTTGGGCACAGTCAAGCTTGAGAAGCCCTCCTGATGGGGTAGGGACTTCTACCCACAACTCTGGAACATCAGCCTCCCCACTCGGGCACCAGCCTCTCAGAGGCCTTCCTCCCTCACACTGTTCACTCAAGTCTTGTCAGTGCTGGTTTGTCTTGGGGCCAGATCACCATCAGCAGGACCCAATGAATAGCTGACAACCCAAAGCCCAGTTTTTAGGAAGTTAAAAGGAGGCAATAAGGGCCGGGCGTGGTGGCTTACACCTGTAATCCTAGCATTTTGGGAGGCCGAGGCAGGTGGATCACGAGGTCAGGAGATTGAGACCATCCTGGCTAACATGGTGAAACCCCACCTCTACTAAAAATACAAAAAAATTAGCCAGGCATGGTAGCAGGCGCCTGTAGTCCCAGCTATTCGGGAGGCTGAGGCAGGAGAATGGTGTAACCAGGGAGGCGGGGCTTGCAGTGAGCCGAGATGGCACCACTGCACTCCAGCCTGGGTGACAGAGCGAGACACCGTCTCAAATAATAATAACAATAATAAATAATAAATTAAAAAACATAAAAAAGGAGGCAGTAAGTTCTGATTGTGTCTCACATTCTCATCTGGCTCTAACATCTGCCTCCCTTCGAGGGCAGGACTATAGACCTCGTGATCGTAAATCAGCAGAGACAATCCAAAGTCAAACAATACCATGGAATGCTGGCTCTTTGGTTCCAGCACAATGTTAATGAGGTCGAGGTCACGGGTATGATTAGCTTCCTCTGTATCTTGGCACAGACTCCAACCCTCTGCCCTCCGGCCGCCTGCAAAGGCTGACGCACCCTTGGTTACTAAGAGGACTGGAGGAGAATGACAAGGGGAGGCTAACAGAGCAGCACCAGTTAATGACTCAAAGAACCTGAGTGGCTGACGGGCTGCATGTATCAAAGAATGACTTGTGGCCCAGAGGGAAGGCTGACAAGACAGACGACCAGGTCAGAATTCAAAACTATCTGGACAGGCCAAACATGCCAGAACTGAGAAAGCTGAAATTTCACAAGAAGAAATGAAAGTCTCATGATCAAGGTTTCAAAAATCAAATATACACATCCCAAACTAGAGGAAATCTAATTGGATGGCAGTTATTAAGTTTTTAAAATTTTTTAAAACATTCAAGTTTTGTTGACCAATATGGATATTAAGAAAGCCAGAAGCCTCTTAGGACCAGAAGTCTAGTTTCCAGACCAAAAGGAGCAGTGGTTCTTGCCTAACATGGCTGGTCAGACTATCCTAAGAGGCCCCCCAGCCACCTGTCCACACAGGTGTACACACAAACTCTCACACCTTCCCACCACCACCACCATTGGGGTTCTTATTATTCAGTGTGGCCTCTTCACCCATACTGTCCCTGACTACAGCTCTTTTTGGCTTGGTAACATAGTGTAAACATTTCACACATCAGCTTAGTTCCCTCTCATGCTGCCCTTTCTTTACAATACACTTAAGCACAAGCTGGGAAAAACAAACAAACAAACAAACAAACAAAATGCATAAATAGTCAAGACAACCTAAGCACACCCACTTACCAAAAGGATTCAGATCAAAAATGACTTACAGTCACCAGTTTAAGCCGGCACACTATGCTACGAATTACAGCATGAATCCATGCAGAGTCAGTAATTAAGTCGGTAATTATGAGTTTTCACTGCAGAAGAACCCTGAAAGGCCCACTGTAAGAAGGAGCAAATGAAAGAGTATCTGTTTAGACATACCTCTCTAGAATGTAGAATCATCTTCTAAGAACGGACAGTTGGCCATTTTAAAAAAAAAACAAATGTGATTTTAGATTGTTTTTAAAGTTGTGAGCCATGTTTTTCTTACGTATCTATTTAATATACAAGTGTTAGTCATTTACAAATACAAAAACACTGCTTACTGGTAAGTTTGTAATTCCCAGACTATCCAGTCTGTTATTTTTAATTCAGAAAATGTGTTCTCTATGAGCAAGAGAAAGTTAATTTTTTAAGAAGTTATTTTGCCCTTAATAAGTGTGTGCCATGCACCACTTATCTGAAGATTGAATGAGGCTCCTGTGAATGCAATTACAGCCTTCCTTAAACAACTGGCTAAATGCCTTAAAACTAGAAAACATGTGAAATTCAGTCCAATTGCAGCCTGCCCCAGGAGAAAGGAAGCTTGAACTCCAGGTGCCCCGACAACACAGCACAGTGTGGAAAGAAAGAAAATGCTGAACAATAGAATCAGGAGAGGAAAAAGAGTCCCTCTTAATTTTCCGGGCATGTGGGGAGCTTGTTGCTAAAGAAATATTTAAGATCTCACTGCTGGTTAAGGTTCAACTGAACAGTGAAATTAAAAAACAAAAAAAAAATCAAACATGCCAGTACAGCACTTATTTAATTCAGTATTTCTTATCAATCAGGTTTATTTCAGTACTTCTTATCAATACAACAGAAACACCTCTCAAATCACACTTAAAATGTTTATGAAAACATACCAAACATACCCATTATAAGGGGTGGGGTCTTCCCTATCATTCAGAGGAAGCTGCCCCATTCTGGATTTGGGTTGCAACCCCCAGTCCTAGTTACATTCCTGCAGCCTTCCAGTATTTATAACTATATCAACAATGAGTAGGAACGTCAGTTCTGTTTAAAGACAGGAACTGCCTTACAAAGGATGCACCATGGATATCAAGCAATGTATGATGTTGTGACCAAAACCACTGATCCAGTTTTGTACAAAAACCAAAATACTTCCCCAGCTCTTTAGTTCTCATTTCAAAAAGTAACATACTACTTGTAGAAAATCTGAGAAACAGAAAAATAAAGAAAAAAAATTAGTCACTCATAGCCCCATTAAGATAACCAGTTAAAATTTTAGTCTCTGTCCTTCCAACCCTGTTAAGCAGGCAAGGATGAGGTGAGGTGTTATTGCTGGTTACACAGACTAACAATGATTAATCATCCCCACTGGACTTACCCTAAATCCACAGCAGTAAGAGGAGTAACGGTTGTGCCTGCAATTCAACAAGCATTCACTGGGGCCTGCTTGGCACACTCTCATTTATGCCACAAATGAATGAAATGCAAATTAACACCAGTAGCCCTTGAGGGCCATTTGGTAACCTCAAAAAAGAAGGTAGATAAACCTCATCCCTGGTGGACATGAAAACAAGAGTTAGTTATCCTAGTACAGAGAGTAGGAGAGCCTGGCCACCCTCTCTAAGGCAGGGAAGGAAATGTTTCAGAGGAAGGGTGTGCAAAGCAGTTGGAGATGAAGACCTGGGAACCACACACATGTGCAGCTGCCCATTAGCAATGCAAGGGTTCCTGGGAATCTGTGTGCTTTTAGGACCAGAGAGATTCAGCCCACAAGGGAAATGTTCTTAGTCCCACAAACAGGAAGAGCTTTAAAACTGTCAGAACACCCTAGTTTCCATACATCAACCTGGGCTACTATCATCCACCTATTACCCTTGTGCAGTCAAAGGCCAGACAACCTGGTTACGTCTAGTTGAACCATGCTCTGTGCTTAAGGCACAAGGAAAGAATTGTTTCTACTGCTGATGTCACCTCAGCGTTAAACATTGTTCATTATTAACCAGCTGAAATATTCTTCTTTCAAATACTATAACTGGGTGCAGGTTTCCTTGCTTATTTTTTTTTAAGGTGAAGAGTTGTGAAAGTTAGTTTGACTGAACTTCCAAAGTTCACCCCCAAGTAAATACCTTGGAAGTCTTAAATAAAGTTTGACAAAAATATTTGTAAAATAGTCTCCATAAAACCACTTAATCATTATAACATGTTATTAAATCAAAGTCAGAACAAACCCAGAAGAAAAATCCAAATACACTGAGGTTCTCCTTTCTGGACCTGCCAACTGTCAAAATCAAAGTTGGGTGTTTCTCCTGATCTAGCTGATTAAAGTTTAGGAAAATGTGCAGATAACACACCTTTTTAACCGTATTCAATATTTTGTAGACATACACAAAACTAGTTTACATTCTCAGCAAGTGAAGTTCATCTTACATTTTCTTAAATATATTTATTGTATTTAAGAAAATGTACAGTATACACACACACACACACACACACACACACACACATATATGCTCAAGCTGCTATAATAAAATACCATAGATTGGGTAGCTTAAATGACAAACATTTATTTCTCACAGTTCTGAAGGCTGGGAAGTCCAAGATTAAGGTGCCAGGAGATTTGGTTCCTGATGAGGGCCCTCTTCCTGGCTTGCAGACAGACAGTCGCCTTTTTGCTGCATCCTCACACACTGGAGAGTGAGCTCTGGTCTCTCTTCCTTTTCTCATAATGACACTGATCTTATTATGGAGGTCCCACCCTCAGTATCTCATCTAAGCCTAATTACCTCCCAAAGGTCCTGCCTCCAAATACCATCACATAGCGGGTTAGGGCTTCAACATATACATGAATCTGGGGGACACAAATATTCAGTCCTTAACAGACACGTGTATGGTATCAATTTTGTCAGTTACACATCCTAGCTATCAAACACATTCACAACCATTCCAGGTACATCCCTCTTAACTAGCTCAGTTTAAAATAACAAGCAGAACTCACCAAGTCTGCAAAATAACATCAGTACAAGCCTGGTCATTTGAGGCTAAAGTCAAGGGCTTGATGGACAATCAAGCCAGTCAGGCCTGGTAAAGGGATGAAAGAGAAAATTTCACTTACAAGGACACAAATTACTCTTGCACCTAGCATCAGTTAGTAAACCTCAACACGCCAAGCAAGAGAGGGAGGCCTCCCTACAAACACTTGCCACTACCGTAAAAAGAACTCCCTCTATCATCTCTAGCTCCAGACCTCGCCTCCTGCCTCTAAATCCCACTTTTTGCTGGACATCTCTTCTTGGAGGGCTTGTAGTTCAGTTTTGGATTCAACTGAACTCATTACTCCTTGCCATCTCTCTCCAAACTGAGGTTCCCACAACTGCTTACCTCAATGAAAGGTGCCATGACCCATAACAGTCAAAGTGCACTCCCTCTCCTAGATGAACAGGAAGTGGGGTCAATATCTGCAGGCCTCTCCTCTCTCCACCACCCAGTCCTGCCAGGATTTCTGCACTCTGGTACTAGCCTCCCAGCTCACCTTGTTCCCCCCCCTCCTTGTTACCTAGCCCACCTTATGGCCATGGAGCTGTTTCTAAAGTGCAATATGATCACAGCATTCACCTGCTACAAATGCTCCAACCTTCACACAGCTTTCGAGATGAAATACAGACTCCCTTCGCTCAGTGCTCAAGACCCCAAACCCTCAGGTACTTCCCAGCACAACCTTGACTCTAGTCCAACAACTACTGTCAGCGCCCTGGCTGCACTATACCTTTCCAAGCCTTCTAGACTCCAAACTTATGTGTTATCTTATCATGTATTATTGCAATTTTTAAAGTAATGAAAAAAAAAGAAAAAACAAAACCTTGAAGGTGCATGATGAACCAAGTATTCACTCTTTTCTTTCCTCTTTCAGCCACATCTTCTATACCAAAAGAGAATCAAGTATTTCAAATGCCAGCTAAGACTCTTCTCTGGACACAATCTGGCTTTTATAAGTCGATGGTCAGATCCTACCTTTGATTCCTTCTTTGCCTTTCTAAGGCTGACATGTCTCAAATGCAGGAAAAATTGCTGTTTTTTTTTAATAAAAAAGATTGTATTTACTTAGAAGCATTCATTATGTCAACAAAACAGCCACAACTTTTTTTTTTTGAAATTACAGAAGTGTTCAGTTAGCAGAACATTCACATAAGCTGCATCAGAGACAACTGAAGATGAAAACACTACTAACCCCATATATTGACTAATTTGTGCTGTGCACCAACGACAGCCTGCTTTAAATTTACATGCCAGTTTACAAGCCCCATACTGTATCAGGAGAGGTTAGTGGCTATTGAAAATATCATCAGGGTCGGGCATGGTGGCTCACGCCTGTAATCTCAGCACTTTGGGAGGCCAAGGCAGGCAGATCCCTTGAGGTCAGGAGTTCGAGACCAGCCTGGCCAACATGGTGAAACCCCATCTCTACTAAAAATACAAAAAATTAGCCAGGTGTGGTGGCGTGCACCTGTAGTCCCAGCTACTCAGGAGGCTGAGATGGGAGAATCGCTTGAACCCAGGAGGACAAGGTTGCAGTGAGCTGAGATCATGCCATTGTACTCCAGCCTGGGTGACAGAGAGAGACTTCATCTCAAAAGGAAAATAAAATAAAATACCACCAGCACAGGGTATCTAAAGATAACATTTGGTAGTGTGTTAACTATACAAAAAAGACAATGTACAATTTCAAAACAATTGTTACATAGTCTTCCATTTCAATTTCTTTAAAAGAAGTGAAATGCATACAGGGAGTTGAAATGCTTTATAGATAAGAAAAAAAAACTGTGCTAGAACCAACTTATTCATCATCATCTTCATCTTCCTCCTCTTCCTTCTTTTTCTTGCTTTTTTCAGCCTTGACAACTCACTTTTTTGCTGCATCAGGCTTTCCTTTAGCTCACTATGCAGCAATATCCTTTTCATATTTTTCCTTCAGCTTCACAGCCTTTTCATAAGGCTGCTTATCATCTGCGGCAGTGCCCTTCCACATCTCTTCCAATTTCTTTACAACTCACCAATGGTAGGCCGGGATGTTCTGCTTTGATTTTTGGGCGACACTCAGAATAGAACAAGAAAAAGGCCAGAGGAGGCCTCTTGGGTACATTGGGATCCTCGAACTTCTTTTTTGTCTCCCATTTAGGAAGGACATAGGTTTTCATTTCTCTTTCATAATGGGTCTTGTCCATCTTTGACATGTCTTCAAATCTCACTTTCTCTTTAGCAGACATGGTCTTGCACCTCTCTGAGCATTTCTTAGAAAACTCTGAGGAGCTGACTGAGCATCTGGGTGCTTCTTCTTGTGCTCCTCCCAACAAGTGTGGACAAAGAATGCATATCACATTTTACCTCTCAGCTTCCTTGGATCTCCTTTGCCCATGTTTAGTTCTTTTTTTCCTCAGTGAGCCACAGAGTCGCCCAGTGCCTGTCTGGCTCTCACTTGCCCCAGGGCTGTCTCTATGGTGCTCAGTACACTGCAAGCTGTTTGTTTTCATTGCATGCGAAACAATTTGATTCACTGGCCAGTAGTTGTGCTCAGCCACTAAAACTGAATACTTTCTAAAGTACAGAAACAAATAGGCCTCCCCTTCTCCCTTTGGAAGACCCACAGGACTAGCCATACCCTGCTACCACCCCCAGCCCCAGCCAGATCACTTCCCTCTGACCAGGCTGGAGAGTGGAAGGCAAGGACACCCAACATGCTGCATTCCAGTACAGCTCTTCTGAGTCAAAAAGGGAGCTTCCAGGGTCTATGGAAGTCCTTTGAAAACAGAGGTGTATGGGTTTTTTTTTTTTCTTCTAATGTGTACTCTGTAAGAGTAGAGGCCTACTCTTGGTACTTGCTGTGTTACCAGAGCCCAGAACAGAGCCTGGCCCAAGGGAGTGGCTCCCTAGGTATTTGCTGAATGACTGGATAAATGAAGGAACAAACAGGCACTCTCCCTAAATTAGCAGAGTTCTTCTTCTCAAGAAGTACTATTGTGCTAAGAATGTCTTCAGTTCACTTTTCTCTTGGGCACAATCTTAGCAAAAACTGGGAATTGCATCATTAACCCCAAGATAGACAGACAGATGCATACACACACACACACACACACACACACACACACACACACACACACACACATTTTTTTTGAGATAGCGTCTTGCTCTGTCACCCAGACTGGAGTGCAATGGTGCCGTCTCAGCTCGCTGTAACCTCCGCCACCCGGGTTCAAGCGATTCTCCTACCTCAGCCTCCTGAGTAGCTGGGACTACAGATGCATGCCACCACACCCGGCTAATTTTTGTCTTTTTAGTAGAGACAGGCTTTCGCTATGTTGGCCAGGGTGGTCTCGAACCCCTGACCTCGTGATCCACCCACCTCAGCCCCCCAAAGTGCTGGGATTACAGGTGTGAGCCACTGTGGGCCCAGCCCCCAAGGCATATATTAAAGCTTTTTGGAGTAAATTCTAGAGATCAGCTATTTGCTTCTTGTTTGTATCTAAGAGCAGTAAGCATTGGGTAAAATGTTGCTTTTAAGAGTCCCAAGAGAGGCACTTATCATGTTCATTACTATAGTTTTCTTTCTACCTAAAATAAAATTTGGATATTCACTTTGGTGGGACCTAATACCTGAAGCTGCCATTGCAACAGGACATGTAGCTTGGAATTGCAAGCCACATCTGGGTTCTACCTCTAGACCCAAATACTGCCTGCACTACAAACTCCCTGGAAATGGAGGCCCAGAAAAGGCTAATCAGAATGAGCCAAAAGGATGCAGCTTGCAAGTTCCAGAAAGATCAGTGTTTTTGAGTGTAGGCTGGCAGGGCATGGGTCCAGACTCAACTCAGAGCCACTGACTCTAAAACCAGGTATCTCTGCATTATAGCTGTTTAACAGGCACCACTTTTTCCTAGGGATTTGGAATACCTGATAATCATCAGTAACACTTTCTGAGCACTTAGCGTGAGGAACCATCCTAAGTCCTGCACAAAAGCAATCAGTTAATCTTCAAGGGAATTATCCGAGCTGAATTATTATCATCACCATTTTATAGACACAGAAACAGAGAAATTAAATAACATGCCCAAGGTTTAGGTACATCTGGGAGCCCAATAGCCCAAATTTGGGTCTCCTATATTTGGGTTTACCACTTCATCAATTCTTTGCAGTAAAGAAGTTGAGAAGCTGTATATAGTGTTCATTAAAAATAAATATGTAGTTTTTTATATATTGTTTTTCTATCATCTCCTACTATGGACTTTTCCTCCCTGCCCAAACACTGGGTGCCATCAACACCGAGCCCATGCATACGGTGAACAGCATACATTACTTCTTCCAGAAGGCACTGCTTTGTTCTCATCTACAAAAATCCTTCTTCCTTCCTATAGACAAATGACTGGTTCACATATCATGACTCAATTTATATTCAACAATGTTCATTTGCAGTGTAATTATTCTTCCTAATTAGGCTGCTCTGAAGACAAATGACTGCCCCTCCCCATCCCCCTCTCCTACAACACACAATGTCTTTTTCCTGATATAAAATGTTTGCTGCACCCTTTGCAAACCACAAGAAGCCACAGTCTGCTCTCCATGTGACCACTTAGAGAAAAATACTATTATAAGATAGTGTTTTATCTGATATTACTTCAAAATCAGAATCAGATTTCTAACAGATCAATAAGCTTATCACAGTATGACAGCAAAAAGAAATGAGACTCTTGGATTCTATTTCTCTTTCCTATCTTAAAAAACATTTCCTCTTCCCGCGAACATGTGTTCTCTATCTCTTAAATTTAAAAAGGAGTAGTTTCTAAAAGAGAACCAGTAGGAAAGAATCAGGAATACCAGCAAAAGTCAACATCAAAGAAGTCAGTATCTGATCCTCTCTTAAACCTAGCAGGAGTGGAGCTCTCTGGCCAAGGGGTAAGGCAAAAGCAATGTGCAGGTTATAAATGTCCCTTCAAGCTCAGTTACTCCGGTTTACCTCTCTGGGGTGAGCCTCTAACAGCTCTGGCTCGCCGGAATCTTTCCTCCCTCGGCTCCAGCACACACTTTCCATAGCGGCCGCGTTGCAATTTCAAAGAGTTCTCCTTTCCACGTAGGTCACCCACCGATGGTAACCTACATGCACAAACACACTCGCACAATCACAACAGAGAAAATGGGACATACAGGAAATGGCCCGGGTGGAGGCGAGGACGGGGGTGGGGATAGGACTTTGTCTTTACTCTGGTGTTGCTCCCATTGAAACAAGCACATGGACTTTCATGGAACTCATGACCATCCTGAAATAACAGAAAAGTCGAACGGGATTGAAGAAAATCCTTTGCTTTTCTAAGTTCGAAGAACACTGGGCCGCTGAATGGAAGGGAAAAGAAAAAAAAAAACTGTGTGCCTAAAAACATCCAGAAACACACGCAGAGTCTCCCCAGTCCTTTGCCCAGCCCGTGGGCTCAAGCCGCCCATCCCAGATGCGGTCTTCCCCACTCCACGCCCACCTCTTCCAGCCCGCACCCCAAATCACTGAGCTGCCCACAAAAATGCAGTCCAGATTTGAGAAGCAGCTGACGTCTGTGGCCAGAGTGACCCACACGCCACGGACCAGGGACAGCAGGGGCGACCACGGGGCGGCCCCCAGGGAGCGGTGCCAGGCGCGCTGGAACCCGGCGCCCAGCTGCGCCTGGGACCCACGCGCCGCCGTCCGAAGCCCGCCAGCGACGCCCAGAGAGCAGGGCTCGCGCCGGCTTCCCGAGGAGACGCTGTTCCCGGCACAACTTTTTTCCACTTCTGCGGCCGCCGGCGGCGCTGAGAAGCAGCTGTTCCCTTCCCATTCCCAGCACCCAACGCCCATCCCGCAGCACCTCCGACCGCTCGGCGCGGTCTCCCAGGGCGCCGAAGCGAAGTTCCCGCGCCAGCCGCGGCTCAAGCAGCCAGGGCTCGGCCGGCCGCAACGGCTCCCCATGCGCCCGCGCGGGGCGCCCACCTGGCCGGGCCCACCGGCTCTCCCCTCCCGCAGCGCGCGCGGGCCCGACGCCTGCCACTCACCCGGCCCCAGCTCGGCGTCTCCGGCTCCGAGCCCGCAGCCTTCCCCAAGTCAGGGCTTTCAGTGACGCCTCCTCGCAGCCACCTCGCTCTTGCCCCCGCTGGCCGCGCCTGGAAGAAGGAGGCGGGAGGAGAGCGAGAGGAGAGCGGGAGGAGGCGGCGGGAGAGGGGGGCAACGCAAGGGAGGGGAGAGGGTCCGCGGCGCGGGGGAGGAGGCAGCGAGGCGAGAGAGCGCCAAGCTCGGCGGCCGCCCGGGCTAGCACTCGGGGAGAGGGAGGAGGAGGAGGGGCGGGGGCAGCGAGAGAAAGAGGCGGCCGAGCCGCCCTGCCCAGGCCCCGGCCCCGCGCCGCTGCCCAGTCACCATCGCCGCCTCCGTCCCGCGAGCGGGCCGGGCGTCCGGGGGAGGGGTCGGGCTCGGGGCTCCCGGCGCGGCGCGCGGGGCGGGACGGGGGCGGCGGGCGGGCGGACCAGGCCCGGCCTCCGGAGGGGAGTGTCCTGCGGGTCCGGGAGGGAGTCGGCGACAGGGGATCCCCGAGAGGGGGTGTGGGGGCCTGGGAACCGGTCCCTGAGCCCGCCGGGCAGCGGCGGCGGCGTCTCCCGGGGTCCTGCGAGGTTCCTCCGGGCCGCACCGGGGAAGCTCCCGGAGCAGCTTCGAGCAGCCCTGCCGGGAGGGCCGGAGGCGGAGAGCGGCGCTGACGGAGCCGGGGGAGAGAGGCCAGGCTGCTCCGGCGGAGAGCGGGCCCCGGGGCGCTAGGAGCAGTTCCCCCAGACCCGGGCCCAAGCGGAAAGAACGGCCGTCTGGTGACCCCGGAGAGTCCGAAACGGGAAAGGGGCCAAGGGGCGCCTGGACCCCCATCCTCGCCGCCCTCTTCCGGAGAGGAGGCTCCGGACATAAGTTCCCGTGCCCTCTGAATATCTAGGTGTGGAAACTCAATTCCAACAGTCACAAAGATTATTCCTAAATAGAATGCTTGGTGTCCTCAGCTTCCCTGCCCTCAAAATTACGGTTTCAGGATGATTTTCGGAGGCGCTTTAGGAACAGCCTGAAAAGGCATTCTTGTCCAGAGAGGGGATGCTTTAACTCCCCAGCTCCGCCCCCAGGGCTGGGAGCAAAGAACAGAGTTAAATGGCCATGAATTCAGGTGCCAGTATTGTTTGTGATTGAACTGTTAGGACGTGGCACCTCTCTAGGCAAACCCATCTTGTATTCCACCCCTCGCCACCCCCCCGCCCCCCGCCCAGTCAAATGCTCCCATTCCCAGTTTCTCAGCCCCTTGTCTGGGACACCTCTATCCACCAGTCGCCCAGATTCAGATTAGCAGTCAATTTTGGGCCTCGCTCCTCCACTCCCGGTAGCCAGTCCCATTAGTTCTTCATTTTTAATGCCTTTCCAGGTGCCATGTCCTTTCAAGCCCACTGCCGCCTTTCTGGTTCTCGCTATCTGGCACTGGATGGCGTGAGCGGCCTCCTACCGGTTCTCTGCTGGGGTCCTCTCTACACTTGCATCCATATGCGCAGGCCTACAGGTGAATGGCTCTAGAATACCCCTCAGGCAGGCCACTTCCTGTTCTAGAAGCTTTCTGAGGCACTTTGCCAGAGAACATTCTGAATTCCTTAAAAATCATCAGTTCAAAACCATACAACAACTGCACCTCCATACGCACTTCTCAGAGCCTGGGACTCTCTTTAGATGGGGATCCTCCCCTCCCCCCGAGAAAGATCCATGCCTGTATCTACACGAGAGTTGCTGATGCTCTTCCCAGAGCTGGAATGCTCTCTTTCATCTTCTCCCGCAGCCAAATTCCACTTATCTTCATTGAAAATGAAGTTTGCAGTACCACATTTTTGCTCTAAAAGGATATATGTGCTCTTTCCATTTTGTGAAATCACACACTAGAAATAACAGGGCTTGTGGGGAAAGTAGGGTTAGAAAATGACTCAGAATCTATGTAACATTGTAACCACAGCACTAACAAAAACTAACCATTCCAAAAAAAATACCAGTAGAGCTAATGAACTGTGTTAAATTCCTAATAAATACTATAGTACATGTAAATATACGACTTTACTTTTATAAAAAGATGAAGATAACTGTTGAAGGGGAGTTGTTTGAGGCTGCTGACTTGAGATAAACACAAAATGTACAAATAAGAGGAGAACTCTCTGTCCTGTCCCCCAACCCACATCCCACAAATCCTTCCAAGGTAGAGAGGTCAAGGCCAAATCAATCCAAGAGAAAGAATGTAGGGTGAAATGGGCCTACAGCACCCTGTGTTCTCTGTAACTAGATGCACCCTGCTGTGTTTTGCAGCTGTAGTTACTTGGTGGTGCAGAAACATTAAAGTGCTGGGAACCCTTGAATATGAACCAACACAACTCCACCCATTTTACTAATATCTAATAACTAATGAGTTAGTTTGTGTTATCCATGCTCTCATTACAGAAACAGCCTTGATAACAGAGTACACTGTACTTAATTCTATGTTTAAAAAGTAGACTAAGGCTGGACATGGTGGCTCACGCCTGTAATCCCAGCACTTTGGGAGGTCGAGACAGGCGGATCACCTGAGGTCAGGAGTTCAAGACCAGCCTGGCCAACATGGTAAAACCCTGTCTCTACTAAAAATACAAAAATTAGGCCAGGCACAGTGGCTCACGCCTGTAATCCCAGCACTTTGGGAGGCCGACGCAGGCGGGTCATGAGGTCAAGAGATCAAGACCATCCTGGCCAACACGGTAAAATCCCATCTCTACTAAAAATACAAAAATTAGCTGGGCATAGTGGCGCACGCCTGTAGTTCCAGCTATTCGGGAGGCTGAGGCAGGAGAATCGCTTGAACTCAGGAGGCAAAGTTGCAGTGAGCAGAGATCACGCCACTGCACTCCAGCCTGGCGACAGAGCAAGACACCACCTCAAAAAAAAAAAAAAAAAATACAAAAATTAGCTGGGCATGGTGGTGGGCACCTGCAATCCCAGCTACTCAGGAGGCTGAGGCAGGAGAATTGCTTGAACCCAGGAGGTGGAGGTTGCAGTGAGCTGAGATCATACTACTGTATTCCAGCCTGGGTAACAGAGAGAGAGTCCGGCAAAAAAAAAAAAAAAAAAAAAAAAGTAGACTATACTTCATCCCACACATTTACTGAGCACTTACTATATGCCAGGGACTGGCTGTTCTAGGTACTGGGGATACATCAGTGAACAAAAAGAAATGCAAAAATGTCTGCCCTCATGGGTTGTGGAGACTTGAACACACATCACCAGATGGTTTGTATTATTCAGGATATATGTTTCATATGTGTGTAGCTTGAATTGATGCATGTATATTTTAATCTATTGAAGACTAGGGTTGAGCCTTACTTACGTCTTTGTATCTTCCCCAGTGTCTGACACAGTAAACTACTATTGGGACATGTAAATTAGGGCAATTATAGCCATTTAATACTCTGTGTTATGGAATTCACAGGAGAACTACCTGTAAAATATAAAACTAATTTTTCTCAAAACTGTGTTTGCAGATTTTTGGGCAAAAATCAAGACATGTATCCCCAGATGGGATAACTTGGGTCTAAAGAGCAGATAAATTACACTTAATATGAAGCAAGAAGTTAGGGATGGCAAAGTAGGGAAGAATAGAGAAGGAGACAGATGCTAAAAAGTGTAGTTCATGAAGAAAGTACATTCTAAGTTCTGTGGAAAGAAAGAGAACAGCAGGAACTTTGGGATATCGTGAATCCTGCTTTTATCATGTGCTTCAGACACATTTTCAAGAAGCACTCACTACAAGGCATAAACGAAGAGGAAATTAGGAGAAATTAAAGGGTGTCTGCACATTTTGGTCAAATGACAAGGAGGCCTTGGAAGAAGATTATTGAGCCAGTTGGATAGGTCATGCGGTGAAATTACAGTGATGTCTGGCTAAAATGTATGGTACTGAACTTACTTGCCTGTGCAAATCACTCTATTCTTTGAATGTCTGAACACTGTACTCCACCTAGAGTACCTTGTTTCAACACGGCTAGCAATTTTTCATATGTGAACACTTTGCATCCTATTTTTTTCTGAGTAAGAATCTGCTTGGAGTTAAATAAAATATGCATTTATAACAGACAGGAAAGCACTGATATATTTTCATGATTGTCAGCATACTGACTATTGATTAACTTTAAGTTTGCCTATTCATCTTCATTAAAACCTACTTCCCAAATCCACCACCACCCACTTTAAGAGATTAATTGATATTTCCTTTTTCTTTCTTTCTCTCTCTCTTTTTTTTTTTTTTTTTTTTTTTTTTTTTTTTTGAGACAGAGTCTTGCTCTGCTGCCAGGCTGGAGTACAGTGGCGCAATCTCCACCTCCCGGATTCAAGTGATTCTCCTGCCTCAGCCTCCCTAGTAGCTGGGCTTACAGGCGCACACCACCATGCCCTGCTAATTTTTGTATTTTTAGTAGAGATGAGGTTTCAGTAGGCTGGTCTCAAACTCCTGACCTCAAGTGATCCACCCATCTCAGCCACCCAAAGTGCTGGGATTACAGGTGTGAGCCACCACGCCCAGCCCTATATTTCCTAAAACTGCAAATGATCATAGAATTTCAGTGCTAGGTGCAAACTTAGAATTCAATGCCTTTTGAAGATCACATAAAATACTAGACAATTTAAGCTGAGAGTCTCTTCAAGGAAACTAGCAGATTGCAGTTCCCACCCACAAGGTCTTGTGGAAAGTCACTAACTTAAACATGATTATTCAGCTTTTTTTGTTCCGTGGATGTAATTATACAAAGAAACCATCTGAAATTCTAAGAATCCATTTTTTCTCTACAAATAAGGGTTGAGAAAAGGTAATTTTGAGCACAAACACTTGCAGGGCTTTACTGATGAAAAGCAGAAGTCTGACCTGCATGAGACAGAAGCCACTTTTTGGCCACAGAAAAGGTCTGGCCAAAGTCTCCAATGGACTTAGAAATGTCGTATATTTATTTCTGCTTCCAGTTGGCAGTTTTTAAGTTGGTGACAAAATGAAGCCTGTAAATATAAACGAAATTTCTCTATTTTTATTGAAATCTCATTATATCAAGGTGCTCGGCTGTCTCTTGAATGAAAGTAACAAAATATCTCCAACTAAGAACAAGGATTACAGGTGCAAATAGAGATGTAGGATATTCTAGTACCACATAACAGAGAGAGCAATAGCACTAAATCAGACACGAGGGTCATAGGATCCCAATAAGGAAAATAAGGAAAATCTCCACGATCTGTAGAAAAGACTCCTTTTTCCCTCACAGATCTGTTAAAGGATCCGAACAGTCCACGTTCCAGTCCAGCCAAAGAAAAACATGAACCTCAAAATACTCACTGTGGCTAAGTCATAAAAGAAATAAACACACAGAACTTTGGGCACTTGTGCTCTTCCTGGAAAAACTGAAGACTCTTGGCAACTTTTATCTTCCACTTACAGTCTCTACCTCCTGGCCTTCATTTCTTCTATACGTGAAGCAGTAGCTTTAACTTGCCCACTGACTTTTCCTTAAAAAATAGTCTGTTTTCCTGCCTCTAGTTCCAAAACTAGACTCCATGTGATTTTGGCAAATTTCAACCTAAGAAGGTACTCCGTTCATTTCCTCCTATTATGTCACCACTACCATAAACAAATCCATTTGGCCCTCATCCAGTTGAGCTTATCCTTGAAGTGAGGTGGAAATTTCCATATGGTGAGAATTTTTTACTGCAATATTACTTTATAAGTTGCATGCAAATTCTGCAACATTCTTAAATGCTCAATAACATGTAACTGACAAATTCAATTAAATGAATCTTATTCATTTGGAATCCTCACCTGCAGGCATTTTCCTGGATTACAAACCTTTCTCAGAAGAGGTATAAAGTACAAAGAATCTAGGGGGATTAGCTGTCTTACGGTGTTCATGACAGGCATAAAACCACCCAGGGAAAGCATGCTTTGGCCCTTTTTAACAATAATGCTGTGCATCTGGTCTGTGACTTGGGCTTTCAAGAGCTTCATCTTTTCTATTATGAATTATGTGCAGCTCTCAAAACCTCTAAGAGGTAAGATTTTACTGTTACCCTCCCCACTAGTACCTATAATGAAATTTGGAAAATACCCACTCAGCATGATTCAGTAGCAATGCTTAAAATGAGAACTTGAAGAAACCATTGCTATTTTTTTGCATCATGAAGAGGATGCTTGTCCTTAATCTAGCCCTGACTGAAAAACTAATTTCCAATCTAAAAACCTGCCTGCAAGGAACTTTTTTTTTAAAACTCTTCCAGTCCCTTTCCTGGAAACAAGAAGCACAAAAATGTATATCTGTAATACTAGCAATTGCTGGTTTGGGCATTCTATTTTCACTTAATGCTAGAGTTAGAAGATATATTATTTTCTATTGATAATAAAAATATTGGATATCACTGATTATAGTATGTATTCTGCATACTTCCAAATAGATCTGAGGAACTTCTTATTAGAAATAACAGAAGGTGGTAAGAGACTCTCTTGCCAGGGTTCTGGTTTACCACAGTCAAGCATTAAATTTAGCTCTGGGCTTCCCAGAGCCAAGACAAGAATGACATACAATTAATGATATAGTTCTCATGGTCTGGTAAAGGAATCATAGTTGTTCTTCAAGTCAGGCAAACATTTTCCTGGCACAAACTTCCAAAAGGAATTGAATCATGGGCCTCACATAAGAGACACTGGACAATCTAAACATGTAGGTGCAGAAACTTCACTCAGAGGAAGCAGTAGACTTTGCCTCAGAGAAACAGTGAATGTGGAAATTAACAAGAGAAGAAAGCCTGCTCTAGACTATGTTTCTGCTATGGCTGAAATTGCATTATTTAAACTTAACTTCTACCCAAACTCTAGAATGCATAGTGTACCCTCTGTGCCCTCAATTTAAAAAAGAAACATAGAGCTGGGAGCCATGGCTCATGCCTGTAATCCCAACACTTTGGGAGGCCAAGGCAGGTAGATCACCTGAGGGCAGGAGTTTGAGATGAGCCTGGCCAACATGGTGAAACCCTGTCTCTACTAAAAATACAAAAATTAGCGAGGTGTGGTGGTGCACACTTATAATCCCAGCTACTTGGGAGGCTGAGGCATGAGAATCACTTGAACCCGGAAGGTGGAGGTTTCAGTGAGCCGAGATGATGCCACTGCACTCCAGTCTTGGTGACAGAGTGAGACTCTGTCTCAAAAAATAAATAAATAAGTAAAATAAATAAATAAGAAAAATAAATGAGCCTTGTGTTAAGAGAATTATGCAAAGATAATTCCACTTCTTCATTAACTTCACAAATCTTTCTCAATTTTAAATCTTCTACTATTCCACATAGAACCCATTTGACAACTATGACCTGTGTTCATTTCAGAACAACTTTGGGAAGGTTTTCAATGAAAACAAGAATTAGGGACAAGGCCAATCCACACAGCTGAGATTAGTTCTAGTTCTCTTCCAACAGAATAGCATGTGCTATGCTAATTATACAAAATAATGTTCAATCACTTTTGAGGTCATATAAATGAGAACAACATAAGCTGTGAAATTAAAATGAACCATAAAACTAGTTTTATAGCTCAGAAGTGATTTCTTTAAATATCCCATGAAATTTTGCTCTAAGACAACTGTCTCAAAATAGTTATAAATGCCTGTTTTTCCAGTGTCATGAGAAAAATATTTGATATTAATTCAGCTCTCTCCACTACATTCAGATATGCTTCACAGATGTTTATGTTTTCTAGATGTGTAGTGAGAAAATCTTCTTGATAGGAAAAGATTATGGGCCTTAGAATCCTAGGACTGTGTACAAATTGCATTTCCTCCACCAGTTACTACATGATTTTAGGCAAGTTACTTAACCTCTACAAATCTTAGTTTCTTCACCTTTAAATTGGGATAATATTACCTACTGCATGGGGTTGTTCTGACTATTATTATTATTATTATTACAATGTATGTAAAAGTATCTACTACAATGCCTAACATAAAAATAGGTGCTCAATAGATGTTTGTTCCCTCCCACTGACACCCATACTCTTGCAAACAGAATTTTCTACTAGTCCAGGAGACTATCCTTCCCAACTTGCCAGTTACATAGCTTTCTTATACTGCTTTTTAAAAATGATACAAGAGTCTAAACAATGTGGTACTGGCATAAGGATAGATATAGAGATCAATGGAATAGAGAGCCCAGAAACAAACCCTCACATTTATGGTCAATGATTTTCAACAAGGATGCCAAAACATTTCTATGGGAAAAGAAGTCTTTTCAATAAGTGGTGCTGACACAACAGGATAACATATGCAAAAGAATGAATATAAACTCCTACTTTGTACAAGTAAAAAAATTAGCTCAAAACGATCATAGACCTAAACATAAGAGCTAAAACTATGAAAGTATGAAGAACACGTAGGAGTAAATCTTCATGATGTTGGGTTAGGCAATAATTTCTTGGCTATGACACCAGAAGAATAAATGCCAAAAGAAAAAATATATATAAACTGGACTTCATTAAAACTAAAAACTTGTGTGTGACAAGGGGACATCATCAAGAAAGTGAAAAGGCAACCCACAGAATGGGTGAAAATATTTGCAAAATGTGTATCTGTATCTCATGAGGGACTTGTTTCTACAATATATAAAGAACTCTTACAAAGCAACAATAAAAAGACAAACCAATTTTTAAAATGGCAAAGCACATAAATATTTCTCCAAAAAGATATTCAAATGGCCAATATGCACATGAAAAGATACTCAGCATCATTCATCATCAGTGAAATGCAAACCAAAACCACAATGAGGTACCACGTGATACACACTAGGATGGCTAAAACAGAAAAGACATATGATAACAAGTGTTGGTGAGGATGTAGAGAAATTGAAATTGTCAAACTTTGTTTGCTGGTGGGACTGTGAATGGTGCAACCAGTCTGAGAAACATTTCGATAATGTCTCAAAAGATGAAACTTAGGATTATTGTACTATATGACTCAGAAATTCCTCTCCTAGGTAAATATCCAAGAGAAAGAAAAATATGTCCATACAAAAACTTAAACACAGATATTCACAGCAGCATTATTCATAATAGCCAAAAAGTAGAAACAACCCAAATGTTCATCAGCTGATGAGTGGACAAACAAAATGTGGTAAATACATACAATGGAATATTATTCAGCCATAAAAAAACACGAAGTATTGAAACATGTTACAACATGGATGGACTTTGAAAACATTATGCCAAGTGAAAGAAGCCAGTCACAAAAGTCTACCTATGGTACAATTTTGTTTATATGAAATGTCCCGAAAAAGCAAATCTAAAGAGACAAAAAACAGATTAGTGTTTGCCTAGGGCTAGGGTGGGGGTGGGAGGTAGAGGGCAGTGTGGAGTGATTGCTAATGGGTACCCAGTTCTTTCTAGGGTGATAAAAATGTTCTGAAATCAGATTGTGGTGATGGTTGCGGAACTCTGTGAGTATACTAAAATCCACTGAACTGTAGACTTCAAGTGGGTGAATTTTATGATATGTAAAATATATCTCAATTTAAAAAAATGAAATCAAGGTAAAAATGATAGAAACAGTTGTGTTCTCAACAACCAGGAGCAACTTCAGTGAACATTTGCTGAACACTTACTATGTGTGTGAGAGGGATACAAAGGCAACTAAGCAAGGCCTCCATCCTCAAGGAGTTTAAAATCCAGTGTATTTATGTGGTTCAGTGAAGGTCAATGAATATTTTAATTGCCAGTGTGACCAGAATTAAATAAAGAGCTGTAATACATAGTATTTGCTTAACACTCAATGCCTTTAAGGACTGTGCTACATCTAGGGGTAGAGTTTGCATGTCCTGGTCCACTAGAGTCACCCAGGCTTTTGGGTGAGAGAGAAGGAACTAGGCAAAAGCTCTACACTAAAGATAAGAGCAGGTGCCAGGGGGGTCCATCCACACTAGAAACAGATGCTGGGTGGGGAATGGAATTAGAGAAGGTTCTCTAGGGACTGAGAGTTAACAAGGTGAGAGGTAGAAGGCAGTACACAAAAGCCCTGAAGCATCAGAGAGAATGGCAGAAGACACAAATGGAGGGAAAATGAGAAGATATTAACTCAGGGGTAAGGTTGATGTTAGTGGGGACACCAAGGGTCCTAGAAGTCACATTACAAAGTTTAAACTGAGGGCCCTGAGGAGCCATTGAGGGTTTTAAATCCCAGGAATGATCTGATCTTGTTTTAGAAAGATCTCTCTGGCTGCTCTGTGAAGAGATGCATTAAATGGGAGCAAGACCAAGAATGGAAAGACTGGTCTTCCAGGAGAGTGGGGATAGGATTAGGATCAGTGGTGGCAGTGAGCTTGCAATACTGATTGGGCAGTCATTGAGAGGAAAAGACGTCAAGGATGATGTCCAGGTTTTGAGGCTGAGTGATGCATGGCAGGTTGTCCAGGCCATGGAAGCAGCAAACATGGATAAGGGGCTGGATTCTGGTGGGGGCCATGGTAAATGGGACATATTCTTCATATGAGTGGAAAAGACCACAGGCAATGGGATAGGCAAAATTGGAGCTTCCCTCCTGGAACTTTAAACGCCAGTGTCAAATCCTTTCCTTTGCCACCAGATTGTGTAATTGGGTTCAGCTATACTTTCCTTGGCCAACTTCTGTCTCAAAAACTCAGACTACACCAACATTAAATTGTGCCGATAAATCTTACTGAATGCTTTTCAGCTTAG
This sequence comes from Homo sapiens, assembly GCF_000001405.40. Classification (NCBI taxonomy): domain Eukaryota; kingdom Metazoa; phylum Chordata; class Mammalia; order Primates; family Hominidae; genus Homo; species Homo sapiens. Next base: position 78,659,235 of record NC_000005.10, read on the forward strand.
CTTAATGAAAAATATCAGCTAACAGACTAGGGGAAACACTCTCCCCAGGGGACTTCATGATCCAGATTCTGGTAGAGCCCGGGACACTAGCTCTTTATAAGTTTCTCCAGGCTGGAGTGAATGAGATATCATTGTTGTTTATTTCAAAGGCACATGAAGTGCACCAGTGGTCTAAATCAGTATTCCTCATGGACACCGCTACATTGGTTAGTTCAACAACTAAAATAACTACAGAAAAAGAAATTCACTTCTTTTGAGTTAATCTTTTGGAGTTACACAGACTACTACTTTAGAAACCATCATAGGTTTGTAAACCAGAACAGGCCCTCCAATCCTAATGGAATTATTGATTCTCAAGTCAAATAGAGTTTCAGGACAACTCTTAATGCATTTATTGATTGCTAATGGGATCAAATTAACATGAAAAAATAATTGATAAACACATCCTAAAAATAAAGTTACATCTGAAACCATCTGTTTCCTAATGTGGGATTCTGTCAGTGCAAAATTCCCTTAGAAACCTGAACTTTCTTTGACCTGATGGAAAGTAGCCACGTCAGCATCGGATGAAAGACAGTATGATATGCATGTCCAAAAATAAACAATTGCTGTTAAGTGCATTTTAACCTCAAAGGCCTCAAAAGAAAAAGCAACTACCATGTCTACTGATAACACAAAAGGAATTTAGGAGAAACATTGCAAACGTAGAAAACAAATTGTTAAGTCATTCTTATCTTTGTCTGAAACTGGCTGTGGCCCAGAAGCCCAGCTTCTCTTTCTCTCAGCCCAGAACCCTTCCCCAAAGCTCCAAGTTCATAACTATATTGTAAATAGATGAAATGTGTCAGCACCTAAAGACAGCAATGTCAGTGCAACCTGCTAACACTTCAATGTGAGAGGCTGTACGTTTACTGTATTCCTCAAAACACAGGCTCATGAAATGACTTTGAGAAAATGTATGCATTTCCCTCATTTTCAATAGTGTAAAATAATGTCATTTAATAATGCTTGTTTATATGCCTAAGTAGAACTTTAACAAATTCAGTTTTATTATATTGTTTAAAACTCAAATCTCACATCTTCACATCTTTATGGAAATTAATGGCAATAGTTTACAGCATTTAACAAAGTACAGACTGCAACCATGGTGGTTTAATTGTTATCTCGGGCTGTCTCAGGTAGTGATGGAGTGGGAAGACCAAGCAGTTTCTTTTCTTACAGTTTGTTGTCCAAGCACTAGGCAGGACCGTGTTTTAATTACAGACTGTTTTTTAAATAATGAAACCTAACCAAACATTTGTTATGGCAATTGCATGGCAAGGAAATGCTTTTAAAAGCCTCATTTCCAGGTTTAATTTTATTTGTATCTTGAGATAACTTTATGGTGAAATACATTTGCTGAGTGGGAAGTTCCAGCAGAGAACAAATGTCTACTTACCCAAGTGTTGCTCTTCAGCCAACATCTCATAATCAACTTATAGAAACCTCTCAAGTGGAAGGGTAAGTTGGACCTTTACCAGATAAAACAAGGAACTCACAATGGAACACAGACCTCAAGGTAGAAGCTATAGCACTCTTAGAATAAAACATGAGAGTAAATCTTCTGTACCTTGGATTTGGCCGTGGACTCTTAGAGATGCCATCAAAACCACAAGAAGTAATACAGATAGATAAATTGGACTTCATCAAAATTAAAAATTTTTGTGCATCAACAATGTTATTAAGAAAGTAAAAAGAGGGGGTGCAGGGGAAAAGCATCAGAATAAATAGCTAATGAATGCTGGGCTTAATACTTAGGTGATAGGTTAATAGGTGCAGCAAACCACCATGGCACACGTTTACCTATGTGACAAATCTGTGCAACCTGCACATGTACCCCAGAACTTAAAATAAAATAAAATGTTTAAAAAAGAAAAGAAAGTAAAAAGAAGGCAGGCACAGTGGCTTACACCTGTAATTGCAGCACTTTAGGAGGCCAAGGTGGGAGGATTGCTTGAAGCCAGGAGTTGGAGATCAGCCTGGGCAATGTAGTGAGACCCCAATCTTTACAAAAAAAAAATTTTTTTTTTAATTAGCCAGATGTGGTGGTGCTCACCTGTAGTCCCAGTGCCCTGAGGAGGGAGGATGGCTAGAGCCCAAGAATTTGAGGCTACAGTGAGCAATGATCACACCACCACACTCCAGCCTGGGTGACAGAGTGACACCCTGTCTTAAGAAAGAGAGAAAGAAAGAAGAAGGAAGGAAGGGAGGGAGACCCTGAAGGGGAGAGAATAATTACAAATCACCTGTCTGGTATCTAGAATATAAAAATAGTTTTTATACTTCAAAAAGACAATTTTTAAAAACAGGCAAAGCACCTGAGTAGACATTTCTTTAAAGAAGATGTGCAAATGAAAATAAGCACATGAAAAGATGCTCACCATCATTGGTCATTAGGAAAATGCAAATCAAAACCACAATGAGATACTACTTCATACCACTAGAATGGCTATAATAAAAAATAAATAAGTTGAAAATAACAAGTTTTGATGAGGATATGAGGAATTGGAACCCTCATACTTGGTTGGTGGGGATGTAAAATGATGCAGTTGCTGGGGAAACAGTTTGGCAGTTTATCAAAAGTGAAACACAGAGTTAAAACATGACCCAACAATTCTACTTATAGGCATATATCCAAGAGAACTGAAAGCAGGTGTTCAAATGAAAACTTTAACAAAAATGTTCATAGCAGCTTTATTCAGTGGTCAAAAAGTGGAAACAAACCAAGTCTAAGCTAAATGTAGTATATCCATACAATGGAGTATTCTTAAGCCATAAAAAGGGATGAAGGCGGGCACAGTGGCTCATGCCTGTAATCCCAGCACTTTGGGAGGCTGAGGCAGGCAGGCAGATCACTGAAGTGAGTGGTCAGGAGTTCAAGACCAGCCTGACCAACATGGTGAAACCCCATCTTTACTAAAAAAAAAAAAAAAAAAATTAGCTGGGCATGGTGGTGAATGCCTGTAATCCCAGCTACTTGGGAGGCTGAGGCAGGAAAATCACTGGAACCCAGGAGGCAGAGGTTGCTGTGAGCCGAGATGGCACCACTGCATTCCAGCCTGGGTGAGAGAGTGAGACTCCATCTCAAAAAAAAAAGTTGGGGGGTGGGGATGAAGTGCAGATACATGCATAGATACAAATGGATGCTGAAAATATCATGTTAGATGAAAAGAAGCCAGAGACAAAAAGGCCACAGAGTATATGAGTCCATTTATATGAGTTGTCCAGAATAGGCAAATTTGTAGAGACAGAAAGCAGATTAGTGGTTACTAGGGGTTGGGGGGATGGGGAAATGAGGAATAACTGTTTAGTGATTACAGGCTTTCTTTTTGGGGTGATGAAAACATTCTGAAATTAGGTAACGGTGATGGTTGTATAACCTTGTGACTGTACTGGAAGCTGTGGATTGTAAACTTTAAAATATGGTTAGTTCTCATTTATAAGTGGGAGCTAAACATCAAGTACTTATGGACATAAAGTTGGCAATGATAGATACTGGGGACTACTAGATGGGGAGAAAGGCAGAGGGCAAGGGTTGAAAAACTAACTGTTGAGTACTATGTTCCGCACCTGTGTGACAGGATCCTATATACTCCAAACCTCAGCATTGCACAATATACTCAGGTAACAAACCTGCACATGTACCCCGAATCAAAAATTAAAGTTGGAAACATTTTTTAATAATAATAAATTATGATTTATTTATGTTTCATGATATGTGATTTTTTTCTCTCAATTTAAAAGCTGTATTTTCCAAAACCAAAAATAATTAGTGAGAAAAGTGGCATGGTTTTATATTTTTGAAAAATCCCTTTTACATATGACTTACTGGGAGAAAGTTGGATGTTCATATTAGCTTCTGCATTGAAGCTGTGGCAATGTATTTTGGTTGAAGTATATGAAGAAAATCCAGCTTCCCACAGATGTGTAGTTGGAAAAAAAGGAGATTTTAATAGGCTTTCCAGATCATTGTGGATGTTCATCTTTGATACACCAAAATTCAACAAGTGATAGTTTTTTAGAGGTTAGTTATAATGTGGAGTCTGAAACCAAATCAATTAACTTTTCATATTCTATGATATTAAAATCCATTGGTTCATCTTGCAAAACTACAAAAGTGGAAGGGTGCGACTGAGAGGTGGTGAAACATTTTTCTTTGTAGATACAGAACACTGAATTGCTCTAAAGAAAAAAATGGAAAAGGACAAATATTATGTCTAAGGTATTATTTAATGATTAGCAATGGGGTTATTCAGCTTTGAGGAATCATTTAGGTTGAATGCCATAAATACAGCTGACCCTTTATATATCCATGGGTTTGGCATTCATGTATCCAATCAACTGTGGATCAAAATATTCCCCCCAACCCCGCAAAATCGATGGTTGCATCTGTACTGAACACGTACAGACTTTTTTCCTTATCATTATTCTCTACACAATACAACTATTTATATAGCAGTTACATTGTATGAGGTATATGAGTAATCTAGAGACAATGTAAAGTATACAGAAGGATGCTGGGTGCGGTGGCTCATACCTGTAATCTTAGCACTTTGGGAGGCTGAGGCAGGAGGATCACTTGAGGCCAGGAGTTCAAGACCAGCCTGGTTAACATACTAAGACCCTGTCTCTACAAAAAAATTGAAAAATTAGCCAGGTGTAGTGGCATACACCTGTAGTCCTAGCTATCCAGAAGGCTGAGGCAATAGCATCGCTTGAGCCCAGGAGGTCAAGGCTGCCATGAACCATGATCATGTGACTACACCCCAGCCTGGGCAGCAGAGTGAGATTATTTATTTATAAATAAATAAAGTCTACGGGAGGATGTGTGCAGGTTATATGAAAATACCACACCATTTTATATAAAGGACTTGAGCACCCATAAATTTTATGGAATTATGGGAATCCTAGAACCAATCCCCCATGGATGCTGATGGACAATTATATTAAGCTCTCTTCTATATGCCAGGAATTTGACTAGATGATAGGATAGGGTGTGAAAGGAAAATGGTAGGAGAGTGCACGACATAAACCTTTGCCTGCTACAAAAGTTTGCCAAGCCAGGCTGGGTAAAGGCTGCTTTTCTAGGACTGGACTCGTGATAGAAGACTTTATAGCCCAGCTGGCCTACACTACCAGAATGCAGACTTCGCCAGGGTAATGCTGGGGTGCCTGTGTCACACTGACTTACCAACACAAGATGTGCTCAAAAAATATTTGAACTTTACTAAATTAGGAAAAGCATACACCAGTAGAAATATTTTTCTTTATTGTTGCTTGACTCAAAACATTGAAAGGTCCTTTAAAAAACCTGTAATTTAGCTTATTCCATAATTTTAATGAGTCTTTTTATATCATTGCGATTATACTATAGCCTTGTAGCTTTCTTTTGTCATGTAATCCCATAATCTAAGAATTTCCTCATGTTAATAAAAATTCTGTCTGCTTGAATTTTAAATCCCTCCCCCGCCCCCATCAAGGCCCGTTTCTGTACCTGCTAGTACAACCCAGAGTGCAGATTCCACTAGAAAATCCCCACAGTTCTCATACATGTCTGTTAGGACCCCCAGATTTCAAAAATCACTTAAAAAACACCACAATGGGGCCAGGCACAGTGGCTCATGCCCGTAATCCCAGCACTTTGGGAGGCCGAGATGGGTGGATCACTTGAGGTCAGGAGTTTGAGACCAGACTGGTCAACATGGTAAAACCCTGTCTCTACTAAAAATACAAAAATTAGCTGGGCATGGTGGTGCACACCTGTAATCGCAGCTACTTGTGAGGCTGAGGCAGGAGAATCGCTTGACCCTGGGTGGCAGAAGTTGCAGTGAGCTGAGATCGTACCACTGCACTCCAGCCTGGGTGACAGAGCGAGACTCTGTCTCAAAAAAATAATAAAATTTTAAAACCTCAATCTTCTATCACACCATGTGTCCTGCATTGTTGTTTAATGGTGTCTTTGGTGGCCAGCCTGGGAAGGAAGGCCAGGCTGGCCAAGTAGAGTAGGGATGAACCGGACTCACTGTGGAGAAACATCTAGACCACTTCTATGGGTTCAAATCCATCCATACTATGGACTACTTGGACCGCAGACAAGGCACCTAATCTCTTTGTGCCTCAGTTTCCTCATCAGTGAAAGGAGGAAAGTGATGATTGTTCCTACCTTGTTGGGCTGAATAGATGCATGTAGAGTGCTTATTAATAGTGCTTGGCATGTAACAAATGCTGGCTGTTATTATTAATGAGAATCAGACAGCCCTGGGTTGGAAGCTCCTCTTTCCACTTGCCCCTGAATGTCACTGGGTACCTTGTTTAACAATTCTCAGTACTTCCATTTTCTCCCCAAATTCGTATTGTAAGACCTGTCTCACAGGGTTACTGTAAGGATTGGCATTTGAATGAGCTCTGTGCAAAGCAGCTACAAAGCATGCTCACAGTGGGCACACAGGAAATAGTTATGTCTTAGGCTTCTTAACAAGCCCACCACACTCAACATCACAGAGCAGGTGTTTGGCGAATTAAAGAGAGAGGTTTGGGGATGGAGGATTTTCCGGGCAGGAAGGGAGGCACAGGTGCTGGCATTTGGATGTTTCCCTGCTAGGGTCCAGGTTCTGCTGAGTGGAGAAGCCCCAGGGATCCCCACTACCCCAAGGCCCATCAAGGCGAGAGGGACCACCTGAGCCAGCAGATTGAGTTTTCTTAATTTGTTTCTAATCACATGTTCTGGCTGGAGGACTTTTCCTGCTGTGGTAGGGTGGGAATGTTTCCATGAATGTTTTACCAGAAAGATCTGGTTCCTCTGTTTAAACAAATATTTATCACTTGTGAAATCACAGAAATGGAAGGCTTTGTATGAAACAGGCACCCCAGGCAGTTCCCAACAGGAGGCTCCTTTGCAGAGTCTTCCTGGGAGACTCCTGCCTGGCTGGCCCGGGGTCCCTGGCAGTCGGCCCCACTCCTGCCCTTTCCCTGCAGCATGGTAAGTTGTTCAGCAAGCTCAGCTGTTGTAAAGTGCCTGAGTGCCTTGGGAATTAGGAGACGGAATGAAGAGAGTGAGTTGATGTGTAAGTCTGGTACTCAAATAACTCAGGAACCATTAAAACATGACTCAAGAAACACATCTGTCTCTGTGAGGCAGGCCTGCCTCCTTCTCCTCCAATCTCTTCATGCCTCACTCATCTCCATCTTGGGGCAGCTTCTTTCCTGTATTTCACCTCACTTCTGGCACTCTGTCCAAGTCTGGGAGCTCTCCTTTAATACTCTTGGACCCAAGTTATCTGCCTAGGCTGGAAGGCAGCCTCTCTCAGACAAAAGCTATGTCCTCAACTCCCTGAAAATGCAAATCATGGCCCCTCTGCATTGTCACAGACTATGACTCCACCTCTCCCCACTTCTAAGGACTCGGCTCTCAGCTCACCTGGACTCAGTGGGCTCCTTTGCAGTTCTCTCTCGCTCTCATGCTGCTTGCCTTTGCTTGTGGATGCTAAGGTGTTAGAGAATTCGCTGCTGCCCTTGCGTCCTGCCTTGCAAACCCTAGCATTGGTTTTTCTCCATCACATACTCCACATCCATTTTTGGTTACATGTGCCCCTGCCGCCTTGAGCCAATAACTGGTAAATCATTATGAAGATTTCTTTTTATTTTGCTTCTTCTTTTTTTTTTTTTTTTTTTTTTGAGATGAGGACTCGCGTCATTGCCCAGGCTAGAGTGCAGTGGTACAATCAAGGCTCACTGCAGCCTTGACCTCCCAGGCTCAAGTAATTCTCTAGCCTCAGCCTCCCAAGGAGCTGGGACTATAGACATAAATAACAATGCCTGGGTAATTTTAAACTTTTCTGTAGAGATGGGGTCTTGCTGTGTTGCCCAGGCTGGTCTCAAACTCCTGGACTCAAGCAATCCTCCTTCCTCAGGCTCCCAAAGTGCTGGGATTACAGGCATGAGCCACTGCATCTGGCCAATATTTGTGAAGATTTCTATGGACAAGATGCTGTACTAGTGGCCCAAGAATGGCAGGTTATAAGACTTGGCTTCGGCTGGGCACAGTGGCTCACACCTGTAATTCCAGCACTTTGGGAGGCTGAGGGGGAAGGATCACCTGAGGTCAGGAGTTCGAGGCCAGCCTGGCCAACATGGAGAAACCCCAACTCTGCTAAAAATAAAAAAATTAGCCAGGCATGGTGGCACATGCCTGTAGTCCTAGTTACTCGGGAGCCTGAGGCAGGAGAATTGCTTGAACCTGGGAGGCGGAGGATACAGTGAGCTGAGATGGCACCACTGCACTCCAGCCTGGGTGACAGAGTGAGAGTCTGCCTCAAAAAAAAAAAAATCACTTGGCTTTATCATCAAACAGCTTCTGAGCTGACTCACGGCCTTCTAGGCTGTAAGTTAGGTGCCACTGAGTGCATTCATAATGGCAACCAGGAAGGACTGTTCTTCACTGGCATGCTCAGAGAAGGCTTCCCATACGAGGCGGGGGTTTGAATTTAAGGCAGGACAGTGGTTCTCAACCTATTTTATTATATTTCATTTTATTTTAGGTTCTCAACCCATTTTAAAGAAATATATGTGCTGGGGTCATAACCCTAGAAATATGATACCTAGCAGCTCCTCCCTCTCCCCCTCCCCCCTTCCTCATCTGTATCCTCCTCCTCCTCCTCCTCATCTGTATCCTCCTCATTCTCCCCCTCCTCCTTTTTCTTCCCCTTTCTTCTTCTCCTTCATTTTTAAGTTTAACAGATAACTGAGTTAGGTAATCAATATTGAGAACTATTGGTTTTGGCCAGGCAGAGATAAGGAAGATGGTTTTGATGTTGGAAACAGGTTTATCCAATGAAGACAGGCAGGAAAGTACAAAGCTTATTTATCTGGGGGAGGGTGGACAAGAAAAAAACTAGCTTGGCTGGTATATTAGTGCTTGAAAGGCAGCTCAGAAGTTTGGATTCTATACTTTATGCAAAGTTGAGCCATTAATGGTTTTTTTGTTTTGTTTTGTTTTGTTTCCTTTTTGAGACAGGGTCTCACTCCATCGCTCAGGCTGGAGTGCAGTGGTGTGATCTCAGCTTACTGCAGCCTCAATTTCTCCATGCTCAGGTGCTCCTCCTACCTCAGCCTCCAGAGTACCTGGGACTACAGATGTGCATCACCATGACTGGCTAAATTTTTTTGTATTTTTATAAAGACAGGGTTTCATCATGTTTCCCAGGCTGGTCTCGAACTCCTGAGCTCAAGCTATTCACCTGCCTTGGCTTCCCAAAGTGCTGGGATTACATGTGTGTGCCACCGCGCCTGGCCTCATTGATGGTTTTTGAGGAGGGGTGAAGATCTAAGGAATACAAAGTGTTTCTATAACAGGCACTTGCTCCACCTAGAATTACCTCTCTCCTTACACTTGGAGGAGGTACACTGCTTTCCCTTGTCCAAAAGTTCCAGTCTGTTTTGTAAATTGTAGCTAAAATTAAAACTAGATGTCCCCATTGAACCCTGCCCCAGAATGAGTGGCAATGATTATATTCACTGTTTTTTTCCCATGTCCTCTGAAAGACAATCACAAACATCAGTCTGATGTTGTTACATTTCCCAAGGTTTCAACCATTTTATCATGTCTGTGGTGAAGTAGTTCATTTTCATAGAATTGCAGGTAAAATTGTTGGAACAGCAAGAAAGAAGGGACCAATGTATGAGATACAGCAAGGGAAGAAATGTAGGACTTATTGTCTCACTGGATTGGGAAGAAGGCAGCAAGGATCATATATAAGTAACTCTTGAGAAAATAGGGAATTTTTAATGGCAGAGCAGCTGCCTTCAAAGATTTGAAAGTTGTCAAAAGGTAGAAGAACTAGGCTTATTGTATGTATCAGTAAGCTTCTTCAAGAAGTAATGGCACAGGGGCTCATGCCTGTAAACCCAGCATTTTGGGAGGCCAAGGTGGGTGGATTGCTTGAGCTCCTAGGAGTTTAAGACCAGCCTGGACAACATGGTAAAACCCCCTCTCTACAAAAAACACAAAAATTAGCTGGGCATGTTAGCACATGCCTGTAGTCCCAGCCACTTGGGATGCTGAAGTGGGAGGATTGCCCGAGCCCAGGAGGCCAAGGCTGTAGCGAGCCATGATGGTGCCACCACACCCCAGCCTGGGCAACAGAGCGAGACAGACAGAAAGGAAGGAAGGAAGGAAGGAAGGAAGGAAGGAAGGAAGGAAGGAAGGAAGGGGGGGAGAGAGAGAGAGAGAGAGAGAGAAAGAAAGAAAGAGAGAGGAAGGAAAGAGAGAAAGGAAGGAAGGAAGAAAGGAAGGAGGAAAGGAGGAAAGGAGGAAGGAAGGAAGGAAAGAAGGGGAAGGGGAAGGAAGGGAAAGGAGGAAGGAAGGAAGGAAGGAAAAAGAATAGGAAAGGAAAGGAAAGAAAAGAAAAGAAAAAGAAGTAGTAACCGTATAAGAGAATTCAACTAGATCATGGGAGATAAGATAGGACGTTGTAGGATTCCAGGTCCTAACAGATGCTTAACATGCAGAGTCAGCCATCGCTCTAAGCAACAGCCATTAGTAGCAACAGCATCTTTCATTTGTATAAAGTCAGATATTAACCTTTTTTGGACACAGCACAAAACAGCACAATCTGGGCTCTAGAAGTTGCTGATGGACCAGGAATGGTGGCTCATACCTGTCCCAGAACTTTGGAATGCCAAAGCAGGGTTACAGGATTGCTTGAGGCCAGGAGTTTGAGACAAGCCTGGGCAATGGAACAAGACCCCTGTCTCTACTAAATTTTTTTTTTTTTTTTTGAGACGAAGTCTTGCTGTTGCCCAGGCTGGAGTGCAGTGGCTCGCTCTCGGCTCACTGCAGGCTCCGCCTCCCGAGGTTCACGCCATTCTCCTGCCTCAGCCTCCCCAGTAGCTGGGACTACAGGCGCCTGCCACCTCGCCCGGCTAATTTTTTGTATTTTTAGTAGAGACAGGGTTTCACTGTGTTAGCCAGGATGGCTCAATTTCCTGACCTCGTGATCCACCCGCCTCGGCCTCCCAAAGTGCTGGGATCACAGGCGTGAGCCACCGCGCCCGGCCTAAATTTTAAAAATTAGCTGGGAATGGTGATGCCACCCGTAGCCCTATGTACTTAGGAGGCTGAGGCAGGAGAATTGCTTGAACCCTGGAGTTCAAGGTTATAGTGAGCTATGATTACACCACTGCACTCCACCCTTGGCAACAGAGCAAAACCCAGTCTCAGTTGAAAAAAAAAAAAGTTACTGGTGAAAAACGTATTACTTAGGCCCTCTTTCCTCCTTCAACCTAGTAACCCAAATGAGCAAATGCATTATCCAAAAGAAAATACATATTATATTTACACAACATAATCTTTCCTCCCTGAAAATTAAAAATCCCTTTTTCAAGCCCTTCTCACTGTTATTCAGAATGTATCATAGTGTTCTATTCTCTCTAGAATCAAGAAAGCCCCTTGGGACAAGTTAGATGCTCAGCAATGTCTACTGGCTCTGCAAGATCTCCTGAAGAATGAGACCTTCAAGACATAAGTGGGCTCATAGAAAAAATAGAAAGGGCAGCTTGATGGCTGTCTACTGGAATATATGCAGAGTTCTCATCAGGAGGACACTGAGCAAACGGCCTTCATCATTGCTAAGAACAACAGGAAATAGCCTTAAGTTTAACAGTGAGGTTAAAATGACCCTCAGAAGGATGTAATAAAATGTTCTTTGTAAATCTCTAAATAATGTAAACCTCTTCCTCGAGATTGTGTTAAACTGAACCTCCAAAGGCTACACCTTAGCTCTATAATTCACTCTCTTTATGACACCTTTGCTAGACTGTGAGTACCTCTAGAGCAAGCTGCTATTGTCATCATTTCTGTGTTGTCACTGCATCCCCAGGATCAAGCATAGTGCCTGGTTCACAGTAGGCACTCACTGAGCATTTGATTTTTTTAAAAATGGATGTATTTCATTACCTACTGCCTGAGAGTACTGCATAGCTTTCTTTTTCTTTCTTTTTTTTTTTTTTTTGAGTTGGAGTCTCACTCTCTCGCCCGGGCTAGAGTGCAGTGGCGCAATCTCAGCTCACTGCAACCTCCATCTCCCGGGTTCAAGCAATTCTCCTGCCTCAGCCGCCTGAGTAGCTGGGACTACAGGCGCATGCCACCACGCCCAGCTAATTTTTTGTATTTTAGTAGAAACGGGGTTTCACCGTGTTGCCCAGGCTGGTCTTGAACTCCTGAGCTCAGGCAATCCTCCCGCCCCAGCCTCCCAAAGTGCTAGGATTACAGGCTTGAGCCACTATCTTGGCAGCTTTTTTTTTTTTTTTAATGAAAGTAAGGAAGTAGCCAAAAAGAAAACCCCTAGCACCACCAATCTCCCCACATAATATGCAGTTTGGCAAATAGAGAAGAACCTTGGATCCCAGTGAAGAGATATGAGGAGGTGATCACTGGGAATGTGGAGGCTTGGAAATGGGCCAGAAAAGTCCGGGCAGTTCCAGAGTTCTGCCTGCAGACGATTAGAGCAATAAATGGAGTGTATGCATCATTAAAATGAACTACAAATGAGAATCTGAGATAAGCTGACATTCAAACTCACTTAAACTTTGTACTTACAGAATGAACATTTTGCAAATAGCCTCGGGGTTACAGTTCTCTTAAACTTTTCACATTATTGCTGTAAGATGTGGTGGGCCTGAAATACCACAATGGCCTGCTGATTGTGCCAAAAAAGCAAGTGAGGCAGATGCACGAGGAAGGAGGGGTTCGCCTTCTTTCTCCCTGGTTGCCAGTTTATGAGGACAGGCTGTCTTTTAAAATGGAAAAAATCTAAAAGGAAATTTTTTTAAGCAAAAATAAGAAACAGGATATTTGGAAAAATATGTATATTAAGGAAAGCAAAGGAAAAGAAGGCACAAATAAGAATAAGCGTTCCAGGAGCTTCTTAAGAGGAGGGCCTTTGAAGCCCTATTTGAAAAAAACAATAAAAATGTAACCACAGAGCAGAGGTCTTTGGGAGTCTTGAAACATAAAGATATATCTAAGTCTTATGAGGGCAGCATGGTGTTTTGTGTTTACATTTTGCCAGGGATATAGCTTTCCCATGAATTCTTCCTTATCTTGAGGAGAAACACTATCTACAAACAGGCAAAACCCAATTATGATTATCACTTAGAAAGTTGTGCATTGGTGAACTGTTGGTCATAGTCAACCCGGTTACCCCTGCCCCACCAAAAGCCTTTCTTCCATCAACTCCAGATAGCAGCCAAACAGGCTATCACCTTCTCAGCTTTCATCTGCACATGAATCCTTTTTAATCTCCATTTCCCACCATTCACAAGACACTAAATTTTACCTCTGACTATTTTTTGCATGAACTTACCAAACATAATAAGACACAAGCATTATCAGTCTCCAAAGAACTCGAGCCAGCCTAGAAAGTCTCTCCAGAAATACCACAAAAATCTATTGGTCCATTGCTGTATACTCCAGCATTCACCATAAGTAACACCGTTAGTTTTTCTGTTTATTTGTTTCTGGCTTGTTTTTTTAAATTTATTTTTATTTTTTATTTTCCATAAGTTATTGGGGTACAGGTGGCATTTGGTTACATGCATAAGTTCTTTAGTGGCGATTTGTGAGATTTTGGTACACCCATCACCCGAGCAGTATACACTACACCATATTTGTAGTCTTTTATCCCTCGCTCCTCTTTCAGCCTTCCCCCTAAGTCCCCAAAGTCCACTGTATCATTCTTACGCCTTTGCGTCCTCATAGCTTAGCTCCTACATAGTAGTGAGAAAACATGATGTTTGGTTTTCCATTTCTGAGTTACTTTACTTAGAATATTAGTCTCTAATCTCATCCAGATCACTGCAAATGCTGTTTAATTCATTCCTTTTTAAGGCTGCATAGTATTCCATGGTGTGTGTGTGTGTGTGTGTGTGTGTGTGTGTGTGTGTGTGTGTATGAGCAAATGCATTATCCAAAAGAAAATACATATTATATTTACACAACATAATCTTTCCTCCCTGAAAATTAAAAATCCCTTTTTCAAGCCCTTCCCACTGTTATTCAGAACGTATCATAGTGTTCTATTCTCTCTAGAATCAAGAAAGCCCCTTGGGACAAGTTAGATGCTCAGCAATGTCTACTGGCTCTGCAAGATCTCCTGAAGAATGAGACCTTCAAGACATAAGTGGGCGCATAGAAAAATAGAAAGGGCAGCTTGATCTCATATATATATATAAAATATGTAATCATGGTATATATATAAAATATATATATAATCATGGTATATATATACATAATATATATAATCATGGTTCCATGATTTTTGCTGAATTGTGCTGCTATAAACATGTGTGTGCAAGTGTCTTTTTTGAATAATGACTTGTTTTCCTCTGGGAAGCAGGATTGCTGGATCAAATGGTAGTTCTACTTTTAGTTATTTAAGGAATCGCCACACTGTTTTCCATAGCAGCTGTACTAGTTTACATTCCCACCAGCAGTGTAAAAGTGTTCCCTGTTTACCGCATCCATGCCGACATCTACTCTTTTTTGATTATGGCCATTCTGGCAGGACTGAGGTGGTACTGCATTGTGATTTTGATTTGCATTTCCCTCATCATTAATGACATTGAGCATTTTTTCATGTTTGTTGGCCATTTGTATATTTTCTTTTGAGAATTGTCTATTCATGTCCTTAACCTACTTTTTGATGGTATTGTTTGTTTTTTTCTTACTCATTTGGTTGAGTTCACTGTGGATTCTTGATATTAGTCCTTTGTCAGATGTATAGATTTTGATGACTTTTCTCCCACTCTGTGGGTTGTCTGTTTACTCTGCTGACTGTTCCTTTTGCTGTGCAAAAGCTCTTCAGTTTAATTAGGTCCCAGCTATTTATCTTTGTTTTTATTGCATTTGCTTTTGGGTTCTTGGTCATGAAATCCTTGCCAAAGCCAAAGTCTAGAAGGGTTTTTCCAATGTTATCTTCTAGAATTTTTATAGTTTCAGGTCTTAGGTTTAAGTCTTTGATCCATCTTGAGTTGATTTTTGTATAAGGTGAGAGATTCTTATTCTCCTACATGTGGCTTGCCAATTGTCCCAGCACTATTTGCTGAAAAGGGTGTCCTTTCCCCATTTTGTTTTTGTTTGCTTGGTCGAAGATCAGTTGGCTGTATTTGGGTTCATTTCTGGGTTCTCTATTCTATTCCATTGGTCTATGTGCCTATATTTGCACCAGTACCATGCTGTTTTGGTGACTATGGCCTTATAGCATAGTTTGAAATCAGGTAGTGTGATGCCTCCAGATTTGTTCTTTTTGCTTAGTCTTGCTTAGGCTATGCGGGCTCTTTTTTGGTTCCATATGAATTTTAGAAGTGTTTTTTCTAATTCTGTGAAGAATGATAGTGGTATTTTGATGGGGATTGCATTGAATTTGTAGATTGCTTTTGGCAGTATGGTCATTTTCACAATATTGATTGTACCCATCATGAGCATGGGATGTGTTTCCATTTGTTCATGTCGTCTATGATTTCTTTCAGCAGTGTTTTGTAGTTTTCCTTGTGGAGGTTTTTGACTCCTTGGTTAGGTATATTCCTAAGTTTTTTTTTTGTTTGTTTGTTTTTTTCAGCTATTGTAAAAGGGGTTGAGCTCTTGATTTGATTCTCTGCTTAGTCATTGTTCATGTATAGAAGAGCTACTGATTCGTGTACGTTAATCTTGTATCTGGAAACTTTGATGAATTCTTTTATCAGTTCTAGGAGCTTTCTGGAGGAGTCTTTAGGGTTTTCAAAGTAAATGATCATATTGTCAGCTAACAGTGACAGTTTGACTTCCTCTTTACTGATTTGGAAGCCCTGTATTGGTTCATTGCTGTATACTCTAGCATTCACCATAAGTAACACCGTTATTTTTTCTGTTTGTTTCTGCCTTATTTTATTTTATTTTTTATTTTTTTGAGATGAAGTCTCTCTCTGTTGCCCAGGCTGGAGTGCAGTGGCATGATCTCGGCTCACTGCAACCTCCACCTCCCGGGTTCAAGCAATTCTGCTGCCTCAGCCTCCCGAGTAGCTGGGACTACAGGCACACACCACCACACCCGGCTAATTTTTTGTATTTTCAGTACAGATGGGGTATCATCATGTTGGCCAGGCTGGTCTCAAATTCCTGACCTCTAGCGATCCACCTGCCTTGGCCTTCCAAAGTGCTGGGATTACAGGATTACATTTCATGTACCCAGCCTACATGAAATATCCTTTCTGAGGGTTGAGCTTGGCACACAGACAGGGCCTGGTGAAATGGTGGGTGGGGACCGAGGGGCCTCACCACGGTGTCTTTTGATGGCCTGGCTTTCTTTGCTTTGATGTGCACCGGTTCTTCAGGCCTGGCTCAATGTAGTCCCCCTGGTTCATGTTTAGAAGGCAGACTTTCTCAGTGTCTCTGTCCAAACTCTAACAATCTAAACAGCATGGCTCTCCCATGGCTTTTCTTCTTTGAGGTGAGAAGGCCTGAACCATAGCCTTCTATTCTGGTCCAGACAGCTGTGGATGGCCAAGGCGGGGAGGATAGGCGGGTTCTCTGAGGAGGGGATGTGGGTGGGGAGTAACTGGTATCTCTGCTACAATTCCCTACAATCTCCCACTCTGTTCTGGTCTATCTGGGTAATGAGCAAATTTCTGCTCCTTATCATCTTAGACTTTTAATCTTAATAATTAACGCAATTATCTGCCAAACTACTTGTCAAACAGATTCTGTGAGAATTAGTGTCTAATTATTCTAACCTCTGGTTATTCACTCTAGAAAATGACAAGCTCTGGGAGTACCTTTGGGGTTAGGTTCTTTCAGGGCAAAGATCTTGATAGAAAGACAGAGCAAAGTCCTTTTGGGTGTGGTTCTGTGTGCAGGTCTAAATATAGTTGCTTAGAATGGGCCTCAGGAAAATCCTGAAAGTGGGTGAGGTTTCTGTGTCTTCTTCTGGAACCCCTCTCACGCTTCCTGGCAAGTTATCCTGAAGACTTCCATTTGTATAGAGCTTTACAGTTTGCCAATAACTTGACGTAGATTATCTCCTCTCCTACTCACAAATACCCTGAGGAAGGTATCATTACCATCATCATTTTATAGCTGAATTACTTTATCATTTTATAATCAAAGATACTGGGCTCATTCAACAAATATTTATAGAGTAAACCAGGTGTCAGGCCCAGTGGAAACACAACGATGAAAGAACAATACCCAGGTCCTCCCTTCAGGGAGGCCAGCAGAGAATACTAATCTCAAGCAGGAAGTGACAGCACAGCACTAGGCTAGGATGCCTCGTAGAAGGACCAATGATCCCAGAATGGAACAGCTTTCTGCAGGAGTCATTGCCTGATTTTTTATAGGACCATGGTTAGTAAGATAACAAGAGCTACAGGAAAAGCATTCTAGGCCATCCCGTTCATTCTTATTTGACCTCTCAAAAAGGAGATCTACCAATTCAAATGAATTTCCAATGGTGGCATATTGGATCTTAAAACCAAAAGAGGTCGTTGGAGCAGGCAGTGTGTGGGGTAGTGTGGGCCCAGACATGTCCTCCTGCAGTCCCCAGGTTGGCTATGCCTCCTTGCAGGGACTGCAGACCAGCCTCTGGGACACTTTGCTGAGTAGGCCTGACAACTGTGGCCTCCTCTTCTGAGGCAGAGCATGCAGTAACTCCTCATTCCTCCCCTCAATGAGAGATCTCATTACACCACATAGAGGGCAGCCCTTCTGGAAGTGACAACCAGGGAAACGGAGTCAAAGCTCTTCAACTGCAAAGGCGTAGTCTAATACACACAAGTACCAAGAAGTGTTACAGGTTGAGCATCCCTAATCCAGAAATCCAAAATCTAGAAAGCTCCAAAATCTAAACTTTTTAAAGTGCTGACATGATGCTTTGCTTTCTGATGGTTCAGGGTATACAAACTTCGTTTCATTTCCAAAAAATTTTTAAAATATTCTATAAACTTACATTCAGGTTGTATGTATAAGGCATATATGAAACATAAGTGAATTTCATGGTTAGACTTAGGTCCCATCTCCAAGATATCTCATTATGTATATGCAAAAATTCCGAAGTCTGAAAAAAATAAAAAATCTAAAACACTCTGGTTCCAAACTTTTTGGATAGGGGAGATTCAACCTAGCAATTGTTTGTGGTCAGAGGTGAGAGTTCAATCCAGGACAACTTTTCCTGTTTCTCTGACCTCCCTAAAGAATACATGGAACCTGAATCTCCCCTGCAGAGGTGCAAAGGCAGCTAATACCCCAGGGCAGCAAACAGATCTCCAGAATTTTCCGCAAAGAGACTAGTTCAGCATCTCCAGGGATTGTCAGGCATTTTTACCACTGCACGCTTTTGATTTTTCTCTCAACTGAGCACAACAGAAAATTATTTTGAGGAAAAAAATATATCACTTCAGCCATGCTAACTCCCCTTTAAAGCCATCTGGGATACCAAAATGGGTGAGATAAGTGTAAAATAATTTTAAAAGATGCCATTCCTAGAAATAGTACAGAACTGCTTCCTTATGTGGCTTGTTGGTGGCCAGGGGTCTGCAGGCTGTCCTGGATCCAGGCCCAGGAAGTGACTCAGATGTGGCAAAGAAGCCATGTTGTTGAAGAACATCCCGGGGCTGGATTTGGGAAAGGCACATATTCGATGATGACATAAATTCTGGTCTTGTGCACATATTGTTTTGCAAAATCCAGGCATGAGATCATTTGGCTTGAATATATTCTCTGAGGGTTTCTCACAGACAAACACAGTTATCTGAATTGAGTTAGACCAGGGGAAAGGCATTTTAGGGATTATCTGATTGTACATGTAGACGTTTAAGCGTTTCTCAGTCAGGACAAAAACCAAGGGTTTTCTATTTGCTCTCTGGAGGAAAAGCCCACGGATCTCTTATCATGTCATCTTTTTCTACTGCTTTATGGAGAAGAACTTACAATGTTTTCTCCAAATCACTGGATAAAAAGAAAGAACAGCTGTTGCTCTTCTTTCAGGCAGCATTTATTTGACTAGATGAGTGGTTGGTTGGTTTTGTTTAGTTTCTTGTTTTAGATAATTCAGAAGAATAAGAGCCTCTAAGATTACTCACAGTTTTAACTAGGACTTTCTACTGCAAGTGGGAGGTCATGAATAATACTCGCTTTAGAGAAGCTGTAGTGCCTCTTTCCAGAAGAGACTGGTTTGACACATCACACCCTTGTGGTGTTTCTGACCACTTACATCAGAATCACCCCAGGGAAACCAGTTAAACCACACATATCTGGACTCCACTCCAGAGAGCCTCAGGGAGGGATCATGGGCCCAGGAATCTGCAGGTGTTTCTGATGTCCACCACACTTGCAATCCATAGCCCTACCAATGCCAAAGAAAGTGGTCATTTTCTCATTCTGCCACATCCTTTGCTTGATTCTGCTCAGAATTTTTTCTTAATATAACAACTAAGTCCAAAATATTACCACTCAACAGAAAGGTACAACAAATTCAGGCCCATTAACAGTGTGAAATACTAAAGGGCGGCTGGGCACGGTGGCTCATGCCTGTAATCCCAGCACTCTGGGAGGCCGAGGCGGGCGGATAACCTGAACTCAAGAGTTCGAGACTAGCCTGGCCAACATGGTAAAACTTCGTCTCTACTAAAAAAGTACAAAAACATTTAGCTAGGCGTGGTGGCATGTGCCTGTAGCCCCAGCTACTTGGGAGGCTGAGGCAGGAGAATCACTTGAACCCGGGTAGAAGAGGTTGCAGTGAGCCAAGATTGTGCCACTGCACTCCAGCCTGGGCGACAGAGCGAGACTCCGTCTAAAAACAAAACAAAACAAAACAAAACCTGAAGGGCAAGAAAGAACCTGAAGTCTAACCGATCATCAGTTTCTTGAGTAGAAGAGAGAGAGCAGCAAGTGTCCTAAGGCAGACTTGCAGGCCAGAGGGGAAAGGAGATACCTCAGAGTCTTGTGCAAGAGGCCAGGTAGGGCAAGTTTTATCTTTTTTTTCATCTGCAAAATGTTTAGAGTCATCTTCTGCAATCAAGAGGCTTGCAAATAAGGACAGACTCAGAAAGGCTCAGAAATATTCTCAAGAAAGAAGGAAGGAGCAAATTTTATGAAATCCTGAGAAGATGGATAAAGAATGTACACCCCCATATTTGGAATACTAGAAATGGGGGAATGCCCATTGAAATTTGAAAGACATTTTAGGTGTATAGAAATGCAATGACTGAATAACACAACTGGTCATAAACTTAAGGTAATTATTATCTCAATAGATATTCCAGATTGGAACTACAAATACATTCAAGAAATATTTTAAAATTTAGGGATTATAGATCTCTATCAGGTTATTAAGGTAACTGGTGATAGATGAGATGCATGCCTCACTTTAAGGCTGATTTCCTTGGAGAATAATAGATATATACCAGCAATTTTTCTTGGGGTCACACCAAAATACGGTATTTCTAGGGTTTTCATGTCCTTAGTTGTTTGGGGTATACATCTGTTGCATGGCAGCAGCCGTATAACAGGACATGAATTTCAATTCTATTTTTCCTGCTTACTAGCTGTGAAATGTTGGGTAACTTACTTTACCTTTTTGGGCCTCAGTTTCCTCATTTGTAAAATTAAATATCTATATGTATGTATTGCCATTATATATTTACCATATATACACACTATATATGTATTTTAAATTATATATATAATTTGTATATTATGTATATAATTTAAATATATATAATTTGAAATAAAGTGTGTACACACGGTAAATATGTAAATATTATTTATGTATTTATTTACTTATTAAATATGTATTTATATAAATACATATTTAAATTATATATGATTTATTTCTTTATTTATATTATATATAATTTAAATATATAGGCCGGGGTGGTGGCTTGAGCCTGTAATCCTCAGCACTTCGGGACGCCAAAGCAGGCACATCACTCAAGGTCAGGAGTTCAAGACCAGCCTAGCCAACACGGTGAAACCCTGTCTCTACTAAAAATACAAAAATTAACCAGGCATGGTGGTGGGCACTGTAATCCCAGCTACTTGGGAGGCTGAGGCAGAAGAATCACTGGAGCCCAGGAGATGGATGTTGCAGTGAGCTGAGATTGTGCCACTGCACTCCAGCATGGGTGACAGAGCAAGACTCCGTCTCTCTCTCTCTCTCCACATATATATATATAATTTAAAATATATGTATATACACACTATATATATTTTAAATTATGTGGTACATATATATACCATTTAATTAAATGGTATGTACCTATATATATACACATACTATTACAAGAAGAATGACAAACCATCCTCCTGTAGCCACTAAATTACTGTGGTAAATTTAGCTTGTTGACCTACTGTAACATGTGAAATATACCGTGTTTCACATCAGAGGTAGATTAGTGCTGGTGTGGGATCAATGTGGTAGCTTGGTCTTCTTGGTACCAATTTCTTACATCTTTATTGTAATCACATTTTTATATATGTATTATATATGTATATATAAAATACTTTTTATAGAATGATCATAAGAATGAAATATATGATCATGTTTGTGAAAGTGACTGTCATGAGGTGGGTGGGTAATCTGTGAATGCTTCTGAATCATGACATTTCAGGCTGAGTTCTAGGGGAAACATGTTCTGTACATTTGGCCACACATCATAATTTTAGACCATACAGTAAATAGCGAAATGTCTACACTAAAAATATGTAGAAAAAATTATACATGAATACACTTATCAATTGGCAAATTAAAAACACAACTTAATTCATTTATTTCTGAGTTTTAAAAACAATGTATGAGAAATGCTCTGACTTTGTTTAGCAGAAAAGTGACTTACTGAATAGAAAATGCTAAGTGTCTACACTTGAGAATCCACATTAACTAGATAAGTATGAAGGGCAGCTGTGTCAGAGGTCCCTTTCTCTCACCTCCTTATGTTGGAGGTGTTCCTCAACAGTTGAGGAAGAATTAGACTTCCTCCACAATACAGACAGGACCAGTACCTGAATTTCCAGGTTCTGAGAAAAAGAACATGACCTAGAAGCTTCGGCTGACTGTCTGGCATTCCTCATAAATTATGGAAGGCATAATTAATTCTTTTCCATTCTGAATACACATAACTTATCTGTTCTCAAATGCAACTTTGTACTTTATATTCTGTTCTCCCACGTGGTTCTAATGGAGAATGAAATAATTTATATTTTTATTGCAACTTTCCTGGTGCTGTCAAAAATTCCATTGTGTAAACAGCTTTTTAAATGCAATTGACAGAATCCCAACAAGAATTACAAGAGGCATGTGTGAACTCATGTGTCATCTAAGTAATCAACAGAAAGCAGATGTTTAGATGCAAACACAGACTAACCATTTTCTTGTGGCTACTAAATTACTGTGCTGAATTTGGCTTGCTGACCTACTGTGGTATGTGAAAAGTGCCATGCGTGCATGTTCTTTTTTATGCTGGAGGTATATTAGTGCTAGTTTGGGATCTATGTGATACCTTGGTCTTCTTGGTACCAATTTCTTACATCTTTTATTTTAATCGCATTTTAAAAATATTTCTTACATCCTTTATTTTAATATCTTTTTTTTTTTGCAATTTTTTCCTATCTATCAGCTTATTTTTTCCTGTGTAACACTAGAAAAAGGAAATTAGGAGTGCAGTTCCAAGATGGCCAAATAGGAACAGCTCCAGTCTACAGCTCCCAGCGTGAGTGACGCAGAAGATGGCTAATTTCTGCATTTCCAACTGAGGTACCGGATTCATCTCATTGGGGCTTGTCAGACAGTGGGTGCAGGACAGTGGGTGCAGACCACCAAGCGTGACCTAAAGCAGGGCAAGGCATCGCCTCACCCGGGAAGCGCAAGGGGTCAGGGAATTCCCTTCCTAGCCAAGGGAAGCTGTGACAGACGGCACCTGGAAAATCAGATCACTCCCACCCTAACACTGCACTTTTCCAATGGTCTTAGCAAACGGCAAACCAGGACATTATATCCTGTATCTGGCTCGGAGGGTCCCATGCCCATGAAGCCTCACTCATTGCTAGCACAGCATTCTGGGATTGAACTGCATGGCAGCAGTGAGGCTGGGGGAGGGGCACCCGCCATTGCTGAGGCTTGAGGAGGTAAACAAAGCAGCCGGGTAGCTCGAACTGGGTGGAGCCCACCGCAGCTCAAGGAGGCCTGCCTGCCTCTGTAGACTCTACCTCTGGGGGCAGGGCATAGCCAAACAAAAGGCAGCAGAAACTACTGCAGACTTAAATGTCCCTGTCTGACAGCTTTGAAGAGAGTGGTGGTTCTCCCAGCATGGAGTTTGAGATCTGAGAACGGACAGACTGCCTCCTCAACTGGGTCCCTGACCCCTGAGTAGCCTAACTGAGAGGCATCCCCCAGTAGGGGCAGATTGACACCTCACACGGCCGGGTACCCCTCTGAGATGAAGCTTCCAGAGGAACGATCAGGCAGCAACGTTTGCTGTTCAGCAATATTCGCTGTTCTGCAGCCTCCGCTGCTGATACCCAGGCAAACAGAGTCTGGAGCGGACCTCCAGCAAACTCCAACAGACCTGCAACTAAGGGTCCTAACTGTTAGAAGGAAAACTAACAAACAGAAAGGACATCCACACCAAAACCCCATCTGTACGTCACCAGCATCAAAGACCAAAGGTAGATAAAACCAAAAAAGATGGGGAAAAAACAGAGCAGAAAAGCTGAAAATTCTAAAAATCAGAGTGTCTCTCCCCTCCAAAGGAACGCAGCTCCTCACCAGCAATGGAACAAAGCTGGACGGAGAATGACTTTGACGACTTGAGAGAAGAAGGCTTCAGACGATCAAACTTCTCTGAGCTAAAGGAGGAAGTTCAAACGCATCGCAAAGAAGCTAAAAACCTTGAAAAAAGATTAGAAAAATGGCTAACTAGAATAACCAATGTAGAGAAGTCCTTAAATTACCTGAGAGAGCTGAAAACCATGGCACGAGAACTATGTGACAAATGCACAAGCTTCAGTAGCTGATTCGATCAACTGGAAGAAAGGGTATCAGTGATTGAAGATCAAATGAATGAAATGAAGCGAGAAGAGAAGTTTAGAGAAAAAAGAGTAAAAAGAAAGGAACAAAGCCTCCAAGAAATATGGGACTATGTGAAAAGACCAAATCTACATCTGACTGGTGTACCTGAAAGTGACAGGGAGAATGGAACCAAGTTGGAAAACACTGTGCAGGATATTATCCAGGAGAACTTCCCCAACCTAGCAAGGCAGGCCAACATTCAGATTCAGGAAATACAGAGAATGCCGCAAAGATACTCCTCGAGAAGAGCCACTCCAAGACACATAATTGTCAGATTCACCAAAGTTGAAATGAAGGAAAAAATGTTAAGGGCAGCCAGAGAGAAAGGTTGGGTTACCCACAAAGGGAAGCCCATCAGACTAACAGCTGATCTCTCGGCAGAAACTCTGCAAGCCAGAAGAGAGTGGGGGCCAATATTCAACATTCCTAAAGAAAAGAATTTTCAACCCAGACTTTCATATCCAGCCAAACTAAGCTTCATAAGTGAAGGAGAAATAAGATCCTTTACAGACAAGTAAATGCTGAGAGATTTTTTTCACCACCAGGCCTGCCCTAAAAGAGCTCCTGAAGGAAGCACTAAACATGGAAAGAAACAACCGGTACCAGCCACTGCAAAAGCATGCCAAATTGTGAAGACCATTGAGGCTAGGAAGAAACTGCGTCAACCAACGAGCAAAATAACCAGCTAACATCATAATGACAGGATCAAATTCACACATAACAATATTAACCTTAAATGTAAATGGGCTAAATGCTCCAATTAAAAGACACAGACTGGCAAATTGGATAAAGAGTCAAGACCCAACAGGGTGCCATATTGAGGAGATCCATCTCATGTGCAGAGACACACATAGGCTCAAAATAAAGGGATGGAGGAAGATCTACCAACCAAACGGAAAACAAAAAAAGCAGGGGTTGCAATCCTTGTCTCGGATAAAACAGACTTTAAACCAACAAAGATCAAAAGAGACAAAGAAGGCCATTACATAATGGTAAAGGGATCAATTCAACAAGAAGAGCTAACTATCCTAAATATATATGCACCCAATACAGGAGCACCCAGATTCATAAAGCAAGTCCTTAGTGACCTACAAAGAGACTTAGACTCCCACACAATAATAATGGGAGACTTTAACACCACACTGTCAGCATTAGACAGATCGATGAGACAGAAAGTTAACAAGGATATCCAGGAATTGAACTCAGCTCTGCACCCAGCAGACCTAATAGACATCTACAGAACTCTCCACCCCAAATCAACAGAATATACATTCTTCTCAGCACTACATCACACTTATTCCAAAAATGACCACATAGTTGGAAGTAAAGCACTCCTCAGCAAATGTAAAAGAACAGAAATTATAACAAACTGTCTCTCAGACCACAGTGCAATCAAACTAGAACTCAGGATTAAGAAACTCACTCAAAACCGCTCAACTACATGGAAACTGAACAACCTGCTCCTGAATGACTACTGGGTACATAACGAAATGAAGGCAGAAATAAAGATGTTCTTTGAAACCAACGAGAACAAAGACACAACATACCAGAATCTCTGGGACACATTTAAAGCAGTGTGTAGAGGGAAATTTATAGCACTAAATGCCCACAAGAGAAAGCAGGAAAGATCTAAAATTGACACCCTAACATCACAATTAAAAGAACGAGAGAAGCAAGAGCAAACACATTCAAAAGCTAGCAGAAGGCAAGAAATAACTAAGATCAGAGCAGAACTGAAGGAGATGGAGACACAAAAACCCTTCAAAAATCAATGAATCCAGGAGCTGGTTTTTTGAAAAGATCAACAAAATTGATAAACCGCTAGCAAGACTAATAAAGAAGAAAAGAGAGAAGAATCAAATAGATGCAATAAAAAATGATAAAGGGGATATCACCACCAATCCCACAGAGATACAAACTACCATCAGAGAATACTATAAACACCTCTACACAAATAAACTAGAAAATCTAGAAGAAATGGATAAATTCCTCGACACATACACCCTCCCAAGACTAAACCAGGAAGAAGTTGAATCTCTGAATAGACCAATAACAGGCTCTGAAATTAAGGCAATAATTAATAGCTTACCAACCAAAAAAAGTCCAGGACCAGACGGATTCACAGCCGAACTCTACCAGAGGTACAAAGAGGAGCTGGTACCATTCCTTCTGAAACTATTCCAATCAATAGAAAAAGAGGGAATCCTCCCTAACTCATTTTATGAGGCCAGCATCATCCTGATACCAAAGCCTGGCAGAGACACAACCAAAAAAGAGAATTTTAGGCCAATATTCCTGATGAACATTGATGCAAAATCCTCAATAAAATACTGGCAAACTGAATTCAGCAGCACATCAAGAAGCTTATCCACCATGGTCAAGTGGGCTTCATCCCTGGGATGCAAGGCTGGTTCAACATATGCAAATCAATAAATGTAATCCAGCATATAAACAGAACCAAACACAAAAACCACGTGGTTATCTCAAAAGATGCAGAAAAGGCCTTTGAGAAAATTCAACACCCCTTCATGCTAAAAACTCTCAATTAATTAGGTATTCATGGGACGTATCTGAAAATAGTAAGAGCTATCTATGACAAACCCACAGCTAATATCATACTGAATGGGCAAAAACTGGAAGCATTCCCTTTGAAAACTGGCACAAGACAAGGATGTCCTCTCTCACCACTCCTATTCAACATAGTGTTGGAAGTTCTGGCCAGGGCAATCAGGCAGGAGAAAGAAATAAAGGGCATTCAATTAGGAAAAGAGGAAGTCAAATTGTTCCTGTTTGCACATGACATGATTGTATATTTAGAAAACCCCATTGTATCAGCCCAAAATCTCCTTAAGCTGATAAGCAACTTCAGCAAAGTCTCAGGATACAAAATCAATGTGCAAAAATCACAAGCATTCTTAAACACCAATAACAGACAGAGAGCCAAATCATGAGTGAACTCCCATTCACAATTGCTTCAAAGAGAATAAAATACCTAGGAATCCAACTTACAAGGGATGTGAAGGACCTCTTCAAGAACTACAAACCACTGCTCAACAAAATAAAAGAGGACACAAACAAATGGAAGAACATTCCATGCTCATGGATAGGAAGAATCAATATCATGAAAATCGCCATATTGCCCAAGGTAATTTATAGATTCAATGCCATCCCCATCAAGCTACCAATGACTTTCTTCACAGAATTGGAAAAAACTACTTTCAAGTTCATATGGAACCAAAAAAGAGCCCACATTGCCAAGTCAATCCTAAGCCAAAAGAACAAAGCTGGAGGCATCACACTACCTGACTTCAAACTATACTACAAGGCTACAGTAACCAAAACAGCATGGTACTGGTACCAAAACAGAGATCTAGACCAATGGAACAGAACAGAGCCCTCAGAAATAATACCATACATCTACAACCATCTGATCTTTGACAAACCTGACAAAAACAAGACATGGGGAAAGGATTCCCTATTTAATAAATCATGCTGGGAAAACTGGCTAGCCATATGTAGAAAGCTGAAACTGGATCCCTTCCTTACACCTTATACAAAAATTAATTCAAGATGGATTAAAGACTTGAATGTTCGACCTAAAACCATAAAATCCTTGGAAGAAAACCTAGGCAATACCATTTAGGACATAGGCATGGGCAAGGACTTCATGTCTAAAACACTAAAAGCAATGGCAACAAAAGCCAAAATTGATAAATGGGATCTAATTAAACTAAAGAGCTTCTGCACAGCAAAAGAAACTACCATCAGAGTGAACAGGCAACCTACAGAATGGGAGAAAATTTTTGCAATCTACTCATCTGACAAAGGGCTAATATCCAGAATCTACAAAGAACTCAAACAACTTTACAAGAAAAACACAAACAACCCCATCAAAAAGTGGGCAAAGGATGTGAACAGACACTTCTCAAAAGAAGACATTTATGCAGCCAAAAGACACATGAAAGAATGCTTATCATCACTGGCCATCAGAGAAATGCAAATCAAAACCACAATGAGATACCATGTCATACCAGTTAGAATGGTGATCGTTAAAAAGTCAGGAAACAACAGGTGCTGGAGAGGATGTGTAGAAATAGGAACACTTTTACTGTAAACTACTTCAACCATTGTGGAAGACAGTGTGGTGATTCCTCAAGGATCTAGAACTAGAAATACCATTTGACCCAGCCATCCCATTACTGGGTATCTACCCAAATGATTATAAATCATGCTGCTATAAAGACACATGCACACGTATGTTTACTGCAGCACTATTCACAATAGCAAAGACATGGAGGCAACCCAAATGTCCATCAACGATAGACTGGATTAAGAAAATGTGGCACATATACAGCATGGAATACTATGCAGCCATAAAAAAGGATGAGTTCATGTCCTTTGTAGGGACATGGATGAAGCTGGAAACCATCATTTTCAGCAAACTATCACAAGGACAAAAAACCAAACACCGCATGTTCTCACTCATAGGTGGTAATTGAACAATGAGAACACATGGACACAGGAAGGGGAACATCACACACCGTGGCCTGTTGTGGGGTGGGGTTGGGGAGGGATAGCATTAAGAGATATACCTAATGTAAATGATGAGTTAATGGGTGCAGGACACCAACATGGCACACATATACATATGTAACAAACCTGCATGTTGTGCACATGTACCCTAGAACTTGAAGTATAATAATAAAAAAAAGAAAAAGGAAATTACTAAAGGACATTATTATCTTATAATTTCTATTTTCTAATTAAATCATATCTTACAAAATTTATCCTTGGCCAGGTGCAGTGGCTCATGCCTGTAATCCCAGCACTTTTGGAGGCTGAGGCAGGTGGTTCATGAGGTCAGTAGTTCAAGACCAGCCTGGCCACGATGGTGAAACCCCGTCTCTACTAAAACTACAAAAATTAGCCAGGCGCAGTGGCAGGTGCCTGTAATCCCAGCAACTCAGGAGGCTGAGGCAGGAGAATCACTTGAACCAGGGCTGTGGAGATTGCAGTGAGCCGAGATCGTGTCACTACACTCCAGCTTGGGTCACAGAGTGAGACTCCATCTCAAAAAAAAAAAAAAAAAAAAATTCCTCTAAAACTTTCACTGGTGGTAAATATTTATATAATACTTGACAATTTATAATGTTCAGTTTTTCCTTTGACCTTTACAGCAACACTGTGAGAAAGGCAGGGTAAGAATGGCTACCTCCACCGCCACCCTGACCCCCATTTTACAAATTAGGAAACTGAAGTTAGAAATTCTAGAAAGAATGTAAAATGACTTGCTGGTTGTTCATTCTAAATAACTACAAATATCTTTTTTCAATGACAAAACGTCCTTTTTCAGCTTCCTGTGGTTTTCTTGAGTTCTAAATTATTACCCAAAAGAAACCCTAAAGAAGTGAAGTTCATAGTACATGTTCTCATATGTTTAAACCCTACTGCAACAAATACTATTATAAAGAAGTTAATGAAAATAATAAGAGTAACATGTTAATCATGATTATTATATATCAGGTAATGTATTAAGTGCTTTATGTGTTTCATCTCCTTTAATCCTTACGACTTCTCTAAGCAGAGAGGAATTATTATCTCTGTCTTACAAATAAGGGAAATACATTTGGAGAGATCTAGCCACTTGTCCAAAATCATGGACACAGTATTGTTGAATTTTGTAACAGACCCAGCTCAATCTGACTCCAAGCCCAGAACTCTTAAGAAGTGCTTTAAGGCCAGGCGCAGTGGCTCACGCCTGTAATCCCAGAACTTTGGGAGGCCAAGACGAGTGAATCACCTGAGGTCGGGAGTTTGAGATCAGCCTGACCAACATGGAGAAACCCTGTCTCTACTAAAAATACAAAATTAGCTGGGCATGGTGGCACATGCCCGTAATCCCAGCTACTGGAGAGGCTGAGGCAGGAGAATCGCTTGAACCCGGGAGGCGGAGGTTGCGGTGAGTGGAGATCGTGCCATTGCACTCCAGCTTGGACAACAAGAGCAAAACTCCATCTCAAAAAAAAAAAAAAAAAAAAAAAGAAGTGCTTTAACAAAACTAATTCTACATCTGTGCTGATGATGCAAAATAAAGGTATTTGTAGATCTCTCTACAAATAATTGTCTTTTTCAAAAAAATTCAGTAGTATATTGCTGGTGCAATTGCAAAATGATACTGCCACTTTGAAAAACAGCTGATCAATCTCTTGATTGACAAAGAGTAAGCATACACCTTGATAAAGGTAAGCATACACATAGCATATGACACAGCAATCCCATTCCTGGGTATTTCCTCAAGAGAAATGAAAACACATGTCTGCAGCAAGACCTGAGTTGGAATATTCATAGTAGCTTTATTCATGATAGCTCCAGACTGGAATAACCCAAATGTCTACTAACTGATGAATGGATAAAAATACAAAAATTAGCTGGGTGTGGTAGTGCATGCCTGTAATCCCAGCTACTCAGGAGGCTGAGGCAGGAGAATCATCTGAGCCTGGGAGGTGGAGGTTGCAGTGAGTCGAAATCTCACCACTGCACTCAAGCCTGGGCAACAGAGCGAGATTCTCAAAAAATAAAAAATAAAGGACAAGGAATGGAATTTCACGCAAAGAACTCCTCAAAACAATGCTTTCCAAGCTTAGGTGATATGGTTTGGCTCTGTGTCCCCACCCAAATCTCATTTTAATTGTAATCCCCAGGTGTTGAGGAAGGAACCTGGTGGGAGGTGATTGGATCATGGGGACAGTTTCCCCCATGCTGTTCTTGTGATAGTTGAGTGAGTTTTCACAAGATGTGATGGTTTTATAAATGGCAGTTTCCCCTGCACATTCACTCTCCCTCTCTCCTGCCATCTTGTAAAAAAGGGTCTGTTTCCCCTTCCACTGTGATTGTAAATTTCCTGAGGCCTCCCCAGCCATGCGGAATTGTGAGTCAATTACACTTCCTTTGTTTATAAATTACCCAGTCTCAGGTAGTATCTTTATAGCAGTGTGAAACCGGACTAATACACTAAGGGATGATGAGAACCCTTGGGAGAGGCTTATTCAAACTGCAGGTCCCTCTCTTGAAGATTCGGACTTAGGAGGTCCAGAACTCCTCTGTGGAGTCCAGGATTCTGCAGTTTAAATAGGCTTATGAGGGATTACAATCAGGGGAATTTGGGTAACAGTACAGAAAAACAAACCTGCTTATAACCAAGGAACCAGGCTATCCGGTGGGATTTATAGGGGTATTTGCCCAATCTGAATCTGTAATTTGAAGCTGCTTTAAGGACACACAACAAAGTCTCTTTATGATCCCTGTTATGAAGCAATTACTATTGCTCTGGGACTCAGCTGAGTCTCCTCCTGCAGGAGCTCCATTCAAAGTGGCTGATGTGCTGGGTGTGCCAGGACAAGACTAAAGAAGCTCCTGGCTTGTACAGATCCACTGTGGCCCTTCACAAGGTGGGTGTAAGGCAGAGTCTCAGCTGTTTTCTGAGCAGCAGCTTCCAAGCACACACTGAAGACACCCACCCAGCCTATGCCCCTTTATGAGGCTGAACCAGTGCCTCAAGTAGGAAAAAAGCTTAGAAACTGAAGGGAGAAGTACACTTAATATTCTCAAAACAGGTATTGATCTTTTTTAAAATTTCTTTTTTCAGGAAAACTTTAGCCAGGAGTAGAATGAACGTCAGATAAATATCTCGAAATAGCTGAAGAGTGCTCATGTGGAAGACAGAATTGGCCTTTCCCCGTGCTCTCCTGAGGGACAGAGGTTTGGCTTTTGCCCCATGCTCCTGAGTGGGTAGAAGCTATGGAGAGGGGGTATTTTGGGCTTGACAAAAGGAAGAACAAATAGAAAGAACAAGGAATTACAGCCAGACCAGCTGCTGCTTACCTGCTGGCCCTGCCCTCACTCACTCACTGTGGGAACTTGGGCAAGCAGTTAAGCTCTCTGCATTTCCTCATTTGCAAAATGGAAATAACAACATTTGCAGGGCTGTGGCAGGGATTAAATGAATTATTTGTAAAGCTCTTAGCAGAGTGCTGGGCACATAATCAGAGCTCCATATGGGGTAGATTATAAAAATAAGAACAGTCAAGGCTGAGAAAGGTGAAGGGGTTGCCTAAAGTGGAAGTCAGTTTCCCATCACCACAGGTGTGCAAGCACAGTCTCCACTCACCCTTAGGAAGGGATGAGTGAGCAGCAGGGAGAGGTCTAAGCATCACTTGAGTGGTTGGATAGGGAAACATTTGAGCAATTTTATGGCTCTTAGAGAAGGTAGGGAACATATTTTTGTGCTTATAAAAAAATTGTTCTTTTGCTTTTACTGAAAACATTTACTCTCTCTATGCGGCCAGCCTTTAACCTTTGAGTTTAAAAATCTGAGGCCTCATGATTTCTACTGGGAAGTTAAGACATTACACAATGTTCACTCCTATTCCATCTTTAATAACAAAGCTTGGAATGTGAATCCCAAAACAAAGTTATGGCAAAATACATACCAGAATAGCAAGGAAAATAACCATACAGAAGTTTTGATGGACATGCCCACTGCATAAACAATGCTGTTACCTCTAGAACATTTAAGGAAACAGTATTATCTGTGAGTCTTGGGATGCTGGAACTGTAAGTTTTCCTAAATGCATCATACAGATGCCCCAATGTTTGCAAAAATTGGAATAAAGGTAAAAGGAAAACAGTATGGACTTCCTGTAAGCCTACTGAAAATTTGTGTCAGATATTTTAAATTAAAAATAGTACATTAGGCCAGGTGTGGTGGCTCATATCTGTAATCCCAGCACTTTGGGAAGCTGAGGCAGGTGGATCACCTGAGGTCAGGAGTTTGAGACCAGCCTGGCTGGTGAACATGGTGAAACCCTCTACTAAAAATACAAAAATTAGCTGGGCGTGGTGGCACACATCTGTAATCCCTGCTACTCAGGAGGCTGAGACATGAGAATAGCTTGAACTCAGGAGGCAGAGGTTGCTGTGAGCCAAGATCTCATCACTACACTCCAGCCTGGGTGACAAAGCAAGATTCTGTCTCAAAAAAATAAAAATAGTACATGCATTTATATCTCTTCTGTCCAAAAGACCACCAGTCAAGACATATGAAAAATGTATATATATGTATGTTATTATAGTCCAAAGAAGAGGAGGCAACAGCCACTTAGAATTATAAAAGTTCTGAAGCTGGCACAGTGGCTCATGCCTGTAATTTCAGCACTTTGGGAGGGTAAAGTGGGAAGATTACTTGAAGCCAGGAATTCAAGACCAGTCTGGGCAACATAGTGAGACCTCTGTCTGTACAAAATATAAAGTAAAATAAAATATTTCAAAAAAGTGGATATAGGAGTAGTGACTGGTAGAACAGAGCTGAGAAAGCTGAAATCTAAGAACTTTCAAAGAGAGGCATCAATGAGAAGCAAGCCAGTTCACACTACAGAAAACTAGGATATCTCAGGAATTAAGAGTGTTAGGTATTTTGGAAAATGTAGGTTAATTATGGAAATAAAAACAGAGGACTGGTTGAAAGTTATGGAAAGAGAATTTATAATGCCATGTTTTCCCCTCCCCCACCCAGCAGGGAACTACTCCTTCCACCCCCACCAACACTCCCACCCCCGTAGTCTGGAAATTACACACTTATTCTCTGAGAAAAGTGGACATAAGAGGCTCTCTATTCTGGGACATCAGCACATCTTAGATCTTAGGGAAGGGTGGAAGGGAGATGTTCCACTGAAAATAGGAAGATGGAGTAAAAGTTTGAGTAGTAAACTAAGAGTCCCTCAGTCTCTTTCTCTACTGGAAAACAAATGGCAGCCAGTAAAGTAGCACACAGGTGGAAGACTGGAGTCTTTTTCTTTGAAAGAAATGTGAAGATTCCAAAGAAAAGGTCTACAAACCCTGACATTTTAGGACCTGCAATTAAAGAACAGCTTACCACTTGATCTCTCTAGAGCAGGGACTGCCATTAAACAACTATCAATGAGCTCCATAATATGTCACTATTAAATTTGATCAGACAATTAAGGTCAGCAGATTCCTCCAAGATAAAAGACAAAACAAAACACACAAGAAAAGAAAAAAAGGATCTAGAGGAAATAGAGATATTACAGAGAGCAGAATATTAAAAGAATTCTAATATCCTCCAAAAAATGGGAGAAAACATGAAACAAGAATAGGGTGTTATGAAAAAACAATTTGAGTATTGAAAAAGTGCCCTTGATAGCTGAAATAAAAATTCAACAGAAAGATTGGAAGATAAAATATCTCCCAGAGAGTTGATGAAAAAGACAAAAAATAGGCAATAGGAGAGAAAATATCAAAAAAGTTAGAGTCAATCTAGAAAGTTCTATATCTGACTAATAGGAGTCAAGAAAGAGAGACCAGAAAAAAATAAAGGAAATTATTAAATATATAATAAAAGATATTTCTCAGTATTTAATGAAATCATTCTCCAGATTGAACATGAGAATTGTATGCCCAACCTAATGAATGAACAAGGTTCACCAAGTCACATTATTTTAAATTATGATGGAAATTACACTGAAAATAAAGAGTAGATCCTAAAAATTTCCAGAGAAAGCAAAATAGTGCGGGAAAAAAGTGAAAATTTAAAGAGTAGGAAACAGAATACTATCGGATTTATCAACAGCAACATCAGAACTTAAAAGACAATAGAGCTACCAAAATTATAAGTCAAAGAGATATAGAATTCTATGCCCAAACAAACTGTCAAGTATGAGGGTAAAATGACATTTTAAGACATCCTAGGTCTCAAAAACTTTACATTTCAGCAACTACTAAAAATGTGCTACACCAAAATGAGGGTATAAAACAAGAAAGAGGAACACGTGGGATTCAGAAAATGGGATCTGTGCAGACCTAGAAAGGCACTGCTCAAGGCCGGGCATGGTGGCTTATGCCTGTAATCCCAACACTTTGGAAAGCTGAGGTGGGTGGATCACCTGAGGCCAGGAGTTCGAGACCAGCCTAACTATCATGGCGAAATCCCATCTCTACTAAAAATACGAAAATTAGCTGGGTGTGGTGGTGCATGCCTGTAATCCCAACTACTTGGGAGGTTGAGGCAGGAGAATAGCTTGAATCTGGGAGGCAGAGGTTGCAGTGAACCAAGATCGCACCATTGCACTCCAGCCTTGGCGATAAGAGCAAAACTCCGCATAAACAAAACAAAACAAAACAAAACAAAACAAAACAAAACAAAACAAAAAGCACTGCTCAGATCCCCTTCAGAAAATGACTTGTTGCTCTTGCTGCCCAACCAAAAAGGGTGTGATTAGCTGACAACCTATAGCTAGTAGTTCCTTTGGGATCTGCCTCAACTTTTGAGCCAAGGTCACATTTTTCTTGGGGTAGCCCTTAGTCAATGACTAAGCAAGATGTTGAAGAAATAACGTGGGCGTCTAAAAAGGCAGTGTTTGCACTGGCGCTCCCCATTGGACGGGTGGAATCTTTGTCAGGTTTGCAACTCAGGGCAGCAGCTCCCCTGTCCAATCCTTAATTCCCTTTTCCTTTCAGAGCAATTGCTCTTCCATAAATCTTTTGCACTCTTAACTCTGTGTTAACGACCTGCTTAGGCTAGAAGAGCTCTGGGCTCTGAAAAGGTAACCTCTAGGTTAAAAAATCTGATTAGATAATCTGATAGATTCTACCATGTAGAAAATTGTTTTAAGAGGAATTTTATAATTTTGTGAGAGGATCTAGAAAGACTAAGGGACACATATGTACAAGAGTAAAAGTAAGAAAAAAAGAAATGCAAATAATAACTGCAGATAGGCAAAAAATTATAAAATGGAGGAAATTATACTACTTAACTTGCCTGGGAACATAAAATGTAAAAACTAAATATCAATTTATTTATTTTTATTTTTAAAATTTTTGAGACAGAGTCTCACTCTGTCACCCAGGCTGCAGTGCAGTGGCATGATCTCAGCTCAGTGCAACCTCCACCTCCTGGTTTCAAGCAATTGTCGTGCCTCAGCCTCCTGAGTAGCTGGAACCACAGGAGTGTGCCACCATGCCTGGCTAATTTTTGTAAGTTTAGTAGGGATGGGGTTTCACCATGTTGGCCAGGCTAGTCTCAAACTCCTGGCCCCAAGCCTCAGCCTTCCAAAGTCCTGGGATTACAGGCATGAGCCACCGCACCTAGCCAAATATCAATTGAATTAAAAAGTTGTGACACTATATTGAGACAAGGCAAGTGGGGATGTTAGAGAAAGAGAGCTAAATCCCCATTCTGCCATTTGTTAGAAAGTCAAGAGATAACATCTAAAATTGATGTGTCTGTAATGGCAGTGTAAATATGGCAAATATCAGAAGAAATAGCTGAAGTTCAAAGTTCTGCCTCTGAGGCATGAGACTAAAGCGTGAAGTAGAGGAATGCAGTCCTCCTTCATGAGCCTTTAAATACAATTTGGTTTATATTTGTTTAGATAAAATATTAAAAAATTAATTTACAAAAAGAATGTTAACTCATAGGCTAGAAGTAGAAACCTCATTAATAGGCATTGGTTCCCAGCAGGAATCTGCAGAAATACAGAGGGAAGAATGGTGGGGGGAGGCGCCATAGCCTGAAATGGCCCTAGTCCCAGGCACCAGCCCCAGTGTAGTGCATGGGGCTGCAAGGTCTCCTCTGCTCAGAGGCTGTGATTCTGTATGTTATAAACTGAGTGATATGGTTTGGCTCTGTGTCCCCACCCAAATCCCATCTTGTAGCTCCCATAATTCCCACGTGTTGTGGGAAGGACCTAGTGGGAGATAATTTAATCACAGGGGCGAGTCTTTCCCATGCTGTTCTCATGTTAGTGAATAAGTCTGATGAGATCTGATGGTTTTAAAAACAGGAGTTTCCCTGCACAAGCTCTCTCTTTGCCTGCTGCCATCCATGTAAGAAATGACTTGCTCCTCCTTGCTTTCCACCATGATTGTGAGGCCTCCCCAGCCACGTGGAAATGTGAGTCCATTAAACATTTTTCCCATATAAATTAACCAGTTTCGGGTATGTCTTTATTAGCAGCATGAAAACAGACTAACACACTGAGAGTCCCTGATCAGCAAGTTCTTCCTCCATTAACTCTACCCACTGGCTTATCAAAGATGGAATTTTCTGGCCTGTTGAGGGGATATTCTTGAGTCTGGAATTTACTTATTGGAAAAGAAGAGAAACAGAATTGTTATCAGCCATCTGGCTAGGGGGAAATTCAAATACAATAATAAAAGAAAGAGAGAGAAAACATCCAATTCAGTGGGCTGCTTTTGTCAGGAAATCTTATTAAACTGCTGCTCTGTGCTCAGTGTCCATGATAAAGAGCATCAAGGCAGCTTTGGACAGAGATTTAAAAGCAGGGGCAGATGAGGAAAGTCCAGCAGGTCAGGGTAAGGAAGAAACACTGTATTTGCTCCCCATACTGATGATCAGATTATAATGGGGAAGCTTGCTTCAGATAAGGCATGGTGACTCATAATTTTATCATTTTGAGAATGCAATATAAATAAATCCATACAATATGTGACCTTTCATGATTGGCTTTTTTTCACTCAGCATAATGCCTTTGAGGTCCATCCAAGTTTTTGCATGTATCAATAATTAAGCACAATAGCTTGTTTAACCATTCTCCTATTAAAAGACATTTTGGTTGTTTCCAGTTTGGGGCTACTACAAGTAAACCTGCAGTGAACATTATGTCAAGGTTTTGTATGGATATAAGTTTTAATTTATTTGGCATAAATTTCCAGGAGTGCAATGCTGGGATAGTAAGAATATGTTTAGCTATGTAGAAAACTGCCATCCTGGCTGGGCATGGTGGCTCATGCTTGGGGGTTCAGCACTTTGGGAGGCCGAGGCAGGCAGATCACTTTAGGTCAGGAGTTCAAGACCAGCCTGGCCATCATGGGGAAAACCCGTCTCTACTAAAAATAGAAAAATTAGCCAGGTGTGGTGGCGTGCGCCTGTAGTCCCAGCTACCTGGGAGCCAAGGCAGGAGAAGGGCTTGAACCCAGGAGGCAGAGGCTGCAGTGAGCCGAGATTATGCCACCGCACTCCAGCCTGGGCGACAGAGCAAGACTCCATCTCAAAAAAAAGAGAAACAAAATGAAAAGAAAACTGCCTTTCTATTTTTCAGAGTATCTGTGTCATTTACATCCCCACCAGCAATATATGAAAGGTCCACTGTCTCCACATTCTCACCAGCCTTTGGTATTGTTTTATTTCTTTTTTGAAAGATCAGAAACTTCCTGCTGCCTTCCATTTTTTCTCTTAAAAAAATCAGTATTATGTCTGTATATAAAACCTTATGTACAGGCTGGGCATGGTGGCTCACTCCTGTAATCCCAGCCCTTTGGGAGGCTGAGGCAGGTGGATTACTTGAGTTCAGGAGTTCAAGACCAGCCTGGTCAACATGGTGAAACCCCATCTCTACTTAAAAAAAAAATTAGCCAGGCATGGTGGTGAAGGCCTGTAATCCCAGCTACTTGGGAGGCTGAGGGAGGAGAATTGCTTGAACCTGGGAGGCAGAGGTTGCAGTGAGCGGAGATTGAGCCACTGCAATCCAGCCTGGGTCACAAAGCAAGACTCCATCTCAAAAAAAAAAAAAACCCACAAAAAAACCTATGTACATTTAAAGCATAATAGTAAAACAAACACCTGTTAACACACCATCCAATTTAAAAACTAAAGCATTACCAAACCTAATTCCACCCCTCTGCCTTTCCCACTAAGAAGGTAACCACGCTACTGACAGTGTAAACCAGTTCTCTGGGAAAAAACACTGATTTGCAGTTCTTGTCAACTTCCATGGTGTAAATAATCCCATGTGACTGATGTCAAGCTACCAACCTAAAGTAACTGAGTGCGGAGCTGGAAGAGATGTGTGTAGTCGGTTGTGGCAAGCCTGTACAAATCTGTTCCAGCACCACTGTTGCTAAACTTGGTATTTATCATTCCAAGAAAAAAATGCGCATGCACACACACACACACACACACACACACACACACAGTGATAGGCTGAACAATGAACCTGAGATGCCTACATTCTAATCCCTGGAACCTGGAAATGTTACAGTGAATGGCAAAGACTTGGCAGATATGATTCAGTTAAGGCTCTTGAGCTGGGGAGATGATCCTGGATTATCCAGTTGGGCCCTAAATACAATCACAAGTGTCCTAATGAATTGAGGCAGAGGGAGGATCGACTACAGAAGAGAAGGCCATGTGACCACAAAGCAGACACTGGAGGGATATGGCCAAGGAATGCTGGCAGCCACAAGAAACTGGAAGAGGCAAGGAACACATTCTTCCCCAGGGCCTCTGGAGGAAGCACAGTGCTGCCAAGGCCTTGATTTTTAGCCCAGTGAAATGGATTTCAGACTTCTGGCCTACAGAACTGTGAGAGCATAATATAATAATCTGTTGCTTTAAACCACCAAGTTTGTGGTAATTTGTTACAGCAGTGACAGGAAACTAATACACACACACACACACACACACACACACACACAGTGTTTTCTACAAATTACCAAAATATCTATAATATTCACGTAGCTAGATTTTATCTTTATACAATTGCTATGTTCTTATCCAGAGAGATTCCAGGACTTGAGTTTTTTTCACTCAGCATTGTTTCTAAGATTTATTCATTTTACTTCATGTAGCTGTAATTCCTTTATTTTCACTATTGGTTAATATATTCCATCATGGCCGGGTGTGGTGGCTCACACCTGTAATCCCAGCACTTTGGGAGGCTGAGGTGGGTGGATCACGAGGTCAGGAGATCGAGACCATCCTGGATAACACAGTGAAACCCCATCTCTACTAAAAATATAAAACATTAGCTGGTCATGGTGGTGGGCACTTGTAGTTCCAGCTACTTGAGAGGCTGAGGCAGGAGAATTGCTTGAACCCGGGAGGCAGAGCTTGCAGTGAGCTGAGATTGTGCCACTGCACTCTAGCCTGGGCGACAGAGTGAGACTGCGACTCAAAAAATAAATAAATAAATTATATATATATATATATATAAAATCATGTATTACTTATCCATTCTCGGTAGGATTTAGGTAGTCTCCTTTATCAGATTAAAGAAGACTGGTTTTTCCCCTGAACTGAGATGATACCCAGGATATTACATTTGCTTTATTCTTTCAATCAAAGATTGGGTGAGGTAACAATTGTGGGAGGTAACAAGTTGCATTGAATGTTATAAGATTCCAGGATTCCAAATACTCCACCGAGAGTACATGTGAGTCATCTTACAGATAAGGAGAGTGGGGTAAGGTACATTAGGGTGTGATGTGGGCAGGGTCTCTCCTCATCAGCCTGGAAATGTGCTCACCCACAGGAGAGAGACCGCCTGCTCCCTGCCACACCCACACCCAGCACACAAACAGTACCCAGAAGGCACGCAATCAGTGAGGAAAGAGTTGGGGCCACTCTGGTTGAGGAAGAGCTGGATGAGGGTGGAAGGCTGGCCTGAGACACAGTGACTCACCAATGTGAGGATGGCCCATTAGATGCAACTCAAGAACAAGATGGTTTCAAAAAAGATGTCTGGCTTCTAGCTGGACAAAAGACCCTTGTTTCCCTGAATATCCAGAAAGATAAAAGGCATAAATGAATCGGAATTAACCACGGATGACTCAGCCTCAGGTCACATGGGTGAGTGTTCATGAGACATTTTTCTCCTTCTGCTTTGGAAGGTTTGCCTGGGGCAGTCTTGCTCGACTGGTAGGTGAATCAGCTTGCAAGCCTGAGTGTCATCACAGCTCTCACTGTTCAGCCTCCTATTTATTTACCCCTTACCACATAGGTGAGCTCCTTCCTCAGTTTCACTAAAATTATCCCTTCCTGTGAGAATCGCAGAATTTATGGATGGTTTCAGGGGGACATGGAAGGTATATCTCATTTTGCTCCATAGCCCAAGCAAATGAAAACCCAATTTTTCAAATTAACCCTCTCTCAAGTTTTACCTCGGAATTGCTGAGTCAAAGAGCAGGAACATCTCTGATTTTGGTATACTCCCTTGGAGCACCATCATAGTCAGCCCATGAAATCAAAAGTGCTTTATATGGCAGAGCACCTCCTTACTCCACCAGAGGCAGGGCCACCGACAAGAGTGGCCTTAAGTAAGGGAAGACACAGCCGGGCAGGTACGCCTGGCAGGCTTCAAGTGGGCCACAGCGGATACCTTAGACATGTCCTGGGCAAAGGCTTCCTTATGCCCATCCCATGGCACCGTCTCTGGGGCTGGGAAGCTGGCAGACTTGACCCCTCCCCATCAGCCTTCCCACACATTTATAGGCACCTCTCAACTGTTCAACATATGGTCCTCTAGCCTGGGGATGACTTACATTTTTTTTCCTTCATTTTTTTCTACTGTTTGCCCTTTGGCCACCTAATTTGTCATATGATTGACTCCAGAGACTGGGTGAAAATCCGATGGATGATATGTGATCAAGAAAGATAAAAGGATAAGATAGCCCTAGCTACCCACATTATCTCTGGCCCTTATCATTTAGAGACAATCTTTATTTTTTTGAGATGGAGTCTCACTCTGTCACCCAGGCTGGAGTGCAGTGGCACCATCTCGGCTCACTGCAGCCTCCGTCTCCTGGGTTCAAGTGATTTTCCTGCCTCAGCCTCCCAAGTAGCTGGGATTACAGGCACATGCCACCATGCCCAGCTAATTTTTGTATTTTTAGTAGAGATAGGGTTTCACCATGTTGCCCAAACTAGTCTCAAACTCCTGACCTTAGGTGATCCACCTGCCTCAGCCTCCCAAAGTGCTGGGATTACAGGCATGAGCCACTGCGCCCAGCCTAGAGACAATTTTGAATGGCCTATATGCTACAACTTCCTGTTCATGAGTTCTTCAGCAGCTTTACTCTCCAGAGCCTGGGGAGGAATTCCACCTAGCTAGAGCACATCAAGACTATATTAAGGTCTCCTGATTTTCTTTTTAATTTTTAAAAATTTTTCTATTTTTTTGAGATGGAGTATCACTCTGTCACCCAGGCTGGAGTGCGGTGGTACAATCTTGGTTCACTGCAACCTCCACCTCCCTGGTTCAAGCAATTCTCCTGCCTCAGCCTCCCGAGTAGCTGGGATTACAGGCACTCACCACCACACCCATCTAATTTTCGCATTTTTAGTGGAGACGGGGTTTCCCCATGTTGACCAGGCTGGTCTCAAACTTCTGACCTCAAGTGATCTGCCCACCTCAGCCTCCCAAAATACTGGGATTACAGGCGTGAGCCACCGTACCCAGCCAGGTATCCTGATTTTCTATCCAAAGTTCTCTTTCTGTTACACCATATCCTATTTTTTAGAGTTGAAATTAAAGACATACTTGTCATCAGCGGTTCAGTAGGGCATTTAGCAGGTCAATCTCCTAGCTCTTATTGTCATGAATAGGCAGATGATAACTCTGAAGGTCTTTGCCAATAGCTGTTAGCAGTCTTTATTTCCATAATCATAGACTGAGACAATAAACTCACTTGCAAGGCAATGTCTAATACCTTTAGTAACAACACTAAGATTGGGTACATCGCCAAGAGCTCCCAACATTTCTAGATCTATTCAAAATCAATGGCTTTCTTTGCAAAGCACAAAGGCAAACACCAAACCATCCAAAATCAATACAGAAGAGTGATAGATAGGGAAATAGGACTGGGTAGCACAAAGGATAAAGAAATAACAAAGCCAAAGGTTATGGAGTGATTGCTTTCTAATTTGTCTTTATAAAAAGAAAAAAGAATCAAATGAGAAATTGGCAAGTTACTGAGTGAAAATGTCAGAAACGTTTTATATTCTAGGGTTTTGCCACATACTGTCTTGCACAATGTTAAAGGAAGTGAAGTTGAAATTGAGAATATTTTCACAAGTCTGAGCCAGCCAGGAAGCCAGGGGAAAATACTCTTAAATTTGGGAAAATTACAGGCCTGCTATTTGACATTAGTTGGAGAAAAACATCAAACCTCAGAACTTATTCTGAGAACCTGAACAAGAGACGTACTTTAAGAAGCCCTGTGCCTTGTCCAGGGGAGCGTAGATCCCCCTAGGACTTAGAAACACTATTGGTAAAGGCCTTTAAGGAAGCCTCCAATGAGGGGAAATGGATAAAGGGGGCTCAGATTTCCTTTTTTTTTCTTTTTCTTTTTTTTTTTTTTGAGACAGGGTCTTGCACTGTCGCCCATGCTAGAGTGCAGTGGTATGATCTCAGCTCACTGCAGCCTTGATGGCCTGGGTTCAAGCAATCCTCCTGCCTCAGCCTCCCAAGTAATTGGGACTACAGGTGCACATCACCATGTGCAGCTAATTTTGTTTATTTTTTGTAGAGATGAGGTCTCACTATGTTGCCCAGGCTGGTCTTGAACTCCTGGACACAAGAGATCCTCCTGCCTCAGCCTTCCAAAGTGCTGGGATTGCAGGAGTAAGCCACTGTGCTGGGCCAGGGGCTCACATTTCTACTAAACCATCTTCTGAATGTGCAGAGAACAATGGCATAGAGAACCTGACCCTAAGGACTGGGGCTGGGGAAGAACACATAAGCGAGGTTGGAGAGCCAGGTCTCCCCCTTAGGCATGGGCCCAGAACCACGGTGAAATTAAAAATAAACAAACTTGCCATTTTGAAAAAGAAAAGTGATCAGGGCATAAGCCTTACCAGATAATAAAACATATTATCAAAATATAATAAGAAAAACTGTGTGGTATTTATAT
Organism: Homo sapiens; assembly: GCF_000001405.40. NCBI lineage: Eukaryota > Metazoa > Chordata > Mammalia > Primates > Hominidae > Homo > Homo sapiens. The sequence goes on from NC_000005.10 coordinate 78,703,091, forward strand.
ATTAATACAAATAGTCATCAAGCACAATGAAACAGCCTAAACATTTTTCACTCTGTTGCCCAGGATGGCTTGATGTGATCCTCCTGCCTCAGAAATGCCATTTCTGAATATAAAACAGAAAATTCAGTATAGAGTCAGCTGGCTTTCAAATCAGTAGGGAAAAATTATCATTTTAAAAATTATATTGAGACAACTGGGTAACCATCCAAACAAAATAAATTCTAGATAGTTGAAACTGTAAAAGAACCATACAATTACTAGAAGAAACAAAGGACACTTTTATTTTTTGTAATCTAGTAGTATAGAGATATAAGACTCAGAAACTATAAAAGACAAGACTGACAAACTTGTCTTTTATGAACATGAAAAGAAAAAATTTCTGCATGGCAACCCCTCTGCATAAGCAGAATCAGAAGAAAAGGCACTGGGAAAAAATGTGCAGTTCAAAATAGAAATAAAGGAGAAAATCCTTTAATGTATAAAGAGCTCCTACAAATCATTAAGAAAAAGACCAATAACCCATGATCACCCTTATACAAAATATAAGAAATACAAATTAAAACTATCATAATAATATAATAAAATATAATTAAGTACTATCTTCTCTTGTTAAACTGGCACAGATGAAAAATCAGATAGGGGCTCCAGAGACAGGTACTGTGTTATTGTTAGTAGAAGTGTGAATATATCCAACTTTCTGGAAGGCAGTTTGGAAAACACCTATCCAAATTATAATTGCACCATCACTTAGGTCCAGAAATTTCACTGTTAGGAATGTAATGTACAGATACTCTTGCACACATGTGAAATAAACTATGTATAAGGGTGTTCTTTATCCCACTATTTATTAATAGGAAAGATTGAACAACTAACTGTGTGAATGGAGTGGTGGTTAAATAAATTTTATTACAGGCTTGGTGGCCCACACCTGTAAGCCCAGCACTTTGGGAGGCCAAGGCAGAAGGATGGCCTCAGGCCAGCCTGGGCAACAGAGCGAAGAATGTTCAGAATTCTAGGCCTGGGTTTGATTCCAGCTCTGCCACTTACTAGCTTGATATCCTGAATGATTATTTAATTTCTCTGAGCCTCTTATTTCTCATCTGTAAAATGGGAATAATAATATGACCTACTACATATGAGTATTGGGAGGATTAAGTGACATAATCCATGTGAAGATCTTAGTCTTGCTCAGAAAATATTGGTTTTCTTTCTTTTCCACCTCTTTATTAAGGAATCACTGGTGTTGTTCGCTACTGAAAGTAAATATAATTAAATTATAAATTATAAAGTAAATATAATCAAATCATGACTGGGAGCCAAGTGTGGTGGCTCACACCTGTAATCCCAGCACTTTGGGAGGCCAAGGCAAGTGGATCACTTGAGGCCAGGAGTTTGAGACCAACCTGGCCAACATGGTGAAACCTGTCTCTACCAAAAAAATACAAAAATTAGCCAGCGTGGTGTTACGTGCCTGTAGTCCCAGCTAACCGGGAGGCTAAGACAAGAGAATCATTTGAACACAGGAGGCAGAGGTTGCAGTGAGCCGAGAGTACCACTGCACTCCAGCCTGGGCAACAGAGCAAGACTCTTGTCTAAAAAAAAAAAAAAAAAAAATATATATATATATATATATAAAATATATATGTGATAAATATATACAAAATATATATTATATGTGATAAATATATACAAAATATATATTATATGTGATAAATATATACAAAATATATATTATATGTGATAAATATATATAAAATATATATTATATGTGATAAATATATATAAAATATATATTATATATGATATTATTATACATTATATGTTATATATATAATATATAACATATATATGTTATATATGTGATAGATGTGTTATATATAATATATATGTGATATATGTGTTATATATAATCAAATCAGTGTAATCCTTGCACGCGTTCAAGAAAACACAGAACAATAAAGTTAGGTGAATTAGAAACAGATCCCAGAATTTTAAAGTGTTTAATGAATCTCATAGCAGGTTCTACAAATTAGTGGGGCAGGTAAGTATTAATTAAGATATAACACTGGGATCTTTGGTTAACCATGTGAATATAAATCAATTTAGTATTCTCACCTCATACCATATACAGCATAAATTTCAGATTAAGTAAAGAATTAAGTGTTTAAATTTTTTTTATTTTTAAGTAATATAAACTCACAGGAAGTTGAAAAGATAGTACAGAGTTCTGTGTACTCTTTGCCCATCTTCCCTTAAAGATAACATCTTCTGTAGCTGCCATATCAAATATCAAAACCAGGAAATGGATCATTATCATTAATTCGAGTACACACTGTGGCCAGTGCGGTGGCTCATGCCTGTAATCCCAGCACTTTGGGAGGCCGAGATGGGCAGATCACTTGAGGTCAGGAGTTCAAGACCAGTCTGGGCAACATGATGAAACCCTGTCTCTACTAAAAATGCAAAAATTAGCTAGGCATGGTGGCGGGCTCCTGTAATCCCAGCTACTCAGGAGGCTGAGGCACGAGAATCGCTTGAACCCAGGAGGTGGAGGTTGTAGCAAGCCAAGGTCGCACCATTGCACTCCAGCCTAGGTGACAGAGCGAGACTCCGTCTCAAAAAAAAAAAAAAAAGAAAAGTACACATTTTGCTTTTTTTCACTGTTTTAAAAATCATGATTTGCGTATGTGTATATGTGTAGTCCTATGCAATTTTATAAGTAAACTTCACTTATTACTTATTTATCTATTCATTTGTTTAAAGGAACTTTATTTTTTTTTTCAGAGCAGTTTTAGGTTCAGAGCAAAATTGAGTGAAAGATACAGAGATTTCCCATATACCTCCTGCCCCGACACAGGCAACATTCCTTACTAGAGTAGCACATCTGTCACAACTGGTTAACCAACCTTGACACATCATTATTACCCAAAATTTGTAGTGTGGGTTTGGACAAACGTGTAGTGACACGGATTCCCCATTATGCCATCATGCAGAGCAGTTTCACTGTCCTAAAAATTTTCTGTGTTCTACCTATTCATTGTTTCTCCTGATCCCTAATCCCTGGCAACCACTGATCTTTTTACAGTCTCCCTAGTTTTGCCTTTTCTACAATAGAATGTCATATAGTTGGAATCATACAGTTTGCAGCCTTTTCAGATTAGCTTCCTTCACTTAGTGATAGGTATTTGTTTCCTCCATGTCTTTTCATAGCTTGATAGCTCGTTTCTTTTTAGTACTGAATGATAGTCCATTGTCTGGTTGTACCACAGTTTATTTATCCATTCACTTGCTGAAGGACATCTTGGCTACCCCCAAGTTTTATGAAAAAAGCTGCTGTAAACATTTATGTGCAGGTTTTTGTATAGACATAAGTTTTGTTCCATGCAACTTTATCCCATTAACAGATCGGTGTAACCACTACCACAAACAAGCTTAAGAACTGTTGCATCACCACAAAAAGACTCCATCATGCTACCTCTTTGTATTTGCATTCACTTCTACCCCTGCTTCCCACTCCTTGCTACTCCCAACCTCCAACACACATACATTCCTGTCCCCTGACAGCCACTAACTATTCTCCATATTAAAGTTTTGTCATTTCAAAAACGTTATGTAATTGAGATCACACAACATGTAACCTTTTGAGACTGTCTCCTTTCACTAAAAATAATACCCTTGAAGTCCATCTAAATTGTTATACGCATCAATAGGTGATTCCTTTTTATTGCCGATGAATATTCTATTTTATGCTTATACCTGAGTTTGTTCAGCCATTCACCAATTGAATGACATTTGGGCTGTTTCCAGTATTTTGCTATTATGAATAAATCTGTTATGAAAACTCACACACAGCCTTTCATGTGAATGTTTTTATTTCTCTAGGACAAAAATTCCAAGAATACAATTGCTGGGTAATATCGTAATGCTCACTTCGGGAAGAAACTACCAAACTATTTTCCAGAATGATTATATCATTTTACATTCTCCCAAACAATGTATGAAAGATCATTTCTCCACATCCTCTCCAGCACTTGGTATTATTTTCTTACATTTTTTATGTCAGCTGCTTCTATAGTTGCGTTAGGAGTTAAATGTTTTAAAAATCTCAAATCTCCAGAAGAAAACTAGAAGAAAACGTGGGTGAAAATTTTCTGATTTCTGGCAGGGGAATTACTTTCTAAAGTTAACAGTTTCAACCAGATGAAACTTTAAAATTTCTAATGCCCCAAAACATCACTGACAACAACAAATATAAGCAACAAATTGGGGAGAAACATCCATGAAAAATCAACCCTGCATTACTGAGACTCCTAAGCCAGGCACCCAGAAACCTACCCTGTTTCTGTGACCCAAGTTCAGCTTGTCTTCGAGAAATTATAGTAGGTGAAAAATTTAAGTTATTGATACAAATTGCAAAAGGCTTTACAGAAATGTTTTATCAGTGTTTGACCTATCAGTAACATATGAAAGTGACTATGAAAATGGCTTTTTAAAGATATATTCTTTTTTTTTTTTTTTTTTTTTGAGACAGGATCTCACCCTGTCGCCCAGGCTGGAGTGAGGTGGTGTGGTCACTGCTCACTGCAGCCTTGACTTCCCAGGTTCGAGGAATCCTCCCACTTTAGCCTCTTGAATAGGTGGGACCACAGATGCATGCCACTATGCCCAGCTAATTTTTTTATTTTTCATGGAGATGGGGTTTGCCATGTTGGCCAGGCTGGTCTTGAACTCCTGGGCTCAAGTGATCCTCCTGCCTTGTCCTCCCAGAGAGCTGGGATTACAGGCATGAGCTACTCTGCCAGCCCAAGATACATTTTTTGAAAAACCAACCCTGGATCTTAATAAATGAGAAAAGGACAGGAAAAAAAAAACCCACAAATGGAATAAAAATTTTAAAACATGAGAAAAATATTGTAAATCATTAAAAATTAAAATTCAAAATTACCTAGGAAAAACATACTTATTAAAATATCAAAAACAGATCATGTATAATACTCAGTCTCACTGGGAGTGGGACGAGGCCAACATTCTTATGCATTGTTCCCTTCTACTGGTTTCCATCTTCCCTGGTCTTATTCCCCTGGTTCCTCACTCCTGCTCTTGGGTATCACTCCCAAGTAAACGACCTGATATGACCTTTGTCTCAGATTCTGCCTGTAAGAGAACCAAGCCATGAGAGTTGGTAACAGTGGTTTTAAAACTCAGACTCTCAGGATGGGATTTTGGAGTACAGTGGTGATAACCTGGGCAGGCAGTAACATCACAATCACCAAGACTGTCACCTGCACAGGTACAGGTAGAAGGTGACACACTGGGTTATGTGACAACTTTGACACTTGAATGGAGTTGAGCCAATAAAATTACAAAGATTTGGGAACTGGTCAGATTTTGTTAACTCTTTGGAAGTCTTGACAAACAAATGATTCAGGTTAGCTAAGTGTCAACTGAGGTATGATGTGAAAGCCAGAGGCCTCTAGCCATTGTAGGGTAGAATGTGGTTAAAATCAGTCCCAGGAACCGATTATAAGGGTGACAGAACTGCAAAGGACAGTTAACTCATGGCTTCAACAAGTCTTTTTTTTTTTTTTTTTTTAACAAATAGGACTTTTTATGTGCCACTATTATAAGTCTGAACTATAAATAGATTCTTGGAACTGGTGGTTCATATCCATCAGCTGGTTCAACTTTAGCACCTGTCTCGTCCCCAGTGGCTTTTCCAGAACTACTGCATTCACCATGAAGCTCCATGAGTTTTCCCAATTCAAACTTGGGCTTCTTCAGCATTTTTAGTCTTCTAACGAAGACATCATGGAGAGGATAAATAGATTGGCAAGCCTTTTCTGTGTCTTTTCAATGCTGTCTGGAATCAATTTATTGACCACTTCTTTCAAGTCATTTCTCTGCACTTATCAGGTCATGATTTCCAAATCTTCTTCCGGATTTGGTAGACCTGTTAATGCTGAGCATAACAGGTCTTCTATATCTGATTGTTGTGGTATTGTTTTTTTTTTTAGTAAAATCAATGCAGAACAGACAAAGCAAGTAACCATTGGTAGTTTTTTTTTGAGATGGAGTCTTACTCTGTCAACCAGGCTGGAGTACAGCAGCATGATTTCGGCTCACTGCAACCTCTGCCTCCCAGGTTCAAGCAATTCTCCTGCCTCAGCCTCTTGAGTAGCTGGGCTTACAGGTGACCACCACCACACCTGGCTAATGTTTGTATTTTTAGTAGAGATGGGGTTTCACCATGTTGATCAGGCTGTTCTCAAACTCCTGACCTCAGGTGATCCACCTGCCTTGGCCTCCCAAAGTGCTGGGATTATAGGCATGAGCCACCGCGCAGTGGTAGTCTTGACATGGACATGACCTTCAATCATTGTCTGCCATTTTTTTGACCATGAAGCACATTTTGTCATGGGTAAGATCCATGGCATGGAAGTTATGCAGTTTTTGCCCAAATATCTTCAAAAATCAGCTTAAATTTTCTAAATGCAACTTCACTATTCTGCAAATCAGCAGGACTCACTTCAAACATGTGACCCTTGAGGCCATCAGATGCAGTTTTGGTTCCTTGGGTCCTGGTGACTAGGGTCTTTCCAATATTTCTTATATTGAACACAGCAGGGGCTTTCACATCATGCCAATCTTTCTTAGAAAATGGATCAACTGGGGTGGAGCCAAGATGGCCAAATAGGAAAAGCTCCAGTCTACAGCTCCCAGTGTGAGCGACACAGAAGACGGGTGATTTCTGCATTTCCAACTGAGGTACCAGGTTCATCTCAGTGGGGAGTGCCAGACAGTGGGTGTAGGACAGTGGGTGCAGCACACCGTGCATGAGCCGAAGCAGGGCGAGGCATTGCCACACCCGGGAAGCGCAAGGGTCAGGGAATTCCCTTTCCTAGTCAAAGAAAGGGGTGACAGATGGCACCTGGAAAATCAGGTCACTCCCACCCTAATACTGCGCTTTTCCAATGGGCTTAACAAACGGCACACCAGGAGATTATATCCTGCACATGGCTAGGAGGGTCCTACACCCACAGAGCCTCGCTCATTGCTAGCACAGCAGTCCGAGATCAAACTGCAAGGCAGCAGCGCAGCTGGGGGAGGCGCCCGCCATTGCCCAGGCTTGAGTAGGTAAACAAAGCGGCCGGGAAGCTCGAACTGGGTGGAGCCCACCACAGCTCAAGGAGGCCTGCCTGCCTCTGTAGGCTCCACCTCTGGGGGCAGGGCACAAACAAAAGGCAGCAGTAACCTCTGCAGACTTAAATGTCCCTGTCTCACAGCTTTGAAGAGAGTAGTGGTTCTCCCAGCATGCAGCTTGAGATCTGAGAACGGGCAAACCACCTCCTCAAGTGGGTCCCTGACCCCCGAGTAGCCTAAATGGGAGGCACCCCCCAGTAGGGGCGGACTGACACCTCACACGGCCGGGTACTCCTCTGAGACAAAACTTCCAGAGGAACGATCAGGCAGCAGCATTTGTGGTTCACCAATACCCGCTGTTCTGCAGCCACTGCTGCTGATACCCAGGCAAACGGGGTCTGGAGTGGACCTCCAGCAAACTCCAACAGACCTGCAGCTGAGAGTCCTGACTGTTAGAAGGAAAACTAACAAACAGAAAGGACATCCACACCAAAACCCCATCTATACGTCACCATCATCAAAGACCAAAAGTAGATAAAACCACAAAGATGGGGAAAAAACAGAGCAGAAAAAATGGAAACTCTAAAAATCAGAGCGCCTCTCCTCCTCCAAAGGAATGCAGCTCCTCACCAGCAACGGAACAAAGCTGGATGGAGAATGAATTTGATGAGTTGAGAGAAGAAGGCTTCAGAAGATCAAACTACTCCGAGCTAAAGGAGGAAGTTTGAACCAATGGTGAAGTTAAAAACCTTGAAAAAAAATTAGATGAATGGCTAACTAGAATAACCAATGCAGAGAAGTCCTTAAAGGACCTGATGGAGCTGAAAACCACAGCACAAGAACTATGTGATGAAAGTACAAGCCTCAGTAGCCTATGCAATCAACTGGAAGAAAGGCTATCAGTGATGGAAGATGAAATGAATGAAATGAAGTGAGAAGAGAAGTTTAGAGAAAAAAGAATAAAAAGAAACGAACAAAGCCTCCATCAAATATGGGACTATGTGAAAAGACCAAATCTACGTCTGATTGGTGTACCTGAAAGTGATGGGGAGAATGGAACCAAGTTGGAAAACACTCTGCAGGATATTATCCAGGAGAACTTCCCCAATCTAGCAAAGCAGGCCAACATTTAAATTCAGGAAATACAGAGAATGCTACAAAGATACTCCTCGAGAAGAGCAACTCCAAGACACACAATTGTCAGATTCACCAAAGTTGAAATGAAGGAAAAAGTGTTAAGGGCAGCCAGAGAGAAAGGTCGGCTTACCCACAAAGGGAAGCCGATAAGACTAACAGCTGATCTCTCAGCAGAAACTCTACAAGCCAGAAGAGGGTGGGGCCCGATATTGGACATTCTTAAAGAAAAGAATTTTCAACCCAGACTTTCATATCCAGCCAAACTAAGCTTCATAAGTAAAGGAGAAATAAAATACTTTACAGACAAGCAAATGCTGAGATATTTTGTCACCACCAGGCCTGCCCTAAAAGAGCTCCTAAAGGAAGCACTAAACATGGAAAGGAACAACTGGTACCAGCCACTGCAAAAACATGCCAAATTGTAAAGACCATCAAGGCTAGGAAGAAGCTGCATCAACTAACAAGCAAAATAACCAGCTAACATTATAATCACAGGATCAAATTCACACATAACAATATTAACCTTAAATGTAAATGGGCTAAATGCTCCAATTAAAAGACACAGACTGGCAAATTGGATAAAGAGTCAAGACCCAACAGGGTGCCATATTGAGGAGATCCATCTCATGTGCAGAGACACACATAGGCTCAAAATAAAGGGATGGAGGAAGATCTACCAAGCAAATGGAAAACAAAAAAAGGCAGGGGTTGCAATCCTAGTCTCTGATAAAACAGACTTTAAACCAACAAAGATCAAAAGAGACAAAGAAGGCCATTACATAATGGTAAAGGGATCAATTCAACAAGAAGAGTTAACCATCCTAAATATATATGCACCCAATACAGGAGCACCCAGATTCATAAAGCAAGTCCTGAGTGACCTACAAAGAGACTTAGACTCCCACACAATAATAATGGGAGACTTTAACACCACACTGTCAACATTAGACAGATCAATGAGACAGAAAGTTAACAAGGATATCCAGGAATTGAACTCAGCTCTGCACCAAGCAGACCTAATAGACATCTACAGAACTCTCCACCCCAAATCAACAGAATATACATTCTTTTCAGCACCACACCATACCTATTCCAAAACTGACCACATAGTTGGAAGTAAAGCACTCCTCAGCAAATGTAAAAGAACAGAAATTATTACAAACGTCTCTCAGACCACAGTGCAATCAAACTAGAACTCAGGATTAAGAAACTCACTCAAAACTGCTCAACGACATGGAAATTGAACAACCTGCTCCTGAATGACTACTGGGTACATAACGAAATGAAGGCAGAAATAAAGATGTTCTTTGAAACCAACGAGAACAAAGACACAACATACCAGAATCTCTGGGACACATTCAAAGCAGTGTGTAGAGGGAAGTTTATAGCAGTAAATGTCCACAAGAGAAAGCAGGAAAGATCTAAAATTGACACCCTAACATCACAATTAAAAGAACTAGAGAAGCAAGAGCAAACACATTCAAAAGCTAGCAGAAGGCAAGAAATAACTAAGATCAGAGCAGAACTGAAGGAAATAGAGACACAAAATACCCTTCAAAAAATCAATGCATCCAGGAGCTGGTTTTTTGAAAGGACCAACAAAATTGATAGACCTCTAGCAAGACTAATAAAGAAGAAAAGAGAGAAGAATCAAATAGATGCAATAAAAAATGATAAAGGGGATATCACCACTGATCCCACAGAAATACAAACTACCATCAGAGAATACTATAAACACCTCTACGCAAATAAACTAGAAAATCTAGAAGAAATGGATAAATTCCTCGACACATACACCCTCCCAAGACTAAACCAGGAAGAAGTTGAATCTCTGAATAGACCAATAACAGGCGCTGAAATTGAGGCAATAATTAATAGCTTACCAACCAAAAAAAGTCCAGGACCAGATGGATTCACAGCCGAATTCTACCAGAGGTACAAGGAGGAGCTGGTACCATTCCTTCTGAAACTATTCCAATCAATAGAAAAAGAGGGAAGCCTCCCTAACTCATTTCATGAGGCCAGCATTATCCTGATACCAAAGCCTGGCAGAGACACAACCAAAACAGAGAATTTTAGACCAATATCCTTGATGAACATTGATGCAAAAATCCTCAATAAAATACTGGGAAGCCAAATCCAGCAGCACATCAAAAAGCTTATCCACCACGATCAAGTGGGCTTCATCCCTGGGATGCAAGGCTGGTTCAACATACGCAAATCAATAAACGTAATCCAGCATATAAACAGAACCAAACACAAAAACCACATGATTATCTCAATAGATGCAGAAAAGGCCTTTGACAAAATTCAACAACCTTCATGCTAAAAACTCTCAATAAATTAGGTATTGATGGGACATATCTCAAAATAATAAGAGCTATCTATGACAAACCCACAGCCAACATTATACTGAATGGGCAAAAACTGAAAGCATTCCCTTTGAAAACTGGCACAAGACAGGGATGCCCTCTCTCACCACTCCTATTCAACATAGGGTTGGAAGTTCTGGCCAGGGAAATCCGGCAGGAGAAGGAAATAAAGGGCATTCAATTAGGAAAAGAGGAAGTCAAATTGTCCCTGTTTGCAGAGACATGATTGTATATCTAGAAAACCCCATCGTCTCAGCCCCAAATCTCCTTAAGCTGATAAGCAACTTCAGCAAAGTCTCAGGATACAAAATCAATGTACAAAAATCACAAGCATTCTTATACACCAATAACAGACAAACAGAGAGCCAAATCATGAGTGAACTCCCATTCACAATTGCTTCAAAGAGAATAAAATACCTAGGAATCCAACTTACAAGGGATGTGAAGGACCTCTTCAAGGAGAACTACAAACCACTGCTCAATGAAATAAAAGAGGATAGAAACAAATGGAAGAACATTCCATGCTCATGTATAGGAAGAATCAATATCGTGAAAATGGCCATACTGCCCAAGGTAATTTGTAGATTCAATGCCATCCCCATCAAGCTACCAATGACTTTCTTCACAGAATTGGAAAAAACTACTTTCAAGTTCATATGGAACCAAAAAAGAGCCCTCATTGCCAAGTCAATCCTAAGCCAAAAGAACAAAGCTGGAGGCATCACGCTACCTGACTTCAAACTATACTACAAGGCTACAGTAACCAAAACAGCATGGTACTGGTACCAAAACAGAGATATAGACTAATGGAACAGAACAGAGACCTCAGAAATAATGCCGCATATCTCCAACTATCTGATCTTTGGCAAACCTGAGAAAAACAAGCAATGGGGAAAGGATTCCCTATTTAATAAATGGTGCTGGGAAAACTGGCTAGCCATATGTAGAAAGCTGAAACCAGATCCCTTCCTTACATCTTATACAAATATTAACTCAAGATGGATTAAAGACTTAAATGTTAGACCTAAAACCATAAAAACCCTAGAAGAAAACCTAGGCAATACCATTCAGGACATAGGCATGGGCAAGGACTTCATGTCCAAAACACCAAAAGCAATGGCAACAAAAACCAAAACTGACAAATGGGATCTAATTAAACTAAAGAGCTTCTGCACAAGAAAAGAAATTACCATGAGAGTGAACAGGCAACCTCAGAATGGGAGAAAATTTTTGCAACCTACTCATCTGACAAAGGGCTAATATCCAGAATCTACAATGAACTCAAACAAATTTACAAGAAAAAAGCAAACAACCCCATCAAAAAGTAGGCAAAGGATATGAACAGACACTTCTCAAAAGAAGACATTTATGCAGCCAAAAAACACATGAAAAAATGCTCGGCATCACTGGCCATCAGAGAAATGCAAATCAAAACCACAATGAGATACCATCTCACACCAGTTAGAATGGCGATCATTAAAAAGTCAGGAAACAACAGGTGCTCGAGAGGATGTGGAGAAATAGGAACACTTTTACACTGTTGGTAGGACTGTAAAGTAGTTCATCCATTGTGGAAGTCAGTGTGGCAATTCCTCAGGGATCTAGAACTAGAATACCATTTGACCCAGCCATCCCATTACTGGGTATATACCCAAAGGATTATAAATCATGCTGCTATAAAGACACATGCACACGTATGTTTGTTGCGGCACTATTCACCATAGCAAAGACTTGGAACCAACCCAAATGTCCAACAATGATAGACTGGATTAAGAAAATGTGGCCCATATACACCATGGAATACTATGCAGCCATAAAAAAGGATGAGTTCATGTCCTTTGTAGGGACATGGATGAAGCTGGAAACCATCATTCTCAGCAAACTATTACAAGGACAAAAAACCAAACACCGCATGTTCTCACTCATAGGTAGGAATTGAACAATGAGAACACATGGACACAGGAAGGGGACCATCACACCCTGGGGACTGTTGTGGGGTGGGGGGAGGGGGAGGGATAGCATTAGGAGATATACCTAATGCTAAATGACGAGTTAATGGGTGTAGCACACCAACATGGCACATGTATACATATGTAACAAATCTGCACGTTGTGCACATGTATCCTAAAACTTAAAAGTATAATAATAATAAAATTTTTAAAAAATTTTAAAAAAACAGGACAAGAATGGAGCTCATGTTAAGTGTTCTCATCACAAATTTTAAAAAAAGAAACAAAAAATAAAGTGGCACATGGAAAAAAAAAAGAAAATGGATCCACCACTTTCTTCTTGGCTTCCTTTTTGCTGCCTTTGTAAGGCACCTGTTCTTGCCAACCATCATGGTGCTGCTCAGACAGCCAAAAGGGTGGAAATGCCAACAAGTCTTTTATGGTAAAAGTCAGGGCCCTGATAGAAAAAGAGAGACTCTGAGACTTGATTTAGGGATATTTGGATGCACGAATCTGAGATGCAAGCTCTCATGCTTCTCTGAATTCTCTCCCCTTGCAGACCAGAGCAGATGCCCCTTGCCTGGGAACCCTGCTAAAGCCTCACCTGATTTGTACTCTTCAAGATGACCTTGCCTCTTTTTATTGTCTTCAGACCAATAACGAAGATTATGTCTCAGCACAATCTGAACAGAGAAACACAGCTCCCTGCTCCAAGAGTAAATATCTAACATACCAAAGACATTGCTGGGCTTGGTTAATGTGTCCCAGTAGCAACCAAGGATCACAATGGGGGTGTAGATCTTAAAGGAATAAGATTGTGTGTGTGGATGGGGGGTGGCAAGTGTGTATTACTGGCAAGAGTAGAATATAAATAAGATGGGATAGAGTGCAATTTATTGATATAGGAGCCCTCTCTCATGACTTGAAGTTTAACATCAGGGAAAAGACACCTAGAACCTGTCCTAATAGACGGCTAGAATAGCTCCTTAAAGTTTCTGCTAACAATGGCCCAAAAGAAATGAGGTGAAAACGCTGATATTGCCTCAGCATAGTATTCATGAAGGGTTCAGAAAGTTCAGATATGTGGGAATGTTAGAGTGGATTTATACAAAACCATAGGAGCCACCACTGTGCTATATTCCTCAGGAAGGTGGAGAGAATATTCCTGTCAGTAGAGTAGCAAGGGTACAGGTGAGGGAGGCACTGACATCTTTGAGAAGTCTGATGATGGCCATCCTTGATAGGGACCAGGGTTGATAGCAGGAGATGCTGTCATGGAAATAGGCTCCCCATGGGAATCATACAAACATACTTGAAAATATAATTAGGAACAAGTGACAGTTAAAGTCCCTGCTCACAAGACATGAAGAAAACAGGAGACTCCTGGAGAATTATCTTTCAACACTTGCCTGAAAAACCAAAACCAAGCAAATAAAAAACACCTTTGTGATAAACCTATTTTTGTTTTAAACACTCAACAGAGATCCTTCTGTAGATCTTTTATGGAGATGAAGATTTGACTTTGGTGGTTGTAAATCATCACTATGTTGGGGTTGCTAACTCAGGAGTTTATCCTTTTTATTTTTATTTTTTAGATGGAGTCTTGCTCTGTCACCAGGCTGGAGTTCAATGGTGCGATCTCGGCTCACTGCAACCTCCGCCTCCTGGGTTCCAGTGATTCTCCCGCCTCAGCCTCCCGAGTAGCTGGGACTACAGGCATGTGCCACCACGCCCAGCTAATTTTTGTATTTTTAGTAGAGACGGGGTTTTACCACGTTGGCCAGGATGGGCTCCATCTCTTGACCTCACGATCTGCCTGCCTTGGCCTCCCAAAGTGCTGGGATTACAGGCATGAGCCACCGCACCCGGCCAGGAGTTTATCTTCTCTATGGAGTGAACCTAATGCCAGTCGGGACCAGGATGAGCGTGCTATTTGCAACATTCCTTGTATCCAGCATCCTTTGCCATGTCATTCTATAGATGCTCTCACTAAAGTGATGGCCAATTTCCTTACCCTTCGAATCCGGGCTTTGGCAAATGGGATGTTAACAACAGCTCCCAAACAGAGGATCACATAGTACTTGCGTGAGCCCACTCCCCTCTTATGTTCTTCAAGCATGCCATGAGAACACGCCTGGGTCAGCCTGCTGAAGGAGCTGAGCTGAGTCATCCCGGTGACAGCCAGCTGACTCTTAGCAGTGAGAGGCACCCCCACAAAGCTGCTCTGCTGACCACCCCAGACACACGAGCAAAAGAAATGTTTACCATTACATGTCACTGAGGCTTTGTGGTTATTTATTATGTAGGATTGTTATGGAAAGAGCTATCTGATAGATACCATGAGGCAAATATGTAAGAATGAAAATTACTTTGAACAGGAAGAAGACATGATTACCTTCAGGAGTCGGTTGACCTCTTTTCTGCAGGTGCACAGTTGGAACCTGGAGAGAACGAAGAATACTAGTGGTGGAGTTGAACAATAACAACAACAACAACACCTCATAACCAGTAAGGTAATGGTCTCATCTAACAAATCCCTCTCCCAACACATGAGCATGAAGTGCTCCGGCTGGGCGGGGAGGGGTTTGCTGCTGTGTGTAGCTGCCTTCCTGGCCTCTTGTCCTCACCAGCTCCCTGTTCCCCATCATCCTTCCTATGCAGTCTCAATTCAACAAATATTTACTGACGCCCCATGCTGCCTGCTGTCCTGCTGAGGCGGGAGGAAACCTGTTTCAAGAGGAGCCCTAGTACAGTTCCTGCCCCCTGGCACCAGCTCTTGTTGAAGAGATATTTACACAAGCATACGGAGAGCACTGAACTCGGAGTCTGGTGATCCAGATTCGTGTCCCAGCTCAGCCACTCACAAGCCTGGGGCCCACAGAGAAATTCTATCTCCTGCCCACACCTCAGTTTTCTCCTTTCTAAAGCAAAGATAATAATCCCCAGCTCACACATGTGGGAGAGGATTCACGAGAATGGAAAGACATCGTAGGAGCTGGAAAGGACTCCCAAGGGACAGGGGTGGGTGCCACCAAGACCAGGCACTAAGATGGCCAGAGGACATTAACTCCTGGCTCTTCAAGGGGGAGGGAGTGTGGATGCTCACTCAGGGTGTGGAACCACAGAGTTGGAGGGAACCTAAAATAAGCCTTCCTCCACAGGGAAGAGGGAGACCCAGGCCTGGTGGGCCCTGGCTGCTCCTGCTGGAATTAGACTTTCATGGACTTGGTATTTGACCCAGCCTGAGCGATGTTTCCTTTGAAGCTCTTGTTGGAAGCTTCCACAAGTAGCACAGCCCATTCCCTGCCACCCACCAACTGCAACCACAGACTTAGCTCAATGTGGAATGTCAGAGAGACACAAATATGGCCTTTTGCCTCAGGCTGTTCCCACCTGGGGTGTAACTGCAGGAGCCTGAGGCTTCCTGGGATTTCAGTTGCTTCCCAGAGCTCAAAAATAGTTACCCATGGATCAAAATCAGCATGTGAACAGAGCATCAATCTACTTCAAAACCAAAGCATCTATCTACTTCCAAACTAGATTTGGGCCAGCTATAGTGGCTCACACCTGTAATCTCAGCACTTTGGGAGGCTGAGGTGGGAGGACTGCTTGAGGCCAGGAGTTCAAGACCAGCCTGGGCGACATGGTGAGACTGTCTCTACAAGAAATTAAAAAATTAGCTGGGCATGGTGGTGCACAACTGTAGTCTTAGCTACTTGGGAGGTTGAGGTTGCAGTGAGCTAAGATTGTGCTACTGCACTCCAGCCTGAGCAACAGAGCAAGATCCTGTCAAAAAAAAAAAAAAAAAAGAAAGAAAAAGAAAAAAGAAAAGAAAAGAAAAGAAAAAGAAAAATGATTAAAAAAAAAAAAAAGAAAGAAACAAAAAAACCAAAACAGATCCGGTTTCCAGGGCTCTAATCTTGGAGAGACTAGGCTGGAAAAAAGCTGTAGTCTCATCTATGACCTGAGGGACGACTCTACTGATAGGAAGGGGATGGGTTGTGTAGAACCTGGATAACAGGGACCAGGAAGCAAGACAAGGCCAGCTTTATCCAGGGCCATGCTAGGGAGGGAGAACCTCATTTGAGAGTGGGCATTCTGGGTGTCACAGGCTCCTCCAAGCCCGGATGAGACCCCTCAGGTTGGTCCTGAGTTGATGAAATCCCCTTGCTTCCTTCCCTCTCCATGTTGGAAAATGCACACTCGTCCCTTGGATTCGCTACTTTTGGCCACATGAGCAGCTTCATCTGGTTCTTCCTGACCCAGAAACTCCACACCTTGTGGGTGTCTTGTGGCAGGGTGCCCGGCCCCTCTCCAGGACACTCTGCTGAGGTTCCACACTCATCAAACAGCTTCCAGTAATTCAGTCAGCCTCAGTACCCCACTCCCCAGCTGGAGAGGAGATCCCCTCCTTGGAGGAACAGTTTGCTGACACCCTAAGTGACGCAATTATTCCCAGGAAGGGTTTGGAGAGGCAGCATTTGACAAGACGTGGGGCTTAGAAACCCAGCTGGGGCAGAAAACTCTGAGCCCCAGCAGATCTGCTCAGGTCTGTGACTGGAGTCACACTATAGCAGAAGCAGATCGTGACCCCCTCCCCAGACCCTGGTGGACCCTGAAAGGATTTGGGGAAGACCAAATTTCCTGTACATACCGTTTGTATGGAGAACAGTCCTCTGGCAGTCACAGTTACAGGGACTCAGTCCTAGGTTTTTATCCACTCAGACGGGGGACCTACAAGAGGGTGCCCTTTGCCCTCTAGCACAAAGATGCCTTCGGGCTCACAGCAGCCCCCCTGAGACCTGACCTGGGTGCAGACCTCTCCACTGGCAGCACCAGATCTTTCTTCAGCTCTGTGAGGTGCTTTTTTTTGCAGTTTCTAACATAGCCGTGGCAGCTAAGCAGACACTTGTCTTAAAATCCTCATTGCAGCTCCTCTTGGGTCCCACTGAGAGCCCTTTGGCAAAGCTCGAGAGCTTGCCCACACTATCAGTGTTCAGCCAGGCCCTGCCCTGTGTATAAACAGGAAATCTTAAAGTTCCAATGTGCACCTTCTTCAAGCAATAAAGACTCTTAACAAGCTCCACAGTAAAAGACACTGACCCAGAAAAGCAAACTTCCACAGAGGGGAGGCTGCGTTAATGGAGTCGACCAGTCATTAGTGGCAACCCCATGACTTTAAAGATTTGCACAGATGACCTGGACGGGAAGAATAAAAGCAGGCTTTTCAAAGAGCTGCAGAGTGTGGAAATTCAGGAAGTGTAGCCCACAAGTAGGACATGCCAAGTAATTATTAAGAAGGGAACAAAAGTGAAAAGAAAGAATCACAGGAAAACTCTAGAAGGAATTGAAAGAAACTAAGTTTTGAAAGAAAAAGTGAGTGAAAGAAAAGAAAAACAAATAACAAAAGAAAAATGTGTTCATCTGTCATAGGGGAGAATGATCTTCCTGCGGATCAGAAGCCAACCGGGTTATTGTTAGTAGGTGATTTCCCAGGGATGGCACCCAGCAAACAGCTGCAGGGTGAAGGTAAACAGGACGCTGGGGAGAACGGGAGGATGATACAATTTCATAGGAAGTGCTGTTATTCCTATGTAATATTTACATAAAAATCTCATTTAGGTTCACTGCCTTATTTTCTTGAAAAAGGATGGCAAATTTTCAGCCTCTTCCCGTGAAAGAAATCATACAATGCCCCCTTTAAAATGTCACATATGTCACATTTGAAAATTAACCACAAAAAAAGAAAAAATAATGCCCATATAGAAAAAATACCTTTCTGATTTTGAAACAAGGAGTTCCATTCTCTCTAATGCCAGGCATTTTTTTAATCTGATAATAAATTAGAGACCTTGGGAAGAATATTCACTTTTTTAGGCCACAATAAAAATAGCTACAATAACAACAGTGGTTACTTTTATTTATTCATACATTTTGGAGAGAGAGAGGGCTAATTCCAAAAAAATAACACGGGGAAGAATTCTTATAAGGCATTTACCATAAACAATATTCTCTTTTCTTTACCACCCCCCCGCCAACCCTGACTCAAGACTATTCTCAATGGTTTATGTATATTAACTGTTTTAATCCCAACACTAATTGCATAAGGTAGCTATGATTATCATTTCCTCTTTACAGATGTGGAAAAACACAGCACAGAGAGGCTGAGCAACTTGCTCAAGATACACAACTAGTAAGTGGTGAGGCTCAGATTTGAACCCAGCTAATCTGGTGCCACGGTCCGAGTTTTTCAACAGTAAACTATGCTGCTAGTAAGAACACCCCAAACCACACAGAAGAAATTGTGTCTAAAAGTAGAGTGTTGACTTTACATGAATATTTGTGTTAAGTATTAGGTCACAAGCTAGGCTGTAACATGGGTTCCCACTTAAAGTTACTTTCATAGGGTCCCAAATATTTTATCATAAAGCCAAAAGAGTCAATCTTTCCAAGTTTTGTTTTCCCTAAAGTTATCTTCCTTCTAGAGGTGAGAGGGATCCCCAGTGTATACTTCCTTCTAGGAAGAAGAGAGTCACTGCTATCACTGCTATGTGTCACTTTTTTTTTTTTTTTTTTTTTGAGACAGGGTCTTGCTCTGTCACCCTAGCTGAAGTGCAGTGGTGTGAACATGGCTCTGTGCAGCTTTGATCTACTGGGCTCAAAGGATCCTCCTGCCCCAGCCTCCTGTATAGCTGAGACACAGGCGAGTGCCTCCTTGCGTGTCTAGTTTTTGGCTTTGTTTTTTGTAGAAACAGGGTCTCCCTACATTGCCAGGCTTGTCTCAAACTCCTAGGCTCAAACAGTCCCCCCACCTCAGCTTCCCAAGTGCTGAGATTACAGGCATGAGCCACCGCACCTGGTTAATGTGTCACTTTGAAATCAGCTGTTTCTGCAAGAACTGTGAAAGAGTCATCATAAAAGACTAAATTGGCTGGGTGCGGTGGCTCACGCCTGTAATCCCAGCACTTTGGGAGGCTGACCTGGGCAGATCACGAGGTCAGGAGATCGAGACCATCCTGGCCAACATGGTGAAACCCCATCTCTACTAAAAATACAAAAATTAGCTGGGCACAGTGGTGCATGCCTGTAATCCCAGCTACTCAGGAGGCTGAGGCAGGAGTATCGCTTGAACCTGGGAGGCAGAGGTTGCAGTGAGCCAAGATTGCGCCACTGCACTCCAGCCTGGCAACTAGCTAGACTCCATCTCTCAAAAACAAAAAACAAAAAACAAAAAACAAAAAGACTAAATTAGGGCCGGGTTCGGTGGCTCACGCCTGTAATCCCAGCACTTTGGGAGGCCGAGGAGGGCGGATCATCTGAGATCAGGAGTTCAAGACCAGCCTGACCAATGTGGAGAAACCCTGTCTATACTAAAAATACAAAATTAACTGGGCATGGTGGCTCATGCTTGTAATTCCAGCTACACGGGAGGCTGAGGCAGGAGAATCACTTGAACCTGGGAGGCAGAGGTTGCGGTGAGCCAAGATCATGCCATTGCACTCCAGCCTGGGCAACAAGAGCAAAACTCGGTTTCAAAAAATAAAAATAAAAATAAATAGAAGACTAAATTAGAGTTTGGGGAAGAAAAAAAACCCCTAAGTTATAAAATCACAAATCCCGGGCAATAAGTTAAATCCTTCCAATCCTCCCCTTCTTACTTTGGTTTTGAAATATTTCTTTCATTTGTATCAAAAAGCACTCTCCAGACCAAAGGCTGTCACTGCCAGTGAGTCAGGTATATTCCTAACCCTGTTTTGTGGGACTCTTCAGTGCCTTCTGTCTCCGAGGAGACCCCATCCCATCCCAGGGCCCATCTGGAAACACATGTCTCAAGTGAGCCAGATTTAAAATAGGTTTAAGTGTGAACATTTTCACCTCTTAACTTTAAACCATGCAATGAGATAGAAAACAGTATGTTTGTAAGTTCTCCATCACATGAGAAACAAACTTTGATGACCACCCAGCCAACAGGGTTTTAGAAAAGCAGAAGTTGTAGTTTTGAAAACATTAAGATGCTTATTTTAAGAATCAGAAATCTAGGCCAGGCACGGTGGCTCACGCCTGTAATCCCAGCACTTTGGGAGGTCAAGGTGGGTGGATGACCTGAGGTCAGGAGTTCAAGACCAGCCTGGCCAACATGCTGAAACCCAGTCTCTACTAAAAATACAAAAATTAGCCAGGTGTGGTGGCAGATGCCTGTAGTCCCAGCTGCTCAGGAGGCTAAGGCAGGAGAGTCACTTGAACCCAGGAGGCAGAGGGTGCAGTAAGCTGAGATTGCACCACTGTACTCCAGCCCTGGTGACAGAGCAAGACTCTGTCTCAAAAAAAAAAAAAAAAAATTTAAGAATAAGAAATCTTACTTTATGCATTAAATAATCACTGGTCACAAAATAAAATTCAGAGTTATTATTTCCCTAAGTCCTATAACTATAACCTAAGTTCTCTAGATGGTAGTTTTGACATGTGTGGATGTCTTTATCAGTTCTGCAAATCTCTCAAACATCTGCAAAGCAGTTTTAATGGAATGTGATTGTGTGTTGAAAAGCAGTGTATAACTTCTCCAGAAATTTTGTCCTAATGCTCTTAGTCTCAGGCCTTCTCTGCAAGACCCTTTGTAATCCTTTAGTGGAAATGAATTTCTATTGGTGGTTACTTTCATTTTTTTCAAACCATACAGATGCTAATAAGGATTTGCTGCTTGCTTATTTAAAGAACATGATTAAGCCATTTTAAAGTATCTTTGTGGGCCAGGCACCAGGTGTTTTGTTTTGTTTTGTTTTTGTTTTTTTCATACACTTGGGCGGGGGGGGGGGGGGGATGGGGGTGGGGAATGGCTAATTCCAAGGAAACAACATGGTTAGCAGTGTCATAACACATATTTGCAAACAGCATTTTTCTGAATGTTGTTTATTATGTAAACTAAAGGACCTTTGTTCTGCAGTAAAATAGAGCAGATAAGTAAATCACTGTAGAAAATCAATTTCTAAATGGTTTCTTAAAAATAAAGTTTTAGGCCAGGCATAGTGGCTCACACCTGTAAATCCCAACACTTTAGGAGGCCAAGATGAGTGGATCATGTGAGGTCAGGAGTTTGAGACCAGCCGGGCCAACATGGTGAAACTCCATCTCTACTAAAAATACAAAATTAGCCGGGCATGGTGGCACATGCCTGTAATTCCAGCTACTCAGGAGGCTTAGGCTGGAGAATCGCTTGAACCCGGGAGGCAGAGGTTGCAGTGAGCTGAGATCGTGCCATTGCACTCCAGCCTGGGCAAAAAGAGCAACACTCCATCTCAAAAAAATAATAAGAGGAAGAAAAATAGTTTCAGGCCAGGTGTAGTGGCTCATGCCTATAAGTCCAACACTTTGGGAGGTCGAGGTGGGAGGATCGCCAATGATCTTGAGCCCAAGAACTCAAGGCTGCAGTGAGCTATGGTCATACCACAGCACTCCACCCTGGGGCGACAGAATGAGACACTGTCTCAAAAAATAAAGTTTTAGTCAATTTATGTTTTATATTTTAATTGTAGAAAATGTTAAAAATATAAGAAAACATTAAAATTACTCATAACCTCACCTCCCAGAAAAAGAATTAACATTGTGTTTCACTTTTGTCCCATATATACATGCATTTTTAAAATCTGTTTTGTGCCCTGAGTTCTGCTCAGGTTTGTCCCTTTCTCTGATGATCAAGGCTTGGTACGTGAGTCAAGGTGGTCACCCCAGTTGCCATCTTCTCTCTGGATAAGTTCATTCCTTACAGGATGCTCAGGCTCTCATTCAAACTTCTGGTGGGCCTGCCCCAGCAGTTTCCAGAAAAGCCCAGGCATTTCTGAACTTTATTTTGTATTTATTTATTTATTTATTTATTTATTTATTTTAAGACAGAGTCTTGCTCTGTCACCCAGGCTGGAGTGCAGTGGCATGATCTTGGCTCACTGCAGCCTCCATCTCCCAGGTTCAAGCAATTCTTGTGCCTCAGCCTCCCAAGTAACTGGGATTATAGGCACGTGCCGTCACACGGGGCTAATTTTTTGTATTTTTAGTAGAGACAGGGTTTCACCATGTTGGCCAGGCTGGTCTCGAACTCCTGACCTCAGGTGATCTGTCTGCCTCGGCCTCTGAAAGTGCTGGGATTACAGGCATGAGCCACCACACCTGGCTATGAACTTTAGCTTGGACTCAATCTGGACCATGCTCCCATGCCCTGGTCCCCAATATTCTTTGTGAAGAAGGATAACAGAAACATGGCAGCTGCATTCTAATATTGGAAGGGTGATTATGGAGCAGAAGGGGCACAGAGGCTCTTTGAAGCTCTAGGGGACAAAACTAGGTTGGGTGGAAAGTAGAATAGCTTACTTCAGAAGCAGAGAGTTCTCTGCCCTTGGCAATATTCACTTGTGGGGATGGCTGTGGGATCGAGCATGGAAAGCAGAGATAGTCAGTGACAGTGTCCTTGTCAGAAGGTTCTGTGACCGTATGTATTTCCAGGGTTGACTCTGTATCTACATGGCATGATTTATGGGTGTCCTGAACATTCTTTTTTCTTTTTTTTGAGATGGAGTCTTGCTCTGTCACCCAGGCTACAGTGCAATGGTACAATTTCGGCTCATTGCAACCTCTGCCTCCCAGGTTCAGGTGATACTCCTGCTTCAGCCTCCCAAGTAGCTAGGACTACAGGTGTGTGCCACCTTGCCCAGCTAATTTTTGTATTTTTAGTAGAGACGGGGTTTCACCATGTTGGCCAGGCTGGTCTTGAACTCCTGACCTCAGGTGATACACCCACCTTGGCCTCCCAAAGTGCTGGGATTACAGATGTGAGCTACCGTGCCTGGCCAATGGTGTCCTGAACATTCTGCCTCCACATCAACAATCTTGATCATGGCTGTAGCCACGGGGCCCAGGACGGGGCCTGGCACATTGCAGGCACTCAGTAAATGTTTGTTGCAATGAATGAATGAACCAACCTGGCTGCAGTGGCTGCTCCTTTGCTCTCCACTTTTAGAGACTATGGACCAGCAGACATGCTGGACTTTGACCAGGGCCTGGTGGGAAGTGCTGAGAACTGCTGGCTTCTTATTTCACAGAATTATCCATTTTCTGTTGTTTCTTGGGAGGGCCCTTGGTCTTAGCTTTCACACAGTGGTATGTAGAATGAACTGGGAGACAGCCAATTTAGGCTTTTTCATCTACCAAACAAACCAAATCCATAACATTTGATTTGATGGATGGAATCCCCGGTGGATGATTTCACTCAGCCCTTTAAACAATGGAATGAGACCACTGGCCTCCTGCAGACTTTCTCTTGATGGGGGGTGAGGGAGGAGTGGTGGTCTGGAATGGGGAGATAAGTGGTAAAGGATGGAGGCTGGGTGCAGTGGCTCACGCTTGTAATCCCAGCACTTTGGGAGGCCAGGGTGGGCAGATCACGAGGTCAGGAGATAGAGACCATCCTGGCTAACTTGGTGAAACCCTGTCTCTACTAAAAATACAAAAATTAGCCAGGTGTGGTGGTGCACACCTGTAGTTCCAGCTACTCGGGAGGCTGAGGCAGGAGAATCACTTGAACCCGGGAGGTGGAGGTTGCAGTGAGCCAAGATTGCACCACTGCACTCCAGCCTGGGTGACAGAGCAAGACTCCATCTCAAAAAAGAAAACAAAAACAAAAACAAACTTGGCCGGGTGTGGTGGCTCACGCCTGTAATCCCAGCACTGTGGGAGGCTGCGGCAGGTGGATCACTTGAGGTCAGGAGTTCGAGAGCAGCCTAGCCAATGTGGCGAAACCCTGTCTCTACCAAAAATGTAAAAAATTAGCTGAGTGTCGTGGCGGGCTCCTGTAATCCCAGCTACTCGGGAGGCTGAGGCAGGAGAATTGCTTGAACCTGAGAGGCGGAGGTTGCAGTGAGCCGAGATTGAGCCCCTGCACTCCAACCTGGGTGACAGAGTGAGACTCCATCTCAAAAACAAACAAACAAACAAACAAACAAACAAAAAACCCTCTACAAAATGGCATTTTAGGACTTTATAATATTAATATTTTTGGCTGCTTTAATGAGTATGAGTAGCTGTTCCATAAGCAGATACTATGTCACATAGGGTAGATTTCAAGCCACTGCTTTAGAAGATGGTATGCTTGAATTGATTGTACACCTGAGGACTGAAGTTGAAACCACCAGCTAGAAGTGAATGCTTTTTGCTTTGTCATGGGCCAGTGGACTTTGCCTGGGAATCTCCCCTGAGCTGAGGCCAGCAAAGGTTGCACTCTGAAAGAGTATGAAAGGGTGGCGATATGTCTCATTGGTGAACCAGGTAATGGAAAATGCCTCTCCTCATCCTGCACAAGAATGCCAAACATCAGCCACAGTGCTCCCTTTTCTTTTGTACCAGTGTGGTTTATAGAAACTGGACAGTATCAGTGGACATTTTCTCTGGGCTTTTAAGGGGAACACATTGTATCTTGAGGCATTTCATCTGCAGAACCTGTACTTAGAACAAAGAAAAACTTCTGCGTGCTCGGTAAACAAAAGATGCCCAGTTTCCCTTCCCCATATTGCCAGCTGCCATGACACACAGTTTGGCCTCAGCCCACTCAACCACAGGTGAATTTGACCACAACCATACACCCTCGCAACCTACCAACTACAGTGACCTAGAGATAGCACTTTCTAAATGTAAAATGTCATTAATATGAGTGTTTATTGTCTAGCAATAAAGTTATGCCTATCATCAAAGTATCCAGGATCCAGAGGGAATGGAATAGGGCAGTAATTTTGAATCTGGTTGTGATAAAAGCCCAAAGCTAGACAGGCAAGAGGAGCGTAAGTGGCATGGCTTTAGCCTGCGTACTCTCAGGGTCTTATCTGCTGTCAGCCAGGTAGGAGCCTGTGGCTTTAATTCTACCTCCCCAACTTCCCACCTCACCCCCAGAACTAAACTGCCATCGGTCTCATATACCCTCCTCTGTCCCCAGTGACTGAAGTCACCTCCAACCAGGCTGTGACTACCAGCCTTCCTTTTTCCCTTCATGATTTTTCCAAGTGAAGGGACTAAATGAAAATATAAAGCAAGTCTTGTGATTTTTCTGAGGCTACATAAACTACCTGCCTCATTCCAGTGAGCTCTGCAGGGGTGTAACCTCCATTTTAACAAGGTTATGATATACTAACCCTCACCCCATCACCCCACAATTCTCTTCTCTCACCATGGACTAAATATTTTTCTTTGTTCCCCCAAAGGAAGCTTACTCCGTAAAGATTT
This sequence comes from Homo sapiens, assembly GCF_000001405.40. Lineage (NCBI taxonomy): Eukaryota > Metazoa > Chordata > Mammalia > Primates > Hominidae > Homo > Homo sapiens. The sequence goes on from NC_000005.10 coordinate 78,728,946, forward strand.
CTGAAAAAAAAAAAATTTTTTTTAAAGGAAAATGTGCCAGGGCAGAGATGGAGGAGGTGGTAGGGCAGGCTGGGAGGGTGGGGTAGGGAGGTCCACAGGCCTCCCTGTTCACATCACACAGAACGTCCCTTAGAAAAACCCTCTAGAGGCCAGGCACAATGGCACATGCCTGTAATCTCAGCACTTTGGGAGGCTGAGGCGGGTGGATGGCAAGGTCAAGAAATCAAGACTATCCTGGCCAACATGGTGGAACCCCATCTCTACTAAAAGTACAAAAATTAGCTGGGTGTGGTGGCGTGTGCCTGTAGTCCCAGCTACTCAGGAGGCTGAGGCAGGAGTATTGCTTGAACCTGAGAGGCAGAGGTTGCAGTGAGCAGAGATCGTGCCACTGCACTCCAGCCTGGCGACAGAGCAAGACTCCGTCTCAAAAAAAAAAAAAAAAAAAAAAAAAAGAAAAAGAAAAAGAAAAGCCCCCTAGACATATCTCTCCCCACCCCCACCCTCCATGTCCCCTGCCTCCGTCTTCTGAAAGCTCCCTTTGCATCAACATTCTAACCTTTCCCTTCATCCCAAACTCCCCATCCCGAATACCTCATCCCTTCTCTCATGCAAAGTAAGTTAGTTCCTGGGCCTGCAGAGACAAGATGACTTTATGGTTCATAAACAAGAGCTCTCCCAGCTACCAGGAGCCCCACTAGTGGAAACATTTTAAATACCTGATCATTTTCCTGGGTTTAAAATTTTTTTTGTTTCGGTTACCTGCACAAACTCATCCAGACAAATTGTACATGGCCTCCCTGGAGGTCCCCCTTGCCAAGCTGAGCCCACAACTTTGATGGTGGCAGCTTCTCGCTATGCCACACTGATTTCTGAAATGAGCTCGAGTCCACAAGTGGACCCCCACTGACCCCCCAGGTAATACACCCCTCAGTTCAGATTCAAAGCTTTTGGGGACCCCACTCACGGGTGGCTTCTAGGTACGCAGCCTTCGTGGCAGCACAGGCCGCATGGCTAGAATGCTCCTGCCTGTGGTTTAATCCTCTGCTGTTGCCATCTTTAATTTTTAATTTTTATGGGTACATAGTAGTTATATATATTTATGGGGTATGTGAGATATTTTGATACAGGCATACAATGCATAATAATTACAACAGGGTAAATGGGGTATCCATCACCTCAAGCATTTATCATTTCTTTATGTTATGAACATTCCAATTATACTCTTTGTTATTTTTAAATGTACTATAAATTATTGTTGACTATAGTCACCCTGTTGTGCTATGAAATACTAGATCTTATTCATTCTATTTAACTATATTTATGCACCATTAACCTTCCCCCCTTTCCCTCCCCTATCCACTACCCTCCTCGGCCTCTGGTAACCATCATTCTATTCTCTATCTCCATGAATTCAATTATTTTGGTTTTTAGCCCCCACAAATGAGTGAGAGCATGCAAAGTTTGTCTTTGTGTGCCTGGCTTATTTCACTTAACATAATGACTTCCAGTTCCATCCATGTTGTTGCAAATGACAGGATCTCATTCTTTTTTATGGCTGAATAGTACTCCATTGTGTATATATGCCACATTTTCTTTATCCATTCATCTGTTGATGGACACTTAGGTTGCTTCCAAACCTTGGCTATTGTGAATGGTACTACAGTAAACATAGGAGTGCAGATATCTCTTTGATACACTGATTTCCTTTCTTTGGGGTATATACCTACTGCTGTTGCCATCTTGAAATTCTTAAGAATTTTGAACAATTGGCCCTATATTTTCAGTGCACTTGGCCCTGCAATTATGTAGCCAGTCCTGTCCACATATGGCCATCCTAGAAAATCTCTCTTCCTTCAAAGCAGTTTCTCCACAGCTCCCCACCAGCCTTAACCTCTAGGCCCATCTGCCTTGGCCAGCTGGGCCCCACTCACTGTAGGGTGCTGGGCCTGTACAGATGGTGGGGACTTTTTCTCTAACAAAGCCACAGAAACTAGGGTCCCTGAGGGGGAGGTGAGGGGAAGGAGGCAGGGAGGCTTGAGAGAGGTGTCCCTGCAGTTATCCATCTGACAACATGCCAGTTCCAGAGATTCCCCCAGTAGAGAGAATTCCTTTCCAACTGTTCTGAAAATAAGAATATTCCTGAGAGGGCCAGCCCCCGCCACAGGATTGGTCTCCACCCTGCTGTGAACACGTCTGTAAGCTGTTGTAAGCTGACTGGTAGCGGAGATCCTGGTACAGTAGGAAGTCTGAAGGAAGGAGAAGGATATTTTGGCACTTGGAGGAGAGGAAATTCAGGAAGGAGAAATCTGGCTGAGGGGCGACAGAGTGGGCAGTAAGACAGGGGAGAGAGAATAGAGGGGACTGCAGGGGGAGATGCTGGAGAAGTGTTTCTTCTACTTCACAATTTTGCTGGACTCTGAAGACAAAAGCCTTGATGGGTAAAAGGGCCTGTATTAGCTTCCTGTGGCTTCCATAACAAATTACTGCAAACTGGGTGGCTTAAAGCAATAGTAATGTATTCCTACAGCAAGAAGTCTAAAGCGCACACAGTGTCAGCAAGGTGGGTCCCTTCTGGAGGCTCTGAAGGACAGCATCTTCCAAGCCTCTTCCCTGGCTTGTGGAGGCTGCCTGCCTGGCCAGCTTTACTGTTCCTCGGGTTGCTGACACCCACTGCAATCTCTGCCTCCTGTGTGTCTCTGAGTGTCAAATCTCCCACTCCTTTATTTTATAAGGACACCAGTCATTGGATTTAGAGCCCACTCTAAATGCAGAATGATCTCATCTCGAGAACCTTATCTTAGTAATATCTGCAAAGACCCTATTTCCAAATAAGGTCATATTCACAGGTATTGGGCATATATTCTTGAGAACCTAAGTCAACCCACTATGGGGTCTTTAGATTTTCAGTTTCCATTTGCCTTTTATTCAAGCTTTACTTGAACTGTTGAGCTTTGGATTTCCACTTGATAGAAATACTGAAATCCTGAGACCTTTTATTAATGAATAATAGCAAAACCTCTGCAAATTCGAGGCAGTTTAAAATCATGTCCTTCGAGAGACTCTGCAGGATCTCCTAGCATCCCAGGAGAATGGGAGGGAACAATAGCAACATGCCTTTGATCTCTTCAGTAGGAAAGTTTCAACAGGAGCCAAGGCCTGTGCTTTAATATTGTTGTGCATTAGTCAGAACATAGATATGTGAGTGTTTACAATCTTGAGACATAAGTGGAAAAGTAACAAGAATGTGGCTCTAAGAGATACTCACCAAAATAACTTGTTTGTTGAAAAATAGGGAAAAATCTAACACAATATTGGTGAATAAAACTTCTAATGAGTGAACCCCATTCATACTCCTTTCCCATGCTTTTAGGGAAACATAAATTATATAGAAATAGTACTACAGATGAACAAATGGAAGTTATGTATGATTTCTAATAATTAAAGAAAGGTTCCGTTATCTTGGGAGATTTGGCATTAAATCTAAATTATTAATATAGGAAGATAACCATATTAAAAGTTAGGGGTTTTTTTCATCATTAATCTCCACCAATTTAAGTTATTTCTCTTCAAGTATCATCATGGCTCAGATCAAGCCTCCAGAGTATTCTGCAGATTTGAGATGGAAACTTCTTCCTTCTAATGACAGGCTTCTCTCTATTTAGGATACCAGAGAACCTTTCATTTCTCTTTTTTTTTTTTTTTTTTTTTTTTTCGAGATGGAGTCTCGCCCTGTCACCCAGGCTGGAGTGCAATGGTGTTATCTCGGCTCACTGCAACCTCCACCTCCCAGATTCAAGTGATTCTCCTGCCTCAGCCTCCTGAGTAGCTGGGATTATAGGCTTGCACCACCACACCTGGCTAATTTTTTTTTGTATCTTTAGTAGACACAGGGTTTCACCATGTTGGCCAGGCTGGTCTTGAACTCCTGACCTCAAATGATCCGCCCGCCTCCACCGCCCAAAGTGCTGGGATTACAGACGCTCATGCCTGGCTGTTTCATTTCCCTTTTTTTATGTTCAGAAAAATCTGAAACACCCAGTGAGCTCGCTCATCCTAATCACATTTCATGACCAGTAATACCACCATGCAATTAACTTAATAAATGGTTTTCATTTAAAAAGTAGAAAGAATAGTTAACAAAATTATAAAAATGAATAAAGGGAAGTCGCCCTACCGGACAATACATCTCACAGCTACAATTCTTACAATATTGTAGCACTATCACATAAAGACCCACATACATGAATGAAATGGAATTACAAACGTTGACTTCAGTAATTTATATAATAAAGGCAACATTTCAAATCAACTAGATAGCCATCAAGAAAAAGGATATTTGCACCCCTACCTCATATCTTAGAGTAAAATTAATACTGAATACAGCAAAGGTAAAGATGTAAAAAAACGAACACATATATATACGTGCATGTGTTCATGCGTGCACACATGCACACACAGAGTGGAAGAAAACATGGGGAAAATTTTATAATTTCAGAGTGAGAGAGGCCTTTTCAAGTATGACAAAAATCCAGAAGACTAAAAGAAAAGAGAAATTTAACTACACAAAAATAACTTTTTTGCATGGAAAAACCATCATAAGCAAAGTCGAAAGGTAGATAATAAATGGGAAAAAATGTTTATAGCTCACATCACAAACAAAAGACTAATTTCCTTTCTCTCTTCCTCTGTCTCTGCACACACATACACACAACCACCTACACACTTTTCTTACAGAGAAAGATCTAAAAACCAATAGAAAAATGGGCAGAGGCTATGGAGACAATTTGCTAAAGAGGAAGCAAACACTGAAAAGATGTTCACCTCGTTCATAGATTTTCATATGTGTAATATGATTTGAAAGTACAATTCAATTACATTTCAAAAAGAAGTTTGTTTTCAAAAACAAACAAAATGCCATGTTTAACTCATCAGATTGGAAAGGCGAAAAGACCTTGAGCATATATCCAGTTTGCTCTTTATAACAATGTGACTGACACTATTCCCACCAAGATGGAGTTCCCTCCCTTTGTGTCCCCTCTCCTTACACCTGGGTGGGCTTGTTAACTCTCCCCACTGGATGGATCGTGGAAGGGATACTATGTGACATCCAAACACGTCTTTTTATAAGGATGCCTCCTTCGATCACTTGCCCCAGGCATCTTTCTTGCCTTCCCCTAGCCCTGGACATGCTTCTAAAGTCTAGACCATAAAAAGGATCTAGCTTCCACCTGGCACTCTTTCTGTCTTCCAGGTACTCTCTGGAGCCCTGGGCTCCCATGTAAGATGTTTGGCTACCCTGACGTCACCAAGTTGAAGAAACCATGTGGAGAGACCACAAAGAAATAGAAATAGAAAGAGATACCTGAGTGGTCCCAGTGATTCCATCACTGAGAGTTTTGGCCTGTGCACCAGAGGTGTAAGTCCTGTACCAGATATGTGAGGAAATCTTCAAAGTTACCCATCTGAAAAGCAACCTCCTCTGAGACCCCAAACCAGAACAGTCCAGCCAAGCCGCCCCTGCATCTGGAAACTGTGAGAGATGAGAAATAACGATTGTTGTTTGAAGTCACTAAGTTTTGGGGTGATTTGTTAGGCACCAATAGGTAACTAATGCACATACCCATATAACTTGCTGCTGGTAGAGTAAAGTGCTACATCCTCCTTGAAGATTAGTGATTTATTAACATCTAATCAAAATAACACATACATAAGCCCTTTCCCCAGACATTCCACTTTTAGAATTTTCTTGGGCTGGGCATGGTGATTCATGCCTGTAATCCCAGCACTTTGGGAGGCCAAGGCGGTTGGATTGCTTGAGGTCAGGAGTTCAAGACCAGCCTGGTCAGCATGGGGAAACCCCATCTCTATAAAAAATTTTTTAAAAAAGAAAGAAAGAATTTTCTCAACAAATATACTCACACAAATGCAAAGTGACATATGTACAGTATTATTTATCACAGCACTATTTCAATAGAGATTATTGGAAACAACCTAAATATGGGCCCGTTTTAGCAAATTTTCATTCCACAGATTATTGTGCCATCTAAAAGAGAATGAAGCTATTCTTTGTATGTTTATATAAAAATAAATCTCCAACTTTAATGCAAAACAACAAAAAAGTAAGGTGCAAGGCAGTGTGTATAGCACAGTCGCAATTGCAAAAGAGAAGAAAGAAAAAAATATTTGTCCATAATTGCATGAATATGCATAGATTATCTTAGCAGTTACACAATGAAATTTCTACATCCATTGCCTGGGGAAGAGAACAGAAGACTAAGAGATCAGAGTGGGAGGGCAGAGTTTCACTGTGTGCTTTTAGTACCTCTTAATTTTATGCCAGGTGAATATATTATCTAATCAGAAATAAATAAATCAGATTTACTTAAAAAATAAATTTCTATCAATTGTTTCCACTTTTACTTAACACTGGACTTTTAGATATTAGGGCTGGATCGTCAATCTGAGGTACATGTCATGCAGACAGGGAAATAATAGGAAGAGGGCAGTTCCCTGGCAAAGCCCCACCCTCAAGCCTGAAAACCCACAGCCCTCAATGAGAATAGGCATTCCTGTTTTCATGCCCCAAAAGTTGCCTTTTGGCCTGCCATGCCCCTATCTTGTACCCATATAAACCCTGAACCCCAGGCTCTGGGGGAGATGAGCAGACAAACAGCAGAACGCATGGCAGAGCAAGAGAGAAGAGAAGGAGCATCTGAATGCTGAGAGGAGTTTGGCTAGGGATGATCACAAAACAGATTGGCCACTGAACAGCCAAACTCCAGGGGAAGATCATCTTCCCACTCCATCCCCCTTTTAGCTCCCCATCCATCCCACTGAGAGCTACCTCCACCACTCAGTAAAATCCCCGCATTCACTCTTCAAGTCCGTGTGTGACCTGATTCTTCCTGGATGACAGACTAGACCTGGGTGCCAAGAGGGTCCACTGAGCTGTCTAACACTTAAGCCATTTGTGGACAGCAAGGTTAAAAGAGCGCATTATAACACACGCCCACTTGCGCTTCAGGAGTCACAGACACCCACCCCTACCTAGATGCTGCTGTGGGGCCAGAGCCCAAATGTGCTCACCCTGGTTCCTGCACCTGCCTGTCTGCATGCTCCCCCTCCTGCAAGGGGTTTGAGCTCATGGAGGCTGAACAGAAAGCCACACCCCTGTCACACTTCCTGCAAGGAGGGCCAGGGAACTCTCCTGTCTCACATACAGTCCTGAGGATTCAGGAAGATTTTTCCCCAGGGTGTATACACATGGGCTAGGAGGTTAAAGGAATTGGCTTCTAGATGCAGAATGTCTATAAAACTCATTAGTCTGGGAAAGCACCTTGCTGGTTCTTCCTCCTTTTCCCTCTCAGCCTTTCTTCTCTCACTTGACGGAAGACAAGAGTACCTCTCACCTGTCCTGCATTTTATTCTGATGCATTGCTCCAGGCCAGGAAGAATTTTGGGAAGCCAAATAAAGAAACAATTCAAACAATTCAACATTTGTTTGTTATTTTGCTTTAAGATTACTTTGGAGATTTATTTTCATCTCATCATACAAAGAATAGCCTCTTTCTATTTGGATGGCACATTTCAAAATGTTGGCATTGATCTTGAGAAAGTGAACAACGTGAAAGATTGGGAAATACATCTTTTTGCAGATCAGATTCTTGCAAAAGTAGTTTGTAGGCTTTTGTTTTCAATAAAATTAAAAGAGGACCCATTGAATTATCAGCTGGAAGAACATTAAAATTATTATTTTGAGACAATGTTTCACTCTGTCACCCAGGCTGGAGTGCAGCGACACAATTGGCTCACTACAGCCTCAACCTCCCAGGCTCAAGTGATTTTCCCACCTCAGCTGCCATGCCCAGCTAATTTTTGTATTTTTTAGTAGAGATGGGGCTTGACCACGTTGCCCAGGCTGGTCTCAAACTCCTGAGTTCAAGTGATCCTCCTGCCTCGGCCTCCCAAAGTGCTGGGATTACAAGCATGAGCCACTGTGCTTGGCCATAAATTATTATTATTATTGTTGTTGTTGTTGTTGGGTTTTTTTGAGACAGAGTTGGACTCTGTAGCTCAAGCTGGAGTACAGTGGCAAGATTTTGGCTCACTGCAACCTCCACCTCCCCGGCTCAAGTGATTCTTGTGCTTCAGCCTCCCAAGCAGCTGAGACTACAGGCGCGCACCACCACGCCCAGCTAATTTTTTGTATTTTAGTCGAGACGGGGTTTCCCCATGTTGCCCAGGGTGGTCTCAAACTCCTGAGCTCAGGGTCCAACTGCCACAGCCTCCCAAAGTGCTAGGATTACAGGTGTGAGCCACCGTGCCTGGTCCAAAAATTATTTTTGATGATAGATCACACAGATCATTTTTTATATATAACTGAGGACTTCAGAGAAATGAGTGATTTTACTCTGACAAAACTCCTTTCATGGACCTCTGCTTATTTATATGAACAATGTTCCTCTGCATTAACATTTTTAAAAACAGCCATAAAAACAGCCAGGCACAGTGGCTCAGGCCCATAATCCCAGCACTTTGGGAGGCCAAGGCAGGCAGATGGCCTAAGCTAAGGAGTTCGAGACCAGCCTGGGCAACATGGTGAAACCCCATCTCTACAAAAAAATACAAAAAAATTAGCTGGACATGGTTGTGCGTGCCTGTAGTCAAAGCTACTTTGGAGGCTTAGGTGGAAGGATCACTTGAGCCTGGGAAGTAGAGGTTGCAGTGAGCTGAGATCACGCCACTGCACTCCAGAGGCAACCCTGTCTCAAAAACAAACAAGAAAAAAACCACCACAGCATCATTTTTTAAAGACAGAAAAGTGGAATAAAATTGATGTAATAAATTATACTCATTCACATATAACTGAATTTGTTTAAAGACCCAAACAGCCCTATTGATTTTACTGAGATACATTTCTAATAAAATTTTAATATTTAATGATTACAGTTGGTCAAAACAATTATACTCCATCTAAACTTTTTATTACCCTTACTTAGAACTTTCCAGTCCCAGGAAATATTTTAAATTTCAATTTGTTTATATACTTTTGCTGCATGAAAGAAGGATAGAGTGACTTTTCAAAAAGACTTTCAAGTATTCAGAATGTTATATTGGGGTAATATTCTTTTGGTGAAATAGAATAAAATGAGTTAAAAGTGAAAGAGTAACCATGTAAAATTTCCAGGTGTTAAAGAATAATTTATTGATATATTTTTAAAATTATGATGGTGGCTATAAAATGGCTATAGTATTTGGATACATTTTAAAGAATGATGTAAGAAGGTTTTTAAAAGGTTCATATTTATTATGTATTGGAAGTTGTATCTTTTGTTAAAGAGACATTATTTATTTATTTATTTATTTATTTATTTATTTATTTATGACAGTCTCACTCTATTGCCCAGGCTGGAGTGCAGTGGCGCCGTCCTGGCTCACTGCAACCTTCAAGCATTTCTCATGTCTCAGCCTCCTTAGTAGCTGTGACCACAGGCCCGCACCACCATGCCCAGCTAATTTTTTGTATTTTTAGTAAAGATGGGGTTTCACCATGTTGGCCAGGCTGGTCTCCAACACCTGGGTTCAAGTAATGTGCCCTCCTTGGCCTCCTAAAGTGCTGGGATTACAGGCGTGAACAACTGCACCCAGCCTGAAGAAACATTTTAAATAACGTAAACTGCAAAGGGAAGAAGTAGTTTTTCAAATTATTTTAAGCAATACACAAATAATTTGAAATATTGCCTTAGAGACCACCTGGTTCACCTCTCTTTGTGAATGAAAAACTTCTGTAAGTAACTTTCTTAAGGTCACCAAGTAACAAAAGGGACCAGACCCCAGTCTCCTGCCTCCTGCCCAGTCAGGCAGGTCTAACACTGGCAATCTTCCTAGTAAGGGTAAGTCCTCTATGGTCCTGGGCAGAAACAAGTGAGTGACAAAGAGCAAAGGGAATAGAGCCCAGATAGGAGTGTTTGGCACTCTGCCACCCCCTCAGGAATGTGAATGTAGGTAAAACACAAGCAACAAAATGCTGTCTTCCACACATCCTCGTGGGGTTGCACAACCTTTTGATGCCTTCCTAAGACCACCCTTCATTTTCTTTCCCATCTTTTTCATCTCTGATTTCCATGACTCTCCTGCCCTCACGTGCTCATCGGGCACCTCTCTGGAGAAGCAGCCTTATTCCTGGCCCGAGTCCAGCAGGCAGAAGAATGAGGCTGGAGAAAGGTCAACACCTGGCACCTCCTTAGCTTTGTCTTGGCAGCTCCACTTTTAAGCTTTTCCTTTTTTCACCCCTACACCTGCTTTCCAGCTTTGCTCAAACTCATTCAGCTACAGGTGGGGTTACCCAATAATGTATCCTCTATACTTGCATGCATTTGAAAGATACAGAGGGGGTGTTGTGCTATTCCTAATTATGCCAGAAAAACAAGTAGAATCCAGGACCGTCCTGGGCTATAGGGCTCTTAGTGAGGAAGGAAGGGCAAAGCTGCTCAAAATGTTGGATTAGGAGTGGGGAATGTCAGAGCAGCAGATAAACCAGTGAGATCTGTCTGAAAATGAGTGATGAGACTCAGTTGAGGAGAGAGATGCATAGACAATGTCTGGTGTCTTGTTTTTGTCTAACACTCTGGGGAGAGCCAGTATCACTGTGGGCAAAATCAGCAGCAATCTACTTGATGTGATATGAGGAGTACAGAAAAATCCAGAAATTATACATATATATTTCTGGTGACTTCTGCAATGCCTGATATAGTCCCTAAATTAAAATTATTGCTTAGGCCTTCTGGAAATTACTTCATTTTACCTGGGAGATATAACTTGGTGGGCACACCACAAATCCATCCTTCTTTACCTTGTAGAGAAGTGTCACGAAAACATGGGCTACACGGATAGGTAAGTTTTGGAGTGGGAACTAGAGATGACATAGGAGAAAATTCTGAACAGAAGGTACTGGACCACGTTTATTGGGAGGAGGGGCACCTTCACACATGCAACCCACTTAGTCCTTCCATAACCACATGGATGAGCACAGCCTTTCCTGCTTTACCCACTGTGCAATGCCAGGAGGGCCTGTTGCCTCGTAAAGTGTCTTTGAAAAGATCATTACAGGAGACAGATTGTGCTAGAATAAAAAAGAATAACCCTTTGTATTCATGTAGTTCTCCATGTTGATAAAAGCTTTCACTCGCATTCCTTCATCCAGATGTGGTAAGAGCCCCATGAAGTTCTGACTTCAGGTTTGGTGACTTGGTGTTTTTTCTATAGGCCAAAACCTCTATGCAGTTTATGAGAGATCAATCCTGACAAATTGCCCTTGGCCTTATAGGGAGGATTATTGGATCCCTCCAGTCACGCATGTTGAGAAAATATTCATTGACAACTAGATTCACATATAACCTTTACTGAAGTCTCTAAGTTCCTTAAAACCGAATGATTTGCCCACCTTTCCAGCCTCTTCTCTGTTTTTTCCTGTTCTATCCTCTAGTGTGGTCTCTTTTGTGGTCCTGGCCTATACCAAATCATTTTCCACTGGTTGTTTTCTCTGCCTGGACCTGCTTTCCCCTAGATCTTTATATGGCTGGCTTATTCTCATCCCTCAGGATAAGATTAAATTCTTTAGACCCCCCCTTCCCCCTCTTATATAAAGTGACCTCCCTGGTTACTGTCTAATACATCATCCTGCTTATTTCCTTGATAAACACAGCACAACCTGTAATTGTCTTATTTACTTATTATATACTTTTATCATGTCTTCTCACTAGAACATGAGTCCCATGAGGCAAGGACCAAGTCTCACTTTTCACTGCTCTATTCCCAGTGACCAGTACTCAATAAATATTGTTTTATGAATAAAATGAACAAGCAACTGCAACTGGGAATATTTGCTCTGTGTCTGTGGCCAGCTAACATTTCTATCAGGGATAGTTTTGCTATAATTCCAAGCAGAGTTTATTCTGGAAGCTACAGTCAGTCAATCATTTGCTTACCTAAGTAGAGGCACCCAGTGTGATGGAAAGAAACCATCATCTATTTGAAAGAATCATCAGCATGTCTCAGGAAAGGGAGCATCAAGATCATATTGGGTCAACTTATTAGGTCCAAATCCTCCAATCTATATAAATAAAGTGCTTGATTTTTTAAAGGGAAAATCTCATACACTTTCATCAAATTTTAATCGTACTATTATGAGGAAGCATAGCATGTAGAATGGTTTAATTGGAAAAGATATCAAGCACAAAACACTCTTGAACCTGTTTTGGCAAGATGCTGAACTCAGCAATTATTCACCCCTAGAAGGTTCCAGAGGTTCCAGCATATGTTAATCCAAGAACAATTTTATTGGACTCTGTTCATCTTAGACTGTAGATACTGTAGCCTGTTTTACTTTTATTTAAAAATCTACTTTTATTGCTGTCTTAGGACCAGGATGTTGGATTCTTTAAGTGGAAATTCCCTGGGGTTCTGGCATAAGCTAGTGATCAGAAGGAAGGGAGCTAAAAAGTCTATGGGAAGGCAAAGGAAAAAAATCTTAGAAACAAAGAAGAGAAAAGAATTTGAAGAGTTTTTGAAGGGCAAAATCATTTTCAGACTTCCCCTAAAACAATAAAGGCCAATTCTAAATGTATGTGGTTCTACATTTATATTTTTACTCTATAAGAATATATCCAAATTAAATAAAAAATTACAAAGTGTGACTATAATTTTGGCAGTTTTCTTCCTAGACTGTAAGATAGGAAAACAAGTTTTCTTTTGTTTGTTTGAGACAGGGTCTCTCTCTGTCGCCCGGACTGGAGTACAGTGGCAGGATCGTGGTTCACTGTAGCGTCAACCTCCCGGGCTCAAGCGATCCTCCCACCTCAGCCACCCCTGGCTCCAAGTAGCTGGGACTACAGGTGTGCACCATCACACCTGGCTGATTTTTAAAATTGTTTTTAAGTACAGACAGGGTCTCACTATGTTGCTGAGGCTGGTCTCAAACTCCTGGGCTCAAGCAATCCTCCTGCCTCGGCTTCCCAAAGTGCTGGGATTACAGGTGTGAGCCAACACAGATGCCAGGAAAATGAGTTTTAATACTCTAATATTGGTATAAAAGCTGAGCAAATTTTCCCAGAAATGAGATACACATTTTAACTACAATGATGTAATGAAGACCTGTAATTAAGTAGACTCCATACTGTTATTAAAAAAAAAAAAACCAAAACTGAGATTCTAGTAATGATAGACTAGACAATTTAAACCAATCCACTCACTGAGAGCAGCTAGAATAATGAGATACAATACAAAAATACCTGCTTGAAGGTATCCGAGAGCTAAAAAGACAACAAAGGGCTGGGCATGGTGGCTCATGCTTGTAATCCCCGTACTTTGGGAGGTGAGGTGGGAGGATCACTTGAGCCCAGGAGTTCAATACAAGAATGGGCAAGATAGCAAGACCCTGTCTCTACAAAAAAAAAAAAAAAAAAAAAAAAAAAAAATGTAAAAATTAGCCAGGCATGATGGTGCATACCTTTAGTTCCAGCTACTTGGGAGGCTGAGGTGGGAGAATTTCTCGAACTCAGGAGTTTGAGGGTACAGTGAGCTATGATCATGCCACTGCACTTCAGCCGGGGCAACAGATCAAGATCATGTCTCTAAATAATAATAATAATTTTAAATAAAAAAAAAGGAGAGAAAAAAAGAATGTAGACCAAATCAGAGAAATAATAAGGTACTTTATAAAATAAGATTACAAACCCAAATATAGCAGTAATTGCATGTAATACAATAAGGCAATGAAAAGCCAAATATCTTCAAACTGGTACCAAAAACCAATTTGATGTTCATTAAAATTCTATCTGTGAATATAGACATGTTAAAAGTGAAAAGGTGGGCTGGGCATGGTGGGTCACACTTGTAATCCCAGCACTTTGGAAGGCTGAAGCAGAGGGATCCCTTGAGGCCACCAGTTCAAGACCAGCAAGATATTATTTGTAAAATAATAATACTTTTTTAAAGTAAAGAGATGGACTTAAAATACATTTTAAATATCAATGAAAACAAAGTGGGTATAGCCTTATTTCTATCAGTTACTAGTAAACCATATCTCCAAAAACATACACTTAATGATAAAATATACGTCTTATTAGGAAGATATCACAATTCTAAATTTGTATCCACCTAAAAATCTAATCTTCAAAATAATATAAGGCAAAAACTAACAGAACTAAACAGGAAAATAGACAAAAATATTAATTTAGATTTAGTGGGAGGTTTTTTCTTTTTTCTTCTTTTTTTTTTTTTTTTTTTTTTGAGACAGGGTCTTACTCTGTTGCCCAGGCTGGAGTGCAGTGGTGCAATCTCAGCTCACTGTAACCTCCGCTTCCCAGGCTCAAGCCATCCTCCCACCTCAGCTTCCCGAGTAGCTGGGACTACAGGCACATGCCCCCATACCTGGCTGATTTCTGTATTTTTTGTAGAGATGGGGTTTCCCCATGTTGCCCAGGCTTGTCTTGAACTCCTAAGCTCAAGTGATACAGCACCGTGCCCAGCCTAGCGGGAATTTTTTAAAAAACATATTTTGTAACTGAGAACAAGCAGATAAAAATTGGTAAGAACACAGAACACTTTAGCAACAAGTGCCAAATAACTTGAGAGATAAGATGGAGCATTCAACAACTACAGTGCATATATTTGTAAAGCATATATATAGAAAAATTGATCACATACTGTGTCATAAAGCAAGTTGAAACAAATTTCCAAGGATTGAAGTTATATAGCATATGAAAAGAATTGCACACCGCAGATGAAAAGAAATCAGTACCAAAAAACCCTAGAAAACCTTCACATCGGCCAGGCGCGGTGGCTCACGCCTGTAATCCCAGCACTTTGGGAGGCTGAGGCGGGTGGATCACGAGGTCAGGAGATCGAGACCATCCTGGTTAACACGGTGAAACCCCGTCTCTACTAAAAACACACAAAAAAATTAGCCAGGCTTGGTGGCGGGCACCTGTAGTCCAAGCTACTCGGGAGGCTGAGGCAGGAGAATGGCATGAACCCAGGAGGCAGAGCTTGCAGTGAATGGAGATGGCGCCACTGCACTGCAGCCTGGGCAACAGAGCGAGACACAGTCTCGAAAAGAAAAGAAAAGAAAAGAAAAGAAAACCTTCCTATCTATGGAAATTAAGAATATGCTTTTAAATGTCCTCTGGATCAAAGAAGAAATCAAAATGGAAATTAGAAAATATTTTGGAATGAAGTGAATGAAATCATGAAGTGAATGAAAATGCTACATATTAAAATTTGTAGTAATCCCTTGCTTTGAAAGCATTGCACATTATGTATTGACTTTCTCCTATGGAAGAGCTAAATTTAACTCCTTAAAACCTTCCCATGTTTCCCCTTCTCCCAGTATGTCCCTTCTTTCCATTCTTCATTCTCCCAGATAGTTATAGCACATTTTGGTTAAATTAATAGTCGCTAGTTATATTATTTGACTATATAAATATTTTTCACAAAACGTGAATGGGATAGATGTTGCCTTCAAGGCAGATCAGTCTTTACCTCTTACCTACATAATTTACTTTCTTATTATACTTTTGCTATCCTCAAACCTCCTCACTCCAGCTGCCAAGGACATCAGCTAACAATAAAGTAGCTAAAAATCTCCACAATCCAGACAGTTAAGGGCAAAAGCTTCCCTGATCAAATGGCAACTCAAGATGGAAAGGGATGTGTTTGTATATTGCAAGATGGCAAGAGCAAAGCTAAGGAATGCACAAAGGAAACAGTGTTAAAAAAATAAAAAGTAGTAGATGCTTTCAAAGTGGCTGGGGATAGCTGCTTCTTTTTGGCTGTGAGAGTGCAGAGCAAGAACAGACTGAGCTGAGCATTCTTAATGATTTTATTACAAGAGAAATATAAAAGTTCAAAATGGTCTATTTATTTTCCTCCTTTTTAATATGGGGGGGAGAGGGAG
Organism: Homo sapiens; assembly: GCF_000001405.40. Taxonomy (NCBI): domain Eukaryota; kingdom Metazoa; phylum Chordata; class Mammalia; order Primates; family Hominidae; genus Homo; species Homo sapiens. Next base: position 78,744,901 of record NC_000005.10, read on the forward strand.
GGAGACAGACAGACAGCTCCCAGGATACACATCCATTGCTTAATGGGTGTTCCCTGGGATACAAGAACTGTGCTTATGAATTTGAGTATCGAGTCCTTTCTGCTGCAACCCCTAGGAGATACTCCTCTTTATATACTAAGTAGAAAGGGCATAAGCAGAAAAGAAAGGAAAAGAATCCTCTTTCCCAGCCACAGCAGGTGGGGAGGCAGAAAGCAACTGTCTTTATTAAAGGCATCGAAGCAGAATGAATATGGTTTTGGTGTTCTGAGTTCCTGATTGGAAGCCAAAATTCCTTTTCTGACAGAAGCAGTGTGAACCCATGTAACTATCAGGAATTGTCACGTAGGGTATATTCTTGTGTCAGGATGGTAGCAGAGAATAACAGATATCATCTATAAAAAATCAGAGTTAGGGTTTTACTTTTCTCCTGTTGAAACAGATTTCTTTGGAAGAGCTGGAAACTTAACAACTATTCATTTTTCCATTCATTCAGCAGATATTTATGAAACACTTATGAGTACTAAGCACTGAGCTAGAGCTGAAAAGTCCTCTCAAAATGAACTTATAGTCTAGTAGGGGATGCAGATATAAAAAGACACTCACAACTGTACAATAAAGTTACCCTGGGTAGATATGGTGCTGGGGGCACCAGGAGAGGTAGTCTTTGGTGCAGCCTGGGTGGATGGATGGGAGGCTTCTGGAAGAACTGTCATCTAAGGCGACACCTAAAACTAAGGATTTGTAGCACTGCAGCTATGGGAAAATATTATTAATCCCAACCTTCAGACTTACTAATTTATAAGACCTAAGTGACATGTAAGTTCAAAATCGATTGTATGCTACTTTTTCCTACACAGAGATTGAAGTCAATCATACTCATTGCTGCGGATGCTTCTGAAGCTTTTCACCAGTTGCCTTATCCCTGAAACCCCTTCTTTTGCTCTGCTCTCCACATCACCACCTGAAAAGATCCCAACCCACTCAGCTGCTTTGTTCCACTTCTTTCTGACCCATTTTGTAGCACTGCCCGAAAACATTACTTGGAAATTCAATGAGAGTTCATGGTGGGGAAGGCTGGGAACTGCTTTTTAGAACTTGCTCAGAAAATGCCTTCAAAATGTAACTAGCCAAGTCTAGCTTTTGATCAAATTTTAATGATCACTCTGATATAAACCACTTTCTATTCCTGATCTGTTTCCCAGGACCTTTCCTGCAATTAATCATCAGCTAAATAGATTCAGAGGGCTCCAGGCCAAAGTAAAAAATGCTCCGAGGCTTGCAAGTGTCTCAACAGATTGTGCAGGAACTTTAGTGAGCATTCTTTATTAGCTCAGACTCACTCTGGGCCGCCTCCACAACCTGAAGTAAGGCTGGCCTGTTACCTTTGTTTCCTCTAGTTTCCATGGATACCACCCGAAGGAGCTTTGAAAGTTTCTAATATAGGCTTCCCTTCTTTTGATAATTCCCTTGGAAGTCTATGGTGGGGTCTATATGGCTCTTAGTTTTTAGATGACATGGCATTCTCTCCATCACCTACCCCAATGTAGCGCTGATGCCCTCCAGTCATTGGGAAGGCAGTGTTGGGATGGCCCAAGCACACCAGGGCTGCCTCTAGAAGCCACATTTCTTGGACTTGAGATTTGAACCTTGTCAGGAACAAAGCAATTAACTGAGTTCCCCGTAAGTTGGCCGGACAAGTGAAGTGAGCTGGAAAATTGAGGTAATTTTCTGGACCAGTCAGACTAGAAACAAAAAATAAATGTAAAAGCAACCCAGCTTCAACTTTCTGGATCTTTCAGTAAAATAATTTCAGCCCAAATGATCTGGAGAATTGCCTCCATTTTATGTTGTATTGTGGACACAGTCTTAGGGAATCCATTTGCCCCCCCAAACCGGACATCTCTACCTTGAATGCACTTTTATAAGAAGTGCTTCCTGGTTTCCCCATTTTTTTTTTCATAATCTATGTAGAGGATAGAATCATTCCTACTTTTTCTTCCCCAAGCAATGCTTGCACATGGTCACAGTTGGAAGCCGTAACAAGCAGGATGGAAGAAATCACATCCTATTCACAGCTAACAGGTGAACCTGCAAATTAATTAACTGGTGGAAATGCTCAAAACAAGTCGTTAAGGAGCCAGGTAATGTTTGTGGATGAGCTGCGTGCAGGTGGGCTGGCCATAGCCATGGCCCAATTCCTCACACGCGTCTGGGCGGTCCAGAGGGCGGGGTAAGGGGCAGGGAAAAGGGCAGTCGGGAACTTTTTTTCCTTGGCAGCCCATCTGCTGAGGTCACAAACAAGCCACACTCCAGCTGCTCTGCCATCTCGGCCTTGTGGGTGGTCTCTCATATACTCGACCAGCCACACAACACAGCCCACCCCCTGCTTATGGCCTCTGCCAGAGTATTTATTAGGAACCGTGCCTTCTTGGAACACTAAATAGCTAGGCTTCATAATTAAAGACTTCATTAGTTACTTGTTGCGAATTTCCATGGCTAATGGGACTCAGGGCTGCATTATTTATGGCATTGGAAGGCTTCCCATCAATCAATCTCAGATCTCCTCTTTTGCCAGGTGCCCACCACACACCCCCTCCCCACAAGTCTGCCAGCAGGATGGGAGGTAGTCAGTGCCATGGTTAACAGGAAAAAAACTCCCAGGGTCTCCACACTGGTCTGCATGAATTCATAGTGAGGCCAAAACTAGGCTGGGAAATGGAGCAAATCTGATGCCCATTTATCATCTTTTAATTGTCTTCTCTTCTTGCTCATCTCATAAGGGGGCATTTCAGCAGATGAGGCTGAACTTGCTCCATGGCCTGTCTTTCAAGATTGTCACTCTAGGGATTATTTTAGAAGCTCTTTGGGGCAGAAGAATGGAGACCTTTAGAGAAAAGGAGCTAAGAAATGCGTTCAGAGCTGCCAAGGAAGCTGGCAGAATACGATCATGAGATCAGTACATTTTTCCTTGAAAGAGTCATTGTGTGGCCTAGTTTGAGAAAAAGCTTTCTTTTCTAATTCCTACTGCATGAGAGAATGCATAATATCAACACAGCTGATATTTGATTACTACCTCATTTCAGGGACTATTCTAAGCTCTTTACCCTCATTCTCTCATTTACTCCTTATGCAGTAGCTCTACACCACAATCTGTTCTCCTCTTCCAAGAGTCGTAGCTGGAACATGGCTGTCCAGCCTGGGACTGCATTCCTCGGTCACCCTGGAAGCCAGGTGAGGACATGTGACCACACTTTCACCAATGGAAGCTGAGCAAGGGCCTGCCAATCTCCAGCCAGAGCTTTTAGAAAGCAGGCTGCCTCTTTGATGTTCCTTCCTCCTTTCCTGTTAGCTGAGCTGGTGGAACATGGAGTGGTCTTAAAACACAAGTTGGGCAGGCTTCGTAGCTTACGCTTGTAGTAATCCCAGCACTTTGGGAGGTCAAGGTGCGCAGAAAATGAGGTGAGGAGTTTGAGACCAGCCTCACCAACACAGTGAAACCCCGTCTCTACTAAAAATACAAAAATTAGCTGGGTGTGGTGGCAGGCGCCTGTAATCCCAGCTACTCGGGAGGCTGAGGCAGAATTGCTTGAACCTGGGAGGCGGAGGTTGCAGTGAGCAGAGATCACGCCACTGTATTCCAGCCTAGGCAACAGAGCTAGACTCCATCTCAAAAACAAACAAACAAACGAACAAACAAAAAACACAAGTTGTTTATCAGAGTTGGTGTCCAAGCCACTCACCATTCCAGAGCATCCATCCTGGGTGGTTTTGTGACAGAAATAAACTGCTTGCTCCTTAGCTTGCTACATGTTAGGGCTCTTTATTAGAAAGCTTATCTTACTACCCTAGCATACTTTGCAACAACCCTCCAATGTAAGTTTATTTATTTTAATATTTTTTAGAGACAGGGTCTTTCTCTCTCATCCAGGCTGAAGTGTTGTCACACCATCATAGCTCACTGTAGCCTCAAACTCCTGGGCTTAAGCCACCCTCCCGCCTCAGCCTCCTGAAGCACTGGGATTGCAAGCGTGAGCCATTAAGCCTGGCCTTTAAATGAAACAAACAAACAAAAAACAACCCATTTTACTGCATTTACAAAACTGCAACTCAGAGAAATAAGGTACTTGGTTTAAATTCATCAGTTACAGTGAGCAGCACTGGGGTTCAAATCTAGGTTTCTGAAACAATCTATGATGATAGGGGGCAGAGTGGTGGTTCCCCGGGGGAGAGTGGATTGACTGGCAGGGTGCACAAGGGAACTTTTTTTGTTTTTTTAAGAGCAAGGTGCTTGGATTAGTAATTATGTTTAACATTTAGACAACATTTTATCATTAAACAAGGCACTTGCATGCAGATAACTCATTTAAGCCTCACAAGCACTCTGAGGAATAGGTATTATTCTTGTACAGATGAGATTGAGGTGTGGACAAGTGAGATATCTTTAAAACAGTTAATAAGAAGTGGCTCTAGGATTTGAACATGGATTTTTTACTCTACATCCTGGACCCATTCTATTATACAAGTGCTGAAGAAACTCTCCCAGGTACAAATTCCAAAAACCAACTTATTCTAGCTTAAGCAAAAGACAAACAAAAACCACACACACACACACACACACCACCCACCTTCCTATGTTTGGTCACATCACTGGGGACCAGATTCCTTGTTCTTTTTTTGCAGCAGTAGTCTTTCTCCACCTGGCTGGAAGAAAATGGGGCCAAAGACAGCTCCAACTTATGGCTTCCAAGCTTAGCCACTCATTAGGAAAGACTGAGTTCTTGCCCATTTCATTCATATATATATATATATGTGCTAGGGAAATACCTTTGCTGGACCAGCTTGGGTCTCTCGTCTTCCCCATGGGCTATTCTTTGAAGCCAGGGGGATGGAGCAAGACATTGTAATTAACAGTCCCACTGGAACCACTATTAGAATGGGTAGCCCACCAGGAACAATTGTTCATAGGAAATGGAGGGAGGAGGATGCTGATGTCAGAATCAGGAAGGGATGTTGGGCACACAAAAACAGACCCACTCTCCGTATCCCGCATAATGGAAAGAACTCCCTGTAGAACTGGCAGCAGCATCCCTTAGTTTGGAAAACTCTATCTATCTGCACACACACATGTAAAATTATTTTTCAGTCTTGCTATAGACATCCTATTGTGCAGTGTGGTCCAAAAAGTTGCATTCCATGACTTGCCTGTTTATTCCAAACCGTCTCTAGAACTTGTTAGTAGCTGCTTTTTAACCATAGTGCCAGGAGAGTCCATTCAGTACATGTGCACAGTCCTGTCCCAGGGAGAGCAAAGTCCCTGATTTAAGGTATTGAGGGAGTAAAATAATTGCACATATGTGTGGGTATGTGGGTGCTGTGTGTGTGTGTGTGTGGAGGGGTTATATTCACACTTAGTTTTCTGTCTCCAGGTTTTCTCTCCAGTTTCTGTCTGAGGATCAAAATTCATTTTCACAACAATCTCTCGGCAAGAAAGAAAGACTAATAAGATGTCAGATATACCATTCTGTCTGTCCCTCAGGCATGCAGGGGTTTTTGGCAGTGCTCCCAGCCAAGGCAATGCACTTAGTTACCCCATGGTCCCAACTGCTGTGCCACAGACATGAGCTTCACAGTCAACTGGAGCAAGAAAACAAGTGGACAGAGTTGTTCAGTCTGGCAGGAACTGTCACCTCTCCCCTCGGGCATGTGAGCTCTCTAGCAACTTGTGACCCATTTCTAAGGCTCCAGACATTTCTGTTCCATGCATTATATTAAACAGTAGAAACTTTTTAAACTTTTAAGTTAAAAAAAAATTAAACCCACAGTAAAACATACATTTTACATTGACTTTGTACACTCATATATACAATATAACCAAAAGCATTTCTTGAAAAACACCCGTTCCTGTTTACCCTTACCCTGTTTGTTGTACTCTGATATAGTTTGAATTTTATTTATATTTATTTATTTATTTATTTTTATTTTTTTGAGACAGAGTCTCGCTCTGTCGCCCAGACTGGAGTGCAGTGGCGCGATCTTGGCTCACTGCAACCTCTACCTCCCGGATTCAAGCAATTCTCCTACCTCAGCCTCCCGAGTAGCTGGAACTACAGGTGCCCGCCACCATGCCCAGCTAATTTTTTTTTTTATTTTTATTTTAGTAGAGAAAGGGTTTCACCATATTGGTCAGGTTGGTCTCGAACTCCTGACCTCAGGTGATCCACCTGCCTCGGCCTCCCAAAGTGGTGGGATTACAGGCGTGAGCCACTGCACCCAGCCTGAATTTTATTTAAAAAACAACTGCTGGGTGATTGATTTCATGACCTGCAGCTTGGAACGCACACAGTCTAACCATTCTATGCAGTGTCCCTGCTGTGCTATCAGCTGAAACTGTGAGCACCTTCCCATCAAACGCTTCCAAAGCTCTTTGTCTCAGGACTCCGGCCTACACCATTCAGCTCGAGAGTATGTAAACTGTGCAGGTGGGGTAGGCGAGTCTATGGCCTCAGACATCATCTCCTCCCTCCTTCATGAGGAGCCTCAGAATGGGAAGGGGCATTTCCTCAGCTGCATCAATCCCTTCCACATCACACCAGCACAAGTGGTCAGCTAGGCTCTGCTTCACATCTCCAGCAGCCAGGAGCTCATCACTGCTGCTCTAGCTGAGTAATGAAAACATCCTTCCAGTTTCCAATAGAAATGACCTTGCTGCCACTTGCACCCTCCATCCTGGTCCTGCCCTTTGAAGTCGGGTGAATTGAATCTCTTTTCCACACTACACACTATACTTGAAAACCCCTGAAGATACCCATAACTGTCCTGAATCACCATCACCAGTTCTTTCCATTTATAAAGGATCAGTTTTCCAGGTCCCTCACCATCCTGTCGGCTGTTTCTGGATACACCCTTGTTTGCCAACATCGTTCTGAAAGTGTGGCTCCCAGGGCAGGAAATTGAATACTTGGGGTGTGTGTGTGTGTAATTTGAAAATACTTATTTTAAGAAATCAGATAGGTTGTATAAGGAACAGAGCACTGGATTCTAAGATTGTAGACCCCTGTCCCAACTGCATGACATTGGGCTAGTCCCTTTCCTTTTTGATTTCTTCATTGCTAACAAGAGAGGGGGTATGGTTAAACGGGTATAATTTCAGTGTGGGAAAATGAAAAAGTTCTGGAAATGAGTAATAGAGATGGTTGCACAATGTTGTGAATGCTCTTAATGCCACTGAATTTTACAGTTAGAAATGGTTAAAATGATCCATTTTATGTTATATATAATTACAATTTTAAAAAGAGAAAGAGGGTTGGGCTGAATATCTTTCCAATGCTAAGATTCCTTCCAATATTTCTAAAGCAGTTACCTTCTGACCCCACATGACTTTGGCTTTGAAGGCCCTAAGGGCCAGGCCCAGCTCAGCAGGAGATGCTGTCCGGGACTCCCACTCCAGCACGAGGGAGACTGTGCATACACCCCTTTGCACAGCCTCCCTACCCCATTGTCCTGGAATCATGTGGTCTAGTAAGGTCTAAACACTTCCACAGCAAAATTAGAGCAGTGGTCCTGGTTGGACCCCTGGGATCAGAGTCCCTGCAGGGCACTTAAACCAAGCAAGAGCTTCTTCAGACAGCCTGACCTCCAGGTTATCTGTGGGGCAGACCCAGAGGTGCAGTCTTGAGGAATTTCTTCCCTACTCCCTGGTTCTGGATTTTTAAATTCTTTTTTCCCTGCTCTCTATTCCAGGGAAGTGGTCGGCTCCAGGGCTGTAGTTCCTTTTCTCTAGTTTTGGGAAGCGGCCTCCCCTCCACGCGCACACGACCTCCCTTTTTTTTTTTTTTTTTTTTTGAGATGGAGTCTCACTCTCACCCAGGCTGGAGTGCAGTGGTGCGATCTTGGCTCACTGCAACCTCTGCCTCCCAGGTTCCAGAGATTCTCGTGCCTCAGCCTCCCAAGTAGCTGGGACTACAGGCATGCACCACCATGCCCAGCTAATTTTTGTATTTTTAGCAGAGCCGGGGTTTCACCATGTTGGCCAGGCTGGTCTTGAACTCTTGACCTCAAGTTATCCACTTGCCTTGGCCTCCCAAAGTGCTGGGATTACAGATGTGAACCACTGCACCCAGCCGACACTACCTCCTTTTAAAAGGTAGAGGGAAGAGGAAATAAACAATAGAAACCCCAAAAATCTGAATCTAAGGACCAAAGAGATGGCCTTCCTAGGCCCAAAACGGTGTGTTGTGCAACCCAGGCAGCCTGCGGGGAGAGGGAGAGATTTGTTTAGTCTTGTGAGACTGATGATCGGCATCCTGCAGGGGTAGGTGCCTCCCAGCAGGGCAGGATCTGAGCTGGAATTCCCAGGCCCTTCTGAGAAAAAACACCCAGGGCAGACTGACCAGCTCCCCAGAGCATTGTGGAAGCCTCCACACCACAGTCAAGAAGTATTTAGGGACTTTGAAATTTAACAGGAAGGGTGAGAGTATTATATCATCCATGTTTTTTTTTTTTTTCTTTTTGCAAACTATGAGGGAGCTGCAAACGACCTCAGGGATCTGATTCACAGTGCTGTTCATATTTCAGACATTCAACAAATGACTGGAAGCAACTCCATGGGGCAATAGGAGATCAAATTCATTCAACAGGGACCTAGGACCTCTTCTGAGAAGCTGCAGCAGCTAAGGACATTCATGCACTCATCAAGGCTGACAAAAAGCCTACGGCAGGAGTCAAGACTGAAAACAACAGTCACATGAATTTGAAGGTGGCAGGGAAGATGGTTTGTGGTACAGTTTAAAGTTAAGAGCCATATATCACTTAGTAAGCTAATGAAAGCCTATTGTGAATGACAGGATTTGCCAGTGAGGTAGAGCAGATTCTGATTTGATAGGCAGCCAATCAGTCAAACAGACACACCTGCACAGGTGCACATGGAGGATGAAGATACAATTGATGGGGTCCAGCATCAGACAGCAAGTACCTACTAAAAAGGGAGCCGGCTACGTTATTCCAGATTTCTGTTCCTACAGACCAAGAATATGTTCTCAATGAGAAAACCACGACTTCTTTCCACCACATCCTGACAACTACAGCAGTTTCTCTAGTCTTTCATTTTCCCTTTCCCTATCGCTTTATTGTACAGTCATGTGTTGAATGTGCCGTGTTTCAGTCAACAATGGATATACATGCATATACAACAGTGGTCCCATAATCAGAATACATATTATACATTTTTTTTTTCTTTTTTGAGACAGAGTCTTGCTCTGTTGCCTAGGCTGGAGTGCAGGGGCACAATCTTGGCTCACTGCAACCTCCATCTCCCAGGTTCAAGCAATTCTTGTGCCTCAGCCTCCCGAGTAGCTGGGATTACAGGCACCTGCCACCACATCCGGTTAATTTCTGTATTTTTAGTAGAGATGGGTTTTGTTATGTTGGTCAGGCTGGTCTCGAACTCCCAACCTCAGGTGATCCCCTTCCCCCCACCCATTCCACCTCGGCCTCCCAAAATGCTAGGATTACAGGCATGAGCCACCACGTCCCACCTATTATACATATTTTTACTGTATATTTTCTATGTTTAGATACATAAATATTTACCATTGTGTTACAGTTGCCTACAGTACTCTGTACCATACAGAGTTGTAGCCTAGGAATGATAGGCTATACCATACAGCCTAGGTGTGTAGTAGGCTACACCATCTAGATTTATGTAAGTACACTCTATGATGTTCATACAACAAAATCATTGAACATTTCTCAAAATGTATCTCTGTTAAGTGATGCATGACTGTACCTAAAGTAACTGGTGTGTGTGCACAAGCTATCACATTTTTAAAAAGCTAAATGGCCAATGATATGTTTTGATCAACATCAGATGGCGATGGTTGGGAAAAATTAGTGGTTCTGTGAAAATGTCATTTTTCTCCATTGTGGCATGCTGATTCAGCTGTTTATATTCCAGGAAGTTATTTTGCTCTCACTGTTTAACAACAACACAAACAATGTAAACAATTCTTGCATGCCTTGTTCGGAGAATTATGTTTTTCATTAATCATTGTAAAAGCAAGGATGATCTTGCAACCTTTTTGTATGCAGCCATTATATGTAGGGCAGTCTGTCTTTAAGTAGGGATAGATCACTCTAAAAGAAATAAGTCCTAGATAGCTTTCCCTCCAAGTCATCTTGTTTAAATACACTTGTTTAAAATGAAAAAAAAAAAGCGGGGGGTGGAGATGAAACCAGAACAAAACTCGCAGGTGGCAGTCTAGGTGTCCATTAACAATTACAGAACAATTGAAGAACCAAACCCATCTGAAACCCATTAGAAGCAATGTAAGTGCTACCATGCAGTCACCCCTCCCACCTTCCCCCAACACCAAGTGGCTTCTCCTCAAGGCAAGGCCATGACATCCACATCTGGGTCCAAAGAGTGGCGTGGGAGTCACAGCTTTGGTTTCTGGAGTCAGTTAGAACCTGAGTTCAAATCCTGACCCTGACATTTACCACCTGCATGACTCTGGACAAATGTTTTGTGTTCTCTGTGCCTTGGCTTTCCTGTCTATGAAGTGAAGATGATGGTATTTACTTCATAAGTGCTTGGGAGGATAAATGAGACAGTTCACATAAGGTGCTTAGTGAACAGTGAGAACTCAAGAAACCTACATTATTATGTTCTGTGGTGTTCCAAATATGCAGGAGCCGAAAGCCATTTGTGCTCTTCAACAGATGGAGCTACATGGATTTTCTCCCCAACGTATTATAAAAAATTTCAAATATACAAAAAAGCCAAAGATTGTACAGTGAATACGCATATACCTACCACCTAGGTTCCACAATTAGTATTTTGCTATGTTTTTTCACTTATCTCTTATCCATAATCCATCTTATTGTTTGATACAATTTAAAGTAAGCTGCAGACATCAGTACTTTTTAGACTACATATTCTATAGATTTCTTAAAAAGAAAAATTACATTCAGTGAAATGCACGGACCTTAAGTACACCATGCATGCATCCATCTTGACTTCTTAGTAAGTGTCCAGCTTCTGTTGCCATAGAGATGGCTTTGCTGTGGGTTGGGCTCTGCCAGGGAACAGGTGGTGGGTGATAGTGGTGGGTGGTCTGGGAGCACGTGGGAGGAGAGGGTCTACCCCTCTAGAGGCTGCTTACTTTTTGAGGCCCAGCAGAGCTCCCAGCTCCCCAGGGAGGTGCAGATTGAGTTATGCTCCTGTCACTATTTCACAGGTTCAAGCCAATTTTAAAGGTTATTTAGTTTTCTCAATGTAGAAAATCCTGTTTCTGCTTCCCTAACAGATGGTGATTCAGTCTGTTTGCATGCCTTGGGCAACCTCACTATGTTGGCTTTCCCAATTTAGAAGTTCTTTCTAAAGATGAGCTGAGATCCTTCCTGAAACTCAGAAGTTCTTCCTTCTGGAGACAGGTTCAAGATTCCTGCTGAAAAAGGAAGCCTGTTCTCTCATGTGCCCTTCATTTTCTCTAAATTGAATTTCTCCAGGTCATTCCATCCTTTCTCATTTGGCACTTATCACGTTCTGTCTTGAACTGTTAATTAACATTTCATCAGCTGGGTGTCTCCTTAATGAGGTTTCCTGCAGTCAAGGACCACAGCTAAGGCTTCTCTATGTATGGCAGCCTGAAGGCACTGCCCACCTTGAAGGTGCTCAATGAATGTACTGATTGATTTAGGTGGAAAAAGAATATTACATGGGTTAGATATAAATGTAATAGATCTTCGAGTCCAAACAATGAGTTTTGCCCTTTAAACATAGTTTGGACCATATATTATGTGTAGGGATGTATGTGCATCTCTTAGTCTATATTCTGTAGAGGAAACAGCCATAGAATATAACACCTAATGAAGAGCCTTGCTTATTAAAGTTATAAATAAAAACAGTGTTCTACCAGCTCTATGTTGTCAAGGCAGGGCTGCCTGAGCCACCATGCTGTATACTTTGAATTATTTGCATCATAATTTTGGGGAAGAAAATCCTGCTGTCCAAGAACCTCTGAAATATAAGGCAAGTCTTAACACTTCTCCCAGGGATGAACTGCATTTGAAATCATATTTCAATCCAAGGTACACCCAGAGCTTTGTTGTGAGAGAGTTCTTCCAGTCCCTAGACCTATCTTCCAAACAGTGTCTCACTGTTTCCTGTAAAGGGCAGTGGTTTCTACTGGGCTGAATACATGAAGAAAGCCCAGTTCCATCCAAGTCTTCTCCACTCACGTTCTTGCCCATTCATTCACAGGAAACCCAAGTTGAAATGGCTATAAGTAAACTTTCTTTGATACCATAAATGCCTGCACTTGGGACAGGCAAGGACTCTGCCCACTCGGCGATTTACATCTTTTCAGGTTGTGTTTACAGAAAGGAACATCTCCAAGCTAATTTTTACCAGAGCTTCTCTTCTCTGCCTCCCATGAGACCAAGTGTTTGCCAGAAGCCGAGTCATCACTCTGACAACATGACGGTGCCCCTACCCTGCATGTGTTTCTTTTCTTCCAAAACCAATAGAAAAAAACCCCAAAACCTATGTTCACATGTGGTTTTCATGAAAGGAAAGAGTTGTTGACACCATCCAGATGGGGACTGGGAGGCGCTGGTTTCCAGCCTGAAGCTGGGTAGGGCTCTGGGTGAGCGGGATTAGGAGACTCTGATATACTTGGGATGACTCATATCCACTGGGGGCTTAGGAGATGTAAAATAAGCCTGTGCTAGATTTTGCTGTGAAACTCATGATACAAAGGCACATCTCCAACACACCATGGCATTCAGAAGGGCTTCTTTAAGGAGACATCTTCAGAAGGAAAAAGAGCAAATTAGAACTTCAGTGTTTTTGGAGAAGACTCCCGGCTACCTCACCTGTTGCATAAGGCCTTGTGGCCAGCCCGGGAGTTATAGACGATGAGAGTTACTGGTTGTTTTCTAGAGAGGCACAGTCTAGTCTTGTGGAGGGGCTGAGAGGTGCTCTCTGAAACAGCCAGACCAAGAAGGCTGGGGATGTGTGTCCATCATGCTGGGGGTGAATTAGCACCAAGGATCAAGACTGAAGAAGTCCAATTCTGTGTTCAGTACACTTCACATGGAGCCTGGGATAAGGTGAAATAACCTGCTGGGTTGGCCCTTGAGATGGATGGAAAGTGAAAGAAGGGATAGGAGGTAATCAGGAGTGTCCAGGACAATTGTCCTGGACAATTTCCTCGATCGGAAATGGTACCCGTGCTTTTATTTTATTCGTTGCTCAGTGCATAATGAATCTGTTTGGTTGAAATGAAAGGATAGCATCTAGGAAAACAGCTGCCTTCAAAACAAAAGTGATTTTGCTTTCTGGAGCTGCCCTATCAGCAAAGGCAGTTTCACCTTCACCTTGGGGTCAAAAAGATTTGCCTCTTGAATGCATGAGTCAAACCTAAACTGTGTCGGATTTTTTAAACCTATGACCTTTAACCACATTGTTGATTCACAATGTCAAAAAGCTTCATTCTTCTTTTGGACTGGAAAGTTTAAACATACTTAGCACAAAGTTGAATCCTGGGTCCACATTTTTAAAAAAATTACCTTTCTAGTTCAGCTAGAAGAACCTCATTTTAACAGAGCACTGTTTGAAAGACTGCATAAATTATGACCAACAATAACAAACCTTTTTAAACAAACACATTAGAATGTATAACCAAAATACATGTGAGTTTTAGTCACATGATGCTATTATTACTCAAATTATTTTCAAAGTTCCTCTTTCAGAGTGGCCTTGAAGACAACTTGAACAGAAGCAGAAAAATGTCACCTGACTTGATAGTCACAGGTTTGCTTCCTTGATCTCATCCAATTTTCTGCCTTTCACATTCTTTTTGCAACTTTAACCTTGCCCTTCTCCCCTCTTTCACTTCATGAACTAATAACCATGGGACTCCCCCGCCCAACCCTTTAAATATATTGTAATGATGCTACCTGGGAATGGAAAAGTCCAGGAGAAAGACTATGGGGCCAACAACAGCTGGGAATCAGAGAGCCCCATGGTGTATGGGGCGTAACACCCAATATTCCTTTGGGTATTAAGTGCATATAAGAAACATAAGAGGAGGCTGGGCGTGGTGACTCATGCCTCTAATCTCAGCACTTTGGTAGGCCGAGGCGGGTGGATCATGAGGTCAAGAGATCGAGACCATCCTGGCCAACATAGTGAAACCCTGTCTCTACCAAAAATACAAAAATTAGCTGGGTGTGGTGGCACGAGCCTGTAGTCTCAGCTACTTGGGAGGCTGAGGCAGGAGAATTGCTTGAATCCAGGGGGCAGAGATTGCAGTGAGCCAAGATCGTGCCACTGCACTCCAGCCTGGGAGACAGAGTGAGACTCCGTCTCAAAATAAATAAATAAATAAATAAATAAATAAATAAATAAATAAATAAATAAATGAATGTAAGAGGATAACTGATCAAGTGTTCTCTACACAAATCACCACCAGTTGAACCCCCATTAAGGCAGGTAATAGTCCTTGGCTATAGACAAGAGTTGGTACCATGCGCCTAATGTAGGTCTGGATTTGGTTAACATCCTTTTGTGCAACAGGTCAGAGAAGGACTGATAACCAGAACACTGGCAGGCTGTGCTGGAACTGCTTGTTGCTGGATGGCAGGGACATTTGAGGCACAGAGATAAGAAGGGAAAGAACCAACTGTTGCGCGGATTCCCTCAATGGCAGCAGCTGTGTCTTAGTCTGTTTGTGCTGCTAGAACAACATACCTGAGACTGGGTAATTTATAAAGAACAGAAATGTATTTTCACAGTTTTGGAGGTTGAATGTTCAAAATCTAGATGCCAGCAGGTTCGGTGTCTGGTGAGGCCCAGTCTCTGCTTCCAAGACATTGACTTGTCGCTTTGTCCTTTGAAGGAAACGCACTCTGTGTCCTCACATGGCAAATAAATGGAAGGGCGAAAAGGGCCAAGCTAGTTCCCTCCAGCATTTGAATAATGCGCTAGTCTCATTTACGCGGGCAGAGCCCTCCTCCTGGCTCATCACGTCCTAAATGTCCCTCTCTTAATACTGTTGCATTGGGGATTAAGCTTCAACATGAATTTTAGGGGAAGAAAAACACTGAATGCATAGCAAGCTGTAAGAGAGACTTATGAGTTGTCTTGGGCCAATGTCTGGGAAAGGATTAGTTTGAGGGAGTTCCAGTATTGTAGAGCTACAGGAGGAAAAAGTGCCAGGTCAGGGTAGCTGAGAACAATGGAGAAATTGGGGGATAACCTAGATTTGGAACTGGAAGACCCACTTGGATTGTTGTGAGGATTAAATGAGATCTTTATACAAATAATTTGAAGCCACAAAATTGTTTTTTGTTGATGCGTCATTCACCATTTTCCTCATTCACGAGGAAGGCAACAAGCATTAATTTTTCTGGCCCTCCATTAAGAACCTGTCTACATCCTCACCTAGCTCCTGAGCGCCTTGCTTTTTCCATAGCTTAGTGAAAGCCTGCTCCTGTCCTCACCCTAGGCTAATTCCCCCACCTGTGCAACACCTGTGCTCTTCTAGGGCCATCCCTTCCTACTTTGTGAGTTCTTGTTCCGTCAGTTATGCCTCATTTGTTCACATTCTCAGCCTCTCCTTTCCTCTTCCTCATTATCATTCAAACATGCTCTACTATCACCCAACTTAAAAAAAGAGCAACTTCCTCCTTTATGGCACTATGTCCCTATAGGTACTTCCTTTTCTGCATTCAATTTCCTCTTCACAGTCAGCCTTCTGGAAAGGGCGGTCTCTACTCACTACCTGAAATTGCTTAGTCCCTTCCTACTTGAGCTCACTTCAGCTTGGCTCCTGAATCCATCGCTGCACTGGAACTGGTTTTGTCAAAGTGACCAGTGACCACCCCTCACCAAATCCAATGGGCACTTTTTCATTCTTCTATTAATCAATGTTTTCTAAACCTCTTACTCAGCTTCTATGGGAACTTTCTCTCCTATTTTTCTCCCACTTTTCCAACTGTTCTGTCTCATTTATCCTCTGCCATCCACTTCTCAAACATTGGGGATTCCTCTTGGCCTCTAGGGGCACTGCTGTTTCTTCAGCTCTTAGGAGAAAGCTGGTTGGCACACAGTTGGTTCACAGTCAAGGACCTTTCTTGAGCCAAAGGGCTTGGAGTTGGTGCTTTCTTCCTCTTGGACCTGGCTTTGGGGGTTCAGCTCTCCCCAGGTGAGTGGTCTAGTGAACCAGCCTGGGGCTGCCCCTACTGGGAAAGAACCTGTCCTAAAGGTGCAGTTTCCACCAGCAATGCTCCAGCCACCAGAACAAACCCCAATTTATTTCCTCATCCTTATCCTTTTTTCGGCCATGCCATTTCTAGAGCTCACCTTGCCTCTTTAAGGGATAAAACAGAGCTGAGATTTGCATCTGGGCCTATGAGGACAGGGAATAGGTGGCCACTCAGTTTGCTGGATCTGTCTCAGATCTGTCTATTACCGGCCAGAGTGGCTCCTTTAGTTAAACCCGGAGCCCCACGGATAAGTCTCCGCACTGAGGTCAGGGGCTAAAGCCCTAAAACATCCATTCCTTGGGGGCTTCCTTTGCCTGGTTGCATTCTTTACAAAGTTATCTTCCCCAGGATCCTACAACTGTTTATGTGTTGAGGTTCTTGGAGCAGGCATTCACAAAGGCAACCTATCTGACCAACTGGTATCCACAGCCTCTTTTTTTCTACACATACTTGTTCTTTTTTGTTTTTTTTTTTTTGAGATGGAGTCTTACTGTATCACCCAGTCTGGAGTGCAGTGGCACAATCTCGGCTCACTACAACCTCTGCCTCCAGGGTTCAAGCAATTCTCCTGCCTCAGCCTCCTGAAGAGCTGGGATTACAGGTGCCTGCCACCATGCCTGGCTAATTTTTTTTGTTGTTGTTTGTTATTTTTAGTAGAGACGGGGTTTCACCATGTTGGCCAGGCTGGTCTTAAACTCCCGACCTCAAGCGATCCACCTGCCTTGGCCTCCCAAAGTGCTGGGATTACAGGAGTGAGCCACCGCTCACCCGGCCTTTTTTTCTACACATATTTGTTCTGAGATATCTGATCAAACACTAGGGCTCCAAATACTGCACGTGGCTGGTAGTACAATCTCTAGAACAAGAACAGGGCCTCTGACCTCCAGGCCACATGTTCTTGCATGATCAACACATCTAAAAGTCAACTCATCAAAACTCCCCAAAGTCGTCCCTTCTCTCTTTCCATTCCTTCTGCAACTTTCTTTACTTCCCCATTCCACTGCTGGCCTTTTGCTGGTTGCTCTTGCTTCTCCTTAAAAATGTAGCCAAGATGTCACCTCCTTGGAAGCCTCCCTGGTCCCAAGATTGGATTGGTAGTCCTTCCCTCTGTTCATATAGCGGGCTGTACTTTCCCGATATAACACTGTCACTTGTTCCCTTTCCAGTTTTCTCCCTAGACTGGGCATTGCTTGAGGGCAGGAGCCCTGCCTTGGTTATAAACATCCAAAAGAAACTGGGCATGTGAAATGGAAAAATCCTCTGGTTGCAAATGGGAATATTGCTCTTCCTCAAACACATCACCAGTTTATTGAGCAAACTGAAGTCGGTAAGATTCCATTTATTTTTCTCTCCCACCATTGTCTTCAAATGGACTCTGTCTAGTTCTCCTTACTTGCTCTTTGGTGACTTCTCCAGGCAAATGCCAAGACTTTGATCACGTTCAGACATCTGAACAGTCTCACTTGCGATATGAAAAGGTCCAGTCTAGGCCTGGGAGGTGGCTCATGCCTGTAATCCCAGCACTTTGGGAGGCTGAGACAGGTGGATCACCTGAGGTCAGACGTTTGAGACCAGCCTGGCCAATATGATGAAACCCTGTCTCTACTAAAAATAAAAAAATTAGCTGAATGTGGTGGTGCATGCCTATAATCCCAGCTACTCGGGAAGCTAAGGCAGGAGAATCGCTTGAACTCAGGAGGTGGAGGTTGCAGTGAGCCAAGATCACACCACTGCACTCAGTGACAGAGCGAGACTCTGTCTCAAAAATAAATAAATAAATAAATAAATAAATAAATAAATAAATAAAACAAATAAATAAAGGTCCAGTCTAAACCCAACTTAAATCTCATATCCAATTTAAGTTTATTCTCTCTATCCAGCTCAGTCTGATGTTCAATGGAGAAGGCAGCGTGACGTGTTCTGTCATTTTTTTTTTTTTTTTTTTTGAGATGGAGGTTTGCTCTTGTTGCCCAGGCTGGAGTGCAATGGCATGATCTTGGCTCACCGCAACCTCTGCCTCCTGGGTTCTCCTGCCTCAGCCTCCCAAGTAGTTGGGATTACAGGCATGCACCACCACACCTGGCTAATTTTGTAATTTTAGTAGAGATGGGGTTTCTCCATGTTGGCCAGGCTGGTCTCGAACTCCCAACCTCAGGTGATCCACCTGCCTTGGCCTCCCAAAGTGCTGAAATTACAGGCATGAGCCACCGTGCCCAGCCTCCTTCTGTCATTTAATCTTCTCACAGCCCTCTCCCCGTCTTAATCCCCTTCCCCTTCCCCTCTCACCCTTCAGGATTCCCCAGGACTGAGCAGATGAGGAGGAATGAGAGGGAAGGGGCAGAGAGCACCATGTGCAGTTTGTGGCTTTGCCTGAGTGTTTGGTGTCCTGTGCACTCTAAGCCTAACTCTTTTTAGGGCATATTGATGGGACTTTGAGGTATCTTCTCCCAGCACAGGGACTTCTTGCCTTGGGTCCTATGCCCTCTATCTCTGAGTTCCTGTCTGCTAGACACTTATGCCCCAACAGGTATCTCTCTTTAATACCTCTGGCTGTCACTGGGCCATGGAAACCCACTCGCCCTTAACTTTTTGTTAAGTAAAACTTATAGGAGGCCATTGATTTGGGCTGAGCTCCGGTACTAGGCTCCAACAGATCAGACCAAAATGGAAACACTCCCGCTAAAGTTCCACATCACCAAATGTTGCTGTTTATCTGACCTTCTGAGAAACCAGGAGAGATTACAGCCAAATCCCCAAACAGGCCAGTTTTAGCCGACATGACAAGGAAGTCCCCTCTGCTTTAATCCTTCCAAGGAAAGTAACCGAAAGTAACCTGATGCTAACCAATCCACTTTTTGTTCCCCATTTCTGCTCTCTTCAGCCCTTTTCTGTCCATAAAGTTAACCTCTTCTGCTCAGCTCATCAGAACACTCATTGTATTTTATTGAATGAGATGTTGCCCACTTCTAGATTCACTAATAAAAGCCAAGTAGATCTTTAAACTAAACGTGTTGTAATTTGCCTTTTGACACTTTCAAATGGCATCTTGCTACCCAGCTGCCCTCTCTCTTCTTACCCTGCCTCCTGGCTCCACCTGGCTCCTGCTTTCACAGCTCTCGAGAGCCAGGTGCCAGTCATCATGCCCCCAGACTCCAGGGGACACATGGCAAGCTCTCCCAAGACCTTTGGCATTCGCAACTCTGGTAGTAGCACTATGCGGGCTGAAATGTTTTCACCACTCAACAAGCTTCTGTCCATAAAATGAGAGTTTGTCTCTCCTTGCAAGGATCTCCCTAAACCCGAGGTTCTCTTGGACCCCTCTTTGCTTGCTTTGGGGGAGGGGATCCCCTTCCCCATGGAAAAGGAAGGAAAAAGCAAAGCTTGCTCCTCTTACACATTCCCTTCAAGGAACTCTCCATGAACCTCTAGCCTCTCGTTAGCAAGTCCAATGGGATTCTTTTAGCACCTCTCTTTAGAATGTAGGAGTGCTTATTACCCACTGACTCCAACTTTGAAGCTTTGGCCAACACCTGAGACAACAGGATAAGTTCCATTCCATATCCTGTTAGCTGTTTCTTCTGCTTAAAATACTCTTTCTCCTTCCTTAGACCTGCCTTCAGTCTCACATACCTCCCTACCTGCAACCTCATCCAAACTGCCACAGTAAATAGGACAAAAAGGGTTAGATTGGAAACTTATCTCTGAACAAAACTCAAAATCATAAAAATACATTTACTTTATCTATTTTATAAAACAGATATGGTATATATGATTGTGCACAATTCTGAGACTGAAAAAAGAATGAGTCAATTATATGGGGCTTTAGCTGTTTGATAAAATGATATGACAACACATTATGTTTTCCTTTATTTCACATTCAAAGGCAGGAAGATGAAGAGGAATACTTTTGCAAAAATATTCAAGAGTTTCATAATTTCCTGAGGGCCTCTCTTCCACCTTTGATATTCAAATCACCTTCTTTTGAAGAGGCTTTTTTGTCACATCCTTGTCAATTTTCCCTCTGTTAGCTGCTCTAATTCTGCCAGATTCTTCTTTGTCCATGGGCTTACCCATGATTGAGTAGTTCTCTAACTTCACTGCCCACTGCATAAAAAAAGTGCATTTGCTTTGCGTCATATTTCTGTATGGTTACAGCGCTGGGAAATCAGTGGGAGGATGGCTGACAAGGAGCATGAGGCGGCCGGCTAGAGGGAGGAGGCAAGTTTAACGAGGATGGGGTGTTTGCATTTGGATACCTTTTATAAATGGCAGGTAAGTTCATCAGTCAACACTGTGCTGTAACAACTTCTGCTTCCCCATGCCACCTTATGACTTTGGGGCTTAGATATTGAATACTGGGATAACCAGGAACCTCTGCCAGCATCCAGGGAGGTGGCATACTTTAAATGGCTCTCAGCTAAGTTGGAGGCAAGGACTAACTGGAGCGGGCAGAGTACGCAGGAGACATGGATAACCGGGGGGAGTATGTTGAGCCACAGAACCCAGAAGCAATTGGAACGTTCTGAAAGGGAAGGTAAGGGAGGGGCCAAGACGAGTTTGGCCTCTGTGACCACCAAGACTCAAGCTATCTTAGTCTACACATAGGAGACCAAGCTTGTGTCTTCTTTAACCTCAACTCCTGCCTTACATTTTTTTTCCAACTTCACTTTCCTTAAGGAAACCACTAGTTTATCTTCACTGTGTCTAAATCAAAAGAACACCCACACCCACCCTGTGGAAGAAGGAACGCCTCTGTAAACATGGATTGATAACTAAACAGCATCAGGAAGCACATCACCTGCCCTTTGTAACTAGTCCTCGGCATTTGCAAGACTAATCTCAGCACCAGGTATAAGTGATGGAGCCAGTTTTCTGCAGGGAAGTCACACGTGGAAAAGCATTTGTAAAAAAGCATGAACAAACGAAGGGGGAAAATCTTAGGGAAGGATTGGAAGATGAAGGGGGAAAATCTGAGTCTGTTCAAATCTGGAGACCATAAAAAGTGTTTGAAGCCATAAGCTTATATCTTGGAGGAGATCCCAGGGTAAACAAAACTTGCCTGAGGAGTCTGGATAGTGTAATAGTCCGCCCTGATTTGACGAATGTGCTGAAGCCCTCCCAGCTAATAGAGAACAAGCCCTTTGAAGCTCCAGATACAGACTTCCCTAGAGCAGGCAGCAGGGTGGAGCTGCCTGGAGGCTGAGAATGCAGGGTCTGCAGGCAGAACGTCAGGGTTTGGAACAAGAACCAGAGGGAAATCAAGGACTAAAATGTCATCCTAAAATCAGAAGGTGGTTAGGTCCTTGGAATTCAACAAATCGAACACTCATCCTACTAGTATTACCTAAGCCAAGCCCTGCTCTGAGGCAGATATTCCATGAAACAAAGCAGACACGGGCCATTTCTACTGATTAACAATACAGTGTGATGACCACTCCTATGGGAGATGCGTGAGTCAGGAACTCCCATTCCAGTTCAGCGGGGTTAGGAAAACCTTCCCAGGGAAAGGGGCCTTTCAGCTTAAACCTGAAGGATGCGTTAGTCAAGCAAAGAGAAAAGAGAAGAATGAACTGCACCAAGGGACTCACCTGTGTTAAGCCCAGAATCACGAGGGTGCTGGTGGACTGGAAGAGCTGAAGGAGGTTCAGGAGTTCAGATGAAAGAAACTGGGATTATTCATACTGGAAAAGGAAGGCTAAAAATTGAATGAAAGTTTTCATTATAATAAGGTGTTTATACAGAAGGCATGACCTCCTGCACTGAGCCTTGCTCAAAAGAAAAGGGGCTCAGGGGTTCCCAGAACTGATCCAGACTCAGGGATGGGCCAACCCAAGTAGAAGGGCCAGAAGGCATCAAAGCACCATCCCCAGAGATCCTCAGAACCCCTCTCAGGGAAAGCCTGTGTGGGGTTGGGTGGAGTAAGACCCTTGGCAGTGAGGGTGAGATGGTCCCAAGGGCTACTCTTAGTAAGAAATAAGTGGTTGTTAAATTGCTTTCTAAAAAAGGCAGTCAGTTATCTGTAGGGCTTTCCTTTTGCCAAAGGGTGTTCCAACTGGGACCAGACCTGTGTGCTTGGATCAGAGGGCAAGGACTGGGCAGCGCCCAGTGGCCTTCCCTCTCTAGCTCTTCCCAGCAGGGCCCTTATTCCAATATTAATGTCCCAACATTAAAAGAACATTGCCCAGGTGCAGTGGCTCATGCCTGTAATCCCAGCGCTTTGGGAGACTGAGGTGTGTGGATCACCTGAGGTCAGGAGTTTGAGATCAGCCTGGCCAACACGGTGAAACCTCTTCCGTACTAAAAATACAAAAGTTAGCTGGGTGTGGTGCTGTGTACCTGTAATCCCAGCTACTCAGGAGGCTGAGACAGGAGAACTGCTTGAACCTGGGAGGCAGAGGTTGCAGTGAGCCACGATTGTGCCACTGCACTCCAGCCTGGATGACAGGGTGAAACTCTGTCTCAAAAAAAAAAAAAAAAAAAAAAAGATCACTTTGAAGGATCACCAAGTGAGTAGCCTTTCCAATGTGCTCACAAGTCTCACTTTGGCTCTGTCCATAGAAAGGAAAAGGACCTTGACTATTCTCTGGCTACCTCTTCATTTTTCCTCACCTCCTGCCACAATTCCAGACACAAAATAGAAATCAGAGACAGCTGTGTGCTCAGAATGCCCACCTGGAACAGGAGGACTGGTAGCCAGCCTGGGACGAGGGTTCAGGTTCAAACAAAGGCTGGTTTTTCCTTCCTGTCTCCTCCCAGCTGGGGCTCCTTCCCACCCTCTTCTGCTCCCTCTACTATGGGGCCCAGGAGACTGGGGGAGAGGGCTGGTCAGGCCACTCAGGAAAGAGCCATGGGGGCCAATAAACACATGGAAAAGTGCAAACATCTGGCAGTGAAAGAAACACAAATTAACATTTTAAAGTCTGTCAATCCAGCAAGAATCTTAAAAATGTATAATAAGTACTGGTAAAAGTAAGGTCAATCTCTACTCACTGACGATGTTATGGATAAAACCTTAGTAACAAAGGGAAGGGCTAATGGCACCCACTGCTTACTGCTCAATGCCTTCCCTGTCCCAAGAGAGGCTGTCTCCCGCCATCTGGGGATGGGTTAGCTGGACCTAGTTTGGCTTTGCTTAGTAACTAGATGTTTTGGACTGGGGTGATCACCAGGATGACATATTCTCTTTTTTTTTTTTGAGATAGAGTCTCGCTCTGTCATCCAGGCTGGAGTGCAGTGGCCCGATCTCGGCTCACTGCAAACTCTGCCTCCAGGTTCAAGCGATTCTCCTACCTCTGCCTCCTGAGTAGCTGGAACTACAGGCACCCGCCACCACACCCAGCTAATTTTTGTGTTTTTAGTAGAGATGGGGTTTCGCCATGTTGGGCAGGATGGTCTCGATCTCTTGACCTCGTGATCCACCCACCTTGGCCTCCCAGAGTGCTAAAATTACAGGCATGAGCCACCCGCCCCAGCCGGGATGACATATTCTAAAAGCACCATCAGCGGAAGCCCACAGCAGCCCCAGTCAGGTCCTGTCTTCAGAAGGTGACTCCCCAAAACTGTTGCCTGAGAAGCAGGGACTTTGCCTCATCCCAAACAGTAAGAGGGGTGGTGGACATAATGACTCTGGCTTCGCTACTTAACTTTTTTTTTTTTTTTTTTGAGATAAAGTCTTTCTCTCACCAAGGCTGGAGTGCAGTGACGCAATCTCAGCTCACTGCAACCTCCATCTCACGGGTTCAAGTGATTTTCCTTCCTCAGCTTTCTGAGTCACTGGGATTAGAGGCATGCACCACCACACCTAATTTTTGTATTTTTAGTAGAGATGTGGTTTCGCCATGTTCGCCAGGCTGGTTTCGAACTCCTGACCTCAAGTGATCTGCCAGCCTCGGGCTCCCAAAGTGCTGGGATTACAAGCATGAATCACCATGCCTGGCCCCAGCTACATGGGGCAACAATGTTGCCAGTTTAGCCATCAATGTATTTTTCTAACCAGGTTGTGTTGACCAGTAGGGAGTCCTCTAATTTATATATTAATCCAAAACATGCTATCTGAACCTAAACATAGTTTTTGTTCCTCTTTTCAAAGATAGATCCTTGGCCAGGTGTAGTGGCTCACACCTATAATCCAAGCACTTTGGGAGGCTGAGGTAGGTGGATCACCTGAGGTCAAGAGTCCCAGACCAGCCTGGCCAACATGGTGAAACCCAGAGGCATGGTGGTATGTGCCTGTAGTCCCAGCTACTTGGGAGGCTGAGGCAGGAGAATCGCTTGAATTCAGGAGGTGGAGGGTGCAGTGAGCTGAGATCACGCCACTGCACTCTAGCCTGGGTGACAGAGCAAGACTCCATCTAAAAACAAAACAAAACAAAACAAAAACACCCCAAAACAGAGATCCTCACAAAGCAATATTCTTTATAAGAAAGTCCACATATCCAGGCCAACACTTTTGTTCATCCCAATCCCCAGAAATAAATCATTACAAACAGAACTTTCAGAAATATTCTTTGTATCTGAAGTATTTGTTACTCTTCACCTCAGAGCCCTAACCACAGAATGTAAGGACCTATTGACTTTGTAGCCAAGAGAACAGTCTACGTTGCTAGTAGAAATCACCTCCTCCTCCAGAATTCAGCAAGACGGTACCTGACTGTAACTACAGATTAAATAACAGCTGATGTCAACTGGTCATAGAACTAGATACAACATTCATTCCGTTCTCAAGCCAGCACTCTCATCAGAAGCTGTAGTGATACTTTATGAACCCACCTGTAAATTTCATCTGTTCTTCATATCAGCATTGTGCTGTTGGTTTTGTCTGCAAGTTCACTGGGAAGATGGCACAGATGGCCACCAACTTCTGCGACCTGTGTGTGGGGAGGCGATTTTCATGTGAAGTATATGAAAAACTCACTAAATTTAAAGATATTTGTAAAATCCCGGAAGCCACTAATTAGCATTTCATCCTACTATGTCTCCCTCTTTAGTTGTTGCTGCTTCTTGGCTGAACCAAGAAGCCAGCCCCCTCCCTGGCTTCCCCGCCCCCACTCCTCACATGCCTTTGTCATGCTGGTGTTCTTCTTCAACTCTAGCTTTGGCCATCACTCACCACAGATTACCTGGATCATAGATTGCTTGAACAGGATTTCCTACAAATTATCCTCAGTCCTTTGAGGGGCAGGTCAAAGGCAAGGGAAGGGGGCCAAGGGCTAGGGGTCCAACCATGCGCGGGAGAACAGAGCGGGGGCTTTGAGTTAAGAGCTTTGAGTCTGGGCTCCAATTCCAATGCTACTGGCCGAGCGACTTCACGCAACATAATTTCTAAAATGGCAAAAACATTTATCTAAAGAGTAGATATTATTGTGAAGGGTTTAGTGGCCACTGTAAGAGTCAGTAGTGTCTGGCCAATAATGCATCCTTAGTAAAGGTTAGTTCCTTACCTTGCTCCTGTAATTAGCAAGATATGGCACATCTGATGAGTTAAACCACAGAATCCAAAGAGGCTGTGGTGAACTGGGGCCAGGTGAGGCCACGTGGGCACCCAGGGGCTACGGGCTGGCTGATGAGACAGAAAAGGGGCAATTTCTAGGTATTAGTAACACTGAGTTTCCTGGGGTATAGGAAGGGCCCTTATGATCTAGGGGACCATAGATTATAATTGTAAACCAAAAAGTATCTGAGACAGGTCTCAATCAATTTAGAAGTTTATTTTGCCAAGGTTAAGGACATGCCCAGAAGCAAAAAGCACGGAATCAAAGAAATGGTCTGGGGTTTGTGCCTTTCTCCAAAGATAATTTTGAGAGATGGCTTCAATATTTAAAGGGGAAGCTGGGTGTGGTGGCTCATGCCTGTAATCCCAGCACTTTCGGAGGCTGAGGCAGGTGGATCACCTGAGGTCAGGGGTTTGAGACCAGCCTGGCCAATATGGTGAAACCCCATCTCTACTAAAAATACAAAAATTAGCTGGGCATGGTGGCGCACACCTGTAATCCCAGCTACTCAGGAGGCTAAGGCAGGAGAATTGCTTGAACCTGGGAGGCAGAGGTTGTAGTTTGCCAAAATCGTGCCACTGCACTCTAGCCTGGGTGACAGAGCAAGATCCAGTCAAAAAACAAAAACAATTAAAGGGGAAAAGCAGGCTGGAGAAGAAAGAGGGAGGGTATGGAAATCCACGTGTTGCAAGAAAAAGGATCAGGTAGGACAATAGTCAATTATGTATTCGTCTCAAGCTCAGTAAATTGGCACTTTACCGATAAGGTGAACCTGTGAAGATATTTAACCTTTTATCTGTAGCTTAGCTTTATCTGCTTAGGAACAGAAGGAAAGGCAGTTTCTGCATGAGTCAGCTTTCAGCTTAGTTTTTTTTTCTTCTGGTATAGTGAATTGGGGTCCCAGTTTTTCTTTTCCTTTCACACAACCTTGGAAATTAAGGTAGAGAAAGGGGATCAGAACCTGACTCAGGGAACTTCTTTTGTTCTTTCTTTTACTTCCCACACTATACTGATGTAATCAGGGAACTTCTTAACCCAAGAAACTTACGTGTTGTTTCTTTCTTCCTCCTCTCAGTATTGACTTATTTCTTCTAAACATTTCATCTCTGTCTATTGCATCTCTACCAACTTGTTTATTGACTTTCCTGGCTTCTTCCTTTGGTTGGATCCTATGATTTTCTACTGTCTCGCAGAGGATGTGTATGTTGATTTCTTATCGTGTTTATACATTTCACTCATTTAGAATTCTTCCCTTGCTTTGGGGTCTCCAGGCACACGAGCAAAACAAACTGTTAGAAAAAAAAGTGCAGCTGTGATTCTTCTTGGAGGAAATGACAGGCGGAGGGGAGAGTAGTGCATCAGGAAGTGAAGTCGCCAGTCACCATGGAGCACCACCCAGCACCAGGCGTCGGGCCTGGGCACATCAGAGCCAGCGTGCCTGCCCCAGAAACATTTCCTTGTCTCTAGGGCAGTGTTGCCAAGTCATACACCTGACATTACCGACATTGAATTACAGTGAAAAGTGATTCACTCTTTATTCTCTTTCTTTCCTTCCATGCTGGAAACAGTTCCTAGCTCAAGTTTAAGAACAATACATATTACTGTGTCTATTTTTGTGATTATCAATGATAGAGGTATTTCTTTTATCATGGTAATAAAAAAGCATTCCTTTAAAGTACTAGAATAAGTAAAGAATATCAATTTAAGGAAAGGCACCATGGTAAGACCCCCACTGACGAAAAGGCCTGCATGGGCCCCAGCGGTCTGAGGTGGGGCTGGGAGGGGCTGCTGGGGGGCTGCAGAACCTCTGAGATCGCTTGGCATCCCCCCGGCCCTGGCTGCCTGTGGCGTTCCAGCTGCTTTTTTGGGCGGGAAAGGAGCATCTGTGGACCTCAGTGATAGAACTGCAGGTCCCACTGAGACGAACCCTTATCCTTGTCCTGGAGTCCTGGATGTGGGGGGGCCCCATATTTCCATCACCTGTATGAGTTAAAGCCAAACACTTTCATTCATGCTCTGGCCTAAGAACCAAGGAAAACCAGATGCCCTATTATGAAGCCCCAACAAGTAACCTTTTATTTTTTCTTATTTTTTTTTGAGATGGAGTCTTGCTCTGTCATCCAGGCTGTCAGAGTGCAGTGATGTACTCTCACCTCACTGCAGTCTCGACCTTCCAGGCTCAAGTGATCCTCCCACTTCACCCTCCCAAATAGCTGGGACCACAGGCATGCACCACCACGCCCGGCTAATTTTTATACATATATTTTTTGTAGAGATAGGGTTTCGCCATGTTGCCCAGGCTGGTCTCAAACTCCTGGGCACAAACGATCTTCCCGCCTCGTCCTCCCAAAGTGCTGGAACTACCGGTGTGAGCCACCGCGCCCGGTCCAAATAACCTTTTCAAACCAAACCGGCTGCTTCCCTAACAGATCCAGAGTACATGCTAATCAAAGGTTTTGCCTTTAGAAATACTTTATACAGAAAGAATTCACAGCTCTCATGTGGGTAAAAAACGAAAACAGGCCGGGCGTGGTGGCTCACGAGGTCAGGAGATCAAGACCATCCTGGCTAACACAGTGAAACCCCGTCTCTACTAAAAATACAAAAAATTAGCCGGGCGTGGTGGCGGGTGCCTGTAATCCCAGCTACTCCGGAGGCTGAGGCAGGAGAATGGCGTGAACCAGGGAGGCGGAGCTTGCAGTGAGCAGAGATCGCGCCACTGCACTCCAGCCTGGGCGACAGAGCAAGACTCCGTCTCAAAAACAAAACAAAACAAAACAAACAAAAAAAACCCAAAAAACAAAAAACAAAAATTAAGACAATGTAGGTTTCCTTGCTGGGCTTCACGCAGCATTCCTCTGACTGGTGAGCCCCTCTGCTTTCCCATCCTGTCCTGGGTCCTTCTCCTCCTGTCCAAGCCTCACGTTTGTGCTCCGCTGCAAGTGAGCATCCTGGGAGCAGGGACTCATCAAATGCCCCCTCACCCCCTGCTGGGGTCTGGCCGGGCTTGGGTGCCTTTATCTTCACCCAGTGCATGTTACAGCATGAGCTTGAATGATTTCACCTATAAAATGTTGACATAAAGGGCAAATCTAAACTTCGATTCATTTAATGCAAATAAAAGCCCAGTAAATCCTGTTTACCTGTTTTCCCGAGGAAGGAGGAGCGTGCGTGTTTATCTCCTCTGTCTGGCTCTGCAAGGCTCTGGTCTGCACTAGAGGCAGAGTCCCTTCCTTGCTGGCCTGAATGATCACACACTGGCCCCTCGGTGTCCAGGCCCCCTCCTGAGGCCCGTGGAGGAGAGTGAGCACAGGGTGGGGTGTGAGTGTGAAACCACGGCCCTTTGGAGTCAATATCCTGGGAACATCTGGACCTCATTAATGAGATTAAAAGGAAGATTTCCTGAAGACTGACTGACATTTACCTACCATCTTGAATCTCTAAGAGGGCTCAGCAGGGCACAGTAGGATTTGAAAACCAACCTGGGAAGGGGCCACTTAATTACTGTCTTGTTACAGGGGTGTAAAGGTTCACGATGGCTGTCTCCAGGTGGTGGTTTACGGATTGTTTAATTTTGTTATGTTTTCTATATTTTTAAAAATTGTAATAGTAATATGTATTATCTCTATTGTCAGAAAAGTAATAAAGGTGATTAAATGAAATATCTGAAGTGCAGTCAATGACTGGTGACTTTGGTGAATTAGTTTGAGAATGAAAACATCTCTCCAGCTTCCTGATGGCCACAAATCCCTGATGTCAGGCCCAGGGAGTTGCCGCTCTCCTCTTCTGCCATCCTGGCGGTGGCTCCCATGGCACCAGGGCAAAGGTACAAGAGACGTGGTGGTTACTTCTATACCATCTGAATCCACCTGGGTAGCAGGGATGGTCAGGGCTTTTCAGCAGGAACCAGTCTATACACAGTATGACTATTCTCTACTTGAACAAAAAATAGGATTTAAAGTTTAAGTGGTCACTGCAAAGGATAATAATTATTTCAATATATTTAGTATCGGCCAGTATGATGGTTAATATTGAGTATCAACTTGATTGGATTGAAGCATGCAAAGTATTGTTCCTGCATGTGTCTGTGAGGGTGATGCCGAAGGAGGTTAATATTTGAGTCAGTGGACTGGGAGAGGCAGGCCCACACTCAATCTGGGTGGGCACCATCTAATCAGCTGCCAGTGCAGCTAGGATAAAAGCAGGGAGAGGAACATGGAAGGACTAGACTGGCTGTGTCTTCTGGCCTCCATCTTTCTCTCGTGCTGGATGCTTCCTGCCCTCAAACATCAGACTCCAAGTTCTTCAGCTTTTGGACTCTTGGACCTATACCTTTGATTTGCCAGAGGCTCTTGGCTTCCCTACTTTTGAGGTTTTGGGACTCGGACTGGCTTCCTTGCTCCTCAGCTTGCAGACAGTCTATTGTGGGGCGTTACCTTGTGATCATGTGACTCAATTCTCCTAATAAACTCCCTTTCATATATCCATCTATCCTATTAGTCTTGTCCCTCTAGAGAACCTGGACTAATACAGCTGGCATTTTATTTTAATTTTTTTTGAGACAGGGTCTCACTCTTATCCAGGCTGCGGTGCAGTGGTGTGATCATGGCTCACTGCAACCTCGACCTCCCAGGCAATCCTCCCACCTCAGCCTCCCAAGTAGCTGGAACTACAGGCATGCACCACCATGCCCAGCTAATTCTTAAATTTTTTTGTAGAGATGGCGGGGGTTCACTATGTTGCCCAGGCTGGTTTTGAACTCCTCGGCTTAAGCGATCCTCCCGCCTCAGACTCCCCAAATGTTGGGATTACAGGTGTGAGCCACTGCACCTGGCCAATTTTCTTAAAAACACTTAAGCTGAAAAGAACTTTATATCATAGAATTAGGTTGTAAGCCTCTTAGGTGCAGGGGCCATGCCTTTAGTTTTGTTTGTATCATTTCTCTGGTCACTATACCTCCTCCCCAGCACCTGATACATGGGTATGAATCCTTCTTCAGGAAAACCTGTGCAGCAAAACCTCAATTTAGGAAACCGAAGTCAATGTATTTAGATTTTGGAAATACAAAAGCAAAAATTTGCATTTACAAAAAGATTTACAAAAAGGTTTCTTCAAATAGTGAATTCCTCTGCATCATTTAAAATGTTTTATTCACAAATGTTTATGTTTACAAGCCCATTTTGGTTATTTTCTTGACATAAATCATTTTACACTTGAACAAAGATTGGCTATTGAAAAAATGGAAGAGATGAAAACCAAGTAAGCCTTTTACAATTAAGATTGAATGAATGTAAACATTACTTCCAGTTATTTAAAAATTATATTAAAGGCTGGGTATGGTGGCTCACACCTATAATCCCAGCACTTTGGGAGGCTGAGGTGGGAGGATTTCTTGAGTGCAGGAGTTTGAGACCAGCCTGGGTGATAGAGCAAGACCCCTGTCTCAAAAAAAAAAAAAAAAAAAAGAGGCAAGAAAAAAATTATGTTAAACAAGATACTCTTTTTAAAGCAGCTAGTACAATGCCTGGCATATAGTAAGCACTCAAAAAAATTAGCAGCTTTTATTAGAATACTTTCAGAAAATGAGATTTAGGAAATGAGTTTAGAAAATCTCAGGCTATTTTTTTTAGCACAGTATTATTTCACATCCTCCCATTGGATTTCAGTCATTTGAGAGCCAATCAACCAACATTTATAGAATATCTGTGTGCCAGGCATTGTTCTGGACACTAGGGATATGAGACTTTAGCAATTATCTAATTCAACTCATCACTTTACCAGGAAAAAAACCGAGGCACAGAGAGGATGAAGTGATTTGTTCATGGTTAGTCTACTGCTAAATAGCAAAGTTGAATGCTTTTTCTACCATCTCTTTTCAAACAGCAGCATTTGATAAATGCATGTGGACTTGACAATCTATTCCCCAGGAGGCTAAACGAGACCATTTTCCTCTGATGTGGTGTGAAATAAGTCCACAAATCTGACACTCCCTTTGAAAAGTAAGATTTTCCTCCCCTAGAATATGGGCTGGCCTTAGTGACTCATTTCTAACAAATAGAAAAATGGTATAAGTGACAGTGTACACCTCTAGAGACTAGGTCATGAAAGGCCCTGTGGCTCCCTGTTTATTTGCTCTGGAGGAAGTTAACTGCCATGTGTGAGGACATCCAAGCAGCCTGTGGAGATGCCCACATGGCAAGGAGCTGAGGCCTCCAGCCAAGAGCCTTGTGAGTGAGTCAGCTTAAAAGTGGAGCCTGCAGCCCCACTCAAGTCTTCAGATGACCACAGGCCTGCTTGACAACAATCTCACGAGAGACCCTGAGCCAGAACCACTGGGCTAAACCACTCCCAGTGTCCTTACCCTCATAGAATGTGTGAAGTTATGAATGTTTATTGTTTTAAGCTGCTAAGTTTTGGGGTAATTTGTTACGCAGCAATAGAGAGCTAATACTCTCTTTTACTGTCACTTTGTTTTCACTCCTACCCTTCCTTGACCTCCCTCTAATACCTTATTTTATAGTTTATATTCTTAGGGCAATGATTGACACTTTTTTTAGTTCTAAAATTTTTACTATATTTATTTATTTAACAGCTTTACTGAGATATAATTTATGTACTATAAAGTTGGTTGACACATTTAAAAATTGTAATAAAACATAAAACTTAACATTTTAACCACTTTAAAACATACAATTCAGTGGCAGTAATTGCATTTATGATGTTGTATAACCATGACCACTATCTAGTTCCAGAACTTTCTCCTCACCCCAAATGGAAGCCCCATACATATGGCTGACACATTTTAAAAGATTAATTTTATTTTGTCCCCCAAATCTGGGGGGACAAAAGTAACAAAGAAAAATGAGCTCACAATTAAATAAGCAAAACCTTCTGTAAAGGTAAAAAAATTTGCCGGGCACAGTGGCTCACACCTGTAATCCCAGTGCTTTGGGAAGCTGAAGTGGGTGGATCACTTGAGGTCAGGAGTTTGAGACCAGCCTGGCCAACATGGTGAAACCCTATCTCTACGAAAAATACAAAACATAGCCAGGCGTGGTGGTGTATGCCTGTAATCCAGCTACTTGGGAGGCTGAGGCAGGAGAATAGCTTGAACCTGGGAGTTAGAGGCTGCAGTGAGCCGAGATCACACCACTGCACTCCAGCCTGGGTGACAGAGCGAGACTCCATCTCAAAAAAAAAAAAAAAAAAAATTGGAAAGAAATAACATTATTTCTAACAACAATATATCAATCTTTTCACATTCTTATATAGAATCAGAGAATCTAATGAAATACATTCTATTATGGATAAACCAAAATCTCAAGTACTTGTTTTACAAAAAATTAAGTCTTCAAAACTCTTTTGAAGTCCACTGGGTGCAGAACATCCCCCACTGTGCCTGAAAACCAAGGAACTAGAACTGGAGACAGCTGTTGGGAGGACAGCAGCGATAACAGATAGGTGCCCTGTAGCGATGGCCTCCAACGGCTACCTACACCCAGCCCTGGGATTCGGAGGATGCAGAAGGAACATCTGGGCTCAGCTATTTCATGCTGTCGGCCATACACTTCCAAGTGGGAGGTGATGGCAGTTTGGTCAGCTGTTTGCCAACCCAGGAGTTGGGTAAAGGTTGGTAAGAGATGTTATTAGTTTTAGCACCATTTCCTTCCAATAGTCTCATTTTAATACAATACAGGTTAGTAGTGACCAGAAAATATTGCTACTGAATTGAAGGATGACTATACAAGGACTTATATCAGATTATTTGTTGCTTTTAGTTTCTAGTGTCCCATAAAGTATAGAAATGGAAATTGCTGACAAGAGAGTACCTTTGGTAGGCACAGTTCCTTTTCTCCCCCCACTGGAGAGGACGCTACAACCTTGCTATAGAGTGTCCTGTGACTGCCCAGTGATGTAGATTATGCTCCTACCCCAGGAGGGGCAGCTTGAGAACAGAAAAGCAACAGCTGGAAGACATTTATATTACCTCTGTATTCAGCTCATTGGACTAGCATCTTTCATGGTGTGAGACTTTCTCATTTACTCATTTGTCCATTTATTCATTTGTTTTAAAAAATGAGGCCAGGCATGGTGACTCATGCCTGTAATCCCAGCACTTTTGGAGCCCAAGCTGGGATAATTGCTGGAGCCCAGGAGTTTAAGACCAGCTGGGCAACATAGGGAACCTTGTCTTTTCAAAAAATAAAATTAGCTGGGTGTGGCGGTATATGCCTGTAGTTCCAGCTATTTGGGTGCCTGAGGTGGGAGAATCACTTGAGCCCAGGAGTTTGAGGCTACGGTGAGTTGTGATTGTACCACTGTACTCCAACCTGGTGACAGAGTGAGATCGTCTCATAAAGATATAAAAAATTAAAAATAAAATAAAAATTAAAAAATGAGTGCCTTCAGGCAGTGTTCCAAGCATTGGTGAACACAATGGTGGGGCTAATGCAGAAAAGAGTATCATTTTTGCACACATTTCTCTGGGTTTGACACTCTCTGGAGCTAATATGGACTGTTCCACATTAGTAAGACATTAGTGGGATTGAGAAAGGGCTGCAGGTGTCAAACTGCATCCTCTTTGCCAGACCCCAGAACCTCAAAACAAGCAGTAAAACAGAGAATAAGAGGACTGTGGGTGTGCCCTCCTCTGCTTTACCAAGGCCCAGTATCCCAGACACTGGCCACTTGCTTTTTCATATCCTTTCCTGAGGTTTCTTCTCACTGCTAGTAAATAGCAGTGCAAGTCTTAATATATTATGAAATAAAGCTACAATCACAATGACTAACTCCATGCAATATAGGAAAAGCCTCGCTGAACAGATGCCACAGAGCCAAGCATCTCCCACCCAGCCCTCTTAGTGTCTACCATGAACATCCTCACAGAGCAACTCCACCGCCTATTACGGGGAGGCCTCTAGCTTCAGCCCTAGGGGCAAAAGTAAGGCAGGGCTCAGCAGCGTTCCAGAAATCAGGGGTGCTCAGGTAGAGAAGCAAAGTGGCCTTCCCAGGGATAGGACTACTGAGGTCAAAAGGAAAGGCAGGAAAAGCCACAGAAGAATTGGAAGTGGCAGGAAGTCTAGACAGAGTGAGCAATGGCTGGGGGGAAATAAATTACGATAAAAACACATTTCTTTATTTTAAAAGCCACAGTCATGGTGCAGGCATTTTGCTGTTGACCTGAACAACAAAATGGGCCTTATGCTCTGTGATGAGATAAGTGAGTAAGGGGTGAACCAAGAGGGGTGGTTCACTTGGAGTGCCTGAACATGATCCTTCACCGACAGGGAGAAGCCTTGGCCAACAGAACCATTAATCACTGTCTGCTCCCTTCATTTGCGTAAGAAATGTGATTCACTCCAATAAAACTGGCTATTGGCAGAGGGGAATCGAACGTCTGACTTGTGAGTCTAAAAGAGCCAGCTGTTCCAGCCTCCAGGATTCAGTGAGAACTTCCTATTTCAAGTTAAGTTCCCAGCTGTCCCAAGGCTTAGGAAAGGGGGATAAACCCAGCCACCCCCACCTCTAGACACATGCTCCAGCCAACAGCAGGAGTGTTGCAGATTTTATCAGCTTCTTAAATGCATTAGGGGTTGAAATTAGACACCTCGGTGTGGTTTAAGAGCAAGAGAAGGGCCAAGTGAACCCAGGTTGGGATAACAAATGAGACAAGAGTCGTGAGAAAAGGCCTGAGGTCCAACTTCCAATTGAAAGGTTTTCTAGCCTCCCTGAAATCCTACATCCAAGGGCCCCACACCCCAGTGGCCTTGGGATCACAGCGGGGGTCCTGTGCAGGGAAGTACACGGGGACTGAGTGTTTATGGTAGAACTGTAGGCGGGACAGGAGCTTTGTGACGATGTGAGGATATTCTCTGGACAGGTCATGTCTTTCTTCAGGGTCCCGATCAATATCAAAGAGCCAGAGGGTCTTGGTTGGTGGGTCTGATGAGGGTATCTCAGAAACATTGTATTGAGACGGTGGAGGGAACCAGTAACCACAGCCTAGCAAAGAAAACAAAACAGTTTACTGAGGGAGAAGCACAGAGGCAGGTTCTAATTTCAGGGAAGGAGTCTGAGGCCAAGGCTGCACTGGGTTGTGGGTGTGGAAACATAAAAAGATGCGGCCCTAGATGCTGTCTCTAGATGCTTCTCAGACTTGACTTCTGGTGCTTTAACTAGACATGTCTCACTGCTTCACAAGCAAGGACACCCAGAAACGTGTGTGCATGTGTGTATGTCCTTGTCACAAGGACTAGGGCATAGGGGTGCTCCTGGCATTTAGTGGGCATGAGCTAGTGATGCTAAAGTCTTGCAATACATGGGACAATCCCAGTCAAAAAAGACTTGTCATATTGCAAACGCCAAAAATGTTCTCATTGTAAACATTGATTAATTACATCACAGCCTTAACCATCATCCCACATATTTTAAAAGTATTGAAAAGATATCACTCTTAGAGAATATAATCAGAGGAGCAACCTCCTTCCCCAGCTATACCACTGGTTGAGGGTGTAGCTCTCAGAGACTCTCTTTGTTAGCTAAATGTGCTGTGCTTGATAGCCACATATATTTAAAATCCGTATTTTCCATGAAGCATAAGAGTGACATTTCTTCCTTTCACCCCTGCTACAGTTAATTCTCTCTGTCTTTCTCTCTCTCTCTCTTTTTTTTTTTTTTTTTTTTTTTTTGGTTAGGACGAGTAGGTTAAACCATTTCTTCCTATCTCCTCATTCAGCAGCCCCAGAGATATGTTTTGCAAAAGGCATTTGTTACTTCGGTAAGCTTCTCCTTGATGATCCACTGGGAAAGCTTACTTGCACCATGACAATGATGGAAGCTGTGTAATTGGGAACAGGCGGAGTCTTAGAATTGGGAAAAGAAAACCCTGAATAAATAGTTGTCTTTCTAGGACATATATCAGGAGGGATCATGAAAGATTAGAAAGACAAATTAAGATTTCAGGTATCTGAGCAAAGTGAGGTAAGTGGTAGGGCTTAGGGGCCTTGAGGAGGAGCCACAGAGGAAGAGGTGGGAAACGGTTAGAACAAGAGTGATAATGTCCTCTCTTTCCAGAGAAATGGCCGTGGGAATCAAATCCCAGGAGGGCAGATAGACTGGAGATACTGCCCTGAGGACACAGCCCTGCTTTGTCTACCACGGGAAGGGAAGTTTGCTAAGCTAAGGACTCTACCTGGGTAGCCCGTGAGGAGTTTCCAATTTCCATGTCTAATTGCAGCATGGACAGATGTGTTAAAGGCTGAATATTCTGGAAGAGAAGAGTCATCCTTTGCTGGAGCCATGCTGTTCCTGGGACCTGGGAAGAAATAGTTTGAAAGAATTAGATCACTGTTATTGGAACGTGTTGTTATAAATCAGCATTTTATACCCTTGCAGAACAGTAGCTTTTATTCAACACTGGAGTGCAAATGTGTATCTTGCCACAGAAATGAATCTTTTATTAAATCCAAACAGAAAGCTATAGTTACATGAAATGTCAGTCATAAACCACCGCAAATATAAAGGAAATCCCAAAGAGATTACAACACTAATTCATCCTTAAAATCGCTATGTTCTGCCAATGTACAGCTAGCCATATGCAGAACAGTGTTCTGTTACAGCAGAGTGACTTTTTTTTGGTTTTTGTTTTTGGCTGTTAAACATTTAAACACACTTTCTGTGTATACTTATACCTATGTAAATAGTATAAGAAATTATAAAATGTACATTTTCATGCAGTCATTTCAAGCTATGAGAGTTCATGCATGCCATGATAGAGTACAAAGACTTATTTTTTAACAACTCTTAAGGAATCTAAAAGTGAGCAGTGCTCAGTTAACTATTCAGACAGGATAACTATGGGGGTAAGAACAAATTTGGTATACAAATTTTTGGCTGGTATCATGGATTATATTAATTTATCATTTTTGAGATCTTAATTGATCATCAGGTTGGTTTTTTGCTTTTGTGGGGAGCAATTACTAATCTCTACCACCTCTTAAGTTTGAAACCAATTAAGAGGTAGAAGATAGACAGATGGAACAAAAAATACTGCTTTTGTTACTGACAAAATTGACTGGAGAGAATACAGCTTCAGATCTGTAGCAGAGAGATCTTGTTTGTAACTGACCCTTGACTTAGAAAGATTTAATCCTCACCATTGATCTTGCTGAACACCCAGTGGGCTCCCTTAGAGCACACAGCCAAGAGCAGACCAGAGTGCTTACATATATCCAGGTGACAGGCTGGCTGGAAATTGGACAGCAAAAAGGGTCTCGGTTGAACATGCTCAGTTCCTCCTTTTGAATAACTCCTTCCTTTGCCTGATTATGAAAGGAGTGAACAAGGCAAGAGTTCTACTCTTGTGGAAGACCCTGGTGGGTCCACAAGGGCCCTCACCTCACTCCTACTTATGCCTATGGTTGAGGCCTAGCTGAATAACATATAGTCTGTTTTAAGCCCACATTTATCTGTTAGCTTTTCAAATATGGTCACAGCAATCATCTTGGGATCACTTCGAAAGGTTGCTGAACCACCAGCCTAATAATTAATTGTCATAATATGTGATATGTCTGTAAAAGTATAGACTCCATTGGAGTGGTTAACCCATCTGTCTGCCTTCCTTCGATAATAGACTTTGAGAGAGCCCTTATCCTCACCCAAGCAGGACTTCTGTGCTCCTGGGGTTTTCATGCAGGGTGTGTCGGTGGTGGAAAAGGCGGGACATGCCATTCTTTTGACAGTCTTTTGGAAATGACCTTGTAGAGACAAGCTGGAGACAGATCCGGCAAACACTGGTGCTTTCAGAACTTCAGTCTCAACAATCACACAGCAGCAAATCTTTAGCACCAAAGAGGAAAATATTTTTGACTTCTTGTTTCTCTGCTTGCGGATATTTTGGCTCCAATACAAATGGATACTTCTAGTACTTGAGGTGCATGAGCATGTCTATCACAGGAAATGGTTGCTAACATACAGACTGTGGTAAAACTGTGAACCCTCATGGTTTACTCCTCACAAGTTTGTATGAAGGCCACATTTTGATACCAAAGAATGTTAAATAAAACAAGCATGTTTTGTGAACACAAACAAAAAAAGGAAATTTAACTATCTCATCTATACTTATATTTATACACATTTTTTTCTTAAGACAAACAGGAACATAAAATACCTAAACAATAAATAAGCCTAAGACTAAACTATGAAAGATACTATTATCTTGACTTTATTGTTTTCATTTTGAGAAATTAAACAAAGGGAAAATTACAAAGAATAATATGACTAACACCCTATGAGCCATCACCCAAAATGAACAGATGTTAACATTTTACCATGTTTGCCTTTTTTTAAAAAAAATAAAAGAAACTGGACAATAAAAATGAAGTTGAAGTCTCCTTTGTTCTTATCCTCAAACCCTGTCCTTTCATTTACTCCTCTAGAGGCTGCTGCTATTGTGACTTCAGTGCATCCTTCAGCCATTTTAAAATGCAGAATACATATGTGCCAAGGGATAATATATAGCACTGTTTTATGCTTTAAAAATGTATGTGTGTACTGTTGGTGGGAGTGTAAATTAGTAAAGGTATTATGGAAGACAGTATGGAGGTTCCTCAAAAAATTAAAAATAGAACTACCATACAGTGCAGTAATCCCACCACTAGGTATTTATCCAAACGAAAGGAAATCGGTATACTAAAGGGTTACCTGCACCTCCATGTTTATTGCAACACTATTTATAATAGTCAAGATATGGAATCAACCTAAGTGTCCATCAATAGATGAATGGATAAAGAAAATGTGATATATAGACACAATGGAATACTATTCATCCACAAAAAAGAGTTTGTTGGTAAAGCCATCTAGGCCTAGAGTTTTCTTTGTGGGAAGGTTTGAAATTATTGATTTAATTTCCTGAGCAGGTATAGGACCATTTAGATCTTCTATTTCTCCCTTTGTCAGTTTTGATAACTTGTATTTTATTAGGAATTTGTGTAGTACATGTGAACTTTTGTTTTGTATTATCTTTTAAATGTTTGTAGCATCTGTAGTAATATTGCCTGTTTATTCCTGATATTGGCAATTCATGCTTTTCATTTTTTCCCAAGATACGTTTTGCTAGTGTTTAATTGATTTTATTAGTCTTTTTTTTTTTTTTTTTTTAGATGGAGTCTTGCTCTGTCACCCAGGCTGGAGTGCAGTGGTGCGATCTTGGCTCACTGCAACCTCTGCCTCTGGAGTTCAAGCAATTCTCCTGCCTCAGCCTCCTGAGTAGCTGGGATTACAGGTGCATGCCACCATGCCCAGCTAATTTTTTGTATTTTTAGTAGAGACAGAGTTTCACCATGTTGGCCAGGCTGGTCTGGAACTCCTGACCTCATGATCCGCCCGCCTTGGCCTCCCAAAGTGCTGGGATTACAGGCGTGAGTCACCGCACCTGGCCTGATTTTATTGGTCTTTTCAAACAACAAACTTTTGGCCTTGTAGATCCTATCTGTAGTATGTTTGTTTTCTATTTCATTAACTTCTTTTATCTTTATTATTTCCCTCCTTTTATTTTCTTTGGGCTTAATTTGTTATTTTTTTTATAACCTTTTGAATAACAGATATTCAACATTTTCATTTCTAATACGGACTATGAATTATCCAAGCACCAATGTAAAAAACATGTAGTCTGAAGTTGTTGGGCTCAATGCTCTGTATATCATTTAGGTCAAGTTTGTTAACTATGGTGTTCAAATCTTTTATATCTTTATGGACATTTTTGTTTGTTTGCTTGTTCTATCAGTTACTGAGAGAGGTATGTTAAAAATCTCTTCTATGACTGGATAATTATTTTGAAAACTCCCTCTTTAATTCTAATAGTGCTTTCCTCCTTTAAATCTACTTTATCTGATGTATAGATAGCTCAGTTTTTAGCTGTCATTGTTGCTGCTGTTAGTACCTGCATAATATATTTTTTCCATCCATCTGTCAACATGTGTGAGACTCTTATGCAATAGAAAGAAGTATAAAACAGGGTATGATAGGCAGGATAATGGTTCCTCAAAATGTCAACATCCTAATCTCCCAGAACCTATGAATACATCACCTTCCATGCCATAAGGGACTCTGCAGGTATGATTATAGGTAAGACCTGTAAGATGTGAGGATTATCTCAGATTTATCTGGATGGGCCCGATCTAATGACATGAGTTCATAAATGCAAGGAGTACTTCTTGATTATGGTCAGAGGGAGATGTGGCTGCAGAAGAAGGGTCAGAGAGGTGGCAACTTTTCCTTCTAATCAATAGGGAGACATAAGAGGAATTTAAATATATTTTTTAAAGAGTATATCATATAGTTCACATATGATCAAATTCACCCATTTTTAGTGTAAAATTCTATGGTTTTTAGTATGATATATTCACAAAGTTGTATAACCATCACTGTAACATATTTTAGAACATTTTTATCACCCCAGAAAGAAACCCTGCACCATTGGCAGTTAATCCCCATTTACTCCCACACCC
Source organism: Homo sapiens (assembly GCF_000001405.40). Lineage (NCBI taxonomy): Eukaryota > Metazoa > Chordata > Mammalia > Primates > Hominidae > Homo > Homo sapiens. Next base: position 78,786,167 of record NC_000005.10, read on the forward strand.
TCCAGCCCTAGGCAACCCTTAACCCACTTTGTGCTCTGGATTTACCTATTCTGGACATTTTATATAAATAGGATCAGACAATATGTGGCCTTTCGTGTCTGGCTTCTTTCACTTGGCATAATGTTCTCAAGGTTCATTCATTTTGTAGCACGTATCAGTACTTCATTCTTTTTAAATAATGAATAATATTCCTTTCATTCCTGTATATTGCCAAAAATATACCACATTTTCTTTATTCATCAATTAATGGACACTTCTTTGTTTATACTTTTTGGCGACTACGAGTAATGTACCATTAACATTCATGTACAATTTCAGTGTGGATGTACATCTTCACCTCTCTTGGGTATATATCTAGAAGCAGAATTGCTGAGTTATATGGTAAGTCTATGTTTAACCTTTCGAGTAACTGCAGAGCATTAAAAAATGGCTGAAATGTGTTCTGTATTACATTCTCAATTTTATTCTTTTTAGAGACAGGATCTCACTCCATCACCCAGGCTGGAGTGCGATCTTAGCTTTAGCTCACTGCATCCTTAAACTCCTAGGCTCAAGCGATCCTCTCACCTTAGCCTCCAGAATAGCGGGGACTACAGGCACATGCCATCATGCCCAGCTGATTTTTTATAGAGATGGGGGTCTTGCAATGTTACCCAGGCTTGTCTTCTGGCCTCAAGCAATCCTCTCACTCCAGCCTTCCAAAGTGCTGGGATTACAGGCATGAGCCACCATACCCACCCAATTTCATCCTTTTGTATATAGATATCTCAGTTGTCTCCAGAACCATTTGTCTGAGAGAGTATTTTTTTCCTCTTTAATTGTCTTGGTATCCTTGTCAAAACCCAATTGACCATAAGCATGAGGGTTTATTTCTGGACTCTCGATGCCATTCCATTGATCTATAGTTATTAAAAAATCGATAACCATCTATCTATCTATCTATCTATCTATCTATCTATCTATCTATCTATATAGATACAGGTTTCACTATGTTGGCCAGGCTGGTCTCTAGCTCCTGGCCTCAAGCGATCCAGCCTCCCAAAGTGCTGGGATTACAGGTGTGAGCCACACACATAGCTGATCTATGTCTATTCTTATGCCAGTACCACACTACCAGGACTTGTCAAGCTTAGTAGTAACCTTAGAAATCAGCAAGCCTGAGTCCTCCCACTTTTATTTTTTCCCAAGATTGCTTTGGCCGCACTGGGTGTTTTCACTATTAACTTGACAGTGTATTGGATAAACTGTCAGGACCCAAGACAGGAGGCAGAGGTTTCTTAGAATGTTAACAAACTTTTAAAATTTCGTTGACAGAGTTGGACTAGATGCCAATTTAAGAAATATTTGTTGATTAACAACTGTATGTGGTAATACAGCACTGTGTTCTGGAATTCCATGACATGAAGTGATGAGCAAAGAGACATCTAAGAGAAGTTCCCAAGGTGAAAGCCAAGATATTTGGTGACAAAAGAATATAAAAGATAAATAAAATCCAAGGTTTTGAGTTTGGTGATTGAGAGAATACTGTTGATATTGGCAGAATAGAGATGTTCAGACGGGAAATAGTGGGGAGTAAAGGATTCTGGAATGAGACATACTGATTTTAGGAATTAACTTGAGCTCAAGGTAGACGGCTCCACAACATATTGGAGCTATAGGACTGGCCTCTGTCTGACAGACTGAGGCACACACTAAGCACCACCCGCAATGCAGTGATTGCTTAACCCTAGAAGTGGATTCGCTGCCTAGGGAGGGAAGCAAGAAAGCAGACGCCCAGAAACAGAGCACTGAGGGCCAAAGGAAAACAGCAAACGGAGTAGAGAGGAAAATAATATGAGGAAGTGAACCAGTTAAACAGGACATTACAGAAGCCAAGAGAGCAGAGGGTTTCAGATGGCGAATCAGAAGAGCCAAATATTCCATCTATTAGCTTGATGAATGAGCAGAAGCTAGGGAGTTAAGAGAGAAGTATAAACAAACAAATTTTTCTCGTTTCCTTCTGAGCTGAAAGCCACCTCTGAGATAATAAAGCTTTCTGGCCAGACAGAAATATTCAGCTATAAGATGGATTAGCCGTGTGTATTGATTTTGGATGGGAAAAAGGAGATCAGCAGAAAATTTTAGGACTGATGAAATATGTTACATAATACGTAGTAAACTTACAGCACTCCTTATCTGAGCAACCCCTAGAAATTGGGAGTTGTTTGTTACCAGAATGAGGTGGCCTGGTGGTGGTTTCAGTGGAGAACTGTGTTCTCCAGACCCAAAGTAGGTTCTGGAAGTAACTCAGAAGTTGTCTTGAAATAGGATGGTGAGTTAGTGGGTCGGGGTCCAGGTTCACCATCTCCATTTCAACAGAGTTCAACTCCTTAAGGAAGAATCTATAATATCTGCTAAATATGTTGTACTTCTCTACATTTTTTTAATTTATTTTTTTATTTTTTGAGATAAGGTCTTACACTGTTGCTCAGGCTAAAATACAGTGGTGAGATCACAGCTTACTAGCTTACTGCAGCCTTGAACTTCTTGGCTCAAATGATCCTCCTACCTCAGCCTCCTGAGTGGTTAGGACCACAGGCATGTGCTACCATACCTAGCTAATTTTAAAAAAATTAGAAAAAAAATTTTTAAAGAGGCCACTATGATTTTTGTAATTGTTTCCCTACGTTACCTGGCTGGTCTGAAACTCCTGGCCTCAAGCCATCCTCCCACCTTGGCTTCCCAAAGTGCTGAGGTATTATAAGTGTGAGCCACCACACCTGGCCTACATTTTTGTTTGAAGAAAGGGTCTATGGCTAATATATATAGTTTGAAATACACTAATTAGTGATTCCAATGGGTTCACCAAAAAGGGAAGGGACTGAGGGGAGGGCTGGAGATACTTCTGATCTTCATGAAAGGCAATCCTACTCTCTTGACTGCACAAGGCATCCTCTTGACCTTGGAAAGTATTGTATAATACAGTCTATGATTGTACTTTTAGGAAACACAGTATTTTTCATAACAATGCAATTTATATGTTTGTTGTATATATGTTGGAAAACACAGAAAAACATGAAAAGGAAAATAAAAATGACCTGTTAATTTATTAGTTGCTGTTAACATTTTCGTATATAGCCTTTGAGACTTTTAACTACATAATGTTTAAACAAAATAAATATGTGAGCTGACCTGCAAATAAGAAGAGGAAAGTCCATGGAAGACAGGAAGTTTTCATGCTCAGAGAGAAGAGCATGGGTAGAGATCAGCAAGAAATTAGTAGAGAATCTAATAATCCATCCAAAGTATGAAAGCAACCAAGAACCAGTTTGGCTTCTGAAGAGGGAAATGATGTACAAAAGCAATATCCCAGAAAGACAGTTCTTAACGATGCATGTACAGCAGACTGGAGTGATATGGTATTGAGTCTACAAAGTCATCACAAAGGCCACCATCATATCCTGGAGGGCAGGCTGCAGCTGACAAAAGGGTGAAAAAGAGTGAATTCAAGAAGGACTCAATTTGTACTATAAAGCATTTGGGGTGGAAGCCATAGAGAGAACTAATAATAATAAAATAGTAATAGCAGCTAATATTTAGCAAACATAATACAGATGAGGCATTGTTTTAAGCACTTGGTGTCTAATTTAATCCTCGTGAAAGTCCCATGGATGAATAAACTGAGGCACAGAAAGGTTAAAGGCACATAGCACCATTTGGGTCAATATGAGGAATATGTTTCCACCAGACAGAGCTTCCCCAAGACAGAAAGAATGAGTTTCCTTGGGAGGATGATTTTCTGGCATTAGAGGTGTGCAAGCAAGGGCTTGGCAGGGTGGTGAGGGAAGCGTGGCACAAACAGCGCTGTAGGGTGAACGGGAGGGTCTAGAGGCATTTCCTCTCCGAAATGCTGCTCAAGTACAATGAGCTGGACATGATTGGAGAATGGGGCTTAGGAAGACCTACTGTTGTGACCCTGAAGGAAAGCAGTGCTAGGGATGGTAATGAGGATGGAGGAAAGGGCTGTATCATTGAAGTGGCATCCTACCAGCCCTTCTCCAGGAGGCCATAGTACACAGTAGCATAGAACATGCACTTTTGGAGCCAGACTGCTTGGGTTTGAATCTCAGCTCCATCACTCACTGGCTGTGTGATCTTGGTGTTAGCTGGCCTCCCTAGGCCTCAGTTTCAGTATTGTTGTGAGGTCTAAATGCAACGATACATTAAAAATGTCTAGTACTAAGTACAGCATATAGAAAGTGCGCAGTTATTACCACCCGTGCAATCTCAGGCAACTTTTTAAACTTCCCATGCCTCAGATTACTATCTATAAAATTAACATAACAGTAGCAAGTGAGATAAGACATATATAGTGCTTAGTAGAATATCTGTTATATTGTTAAGACAATTGCCAACATTAAAGATAATAATATCTAATACTTAAATACTACATGCTTATAAACATAAAACACTGCTTTAAGTGTTCTATGTATAACTCATTTAATCCTTGCTCTATGAAACAGATATTAACATCTGTCAATAACTATCACTGAATGGTAGCTATTATCATCAGTATAATATAGTTTCATTTTCTTTTACAACCTCTTCTACCCAAGACCTTACAAAGAGGAGGAAAGGAGGCAAAAATCACTATTATATCAGAAAAACAAAATAAAACCAAACAAAAAAACAACCAAAGTCACTTCTCTGGTGTGGATTTAGAAAGGGTCTATATTTGTTCCCCCATTTATGTTCCAGAATTTAAAGAGGGTTGGGGTAAAAAGGATTTATGTGTAGAAGCTGTAATTTACCACTTTTAGTCTGTAGCCCCTTTTCTGTCCGGTTTGTTTGGCCTGCCATTCATTTCTACTGAGTTCTATTTGTTTTTTATCATTTCACAATTTATGAAGATCAGCAAAATTTCATTCTTCGCCAATAACCCATCTGACTTTCCCTGCCAGTGTGATGCCACCTTCACTTAATGATGTATGCATATTTACTTACAGTAAAACTTACTCACTTGGGCTAAGTGAGAAAAACACCCCAGCTGTCCCAGAAATTTGGTTCTTGAGGAGTTTTCTAAACTGGAAATTCTGTCGAGTATGTTTTTAATGTACAGGCAAGATTTAGGTTTAATTAGCAACTATCTTCAACTTTTGTACTTAAAAGTTCCTAAAAGTAGCTTGTTTATTTATTATGTAAATCAAATGTGTCTCTTAAAGCTTATTTACGCTAAAGTTCAGTTTATACTAAACATCTGATTGGCTGACCACTTCTTTATGGCTCACTCTAACAAAAGTTCAAAGGATCTCAAACTGAAAGTGAGGTTCAAGTCATTAAGGTCCTTCATGTGCCAGCTAGTCAGAGACCCAGAGCCCGTGAGTCCCCCTCCCAGATCAGCGCACCCAGGCCGCATCTGAGCGACTGCGCTGGTGCACATGTGGCTCAAATCTCCAGTCTGCTCATGGTTTTGAATGTCCCAACAACTGCAGGCTTTGGCCAAGGCCACCCTCTCATCTCGCTGTGTGGTAAGGGCTTACATATCCAGACGTGCATGTATGCACTGTTGTCTAGATTTTTGTTTTTAAAAATAATCGTGGACCTAAAAATAGTTTCTTCCTAAAATTAATTCCCTAAAATACACTGACTAGAAGCCCCACACTCTGAACTGATGCTTTAGTGAACCTCTTTGCTTAATTTTTGAAGATGAAAAAAGCCCCTAACAGCTGGGAAGTGGGGCTGTGCACAGCTGTTTTGGATGGCGCAGTGGTATGCCGTATGCCAGGCGTGTCCAATCTTCTGGCTTCCTTGAGCCACACTGGAAGAAGAAGAATTGTCTTGGGCCACACATAAAATACACTAACACTAATGACAGCTGATGAGCTAAAAAAAAAAAGAAATTGCAAGAAAACTCATAATGTTTTAAGAAAGCTTATGAATTTTCAGAAAGTTTACAGGCATGGTGGCTCACGCCTGTAATCCCAGCACTTTGGGAGGCTGAGGCGGGCAGATCACTTGAGGCCAGGAGTTCGAGACCAGCCGGGCCACTGTGGTAAAACCCCATCTCTACTAAAAATACAAAAATTAGCCAGGTGTGACGGTGCATGCCTGTAATCCCAGCTACTCAGGAGGCTGAGGCATGAGAAGCACTTGAACCCAGGAGGTGGAGGTTGCAGCGAGCCGAGATCGCATCACTGTACTCCAGCCTGGACGACAGAGTGAGAATCTGTCGCAAAAAAAAAAAAAAAAAGTTACGCATTCAAGGCCATCCTGGGCCACGTGCAGCCCGTGGGCCATGGGTTTGAATAAGCTTGCCCTATGCCATCACTCTAGTTCTGAAAAGTAACTCAGAGAAATCAATCACTGGCATTTCAATAGCCTTTAGAACAAGCTCTTTTTCTTATCTTATAAAGTCATTTAACCACTCTGAGTTCCTGTTTCCTTGTATGCAAAAATGAGAACCAAAATACTACCTAAATAGAATGAGTGTGAAGAGGAAATAAGATTCTACACGTAGTGAGCATTCTGTGCACCATAAGTGCACGGATTCTGGGTACAGGTCTCTTGAATTTCCACGGTGGTCGCCATAAGCCCAGGCAAATAGGTAAAACCAACTGACCAACTGAAAGAAATCATTTCAATATATGTTGAACCTATGGCCTCTGACTGACAGCTGTCAAGTCAAGGTGTGACCAACTGCTCAACCCTCTTATGACTGTGAGATCTGAACCAGCTGCAAAGGGAACGAGGTATTGTTAGAAAATTATGTGGGGAATATGTGGTAACATTTTCCCCACATAACCTGTAGTGGTATGCCACACTACAGGTCTGGCCAGAATTGTAAAAACAGAGTGCAATAGAACAGAGATTCCCAATTCTGGTTCTGCCTTGGGGTCACTGGAGCCTACAGTCCCTTTCATACCTGTCTTTGGTTCCCTTAGTCTAGCCCAGCTGAGCCCTGGCCTAACATAGGCTGCCTGAAATTACCATCTTCAGCAGCATCTGTTGCACTTATGATGGTCTTTGCACAGCTATTGCCCTAGGACAGTCCCACACAGGACTTCCTGCCTCACCAGGTAGCCCATGTCATGGATGGTCAGCTGGAGCAATTTGAAAGATCTCAAATGTGCCTCCTATAGTATCCATCCTATTATTTTCATGCTGCCTGCAGTGGGCACCTAGGAGACATTCAACTCCCACTCCTTAGAAGACAACGCTCTTTTTCCCACCTCCACACTTACCTTACACATAGTGGGGACAGGGAGGAGCAGGAAGTTTCTACTCTAATTGGCATTTTTATTTAAAATAGATTTTATAGCTAAATCAAATGTTTATGAGCATGGATGTACGCAGTTGGTCAGTGAATTTCAGAATGGAAGAAACAAAAAGATGTCTTCCCAACTGCTCGGGAATCAGAGTCTGGAAAGCAAGAGTAAGGAGACAGCAGAGAGCTGAGAAGTGTCTTGATCCTGTGGCCATGGTCCCCCCAAACTAAATTGATTTACTTCGTCAACAAATACTTCTTGAACTAGTCCTAGTTGCTGGGCACACAGCCAGGTGGAGGAAGGCAAGGAGACAAGCAGTGATGATCAATTTTGATGGGTGTTGTGGCTAGGGATGGGGGCTCTAGGAAGGCAAGGTGGGGACCTTGATTAGTCTAGGGAAAGGAGAAGATCTCCCTGAAGAAGTGATGTCTCAGATGAAACTGGAAGGCTGAATTGGCATTAGAAAGATTTCAATTTTTATTATTTTTTTTTTGAGGCGATGAGGCAAGTATGCGTGTGCTGGGGGCAGCATGGGAGGAAAGTGGAAAAGGAGAATAGTGATCTGGGCAGAGGCACAAAGCAACGTAGTACATTCTGTAGAGCCCGTACATTTAGGCCCCAGAAATTCTCAAGTTATATGGTTTCTGCTGCAACCTTAACTTGAGCATAAACATTTCTTTAGGCATTTCCAAATATCTAACCACACTGCTGGAATCAATCTCATCCTGTAGGAGTCTGCTTCTCAGGCTTACTATAAGCTGGGTATAGGTGCTGTAGTGGATTCTAAATTTGCTTGCTATTGATTTTATGAACTGATTTCTCATTCCTGGGCTTGCGGCTCTGTTAAAAAACAAAACAAAACCCACCAGGGTTCTTGGCTCAAAAGGGCAATTCTAATTCATATATCATTTTGGAAAAAAAAACACACAGAATGAATTCAATAGTCTTCAAGTGCACAAACATGAAATAAAATAAAAACATCCAGTGTTTATTGAGGCCAGTGAACTAACACTGAGTAGTAAGAGGGGAGGGTGTGTCCTAGTGTAGAAGCAAGAGTAAATGTGACCTGTCCTGAAATAGGAGCCTAAAGAATCTAACACAAGGCAAAGAAGACAGGACCGATAAGGGAGGCAAAAAGAAAACAGAAAACAAAGAAGAGAGGTGGGGTTGGGGAGAAAGGCAAAGGGAGAGGTGATAGGAAGGAGGAGGAGGGAGAGGAGGAAGAATGTTTTATCAGGCAGGATATTCGGGGAGTATTTACAAGCCAATTTTTTCTTTTTACCCTGTCTGTCTCACTGCTTGTCCAACTTTTCCAAAATTAGGTGAGGCCACTGGGGTGAGAGGGATAGAGTGAAGCTCAGAGTAACTAAGGCTCAAGCATCATTTAACGCCTGACTGTCATAGGCACTTACTAAACATGTGCTGTTCTGTTTTCCAGTTGTCCAGGCTGCCTCTTCACTTTTACCAGAGCTAATTAATAGCAGTATTAGCAGCAAGATTGAGATCCCTGGCTTTGGAGCCAGACTAAATGGGCCAGCTCTCCTACTTCATAACTCTGTAACCATGGGCATTTTACTTAGCCTCTGTTTTCTAGCTGATAAAATCAGTAAGTGCCTCAGAGATTTTTTTGGGAGAATTAAATGAGATAGTACATTGAAAGCCCATAATAGGGTCCCTGGCAGAGAGTAAGCTCTCAATAAATGTTAGCTATTATTGTTATCATCATCATATAGTAGTTATTGAAATTACACAGTTAAGGCAGTGGTTTTCAAACTTTTAAGGACAAAATCTTCCTCCCAAACAAACTCTATGCAGCTGCCCAGCAGAGGTGGCCAATGTCCACCTTGGTTCATCTTTGGGAGTCTCCAGAGGTCCCTCCAGCTCCATGGACCCTAGGGGGATGCTGGTGGCCTAGGGCACTCTGCTGGATGCCCCCATGTGGGTGCAGGTACATGTGGGGAGTGAGGGGGCCTGGGAGCCACACCAGCTTTGGGGAGGAGGGGGCTGGCTTGTGGGTCTAGATTATAGACCTTTCACAGGCACTGTGCCTTTCACAGGCACTGCCACCCCTCGGGGCCTGTGCAGCTCTGCCAGCGTGTACCAAAGAAGAGTAAAATAGGGAGGCCTGACCACCATTAAATACTTCCCTCATTTCTGAACTTGAACCTGGTTGCTGCAAGTTTTCTGTTAGACCCTCACTACTTACTTAGAATCCTGTCTGTCCTTGGAGAAATTCTTACAACACGAAACAGGAGTGTTGGGAAAAATATGCCAGACATGAAGCTAATCAGAAAAAGGTGAGGAGGAATATTGCAGATGTTATTTATTACCTACAGGGGACAAATTAAAATGCTCATAATTTTTATATATGCACTCCACATGACGTATTTCAAATGAATCTTAAGTTTATGATTTTCAGTTTACAAAGTCAATTTCTCTGACACCTACTCACTCAGTTCATATCTGATATTTTAAAAGTCCTAGTGAAAAAAGAGCTTTGATGTGGCTTACTCAGCCTAGACAGAGTTCAAATGTTAATCATTATTGCATTGTGCATAGTAAGTATTCAGAGAATGTGCTGGTGTTACAGGGAACTTCAACAATTGGTTAAGGTCTGACATCAGCCAGCAGTGTTGATTGAGCAGTGTAAACCAAAAATGACAGAAAACAACCATTCAATGAATCCTCAACTCATGACCGTTGTAGTAAATTAAGCCACCTATACCTGAAATAGGTTGACAAGAGCTCTTCTCATGCTTTGGTTTAAATTTGAGTCTTGAAAAAATAACTTATTTCATATTATTCATTTACTTACTAAACAAATACCTATGTTGTTGATCACTATATGTGTTAGACACTAAATCTTCAGAATGAATAAGCTGGAGTTCAGCAGGTAATAATAAAATAATTTTGTTTAACCACCATAAATTCTAAAATAGTGGAATAAACATTTGTTGCCTGAATAAATAAAACGCACAAAGTGCTAGGAGATTCCAAAAGACATACCAATTCCCCAGGAGGATCCAGGAAGAGCCCTATGGATAGGCCAATGCAATAGGTAAAGAAAGAGTGACAAATATGATCAAGGCAGAAGGAGGGTCTCTCTTTTTGAAATTTTCTTCTTTCTAAGGTGTCCTTCCCCTTTTCAGTCTCTAAGTGAGACAATGCGTGCAAAGCACTTACTGCAGTGCCTGGCATAGAGAAAATGCTCCATCTGGGTTCATCTTTGGGAGTCTCATTTCTACCTGCCATTCTTTTTTTTTTGACGGAGTCTCACTCTGTCACCAGGCTGGAGTGCGGTGGCACAATCTTGGCTCACTGCAACCTCTGCCTCCTGGGTTCAAGTGATTCTCCTGCCTCAGCCTCCCGAGTAGCTGGGACTACAGGCACACGCCACCATGCCCAGCTAATTTTTGTATTTTTAGTAGAGACGGGGTTTCACCATGTTGGCCAGGATGGTCTCGATCTCTTTTTTTTTTTTTTTTGAGACAGAGTCTCGCTCTGTCGCCCAGGCTGGAGTGCAGTGGCGGGATCTCGGCTCACTGCAAGCTCCGCCTCCCGGGTTCACGCCATTCTCCTGCCTCAGCCTCCCAAGTAGCTGGGACTACAGGCGCCCGCCACTATGCCTGGCTAATTTTTTGTATTTTTTAGTAGAGACGGGGTTTCACCGTTTTAGCCGGGATGGTCTCGATCTCCTGACCTCGTGATCCGCCCGCCTCGGCCTCCCAAAGTGCTGGGATTACAGGCGTGAGCCACCGCGCCCGGCAGGTCTCGATCTCTTGACCTTGTGATCCGCCTGCCTTGGTCTCCGAAAGTGCCGGGATTACAGGCACGAGCCACTGCGCCCGGCCTCTACCTGCCATTCTTTTCAGCCTCATTTGCTTATTCTTTTTTCACTGTTCATCTCTTCAATGTTTTCGTTCCTCTAGTTTCCATGCCCAACATTTCGCTGGGTATTCTAGACTCCAGAATCTTATCTCTAACCCAGACTGTTGTTTTGTGTATCCAACCATAGTGCCTCTAGCCCAGGTGAACCTGCACAGTAACAAAGCCCAGCCTTCTCACTTCCTTCTCACATCATTCCTTCGATGGTGCTCCACTCCTGTATTTCACATAGGGATATTGACATCCATCTGCTGGCCTTGGCCATCAAAACAGGTTCAACCTCTTCAGCTTGTCTCTCCCTGTATCCACCATGGACAATAGCTTACCTACTCTCTCTGGCTCCATCACCTTTCTGCTGCCCCCGTGAGCCATCCTGCTTTTTGGGGTAAGGGTAGGAATCACAGAGATCCTGTATATTCAGCTGCCCCTAAGATAGCTTTATGGGTAACCCCTCTCTAATGTCCGATGTGCACTGCCAAGTCCTGGACTCTCAAACTGGGTGCCTTGTCTCCACTTCTTCTGGCTGTATTTAAGGTGGAAAAAATATATGGACTGAGAAAAGAACAGGGAGGAGGATGGAATTCTGGAAAGAAACACCATTTGAAAGGCAAAGCATAGGGGAAGGGGCCTCTAAAAGGCTGAGAAGGAGGAGTTAGACTAGAAGAAGGCCTCAGAAGCCAGGGGAAATACTCCATGGAGAAAATGGTTAATGTCAAAGAGAGGGAAAGTATGAGAAAGCAGGAAAGGAGATAACTGGATTTGGCAACAGGATGTTATAGATGATGTGGAGACAGAAAATGCACTGAGCTTTTAACATATAATGGCCATAATAAACATGAACTTGCGGATCTGATGAGCTGGTAACAACAAAGATAAGATTGGAAGAAAAGCAAGTATTTTTTTCTAATCATCCTCCAATTAAAGTGACAACAGACAGCCATCTCCAGTTCTGGCACCAGCAGATGCTAATCGAATACAGAACTAGGGCCACCATTGAATTCACATTTTTGGTCTGTCTCTGTCTAAATACACGTTTTTTTAAGTAATTGGTAGAGTCTGTCAACAAATGGTTATAAATAGGCATTGTGTGTAAAAAAAAAAAAAAAAAGGGAAACTAAACCCAAAATATTCCTCTTCAGCCTGTGATTATGATGATGAGCATGGCCCAGGCTGAGTCTCTGGCAAGGGATGAAAGGAGAAAGACCCCCCCGCCCCCTACATGGCATTTAGTGCAATCCCAACCACAAAGCCTCACCATCCAAAACGCCTTGCTGAAGGCTGAGCTCACCCTGTGTTGTACGGTTCATATTCCGGTGTGCAGGAAAGACGTGTCTAGGCTCTGAGCACAGTTTTGGATAAGGATGAAATAATGTTCATTTAATACTTAATTTGGAAAAAGGGCCCTGCCCACGGAATCAGCCTTTTAATGGCTGTCAGGTGGGCCTGCCCCCTCCGGGAAGCTTGGTGATGCCATCCCTCCTGACCCCAGGAGCCCATACTGGGGTAGCAGTGGCAACAATTACAGTGCAGAAAACTGAAGCTGGCTGGTGTTCTTCCAAGGGCAGCCCTCCACAACATTGCTGTCCATGGCCCAAACCCAGGCATGTTACACAAACCCTGTAGTCACTGACATGAGGGCCACTAGGTGATGCTTGCCAAAGGTAAAAAAGCAAACATTTGAGACAACTCTTTCCAGCCTCCTCTAGTTCTTGACAGCAGCCCCCGAAAGTAAGGACGTTTTATATTTTGAGAAGTTATCAGGGTTTCACATGAACTGGGATTCAGAACACAATTTCTCTTTCCAATGAAAACTGGAAACACATCTGAGACAGTAAGCAAAGACGGTTTCTTAGCTCTGCAATTGACTTAGAATGAAATATGAAGGAGGTGCCACCCAGCTCTTCAGAGCAGCTTTGAAAAGGTCCAGCTTCAGAGGGCACCCGCCTCAAGTGCTCAAGAATCTGTAGATGCAGATTTGAATTTGGCAGCTTGGTTATGAAGCTCAACAGACAGACATTCTGAGATTGCTGAAGCCTCAGTCCTCTCTCAACCCATGTTAACTTTCACATCCATAATCCCAGCATGCTTCCTGAGAAATGCCAACCGTTAGACACTTTAGCCACATTCATGAAGTGACTCACTTGAGGGGCAGGATCTGAAGCTGTGCTGGCTAGCCGAGTCTGGAGAGAGACTCCCTCCCTAACAGTCAGTTTGTCTCTTTTCCTTCCCCTGATGCTGGTGCTCACCTACTCACATGAAGGATGATGTGTATGGCAAAATCCTACTTCTGAACCCGCATACGGAAAACCAATTAAGACGGGGAGAAAAATGAAACAGAACTGTATTTCCCATCTGACTCAAACAAGAATGTTTAGAATCAGGCAGATTTAGAAATAGAATGCAGGAGCCTGCTATCATAGTAGAGGCTCATTTTACTAGAGGATGGTACCCTACAAAGGTGTAGGTGAGCAGAACCCCACAGAGTCAAGGCAGATTTTGAAGCTTTGGCTGGTTGATCTGATGCCCTCTCCTGGCTCTCATAGGGTTTGGCAGATGAAAAATCTGGATAGAAGGGAAAATTGGAAAGACAGAGCCCCAGGGCAACACCCCTACACCTTGCGACCAACCTCTTTCTTGGGGAAAGAAGGATTGTGAATGAAAAAGTGGGAATATTTGTAAGCAAACAATCTGTGACAAACCCAGAGTTGGCTTTCTGAATGAGCAAGAGAAGCAAAGTAGCGGCCAGTCGCGGTGGCTCACGTCTGTAATCCCGGCACTTTGGGAGGCCGAGGCAGGCAAATCACTTGAGGTCAGGAGTTCAAGACTAGCCTGGCCAACATGGTAAAACCCCATTTCTACTAAAAATACAAAAATTAGCTGGGCGTGGTGGTGTGCACCTGTAGTCCCAGCTACTCAGGAGGCTGAGGTGAGAAGATTGCTTGAACCCAGGAGGCAGAGGTTGCAGTAAACCAAGATCACACCACTGCACTCCAGCCCGGGTGACAGAGCAAGACTCCATCTCAATTAAAAAAAAAAAAAAAAGCAGCAGCAGCAGCAGCAAAGTAGGAAGCTGTGCACAGAGGCTGGAGGAGCACTCACAGACTCCCCTCTCCACCATGCATTTTACCCAGACCTCCGTTTGGGGCTGGAATTCCCAGAAAAAGCACTCCCCCTTAACTGACCAAGACTTTGCATTTTACAGGGGGTTATACATTAAAATAACAATAATAACAAATCAACAAGAATTTTTTGAGCATCTGCCATGTTTAAGAAACTGTATAAGGTGTCACAGGAATTACAGAAAAACATTAAATTAATTAATAATTTTTTGGAGGGTGTGCAAGGTACTGTTTTAGATACCAGGAAAAGTATCTCTACTTAAGAAGCTTAGAATGAATTGGGAGAATAAATGTCAATAAAAGGCAATACATGATAAATGCCAAAGGAGTGGTAAGACACAAGTTAATTTAAGCATTAATTACTTTGAAGAGTAAGCACTACAGAACTCCAGAGATGGAAAGTCTATTTCTGGTTGGTTGGAGGGGAGACTTCCCAGAGAAGGTGAGACTTAGGGGATGAAGGCTTGCACTAAAACATCAGTAGGATTCAGAGAGGAGGATGAGCAGGAACAGGACATCCCAGGCAGAGTGTGGAAGAGTACAAGGTGAGAATTCACCAAGTTTGTTTGGACTCTGGATAGTTGAGCACCCTGGCTGGCTTGAGGAGGACAAAGTAAGAATTGTTAGGAAAAGATGGGTTGCGTTAGTACCTCCAACATATAGAAGTTAGAACTTTATTCAGTAGGTACTTGGAAGCAAGTAAAATTTTTTTTTAGCAGGGATGAAAGGCCTGTTTTAGAAAGACACATCTCCATGTTCATTATACTCTGATTACTAATTAAGTTTCTAGGATGACCTGATAGTACAAAAAAGTTGCTCTATACAACAGCCAGGAATAACTCTGTCACTGGAAGGGGATAGTCTACATTGTAAATACGTACCTTAGCATTCTGTATCAGAGCAGAAAGAAACCAATTGAAGAGCCTAGTCGGGGAAGTACTGAACCAGTCCAGGGTTGGATTGGTCAAGTAAGTCTAGACGATGAATAGAGCAGGAAAAAGGACTGCTAGGTCTGGAATGGCATCACTGGAAGAACACGTGAGAGATGTTGCTTTTGGAGGAAGATGAATTGCATGACATTAGCAATTGAACGTGTAGGTTTAGAAGTGCTGATGGATTTGCCACAGGTGCACTCTCACTCACACTCCTCAGCACGCTAGGAATAAAACTGAAACTGCAACATGGCCCACAGTGTCTGCGTCATCTGCCCTGTCTCCTTCTTGGGATCACACTCTGACCACATTTCTCGGCCTCCCTTGCAGTTGGGTGTGTGCTGGCGGAATGTGAGTGCGGTTGGGAGCACCACTTCCAGGCAGGCCTGGGCCCAGAAAACCCTCTCATGCACAGCCTTCCATGCAGAGAAGCACGCTGGCCTTGGCAGGTCATTAAAAATGGCAGAGCTGCAAAATGAAAGGAGCTGTGGTCTCCAAGACACTGCTTTGAACAGGGATATCTAACTGCTCAGGAATATCTAGTTTGCACTTCTGCAAATGAGAAATAAATGTCTATACTGTTCGAATGTCAGTTTTGGTTTGTTCCAGCAGCCAGCGTTATCTTAACTAATCTGTCATTCTCCCAGTCTCATCTCACCCCACTGCTCTCACTGTGTATGTTCCAACCACACTGGTTTCCTTCAGTTCTTTGGGCACACGAAGCTCTGTTCATCCAGTCTAGCCCTTCCCTGCTGCAAAGGTCTTTGTGTTAGCTCTTTCCTCTACCTGGAGCACTTTCTACAACTCCTTGCCTGATAACTCCTTTTCCAGGTCTCAGATCAAATAACACTTCCTCAGAGCAGATATTTTTTGACCTCCCAAATTAAATCAGGGCAACCCCTGTTCATCTTCCATAACACGTCTTACAATTTATCATTATATATTCATTTAATATATTTAATATTATTTAAATTATATTTGTTAAATTAAATTAAATATATTTAATACATGTCTCCCTAGAAAAGTATATGATCCAAAAAAAGCAGGGATCATGACTCTTGTTCACCAGTGTACTGTTCATTCAGCACCTAGCACCGTGTGGGTGTTTGAGAAATATTATGGAATAAATGAATGAACTGGAGTGCTGCAGTCACAGTTAGATTTGAGAATGATCGCAATAGGGACAGATAGAGAGTGGAGAGAACAGAGCAGCAGGCTGAGAAACAGCCCCGGGAAACACACACTAGGGTACAGCATCTACCTTCCACCCCTAAACAGAGGCCGTGGAGGAGAATAAAGTTTAGAGAAGAGAAACTAATTAGAGAGATAATGATTACAGAATGAAGAGCACTCAAGTTCTTGAGGGGCCTTAGACATCATCTAACCTGTTCTCCCCTTTGCATAGATGAGGAAATAGAAGTAAAGTTCCCTGGCTTAGCTAATTGGTGTCCACGTTGGGGTGGCCATACTAAAAATGTTAGAATTGTTCTGTTTGCATTGATACCTGAGAGGGAATAGGATCAAAGTCTTTAAATTTGTGGCCAGGATAAAACTGTGGTCCTACTGCCAGATTTAAGGGGTGCCTTGTGAAGGTCTCATAATGGACTTAAATGAACCAATGTCTCCTAAGATCTCAACTCCAGGACATTTTCTCCTGCAGGGATTAAAGAGAAGGGGGACTGTTTGAAAACATGAGGAAGGGACATCTAGGTCATTATTTGGTTGTGTTTGCTCTCCTTCAAGTGAAACACTTATCTGAATGCAATAAAGAGGCTTCTTCAGACAGATGAAGAGCAGGCCCTGTGGGCCATGGAGAGAGTCAGTTTCCTCCCCAGTGGGACTCGTCTGCTTTCCTGGAGAGTGTTTTCACTTCCATGTTGAAGCTGGAACTCCAGCCTCCCGACAGACAATTCTCCCTAACGCACTCCCCTCTGCACTAGGGACGGCCGCCTCTTGTATTAATACAATTAAATTAGCCCGTCAGTTCCCTGGTATCCTTTGAACACTTGAGAGAAAGTCGGCAGCTTACTGGGGCTTTTCCAAGAGAAATATGTGCTACTAAAAAGTGATTTCTACACACATCCCTCCCTCCCTTGATCACGAGGTAATTACTGGGCTATGAAGGCCGCTGAAGCTGGGTCCTGGCAAAGCTAAGTGTGTGCTGCTTTCCGACTGCCAAAGGGAGCAGACAGAGCCCTGGCCTTGGTCCACTGGGGCCTGCACCACTCTTGCAAGCTTCCATGAGTGAGGTCAGTGGCATCCAAGTTCCCACAGAAACAGTGCTGGTCTCCTCGGCTGGAGGGCTTGATCAGCCATCTGCTTCCCTGCTCAGGCTGCTTTCCTAGTCGATCCAGCCCAGAGCCCTTGCAGAGCTACAAATGATGCAAGTGCTATGAAGACCAGAGGTCTTCCCCCATGGGATATAGTAATGTATTCGTTTCTTCAACAAATATTTACTGAGCATCTACCCTGCACCTGTGCTGGGCTAGGAACTGGTTTTATCCCATTTGATGGTTATTTATTGAACACCTACTTTGTACTAGACGTTGTACTCCAGTGCTATTCCCTGCAGGCAAGGAGCTGGAGGTCTGGTCAAGGGCCTATTTGTTGTTTCAGTGCCCTTATTCTCCCACCCGAGGGCACCTGGCAGAGCCAGACAGGGCCCCTGGCAGTCCTGCTGAGTGAAAGGTATAAGCAGGCACCCAAATGGCTCTAACAGTCTTCAGCCATTAACGTTCTTTCATTTCAAGGAGCTCACATAAGACACAGGCACAGTGAGACTCTTGCAAAATGAAACAAATGCCAGGGAAGAGAAGTCTCTCAGGATTTGCAACTGCTCACTGCAGATGTAACCAAAATGTGGAATGAAAAAAAAAAAAAGATCCCTTCAGACTCAGTTTTTGTGGAAAAAAAAAAGTGTTTCACTTCAGCTCAGCATGATTTTTAAAAAATCAAAACTGATTCAATTCCCTTTTCCTTTCCTTGCCACCCCATCCGAACCACCCTATCACTGAGGTTAGAGGACTTACTTGGTCAATGTCATCACATAAGCCTCTCTTAAGGAAAAAAAGTAGAGAGTAAGTTAGAGAGGATGGGAAGGTTGAGAACTGCCTACTGTTTATATGACAGAAGAAATGGAAACCACTGTACAATTCTAACTTATCAAGCAGGGTGAAAACACCACTAGGAGCAAAAGGGAGAGAGCTCAGAGGGATCAGGAGAAATCTTTTGACATGGCAGATAATTAAGACACTAAAACTAACAACCAAAGGCAGAAAGGCAAGCTGTAATTACCCAAATGCTTTCAAAGCCTGGAGAGGAGACAAAAATGGGTGGTTCCTATTTTAACCAATGTGGATAGCCTGGTAGGGACTGGCCTTTCTGTCCCCAGTATGGTTGGCTGCAGTCATTGGCCTCTGACCTCCCAGCTCCCGGACAGTGGCCATTATACCTGTGCACGCTGAGGGAATGGGCAAATGCTGCCCCGTGCTCCATGCATCTTCCAGGTCCATGGCAAGTCTCCTGTAAAATCAAGGCCACTTGAGGGCAGGGACTACCCATTCAAGCTCCTTTCATATTACACATAGCACTTTGCTCAGAAAGAGTCACATGTATATTTGCCAACCAGAGACCATTAGCAGGGACACAGCATCCGGCCTCCAGGGTTTAGTGATAGCAACACGCAAGATACTGTTTCTTACAAGTGGGAAGTTCCTCACAGACTTACTCAAATGAGTGCACACTGGAGAGTGAAACAGAGACCCCGACCAACCAACGTTGTCATGTCATAAATCACATTTCCCAGGGGCTGCTGAAAACACCCAGCCTTTTCCTAATAATTGCTGAGTCGCATAACAAGCAAAAGGCTTAATCCTACAGTCCCATCAAGTTTACCTGTAGGAGGAGTTACTTTCCACTTATCTGTATGGAGAATCTGCCATATTAGGGACATATCAGAGCATAAGTCAGCCAACGAGGCACACAGGCAGCTATAAGACATTATCAGAACCTAAACTGTTGTGATTTTATACCAAGTATGTGAAAATTTAATAAGATTAGAAGGAAAACAAAATGAGGTTGTTAGGAAGAAAGACGTCTTTCTGTTTCTATTCGTTATTGTTACTTCTAATTGTTTTTCCTTCTATCCACCCTCCACCACTCCAGGAAGAGGCTACTGGAGGCTCTTTCACTGCTTTCCACAGAGGTAGGAACCATTTCTGAGAAAGCAAGGCTCACTCTTCTCAGCACTGGGTGTTTCTGGTCCTCTCTGACCTTGACTAGAAAAACAAGCAGGAAAGAGGAGGAATGATAATAAACATATGGTCAGCATGCCTTTGTCTTCTGATAAGAAAAGTGGCTGGATGAGCAGGAATGTCCAATGGAAGCAAATTTAAAATTTTTGATTATCATCGACTGAGCAGCCGGGTGGCTCTGTGGGTTCCGGGGCACAGTCACACTTAGACACGATGCCTGTGGAACTGGTCGCGGTGCCGAACCCCAGGCAAGGAGCACTTCAGGGGAGCAGTTATTCACTGCTGTGGAAAAAGCAACACCAGGGAGAGGCACTGTGAGCTTGGGCTCCCAGAGTCCCTGCCTTGTTGCTTTCTAGCTGTGCGGCCTTGGGGGCAAATTGCTTAACTTTCTAATATTTTACTTTTCTGTAAAATGAGACTAATACTACCACCTACCTTCATTGGGTTTCTGTGAGCGTTAAATGCACTAATGCGCTATGAGTACTGAGCAATACAATAGAGAGAAAATAGGGTGGCCTTTATTGTTATTATTATAAAATCTGTTCTGGATTACCTTCCTCTCTAACACCCTAGTGTGTAAGTTAGGAACTAAAGGGATGACAATAATCAAACAAAATTAACCCAAATGCAGAGAAAATACAAAACAATAACAAAGTCACAGTGTCCCCTGGCATGTGTAACAACTGTATACCTGAAGGATGTCATAGGCTGTTAATATGTAAAGATCTTTAGAGATCTTCTTCTGCATGCAACATGCAGTATCAGATACCATCAGAGAAATAATAATATCTTTCATATGAACAACCATCATTTACTGAGATGGCCCCCTTCAGAAACTTACAGGGAACAAAATGTGATTCCTGGACTGGCACTTCTCATCTGGATATATTACAGGATTGATGCTTTCAGCCTCCTGTATCCATGCAACTGGATTTTAAAGCATTTGTAGGTCTGTGCAGCCACATCACACTGTTGCCTCCTATTAAGTTCCTTGTCAGTCACTCCTCCTCACCCTGCGCTTTGCAGGTGGCCCACGCACAGCACTCTACATTGACCTGATGACATTCTGGCCTATTAGATTTGCCTCATTATGCTCCACCATCAGCTTCTCCTGGATTCCAACTTCATCGTCTCCATACTCACGATTACTCATAGGCCCTCTGGCCTCTGGAATGTGATAAATATGGTTTTGGTAGCTTCCTTCAAGTCACACCACCGGAATGTGCCATGTGGACAGGAAGCTAGACAAGACGGTTACCTCAAATGGGCAGACATCCCCAAGAACTCTACAGTTCCATTTAAGACTCCACCAGCTGGCATGCTCTCGCCATGCTTACTCTTCCGCTCCCTGTCACCTCCGATTAGCTACTCTTTCTCCACTTTCCTGCAACCATATCTGTGGTCTGCACTGGCAGAAAGCTGGGCCATGAAGGTGGGAAATGGCTGAGGACAATACAGTGAGTGCAGAGCATTCCGTGTTGGGGTGTGGTGATGGAAGGGGTGTTTTGGGAACACGAGGGTGGTAGAAATAAGGCCAAGAAAAAAATCCACTCTGAAAAATGTTAAGCTACTGGACTTAAGAGCTTCTAGTCTCCCTCCTTAAGAGTGAGACATAATAGAAACATTTGAGAGAGTCAATAATCCAGGGCCAAGCCTGCCCTCCACATTTTATGTTCCCAGTTGGTTGGTGGTCCCCAAGCTCTATCAGATAGCACATCTTCATCAGTTGGCTTCCAGGTTGATTTAGTCATATGAAAGTGTCTTTCTTTTAAAATGCTCCCATTCTGGCTCCCTTGGGTACAGGCACAGTGAAAATGGCACATTTCTCTTCTACAACCTCAGGAAAGCATACTCCTCATTGGAGGGAGGCAAGTGATTCACCTCAACAGAGCCTAAGCCCGGGCAAGGAGCACTTCAAGGGAGCCTGGTTTCCAGTACCATATGCTGCTCCCCACCCCTTCCTGAGCCAATGGGAGGAAATGCACCTAATTTCCAAAGACTTTTAAACATATTTGGGGAACCTTAAGGGAAGGCCTTTTAAGAAGGTACCAAAAGGGTAGATAGAACAACAATTTGGACCCTCTTCTCTAACTAGGAGATCCTCAGAGGTAACCAGGGGTGAGGAAAAGGGACAATAAAGCAAATCCAAGAAACGAGGGGATGAGAACAAAATACTGTTTCCCCTTAATCTCTCAAATACTTAAAAAACATAGGCCGGGCGCGGTGGCTCACGCCTGTAATCCCAGCACTTTGGGAGGCCGAGGCGGGCGGATCACGAGGTCAGGAGATCGAGACCATCCCGGCTAAAACGGTGAAACCCCGTCTCTACTAAAAATACAAAAAATTAGCCGGGCGTAGTGGCGGGCGCCTGTAGTCCCAGCTACTTGGGAGGCTGAGGCAGGAGAATGGCGTGAACCCGGGAGGCGGAGCTTGCAGTGAGCCGAGATCCCGCCACTGCACTCCAGCCTGGGCGACAGAGCGAGACTCCGTCTCAAAAAAAAAAAAAAAAAAAAAAAAAACACCTTGCCATGAAAAATGTCAAACATGCACAGAAGTAGACTGAGCATCATAATAAACACCATGTACCCAACAATCATCAACTTGTGGCCAATTTTCTTTATCTTTACCTCCCACCCCCTCCTCCCCATATTATTTCCAAGCAAATTCCAACCATCATATTTCATCGGTAAATATTTTGGCATATATCCCTAAAAGACAAGGATCCTTAAAAAAATAAACCCCTCATAATCATGATACTATTATATTAGTAGGAATTTAATGTGCAAAGATGAGCAATGTTTCCTAGAACATTCACAATAATTCCCTAATAGCCTCCCATTTCTAGTTAGTGTTCAAATGGTCTGACTCCACATGGTTTTTAAGCCACTTTTCTGATGACGAGGCCTGCATGACCTCCTGGGTGGCTGGGAGGATGCTGTTCTAGAGCACGTAGCTGGCACAGGGTAGCTCAGCATGCTCTCCGGGCACATCCTGTACTGGGTGGAGTGAGATTCAGTTCATGTTGCACTTACACCTCCCCGCACACAGAAGCACTCCCACTAAAGCATTTCCCTAATTTCCGGAGCCACAGGCAGCTTCAGAAGTCCAAATACTTTTGAAGGCCACAAGGGACCCATCTTACTCTCAGCCTTCAAGACAGGTCAGCGCTCCTGCCTCCACTGGTGCCCCCACCCTGTTTGCAGTGATGCTGGAGGGACACAGGATGGCCCCCTGGGCTCCCTCTGCTCGGGTCAACGATGTGTGACTTTTTGCTGGACACGGGGTGTCTAGGGCAGCACACAGCAAGACGCCAATATGTGTTAGCTGTGCCATGTGCCCTACTTTTGATTTCTCAACTAGTCAGAGCTAAGATGTTAATGAAATCTACAGGCTTTCATCTCAGATAACGGATTTGCAAAACAGACATGTATAAATGACAAACTGTGTTTCAGCCACTGTGCTGGGAGGGATACAGAGATGAATGGACAGATGTCCAGGTCCCTGTCTTGGACAGATTCAGCATCTAACAAAGAATGTGAATAAATAACTCTATCATAATGGGCTAGAGCTACAGGTGCATAGAACACGCTGAGCGGGCACCGAGGGGGTTGCAATCAGTATGCAATCCTGCCAGGAAAGGTGGTGGTCAGAGCGGCTGGGAAGGACTTGCCAAGGAAGCTTACATTTGAACTGGATCTCAAAGAACAAGCCAGATTTTACCAGGCACAGAAAGGCAGGAAAGGTCACTTGGGCAACGGGAACAGCATGAGGAAAAGCACGGCAGCACATTGGTGGTGTAGGTGTCTTGTGACAGAGCTTTCGGCACATAACACAGTGCCTCTCTTCTCTGTCTACAACAAAGGCCAGCCCCGTGGAGAGCTAAAAAGAGTGAGGAACAACAGGCAGACAGATGATCCTGGAGCACGTTCAGGGAGGAGGGCAGGAGCCAGGTCTGGCTCAGCTCCCCAAGTCAGCGGCACTTCTTGCCTTCAGCTGAAGCTGGGAGACCCATCCTACGGTCAGGCTGAGGGCCGCCAGAGCCTGCGGCCAGGCCTAACACTAGGCAGAGACGACTCTGCAGCTGTCTGCTCACACTCACTGCCAGTCACGCTTCACTCCACTTTCCTGCTCTGAAAATCACGTCCTGGCAACCTGCCCATCGGACCTGGAGCCAGCCTTGCCCTCTCCACTGCGGGCCTGTAGGCCTGGCCTTGAACCCCAGCCTGCTGACATGCTTCTCAAGCTACAGGCCCATTGCTTTGGCCCTCTGATTCTGGCTGACCATGGGCCACAGAGAGGAATAGGGGGCAGCTGATGCTGGCAGTTGTAGACTGCACAAGCAGGACCCATCTCTGGGCCCTTTCCATCAAGCCTGGTCTGGTGGCCAGTGTGGTGGGCACCCCACTAGACCCCTTGATCCGGTAGTGAGTTCCAGAAGAAAAGGCACAGCTCCAAAGCTCATCTGGAGCAAACTCTGTTCTCCTAATCTCCATTCACTTCTCAAATTTCCCGACCCCCGCAAGCTTCACTGGCCTCCTAGAACCTCCCTACCAAAGGAAAAGGTTAAGTGGTCATTTCTTTAACTCTCATTTCTCTTTCGGGGACAGAGCCTGCTATTCAGGGGCATCAGGGAAGCAGGGGAAATAAGGATGGGAGTGATTAAGTGCATGTCCAAAACCAGCTCTCTGATCTCATGACTTTCTTGTACCCTTGGTACAAGTGCTCCAGAGAGAACTGAGTTGTGAAATGACAGGTAAAAACAGCACAGTGAAAACCCTTCTTGCTTTGAACAGAAAATGCAGTTGGTGCCTGTGAGTTATTTGTTTCTCCTTTGCTTTGGAAAGAGATTGTCTAGAGAATTTGGAAACCTACATCCCATTTCAGAAAGCAGACCAGATTTCTGCTGACAGTTAGTTTGGCAGGGGGTAGAGTTTGTCTGTTTTTGCCATGAGAGCTCGTTTTCTGGGGGACACACCACACGGTTCTAATTCTAGATGCCAGCAAAGCTGCGCCTTTAACCATGAAACTTGAATTAGCATTGAATGGCTTTTGAGTTTTTATTTAGGATGCATTTTAAGAAAATACAAGGCCCTCCAGCTGCAAACAGTAAGTGCCACCAAGGACTATGTGAGTTAAACATCTTTAGGATCTGTAGTCAGCCTTCCTGTGCTTTGGGAGTTTCAGGAACTTTCAACCACAGAGTACTGTGTTCAGTTGTGTCAGAAAATGACTGGGGTTGGATTTCTCCTAAGCTCTCAAAGGCTTTGAATCTTTGACATAGTGTTGTTAACATAGTTAAACTGTTTTCTACACAGAAGGCTTACTCAATACAACAAATTAGCAATACAAGAAAAGTTAGGTAAAGTTTCTATAGAAAATTCAGATCCTACAATGTTAGATTAATTTAACAACATGAAAAAATGTCCAGAGCTGTAGGTGTGATGAACTGAAGGCTCCCCCTGCTTTTGGAGGCAGCAGGAGCGCAGTACAGAAGCATGCGTTTGACACTCACAACCCGCTGCCATCCTATCATCATGTTAGGTTTCATCTTTCCAACTGGACTGCAGTTGCTGAGGTTAGCCTCCGTATACTATCCTGGTCTTGCCCCCATTTCCTAGTACAGTGAAACAATGGATGCTCTGGAATGTTTGTTGATTAAATAATTGAGATCACACATGGATACACTAGAAACTTTTTTGCAGGGCAGCATTCTTTCGGTTAGTGGGATTCTGTTCTGGGTAGAGAAGCTGCTTCCCTCATTCTCTCCCTAAGAACCTAAATTCCATCAAGAGGACACAATCACACCAGCAAGAGAAACTAGTAGGACAACTGAAATTCATCACAGGAGGCCACAAAAGAGTTAATTCAGCTCTGATATGAGGATTATGAGACAAGGGTATAAGGATTACACACAATGGATTTATAAAAGAATACAATTTTTTTTAAAGGACAAAAGTAGTGACTAGGGACGTTTGTTTCAGATGAAGAAATAACCATGTTAACCTTTTAAACATTTGCATCTGTGAATTGTAGCGGCTCAACATAAAGCAGATTGCCTACATCCACTGCAGCCATTCTGGCATGAGAAAGTTCTCTTGCCTAAAGCAAAACAGATGTGTGAGAGGAAAAAGCAAAGTCTCTTATGGGTGTATCAACATTCATAATTATATAGTTATCTCAGGAACTATAGATCGTGTGAAGCAATGAATATGGAATCCTTCCCATATTTTTTCCCTAAAAACTCAGTATAAAAAGCAGAAACTTAATATTGAAAAAACACTAATTATAAAGGCAGATGAAAAAGTTAACAGTGTATTCACATTTCATCCATACATTTTTTTTTTCTTTTTGGCCAACTGAACTAATCCTGTACCAGTGATTAAATATTCAGAATTTTTGGCCAAGTGCTGCCTAAGAGAGATCCACTTGACTGTTCAAGCAATTAGAAAAAGTGCCACATCCTTGCATGTGCCTCCAAGCAGGAAAGAGCACATCAGGGACATCTGCATATGTGTTCACATATGGGATTCACAGGCAAATCAACTTGGAAATGGGAAAGTACACAAAGGCTACCCCACTTGAGATGCAGGTCAGTATTTACAGAGCAGTGGGCAGGTGCTCGGCTGTCTGCTAGGTCCTGGGAAAGGTACAGGAGAAACACAGGCAAGAGCATGGGCACTGAACAGGAAGGAAAACAATACCCTGGAGGGCACAGCCCCCTAGCCCAAAAGAAGAGTATTTACAGTGGGGAGGGGAGGACAGAGCATGGACAAAGTCTCAACAAGCAATCATCCGAAACCAGGCTGGGAAAGTTGTTTAAGGAAATTTCAAGTTTGAATGATATGTAAAACGTGTATATGTAACAGATGAGAAGTGGCTACACAACAATCAAATCAATTTGGTAAAGATAAATGCTAATACGATTAAAATGACCCCAAATATTTGTATTATCACATTATTATAGAAATGAAGTCATATGAACATTCTGTTCAAACACACACACACACACACACACACACACACACACACACATGATATCACAATTTAGCATTAAATGCAGCTTAGAGGGCTTGAAATTGTACTGGTACACATGAGTTTAATAATAATTGATGGGCTGATGTGGTGGCTCATGCCTGTAATCCCAGCACTTTGGGAGGCTGAGGCAGGTGGATTGCTTGAGCTCAGGAGTTCAAGACCAGCCTGGGTAACATGGCGAAACCCTGTCTCTACAAAATACAAAAATTAACCGGGCATGGTGGCATGTGCCTATAGTCTCAGTTACTCAGGAGGCTGATATGGGAGGATTGCTGGAGCCCAGGTGATCGAGGCTGCAGTGAGCCGTGCTCACACCACTACGCTCCAGCCTGGGCAACACAGTGAGACCCTGTCTCAAAAAATTTATAATAATAATTGATGATAAAAAAGTTTACAAATTATGTGTACAGAGATGGAATAAGTAAATTTCTTCCTTCCTTCCTTTCTTTTTTTTTTCTCTTGCTCTGTCACCCAGGCTGGAGTGCAGTGGTGCAATCTCGGCTCACTGCAACCTCTGCCTCCCGGGTTCAAGTGATTCTCCTGCCTCAGCCTCCCAGGTAGCTGGGATTACAGGCATGTGCCACCACACCGGCTAATTTTTGTATTTTTAGTAGAGATGGGGTTTCTCCATGTTGGCCAGGCTAGTCTTGAACTCCTGACCTCAGGAGATCCACCCACCTCAGCCTCCCAAAGTGCTGAGTTTACAGGTGTGATCCACCACGCCCAGCCAATATATTTTCATGAACAGTTTTTCTACTTATGCAGTTATACAAATTAAACATGAGATATAATCTCTACCTGAAGTCATATAGCATTTACTTATCACTTTTAAAAAATGCAAGGCCAGGCACAGTGACTCACACCTGTAATCCCAACACTTTGTGAGGCTGAGGTAGGAGGATTACTTGAGTCCAGGAATTCAAGACCAGCCTGGGCAGCAAAGTGAGTCCCCATCTCTACAAAAAATAAAAAATTAGTTGGGCATGGTAGCACATGCCTGTGGTCCCAGCTATTCAGGAGGCTGAGGTGGGAGGATCACTTGAGCCAGGGAGCTCAAGGCTGCAGTGAGCCGAGAGGATGCCTTTGTGCTCATCCTGGAGGACAGAGGGAGACCCTGTCTCACAAAACAAAAAAAAAAGCAGTGATTTGTACTCCAGATAATAGAGTCATGCAGTACTATAAAAATCTCTTCTCATTTTGTATTTATTATGAGTACTGGCAAAAGAGAGGGTCATCTTCATTTTCTTCTGATTTTTTAAACATAAAATATTTGCTGAAATTGTTTTCTAATATACAAAATTGTTTGAGTGAAAGAAAAAGAACTATAAAACACAAGTACCAAACAGTCTCCAATAAAAACACTTAGATAATAATCCATTTGGAAAGAATGAGCTCCAAATATGGATTTTATGAGTAAACAAAGGTTCTGTATTGCAAAAGTTAATAGACTGTCTTCACATTTAATTTCATGACCACTTCCTCTGTTTGACTCTTCTGTGGCATAGCTTGAGATGTCTGCAAGCCCTGCTACTTCTGAAGGAAAATATACAGAGCAAAAAGACATGCTGTTAATCAAAGACTCTGGCATCTGAATTTAATAATCAGATGCCATTTGGAGTCTATACAGTTTTTCAATAGTGTAACACACAAATCAGTCAGCACATACATTTCAATAGTGATTAATCTCTTTTTACATGCACATCTGCGATCCCTTATGAAATAGTCTTAAAAGCAACCTAATAAGAAAGGAGAAAGAACCTGTGGGTCAAAAAGGATCATCATGAAGCCAAGAGATGTTGAGTCAGTCTTTCCCTAAGTCTCTCACCACATAAAGCTACTGCGCCTTTATTTACATATTTTTCCCAACTGAAATGGTCTCTCCTCTCTTTTAAAGGCCCACTCTTTTTTTTGAAGTCTTCAGGGAATTCCATGTAGGAACATTCTTCCTCTTCCCACCTAATATGTCACTGGTTCATCATTTTCTCTGTTACTCACTTGCTTCTGTAGCACCCACTGTTGGGTGTTGTTCGTTATCTTTATGTATGTCTACCTCCTGTTCCCTAACTCAGTTATACGGTCTTACAGGACAAAGAACTATGGATTATATGCTTTCCATGTCTACAGCAAGCTTCCTCAAAGTGTGGTCCTTGAATCACCAGAAATTCCTTGGATGTTTGATCAAAATATAGCTGAGAGATCCTGAAGCTGCATGAAGGGAGGGCCTAGGAAGCTGCATTTTCAGCATGCTGCCCAGGTGACTTTAATTCACATCAAGGATTGAGGACCCCTGTATACAAGGACTAAGAGAGTGCTATGAATAGAATGGGTACCAAGAAGTATTTGTTGAATATATAAGGGCACACAAAGTAAAAAAAACCCCAAACTAAAACAACAAAACCAACCAAACAAACAAAAAACAATGTGCAAAGTTAAAGGCGTTGGGATTATTTAGTCTTGTGCCTGTAAGTTTAATCACAACCCAATTATCGAAAAGATTATTGAAGTTGACTGTAGTAAAGCATTATTTTAAAGAGATTGCTTATTTTCTAGTCGCATGGTTGCTGAATAAGGCAAACGATCTCCCCTAAACTCCTAATTAGAAGATCATAATGGTCATCTCCTTTCCCCTTCTCCACCCTTCCCTGTTGACCTTCCCCAAGAATCCTTTCCTTGGCTTTCCTTCTTGTCTCTATTGCTTTTTCCCTGCTTTTTTCTATGAGACTGACTGCTTTTCACTCATCTCACTGTGGCTTGCAGCTTCAAGAACAGAAGAGAGCAGGCCACAAAGACAAATTAGAACAAGACACCCCTCTCTGTGCCAGAAAGTGTGACTTGGCAAATGGAGGACAGGCTGTGCCCCTGTGCAGTTAGCAACCTGTGAAACTGTATGTGGCAGCCTGTCAAAAAAGGTGGAGGAAAGCATCTGGGCCTACATTTTCCTGAAGATGGCTTTTCAAAATTTCTGTTTTTAGCTGACTTCACTCTTCTCTATATGCTATTAGGTAATAAGAAAAGTTCCAAACATTATTCACTGGGATGCTCAAAAGTAAGCTACATGTGCCATATTACTGTAAGACAAGTATAAAGGGCTTGCATTTTATTTCCACAAGGAATGAATAAAGGGAAAGGAATTTACTTTTGGGAAAAGGTAACACAAAGAACTTTGGTCTATGAAGGACACAAATGAATTCTCATCTTCAAAGATATTTTGAAATAATATAAGAAATGACCCATCTGTGGTAGTTTATGGTTGATCTAAGTAAGACAGCCTCCTGGGGCCCCTTCTTTCTTGGAGAAGGCACTTTTCCTATGATGCCAGGTTCCTAGTTCCCGCCTCTTCTGCCACTTCTGCAGGAGCCACCCGAGGCCTTGAGGGGCCCTTTCAGAACCTTGGGTCTGAAGTCATTTCTTATGCCCTGGGTTATCATCTTCAGTAGAAAGTTGGTGGTAGCTACAACAGCAGCGAGCACTCAGGCCAGTCTGTAAAACACACAAAATGACTTTCCTGAAGATATACAGATTTCTCAGGGTACGGTTGTATCAGGACTGCATTTCTAGTCCAGGAGATTTCTTACAATCTCACTAGACTGTGAATTCCTAAAGGGCAAGGACTGTCTCCTTCATTATTCTAGTGCCTAACAGGGCCTAGAAAAGAAGGTGCTCAACAAAGACTCTTACTGATTAAGGGGGCTTGATTAGCTCTGTCAGCAAATTCTGCCTCCAAAAGTCCTTCTCTGTTTGGCTCCCGGAGAATATTTCCCTTCTGTGTGTCACTCCCCAGCCCCACCCTCAGTCACAGATTTCTGGTCCCTGAACCCTGGATTTCCAGGTGTCATTCCAAGGTCAGGTGGAACCAAGGGCTCCATGGTCTTCACCCCCTGGTGTTACTCCTGAGATTATGTTATGTTTGGTGGGAAAAGGAATTCTGCAGATGCCATTAAGGTTACTAATCAGAGAGCATCTGCATGGGCCTAACCTAATCACATGAGCCTTTTAAAAGTAGGGAATTTTCTCCAGCTTGTTACAGAAGCGAGATTCTTGTTACAGTTGAGAGATTCTAATTGTGAGAGGGATTCAACAAGAGGAAGCTTCTCCATTGCTGACTTTACCATGAAAGGGTCAATGGGACAAGAACTTGAGAAGCTGAGGGTAGTCCTTGCGGAGACAACAGGGACTTCAGTCCTACAACCACAGCAACTGAATTCTGCCAACAACCTGAGCAAGCTTGGAAGAAGGTTCTTCTGCAAAGCCTCCAGGTAAGAGCCCAACCTGACTGACACCTTGAATTCAGCCCTCTGAGACCCTAAGCAGAGAACCCAGTTGAGCCTGCCCAGCCTTCAGACCTACAGAACTGTGAGGTAGTAAACAGGTGTTATTTTAAGCTGCTAAATTTGTGGTAATTTGCTATACAGCGATAGGAAATAAATGCAGCAGCCCTCTGGGCCCTTCTGTAGCAGTACCCTCCTTGTCTTCCGGACTTCAGTTCAATCAGTTCTCTACTGGGAGAGATAAAGAATGATCATTAGTAGGCACAAAATAACAACAGCTATGGTGACCACTGTTGTCCTTGTTCACTGACCAATAATCCAACTGCTTCACTCTCTCTGGTTTATGCTTCCCTCCCCAAACCCACACATCCTTCACAGCTTCCTCTCTGTTCTTTCTCTAGGTGAGCTTTGGCAATTTATGGTAAAAGCCTCTATCCTTGAGCTATATCCTTTATGTTCCCAGGACCCACTCGGCTTCAACATAAGCAAATAGAAATATAAATAAAGATAAAAGTATGTGTAGATCCTGCAGAATATCTACAGTCAGGTCTGGGGCAATAAATGGGTGCCTTTAAGAGTCAGATCTGATTTGAACAGAAATAAATCAAATTAAGATCTCTGATAGGCCGGGCGCGGTGGCTCACACCTGTACTCCCAGCACTTTGGGAGGCCAAGAGGGGTGAATCACCTAAGGTCAGGAGTCCGAGACCAGCCTGACCAATATGGTGAAACCACCTCTCTACTAAAAATACAAGAATTAGCTGGGTGTGGTGCCATATGCCTGTACTCCCAGCTACTCAGGAGGCTGAGGCAGGAGAATCTCCTGAACCTGGGAGGCAAGGGTTGCAGCGAGCTGAGAGTACGCCACTGTACTCCAGCCTGGGCAACAGAGTGACAGCGAGACTCTGCCTCAAAAAACCCAAAAAAACAAAACAAAAAATGTCTCTGATATACAACTAAGGGCTGGGCACAGTGGCTTACATCTGTAATCCCAACACTTTGGGAGGCCAAGGCAGGTGGATCACTTGAGGTCAGGAGTTCAAGACCAGCCTGGCCAACATGGTAAATCCTCGTCTCTACTAAAAATACAAAAAAATTAGCTGGGCATGGCAGCACGTACCTGTGGTCCCAGCTACTCAGCTGGCTGAGGTAGGAGAATGACTTGAACCCAGGAGACAGAGGTTGCAGTGAACCAAGATCACACCACTGCACTCCAGCCTGGGTGACAGAGCAAGACTCCGTCCCCCTGTGCCGCCCCCCAAAGAAAGATCTCTGATATACAATTAAGATCTCTGTGGATCTCTGATATACAGCTAAGATCTCTGTAGATCTCTGATACACAACTAAGATCTCTGTAGATCTCTGATACACAACTAAGATCTCTGTAGATCTCTGATACACAACTAAGATCTCTGTAGATCTCTGATATACAACTAAGGCTGCACAGGCTTGAGCATCTAGGGCCGAGACAGCTGCAATCTTGGATACTCTTAGTTATATCTGAGATAAAAGTCCTGCATCTGAGATACATATCTGAGATAAAAACTCCCATTTGTAAGGTTCAGGGCTTTACCCAAACTACATGGTGCTCAGCAGAATGGCCATCTAGAATCTTGCACGGTTCGCATTTCATTTCTTCTTTCAGAAACCCCACTTTCCTTGGGTTTAAATGGAAAGAACCCATAAAATAAAGCTCTTTTTTTTTTTTTTTTTTTTTTTTTTTTTTTGAGACAGAGTCTCGCTCTGTCGCCCAGGCTGGAGTGCAGTGGCGTGATCTCAATCTCGGCTCACTGCAAGCTCCGCCTCCTGGGTCCATGCCATTCTCCTGCCTCAGCCTCTTGAGTAGCTGGGACTTCAGGCGCCCGCTACCAGAAGGGACATGCTTTTCAAGTGTCTTGCTTGATCTCCTATCATAATGAATCCTTCCTTTCTCCTTAAGCAACCTTGCTCAATCCTCTTTTTAGGACTAACTTGATTCTGTTTTGCATTGCAAGCAGTTGTTTATAGATGCCCCCTCCCACCCTTGCCCTGGCCCTCTCTGGCTCCTTAGGGGCAGAGGCCATGTCCCATTGATCTTTACACTTCCCTGGGGCCTGCACAGTGAGCAGTGAATACCCGTTGAAGGAGTTTAATTTCTGCATGGAGTTAGATTTATAGTTGAGATTTCCTTTGCTGTTAGGTTTCAGGTAGGTGCTTAAGATCCCTTGATCCAGGGAGAAAAGGGCCAGGCGGCAGTTGCCACTCAGTCTGCTTCTGAAATCTCCCCACAGGAGTAAGGAAGGGGCTGCTGGGAGGTGATGGTCCTACCATCATGAGGAGGTTGAAAGAAAGGGTAGGGGAAGGAAGCTCCGAGGGCCAACCTCACTTCCCATCCCTCAGCCAGCAGCAAGCAGGGCTGCTTCTCAAATTTGATCTGTTCTCTGCCTTGGCAAAGACCAAGTGCATTCCCTGTATGTGAAACAATGCAGTTGCTGTTTCAAGGCAGACAAAAAGACTGTGGGTGGGAAAATATGAGGAAAGTCTTTTTCGTGACTTATTTTTTTTCAAAACGTATGTTGTGAGAAAAGGTGTCATGAAGATAAAATATGCAGTAAATTCTGAATCATGAAGGAAAAACATTTCCCACTGTCCTCTAAAATCTACTATATTTAGTTATTTATTCAATCACTCAGCACACTTCAAATGTGCCCTGACTAGGTGATGCTTCCCTTTGGGAGATTTGTGTATGTGCTTGTCTTCTAGACTGGAGGGTCTCCAGGGCTGGGACCTTCCACAGTTCGTCTTCATATCCCTAATGCCTAGCACTGTGACAGCAAGAGCTCAGGAGATGGCAGAGCCACAGAGACTGAAGGGGGCCACAGAGGTAGAGAGGAAAAAGGCAGAGCCAAGGGGCCTGGGAGGCCAAGTGCTTTAGGACAAGCACTGGCAAATGGCACAGAAGGGCCAAGTCAGCTCATGCTGAAAAGGAGCCAAGGGATTCAGAAAACCCACTGGTCACCTGCAGGGGGCTGCTATGGTTTGTTGCTCCAAAATCCATATGTTGGAACCCCCAAGGTGATGGCATTAAGAGGTGGGGCCATTGGGAAGTGATTAGGCCCTGGGGGCTCCACCCTCATGGATAGGATTAGTGCCTTTATCCAAGAACCTGAGGAAGAGAGTTCTTCCCTTTTCCCCTTTTGTCCCTTCTGCCACGTGAGGACTCAATGTTTCTCTCCTCTGGAAGATGCAGCCACAGGGCACCATCTTGGAAGCAGAAAGGAGCCCTCACCAGACACCAAATCTGCCGGCACCTCAGTCTTAGACTTCCCAGCCTCCAGAACTGTGAGAAATAAAGTTTTATTATTTATAAATTACCCAGTCTGTGGTATTTTGTTAAAGCAGTAGCAATGGATTTAGGGATATTTAGGAAACAAGGTTGATTGCAGTTGGGTCAAAAGTAAATGGAAGAAACATTCACTGATATCTACAAATAAACATGTTTTTAAAAGTCTCTACTAAAAATACAGAAATTAGCTGGGTGTGGTGGTGGACGCCTATAGTCCCACCTACTCGGGAGGCTGAGGCAGGAGAATCGCTTGAACCCGGGAGGTAGAGGTTGCAGTGAGTCGAAATCGCACCACTGCACTCCAGCCTGGGCAACAGAGCAAGACTCCAACTCAAAAAAGAAAAAAAAATCATGTAAATATACACTGCTACATGACTGGCTAAATAAACTACAGAATACCATGCAGCAGTTAAAAGAATAAAGTAGACCTTTATCAGGGTTTCTCAGCCTCAGCATTATTGACATTTCAGGTGGAAAACTCTTTGTCATAGGGCTGTTCTGTGCATTGTGGGATGTTTAGTACATCCCTGACTTCTACCTACTAGATGCCAATAGCATTCCCCACTCAGGTCGTGACCACCAAAAATGCCTGCAAAAATTGCCAAATCTCCCCTGGGGGGCTCACTAGCCCCTGGTTGAAAACCACTGATTTATACTTACGGATCTGGAAAGATCTCCAAGACAGATCATTGACAGAAAAAAGTATGTGGCAAAAAAAAAACCCCACAACATTTTATATGATATTATCTATGTAAAAAAAAAAAAGTATTGTACACACCACTGCTCCATAAATCCATATTGTATACATAAGCACATCTAAAGTGGTCTATAAAGTCAAAACTGTTAGCAGTGGTCACCTCTGTGGAGGGGGACAGGGAATAAGGGTCATAGTGAACTTTGTTTTGTTTTATTTATTTATTTATCTGAGACGGAGTTTTGCTCTTGTCACCCAGGCTAGAGTGCAATAGCGTGATCTCAGCTCACTGCAACCTCTGCCTCCCGGGTTCAAGCTATTCTCCTGCCTCAGCCTCCTGAGTAGCTGGGATTACAGGCATCCACCAGCACGCCCAGCTAATTTTTTTGTAATTTTAGTAGAGACAGAGTTTCACCATGTCAGCCAGGTTGGTCTCGAACTCCTGACCTCAGATGATCCACCCACCTCAGCCTCCCAAAGTGCTGGGATTACAGGCGTGAGCCACTGCACTGGGCCAATTTTGGTTTTATTTGTATGGCTGTGTTTAAACAAATAATGAAAATGGAAATGTATTTGGTGTTAAAATTAGTAAATGAATGGAAATTGAAGATATGGAGAAAGCACATGCAAACTACTTCTGACAAGGTTTAGTGGTGAGAGTGAGGCAGAATTCAAGGAAGGAATTTTTAGAATGTGGGAAAATTGAGCACTGCTAAATTCAGTCAAGTTACAATTTTGTATAAAGCACTATGAGGAGGCGGTGCATATCTTCTAGAATGCTTCTACTTATTAGCTCAAGATTTCAATAACACTTTGCCAGCAATGACTTTCCCACTAGAATTAAATATGCATGAAATAACAGAATTCCTCTTTCTGTTTTTCTACCACATGTTTCTTTAATTTGTGTTTCTTTGGTGTGTGTACAGCTTTCTCTAACTAAACTGCTGATGCCATTATGGAAACTGTCACTCTTCAGAGTTGGAAAGACCCAAGAATAAAAGCTGACTCTGACTTGTTTGGTCTGGCGTGGCTGGGGATACTGCAGGAGTGTATTTGTTTTTCATTAATTTGTTTGTCATTTTTCTCCATGATCTATGGAACATTTATTTCCCCTGAAGCAAAAAGACCTGAAATGTCAAAGGTTTTTTGGTTTCTGTTGGGGTAATGAATTGTTGAGAAAAAGAGATTTTTTCTTATATGCTATTTTATTGTAGAAAGAGACATTTTGTGACCTTTTGCTGTTTTACAGTGATAATGAATTTTCTGACAGACTTGGAAACTTTGGGCTTCTATGTTAAAATAATAAAGTTTGAGGAATAACATTGACCTGGACCTTTGGAGAATTAATCAAATACAGATTTTGGAAAATTGATGACTTTGGTCTTTATCAAGACACTCTAGTTTATTACTGTCATCAAGGCAGTACACAGATTTATACCACATAAAAACATCCAACAATTAACTACAGACCCAAGTCCCTGAACAGAGATTTTGACACTCTTGGTGGTTGGGAGGTTTAGGCCCAGGAGACCTTCAGCCTGATCAGTGTTGCTTTGTTGCCTTTTTTCTTTGTTCTTTTTCAAAAATTTAGTTGCAAAAGTAATAGGTACACTGAATTGAATAAAAACGATACTAAAAATTATACATAATCTCACCCTCTAAAGCTAACTGACCATTATAACAATTTGGTATTCTCTTTCTAATCCTGTTTTTTTCTTCGTTTGTTTGTTTTTTGAGACGGAGTCTTGCTCTGTCACCCAGGCTGGAGTGCAGTGGCGTGATCTCGGCTTACTGCAAGCTCTGCCTTCCGGGTTCACGCCATTCTCCTGCCTCAGCCTCCTGAGTAGCTGGGACTACAGATGTGTGCCACCATGCCCAGCTAATTTTTGTATTTTTAGTAGAGGCAGGGTTTCACCATGTTGGCCAGGATGGTCTCGATCTCTTGACCTCATGATCCGCCCGCCTCGGCCTCCCAAAGTGCTGGGATTACAGGCGTGAGCCAACACGCCTGGCCTCTAATCCTGTTTTAATGTCTATATTATTTTTACACAACTGAGATACTGAATACAAAATTTTATTATTTTGTGGTTTTTCCTCTCAAATATTGCATATAATGTTTTGTTTCTAATCTCAAAACACTTTAAAGGAAAACTGTAGGAACATTAATAAATTCTACCATTGTCCCTATGAATGTGATGATTAGATCCATTTTTCACATGCTCTGAAATTGTAGGTGTGTTTTTGCTTTTATTTTTGGGAGGTGAGAAAACAGGTTCACTGAGTCCAGGAGGCAGGCCAAGCTCACATAATGATGACACTGGGCAAGATGCTCTGTGTCCCTTGGAGACACAGTAACTGACCAATGGGTGTCCCAGTGACTACTTTGGCCTGGTGTGTAATACCAGGCCACAGAAATCTCTCAGCCATTTAAGAGGCATGAGCATGGGGAATTTTCCTCTTTTGCACAAAGTAGTGGCACTCCTAATCACCTAGTTTCTCTACTAAAACTCTTTCTGGGGACTTTTTGGGGTTTGCCTATACCCATCCATAGTACTTCCGCAAGATCAGAGGAAGTACTTGAAAGAAGTCAGAACCCATAGCCTAAGTAGGTTTCCCCAAGAATGTTCATAGGAGAAGAAATCTGCTACCTGATTCTTGATTTCCAGGGACCTTCTTCTAGGGTGGTAGATACTGAGCTCCTTGCCATTTTTTAGAAGCTTGGGTTTTCTTTCTGAATGTTCACATAAGGAGAAAACCAGGAACAAAAGGAAAAGAGACCAAGCTTCTGTGATGAGCTCTAAAATCTTCATGTCTTGCTGGCTTGAATATATCTTAAACTTTTTTTCAGCAAATGCATCATGTTACTTTAGGATCAGAAAACATTTTGGCATTTGGATAATCTGAAAGATAATGTAAATTGCTATACAACTAGCTTAAATAGAAATGTGGGGGAAGAGATTATAAATACTTATGATATAATTTGGATATCTGTTTCCTCCAAATCTCATGTTGAAATGTGATCCCCAATGTTGGAGGGGGGGCACAGTGGGGAGTGTTTGGGCCATAGGGGCAGATCTCTCATAAATGGCTTGATGCCCTCCTTGAGTCTTGTTCTGTTCATGTTTTAAAGAGCTGTTCTTTAAAAGAGCCTGGCATCTCTCTTGCTGCCACTCTTGCCATGTGCATACCTGCTCTCCCTTTGCCTTCTGTCTGAGGCCTCATCATAAGCTGAGCAGATGCTGGTGCCATGCTTGTACAGCCTGCAGAATCATGAGCGAAATAAACCTCTTTTAAATTACCCAGTCTCAGACATTCCTTTACAGCAACGCAAAACAGACTAATACAATTTATAAAACAGTTCTGAAATTCAAGGTCTTACATCTCTGTCTTTAATTAGATATCTTAGAAAAAATATTTAGTCTTAAATACTTATACAAATATTTTAAATTCTAAAGATTGAGCTTCAAATTGGGTGAAAGTCCTCTAGACTAGGGGCTCAATATTCAAATTGTAGTCAGAGACCCAGCAGTATTGGCACCACTCAGGAGTCTGTTAGAAATGCTGAATTTGGGCCCCACCCCAGCCTGACTGAATCAGGTGATTCGTGTGCACATTCAGGTATGAAAGGCACTGCTTTAAGTGTAGGGTAATAGACCAGATGTGTGGAATGCCAATGTTTTCACCTAGTATTCCCAGGTGAGTTCCTAGGATATACAGGAAAGTTATCAGACCTGTTCACAGCCTGCTGTTTTCTTCCTCATTAATAGCCTAATTTCTGGTATTATCTTTTCATCATGACTTAACTAATCATCAGAATCTGCCCCCAACTGCTGAGAGAGACAGTAGCTCATAACTATCTGTGATTTTCTGAAGTAGGAAAACAATGCCAAGATTATTGTCCTCTTGGTTTTCAGTCAGGTTAAGATAGGCAGAAAAGAAGATGGCTGGTTTAAAAGCATTTTAACAGCTGCACTGGTAATATACTGCATTTTGACAGATGTGGTTAGTAACTCTAAGGAGTGCATTTTTCTCTCACTTGCTTACTTTTGTTTCTAGAAGTAAAACAGCCTATGGGTAATAATAAGTTTTCAGAAGTATTCAAAAGTAGGCCTACGGTCAGGAATGTGTTTGGTTTAGCAGTTAGGAGAATTTAAACTCAAATCCAGTTGGTTTTTAATTCAGCTTAATCACCAAAACCTGATAAAGTGCCACCAAGTTATCTAAAAGCAAGCAGATACTGCACAATGGAAGAGTTGATGTCATCCTTGGAGCTGCCAAACCATCAACAATTTGGAAAGCGATTTTAAAGAGAAAATGTAAAATATGAAAAATGTAGTTCTTAGCTTTTCTTACATGCTCTTCCAAGTGTCTGTGATTTATGGGCATCTTTTTCCTTTCTTTTCTAAATTGGTTTTCACTGTCATTATTTTCATTTAAAAAATGTTTATTCATTTCAGCTCAATGCAGGGTAAATGCTGCTGTTTATAATTTGTGGAAAGACTAAGAAAAAAATCCCATATACATTTGAAAATATGATTACAATTAGAAAAAGGGAAAGGTTTAGATTCCTTTTCAGTCTCTAACATTTGTTTTTTAAAACATTAGTTGTTAACAATTAGAAATCAAGTACTATATTCTAACTTGTCCAAAAAATAACCCAGATCCAATCTTCAACTTTCTTTAAATAAAATGTATTTATGTCACAAATAATTCTTATATCTCAGTCAAAAGATAAGGGAAGGTAGTACTTAAGCTGACTTTCTCATTCCTCTTTTATTATTTTTTTCTTTTTTGAGAAAGAAGCTAAAAGTCAGCTATAAGCACTGAACTATTTTTTTCGAAGGAGTTTTTACAAAATGATGTAAAAGAAAGGATCTGAAATGAATATAAATAGTTCAAATACCCATGACTTCCTCTTTAAGTCATTTTAAATTTATACTAATGTCAGTCTCAAGTAAACCTCAGTCTCTTAAACTTGCCATCAATTAAGCCAAATCTAAGCTTTCTTACGTCTCACTTTACAAACAAGCATTAGCTATTACAATCAAGTACCTCTGACATCTATCCAATCTTTTCCATAGATCTTTTTTAAAGGTTAAAAAAGTTAACCCCATGTCTTTCCTTTTTCTTTCTTTTTTTTTTTTTGATGGAGTCTCGCTCTGTTGCCCAGGCTGGAGTGCAGTGGCACGATCTTGGCTCACTGCAACCTCTGCCTCCTGAGTTCAAGGGATTCTTCTGCCTTAGCCTCCCAAGCAGCTGGGACTACAGGCGTGCACCACCATGCCTGACTACTTTTTGTATTTTCAGTAGAGATGGGGTTTCACCATTTTGGTCAGGCTGGTCTTAAACCCCTGACCTTGTGATCTGCTCGCCTCAGCCTCCCAAAGTGCTGGGATTACAGGCATGAGCCACCATGCCTGGCCCCTTTTTTCATTTTTTCTTTAAGAAAAGACATTTATTCAACAACTACTTATTGTGCTACTGTTCTAGATGTTTGGGTATAGAAAAGAACACAAAAGACTAAATTGTCTGCCCTCGTGGAACTTGTATTTTAATGGAGACAGGAGGATGATAAATAAATATTTAAAAAATAATATGTGCTCTAAAGAAAGGCAGGTACTGGGGGCAGGGGGTAGCTACACAGTGCCTAGAACACAGTGCACTGTCAACAATGGTTAGTTTCTTTTCTTTATTGCTCTCCATGTGATTTCTCTCAACTCCTTTTACTTAATTGTGTATATTCTCTGGTTCAAAACTGCTTCTGTGAAGGCATTTAGGAAAGAAAACAAATAGCACAGGTGTTACCCCTCATGTATTAAAGGAAGAAGCTAAAGCTGACTGCAAGCTCTTTTGCTGTGAAAACAGTATGATACCCCCAAAATAAGTGAGAGAGATACTAACAGACTTCTACAAACATTCCAAATTTGAAAATAAGGGCAGGTAACAGGGCAGAATGGAAGCCTCCAAGGGGGAACCTATTTGGCTGCCATGGGTCAGGAGCATTAGGAATCACCTATGACAGGAAGTCCCAGAGCATCCCTGGCATATCAGAAGGAAAGGGCACCTACAGGGGGTTCATCCTAATAGGGGCACAGCCAGCTGCATACCTAGAACAGAGTCCAGATAGTGACAAGAGACTGTAAACCTGGCCCCAGATCAACGGCTCCATCAAATAGAGCCCACCTAGACATGATTTTCTCTTTCTAGGATGGCCCACTGTACCAGTCACTTCTCATCCATAGGCTATTAGACCACTAAACTAGTTATAAATATCTTATATAAACTACTTCTCCTGCCTTTTTTTTGAAATAGAGTCTTGCTCTGTCGCCCAGGCTGGAGTGCAGTGGTGCACTCTCAGCTCACTGCAACCTCTGCCTCCCCGGTTCAAGCAATCCTCCCACCTTAGCCTCCCTAGTAACTGGGACTACAGGTGTGTGCCACCATGCCCGGCTACTTTTTTGTATTTTTTAGTAAAGACGGGGTTTTGCCATGTTGGCCAGGCTGGTCTTGAGCTCCTGGCCTCATGCAATCCACCCACCTTGGCATCCCAAAGTGCTGGGATTACAAGCATGAGCCACTGTGCCCAGCCCCTCCTGCCTTTATACTTGAGATTATTCTAACACTTTGCTGAGATGGATTCCAAGGATAATCCAGCAATATCATTTTTAGTAAAAACCAGCCTACAAAGGAAAATTTATATTTTACTCATATGACTGAATCAGGCCCACCCAGGACTTCCTCTTGGTTGAGGCACTTAAGGATATGGGACTTGGATTACATCTATCAAGTCCTTTCAGGCAGTGCCTAAACCAGCCTTTGTTTGGATAATTGGGAGAGAAATGGCTAGACTTTGACTAGGGCTGTCATTCCAAAGAATTCTGGGACCCACAGTCCTAACGGCAAAACAAGAGTCTCTACAAATAAACTTCCACAATTTCTGATTTTTTTTTTTTTTTACTTCACTGAGAGTTTCCGGTCAAACAGGAAGTGCTGAAACCCCAGCATCTATATAACCACCTGTGGAATTAGCAGATTTTTCTTTATTTTGGGATTAAAATAGTGCAGACACAAAGGGACTTTCCTGTGGACAACAGCAATAGCTGTTTTAAAAATTCTACAAACTAAGAATAGGAGGGAGTTTTCTTACACTGATAAAGAGTATAAAAAAAATCTGCAATCGATATCATACTGAACGGTGAAATGTTGAAAGCTCTCCCTAAATAGAAATAGAAAAAGCCCACCAAAATATTAACAATGCTTATTTCTGGGTAGCAGAATAATAGGTTTAGGGTGATTTTTTTTGTGTGTATTTTTAAAAATTTTGAGCTTTTCTGTATTTTTAAAAATTTCTTGCACCACCCCCCCATCTATTATTTGTACAAAAGGAGCTTCCCTGCTGCATACAGGATGAAATCCCATCTCCTTAGTGTGACATATTGTCCTTGTTTAGCTTTCCCATCTCTTCTTTCATGCCTCCCCTTTGTCCCCCAAATAGGCTCACACACCTTTTGCTCACAGCCTTTTCTATTTCCTTTGATGGTCTTTTCCACCTAGGAACTCTTTGAGGTTCAGTGGAGGTGAAAGAGGGCCTGAGTGTTTTAGCCCTCCTTCACTCTCATAGCAACTATCAGACTCCATGGAAATGATCTGACAATTAAGTACAACTTGTAACGTCTCTACCACCATAGCTTTCAACTGTTATCTGATTTTCTTTTAACTTTTTGTATGTTCTTGTTCTCTCCAACTAGGTTATAAGCGACTTGTTGTATTTTTCATGAAGTCTAGGGCAACACAGCAGGTATTTGTGGTAGCAGAATAATGGCCCCCTAAAGATATCCACGTCCCAATCCCCAGGACCTGTGAATATGTTAGGTTACACGGCAAAGGGGCATTCAGGCTGCAGATGGAATTAAGATTGCTAATCAGCTGACTTTCAAATAGGGAGGTGATTCTAGATTATTTATCCAGGTGGGCCCAATGTTATCACAAGAGTCCAGAAAAGTTGAAGAAGGAGGCAGAACAGGTCAGACAAGATGAGATGATGGAAGCCAGGTTCAAAGAATGTGCTAGAAAAGGACCCAACCTTCCATTGCTGGCTTTGAAGATGGAGGAAGGAGGCCATGGGCCAAGGAATGTAGGCAGCCTCTAGAAGCAGGAAAAGGCAAGGAAATGGGATGTCCCCTCAGCCTTTGGAAGGGACTGCAGCCCTGCCAATCGGTACCCTGGATTTAGTCCAGTGAGACCCATGTCAGACTTCTGACCTACAGAACTGAAAACATTCAAAAAATACGAAAATAGAGTGATGGTTAAGTATTGGTTGTTTTAAGCCATTGAGTTTATGGTAATTTGTTTGATCAGTGATAGAAAACTAATAGTGTTAAATATTCTTTTCCTTCATTCACATTAAAATCAAGAAAGATAAAACTAAAGTTGTTGAAGTAATGGACAAATTTAAAGATATCCTTTTTGAGAACACCTTTCCTAATCACTCCCAAATGCTGTCACTTCTTCATTTGTCCTTACTGCTTATATTATATCACTTATCATTTGTTCTACTTTATTTTATAACTGTGTTAATATCCTTTCCTGGGCATATGTTTTCCTCTGATTCAAAAGAATCTTTAGAAGCAGGGGCCATATACTCATTCCCTAGGTATTTTCTGCCAGAGGTAAC
Source organism: Homo sapiens (assembly GCF_000001405.40). Classification (NCBI taxonomy): domain Eukaryota; kingdom Metazoa; phylum Chordata; class Mammalia; order Primates; family Hominidae; genus Homo; species Homo sapiens. Next base: position 78,829,596 of record NC_000005.10, read on the forward strand.
AGACTTCAGTCTATAAATGCCTGATTACTAACATCTTACATTATGGGTTACTAAACAGGCCGTTTAGTCTGTTTTCAACAACGTCCCAGAAATGTTTTCAAAAGTTTTATTTCAGCCTTATACACAAGCACCCTAAAACCCCTAAAAATTCTGACAAGATCAATAAATATTTACAAAATAGATTTACTTTGTAAATTTTAATTTCATTGGATATGTTCCCTAAAATTTTATGAGGTTTTATGTTTTTACAGAATTTTATGGTAGACTCTTTCAAGAAAGATGGATATATTTATCTTTACAGATGGTAAGACTGGGGAACTGAGGTAGGAGAATGACTGGTCCAGACTGGGAGAGGAAAAAAGGAGTCTGGACACCACCAAATCTTTACCAGACCTGGGGAGGCTCCAGGGTGGAAGACGGAAGGGGCGGAGCCACTGGACCTGAGAGGGACTGTTTGGAAGTTAGTCTGCTTTTGTGTTGAAATTCAAAATCAGCATAGAACCTTTAATCAACTATAATTAACAGGCTACACTTGGAAGCTATGGCTAAAATTTCTAGGCTGTACCAGAATTAAAGAAAAGTAAGCAAATAAATAAATGGTCAGTTGGACATGAGACAGTTTGGCATCAAAGTAACCCTGGGGAAAAAAAAACAAACGCTGATGTACAAATGGAGTTATGGGCCACTAACCACGTGGTGCTGTAGAGAAGGGATCTGGTGAGGCAGCTGGCCCTTCATCAAATGGCCTAACTCCAGATGCAGGGCCAGGCCAAGTCCTTCAGGTCAGCTTCTGTGATCTGGCTCAGAGAAGCCCTAGAAAATGTTGCTTACCCTGATTTCTCCAAACATAAAATTGGGGCAGCGGGATTTGCCATTTCTGCGTAGCCTAGGCCAGTGGTGAGAGTTAATTAGTGTTTTTAAAGTGCTGTGGATTTGGTTTGGTTTGTGTATTTTCTCGGGATGAAAGCCAGGATGCCAGCACCAAGTGTTAACAGTGAAGGTTTCATGCGTGCTCCTTGAGATGTGCTGTGTGAAGTGGGGTGGAGGGGATACGAGGCTTGTGGGACTGCCTTTGGCATCAAAAAGGCCACATTTCCAAACAGACTTTAGTGCTCCCCAAAGCGGAGGGGGCAGACTAGAAGCCTTTGAAAATTAAAAAGGAGAAAGCTATCTGTGTTTTGGCTCTGTGATTGAGGGCATGTAGCAACCCACACCAAGGAAAATTTGACGAGCTGCTAAAGACAAATATTGGCAACTAGAGACGACACAAAATTCTAACTGCTCTGACCTAGTACAGGCAGGCACGGAAGCAGCAACTCCCACTCTATAAGAACCCAGCAGATTTCAGATATTCCATGCTTACCGGAACCCTCCTTGGAGGTGGTTTTCACAAATAAAGCTTTATGGCTTTATTCCTGATTAAGGAAGTCACATGTGCTCATAATTTAAAATTAAAACTAGAGAAATACATAAAGTGAAAAGTGCAACTTTCCCACCCTGCCCCAATCGTAGCAGCCAGAATGTAATTGTTGTTCACTGTTGTTTGGACATATTTACAGGAGATATTGTTATAATCGTTCCCAACGTATAGGTGATGAAACAGATGGCTGGAAGAACTTACCCACAAGCTCACAGGAAATAAGTCAGAGCTGGTATTGAATAAAACCCAGGGCTTTCTGGCACCCCCAAACTCTACCTGTTTTACTAGGTGACACTGCCCACCCCACACACAGCTCCCTCATCCCCCCAGCACCCTCCAGTGGAGTGAATACAAGGCACTGACAGGGCTTCCATGACTAGCTCTACAAGCAGAAGCTACCACCATCTGCAGAGTCAGATTACATGTGAATCTAGCAAGGCTAATGTGACTACTCGACCCATTTTTCCAGCCTCCTTTAAATGAGTCATGTCCCATCAACATGCTATTATATAGGTGAGATGATCGTAACTCATATCTGGGTGCCCTTCTCCCACAAGACAAGGGTAGGACACAAAGCGATGAGACCTGCGAAATCAGTAGGACATGATGTACATGCCGGGTCTGAACAGCCCTGAGTTCCAGCTCTGATATTTAACAGCATGCATGACCTGGTGCCTCAGTTTCTTCACTTGGATTATAAAGAGTGAACAAACTGCCAAGGGGCCCTTAGCCTCTGGCATTCTATGCAATGCTGAGCAATCTGTAGCAGGGTGAGCCCCATGCATTCCCCCTAACTCTTGATTCTGCTTAATATCTAATTTCAGGCTGAAAGAAAGATGCCTCTGTGTCACTACTTCTCTAATAGACCCAAAAAGAAATAAAAATGCCTTGAAAATGATGTATGAAATTACTATTGTTCTCATTAGACTGATTCTAATCGAATCAGCTGATGATAAATTATTCATTTATTAGCGTGCATTCTTTCAATATGTATTAATCTCTTATACATAAGACACCGAGAGAACTATACAATGAAGCCTTGCTCTCCTTATAGCTCCGGATGGGGAAAACACGTGAATATAAATACTGCACTATGAGGCAGCAAGAGCTCACCGTCCTGGGAAGCTCCAGAGAAACTCAAGGGACTCAAGTTCAAAAGAATCAGAGAGGGCTTCACGGAGGAGTAGGAATGTGCACTGAACTCTACAGAAGGCGCAGGGCAACAAGGGAGATAAACAGGACTGAAGGAGGGCATTGCAATGGTGCTGAATGGTGGGCGTTGTAGGAGGGCTTGCTAGTGGACAGCTGGGAACCACCAACAGCCTTCCAGCAGGGTGGGGAGAGGCTGTGTCCATGCCCTCTTCCAGACTCTTCCAGACTGGGTTTTAGCCAGACCTTTAGGTTTGGCTTTAGCTTAACTGATCTCGAGTATTTATAACAGTACCTCATGCATCCCAGGCCATCATCGTTTATTTATTTACTGAATAAACAATCTTGGAAATGGCAACATAATACTGGGAAATGGCTCTGAATGTCGCTCTGAGGAGGAAACAGGGAGCAGCTCCAAGCATTCCAACCTGGACGACTCTTGGATCTCAAGCATGGATTTGGCAATTGCACCACAGAAAATGTGTGTGTGAGAGAGGAGAGGGTGGGAAGAAGGCTGTTCTTTCACCCTATAATCAGGAGCAGAAATAACATCTCATTAGAAACTTTAAAGAGAAGAGGGCCTTTAAATGAAATAGTAACAAAGCTGTATGGAATCACTTTGAAGAGCTGGCCTTTGGTGGGGTGGAAAATGCTAACATCTGTCACTGCCCTTCATCTATAATCAAGCTTCTACCAGCAGAATGTGTGTGTCTCCTGTGTGTGCGTACGTTTTAAATATATACACCTATGTTACATGATCGGATATGTGTGTTCCAGCCATCATAGAATGCCACGTCTGACTTCCAAAGTGAGTCGTGGTCTCAGATGGGGCAGGATCATTACTGCAGAACAGCCAAGATCAAGCCCGGCACCTGCAGGATAGGTGTATATGTTTTTCCTCAGGCAAAATAATGCCTTTGAAGCAGTTCTCCTTGTGGTCTGAGCCATGCTTGCTGGGGCCTTGCAGGAGTGTGGAATTTGGGGCTGGAGCTCTCCTTGGAACCATGTAGAGCTGAATTCAGACCTGCAGGACCTCTTGCCTACCCTGGGATTATGGCTGTTCCCCACCACTTTAGAGGTTTCCAGGCTTTCCCACTAATCAGCTTCAATGGTGCTATTCCCCAGGCTCTCTCACGGGTTTCTTACACTGACCACCCTGTGCTGCTGGACGAAGACAGAAGTATTTTAAAGACATGGAGGAATAAATAATTCTTAGGAGTTTTCTCAGAAGGGAACAAAGGAAAAGAGAAGGGTACTATCTGAACAGAGACCAAAGCACTTCCAAGGTTACTTCAGAACAAAGCCTTCAAAAATGAATAAAAAGTCTCCTCAAAGCACACAGGAAAGCAATTACATCCCACACTCTGACACAGGTCATGAAGCTGGGAGGCAGTGGAGGGAGGAAGGGGATAAAAGCAGAGCTAGGGTTGGGGCACTGAGATAACCAGTGAATGATGAAACAACCAGAGGGAACATCCCAGAAAACAGGAGCAGAACCGAACTCAGAACAGCAAGAAGAGGCAGAGCCCCAGACTCAGAGGGAAGTCAGGCCGAGCCAGGCCAGAGGCAAAGGCTTTATAAATCTCTATTTGTCTATTGAGGAGGTCTGGGAAAAGGGATGAAGTTGGGCAGGGAAATCCCACATCATCTTTTCTGGCCGATCTTTTCAATGCAGGGAGCGATGAGGGTGGGCACTTAGAAGCTGAATGAACAGTTTCAAACATCTGTATATAATGTCAATTACAACTTAATAAGTGACTTGTAGCTTCTAAGTTATTTTTACTTAGGCACAAAAGGTAGGTTTGGGGTTTAAAAGGAGTATAAGTGGCCATCTGGAGGTACTTTTAGGCTCAGGAAAGGCTGTAAGACAATAAAACAATGACTTTGACAGGTTGATCTGTTTATCATTCATTAGCAGATATTTACTGATATTAACCCAACAACTTACTACGATGTTAGGTTCTGTGCTACGGAGACCTTACTGTGCATATGGCAGTAAATGAAAAAGATAGAGACCCTATTCTCATGCAGTTTCTCTTCAGTTTTGGAAGGAGGGAAAGTTACGTTTTATTTATTTTTTATATTTTTAAATTGTGGTAAAATACAAACAACATAAAATTTACTATCCTAACCACTTTTAATTGTATGGTCCAGTGGCATTAAATACATTCACGTTGTTATGCTGTCATCATCACCATCCATCTCTACACCCACTCAACAATCATGCCCCATTCTCCCCTCCCCACAACCTCAGGCAACCACCATTCTATTTTCTGTCCCTATGAATCTGACCACTTTAGGTACCTCATGTAAGTGGAGTCATATAGTTTTTCCTTTTGTGACTTGCTTAGCATAATGTCTTTAAGGTTCATCCATGTTGTAGCATGTATTAGAATTTCTTTCACTGTTAGTGCTGGATACTATTTCATGGTATATATATGTGTATATATATATATATATATATATATATATATATATATATGCCACATTTTGTTTATTCATCCATTCACTGATGGACATTTGGGTTGCTACTACCTTTTGGCTGTTCTGAGTAATGCTGAGTAATGCTGCTACAAACATGAGTGTACAAATACCTGTTCAAGCCCCTGCTTTTAATTCTTTTAGGTATATACTCAGAAGTGGGATTGCTGGATCCTATGATAATTCTATTTTTAATATTTTGAGTAATCACACAATGTTATTGTCCATAGAGGCTACATTATTTTACTTTCCCATTAACAGTGAATAAGGGTTCCAATTTCTCTACATCCTCAACAATTCTTATTTTCCCCTCCCTCCCTCCCTCCCTTCCTTCCTTTTTCCACTCTCTCTCCTTTTCTTTCTTTCATTTTTTAAATTGTAGTCATCCTAATGGTATAATTTACGTATGCATCCTTGAGACTTTATGCTTTACTGCAGAATGGTGAATCTCCTGATCTATGAGAGATTTGGTGACCCCTGGTGTGTGTGCATGTTTCTCTATGAATGTGTACGTGTATCAATATTTTGTGCCGATCTTTGAGTATTTTTACTGTTAGTATCCAAGCCACAACCTACCATGTGCATGTGACCATGAAAAAAATCCTGACTCCACCAGCAGGATGGGCCTCTGGGCACCCTATAATTTGACTAGGGGAATGGGGTGTGTGTTGGCAGGGAGCGGGGGAGGTGTAGCTGCTGAAATCCAAGAGGCCAGCTTCTGGGAGCATGTGGTGCTAGGCAGAGGGCAGAAATCTCCTGGGAAGTGCGTAATGCCTATTCGTATGATTCACAATCAGAGGAGACATTGGTCAACAAACCCCAGGATGACCCACTAAGGGAAAGAGGAGATAGAAAAGCGGATCGATACGGTGATGTTTCGGAACGGAAATCAGAAAGGTGGCCAGGATATAGTAATAAGAAACTCATAAAATAATTCAAATTCCTCTAGTGCATATAATGTTTCTAGCATTTGCACTTGTGTTTATCTATTTATGATCATGCCTTTGGCAACATCACTGCTTATCAATGGACACACTCCTTCTAGCAGGCAGAAAAAGGAGAGAAGCAGAGTAAGCAGCTTTGCTCCTTTGAGGTCCCATTCATATAGAGACCCACAGAACACTGAAGCCAGAGGGACCTTGGAGATCATTTAATTCCTTCTTTACTCCACAGGTGAGGAAACTGACGAAGTGGCTTTAGGGAAGGTGGAGGTGGAACGCTACCTTCTTCTCCCGCAGTAAGCACCAACGATCTGGGAAGAGCTGGAGTGAGAAACCACAGAAATGCTTCTGTGATAACACTGACTCCATTGTTAACCCTCAGTTTACACCCGAGATTGGCTACTTCTGATTTAACTCCACAAAAGCCTCTGTGCTCTATGAATATGATATCCAGACTTGGCTGTCCCCTAAGTACATGTTTTTTTATAGCTGGATTTAATTTTTCCTCATAAATGAATTGCATAGAAAAGGAAACGGGCTTGTATCATCATCCTAAAAATGAGCAGGCACCCAAAGACAGCTCTTCTTGTTTCTTCTTCTGCCTCTCAGTAGAGTGAAGTGAATATAAAAACTGGGCAGAAAAGGCCCATGGGATTGCCATGTGTGAGGAGGTGGGTGGCACCTTGCTACCTGCAGGCACAGACAGCAGAGAACGCTGTGTGTGTGTGAAGCAACAGTGAATGTGGTTCTACATCCTTGCAAGAGCTGACAATGTCCTTCGTTATCTGCAGGAGTCAGAGCAGGAGTCCCAAGCTGGTGGGGAAGCCAACATGAAGGCCTGGGTGGGCTCCAGAGAGGGAAGGAAGAGCAGCAGAAGGCCAAAGAGGATGCCTAAATTTGTGGCGGCAGTACTGGGTCTTATAATTCTACCACATAATACATAGGAAACTGAGTCCAAGAGAAGTAAATGTCCTTACAGTCTATGGATGGCAAGATTAGGAAAATTTTCTATTCTAATTTCCATGCTCTTACCAACTTTTACTCTGGAGAAACCTTTTGCCTGTGCTGTTATTTTGCTAGGGCCCTTTAGGTAAGACAGGAGAAAGCACAGCAAGTTGCACCAAGAACCCTGCAGCACACAGTGCTGTGGTGATAGTGTATTCGTCCGTCCTTGCATTGTTATAAAGAACTACCTGAGACTAGGTATAAATAAGAGAGGTTTAATTGGTTCAGGGTTCCACAGGCTGTACAGGAATCATGGCTGGGGAGGCCTCAGGAACTTACAATCATGACAGAAGGTGAAGAGGAGGCAGGTATGTCCTACATGGCTGGAGCAGGAGGAAGAGAGCGAAGGGGGAGGTGCCACACACTTTCAAACAACCAGATCTCATGAGAACTCACTCACTATCACAAGAACAGCAAGGGGGAATCCATGCCTATGATCCAGTCACCTCCCGCCGGGCCCCTCCTCCAGCATGGGGGATTACAATTCGACATGACACTTGGGTGGGACACAAATCCCAACCATATCACATAGGAGTATAGTTCTCAAGCTCCTACTTCAAATGCCAAACCAAAATACAGCTTAGTGAGTGAGGGGTCTTAAGGTTTTTCATTTGTAGGTGGAATTTAGCAGGTGAAGACATTTACAACCATTATAATGTGGGTGGCATATTCCACATATCCCCTAGACCTAGGTTATACTGGGCTTTGCAGTGCATTAAATTACTCAGAAAGTTTTAAAGCCATTCCTGCCTCCCCACTATTCTCTTCCAGCCACCCTTAGAGACTTTGATATGACTGAAATGTATCTCTTAGGTGTACTGGGGTAGAGAAAAGTTTAGGAGTCATTGATGTAGCCTCACAGTAACTATTCACAGCTCTGTGATCAGCTCAGCTGATCAACTTACTTCCTAGCACCTTCTAGAAGGGGTTTTTAGGCCAATAGAAATATAATGCAAGTCACTTATGTAAGTTAATTAAAATTAAATTTTCTATTAGCCACATTAAGAAAGGAAGAGGAGAGAAGTAAAACACTAACAATATATTTAATTCAATATATCCAAAGTATTATCCTTTCAACAAATAATAAATCTATAATATTGTATGCATATAATACATAGGTGTACTAAGTCTTGAAAATCGGATGTATATATTCTACTCACAGCACATCTCAATCCACAGTTAGCCATATTTTAAGTACCTGACAGCCACATGTGGCCTGTGGCTACTATACTGGACAGCACAAATCTAGACTGTTCTTACAGTCCTTAGGGCTCAAACCTTGCCCTTGCCTCTCTCACTGACATGCGTTTACTCCAAAAGAAATAGAAATTTCTCCACGATGTAGCCATTCTCGCCTGTCTCAGGGCCCTTTCCTGTCCAGGTCTTAATGTGTCCACTTGGTCTTTATTGCATCTCAACTCTCCAATTGTCCACTGAGTCATCAAGTAATCATTACTGAGTGCCTAGCAAGCTCCCAGTATTTGTGTTAACTGACAAGGATAAAAAAATACAGGAGATGCTGACTTCCAGGAGCTCTCAGCTTGGAAATGCAGGCACAAACACGAACATGTGAGGGATGCTATACGGAGACACATGCACACAGGAAGGAGTGACTGCTCCTTCTGGGGCTCTGGAAAGCATTCACAGAGGGAGACATGGGGCTGGGTTTTTAAGGGATGAGAGAGATTATAGACAGGTAGGGAAAATGTGTTTCAGGCATAGGGAAAAGCATATTCATGACAGTACGATGATCTGCATGGAGATGACAAGTGTCTAGGAAGTGAGAACATGACAAGGAGTGCCTGGAGTGAGGCTGGCCGGGCAAGTGGGGCCCGAGTGCCTGGTGACACATTTAGAATGACTGTGGGGTAATTCTCTGAGCAGGAATCTCTGAATGAGAATATTTTGTGGTGAGCTATAATGCAGTTTGGAAAAAACAAAGAAGTAAGGAGAGCCTGAACTAAGTGGGCAGCAGTATGTCCAGAAAGGAGCGGATGGGAGCCCCCATGTGAATAAGGGAATATAAGGGCACTGTTTGCAAGATGAGCATTATGATGAAAGCTGGGCAAAGGGTCTAATTGCTAAGGCTTTCTATGCCCAAACTCACTATGCTGAGGGCATTAGGGCCACTCGCATGGTATTTATACAGGCCTATTACAGTCCGTTGTGATCTGGAAGCACTACATGCATGCCTGCCCTGAAGGAAATGGTAAGGCTCTTTACAGGTTAATTTAGGCAGGAGGCAGAATCAAGCGGAATCACTTCCAGGACTGCTAGGAAAGTCACACTTGTGACACCCAGCAGGTGTTGGGCAGTACCTGACCAGCCCAATCAGATAATGTGGTTGCTCACACTACCTGGAACCCAACTGTGGCTTATCTGACTGTGAGTTTTCTGGAAGGTGGCTCTGGAGCTCTCAGGTAAGAACAGGGCAGCAACATGACATCTACAGTGAGAAGGAGCCTCAGAGATGCCATGAGTTCTTCTTTTGTAAATGGGGAAGGCTGGGGCAGGGAGAGTTCAATGGCTTAAAGGCTAGTAAGCGGCAGAGCAAGAATAGAATTCACCTTTCTTATTTCATAAGCTGGTGTTGCTTTCACAGCACACTGCCCTCTGAGATGAGCGGGAGATATGTCCCGAAGAACTGTTTACCTTTATAGCAACTCAGGAAAAAAGAGAAAGCTAGGCTAGAGACACACTAGGTAATCAAACCATCTTGGTGGGCCAATTAGATTTAATCTAGTAGCAATGCACTGGTACTCACACGGTGAAGAGTCCACGAAGTTCGGGTCAATATTATGCAGCAGCTCAATTCTGGGGGATGGGCTTCCTTCACTGGAAAACAATTTTTAAGGGAATGTTAATTTCCTCTCTCTAATGGGCATGAATTATTTTAATACTTCCCTTCCTTGTACTTATAGGAAATAACAAACCTGCCAGTTAACAACTCTGTCATGAATTTGGAGGTCTCCACAATCACGGCTGGTGCATCTTCAAGCAGTCATCGTTTGTTTACATTGACCGAACCCTTTACATAAGAACTTCAGTGTCAAGCATATGAAGATATTTTAAAAAATGATTCTGGGACCCTTTGAAATAAATATTGTGGCCTTATTTAAACATGACCATTTTTTACACCAGAGAAATGAGAACTCAAGTCACCTCATATAGACTTCATACTGAACACTTACGAGTAAATGAAGAAACTGCATCTGCCAAAATGGTGGCACCAATATTACAGATGCAACATGCCTCTTAAAGAGTAACCTACATCAGAAAAATTAATGTCCTCCATGTCCAAATTTGCAACACGGATCTTAGATTTAATATAAATACATGAGAAATACCTAGATCTCTTTAAGGCTTTAAAAAATGTGTACACACAAATACAATCACAACCTACATTTGTGCTGAAAAGTGACTTGGAGATCGCTTAGTTCAACCCCCTCTTCTTACAAATGATGAAGGTACATAGTAAGTTATTGGTAGAATATTGGGTTGTGTGACTCTCAAAGCAGTGTTCTTAAGAAATTGGGAGCATAAACATCACCAGATGTATGTAGGGAGCACAATAGGCACCCAGGTCATTTTGCTAGTGTAGACTCAGCCTTACAGAAGTAGCTAAAAACAATTTAAATCATTGAGGGTGTACTGAGGACTCCCTGATAATCTAATACAGTTCAGCTAAGTACTAAAGGTTGCAAAGTACTGTTAACACCACAGGATTCATACATAATATAAATAATCAATAAGGCTCCTGACGTAACCAAGACATGGTTTCAGGTGTCCCAGTGTCCACACGCCAAACTCACAGTTAGCTGTTGATAGCAGTGGTTTGGGATTTCAATGCCCAATACAATTTCAAAAAATCTGGGTTGTGATTCACAACTTTGTATTTGCCAAGTAAGGAAATATAAAAACAAATCTTAATGAATTAATTTAAAACAAAACAAAATAACAAACTTCAACTACCATCACCATTATTTTATAAAATAAACAGCAAAAAAGGTAGGAAAGACACGATCTCTGAATAAATAACAGCTCCTTAAATTGAGCATATTTAACTTTGGTATTCTATCAGATGTCATTGTCCCCCTCTACTCCATAAATCACAGTGATCAGAGACAGTGGAAGAGAAACATTCAGGGGTGCCCACGGTCCTGGGACAGCAGCGGCAGCACTGCAGGGGTGGGGGTGGGGCATATTTCCCAGGACCTTTCTTTTCTCATTTTCTTTCGGAGACACTTAACTGCCTGAATATCCTGGAGACTATCAACCAGTCCAAAATGCCAGGAACTACGGTTTGATCCCAGAAGCTCTGAATGGAAGTAGAAATGATATGTAAAGAAAATGGTAAATATGAGAAAATCTAAATAGAATGATGATGATGTCTAATTTGTGGGCTTAAAACCAAACAAGTATGCCAGGTACAATGGCTCACGCCTATAATCCCAGCACTTTGGGAGGCTGAGATGGGAGGATCCCTTGAGGCCAGCCAGGAGTTTGAGACAAGCTTAGGCAACATACTGAGACCTGGTCTGTACTACTACTACTACTACTACTACTACTACTACTACTAATAATAATAATAATTTGAGCATGGTGGTGCATGCCTGTAGTCCCAGCAACACAGGAGGCTGAGGCAAGAGGATCCCTTGAGCCCAGGAGTTCAAGGCTGTAGTGAGCTATGATCACACCACTGCACTCCAGCCTAGATGACAAAGTGAGACTCTGTCTTAAAACAAACAAACAAATAAAACCAAGCAAACAGAGTTAAAATCCTGGAAAATAATAGCAAGCAAGGAAAGGAAATCAAATGAAAGCATTTTAAAGTATTTATATTGTTTGGAAGTGGGGTAAAGCTACTGATTAAATTTAGATTTAGCTAAGTAAAACTTTTGTGTTAAATTTTTAGGGCAACTATTAAAAATAAAGGCTTTTTCTGGACTATAGGTTGAAAACTCAAAAATTTCAGGGCCAGTATATTAATACATAACTACGCAGCTTTAAAAGTAGAGTTCACTGTAATACCCCAAAATATTAGGCACAATTAAATAAAAACATTTTCCTAATAACTTTAGAGAGAGTTTATATACATACTCTTCATTCATGTCATTTTTTTCATTATTCAGAAGAGTCACAGGTATTTTAAAATAAGTAAATTTAATACGATGAGATGATTTTTTGAAACCAAGCGTTGTGTATAATCCTAGTTGATTGTTAGGAAAAATCTTCATAGGCAGAATCATCATGATGCAAATAGGAGCCAACCCCTCCAACTATCTTAAGTATGTTGTCATTCTACTTTTAAAATGCACTCATCAGAATATTTTGATAAGGATGTGGTTAGAGATATGGGCCAAGAAAACACAATATATGACAAGTGATTGAAACAATGACCAAACACCATTAGGGACTTCCTGAGGGGGAGGTAGAGAGGGATTGTGGATTTCCGTTAATAGTTAACACTTTATTAACACAGATTCAAGTAATTATACCCTCCACCACCACACACACACACACACACACATCAACTTAAGAAGGCACAGAAACTGCATGGTTAATTTCAGTGCAGACAAGGGTACAGTGTACTGATACTGCAACCAAGAAGGTGGGTTCAAGTCACCTGGAGAAGACAATCTGGGGGCATGGGACAGAAACGGAGCTTGTCGGAAGGAGGGGAAGGGGTGGGTGATGAGAAGTCTCAAAGCTAACTCTGCAAGCCTCATAATTTTGCCTAGGAGATATTTCAGAGTCATAATTTTGAAAAGACCAGTAAATGGCAGAGACAATGGTCATTAGAGAGACATGGCCGATTGCTGGGGAGGAGAATCCTCAGGGCTGAATGCCATATATAGGAAGAGCATGCCCCAGACCCTGCGCAGGGCCCACTGTCTACTGAGGAGTTAAAATTTCCCCAGACCGAAGAAGCTGGACATGGGTACACAGCTTGGGAAGAAATGTTCACCACCATATTAATAAACTTTCTCTTTATAAATTCAAAGAAAGGGAAGTTCAGTAAATACCCATATGTTTTCAGCATTAAAGACCCTCTTAAGAACCCACAAATTCTTGGCCACTTAAATTTGAGTAGTCTCCAATAATCACATGAAAGATCCCTCTCTTGGATTTAGAAGGAAAATGCCTGGTGTGTGGTGAGTTTTCTGTTTTTGTTTTTGTTTTTTTCCCTTTTTTTTTTTTTAGAGAAAACGTTTTCCATTGTTGTCTCACTGCCATCCCTTCCTCACTCCTCTGGAAATTTTTGATATCAATAATCTCCACTTTCTTATGCATGTTCATCTATCCTTCTGTTAAAAACAAAATAAGAAAATTTTATTAACCATCTTATTTGCCATTAGGTATCTTGTTTTTTGCAGTACTCATTCTCAAACTTTGCTGTACATTAGAATTACCTGGGAAGCTTTTAAATCCCAGATGCACAGGCTGCATCTCATACCCGTAAGATCACTGGCGGTGGAACCCAAGCATTGGTACTTTTGGACTCTCCAGATGATTCCAATGTGCAGCCAAGCATGGGAACCGCTGCTCCTAAGCAGTGCTTCCCAAACCTTAATGTACATATGAATCATCTGGGGAGCTTGTTAAACTGTGGATCCTGATGTACTTGAACTGAATGGGGCCCAATAATCTGCATTTCTAACAGTTTCCCAGGTGACATTGATGCTGCTGGTCTCAGAACCACACTTGAGGTATCATGGTTTGAGGAAGCCTCCCGGAGTCCTTCCACATGGGATCTCAACTCTTTTGGAGTCTCTTAAATTAAAATCTTATTTGGATTAGGGCTGATTCAAACATAATGATTCTCAACCTTGGCTGCACAATACAATCACCTGAAGAACTCTTAAAAAATACTGATGCATGGGTTCAATCCCAGGAGACTGAGTTCTGAGTTTCAGCCTGGGCATAAAGATTTATAAAAGCACCCAAACTTAGCTTTATTGAAGTATAATTTTAAAACCATACAATCACCCATTTAAACTGCACAGTTAAATGTTTTTGGTATATTCACATGGTTGCACAATCATCAACAGTCTAATTTTAGAACATTTTTATCCTCCCAAAAGAAATACTGTACCCATTAGCAGTCATTCTTCATTTTCTACTTCACTCCCCTCCCCAGCCCTAGCCGATTGTTAATCTGTCTCTACAGATTTGCCTATTCTGGACATTTCATATAACTGGAACCACACAATACTTGGCCTTTTGTGGCTGGCTTCTTTCACTTAGCATAATGTTTTCAAGGATCATCAATGTGGTAGCATGCATCAAATATTTCATTCCTTTATATGGCTAAATAATATCCCATTGCTTGAAGATATCACATTTTCTTTATCCATTTACTTGGTTAGTATTTTGATTGTTTTCAATATTTGGCTATTATGAATAATCCTACTATGAACATTCATGTACAATTTTTTGTGTGGGCATTCGTTTTCATATCTCTTGGGTCTATAACTAGGAGTGGAATTGCCAGGTCATATGGTAACTCTACAACATTTTGAGGACTTGCCGAACAATTTTCCAAAGCAGCTACGCCATTTCACACTCTCACCAGGAATAAGTGCTTCAATTTCTCCACATCTTTGACAACACTTATTAATGTGTCTTTTTGAATGTAGCCATTCTAGTTGGTGTAAAGTGATATCTCATTGCGATTTGATTTGCATTTTCCTAATAATTAATGATGAGCATCTTTTCATGTATGTATTGGCCATTTATATATCCTCTTTGGAGAAATGTCTATTCAGATCATTTGCTCGTATTTTAATGGGGCTACTTGTCTTTTTATGATTGAGTTGCATGAATTCTTTATATATTCTATTTGCAAGTCCCTTATCTGATACATGATTTGCTAATATTTTCTCCTATTCTGTGGGTTGATTTTTCACTTCCTTGAGAATATCATTTTGAGAATAAAAGTTTGCATTTTGATGTAGTTCGACTTATGTATTTTCTCCTGTGTTGCTTTTATCTAAGAAACTACTGTCTGACCCAAGATCACAAAGCTTTACTCCTGAGTTTTCTTCTAAGAGTTTTATAGTTTTAATTCTTACATTTAGGTCTATGATCCATTTTAAGTTAATTTTTGTGTATGCTGTGAGGTAGAGATCCAACTTCATTATCTTCTTTTTTTATTATGTTTAATTGACATATAAATATACATATTTATGGGCTAGAGTATATTTCAATATATGTGTACAATGTGTAATGATAAGTCAGTGTAATTAGCATAACCATCACCTCAAATATTTATCATTTCTCTGTGTTGGGAACATTCAAAATTCACTCTTGTAACTTTTCAAAAATATACAATAAATTGTTGTTAATGATAGTCACCCTATAGTGCTATAGAGCACTAGACCTTATTCCTCCTATTTAATTGTACTTTTATATCCATTAACTAACCTTTGGCTATTCTCCTCTCCCCTACCCTTCCCACCCCTCAGGAAAAACACTACTCTACTCTTTGCTTCTATGAGATCAACGTTTTTTAGCTTCCATGTATGAGAACATGTGGTATTTATCTTTCTGTGCCTGGCTTATTTCACTTAACATAGTGACCTTCAGTTTCATCCATGTTACTGTGAATGACAGGATTTCATTTTGTTTTATGGCTAAAGAGTATTCCATTGTGTATATATACCATATTTTCTTCATTCACCCACTGATGGACCCTTAAGTTGATTCTATATCTTGGGTATTGTGAATAGTACTGCAATAAATATGGGAGTGCACATATCTCCTTGATATACTGATTTCATTTCCTTTGCATATATACCCAGTAGCGGGATTGCTGGATCATATGGTAGTTCTATTTTTAGTTTTTTGAGGAGCCTTCATATTGTTTTCCACAATGGCTAGACTAATTTGCATTCTCACCAGTGGTGGATAAGAGTACCCCTTTCTCTACAACCTCGCCAGGATCTGTTATTTTTTAACTTTTTGATAATGGCCATTCTAACCGGGTTGAGATCATATCTCATCGTGGTTTTAAATTTGCATTCTCTCATGATTAGTGATGTTGAGCATTTTTAAAAATAAATCTACTAGCCATTTGTATTTCTTATTTTGAGAGGTGTCTATTCAGCTCATTTACCCATTTTAAACTGGATTATTTGGGGGGTTTTTCTGTTGAATTGTTTCAGTTCCTTATATATTCTGGATATTAATCCTTTGTTGAATGAAGAGTTAGCAAATATTTTCTCCCATTATGCAGGCTGTCTATTTGCTCTGTTGATTGTTTCCTTTGCTGTGCAGGAGATTTTAGCTTGATATAATCCCATTTGTCTATTTTTGCTTTTGTTGCCTGTGCCTTTGAGGTCTTCTCCATAAAATCTTTGCCCAGACCAATGTTCTGAAGCATTTCTCCTATGTTTTCTTTCAGGAGTTTCATAGCTTCAGGTCTTATATTTAAGTCATTAACCCATTTTGAGTTGATTTTTATATATGGTGAGAGATACAGGTTTGGTTTCATTTTTATGCATGTGGATATCCAATTTTCCCAGCACCATTTATTGAAAAGACTGTCTCTTCCTCAATAAATGTTCTTGGTGCCTTTGTCAAGGATCAGTAGGCTATACATACACGAATTTATTTCTAGGTTCTCTATTTTGTTCCATTGGTATATGAATCTGTATTTTACACAAGTAACATGCTGTATTGGTTACTATACCTTTATAGTATCTTTTGAAACCTGGCAGTGTGATGCCTCCAACTTTGTTCTTTTCATTCAGGATTGCTTTGGCTATAGGGTCTTTTGTGGGTGCATGTAAATTTTAGGATTTTTTAATTTCTGTTGAGAATGTTATTGGTATTTAGATAGGGATTGCATTGACTCTGTAGATTGCTTTTGGTAGTAAGATCATTTTCACAATATTTATTCTTCAAATCTATGAATATGAGATATCTTTTCATTTTTTGTGTGTTCTCTTCTGCTAGCTTGTTGCTGGCATATAGAAATGCTACTGATTTCTGTATGTTGATTCTGTATCCTGCAACTTTACTGAATTTGTTTATCAGTTGTAAGAGTTTTTTGGTAGAGCTTTTAGGGTTTTCTGTATATATGATGATATCATCTGCAAATAGGGACAATTTGACATCCTCCTTTCCATTTTGGAGGTCCTTTATTTCTTTCTATTGCCTGATTGCTCTGGCTAGGACTTCCATTACTCTGTTGAACAAAAGTGGTAAAAGTGAGCATCGTTGTCTTGTTTCAGATGTTAGGGGAAAGGCTGTCAACTTTTTCCCATTCAGTGCGATGTTTGCTATGGGCTTATGATATATGGCCTTTATCGTGTTGAGCTGTGGTCCTTCTATAACTAATTAGTTGAGTGTTTTGATTATGAAGCGATGTTGAATTGTATCAAATCCTTTTTATGTATCTATTGAGATGGTCATGTGGTTTTTATACTTCATTCTGTTGATGTAATGTGTCATGTTTATGGATTTGTATATGTTGAACCATTCTTGCAACTTTGGGATAAATCCCACTTGATAATGGTGAATGATCTTTTAAATTTATTTTTATTTTTTGAGATGGGGTCTCATTTTGTTGCCCAGACTGGAGTACAGTGGCTTGATCATGGCTCATTGCAGTCTCAATCTCCCAGACTCAAGCAATCCTCCCACCTCAGCCTCCCTAGTACCTGGGCTATAGGAGCATGCCACCATGCCTGGCTAATTTTTAAATTTTTTGCAGAAATGGGATCTCCCTCTGCTGCCCAGGCTGGTCTTGAACTCCTAGGTTCAAGTGATCCTCCTGCCTTGGCCTCCCAAAGCCCTGAGATTACAGGCATGAGACACCACACCTGGCTGTGAACGATCTTTTTAATGTGTTGCTGGATTCAGTTTGCTAGCATTTTGTTGAGGCTTTGTGTGTCTATGTTCATTGGGGATACTGGCCTAAAGTTTTCTTTTCTTGTTGTATCTCTGTCTAGTTTTGGTATCAACATAATGCTGGTCTTGTGGAATAAGTTTAGAAGAATTCCCTCCTCTTCAATTTTCTGGAAGAGTTTGAGAAGAATTTTTATTAGTTCTTTAAATGTTTTGTAGAATTCTGCAATGAGGTCATCAGGTCCTGGGCTTCTCTTCAATGGGAGACTTTTTATTACAAGATTCAATCTCATTACTTATAATTGGTCTATTCAGGTTTTCTATTTCTTCTTGGTTCAATCATGGCACATTGCATGTATACATGAATTTATCCATTTCCACTAGATTTTCTAATTTGTTGGCATATAGTTGTTCATAATAGTCTCTCATGATCACTTGTATTTCTATGGTATCAGTTGCAATGTCTCCTTTTTTGTTGGTGATTTTATTTGGACCATTTACATTCTTGATTCATCTAGCTAATTATTTGTCAGTTTTGTTAATCGTTTCAAAAACCAACTTTTAATTTCATCGATCTTTTGTATTATTTTTTAGCGTGAATTTTTTTATTTTATTATTATTATTATTTTATTATTATTATACTTTAAGTTTTAGGGTACATGTGCACAATGTGCAGGTTAGTTACATATGTATACATGTGCCATGCTGTTGTGCTGCACCCATTAACTCGTCATTTAGCATTAGGTATATCTCCTAATGCTATCCTCCCCCCTCCCCCCACCCCACAACACTCCCCAGAGTGTGATGTTCCCCTTCCTGTGTCCATGAGTTCTCATTGTTCAATTCCCACCTATGAGTGAGAACATGCGGTGTTTGGTTTTTTGTCCTTGCGATAGTTTACTGAGAATGATTTCCAATTTCATCCATGTCCGTACAAAGGACATGAACTCATCATTTTTTATGGCTGCATAGTATTCCATGGTGTATATGTGCCACATTTTCTTAATCCAGTCTATCATTGTTGGACGTTTGGGTTGGTTCCAAGTCTTTGCTATTGTGAATAGTGCCGCAATAAACATACGTGTGCATGTGTCTTTATAGCAGCATGATTTATAGTCCTTTGGGTATATACCCCGTAATGGGATGGCTGGGTCAAATGGTATTTCTAGTCTAGTTCTAGATCCCTGAGGAATCATCACACTGACTTCCACAATGGTTGAACTAGTTTACAGTCCCACCAACAGTGCAAAAGTATTTCTATTTCTCCACATCCTCTCTAGCACCTGTTGTTTCCTGACTTTTTAATGATTGCCATTCTAACTGGTGTGAGACGGTATCTCATTGTGGTTTTGATTTGCATTTCTCTGATGGCCAGTAATGATGAGCATTTTTTCACGTGTCTTTTGGCTGCATAAATGTCTTCTTTTGAGAAGCGTCTGTTCATATCCTTTGCCCACTTGTTGATGGCGTTGTTTTTTCTCGTAAATTTGTTTGAGTTCATTGTAGATTCTGGATATTAGCCCTTTGTCAGATGAGTAGATTGCAAAAATTTTCTCCCATTCTGAAGGTTGCCTGTTCACTTTGATGGTAGTTTCTTTTGCTGTGCAGAAGCTCTTTAGTTTAATTAGATCCCATTTGTCAGTTTTGGTTTTTGTTGCCATTGCTTTTGGTGTTTTAGACATGAAGTCCTTGCCCATGCCTATGTCCTGAATGGTAATGCCTAGGTTTTCTTCTCGGGTTTTTATGGTTTTAGGTCTAACGTTTAAGTCTTTAATCCATCTTGAATTAATTTTTGTATAAGGTGTAAGGAAGGGATCCAGTTTCAGCTTTCTACATATGGCTAGCCAGTTTTCCCAGCACCATTTATTAAATGGGGAATCCTTTCCCCATTGCTTGTTTTTCTCAGGTTTGTCAAAGATCAGATAGTTGTAGGTAAGCGGCATTATTTCTGAGGGCTCTGTTCTGTTCCATTGATCTATATCTCTGTTTTGGTACCAGTACCATGCTGTTTTGGTTACTGTAGCCTTGTAGTATAGTTTGAAGTCAGGTAGCGTGATGCCTCCAGCTTTGTTCTTTTGGCTTAGGATTGACTTGGCAATGTGGGCTCTTTTTTGGTTCCATATGAACTTTAGTTTTTTCCAATTCTGTGAAGAAAGTCATTGGTAGCTTGATGGGGATGGCATTGAATCTATAAATTACCTTGGGCAGTATGGCCATTTTCACAATATTGATTCTTCCTGTCCATGAGCATGGAATGTTCTTCCATTTGTTTGTATCCTCTTTTATTTCCTTGAGCAGTGGTTTGTAGTTCTCCTTGAAGAGGTCCTTCACATCCCTTGTAAGTTGGATTCCTAGGTATTTTATTCTCTTTGAAGCAATTGTGAATGGGAGTTCACTCATGATTTGGCTCTCTGTTTGTCTGTTATTGGTGTATAAGAATGCTTGTGATTTTTGTACATTGATTTTGCATCCTGAGACTTTGCTGAAGTTGCTTATCAGCTTAAGGAGATTTGGGGCTGAGACGATGGGGTTTTCTAGATATACAATCATGTCATCTGCAAACAGGGACAATTTGACTTCCTCTTTTCCTAATTGAATGCCCTTTATTTCCTTCTCCTGCCTAATTGCCCTGGCCAGAACTTCCAACACTATGTTGAATAGGAGTGGTGAGAGAGGGCATCCCTGTCTTGTGCCAGTTTTCAAAGGGAATGCTTCCAGTTTTTGCCCATTCAGTATATTGGCTGTGGGTTTGTCATAGATAGCTCTTATTATTTTGAGATACGTCCCATCAATACCTAATTTATTGAGAGTTTTTAGCATGAAGTGTTGTTGAGTTTTGTCAAAGGCCTTTTCTGCATCTATTGAGATAATCATGTGGTTTTTGTCTTTGGTTCTGGTTATATGCTGGATTACATTTATTGATTTGCGTATATTGAACCAGCCTTGCATCCCAGGGATGAAGCCCACTTGATCATGGTGGATAAGCTTTTTGATGTGCTGCTGGATTTGGTTTGCCAGTATTTTATTGAGGATTTTTGCATCAATGTTCATCAAGGATATTGGTCTAAAATTCTCTTTTTTGGTTGTGTCTCTGCCTGGCTTTGGTATCAGGATGATGCTGGACTCATAAAATGAGTTAGGGAGGATTCTCTCTTTTTCTATTGATTGGAATAGTTTCAGAAGGAATGGTACCAGTTCCTCCTTGTACCTCTGGTAGAATTTGGTTGTGAATCCAACTGGTCTTGGACTCTTTTTGGTTGGTAAGCTATTGATTATTGTCACAATTTCAGAGCCTGTTATTGGTCTATTCAGAGATTCAACTTCTTCCTGGTTTAGTCTTGGGAGGGTGTACGTATCCAGTAATTTATCCGTTTCTTCTAGATTTTCTAGTTTATTTGCATAGAGGTGTTTGTAGTATTCTCTGATGGTAGTTTGTATTTCTGTGGTATCAGTGGTGATATCCCCTTTATCATTTTTTATTGCGTCTATTTGATTCTTCTCTCTTTTCTTCTTTGTTAGTCTTGCTAGCGGTCTATCAATTTTGTTGATCTTTTCAAAAAACCAGCTCCTGGATTCATTAATTTTTTGAAGGGTTTTTTGTGCCTCTATCTCCTTCAGTTCTGCTCTGATCTTAGTTATTTCTTGCCTTCTGCTAGCTTTTGAATGTGTTTGCTCTTGCTTTTCTAGTTGTTTTAATTGTGATGTTAGGGTGTCAATTTTGGATCTTTCCTGCTTTCTCTTGTGGGCATTCAGTGCTATAAATTTCCCACTACACACTGCTTTGAATGTGTCCCAGAGATTCTGGTATGTTGTGTCTTTGTTCTCGCTGGTTTCAAAGAACATCTTTACTTCTGCCTTCATTTCGTTAAGTACCCAGTAGTCATTCAGGAGTAGGTTGTTCAGTTTCCATGTAGTTGAGCAGTTTTGAGTGAGTTTCTGAATCCTGAGTTCTAGTTTGATTGCACTGTGGTCTGAGAGACAGTTTGTTATAATTTCTGTTCTATTACATTTGCTGAGGAGTGCTTTACTTCCAACTATGTGGTCAATTTTGGAATAGGTGTGGTGTGGTGCTGAAAAAAATGTATATTCTGTTGACTTGGGGTGGAGAGGTCTGTAGATGTCTATTAGGTCCGCTTGGTGCAGAGCTGAGTTCAATTCCTGGGTATCTTTGTTAACTTTCTGTCTCATTGATCTGTTTAATGTTGATAGTGGGGTGTTAAAGTCTCCTATTATTATTGTGTGGGAGTCTAAGTCTCTTTGTAGGTCACTCAGGACTTGCTTTATGCATCTGGGTGCTCCTGTATTGGTTGCATATATATTTAGGATAGTTAGCTCTTCTTGTTGAATTGATCCCTTTACCATTATGTAATGGCCTTCTTTGTCTCTTTTGATCTTTGTTGGTTTAAAGTCTGTTTTATCAGAGACTAGGATTGCAACCCCTGCCTTTTTTTGTTTTCCATTTGCTTGGTAGATCTTCCTCCATCCTTTTATTTTGAGCCTTTGTGTGTCTCTGCACATGAGATGGGTTTCCTGAATACAGCACACTAATGGGTCTTGACTCTTTATCCAATTTGCCAGTCTGTGTCTTTTAATTGGAGCATTTAGCCCATTTACATTTAAAGTTAATATTGTTATGTGTGAATTTGATCTTGTCATTATGATATTAGCTGGTTATTTTGCTCGTTAGTTGATGCAGTTTCTTCCTAGCCTCGATGGTCTTTACAATTTGGCATGATTTTGCAGCGGCTGGTACCGATTGTTCCTTTCCATGTTTAGTGCTTCAGGAGCTCTTTTAGGACAGGCCTGGTGGTGACAAAATCTCTCAGCATTTGCTTGTCTGTATAGTATTTTATTTCTCCTTCACTTATGAAGCTTAGTTTGGCTGGATATGAAATTCTGGGTTGAAAATTCTTTTCTTTAAGAATGTTGAATATTGGCCCCCACTCTCCTCTGGCTTGTAGAGTTTCTGCCAAGAGATCTGCTGTTAGTCTGATGGGCTTCCCTTTGTGGGTAACCCGACCTTTCTCTCTGGCTGCCCTTAACATTTTTTCCTTCATTTCAACTTTGATGAATCTGACAATTATGTGTCTTGGAGTTGCTCTTCTCGAGGAGTATCTTTGTGGCATTTTCTGTATTTCCTGAATCTGAATGTTGGCCTGCCTTGCTAGATTGGGGAAGTTCTCCTGGATAATATCCTGCAGAGTGTTTTCCAACTTGCTTCCATTCTCCCCGTCACTTTCAGGTACACCAATCAGACGTAGATTTGGTCTTTTCACATAGTCCCATATTTCTTGGAGGCTTTGTTCGTTTCTTTTTATTCTTTTTTCTCTAAACTTCCCTTCTCGCTTCATTTCATTCATTTCATCTTCCATCACTGATACCCTTTCTTCCAGTTGATTGCATCAGCTCCTGAGGCTTCTGCATTCTTCATGTAGTTCTCGAGCCTTGGCTTTCAGCTCCATCAGCTCCTTTAAGCACTTCTCTGTATTGGTTATTCTAGTTATACATTCGTCTAAATTTTTTTCAAAGTTTTTAACTTCTTTGCCTTTGGTTTGAATTTCCTCCTGTAGCTCAGAGTAGTTTGATAGTCTGAAGCCTTCTTTTCTCAACTCGTCAAAGTAATTCTCCGTCCAGCTTTGTTCCGTTGCTGGTGTGGAACTGCGTTCCTTTGGAAGAGGAGAGGCGCTCTGTTTTTAGAGTTTCCAGTTTTTCTGCTCTGTTTTTTCCCCATCTTTGTGGCTTTATCTGCTTTTGGTCTTTGATGATGGTGATGTACAGATGGGTTTTTGGTGTGGATGTCCTTTCTGTTTGTTAGTTTTCCTTCTAACAGACAGGACCCTCAGCTGCAGGTCTGTTGGAGTTTGCTAGAGGTCCACTCCAGACCCTGTTTGCCTGGGTATCAGCAGCGGTGGCTGCAGAACAGCGGATTTTCGTGAACCATGAATGCTGCTGTCTGATCATTCCTCTGGAAGTTTTGTCTCAGAGGAATACCCGGCCGTGTGAGGTGTCAGTCTGCCCCTACTGGGGGGTGCCTCCCGGTTAGGTTGCTCGGGGTTCAGGGATCAGGGACCCACTTGAGGAGGCAGTCTGCCCGTTCTCAGATCTCCAGCTGCGTGCTGGGAGAACCACTGCTCTCTTCAAAGCTGTCAGACAGGGATATTTAAGTCTGCAGATGTTACTGATGTCTTTTTGTTTGTCTGTGCCCTGCCCCCAGAGGTGGAGCCTACAGAGGCAGGCAGGCCTCCTTGAGCTGTGGTGGGCTCCACCAAGTTTGAGCTTCCTGGCTGCTTTGTTTACCTAAGCAAGCCTGGGCAATGGTGGGTGCCCCTCCCCCAGCCTCGCTGCCGCCTTGCAGTTTGATCTCAGACTGCTGTGCTAGCAATCAGCGAAACTCTGTGGGCATAGGACCCTCTGAGCCAGGTGCGGGATATAATCTCCTAGTGTGCCGTTTTTTAAGCCCATTGGAAAAGTGCAGTATTAGGGTGGGAGTGACCCAATTTTCCAGGTGCCGTCTGTCACCCCTTTCTTTGACTAGGAAAGGGAACTCCCTGACCCCTTGCACTTCCCGAGTGAGGCAATGCCTCGCCCTGCTTAGGCTTGCGCATGGTGCGCTGCACCCACTGTCCTGTGCCCACTGTCTTGCACTCCCTAGTGAGATGAATCCGGTACCTCAGAGGGAAATGCAGAAATCACCCGTCTTCTGTGTCGCTCACGCTGGGAGCTGTAGACCGGAGCTGTTCCTATTCAGCCATCTTGGCTGCCAGATCTCCGTGAATTTTGTTTATTTCTGCTTTCATCATTATTTCTTTCCTTCTACTAATTTTGGATTTGGCTTGTTCTTGCTTTTCTAGTTTCTTGAGATACATTGCTACGTTGCTGATTGGAAATCCTTCTACTTTTTGGATGTAGGCATCTATTGCTATACATTTTCCTCTTAACACTTCTTTTGCTGTATACCATAGGTTTTTGATATGCTGTATGTCTATTTTCATTTCTTTCAAGACATTTAACATTTTCCTTCTTAATTTCTTTATTGACCCATTGACCATTCAGGAACGTGTTTAACTTCCATTTCCATGTGTTTGTAAAATTTCAAAAGTTCCTCTTGTTATTGATTTCATTGTGGTCAGGAAAGATATTTGAGATCATTGCAGTTTGGTGGTTTTCTGCAGTAACAAGGTTTTCTCTTGTTTCTCTTTCTCCTTTGTGCATCTGCTCTACCAGCGAGTTTTACACTTGTGTGTGTTTTCATGAGAATGATTATCATCTTTTTTCTTCCAGATACAGGACTCCCTTGACTGTTTCTTGTAAAGCCAGTCTAGTGGTGATGAATTCCCTCAGTTTTTACTTGTCTGGGAGACTTTCTTTCTCTCTCATTTCTGAAGGGTAGATTTGCTGGGTATCGCATGCTTAGCTGACAATTTTTTTTTCTTTTGGTACTTTGAATACATCATCCACTTCTCTCCTGGCTTGTCAGGTTTCTGCAGAGAAATATGCTGTACCCTAGAATGGCAGAACACAGCTGTTATTTGGGCCCTGGAAGACAATGTGCAGCACAGCAATGACTCCACTCCCCAGAGTCAAGGGTATCTCAGCAGCTCAGACTTCAGGAGGCTAGTACAGCCCCAGGAAGGAAGGACACTAGAGCTGTTTGGCCTGCAGGATGGGGTGTCTCAGCTCAGCCACTGCTCTGTTTCCCTGGGACACAGGATACCATGTCAGCACAGCCCTGGGATTTGCAGCTATTCAGCTCAGCCAGGGTACAAATTCCCCAGAGGGTGATGTGTCATTTCGGCTTGAGTCCAACAGGTATGACTGCTCTGGGTGGACCAGGCACCATTTCCCTAGGATGCAGCGTGCTGCTTTGACTTAGGCATTGGAGGGGCATGATTTCTCTGAGCAGTCAAAGTACTGTTTTCCCAGGAATCAGGACACTGCTTCAGCTCTGGCCTGAGGAGGAAAGGGTGGTGGGAGGTGGAGCAGCTCCACCTCTGCTTGGCCCCACAGGGGAGCACAAAACAGTTGCTCGACTTGGGGATGTCAGGCCATTGGGCTGGGGCAGTTCAGCAATGGCTTAGCCTCAGGGATAAAAGAGAGCCATGCATACTTGCCCCCAGAGCAAGACACATCCAGCCATAGTTCCAACTCCAAGATGGCATAGCATGGTAGCTATGTGGGCCACAGGGTGTGGATCATAGTATTGGCTCCTTCTCTGGGGGAAGCACGGACATGTGGACTTCAGGCAGCTCCCTCAGCTAGGCTTAGTGTCTGTGAGGATTGCAGGGGACCCCAGTGCTCAGGTCTGTAGGTATCCACGGTGTTGATGGGGCTGCTGGGATCCTTTTGTTTACCTCCTTGCAGTAGGGAAACGTTCCTCCTAGTTCATTCCCAGCTGCTTCCAATTGGGGTTAGGGTAATGGAGGCCTGGCATTTCTTCCCATTCTCTATGTGGCCATCCCAAGTTTCTGTGCTCACCAGGGTATCTGTTACTTCTCTTGTGCACCACTGTGCTCCTCCTCAGTTATTTTTGTTAAAATGAAGTTGTTTATTCATTGTTCTGGCTATCTTTTTGAGGGAGAATAGCACTAGGGTCTTCTAGTCTACCATCTTGCTGATGTCATGCTTCTTCAACTTCATTCTTCTGCATGTGGGTAGCCAGTTATCCCAGCACTATTTTTTTGAAAGGACTATTTTTTCCAATAGTCTTTTCAATAGTTCCAATGGAACTATCTTGGCACCCTTGTCAAAAATGCAATCTGATTTTAACCCACATCTAAGATTAAGAATCACTGCTCTCTGGCCTTGTTATAGAGGTCACCATATGTGATTACATGTTCTAAATTCTTGATTTTGTTCCTATAGAGCAAAAGATGGGTATCTAGCTTTTAGGACACTTAGGTAAGAAGTCCATATATAATGATAATGGCTTCCCCTTGAAAACAAGTCCTGGTTTCCCAGAAAGTATCTTAAGAAATCTGTTGATAACTTTCTATAATCAATATCTTAATATATGCCATATAGGGATATTAGTACCTTGAACACAAAGCTTTATCACAATGACACAATTTCTTCCACAAAGGTGTGTATACCAAAGTGGGTTGGAGAAAAAGTGTATGTTGTATGTTCATAACACAGTTTCAGCAATATCAACTCTTGTGATCACTTGTGATCTTGCAGAATAAACAGTGGCCCTATCAGAACCATAAAATGGTTGTGGGGTTGATTATTGCTATACTATAATCATGTGTTAGCTTCTATCTTCTCTATGTCTCTCTCTACACACACACACATATATGCATGTATTCATTTTTAGGTAATGCTACAAATACTATAGTATTCCAGGACATCATACAGTTCCAAAGTTTCATTTCCATACAATCATCAGAAAATGAACTTTCCTCCTGACCAATTTCTGAAGACATCACTCTCTCATAAGAAGTATAGCATTGTCTTTGGGAGCAAAGCCTTTCAGGGTGTGCATCCCAACTCCAGAAATTACTGGCTATATAAACTTGGGTGTTGTTTTTCTCATCAGCAGAATCTAGATAAAAGTACCTATCTTACAGAGTTGTTATGAGAATTGCATGAGGCAACAAAAGCCCTTTTATTGTAAAATATAGATCCAGATTCTGCAGACATGGAAATAATATAACCTCAAAGACTATAACCTGGGACACAGACACAAGAATAATATGAAGATAAAATGAAACATTAATATTCCTACCTATTCTTCTTGCTGGCAAGTGCTCCCTTTATGAAACACACTGGGGTAGATGTAATTTTAATTTCTAAGACATTTTATGATGTTCTCTCCAATATGAGAGTCTCTTTTTGGAAAAATATCAGTGTCAATATAGTCAAGTCACACAGTCTACTCATTATAGACTGTATATTAAAAAATACATATTGCAATCTGTTATCTAGGTATTTTCCTTATTTTTTGGTTTTGGTAGATGCTATAGTTTAGCTGCATGAGCTATACTGTCTTTATCAGATTGTTGATTTTATTTGTGAAATAAAAATCTCT
The DNA here is from genome assembly GCF_000001405.40 of Homo sapiens. Taxonomy (NCBI): domain Eukaryota; kingdom Metazoa; phylum Chordata; class Mammalia; order Primates; family Hominidae; genus Homo; species Homo sapiens. The sequence continues at coordinate 78,857,473 of NC_000005.10, forward strand.
AAATAATGACTGACGGTGTTAATGATAAACGGGTTTTCAATAATCACACAAGTTCATGAAATGTCCTGGTTTTACGTGAATCAAGGTAATGGGTGTTTTTATTACAGCAAATACTTGGGCTCCAGGCTTATAGGAACAAAGCAGAGCTCTCTAATTAGCTTCTTTAAGGTAGGCACCCATGGGACAGTTCAAGGATTGCCACCGTACAATGTTTACCCCCATCCCAGCACATATTATTGGCTATGGCAGTAAGTAGACAAAGACCTATGTAAAGAAAATAACAGAACTATCTTGTTTGCCATTTGCCACTTAGTGATGAAGACCTACCTCTAAACCGGTGAAGTTGGCAAGTTTTACCCATGCCTATAACAACCAAACTAGTTATTTTGGGGTTTCATTTGTTTTGGCTAGGCTAGTTTGGATAACAGTAGCTTGCACTGATAGAACATTTTTTATGTGCAACACACCATTTAAAATACTTTACACGTATCATTTCATTCAACCTTCAACACTGTGAGGTAGAGACAAGCTTGGCATGGCATGGTTAAGTGACTTACACAATCATGTGGTTGAGCAGGTGACAGGACTGGGTTTGGAGCTCAGGCAGACTGACCCCCAAATCCCATCTCTAACCTTCTATGCTAAATTCTCTGCTCAGTAAGATGTACACATGGCCTCAGTGTCTCCTTGAATGTATGGTGTTTCCATTCATTTGGTTTATTTTTAAGGCTCCATAAACAAATATCTCTATTAACTGCAAATGCTTCTATTAATAAAAGTTAAACATTTTTCTTCACCCTCTTCTCTTGAAAACTTATAAAGTAGTATATCATTGTCTCTGATGATATTTTCAGTATTCTGTTTGAATTTACCCCAAATTTCACATTTGCTAGAGTATTTTTATTTACAAAAACAGGGCAAGGAGACAGCCACTGACCAGTGACCAGTTTCCAATATGCTATAAATATTTTCTAAAAGTCTACAGTTTCAGACACTGAGATCACAGCACTGTCCATTTATAAATAGTTTCCAGTTTTTGATTTTCATTTTCCTATTAGTTGAAGGGTGGGGCAACAAAACATTTCCCATAAATAAATGAAATGGTATTACATTCCATACTTCTTTTACCACTAACTGCTGACCATCTGTCATAAAAGACACACCCTGAAAGGCAGTATCAAATTTTTAGAAATAGCAATGACAATACTTTCTGAGAAGAAATTTTGAAGAAAAAAAATAACCCCAGTTACTAATGAAAACATTGACCAACACATCCACAGGGTAATGTCCGACCTGTTAACCCTTTGGAAGCACCATCATCCTTGTTATCATCTTCACTACCAGCTACCGAGTTCTTACAATGTTCCAGGCATGGTGCTAAATGTTTCAAACACACTCTCTCACTAAATCCTCACATAGGTGTCTACAGGATAGGTTGTTATTTGTTACATTTGTTACAGACAAATGTAACTATTATTACATTTTACACAAGGAAATCAATGCTTAAAGATTGCACAAGTAATTAATGGAGGAGACAGGATTTAAACCAGATCTAATCAAAAAGTACCGATTTTTAACCACTATCCCGGTGAAACTCCTTACAGGACTTATTTCCTTTGTTAAGGGTGTGTGTGTATGGGGGGCAGGTGATATTTGGTTTGTGTAAATCCCATGCTTCCTGAAAAGCCATTTCAACATGCAAATATTACCATAAATTAAGAGTATAGGCACGGAAATTAGAAAATGTTGATGAAATTCAGTGAGGAAATATGTAAGTTGAATTCACTGGGTCTAGAGTTATATATGGAAAGATATTTTTCATATAGATTGTTATTAAGAAGGTTTATTAAGTTTTTTAAGTAGTCTAGAGAAAAAAGTAATCAAAAATCACTGAATCATACCCTTAATATAATCTTTTCCTATTCATTACTAAAAAATAATTGGTAGGACTTCTGGGTTAATTCAGGATAAACTTCAGGGACTAATATGCCTTTCTTCCAATTTCCATTTTAATATCCACGAAGAATTACAAAAAGATGAAAACTGGCAACAGCGTTGGAAACTAAAGAGAAGACCATATGCCAAAGTCCCAAGGGGATTTTCACTAATGCCAATGCTGAAGAGACGAACAACACATTCTTGGATTCTGCCATAAGAATCAAAACATGATCCCAAAGAAAGTAGAAGAAGATGGATTTGCTTTGCCTCCATCGAATGATGGGACTCAGGGGCTATGCTAAACAAACAAAAAAAAAAGAGTGATGATCTTCCATGAACTGTCCTTAGAGAGGCACCATTGTGCCTCCTCTCACCCCGAATGCTGGCTGCTTTCCTC